>NC_000006.12:111320790-112570790 GCF_000001405.40 Homo sapiens
AGGTGCACACCACCATGTCCGGCTAATTTTTAAATTTTTTGTAGAGACAGGGTTGCACTTTGTTGCCCAAGCTGGTCTTAAAACTTCTGGGCTCAAGCAATCCACCTGCCTTGGCCTCCCAAAGTGCTAGGATTTCAAGTATGAGGCAGCACGCCTGGCCAATGTTTGTTGAATGTATCAGGTAGTGAATGGTGATCAAAAGTTTTAATGACATTGCAAGTAAATTTCCTTTGACTGGAATCATATAATAACTATAAAATCTGATGTAGAGAGAAAGCATCAGCTAGGAATCAAAACACTGAATATCAATTTATGGCTCTTTACTGACTAGTTGCAAGATCTTAAATTTCTTATCCTAGGGAAATTTGTTCTTAATAAGCATCACTTGAGGCACATTCTAAGCTCTCCCCAAGTATGAAAACTGCTGGCCTAAATAATATCAAAATCCCTTCCGGCTCTGACATTCTGTGAGTCTATTATTTTTTGTAGCTTGACTTCTTACAGATCTTAAAGGGTAAATAATATAACTACAATCAGAATCATGCTGACTTCTGGGTGTTGTCAACAACATGGATAGCCCCTGAATTAAAATCAGTAAGTTAAAGGATTAACATTTTTCCCTAAATATTTTTTAAGGAGTTCTGCTAACAAGTGGAGAACTTATTTTAGTAACTCTTATTTTGCTGGAATACCCAGCAGAAGTAGTTTCATAGAACAATAAAATAACCAAAGCCAAACTAAGAAGTGGCTTTTGATGAGCAACAGGAGAGAATATGGATAATTAGGGCCTGGATAATTTGAAACTATCCCCACCGGCTGGTAATGAAACAGCTGCTCTATAAGGCAAGGTCTCATTCAGCATTAATATGATTATGCTGTCTGTATGAACATTTTAAAGAACTGGATAAGATTAAATGCTGTTCAAAGATTACTTATAAGCTATTTAATGATCAGAAGCATTATCTCCTATTGCTCTGTTGGACTGTAAAGAGATCAGAGGTCTTGAAGCAAGTGCTCTTAGCATGATCACACTGTGACTCTACGTCCCCAATATGGAAAAAATTTCACTGTAAGAAATTTGAATAGTGCCTACATTCTAGAAGAATTTCAATAAGCCATGCAAAAAAGATGTTACATAAATAACTGAAACCTGAAAAATATCACAGCAAGCAGGAAGCATGCAAGCTGGTGTTAATAACTTACATTATTAATAACGTGCCTTCAAATGCAGGCACATTATTTGCCAATCCATAAATAATAGGCTTGAGGAAGTCTGTGGACCCTCTGGAATCAAATGGAAAACTGTATTTGCCTATATGCACTTCTCTTAGAAGGTCAACATATTCTGGGGCCGAGTGGTAAGTTAACCATTCACAGTTCTGGCAATTGTCCTTCAAAAACAGTTTATTTTAAGATATACACTTAAATTCAGAGAGTTACAGCTATATTAGAGGAATTATTCACATTAAAAGTAGTTTCTTTAAATAAACTAGACTCCTGTGTACACAGTTAGTTTACAGATCACTATCTACTTGGCTTAGAGCTACCTGGAGGGAAGCCATAGGTATCTTCAGTTTGTGGCTCAGGACACAAACTGTCTCTTACGATCCTATCTGGTAAATCAGGATCTGTGTTAACTCTGATCATGAGATCGTAAGGACTGGAAAGGACTCAGACAGAACTCTGTTTTTAGAAAAGATTCCCTTAAGCCATTTTAAACACTGAAATGAAGATCTAGAGAGATGCAAAAGACAACTACAAAACCAAAAACCCATTACCTGTCAGTATCGCCATATACAACCCTAGCCCCCCATTTCTTGGTATCATTCACCAGTTTAATAGCTCGTTCCAAGGTCTCTCTGGCTTTGTGAACAATACTATCGCCAACCTGTTGGTACAAACACATTGGAAATAATTTCTTAACATAGCTCAGTATAAGTTAACAGACTTTAACATATAATACATTTAATTACTAAATATTTCCAGAAATGAAACGAGAAAAGAACGTAAAAAAGAAATCAAAATAGCCATCAGTATCATCATTCTTTCTACAAGTACTCAAGAAGAAACTGAGGTGAAGAATTTGAAAGAACCAATCAATATACAAACTTGTCTTTGAGTATAACAGTAAGTGGACTGCACTTGTTACAAGGTACTCAGCTACGTTGGATTCTTGGAAGAATAATCCTTCTTTATTCAAGAACTTTTTTTTTTTTTTTGAGGAGTCTCACTCTGTCACCCAGGCTAGAGTGCAGTGGCACAATCTTGGCTCACTGCAACCTCTGCCTCCTGGGTTCAAGCGATTCTCCTGCCTCAGCCTCCTGAGTAGCTGGGACTATAGGCGCACGCCACCACACCCAGAGAATTTTTGTATTTTTTAGTAGAGATGGGGTTTCACCATATTGGCCAGGCTAGTCTTGAACTCCTGATTTCGTGATCCACCCACCTCGGCCTCCCAAAGTACTGGGATTATAGGCGTGAGCCACCGTGCCCGACCTATTCAACTTTCTTATGTGCCCTTACAACTCATCAGGCAGAAAAGCACTCTTTGTGGGTGCATGAGTATATGTACGTGTATCTCTCAAAATTTTTCTGTTGAAGTGTTGATGATAATGTCTTTCAATATCATTAAAGTTAATGCTGAACTTCAATCTTGTCACTAGTTATACAAAGAAAAATGTATCTAATTATATGATGGGAAATATATTAAAACTGTTCAATTTAAATTAAATAGGTAGATATATATCTAGGAAGGTTTTACTCATTGGTGATTAGTGAATTTTAACAGTGACCACAGCATGAGTTTACAAAACAAAAAGATGCTGGGCCTTGACAAATATGAGAAGCATGCTAATGAGATTTTACAGTTAAGTAAATTAAGGAGACTATATAACAATGCTGTTTTATTTATTAAACTCATTAAAGCTAAGAGTGGGAAAAATTGCCATTCAACATAAAACATAAATGGAGCATTCCTTTTGCAATTTTAAAACGCAAACTGCACATTTTTTTTTGTTAAGAAGCAAACAATAGCAATAATCATCCTTCTCCCTTTACTGTAAAATTTGAATTACTAAATATAGGATTGAATAGTATTTAAAAGGCTATTTAAAATTGCATTACAAAGGACATATTAAGTACATGAACAAAGGAATAAATAATAAAACTAGTAGTAGAAACGAGTTGGGATTTATTTATTTATTTATTCTGATTTATTTACTTATTTTGAGACAGAGTCTCGTTCTGTCACCCAGGCTGGAGTGCAGTGGTGTGAGCTTGGCTCACTGCAACCTCTGCCTCCTGGGTTCAAGCAATTCTCGTGCTTCAGTCTCCCGAATAGCTGGGATTACAGGAGTGTGCCACCATGCCCAGCTATTTTTCGTATTTTTAGTAGACAGGGTTTTGCCATGATGGCCAGGCTGGTCTGGAACTCCTGGCCTCAAATGATCCACCCGCCTCAGCCTCCCAAAGTGTTGTAATTACAGGTGTAAGCCACCATGCCTGGCCTTAGGTTTTAAATTAAGATTATGAATTCTGCTGAGACCTCTAGTACATCAGAAAATCTTGAGAATGTAAACTGTAACTTAATACATTACAAAAATCATGTTATCTAATGGAAACTCAAATTGAATAAAATGTTCTGTTACCTACTGCCACTTTCAAACAAGGTCAACTTTTAAATATGTGAGGAAAAAGAGCTGCATAAGCAAGCCATTTTAGTGTCAAAGTCAAATATACTTCTGAGATGTATACTTACAAGTATATACTCGAACATATACATAGTGGTCTTAAATGTCTGCCTAATGCTCTTACTCTGGCGCATTTAAGTTATACCCCAAAGAGTCAGAACTCTGCAGTTACCCCTGAAGACCACATAATAAGAAGAATTCAGCAGCACTAGAGTGAGGGGGAGGCGGAAGAGGGAAGGAGAAGTAATTAAATTAACAGATTCTGCTACTTTGTGCCAAGGTTCCTAACCTGAAAAGCATTACTTCATTAAAGGGCTAAGAGAGGATTTAAAAGAGGAAAAGAAATGGTTTCACAATTTAGGCCATGATTGGGGATGCTCAAAAGTCTTTTTTTTTTTTTGAGATGGAGTCTCACTCTGTCGCCCAGGCTGGAGTACAGTGGCGCAATCTCGGCTCACTGCAACCTCTACCTCCCGGGTTCACGCCATTCTCCTGCCTCAGCCTCCCAAGTAGCTGGGACTACAGGCACCCGCCACTACGCCCGGCTAATTTTTTGTATTTTTAGTAAAGACGGGGTTTCACCGCATTAGCCAGGATGGTCTTGGTCTCCTGACCTCGTGATCCACCCGCCTTGGCCTCCCAAAGTGCTGGGATTACAGGCGTGAGCCACTGCACCTGGCCTCAAAAGTCTTAATAAAAACAAATGTTTTAAGTAAAAATTAATTCCCTGAAAAGACATAAAAAGGAAGAAATAAAGTTCAGACAATTTTTTAAAAGGCACAAATATACCTTTATCATAAATATGAATGACCAATAATTTAGTAGAAAACTGTCAACATATAAAAATTTTAATTTATGAAGTAAGTCCAACTGAGACAGAGACATTAACCTCCACTATTAGCTACTTTATTCTCCATATTCTCTTCATAGGAATTTTTGCTTACCAAGTCTTGTCTTTCTCTATGATGGTACTGAGACAGAGACATTAACCTACAACTATTAGCTACATTTATTTATTCTCCATATTCTCCTTATATGCTTACAAAGTCTCATCTTTCTCTATGATAGTCCAGATCTAGTACTTTTTTGATTGTGTGTTCTCTGAAGGAAAGCAGGAGACCACAGTCAGTAATCCATTTGCCTCCCGCTTTTAAAAGCTTTTAATTATTCTGGATACATAACTGTTGTATATATACGTATATGCGGTACATATGATGTACACAGGCAGACAATGTGTAATGATCAAATCAGGGTAACTGGGATATCCATCACCTCAAGCATTTATCATTTATTTGTGTTAGACATTTCAATTCCATTCTTTTAGTTATTTAAAAATATACAATAAGTTGCTGTTCACTATAGTTACTGTGCTACTAAATACTATATTTTATTCATTCTAATTGTATTTTTGTACTCATTAATCATTTCTACTTTATCTCCCTCCCTCCCCACCTCATTGCCTCTGGCAACCATCATTCTACTCTCTATCTCCATGAGTTCCTTTATTTTTTTTAGTTTCCATAAGAGTGAGAATGTGTGATATTTGTCTTTCTCTGTCTGGCTTATTTCACTTAGCATAATGTCCTTCAGTTCCATCCATGTTTTGCAAATGACGGGATTTTATTCTTTTTTAGGGCTGATTACTGGACAAATGGGATCACATAAAGCTAAAAAGCTTCTGCACAGTAAAGGAAATAATCAACAAAGTGAAGAGACAACCCATAGAATGGGAGAAATTATTTGCAAACTACCCATCTAACATGGGATTAATAACCAGAATATGTAAGGAACTCAAACAACTCAGTAGGAAAAAAACAAATAATTCGATTAAAAATGCACAAAAGGTCTGAATAGACATTTCTCAAAAGATGACATACAAATGACTAACATTACTAATTAGAGAAATGCAAATCAAAATTATAATGAGATATCTTCTCACCCCAGCTAAAATGGCTTTTATCCAAAAAACAGGCAATAATGAATGCTGGCAAGGATGTGGAGAAAGGGGAACCCACTGTAGTGGGAATGTAAATTAGTAGAGCCACTATGTAGAACAATATAGGATGCTGCAAAAATCTAAAAATAGAACTGCCATATGATCCAGATATCCCACTGCTGGGTATATACCCCCCCCAAAAAAAAAAATGGAAATCGGTACATTGAATTGATATCTGCACTCCCATATTTATTGTAGCACTATTCACAATAGCCAAGATATGGAAACAACCTAAGTGTCCATCAACGAGTGAATGGATAAAGGAAATGCCATATTATGTGTACAATGGAATATCATACAGCCATAAAAAAGAATGAAGCCATCTGCCCTTTAAAAAAAAAAAAAGTGGCTGATATCTTCCATTTTTACTCTATTGGTGCTAACTTTTCACTTATTCATGAGAGGCTCTTTCTGTGATGTTAGCTGCTTTTTCCACTCATGATTTCACCTAGAAGTTAACATTGTACTGTTGCGAAGTTAGCATATGATGAGGGGTCAAATGCATGCTTGCAGTCATTAATCTGAGGATAGCTGAGAAGACCAGGGTCAAGGAAGCAGGTACTGCTTGGCAGTCTGAGTTCACCGTGCAAAGCAGCAACGTACTCCCTGGTGAAACCCTATTCCTAAACTTCCACTGCTAGTTCAAAAATCCTACCAAATTCTGGTTATTCTAAAGTTACAGTATTTACATATTTTAAAAATAGTATAATTTCTGCATTATTACTAAAATACATTAATAAACACTTTTAAAACCGAGAGGCAGGGAAGAAATTAGGGAAATGTGGAAATGGCCCCTAAGAAAGGATTTGGGACAAGCATGGTCGCTCACACCTGTAATCCCTGCCAAGGCAGGAGAATCACTTGAGCCCAGGAATTCAAGACCAGCCTGGGCAGCAGGGCGAAACCCCATCTCTACAAAAAATAGAAAACTTAACTGGGCATAGAGGTAAGCACCTGTAGTCCCAGCTACTTGGAGGCAGAGGTGGGAGGATTGCTTGAGCCTGGGAGGTCGAGGCTGCAGTGAGCCGTGGTTAAGCCACTGCACTCTAGCCTGGGTGATAAAGCAAGACGCTGTTTCAAAAAAAAAAAAAAAAGGATAGCTTTTGGTTTTACATTAGTAATATCATTTCCATTTTTTTTTTCCTGCTAGATCATATAGATCAGTGGTTTTCAAATGTATTAATATGAACCCCCAGGACTGACAAAGTATTTTTTATCTTACCTAAAAGTATACAAATATAAACCTAGATACAAACTTTTATTGCTTACAGCCTTTACAGTGCAACTATAAAAAAATTTATCCAGCACAAAATCATATTACTGTACCAAAATATTCAAGTTAACAATATTAAGTTTCCACTATAGATGGTATTTTGCTGCTTTCAATGTGAATATGCCACTACTGCCTTGCTCATGTTTTTGGAGTTCATTTTGCCTACTGTGAGCTGTGTGAAGACTTTATGCTTTCCCTGCTTTTCTCTTACTGAACTAATGCAAATATGATATACCACAATGTTCTCTGACCTTCATTTGGCATGAAAAGATCACAATATAACAAGTTACTCTGTTCTTTTCTCACTCACTAGTATATTATTTATATTACCCTGTCACACTATATTGTATTTGTATCAAATAAACACCTTAACTTAGTAAATATGAAATTAAGTCATTCTATGAAAAATGTCTTTCAACTGTCACTATCATTGCAAAAAAGGTTGTGCTTTATATCTACTGGTATACTAGTAAATATGGAATGACTGTTGTTTATTCTGACTTAAAAAATTTTTTTAGTTTTTAATTTTGTGTATTAATAGAGGCAAGGGCTCACTATGTTGCTTAGGCTAGTCTTGAACTCTTGGGCTCAAGCAATCCTCCCACCTCAGCCTCCTGAGTTGGGATCACAAGTGTGAGACACCACACCTGGCTAATTGTGACATTTGGACAAGCCAACATAACTATAATCAGATCTCTTGTCAATACATAAAATGAATTATGCAGTACCAAGGCTGTTGTAAAAACTGCTACAAAGGTGGCACTGAAATTTTATGCTAATAGAAAGTTACAGTATAGTTATGAAGATCATGCAGAAATAGGTGTATGCTAATTTCTAAAATTATCATTGGAATAAAGACACAGAGGTATCTTATAGAGAAAAGTCACAGATCCCCAAGAATATATATATATTTAGGCTTGGCATGAGAAAAACTGATGTTATGTCATAGAAATGAAATGGTTTAAAGTTTTAAAACAAAATGAAATGCTTGAATGAACAGGCATTCATTTAATGCTGCTTTAGTCTCTTTTTTTTGAGACAGGGTCTCGTTCTGTTACCCAGGGTGGAATGCAGTGGTGCAATCATGGCTCACTGCAACCTTGACTTCCTGGGCTCTAGTGATCCTCCCATCTCAGCTTCCCAAGTAACTGGGACCACAGGCACATAACACTATGCCCGGCTAGTTTTTGCATTTTTGGTTAGAGATGGGATTTCACCATGTTGCCCAGGCTGGTCTCAAACTCCTGAGCTCAAGTAATCCACATGCCTTGGCCTCCCAAAGTGTTGGGGTTACAGGTGTGAGCCACTTTTTTGAGACCAAGTCTCATTCTGTCGCCCAGGCTGGAGTGCAATGGCGCGATCTTGGCTCACTGCAACCTCTGCCTCCTGGGTTCAAGCAATTATCCTGCCTCGGCCTCTTGAGTAACTGGGATTACAGGTGCCCACCACCACACCTAGCTTATTTTTGTGTTTTTAGTAGAGATGGGGTTTCACCCTGTTGACCACGCTGGTCGCGACTCCTGACCTCATGTGATCCGCCTGCCTTGGCCTCCCAAAGTGTTGGGATTACAGGCGTGAGCCACCATGCCTGGCCTTTTTTTTTTTTTTTTCTTTTAAAAAAGAGATGAGGTCTCACTATGTTGTCCAGGCAGGATTCAACTCTGGGCTGAAGACCCCCGCACCACATCTTAGCTTCCAAAGTAACTGGGAATACAGGTGAGTGCCACCGTGCCTCACTGTATTTTAGTCTCTTTTGAAAAAACTACAGATTTGTATCACTTACCTCAATGCATGGCATTCTCCCAGAAAAATTAGCAGATGTATAGCCAAATGTGACATTTGCTATCAGCTTAAGTCCCAACTGACGCGCATCAAGCATTCGTGACAGGGCTCTGTCTTGCTTGTAAGCCTTCATTGACTGCTTCACCATAAATCTAGTCTTCAAAATTTCTTCAAGCATTCTTGGTAGTACACCTTTTCTTACTGAAGGCTATCATAAAGAAAAAAAATGTTTAAAACCCCTCAAACATTATAGATTTACATAATTAAGAAGGAAGCATAAAACATAATAATGGCCAACTGTCAGGAATTGAAACATGCTAACAACAGAGTGACCATAGTATTAGTGGCCGTCAATATAAAATCATCACATTTTATTTCTTGGAAGAGGATTTCTCCTAAATGGTTCCTGCAATGTTTATAAATCTAACAGAGCACTTCTATGTGAGTTCAGAGACCTCCAGGGAGGAGGATGTCAACTAGTGCATAAGTGACCATACAACAACTTCAGAGGGAAATTTTGTTCGAAACTTTGACAGAAACCCCCATTCTTTCAAAATGACACATGGGACTTGTATCACTCATAACCAACTCAGTTTTTAAAGATCTCATCCTAATGACCCCACACAGAAATCTGCATGGAACTCCATTTATCTACCTTGGAAGAATGATGAGCTGGGTTGACTCTGCTGACATTCAAACCTGCAGTTCCAGGGACTCTAGGTATTTCAAATCTGATGCTTAGACCACTAAGCCATCCCCTCCGGCCTACATTTATTAGCAATCTGGAAGAGGGGATGAATAGTGAGGTGATAAAATTTGTTGATGCCAAAAAAAAAATCATTTGTATTCATCAAGACTAGGGAGAATTTATGAGAACTCCAGTAGGAATGAAAACCACAAAACAGTATTAACTTTGATGATGATTCACAGACACGTGCAAGGTAATGCATGTCAGACCTAACAATTAAAATCTCAGGTATAGGATATTCACACACCTGAATATTTAAAAAATCTTATTTTCATTAAGCTTTACACACTGGGTCCAAAAGTAGATGCAAGTTTAAAAAAAAGCTGTTAAAGGGAGATAATAAGCTGCTAGATATGCGACAATGGAACATATTCTAACCTCTAATTCATTTGGTGTACATTTTGAAGCAGCCATAATGTTTTAAGACATAAGATAAAAAGAACAGGGACCAAATTCGCAGAAATGTGACTGGAAAACTGATTTTTATATAGAGACCCATTTAATAAAAAAAAATCTGTTTCCATTTCTCCAAGTAGATCTCATCTACATCAGTCCTTAGAAATACTACATTTTAAAATTTTCCAAAAAGAAACATACCATGAACTCTTTGGTTAAAATTTTCTTCATCTACATGGCTAATTTTAGTTTAGTATTCCCTCTTACTGGTAGAGAATGATGCCACTTTTGATATAGTACACCAGAATGAATTTGAGGGCTGGTGGGGTCCACTCTACCATCAACCACTCTACTGTCTCATGATTCTAGTACAGACTCACTGCTAAGAAAATAGAAAAGAAAGGAATAAAGTTGGCATTTAAGAGGCAATATAATCTTCTTTTAAGATGTCTCTTATTTGTCTTTAATTTGTAAAGTTTTCCTCTGTCTCTTTTGAGGGGAGATACAGGAGAGAAAAAAGGGACCCTATTTTTAGTTTGGATATCTTCTGAAAAATATAAACAATAAGCCTATTAGAGTATCATTAATTCTAAGATAGTCTTAATTTAAAATAATGTAGAAGAACAACTAGTAGCATCTACACATTAAAACAATTTAAATCTTTGTAGGTAATATATTTTGACCATTAAGTTGCCATTTAAGTCTGCCTGATTCTAATAAAGGGCAGAAAGTATAAGCATACGTTTATTTCTTTCAATATTTCGTTAACTAAAATTTAACAATTTAAAGATTTAAAACCTAAATTCAAGAAAAACAAGGTGACTGGTTTGTTCCTGAAGTGATTTCTTAGAAGATTCTCATATCTTTGACTTTTTGAGATAAAATATTCAAGCAAACTCGGTGTTTTTGTTTTCTATTATGTGCCAACAATATCTAAACCATTATCAGCTCTCCAAAAGTTAAGCCATAGTTGTTATCTTTCATTTACAAGAGAGTATTACCTTGACAAAAGCTACTCCATTGGGGGACACTGTGATATCATGCCTAACTTGGTAAAGTAAATCTGGAGGTACTCTCAGAGAGGTACAGCCAAATTTGAACTCATCATACCTGTTAAGAAAGAGAACATTAAGCAAATACTTCCTCAAATCATAGAACAGAGATTTTACGCAATTTAAAAAATCTTTCTAACTCCATTAGAAATTCATTTTCAAACATCTAAACAAGAATTCATGTACTTAGTAATATGTTTATTTGCCTCATTACCAAAATAGTTTTTCAAATATTCATAATTTATTACAAGAAACATTTCTTAAATGGCACTATCCTAAAATTTATGGGTAAAATCTATACTGAAATACCAAATTTCAACTCAACATCTGATCATCTTATTTATTTTATTATTATTATTTTTTGAGATGGAGTCTCGCTCTGTCACCCAGGCTGGAGTGCAGTGGCGCGATCTCGGCTCACTGCAAGCTCCGCCTCCCGGGTTCATGCCATTCTCCTGCCTCAGCCTCCCGAGTAGCTGGGACTACAGGTGCCTGCCACCATACCCGGCTAATTTTTTGCATTTTTAGTAGAGACAGGGTTTCCTCATGTTAGCCAGGATGGTCTCGATCTCCTAACCTCATGATCTGCCCGCCTTGGCCTCCCAAAGTGCTGGGATTACAGGTGTGAGCCACCACGTCCAGCCCAATCATCTTATACTAAATTACTTAAATAAAAATTTATTTTAACATCCTTGTGAATATATTTAAAGAATAATTTAAACCTTAAATAGAAATACTGTAAATCTTGTAAATTTTCCAAATTCCTGTTTTTAATAAAAAGACAGGATTACCAATATAATTTCCACAGATGCTTTCTATGAAGGAATATAGGATATACTAAAACCAACACATGATCTCAAATACGCAAAAATCAATAAAAAGGAAGACTCCGTTATTTCCTACAATTTAAGAAAAGTATCTAATCCTTTGAGAATTTAAAATGTTATTATCAGTTTATAAAATTTAATTTACATTAATTAATAAAACCTAACATTTAATTTTTAAAATCCTGGACTATTTATAAGAAAAATAAAGAGGAGGTCTAGTTGAAGTTATAAGATCATAATCCTCAAACTGTTCCACTGAAAGGTAATTTACATCAACAATTTAACTTTCATTTTAAAAGAGACTATAGTTACATATGGAGTGAAACAGTTGCAAGGCTGACCTATTCCCAATCCTCTTCATGAGTCATCCATCCATGAAGCTGGATTAATCATATGGTGATCCATGTCAATTGGTAAGACAACTATAATGAATGGATTAGCTGGGATACAGTCCATTTATCTTGCTCATAGGGAAGGTGTCCAGAGCAAAGAGACACTCAGAAAGTGTCTAATTTTAGTAAGAAGTACAAAGCACAACAATATTATTGTAAATGTGAAAAAAACCTTACTTTCCCAAGTTCTCCACATGGCCAAGGCAGGTGGAAAAGCAGTAGTTATATGCAATCACAATAGAAGGATAAAGTGATTGGAAATCCAAAACGAGAACAGAGTTGCTATAGAAGCGGGATTCAGGCTCCATAATTAGAGGAACACACTGTGGGGCTCTCATCTGGGATCTTTGCTGAACACTAGGTGTCACAGGAATATAGTTCATTGGTTTAGCAATACGCAACATCATTGATTCCACACGGTACTGCAGGGAGAAAGGGAGGTGAGAAGAGAAGAAACACAGTTAAATATATTGGTCATTTGAATATATAATCATTTGAGGATAATCTGCTTTTCAGAATAAGATTGTATGACTTTTTTTTTTTTTTGAGACAGTGTTTCGCTCTTGTTGCCCAAGCTGGAGTACGATGGCACGATTGCGGCTCACTGCAACCTCCGCCTCCCAGGTTCAAGCGATTCTCCTACCTCAGCCTCCCGAGTAGCTGGGATTACAGGCATGCGCCACCATGTCCAGCTAATTTTTTGTATTTTTAGTAGAAACAGGGTTTCACCATGTTAGCCAGGCTGGTCTCGAACTCCTGACCTCAGGTGATCCGCCCACCTCAGCCTCCCAAAGTGCTGGGATTATAGGCGTGAGCCACTATGACCAGCCTGTAATACTGGTTATTTAGTCAGCTTTCAGATGCGAAAAGGGATATATGTAAATCCTTTTCCTATTCCTACGACTTTTATAAAAACTATAAAACATGTCAAATAACTTAAAAGATAAGTCAATTTTAAAAGACAGATGCAATTAGATCTCTTTTTATTTTTATTATTTACTTATTTATTTTGAGATGAAGTCTCGCTCTGTTGTCCAGGCTAGAGTGCAATGGCAAAATCTCGGCTCACTGCAACCTCCACCTCCAGGGTTCAAGTGATTCTCCTGTCTCAGCCTCCCAAGTAGCTGGGATAACAGGCTTGTGCCATCATGCCCAGCTAATTTTTGTATTTTTAGTAGAGATGGGGTTTCATCATGTTGGCCAAGGTGGTCTTGAACTCCTGACCTCAAGTGATCCCCTGCCTTGGCCTCCTAAACTGCTGGGATTACAGGTGTGAGCCACTGCACCTGGCCCTCTTTGTATTTAAATACAGCTACACCATAATAAAAAACTGTAGGACAGACAGCTGTATAGTTTGACAATTTCGTTTAAGAAGTTGGTTGATAATCCTGGAGAAATTTATTTGGGAAAATTAGAGAATTAAAAAGCTGTCAGGAGACTTAAGATAGAAAATGTTATCCCAGTTTTTCAAAGAAAGAAACAAAATGATTATAGAATTATAAAGTATTGAATGTGGCTTTTGTTGTGGAAATAATTAAAAAATAAAAAAAAAGAACTGAATAGTAATCAGCTTATTACTGGTCCCTAGCAAAACTGAATCAAGCAATTACTGGTATGTTTGTTTCTAATAATAACTATTAGAAGGCTTGGGGTATTAGAAAAAAAATTACTCACAAGAACCAGCCTGGGTTCACTGAAGTATTCTCATGAGGTTTTAAGGTATTTTTGCCTTTTATTACAGACTAGCTCAAACAGTTGTTAAATTTGATGGGTATAAATAAAATAAATAGCTTATAAGCAATTAAATGAAATAAACAGGTAAAACAAACGTAGTTGGAACTCTATTTTTGCTATATTTACTGAACTGGTTGATTATGTTATAGACACAGGTAATTAAAATAAGTAAGGATTTTACAACGTTAAGGAATCTGAGTGTTTTAATATGGTATCGCTGATGCCTACCACCGTGCTTAACAAACTACAGGTATTCAAATACATATTTGTTGAATATATAAAATCATTTTCAGCAAGGCGTTTAGTAAAAATCTCTCATTATATCCTTGGGAAATTACTTAGATATGAATTAAATGGCTTCTTAGGTTTCTTTTTTTATAACATTTAAAAAAGTTACATAGTCCACTTATATTGATTTTCAAGCTTTTTATTTTTATATTAAAATTATCTATGGGAAGTTTTAACAAGCCAAAATTAAAAATGTAAAACAAAAGAAAGGTACTTTCTTTGTTGCTTCTCTAGTTTTAAGGGACATCTTTAATCACAGTAACAATATTCAGGAATATTATATCCTTAAGGGCATGGACATTTATTTTCTTAATACCATAAAAAACTTGGCAGTGGCCGGAAAGTTGGCATAGAAAGAGAATAAAATGACAAGATTTAATTACCCAGCTATTGATTAGTTGGTACCAAACAGAAAGTTTAAAAAGTCAAATCACTTCAAACATCACAAAAGTGTATCACTCATACAGAACTTTCAAGTCTGCAAGAAAACTGATTTCCCACCTGTGAACCCCTTGTCAGTACATGTAAAAACTGAATGCCAAAAAGTCTAGCCATCTCACTGGTTTTCCCAATCAGGTCCAGCTGTTCTAACATTTGGAGATTTCCACGGACACGGCTAACATAATGATCAACCATTTTCCATCTGTTAAAAAAGAATCCACATTATGAACATCAGGGAAAAATTTGGACACTTGAAAACAGTACTTTTTTTCCTGCCAAAAATCTACATGCTAAAAGTGAGGTTACTTAAGGAAAGAGTAATGATATGAGCCTTTAAGCAAAGTATGCTAAGGAATTAAACATTAGAAAATTTTAGGTATTTCAAGGGCATGAAAACCAGTAAAGATACACAAAATTTAAAATAGTACTTGTGATTAGGTGGTAAGATTAAGGATCACTCTTTTTCAATATTTTGCTTGATGTTGCTCTATTCTTTTTTTTTCTATTCTTATTATAGAAAATTAACATTCTCCTTTAAGATACAGCTGCTGATTATGCAATAATTATTTATCATATCTATAGATTTTTAAAGAACATGAAGGGTCTGGGTTATCATTGTAAGTCTAAAATAAAAACATGCACTATGTTCATGGCAAAAAAAAAAGAGTAATTTGGTGAAGATTTAGAAAAATCAGGAACATAAATTTTAGTGAGATAATACATGGGTTAAACATATTTCAATAAGTATTTTTTGTTAAAATATAAAAGTTCTGTTTTTCAGTTTAAACCTTAAATTTAACCTCTTTACCTTACCTTCTTAAGAAAACAAACAATAAAACCCTCAGCAAATCCATAAAAAGAATTTTAATATTATAAGATGTAAAAATGACCCAGAAGTATACTATAAGGAATAAAATTTATTCATTTGAAGATTAAGGTTCACATATATTGTAATCTTTAATTATATTGCTTTTAGAACAATATAGTCACATAATTGTCTAATAAATGTGTTTAAAGACCTTTTCCTCAGACACATGACTAATGCTTAATAGAAAAACTAGAAAATGCATGTGAAGGAAGAAAAAAATACCCTATTATAAAAAAGATAATAACAGTATATTACCAAGAAAGTAGAGACATTGGAATCCTCATATACTGCTGGTGGGAACGTAAAATAGAGTAGTTGCTTGGGAAGATAATTTGGCAGTTCCTCAAACAGTTAAACATAGAGTTACCATATAATCCACCAAAAATTCTACTCCTAGGTACATATCCAAAAGGAATGAAAGAGGGTATCTACACAAAAAACTATATATCAATGTTCATTACAGTATTAATCATAGTAGCCCAAAGTGGAAACAACCAAAATGTCTATCAACTGATGAAGAAATAAAATGCAGTATATATCCATACGATACAGTATTATTCAGCAATAAAAGAAATACTGAAAGATGCTATAACATGGACAATTCTGGACAGCATTATGCTAAAAGAAGCCAGCCACAAAAGATTACATATTGCACGATTCTGTTCATGTGAAATGTTGAGGACAGTCAAATTTATTTGGGAAAATTAGAGAATTAAAAAGCTGTCAGGGGACTTAAGATATAAATCTATGGGGACAGAAAATAGATCAGCGGTTGTCTAAGGCAAGAGGTAGAGGGTGGGGGGACTCTGGTGGAGGGGGTGATAGGAGTGATGAAAGGTTGAAGAGTGGTGGCTAGGTGATGCAGGATTTCCATTTAGAGTAATTAAAATAGTATAAAACTTACTGTGATGATGTTGTACAACTCTGAATATACTGAAAGCCAGTGAATTATATACTTTAAATGGGTAAATTGTATGATATACAAATTATATCTGAATAAAGCTGTTAAAACATTAGGCAAACATGAAAGAATCCTAAACTCTATAAATGTTTAAGAAACAGAAATTTTGTTTCATAATTTACATTTTTAACTTAATATACTGACTCCCCATATTTATGTTTTGTAGCTATCGAGCGTGCTATTGTATAATGATAACATATTTAATCGAAACACTTACTGAATATCTTTTATTACTGTAAGCAATGGTATGATGAACATTTTTAAAGCTAAGTCTTTATACAGATGATTAAATAATTCCTTAAAATAAATTCCTAGATTTGGTCAGTTTTCAATACCTAACAATACACTGCTTTCCAGAAAGGTTTTAATAATTTATATTCATACTAGTGATGATAAAGTGCTTGTTTCCTTGTATATTTGTTAACAATGAAGATTATAGTTTTTAAAATTATTATGAGTTTGATAGACAAAAAATGATACATTTTAATCTGCATTGTTTTGTTTTAGATCATTAATGTAACCCCTCAACAATACAAAACTGCAAAGTGTAAATCTGAAATAATGCATTATGTACAAATCAGATCAGTCCCTTTAAAATAGAACAAAATGGATTTAATGGCTCACCACTCCTTCAGGATGTGTGGATTTATCTATGGAGAGTGCAGAAAAAGGAGATAACATTTACACTTTGCCCTCTCAACATATGGACAGAGAGCTGACCTGGAGAAACATGCCAAATGAGATACCAAAATAGTGAGACACCAACATAATTTCTGAAAATGCCAGGCAGCACACAAGCATTTTGCTGAGATTTGTAAAACATGAGAAAAATAAGTGTTAAGTCTCAACCAACACAGGTTTAACAGAAAACTTTAAAAAGGTATGTATTACACATATATAAGAATCTGTTTCAACAGATAATCATGCTGACTGGGCACGAATATTTCCTTGAAATCTGTAGGTGGTGATTCAGGAGAAGAGTTACCAATTGAAGTATGTTGACGATAATTTGTTTCGGAAAATGTGTTTTAAAACATACTGGTTTATTTTCTTTGTTTACTCCAGTCTAAAGTCCTTTTTTTTTTTTTTTTTTTTTTTTTTTTTTTTTTTTTTTTAAATAAGACTGATCTTGCCAATAGGTTTTTGTAATTCATGGTACAATTAAGAAACATAATCAGCAGATTAAGAATTCCTTTAGTAAGGTAAACATTTGAATATTTCAGGATTTTTTTCCTTTGATAATTGTTCATGTCTTTTACCCTTTTTTTTACTAATTTAAAAGTATATAATATAGTTAATATACATAACTGTTACGGTGAAAATGGTTTTCCTAGGTTGATGTTAGCTTTTTACTTTTGTTGATGTTATTTAATGAAGTACAGAAGTTTGTTTTTGGGCAAAAATGGTGAAAGTAAGTCTAATACTTTATATACAAAACTGATTAAACTGAATCTTAAAGGTTCCTGATTTAAGTGATTTGACTAAGATCAACTCTATTTTTTTAGGCAGTATAGTCTATTAGAACTTAAATAAATGGATATAATAGTATATTTCAAAAGAAATATTTTTACTATGCTACATATAACTAACTCTTTTTAAAAAGTGGAAATGGTTTATTTCACATTTTGAAGAATATAGTCTAAGAGATTTTCACATATTGGTTGACAGCACAGACTTTGGAGTGAGATAGTCGTAGGTTCAAATTGTGGCTCTACTGCAAGCTGCTACGTGACCCTAGGCAAATCATTTAACTCTCTAGTTTTCAGTTTCTGTATGTGTGAAACAGTGGTTTCACTGTTGTAAGGTGAAACTGTTGTAAGGTGTTAGGCAAAAGCAAAAACTTAATAACCTTTGCTGCTATTATTATGATAATTATGGTAATTACTATTTCCCCATTTCATTCAGAATCTAATTCTCTATCCTGAAAAGAAAGACGTACCAATTAATTAACATTTATTGAGAGCCTTCTGTGTGTTGAAGACTCATACTATCTCATTTAATTCTTACTTCACTTCATGAGGTAGAATATATTAACATCTCTCTATTATAGATAAGAAAACTGAGGATTACTGTAAGACTAATCCATCCTAGTTTACAAACCTAGTACACTAGAACCTGAGATTTTGGCCAAATAAACGAAAACATGATGAAAAGAAAACAAGATAATACATTATAAATGAGTAACTGTCTTGTTAAATTTCTGTCATCACAGCAAAGTACTCATTTCCTCACTAACAAAAATGGTAGACCATTTTGTGAAATGAATGCTTATTCATTTCACACTAAATGTATTCCTCTCCACTGACTGGTAACCAAGTAATATAAACAAATTAGATGCATCTTATCTTTCATAACTAAAGGTTAATTTAACAAGGGACATTTTATCTTATACAGTTTATCCAGCAGGTAACAACTGCTGTTTTCTGATCTAAATCTGCTGACCTATAGGCATGAATATAAAAAATACTTTGAATGGCTAATTTAAAAAAATGTATTTTAGACTTTTTAATTTAAAAAAGTGATCTTTCCGAAATAAAATCATCATCCTTTCTACTTTCGGGTCCTATCTGACTAACCATATAACATAAAAGAGAAAGAGTAATTGTGGCCTTTACTTATGGTTAAAGGAGAAGATTGACTTTTGTTAGTTTTTTAAATTGTTGTTAAAGAATTATGCCATCCTCCTAATGCTTTGTCAAACTTAACGGTAATAAATACAAGTTTTGATCCGGAAAGGAGGAAGGGAAACATACTTATAAAGCACATGCTACTCAGGATAGGCTTGGGTAGTGCTGAAATGGGAACTTAGAGCATCCTGAAGGCATGGATATTTTTCAAGATAGTTCATCTGGGGAGAAGGTGACAAAAAAGGAGACAGGAGAATCCCGAGTACAAAATTCACTTATTCTGAAGTTTTTCTGTGGACTGGCTCTATACTCAGCAAATAGAAAAGAAAATTTCTTATATTATCTTCTTCAGCTACAGAACTCTGCTCCCAGGATATACCTCCTAGCTCAGAAACTGGAATCTGGAATAGTATTTAATAACTATTCCTTGAATGACAGATAAAATCATGCTGGTATTAGGAATTATATAGATTAGTAATATTAGAGATTAGGAAAAGTTTTATAGGCTGGCTTAGGAATCTAATCACAAGACATTATTTTATGAAAAAATGTGTTCTAAGCTTGAAACAATAAAATGTTGGGAACATAATTCATTCATATAAATCTGGGGCTTCCAGGAGACAAAAATCTGGGTTTATTAAAAAAAATTAGGGTACCTTTGTGTTTTACAGGTTTAACACAAGAAATCCTTGACTAGCAAGTTCTTCTCATTCTAAGTCGATTTACAATATATATGTATGTCCTTAAAACACTGTAGAAAGCAAATGGAAATCAAAAGGGGTTACCATACCTACCAAAAAAGTAAGTCAGACTTATTTTTTTGTATTCACTTAAAGTTAAGAATGTACTCATTTAAATTTAAGTATTCACTTAAATTTAAGAATGAAGTTGTCTGATATTTCCAAGACTACTCAAAGAGTGCATGGTCTTCTCATATAACATAATCCATTTGACATAAATGGTCTAATGTCTAGTCTAAGTCCCTTCTGTACAATTTTAGTTCCAGTCCTCTATTTTACTTGTCAAAAACAGTTATCATCCTAGATAATACCTAATTAAAGGTGGTAAAACATGTATTTAGAGATTCCGGGGCTTATAAACAAACCACTGAATATAGTTTTCAATGTTAAGTTAAATATCAAGTTTTATTTATTGGTGTATAATTTCTCCTCAGCTTTTTTTTTTTTTTTGAGATGGAGTCTTGCTGTGTCGCCCAGACTGGAGTGGAGCGCAGTGGCGTGATCTTAGTCACTGCAACCTCTGACTCCTGCTCCCGGGTTCAAGTGATTTTCATGCCTCAGCCTCCCGAGTAGCTGGGATTACAGGTGTGCACCACCATGCCCGGCTAATTTTTTGTATTTTTAATAGAGATGGGGTTTCACCACATTGGCCAGGCTGGTCTCGAACTCCTGACCTCAGGTGATCCGCCCGCCTCGGCATTCCAAAGCACTGAAATTACAGGCGTGAGCCACTGCACTCAGCCAACTTCGCCTCAGCTTCTATTTCTATAAGGCTTTGATAGAAGCTAAGTGCTTTCTGTTACTTCACTTCACTTCCCTGAGATTCCTCAAAAGTGATTGGAATATGCGATGACATGCTCAGGAAGCAGTTTCCCCAAATATTATCAAGTTGTTTTCAAAGCTATACTTTTTCCATCCTCACCACCATACAGCCTTACAATTCAGTAAGTACAGATTCACTCATTTAAAAAATTAGACACATTAATTTAAGGACTTTTCCTAGACACAGTGCAGTGTGCCACAGTCTACACAGAGCAAGGCTGTCCTACTAAGCCAAAGATGAACAGCTCAGAGTTCATTTAGGCAGCTCACAGCTCGAGTCTGTGGGACGGAGCACAGGAGAGAAAGGGAGCTGTGCAAGTGGCAGGAGTTGGGGGGGGTCAGAAGTATAGCTGGATTCCTTATGAGTGATAGCTCAAGGCTGTCCCGAAAACGAACAGGATGAAACCACATGAGGCTGAATAAAGAGCAGCTCGCTGGGGGTTGAGTGTGGGCAGAAATGGTCAGATAGTGCTGGGGTTGGAGGCTCACCAATGCCAGAGTGGAGAGACCTCATCACCCCCTTGTTAACAACCTTGGCATTCAGTTGTGAGCCCAGAAAAAAACAGAGGCCTTTGCCCTAGAGAAAGGCCTACTCTAGATAAAACTTAAAACCAAATACTGACAATATGTACAGACGACAGAGTTTGGAGATTGAATCCTACATCAAGTTGGAGGAGCTTAGGAAACACCTTGGGCCTGGTATACTTGCCTGTTCCAACCATAGGCTTTGAACTAAATAACAAGCAACTGGAAAAGGGGCAAGAAAACTTCCTGTCATAGATTCCAGGCAAAGGAACAGTATCACTGAGAAAGGAGTAGAAGAAAATGCTATCTGCCCCAGGGGGAGGGTCAGGAAGCTTACTTGGGCCCAGGACCTGCCAGTGGTACAAAGCAGAGGTCTGTTGCCTCTGTGGGAAGAGCAGGAGTGCTGAGCAAACCCCAGAAGAATAGGAAGATCCAGGCCGGGCACGGTGGCTCATGCCTGTAATCCCAGCACTTTGGGAGGCCGAGGCGGGCGGATCATGAGGTCAGGAGATCGAGCCCATCCTGGCTAACATGGTGAAACCCCGTCTCTACTAAAAATACAAAAAATTAGCCAGTTGTCGTGGCGGGCGCCTGTAGTCCCAGGTACTCGGGAGGCTGAGGCAGGAGAATGGCGTGAACTCGGGAGGCGGAGCTTGCAGTGAGCAGAGACTGTGCCACTGCACTCCAGCCTGGGTGACAGAGCGAGACTCTGTCTCAAAAAAAAAAAAAAGAACAGGAAGATCCAAAGACTGAGGTTAGACAGGAGAACTGAGAAACTCCCCCTGCCTCCACTATAAACCTTGCAGAGAGTAAAAAGTGACATCGGTCAACCACTCATTAAATCTGACTTTGGAAAGAAAATGAATCACAAATACTGGAAAAATGAGAATAACTGTTGACTTCTCATCAGCAAAATGAGAGGCTGGAAGGGAACAAAATCTTTAGAGTGGTGAAAGAAAAAAACGCAACTGAGACTGAGAAATTATCCTTCAAAAATAAGGGTGAAATAAAGACATCTTCATATAAACAAGGGCTAAGATAATTTTTTGCCAACAGACTTGCCAAAGAAAACAGATTAAGTTTCTTAAAATGTTAACACACAACAGCCATATGACCCAGTAATTCTACTCCTAAGAGATATGAAAATGTATGTTCACATGCTGACTCATATGCAAATCTTTATTGCAGTTTTATTCATAATAGCCTCAAACTGGAAACAACCCAAATGTCCATCAACAGGTGGGTGGGTAAGTTATATTCATATAATTGAATACTATTTAATAATAAGAATGAACAAACTATTTATGCAACAGAAATACATACTATGTTTTCTGAGTTTCTTCAAAGCCAAGATAGATTATGAATATTTCCATTAATATGAAGTTCTATAATTGGCAAAACTAATCTACAGTAATAGAAATCCAATTAGTAATTATCTAGATGATTAGGGATGGGTAGGTTGACTGCAAAGCTGTAGAAGGGAATCTTCTGGGTGTGAGATATGCTCCTTATCTTGATTGGAGTAATGAGTACAAGATAAATGCATTTTTCAAAGTCATTGAACAATAATACACTTTATTTATTTATATATTTTTTGAGATAGAGTCTCACTCTGTCGCCCAGGCTGGAGTGCAGTGGCACGATCTCGGCTCACTGCAACCTCTGCCTCCTGGGTTCAAGTGATTCTCCTGCCTTAGCCTCCTGAGTAGCTGGGATTACAGGCATGCATCACCACACCTGGCCAATTTTTGTATTTTTAGTAGAGATGGGGTTTCACCATGTTGGCCAGGCTGGTCTCGAACTCCTGATGTCAGGTGATGTGCCCGCCTCGGCCTCCCAATGTGCTAGGATTACAGGCGTAAGCCACCGCAACTGGCCTGAACAATACACTTTAAATGTGTGCATTTTATTACATATAAATTACATCTCAATGATGATTTTATATTACCTTCTTCAGAGTTATAGAACAGTACCTGTATAGATCTGTCTTGTTATCAAACCAGTCTGACAAGACTCGAAAGGTAAAGAGGGGAAAACGCTGATGAAGAACATGAAAGCTCACATTTTCAAAGGTGTAGTTAGTTAGAGCCACCTAAAAAAAAAGGCAAGACACCATTATAATAATGCTTACATTTATGTAGCAAATTTGGTTCTAAAAGATACCAATATCACTTTAAACTTTTCATAGTAGATATTAAAGCTACTTGTAAAACTGATGTGCAGTACAACTGAATCATAATTCAAAACTATGTAGAGCCTACTGGACAGAAATGTTCATAACAAATTGGAAAATTATTTAATTAGAGAAAGCAGACCTGATGAGATTCAACTTGGTCATATAATACTTATTTTAAGAGATTCTAGTTCTTACCATTTTTATACTCCATGATAATATACATATTGACAGAAGCATTGTCAAGCAAATTAATTTTTTGTTCTTTCCATACTTACTTTTTGGTTCTTGATGACATGCTGATTAATGGGATTCCACAGATTTGAGGTGAGTTATCTAGTTAAAGGCAGGCATTCTCCTCCCAATAATTACATTAGTTACTAGACCCCACTACACAGACATTATAGAGCCACTCAATTTCATTCCAAAAGCAAAATACTAAAATGTCAGAAATGTCTCCCCATGTTCCAAATACGTAAGTGAAAGCAGTGTTAATGGGTAAAGGATACTGTAAAAGGGCCCAAATTAATAAATATGTACTTCCAGCTAGATGATTTCTCTGAAATATCTACAAGACAAAAGCAATCTAGACAATGGCAGGTATTTCAATGCAAAATGGAAATTAAGGAACCAGTAGTCCCCATTCTTAGGTCAGTTTCGGATTCAGAAATAGTTCAAACAGCACTTCACATTTGTATATTACATTATAATTTTAAATTACTTTCTTTTCCACTCCTGTGATCCAGGAGGTACAAAATAGGGATTGAATGTTAATCTTATCTCAGTGCAGTGACCCAAATTGGTCTTACTTTATCTACAATTTCTGTCAATCTTCAGAACAATGGCACTACAATGCAGCACACTTCACAGTGTGTGTATGTACTTGTGTAGGTATACATATACACAGATGCCCCTCATAGGTTGTAAAAAGGTAGAGAGCAATAGAATGAGGAAAAGGCCACAAGATTAAATGAGGAAGGATTATAAAATCACTAACAGAATGAAAGCTCATATTGAAAGCAGTAAATAGCAGAACAGTTCTACTAAATAGTTCTACTAAAAGTCAAGTTAGGAATATGGAAATGTCTCAGCATGCAGATAAAGAGGATGAAAACATGAAAATGAGAAGAGGGAAGATATGGGGAACAGAGAACAGAATGTTAATATATAATTAGGTTCCTAAAGGAAAGCCTAATATGGAGACAGGAGCAATAATCAAATATATTAATTAGCTGGACCTTAGATTTCTCCTCTGCAGTACTAAATTCCAGAGGTGAATGGCACTATATCTACTTGAATTTTAAAGGAAAAGGACTACTGTTATTTTATATGCAGTAAGTGTAACAATTATGTGGGAAGAAAATAAAGATACTCCTTGATTCCTTGAACTCCTCTTCTCTAATGATTTTGTCCTCCATCCTACCTAAGCTACCCACTCCCATAATCATACCCCAGGATCTATCAACAGCTGTACTCCCTCCAAAATCTCATGCATCCCATTCTCTGACCATCATCTCCGGTGCTTCCAGCTTACTCCCCTTGATGCTCTGACCTCTCTGCTCCTTATTTAGTTTAAATTTCATAGTCAATCATGGTAATCATTCCCCTGCATGTACCCTTCATTCCCTTGTCCCTTTCCTGCTGCTGCCGCCTTTTTTTTTTTAATTTTTAAAGCAAATCCATAACCCTTTGTGAGTGATGGTTAAATCTAACTTGCACCTGTGAATTTGAACATAGCTGGTGGGTATCACTTTAATTTCCTAACCCAAATCTCAAATGGGCTCTTAATGTGGCCCAGTGTTTATATTTTCTCTCAAATTCTCCTAATAACCATTTCAAACTCATCTCTCCTCAAACCCCAAAAGCCTCTCCACAATTCTGTTTTAGCTAAGAACAGTAATTCCTATTTTACTGAGAAAATGAATCACAAGAGAACTTCCACAGATTCTCACTGCCATATCTCTACCTACCAACATCCATACCCATATATTCCGCCTTCCTGTCTGTTACTATACTCTTACTTTATCTAAACCCAGGCCCCTCAACCAGTGCACCAAAGATGGCATTCAGTAAATATTTGTTGAATTGAATCAAGTCTGTTTCCAACCCACTTGGCAAATTCTTGAAAAGCCTAGATTGACTTGACATCCAGAAGGCCTCTAAGTATAACTGTCTGGGGAAGAGCTATTTATTGTCATTTAAGCAGTCAACAAATATCTAATAAGCATTACTATTTAAGAGGTATTTTGCTTGTCACTACGAATTCAAAGTCCATAAGGAAACTGCAGGAGTTCTATGTTCAAAGTAAAGTAAGAGAAAGAAATCTAGTACTTGTATATTAAAAAAACAAACAAAATTTATGATTACTATTATTTTAACAGATGGGGTCCTGCTTTATCTCTCAGGCTATTCACAGGCATAATAAAACAGTGCACTGCAGCCTTGAATTCCTGGCCTCAAAATGTCCTCCCGCCTGAGTCTCCTGAGTAGCTGGGACTATATGTGTGTGCCACTGTACCCAGTTCCAAATTTTTAAAAAACAGGTTACCCAGCTCATAACTTTCTTACAGTTGTTTCCCACATTTGCATAAAGATCAGAGATACTATATATTCATCCTAAATGAGAGGAAACATTTGACCCTGAATTTTCAGTGAGGACTAGAGAAGGCCCTAAACTTTGCAAAAATATTTGTTCTCTAATTTGCAATTTTAAGCTACTAGTTAATTTGCTACTGTTGCCTTTTGGATATACAGGGTTGAAAAGACCCCTGAAACTAGGATTCAGTAATTTACTTTGTGTTTATACACTTAAAGTATGTGCTCATCTCAGGCAATATCAGACTATACATTAAAATATATAATGAGGCCTGGGCTGTGGCTCACACCTGTAGTCCCAGCATTTTGGGAGGCCGAGGTGGGCAGACCACTTGAGGTCAGGAGTTTGTGACCAGGCTGGCCAACAAGGAAAAACCGTGTCTCTACTAAACATACAAAAATTAGCCAGGTGTGGTTCAGGCACCTGTCATCCTACCTACTCAGGAGGCTGAGACAGGAGAATTGCTTGAACCCAGGAGGCGGAGGTTGCGGTGAGCCGAGACTGCACCACTGCACTCCATTCTGGGTGACAGAGCAAGACTCCGTCTCATAAATAAATAAAATAAAAAAAAATATATATATATAATGAAATATACACACCAAATACACCACAATCTCTGTATCTCTTATATCCTGTGCTGTATCACTAGAAATTACTTTAAATCACTGGGGACTCTAACACTCTTCTATTATTTTAAGAACAACACAACAAGATAAAATCATTCTCAAGCAGAGTCATGTTGTATACTGCATACAGCAGCTTAGAAAGTCAAATGTTTTATATAAATCCAAAGAGCCAAGAAGATAATAATAATAAGTATATAATAGAAAGTGTCTAATGAGAAAGTAGTTTCAAAGAGCAGAAGCAATTGAAGAATTAGCTTTCTTTTAAATATAAACATTTTAGTTGACATTATCCAAAGTCCAAAGTCTAAGAATAGACCAATTTATAGTAGGTATCTTTGTTTCTGTTTTGTCTTTTTTGAGATAGGCTCTAGCTCTGTCACCCAGGCTGGAGTGTGGTGGTGCAATCTCAGTTCACTGCAACCCTTGCCTTTGAGGCATAATAAAACAGTGCACTGCAGCCTTGAATTCCTGGCCTCAAAAGGTCTTCCCGCCTGAGCCTCCTGAGAAGCTGGGACTGTATGTGTGTGCCACTGGCTCTCAGGATCAAGTGATCCTCCCACCTCAGCCTTCCAAGTAGCTGTTGCCTGGCTACACGCTAGGCACATGCTACCATACATGGCTAACTCGTATTTTTTGGTAGAGACGGGGTTTTGCTGTGTTGCCCAGGCTACTCTCAAACTCCTGGGCTCAAGTGATCCACCCTCCTTGGCCTCCCCAAGTGCTGGGATTACAGGTATGAGCCACCATGCCCAACCTAATTGTTTTTTATTTTTTATTTTTAATACAGACAAGGTCTCGCTATGTTACCCAGGATGGTCTTGATTGAACTCCTGGCCTCAAGCTATCCCCTCCTACCTCGGCCTCCCAAAGAGTTGGGATTAGAGGTGTGAGCCACCATGTATGGCTTTTTTACATTTCAAATAAGAGAAATTGGGTAACTTCAAGGATGCAAATATTACCCAGGAAAATCCTATGATCTTACTTTTTGTGTGTGAAATAATTCTTTTTCTAAGTGAATGCAAATTAATGGGATAGTTCATTGAAATTACTCTACTAAAAAATCCTTATCTGAGCTCCCAAAGCCTTAATTATTAACTATTTCAAAGTACTGTCTCTTTATCTTATTAATCTGACCCAGTATTTAAATATACTTCATTTGAGAAGCTCCTTCCTATTTCTAGACTAAATTTTTCTTACTATAATAAATCAACAAGGCCAGCTGAATTCATCTGGCCTTAAGTGCAAAAATGACTTCCGTGAAAAAAATACGGTGAAATTAGACAATATTCAACATGTACAACACAATATTTTATTGTATTTTGAGACAGGGTCTCACTCTGTCACCCAGGCTTGAGTGCAGTGGCACAATCACAGCTCACCGCAACCTCGGCTGCCTGAGCTCAAGTGATTCTCCCACCTCAGCCTCCCAAGTAGCTGGGACCACAGGCATGCGCCTCCACATCCAGCTAATTTTTTTTAGCTATTATTTGTAGAGACAGGGTTTTGCCATGTTGCTCAGGCTGGTCTGGAACTCCTGGGCTCAAGGGATGCCCCTGCCTGGGCCTCCCAAAGTGCTGAGATTACAAGTGTGAGCACTGCACCTGGCCCCAATATTTTATTATAGCTATAGACCTTTCTAGTTATTGCTACCTTAGACACAAGAAAAAAAAAAAAACTCACTTAAAACATTAAAGTCTATTACCTCTGTAGTTTTGCATTTTAGAAAGTACTATTTTAACTCTACTTAAGTATAACAGTAATTGACAAACGCATAAGCTATATAGTAAATCTTACTAATACTCTATAATGATTAAATCATTATATTGACCGAATATCTTATTTCTAAACAACATTTTGGATAAATCACCCACCTCATTTCTCATGATTCTCCAAAGATTTAGTGTAATTCGGCCAACAATATTTATCTCACTCATTGTATATGATCCATACTCATCTCTTTCAGCTGCAAATCTGTTCTCAATTTTGTCATCTATAGAAATGAAAACAGACTGTATCAGGGCTCACAGAAAACAAACTTTCAATAAAATTATGCCAGGGAAAATGAGAATATACATTAAGGATGAATATTAAAGATGAAATATAATTCACAATGTATGAAAAAATTTTGTGAAATAAATATAACCTGAAGTCTCTCCCTCCCTCCTTCTTTCTATATTTAAATAAGAAACACTTTTTTCTTTAGATTTGGTAATTTTTGGCACTACCTTTTTTTGTTTGTTTTTTATGTTGCCCAGGTTGAGTGCAGTGGCTAGCCACAGGTGCAATCATAGCACACTACAGCCTCAAACTCCTGGTCACAAGCAATCCGCCTGCCTCAGCTGCTCGAATAGCTGGGACTACAGGTGCCTGATGCTACCTTTATAAACACCTAATGCTAACATTTCTTTGGTCTTAGCATGAGAAAGATCCACAGTTAATCTGGTAATTTCTTGGAAAAAAAACTAGTTCAATTTTTAACCTAAACGATTCTCTGAAAATTTGTTGACATCATGTTCACATTCAGGATGAAATTCTCTTGAATGCATATGGAGAACTAGATGAAGAGTTCCTCATAGCAAATAGCGTTGTGAGTCTAGTTTCTTAGGAGATGAAGTTTACCTAGAATATAAATTAAAATGCGTCTCTCCTATGTAACACTAGGTATATGTGAATGTTGATGATTAGAGGTTCCAGAATAATAAAAATATTTACCATATTGAAGGTTTATTATGTTCTAAGAATTTTACCAACATCATTTATTTTAATACAAACATTACTTCCTTTATTTTAACAGGACCATTTAAGAAGTTAGTATAATTTTCATTTTGTATTACGGAAAATTCTACTCAGAAATGTTATATCTTGCCCAAGATCTTACAGTAAGAAAACTAGTATTCTAAACTAGGATTACCTGAATCCAAAGACCATGTACAACCACTCACCCAATTCTTTTTATTTTAAAGAGATAATGTTTAAAAGTTTGTTTTTCATTTAGCAAACAATGTAACATATACTCTGGTGATTGTTTTAAGTTCTTCAAAATAACCCTATGAAATAAGTTCTATTATCCCTATTTTACAGATGAATAAACTGAGACAAGGATATTTAAAACCTATCCCAAAAAAGATATTGAAAAAAAAAAAAGATATACCACTATTGCTATCATGCAAAGGACACACAAGCTACACAAAAATTCATGGAATGAAAAGCTAAACTTAAAGCATCTCTGCCCCCCATTCCCTTTTTATAAGACAGAGTCTTGTTCTATTGCCCAAGCTTGGGTGCAGTGGTGTGATCATAGCTCACTGCAGCCTTGAACTCCTGGGTTCAAGCAATCATCTCACCTCAGTCTCCTGAGTAGCTGGGACTACAGGCACAAGCTATCACACCTGGCTAATTTTCTTTCTTTTTTTTTTTTTTTTGGTAGAAATGGGGTCTCACTTTGTTGCCTGGGATAGTTTTGAACTCCAGGGCTCAAGCAAGCCTCCCACCTTGGCCTCCCAAAGATGGGATTACAGGTGTGAGCCACTGCACCTGATCTTTTTATTCCAATTTTTTGCAAAGCTAAAAAACTTTACTGTCCTGGAATCTTCCAGCTTCAACTTTTCCTAAAGTATACACTACTTTGTTTTAGTTAGACTTGTGGGAACCCTTGGGAACAAATTTATTAAAAATCCTATGTTTATAAAGAAAACATAGTTTTAAAAAGTGCATTATAAACTACAAATAATTTTGGTATGAATATTATTATTCCCTTCTAGTTAGAATGAAACTTTGGGGAATGGACTTCAAAATTTCTGCAATATTTGTAGCCTGATATCCAAATAAAAATCAATGATTAGTTAACTACTAGTGTTCCTCAACCCATCCTGTCCTTCTTAACCAACAAAATGGATTAAAAAAAACAGAGGCAGACAAACAATAAAATTATGGTACAACAAGTCAAAGAAATGCTATGTAGCTTCATAATAATTATGAAGACTATTTCATAATGCAGAAAAATATGTGTGGTAAGACACTAGATGAAGGAAGCATAATAAAAATGGAATATACGGTATGATTATTTAAAAACCACTACATATGTATATGAAAAGTGACTGAAAGGAAAAAACCCAACAACTATACTAACAGTACATATAGCAGTGAGACTAGAATATTTTTTATTTTATTTTTAATTTTTTCTACAATGGAGTTATGCTATATCTAAAACTTACACAACTTAGTACTAAAAAATTGGGCTACAGCATAAGTACTCTTTAACATTCTGTCTTTATTTCCTTTATAATTTGCTCTGTAGTTGAATGACAAAACATTCACAATGACACATACCTGGCACCCGAGAGATCATCCGACATAAGTCAATACTTAAAGCGGCAGCCCTTTGTAAGAGGTAACCCCAGGAATGCATCTGAATCTCATATCCTAGCAGAATATCAGGATCATACCTAAAAAAGGAATTTAAAAAAGTTATATAAGTACCATACATTTGAACCTTTAACCAGAATAATTGTTTCTTCATGATATAAGGTATGAAAACAAAAACCTATGTTCTCTAACGGTGCCCAGATGGAGAAGGGATGATACAGTGGTACCTACAGAGTTTTTATACAGGAAGAGATGGATGGTTAAGAGTACTTGATTTGAAGCTACTTTGTTTCTTTCTTTCTTTTTTTTTTTTGAGATGGGGTCTCACTCTGTTGTCCAGGCTGGATTGCAGTGGCATGATGTTAGCTCACTGCAACCTCTGCTTCCCAGGTTCAAACGATTCTCCTGCCTCAGCCTCCTGAGTAGCTGGGATTACAGGTGCCCCACACCACGCCCGGCTAATTTTTTGTATTTTTAGTAGAGATGAGGTTTCACCATGTTGGTCAGGTTGGTCTCAGACTACTGACTTCCAGTGATCTGCCTGCCTCAGCCTCCCAAAGTGCTGGGATTATAGGCGATTTGACGCTATTTTTGTAAAGTAAACATAATTTTTACTTAGACTGTGTATTTGTTTGATACAAGTGGGAAAAGAGGCTGATGGAAATTGGGGTGGAAGGCAGGCCATTACCACTGAAGTATATGAGTGAAGGTACAAGTGAGAATATAATGTGGGCAGGGGAAGGTGAAGTGTGAGGGTGTGTGTGGGTATGGTATTTTGAAAAAGATCCCTAGGTCATTGTGTTGCCACTTATCTACCCTTCTAATCTATACTGCCCTTAAACAGTTTTAATGCTGAGAAAGAAAAATGAGAATGCTTTCCTTTTCTCACTTAATTTTAGTAATTATTTGGTTCTCACACAAAATAAGGCCTAAGTAATGACAAGTTTGTCCTTTAAATTTAAAAGGATGGTGATTCAACTTAATGGAAGAATGAAATATTAATAGAGGTGGGATTAAGGTGGGGAAGGTAAACATCAGAATCTAGAAGAAAAATGTGCTCCTCGTGGTCAGAGCTTCACTGGCAAAACTGAACCGACCACCTGCGTCCAATCCAGAAGGAGCCTCTTTGTGGCTCCTCTTAGAACCTCCATGTTGTGACCACCATAGAGAAATGTTTAGCTATAAATATGAAAATTTATTTCGAGTGGAAAATTGTGTGGGAGAGAGCGGAACTAATTATAGTTATAAGTTTTGAGAGCAAAAACTACAGTAAGTAGCTCTATCAATTAGTAGCATTATCTTGTTCTTTATAAATGCCAAAAGGCCAAGTGAAATATCACAAAAATTTAAATCGTTGAGTTTTACATAACTACTCATGAAACACTAAATTGTGAGATGTGCAGCCTGTCCAATTTACAGCATTTAATACCCTAAGCCTCAGCCAATGTCTACAGTACTAGACTAATTTACTGATATAAGCTATCTATGGCTACTCTGCAAGTCTGGCATAACAATGGATCATGACCAGATCACCAGATCTGCTTTTAGAACCAATATGTTAATATTTTATCATAATTCCATAGCTGTCTTCTAAAAATGGGTATTGAATGGCTTTCGTTTTTACCTAGTCAATAAAAATTGGAATGTCACAATAAATGTTTTCTGATTTTTAATTCTGGAGTATTTCAGTGGCTGATGTCAAAAGAACTGGGTTCAAACTTCTGCAACAGCACACTTTTAAATTTTCCTATTCCCTAAAGGCCCTATGAAAGTACATTCTGTAGTATAAATTTTAATATCTGGTGATCTGTTCATGATCCATTGTTATACCACAGACTTGCTGAGCAGCCTTCAAACTTGTTAGGAGAAAAAGATAATAAACATATTATTTATGTGCTTTTCTCTATACAAATAGGGTTGACATTTCTGAGAAAATGGCTTAATTTAATAAACAGCTATTGAAGCAAAGCAATAAGCAACAATGGCATGAATATCCAGAAAGGAAGTCCAGAAAGATCCCAGGGCACTCAAGGAAAGAGAAATATCCCAATACTCTTTCTGTTTAGTCTTCCAACATAACACCCAAACCCTTAACCAAATCCTTGATACTGACTTCATCTCTTTCATTAAACTCTTCTTAGTCCAAAGACAGACTATCTACTTGTCCAGTATATCTCCCTTTAAAACTAACTGTGTAATGAATGGCTACATTTGAGAATTGGGGCACAAGTATTAAGTGGCTCTAAGGATCATCAGGGGTCGCAGACTTGAAGCATTCTCATACAAACACAACAGAACCCACACAGTTGTCTGCTAAGTACTCAGAGTGGCTCAGAATAGGCATTACAGTGTGGCCACAGTTGACCTTGATCTTAAGAATCGGGAAGATTCCTGGAGTTCCTATCACATAGTTACCTATCACATATCACATAGTTACACAGCTACAACATGAAGAGGATGCCAGATGATTACACAGGCCTTCTGTTTTAAATGTTATAAAGACAGTTCTTCTAATTTCTTCATCTGAATCTTTCTCATTTATGCAACATCTTGTTATTGCAAGACTTATTCCAGTCAGCTATTTGTTCTGTTGTGGCAACTAAGGGAGTTGGCTACGTACACTTTTTTTAAAAAAAATAATGTATTGAAAATAACTTCGTCTCAGATAAAAAGCTGTCTATTTTTATAAACTGCTACAGCTCAGAAATGACTGCTGAAAAAAGTTACCCTGCGCTTCTCAGATTTATTTCACAGATTTTGTCCCTTTAGAAGAATTGTAAAGTTGTTTCAGGCATTTTTTCAGATATATTACATATATATTTATTTTTTGACCCGGAGGATGTTTAGTCTGGAGGATGTAAGAGACTCTTTTAAAGCTGATAAAACACCTGTTTTCAAGTTCAAAAGCCAAAGGATTCCATTTTTCCTCTCTAAAAACATTTGGAGACAATAACAAGGTCTTGATGACTTGTTCTTCAATTTCTAGTGGGTTTTATTCATTCTATCAGGTTTCTGAAAGTTACAGAAAGAATAAAGTTGGGTAGATGGGATTAGTGGTGAAAACAACCCAAAACTGTGGATAAAATAGAAGCAGAAGAAATAGGTAAATGGTTCCATTTGCTTAGGCAGAAAAAAGCTGCTTCACAGTTAGTATTTTAAGTAACTCACTACCATCTACACACATGACAGATAAGGGTACTCTAGTAGAGGCAAGGGGCACGGAGGGGAAGGAATCATCTTGAAAAAGAATTCTGAGGTTAAATGGATATGATGTAATATAAATGTAATAGCATTTAGGGAAGAGGAAAAGGGAAGAATCATAGTTATATTTAAGTTAGGGAGACTGCGCAAAGTGAAGTTAATAGTCCAAGGAAATACAGAAAGAGGAAAATGATTGTGACAAGATTATAGATGAGGTTTTACTTGTTTAATATCACTTTATATTACTTTTCGTGTTTGTCACTTGAGGAAGTCAATATTAAAAATGGAAAAATAAAGATATATTTATTTTTATATTAGTACCTAGCACTGCCCCTTACACACAGTTAACATTTATGTACTCACTATGTGCCAGACCTGAGTTTAAGAGTTTTATGTGTATTATCTACCCATTTTACAGATTAGGAAAACAAAGCTGAGAGAGTTAAGCAACTTATTCAAGACAGAAACACAGTGCTGGCTGACTCCAAAGGCTGTGCTGAGTAGGTACACAACAAATAGGGTGAAAGAATGAAATAATCAATCTTTTTGCAGAGTTGTTTGGACTAATATATAAAGAACACTATAGAATTGAAAAGTTGACATTTAAGCATTTTTCTTTTTATGACAGTTTTGTTTACCCCATTTTCCTTAATTACTAGTACATTTCATTTTATGGACATTTAAGAAAGTTATTATACTTGCAAATGACTAACAAAATTCTCAATGTTGGCAGGTAATCCTATCATTGGGAATATACCCAACAAGGAAAAGGCAAGCATACAAGCCCAGGGACATTACTGGACATGTGCTGGTACACAAAATAGTATTGACTGAAACTCTTACATATTTCTTTCTCTGAGTTGCTTGCAGAAATAAAAGAAGTGTGGATACTGAAAGCATCTGACATGTTGATGACAACCTCTGTGAGAAGATAAAAGGTAGGACTGACAATGACAAGACTCAAATAGATGGGAATCTATCTAGTCACCAGTGCTATAAATAGTAAAAATACTTTTTTTCCTTCAGAGTCGTGGGTAGTAGCATACTATTTTTGATGCTCTGTCATTTAATTTTGTTTTGTAGAAAACACATGTTTTGGTTTTCTAATTCTCAGAATGGTTTATGTTAACCCATCTGGGATTCAATCTGATGACAAGTCTGTAGAATATCATCTTAATTTTTCATGTAGAATACTGATTTAGTTTTTATAGGATGAAGTTCAACTATATAAGCAAAACAAAAAAGGGTGAGTATAACAACATGCTCATGGACAGCTTTTATCTGTATATCAGGATCCAAAGAATGTCTTCTATCTTGCTTTAGGCATCTAAAACCCTAAACCTAGCAATGGGCAGAATCCTTAAGTTTCTACAAAGTGAAGCATTTAATAAGAGAGTCCATGGCTACCAAGAGCTACACTGTTGAGAAAATGCAAATTATCCACTTAATGATTTTATTTTTAAATTAAAATATTTTTGTTAAAAATTTTTTTTCATAAACTTGGACAAGATTCTACTATCGGACTGAGGACCGACTACCAAATGGTCAAAAGAGATTTTTTAAGGAGCTCTGTGCACAAGAGTATGTAATAGATAATCCTACATTTATGAACAGATAAATTTATACAGAGAATGCATCCCAAAGCTTTTTGAAAATATTGGCTTGTTTAGAACTCAGAAAACTTTAAAAAAGAAAAAACAAACCAAAAAAAGGTACTGAAATGGTGGCTGGCTCCCAAGGTAGAAACCTAGTTAATGAATAATACAATGGAACTTTATACAGTTCTCCATTATTTCAGCACCACAGAAAAACCAACCTCAAGTACAACTGGGAAGTTAGTTAGAGGCTAAACAAATATTTGTCTTTCACTGGCCCCTCAATCTTGAGAACAGAACACTGCTTTTCCTATCCCTTGTCTGATGAAAATAGTGATGGTGGTGGGAAGTGAGTATAAAATCTTCCCAAGAGTAACTCTGCTTTCAAGGGTCATAGGAAGGGATTCGCTTTCTTCCTACCTTTACTTTTATCTTCACTATTATCTGCAATAGCATGAAACGACTCTCTGAATAAAACTGGAAAAATCAGATATACAAAACAATACCTCTTTATTATATTTGCAATTTCATGAAAAAGTGCCTTCTCATCAGCAGCATAGGTGACTTCGAGTCCTGTAATTCCAGATCTAATAAGTAATGGAGTCTGATATCTGATATCTAAAAAACAAACAAAATGTCTATTATATATAACATTATATAATAATATACCTTCATAATATAAAAGTAATATTATCCTCTACTTTTAAGTAAAATTGTACTACTGAAATATTTCAAATTAAGAAAACATCTCCCCAAGTGAAAACATAACTAACTCAATGTCTTTAAAAAACTCTCAAAAGATTTTTTAGTTTAATATACAACTGAAAATTCAAATTTTGTATTTTCAGCTATTCTCCTGAAAAGGCTGCATTCATAAAATTCCCTAGAAAATAACATATCACTGGCTGGGTGCAGTGGCTCACGCCTGTAATCCCAGCACTTTGGGAGGCCGAGGCAGGCGGATCACGAGGTCAGGAGATCAAGACCATCCTGGTTAACATGGTGAAACCCCGTCTCTACTAAAAAATACAAAGAATTAGCTGGGCATGGTGGCGGGCACCTGTAGTCCCAGCTACTCGGGAGGCTGAGGCAGGAGAATGGCGTGAATCCGGGAGGCAGAGCTTGCAGTGAGCGGAGATCGCACCACTGCACTCCAACCTGGGCAACAGAGCGAGACTCTGTCTCAAAAAAAAAAAGAAAATAACATATCTCTTGTGAAGAAACTGTATTACTTTGTTTCTGTCTTTACTCTTCCTAGCAGGAGAGCTTTGCTTAGCACAGGACATTTTAATCTCTGGTATGATGAAAATGCTTAACCACCACTTCTGCAGGAAAAAAAAGAAAGCCTTAATTTGTAGTGCTGGCCTATTTCATGATGTAAGGACCCCTCCCCCACCCTATGACTGATTTCCAACTGCCAAAGTGACAGCAACTAGTTTGAAAAATTCATGAAAATCCAAGAACTGGCTTGTGAGCTGGTATGTGTCAGCTCAAGCACATCACTGAATAAATTGCAAATTCTTAATATGGTTGTATTCTGTGCTAAGACTTCCTCCTCAGTGGACTGAATTCACTTGTAATGGTGACCACTGAAAGCTGCAGAGGGACAGTAGGTATTTTATAAAATGCCTTATATGGCATTCTATATGAAGAACCTCTGAACCAAAAGTATATTATTTAGAAAGAAAGATAAAGAGATATAAGCAAAGTAAGAATATATCTTAAAAGTATCTTATAAACCATTAACTTATAGTGGTAAGATAAACCCTCTATCAGCAGGAAAATACCTGCATATGCATACATAAGGAAGACTGTGCACCTAATCTAGGGATACATAATAAGGTGGACTCTGTATTAGTAGTAAGTATTTTTATAAAATAATACTTAGAACAAATTATATAAGATAATTATAAATATTAAGATCTTTATATTGCATTGCTTCTGACTTAAAAAATGAATAAATAAATGGGGTCTTGCTATGTTACCCAGGCTGGAATGCAGTGGCTATTTACAGGCACAATCATAGTGCACTACAGCCCCAAACTCCTGGGCTCGAGCAATCCTGTTGCCCAGCCTCCCAGGTAGCTGGGACTATATATAAGCAGGCACCACTGTGCCTGGCTGCTTCTGACTAATCCAAGTAAGAATAATAAATCTAGGACAAAGTTATACACAATCTCCTACCCCTACCTCAGCAAACATTTTAGAAAAGAGTCATCATGCTTGCTTAGATTAGATCTTCAGCACAGGAATTCCCCATTAAAACATTCACCCTAGAGTGGGCAGGTATATCATTAATAAAAATGGACAATACCTTGACTGAAAACTGTCTTGTCTTTATCAATCACTATTACACCTGTGAGTTCTGTTTTTTCTGTATCTGGCAGTGGAGTGTCAGATGAGATGCAGTAGAACAGAGCACAGATTGGGTCAAATTCAGGATCCGGTTCTAAGTCTCGTCTAGTTCGAGCATGCAACTCCACACTGATTAGGGTAAGATTTTGTATCTATAAAAGCAAATAAATACTATGTTTTTAAAACATTTTTTAAAGACATGCTCAAAGAAGTATGTAAGGCTCTAGGGAAATATGTATGTAAGATTACAGAAAAAATGGACATAAAGGACAAAGTCACAGCTCAGCAGCACTCCATATATTAAAACGAAAGATTTTTAATCCCAAGATTAGATTAAATCAATTCATGATGTTATTTCAGAAAATCTGCTCTCAATGACAATATTTAGACTATTTTTCTCAAATATATGCAGGATCTCTCAATGCCTGTTTGAGAAAGAGAATGACTAGTCCAAGTAGTTATACAATGAAACCAAAGTCTGTCACGTTTTACTCTTCATGTAGTTAGCTAAACTATATAGTTTTACCTGTAGTTTAAAGTAAAAAGAGAGCTTTTTTAAAATTCAAATTTCCTACCAATTAATTCACTACTACTTGAGGGCTACTTAAACTTAGACTTTTGCATACACTAGGCAGATTTTTAATTATAGTTTTTCCTGAAAAAAAAAAAAAAAAAAAAAAGAACTGTTATGGTATCAACTACACAACAGCCAGATTTTTACACATGCACATTTTCTCTTTAACATATAATGCAAAAAAGTTAATATTTGCTTTTCATGCTTATTTTTCTATGCCAATATAAACTTTTAACTGTAATTCTTAGTTTTCTTTCTAAAATCAAGACAGAGTAAATAAGAAAAACAAAATATAGGTTGAATTCATGATTATAGCTAGAATTATACCTCATCTTTTTATCATGTACATGTACCTGGCAATGGAAAACAGATTCCTGTTTCAATATTGGTAATTATTCAGATCATATAAATTTAACAAAGGATTTGTGTTTTGTATTATCTTGCATGCAAACTGTTGAAGAAATGTAAATTCAAGTTTCTCACTAGTGACAGGAGTAGAATTTGGTAAATCTCTATCAAAATTAAAATCCATTGATGTGGCAATCCTACTCCTGAAAATTTATCCTAGAGACAGATACACTCATACATGTAGATAAAATATACACAACAAGGATGTTTACTCGAGAATAGCAAAGACTGGAAAAAAACTAAATGTTTACCTGTTGGGGACAGGTTACATAAATTATGTGGTATCCATAAAGGATACACACAATGGAATATTCTGTAACCTTTAAGATTTTCAAGGGAATGAGGCAGATCTGTATGTCCTAATATAAAAAGATCACTATAATACACTGATACATGGAACCAGTAAACACAGTAAACTTCTATACATGAAAAAATGGAAGCACATGCATAGAAAATTTCTGAAAAGTGACATAAAAATGCAGACATACTTATTGCTTTGGGGGAAAGAAATTGCTAGCCTAAAGTAGGAGGGAAGCTTACTTTTCATTGCAAATTTTTTTGTCCTGATTGAGTATTTTTGGTATATATACTATTGCATGTGCTCATTGTAAATTTGTTAAATAATCTTTTTTTTTTTTTTTTTTTTTTAGACACAGGGTCTCTCTCTGTTGCCCAGGCTGGAATGCCATGGTGTGATCATAGTTCACTGCAGCCCTGAACTCCTGGGCTCAAGTGATCCACTCACTTCAGCTTTCCTACTAGCTGGGACTATAGGTACATATCACCATGGCCAGCTAATTTATAAAAACTTCTGTAGAGATGGGGCCTCACTATGTTGCTCAGGCTGGTCTCGAACTCCTGGCCTCAAGCAATCCTCCTGCCTCAACCTCCCGAAGTGCTAGGATTACAGGTGTGAGCCACCTTGCCTGGCCACTAAGTACTTTTTAAAATATAAAGAACATCAATTATGCATGTATAAGGCATAATAATAAAACAAATACAAATCTACCACTTTCCTCAGAAACATATACTGCTGTTTCTACTTTAAAATATTAGTATTAAAAAAAAAATCAAACCACATGAAATGGAGAGCTAAGGGAAAAAACTTTTACTTTTAAATGCATACTCTTCAGAACTTAATTTTAACAATAAGCATGCATTAATTTAGTAAATAAAAAATTTTTAAATGGAAAACTCCTCCCACAAACCCAAATAAAACAAAACAACCAGTTTCATTAGAAAGGGATGAACATATGAGGCCGGGCACGGTGGCTTATGCCTGTAATCCCAGCACTTTGGGAGGCTGAGGCAGGTGGATCACCTGAGGTCAGGAGTTTGAGACCAGTCTGGCAAATGTAGCGAAACCCCGTCTCTACTAAAAATACAAAAATTAGCCGGGTGTGGTGACGCATGCCTGTAATCCCAGCTACTAGGGAGGCTGAGGCAGGAGAACTGCTTGAACCTGGGAGGTGGAGGTTGCAGTGAGCTGAGATTGTGCCATTGCATTCCAGCCTGGGTGACAGAGTGAGACTATGTCTCAAACAAAACAAAAAAAAACAAAAAACACACACACACAAAAAAAAAAACAAAAAAAAAAAAGAAAGGGATGAACATATGAAAAGACATGAAGACTCTGAAAACAATTTTAGGTTAAAAGGGTCTTAGAGGTTGATTTTTGTTTACTAGATCAAATTTTCACACTCAAAATTTGCATTTCTATTCCTTAATAACAAAATGCATTACTGTGCTTAGGGGGTATTTTTTTAAAGCAAACTATATAAAGACATGGCTTGAGAGATTTAGTGAGTGTGACTAGGCAAGAGGCAGGTGAGAAGGGGGACAAAGATTACAACCCTTGTCTTCTGCACTGAGTACTGATGTGCAGAAGAAAGAGAGATTATCCTAGGGTAATGGAAACAGAGGGAGAAAATGCCACAAGCATAATTTCCTAGAGAAAGGAAGAGAACAGTATTTTTTCTTTGGTTTATTCCCTGTTTCAACCACCGGGCGGCAGTTTGGAATGTGCCTTGAGATGAGGAAAGCCGGTTATCGGGAGGAAGAAGCTGTCAGAGCAACCAGTGAGACCTCCAGAGTGATTTTAACTTCCAGAGGGCCCATGGTTCTGAAACAGGGTTACCTAGGAAAATGTAGAAAAGCGTACTTTTCAAATAAGAGAATAATCAAATGTAACATGTCTTTTTGCTATGGTCTATCAAATTTGCTTTAATACATATTTTTAAAAAAGTTTTTAAAAATTTGCTAATTTCAAGTTTGCATTTGATGGTATGTATTACTGAATTTATCACTTAATTTATCTAGGCTTCAGGGGCTAGTATAGACCTAGGTATAAAACAGAAACTGAATGAATGCTGCTGAATGAGAAAAATGTGCAAATGAATAAATGAGGGAGAGACTATGTTCCAATCTAATTCTAAAAAAACATAATTCTCAGTTCAAATGTGAAGAACAAAGGAGGACAATATTAAAATTTTTCCCTCAGTTTATGTTAATCTAATCTCTAGAACAGTTTACAACAGAATTGACTTGAGAAAAAAAACCACACTTAAAAATTGAATTATAACTTAAAGGTGGTTACTAATCCTCTGCTTTAAAAGCAAAGACATAAAGTGACTGTATAAAACTAGCATTGTCCAATAGAAATATAATGAAAGTCACATGTAACTTAAAGTTTTCTAGTAGTCACATTTAAAAAAATAAAAATAGGTTAATTTAAAAACACTTTGATCTGATCCAATATATTTAAAATATTATCCTTTCAACATGTAATCAATATTAAAATTACTAACAAAATATTTTAAATTATTCTTTCCATGAAGTCTTTGAAATGAGTATGTACTTTATCCTTCTAGTATATCTCACTGTGCACGCTAAATTTTCTACAGAAATACTTGATCTGTAATTTCATACAACTTAAGAGTAAAAAATAGTATTACATACCTAAGTCGTTCCAAACATACTTTGAGTCAACTATGTTTTAAAATCTAAATTAAAATTAAATAAAGTTTAAAATTCAGTTCTTCAGTTGTATAAGCCAAATTTTAAGTTCTCAATATCCATGCTGCTAGCGGCTACCATACGACAGCACAGGTGTAAACAATGAAAACATACTCCAATTTCTATCTTACTGCCAGTCAGATATGTGCTTTGAGTTTGTTTTCTGCATACAAATAAATTTACAGTGACCCATTCACATATTCTTTCCAATGCATACTGTAGCTGATGTATATTTTTGCAAAGTCCTAGTCTTTGGCAGGCAGCCTGTGCTGTGAAGATAGCTGGATTAAGTAGAGAGTATATGAGTGAATGAATTTATCCTCTTTTGTAGCAAGCTCTAATCCACTCAGCCAATCAAACAGAAAATACAAGTAAATATCACATTTCAGATGTGACATAACATCTTAATATAATAATCCCCAAAATACAGACTTACTTCTTTTTTTTGTTTTTCCCCAAAGAGACAGAGTCTTGCTCTGTCTGTAGCCCAGGCTGGAGTGTAGTGGCGCAATCACAGCTCACTGCACCCTCGAACTCCCAGGATCAAGTGATCCTCCCACCTCAGCCTCCCAAGTAGCTGAGACTATAGGTGCGCGCCACCATGCTCATCTAATTTTATTTTTATTTTTTGGTAGAGACAGGGTCTTCCTATGTAGCCCAGGATAGTCTTAAACTCCTCGACTCAAGGGATCATCCCACCTCCACCTCCCAAAAATCTTTTCTTATTTTAATGTCCATAAGCTGAATTTCAGTTATGAGATTTGTGAAAGATATGAAATCACAAAGCAGTCTCAGCAACTTAAATGCTTTAAGTTTATGTATTGTACATAAACATGTAAATATACAAAATAGTAAAATGAGAACAAGATGAAGATTAATAGGATAGAATTCAATATACTCCTCCCTTGTTAAAAAAATTCCATACTTGTTTTATAGAATAAAACAGGAGTTAAACTGAACACAATGTATGTGTCCTTACTGTTGCAGTTTTACCTCATGTAAAGCTTTTGCCTCCTGTAAGTTTTGTATGCTGACTTTGAAACCGTAAGTATTGTTTAAAGATGGTCCATCAATCTGAGAAGTTTCTTTCTGTGGGGTATTTACTGCTGCAAATTGATTCTATAAAAAAAAACACACACACACACAGCCAGAAAAAGATACATGAGCAATCATTTTTCTTTTGATTACTTATTCTCAGATAATATGCTTTATGTGTTTAGTAATAAATGGTAAACTAATATCATCTCTAAGTTCAAGAACAAACTGTATTTTATTAATGTTATTTTCATGCTAACAAAGATATCAGAACTGGATACATGTAGAAATATAAGCAAACCATATGTTATCTCTCAGTTCAGAAGCCCTCAATACTGAAAATAACAGTTTTGTAGGGAGTTGACATTTATACCACATGGACATTTATCTTGACCTTTCTTGGAAGTAAGAAAGACAAGCAAGCAATCAATATATTTCCAACTACTTTGGCTAAAGTTTGTAAAAGATTTGAAATACTGATTTGTATTTTACTCTAATATAACATGTGTCTGAAAGATGAATTAAATAAAACAATGTAATCTTCAAAGATTCAGAAAAAAATGGAATCTTTCCATTTCTTACAAAATTATTTTTTCTGATTTCTAAATCTATTAACTGTTTTCCCCAAAGTGTTATGTTCACAACACACTGATATAGTATTTTTTAATATATATAGCTTGTAATTCAACAGTATTTTATAAATGAAAGTTTAAAAAGTTTGATAATCTCAGAAATATTAAAATATATTTTATGTAGTTAATGACATTTATAAGAAGTGGCCAATATATAAGTGATTTCTAGCATATATTTCCAAGGATGTATGTCTAATGTATACTTCTTTCACATAACCATATAATTCTAAGTTTTGTCATATTTTTAGTATTTGAATAAAGACATTTGTGACTTTCCAGAGTTTCAGTAGTAAATAATGTTGCTTTCTTTTACTACTTAGTAAAATAAATTTTAAAAAATCAATAAGGTTATATTTTAGAAAAAAGTAATAAACCAAGAAAAAGGATATATTTTTGGTGGGATCAAAAATCACTTACTTGAGCTCTGCTGTCATTGGATTGTTCTGATTTTGCCAGTAATCAGTTAATGTATTTGTATCCTCATAATCCACATTTTGGCTATCATATTCACTTTCTCTGTAATATTTGTATTTACATATAAGAATCTTTTAGATCCCAACATCAAAAAAAAAACTAAAAAAAGGCAAATTTTTGTTGTCTCAAAGATATGCAAATAATGATGCAAAAATTTAAGTAACCAAAATTTTTTAATTGAGACAAAGTTAACAATTATCTAACTGAAATCTAGGAAAAAGACTGGCTCTTCCACTGATCTTTAAAAATGTTTAGTATAGTTACCTTTGCTTGTGTTAACAGTACTCTTCTAAGAGTGTCAGTATTACTTCCTTTCTTATTACTCAACTTCTGTGTTTTTGGTTCTGTAGAAAGAAATTTAATATTTAACATGTATATCAAAATTACCTGCTTCTGGTTTTTAAAAAACCTTTTGTTGTTCCAAACACTTAAGTACCACTTGTGGGTGCTGTCCTATGAATTCCCCCCAGAATTTCATAATTTAAAAATGAAATTCAAACCTCTGATCCCAACCAAAATAACATTTTGACATTTTGTATTTTAAATGTTTATGTTTTAATTACTGAATTTTATACCTCAGTCATTAACCTAGAGAACTGTTTAATTCATTTATTCACTTATTTATCAAGTATCTATGATGAGGAAGAAAAGACATAATCTCTGCCCTTGTGGGGTCTAGAGAGAGAATCAGACATTCATCAAACATACTAGAAAAATAAAATTATAACTGCACTAATACAACAAAGGGGAATATAATTGGGAATTTTTATGTAGTCAAGGAGATTAGGGAAGGTTTCCTGGAGGTAAAATCTGAAGAGAGTAGTAACTAACTAAGAACAGAGTGGGGATTTTTCCCTGATTACTGTGCAAAAGAATTGGAAGTTACTAAGAGTAGATAAAATGGCTGGTGCAGGAGCCCAGGCAAGAGATGATGACAGTTTGGCCTAAGGTTGTGGTGGAAGAAGTACAATAAAGTAGATAGATCTGGGTTACTTGGGAGATAAACAAGTGATAAGGCTTGGTTAGGGACTAGAAACTACAAGGTGGGTAATGAGGGAATGAGGTGAGTGTTAAAAATAAATTCTATGTTTCTGACTTGTGTAACTAAGAAATGATGGCACTATTCATTGAAATAAGGAAAACTGAAAGAAGGCCAGATGGGTTTTTATGTGGAGGCATGTATATATAAGTGTGTTGGGGAAGTGGTGGTGAATGTATGCGGTGAGATCATGAATTGGTTTTTAAAATACTAATCTTGAGGTGCCATTTAGCATTCAAGTGGAAATGTCAGATAGGTAGTTGGATATAGTGTTCTGGAGCTTAAAAGAGAGATCTGAACTGGGAATATAAATTTGCGAGTTATCTGTAGTAATCCTGTAGACAGGAATTAGATCATTTAGAGAAAGATATAAAGAAGGCTTAAGACCAAGCCTTAATAAACTCCAACATTTAGATAACAACTGAGAATAATGAGAAAATCAAGTGGGAAAAAAACAGAGAAGTAGGAGGAAAGCCAAGTGGAGAAGCTCCAAGAAGGAAGGTAAGGTCAACAAGAAAATGGCTGCTTAGAGGACATATGATAAGACTCAGGAACATCTATTGGTTTTAGCTATAAGTTTACTGGGAATCTTTACAAGAGCTATAATGTAGAATGACAGGGGCAGAATTCAGTTTAGAGTGGGCTGAGAAATGAGTAGGAGGTAAATAACTGGAGTTGTCAAATTAGATAAATCTTTTAAGAAATTTGGCTTTGAAGGGGAGGAGAAAGAGTAGAAGCTGGCTGGAGACGTGAGGTCAAGGCAGGTTTTTTGTTTCTGTTTTAAAATGTGGGAGACCTGGGTATGTATAAAAGCCAACAGGAAAGTCAAGTTGAGAAGATAAGCCTTTTGAGAGGGCTCCTGCATTTCACCCACAAGACAGGATGGAAGCAAATATAAGTAGATTTCACAGCAGAAAGACAGTTGCCATGTGACGACTTTCTAAGACATGACGAAAAATATTTGCTGAGCTATACCTTCATTTAAAAAGCTCTGATTTTCATTACAGTCTAATGTTATCTTCATTTCTATTTCTGAAGAACAATTATGGAGACTTCCTGTTATTTGTACACTTACCTGTTGATAATGGGCTAAGGCCAGGTGCTTCAGGAAGCCTTTCCAGAAGTTTTCTCTGTATGATTGGTGTACTATGAAAGCAAAGTGATTCACATTTCCCAGTTCTTGCCCTAGTATTAATTGGAGATATCACTAGAGGCTCTTGAGGCTCACTGCAGGGGCTTTTTTGTATACCATCTTTTATTGGCTTTAAGAAGTTCTCAAAAGCCAATGAAGGCAGCTCCTCTACTGGTGATGAGGGTCTATCATCTCCATTTAATGCTTTGGAATCTGGGGATATTGGTTGTTGCCAAGGGGGAATTACTGGAGAATCAGGGGAGCTATAACTAATGTAATAGTTATCATCATCATCTTCATCTTTTTCGGGATCACTTGCAGAGGCAACTGGTGGCAGCATCTGACTTTCACTTGCAGTTTGACTACATCCCGTGGTTGGTGCTTGTAAAGCAATCTGAGAATTATCAACATCCTCCTTGGTATGTGCTGTAGTGGGGAGTATACATGGACTTACATCCATTTTTGGAGGCACTACAGGTTTGTCATCTGGGTTAACTGAAGAGCTAAAGTTCTCAGCAGATTTTACAACTCCAGTTGGCTTGGTTTTAGGCAGTTTCTTGGAACGTTCGTATTCTTCTTTGGCTTGAAGCCACACTTGAACCAGTTGTCGACTTGGGGCACATTTGCAAGGCATAATCACAATTTTTTTATCTTCAACCATCTTAGGGCTATTACTTGACCCTTTATTGACAACTCCTTGGCCACTGCGAAGGGGTGACCCTGGCCTTGGATTCTGAGTCATTGCTGAGAATGCTGTTTTCCAAAGACGAAGTCCTTCCAAGGAAAAGTCTCCCTCAAACTCAGCCAGATCATTTGCAAGTCGAGTTTCTACCATGAGGAGCCGTCCACCAATCTCCCTATAATAACATATTTTAGAACAACTGTTTTGTTTCAAAGAGCAATTACCAAAATATTTAACTCCATATCCTAGATAAAGTCCCTTTTGGAGTCTCAAAAATGTCCATGTCTATCTTCCCTGCCCCCTCTATATTGTGCAGGTACATTCTATCTTTAGTCTCAATATGCTTTTCCTCACAGGTATATGACTACTACTTAATTTCCTTTGGAAGGTACCATTAATCTTAGGGAGAGAAGGTATTTTTTGTTTTATTTTAATGCCCCATGAAGCCTTCTGTCCTTCAAGGAGATGACACAAACTTTTCAGATTCCTTTCCTCTCCTAATCTTAAAATAAATTTTCCATTATTACCACATATGAATAAAAACAATGAATTTATCATTCAAATACTATGTCCCTGGATATTATTCATAGCTTCTTCCTATATTCTCCAGTATCTGTAGTTTAACAAAGCCAGTCAATTCAAATGAATCTTCGTACTCTCAAATTCCCTTAAACATTAAAAAAAATACCAACTGAGGTAAATTACTCTAATTCTTTCTTCCCATTCCATGGCAGGGATTAACACTGACATAACTTAGGAGCTGGCAGAGCCCACAGGATGCATGGCTTAAATGTTACCAATGCATGAATATGTGGGAAATCACTAATGAAAACAGTCTGGTTTCATTTCCAATAGTTATAAATATTAAGTGAAACCTCTGTCTTTCTCCAATCCCTTGATACTATTTCTGCTTACTACAGCAACATAAAATAATTCTACTTCTTCATGTTAACTTTATTATGGATATAAAGTTAATTCATAGTTTTTTCAATCACTTCTCTTAGGGCATGATTCCCCAAATGTCCCCATCACTCTCTATGTAAAATCCACTAACTGGATCATGTTTTCAGATTTGAAGCTGAAAGAAGAGCATTAGGGCTACTCTGTCTCCTTTATATGAAAAGACTTAAGCCCCTACTAGTTAACTCCATAACCAGCATCCAGCACTGTCCCTGCATCCACTCTTGGCAATGTGAAAAAACAGAAACAGAATTAATGCTGTTGAAGGAAATGAATACACATACCAAGTGACCATACCCAACTCTAATACTAAGGATAGAGAAGTCATAATGAGGTCAAGAATAAAAAATGGTGAGGTGTCGGGAGGCTGAGGCAGGAGAATGGCGTGAACCAGGGAGGCGGACCTTGCAGTGAGCCGAAATCACGCCACTGCACTCCAACCTGGGTGACAGAGCCAGACTCTGTCTCAAAAAAAAAAAAAAAAAAAAAAAATGGTGAGGTGTGGTGAATTCAGTTTTCTTACATATTGTCAGCAGCATGGTAATTGCTATAACCCACTGGGAAAAAAAATCTCCTAATATGTATCAAGAGCCTTAAATTTTTCAGTAATCCTACTTCTAGGGCTATAAGGAAAAACTCCAAAATACAAGAAATGCTTTAAGAAGAAAATGCTAATATCTTCTTAACATACATAATAATATACATAATATCTATAGTGGCAAAATTGCAAACAACCTTTCTGTCCAATAATATATACATGATGCAACATATGCAGCGATTAAAATATTCAAGAAACTCATTTGGAAAATGTTTACAATATAATGTTAAGTGAAAAATTTGGATATAATACTGTGACTATAGTAAGATCACACTTCACAAAACAAAACAAACTAAAAACTATACTTTTTAAAAAAGAAAACAGAATACACATCAAAATATTATGGTGGCTGTTACTACATGGAAAAATGATGTAATTTTTATTTTTTCTTCTTTCATACTTCCTAAATTTTCTATATTGAATATACAGTTTCATTTTTTTTTTTTGAGACAGTCTTGCTGTGTCACCAGGCTGGAGTGCAGTGGTGCGATCTCAGCTCACTGCAACCTCTGACTCCCTGGTTCAAGTGATTCTCCTGCCTCAGCCTCCCGAGTAGGATTACAGACTCATGCCACCATGCCCAGCTAATTTTTGTATTTTTAGTAGAGATGGGGTTTCACCATGTTGGCCAGGATGGTCTCGATCTCCTGACCTTGTGATCTGCCCACCTTGGCCTCCCAAAGTGCTGGGATTACAGGCGTGAGCCACCGTGCCCGGCCTACAGTTTCATATTTCAAAAATATTTTTCAAAAATGATTATTTTTTATTTTAGCTGCAGGACAAGTGTCAAAGTTGGACAATAACAACAACACAAAGGTAATGACTAGCACATAAAGTTTGGTAACTAAAAGTAAATATACCATAATCACTACTAATAACACCAAAGTCCCCAAAATGATGGAAACTAACGTCTAAAGAACAGATTTCATATGCTCCAGCAGTGAAATAAAGAGTTCCATGTGGGTACTAAACAAAACTGTGTGTTGAAAAGGGGCTGGGAGGTGGACATTTCTACCTTTCACTTCAAGTCATTACAGGAGAGAACTTTTATTCTGCATTTCTGATAACCTTTTCTCACCCCTTTATTAAAAAAATAAATTTTATTGTGTATATTTAAGGTATAAAATATGATATTAGTATATAGTAAAATGGTTCTTACAGTGAAACAAATTAACATATCCATCATTTCACATTCTCAACCCTTTCTTAAATGGATTCCTATAGGAATTATTGTGAATCTGCTGGGTAAAAGCCTGGCATTCACTGTCGTGTTTTTTTAATTTAAACTTTTTTAAAAAGATATTTTAACAGCTTTAGGTTGACAGCAAAATTGAAAGGAAGGTACAGAAGTTTCCCATATATCCCTTGTGCCCCCACACATACATGGCCTCCCTCATTATCACCATCCCCTACCAGAGTGGTACATGTGTTACAATCGATGAACCTATGTTGACACATCATAATTGTCCAAAGTCCACAGATTACATTTGGGTTTGTTCTTGGTGTGGTACTTTCTATGGCTTTGAACAAATGTGTAATATTCATATTGTATCTTTCTTTTTTTTTTTTCCCACTGGAGTCAGGAACATGGTACTGCCACAGGTCAGTGCATACATGCAGTGTGTCCTCTGCTGCTTTTCCTATCTCTTTCCAAGATTTAGACTAAGGCAGGGCCTGCCTTAGCAGTTCCAGCCATCCTCTTCTGCTTCTGAATGGATGGCTGAAATGAACTGCCTGCTCTGCAACTGGTTAAGTATATGAGATCATGGACACAAGGGCAGGAACAAGAGCCATCATTTAAACTTTCTGGATTAAGCCACATTACCCAATTTAGCTTTCATCAGTTATGTCCTAACTTGGTGATGAAAGTGGTATACACCATAACTACTTAACTACTGATAAATAAACCAGTACTCTGATTTCTATTTTGCTATTTGCTGTGTGTGTGCGTGCGCTCACATGTTTGTCTATCAATTCCCTGAAGAGATTTTTTTTTTGAGATAAAGTCTCATTCTATTGCCCAAGCTGGAATGCAGCGGCGTGAACACAGCTCACTGCAGCCTTGACATCCTGGGCTCAAGTGATTCTCCTTCCTTAGCCTCCTGAGTAGCTGGGACCACAGGTGCATGCCACCATGCCCAGCTATCTTTTTTTTTTTTTTTTTCTGAGATGGAGTTTCACTCTTTATTGCCCAGGCAACAAAGTGCAGTGGCGTGATCTCAGCTCACTACAACCTCCACCTCCTGGGTTCAAGTGATTCTCCTGTCTCAGCCTCCTAGGCAGCTGGGATTACAGGCACCTGCCACCATGTCCAGCTAATTTTTGTATTTTTAGTAGAGACAGGGTTTCACCATGTTGGCCAGGCTGGTCTTGAACTCCTGACCTCAGGTGATCTGCCCCCCTCGGCCTCCCAAAGTGCTGGGATTACAGGCGTGAGCCACTGTGCCCGGCCTAATTTTTTGTAGAGAGAGAGTCTCACTATTTTGCCTGGGCTGGTCGCAAACTCCTGGGCTCAAGCGATCCTCCCACCTCGGCCTCCCAAAGTGCTGGGATTACAGGTGCACACCACCATACCCAGCCACCTGAAAAAATTCTTAAAAGAAAGGAGAATGGAAACCAAAGTCCATTTGCTAATAACTGCATAAACTATAATAACAATAACAATATAATACAAGATATTGAAACCACATGAAAAGTGGTTTATAATAGAAACAACTTACAATAATCTTCACTTAGAGATATATCAGAGGAATACTTAAAACACATACATGCTCATTTTCAAAACACTTGAAAATGAAGTTCTTTTAAAATGGTATAAAAGTTTAACATTTAAAAATTAAATACCATTTAAACAATGATCATTGTAATCCTTTTAAAGTATCATGACATCTTTACAGTGAGCACCTCTAATCTTTAATGAAGACATAGTGTTAAATAATGGTAGATCCAAGTCAACTTAAATAAATTTCTCTAGGTGTAACCATCCAGTTAGTTTTTGAATTTTCTTAGTAAGTCTGTAATTAGAAATACTTTCCACAATGATATACTTACAAATACGGTATCACAGAAAACTAGCAGTCAGGTAACCAAATGTTGCATACATTCTTTTTTTTTCAATCCCCATAGCATAATTTTATATATCATAATAATTCAGAGTGACCCAAGGGAAAAAATAACTGATTACCTGGGCTTTTCTGGTACATCAGAAGGATTACTGCAAAATGGTTCCTGGTAAATAGTCTCAGACAGGTCATGATCCAACAAAGTTGCCATAATTTCTTCCCTACTTGGGGGGGACATAAGTGGTTTCAGAATGTTAGCAGTTCGAGGGGTGAAGCTGCCATTTTTAGATTGTGAAGGAGAGCTAGTAGATCTTGGTGAACTATCAGGAGTTGGTGTCAACATATCATTGTTTCTTGAAACATACAGTTCTAAATCTTCACAGGCCACGTCTACAAGTTCACCATCAGGGGAGGAGAGTATTGCAGTAAAAGAGGTATTGGCTGAGTCAAGAGACTGTCCCATTTCTTTTCTGGTGTGACCTTGAATCCAGTCTGAATTGTTTGGCTGTGGGAGGCTAAGAAACACTTCTTTGCTTACTGAACTCCTATTCAATCTAGATTTTTCACTTAGACAGTCTTCTGCCTGCTGAACACAGAAAGAATCCATTATTGAGTTAGACCGAGTTGTTAGAGGATGAAAGCTATTTTTCCACTGGTTGTGGCGACGATTCTCATTGCTATCTATGGTTGACTTCTCAAAAATTTCAGGACTTAAAGTACCAGATCTAATCCATGAGGCTGAGTCTGTGGTATGATGCTTGTCTTCATCACATTTCTGGTTGTCATGACTTAAAAACTCATTTTTTTCTATAGCTTGTCCTGGAAAAAGATCCTGAACAGCATCACTTAGGAACTTCTGAGGCAAATTCTGATCAGCTGGGACAAACTGACTTCCAGAATAAAAGCTACAAAATCCAGTCTGACCTATTGTGTTAATATCAAAATTATAATTATGTTCAGGAGATAAACTATCTTCAAGTGAGTAACAACTTTCAAAGCCTGGATCTGAAAAAAAGATGGGACTATCATCTGATACAGAGTTATCCAACTGGCTAGAGTTTTGTAAATTTAAAGAGTCTACTTTGAGAAGTTTGGGGATTTTTTCTTTTTGTTTTGTACTTCTGGGAGTTCGAGGTTTTCTTGGGGACGTTACCGATCGTGTCCGTTTATTTGCTTTGTTATGCTCAAGGGAACCAGAAATATTTTTATTTGGTTGATGTTTATTGGATAATGGGTCTTGTGTAGTATTTGCATTTTGTGCTTTCTGCTGTCTTTTTTGTAACAATTCTTTTAGAACTGCCAGTCCAGACTGTCCTTCACCAAATGCTGAAGGTGTTGACACATTTCGATTTTTACACTGAGAAAGTGCTTTGGTTTGTGAAATTGCTTCTGATAACGACCTCGGTTTTACTCTTTCAGGTTTAAAATTTGACATATCTAAAATAAAGCCCCTTTGCTTTTGCTCCCATGCTATTTGTTTGATTGGACTTCTCAAGGAAGTTACAAAGCAATTATTAGGCATTTGGCTTTCCTCTGAAGCTGTATTTCCCGGAGAACAAGTTTCACTGTGCTTTGACTGTTCCGCTATGCACACAATCTGCTGCTGACTGTCTTTGCAATGCAAAAAATTAGGGGTATATGCTTGGTCCAGCTTTGATTCTAGGGAATTGCGATATTCACTTAACTTTCCGATTGATGACAAATAGTTTCTTTGTATATTATTTGCATTATCTTCTATCTTTGAGGACATACCAGAAGATATCTGTGTATTCTGTGCTACCTGAGATAAATGATTGGAAAGGTCAAATATATTTTTTTGAATTAACGTTGATTCCTTTAGAGTAAACATAGCACTTTGATTATGAGGCCTTTGAACATTAATTTTTGAGACTCCAGGTCCTATAGAATTACAAACAACTGATGGATGCAAATCATCTCGTGAACTGGGGAATGTCTGCAAATCTACAGACTTCTTGCTTTCTAAGAAAGAAGAAAAGCAGCCAGATAACTTCTGTTGTGCATTAATTCCAGTGGGTAGGGAAGCAGAAAGGGGATGATCTACAGCAGAGCCCATTAGTGGCATATCTTTCTGTTTAAAAAGTAGTTGAGAGCCTCCAGAACTACTTGCAAATTCAGACACATTCTGGTGTTTCAGTACAAACTTAACCTCAGCACCAGACTGAGATTTTATTTTTTCATCCTTAAGTGTTGTATGCTTTCTCGATGTACCTTTCTCATTTGTTTTTTGTTTTGCTCTTGGTTTCTTTTTTCCATCATCTACTAGTTTATTTGTCTGATTTCGTTTGTTCCTTTTCTTAGTAACTATAGAGGGATTAGCAAGCTTTGCTTTTGATTTCTTAATCTGTGCTCTTGCGCGACTAGTTTTTCCTATACGAGAATTAACAGTCTTCTTATATACATTAGGACCCTTAAAAAGCATTGCCTCTTTTTCTGCAGCAGCCATGATTTCTTCAGCTCTTGGATCTGTGGGAGACCAGCAGCGAGGTGGAGAAGAATTTATGGGACTTGTGCTTCTCTCAGAAAGAAAACCTAGTTTAGACATAACATCACTATAATTCAGGTCACAATCTTCGGTTTCAGCATTGTAAGATGGTGAGGGAGGAGAAAGAATAGCATGTGACCGTTTTTTCCTGAAAGACAAAGTTCTTTTAATATTTTCATTATTTGTCCTTTGTTGTTTACCAGTTTTTTTCTTAGCAGATTTATGTTTTGACTTTCTTCTGTGACTTTTCTTTGGTGTTAGTGGATAAATGGGATATTTGGTTGCAGGGGAGTCGGGAACTTTTGGCCAAAAGTCCTTCAAAGGTGCAAGCTTTTTATATAGTTCCATTTTTTCTTCTGTTAATATTACTTGTTTTTCTTTAGAGTCTATTTTTCCTAGCTTCACAAGCATATTTTTTCTCCCTCTAAATCTATTAATAATAATATACTTTATGATGACAGGGGGCAGCTTTTTAGACATTTTTCTTCGTTTTCGGGATTTGAGAGTTCCATCTAAACTTTCACCAATTTCCATGGGATGAGGTAGACTAATTTTTGAGTTGTGAGTTACAAAACTTGACTCACTGTCTTCAGTCTCATAATTTACCTTGCGTTTGGCTCTAAGTGTGTATTTATTTCCATATAGTCCAAAGGACTGCTCAGTTTCTAACGTTCCATCTCCAAAGTGACAGTCTATAAAACCATCTGTGGGTGTTTTATTTTCAAAAGCTCCACGAGTGGTTTTAGTTAAATCACTAGCCAATGCATTATCCTTCTCAGGATTACTATTACAAGGATTATTTTGTATAAAATTATCTTTTGTGGATCCAGTCTCACTACTTTTGGTAGAAGTCTCCTGATGACCTGCAAGTTTCCTTTTATTCAATTTTAACCGGGATGGTTTATTGCCAGGTTGTAATTTATATGTGACAGGAGATAGTTTCTGTGGTCTAGTAAGACAGTTAGAAAGAACAACACTGGGAAAAAACATATAGTGTGCTGCTTGCTGGCTGAGGCTTGGCTTTTCTGTTTTATGTTCTTGAAATTCTTCATACCTAATTTTAAGTTTATTTAGTCCACTTTCATCAGCAGTGCTATTAAGAGAATGCACCATAGTTCTATTCTCCCCTGAGCATGACAGTAATTCACAATTTTCAGTAAATGATGAAGGGAATAAACTACTCAGAGCTGTGCTGTTTCCTTTTTCATTTCCTTCAGAGGATACTTTATTTTTTGAATGATTTAAGTCAGAAAAGTTGAAAGAATTTTTGCCCAATGTATTCTCGTTAGGGTGACGGTGCATATGTATAAAAGGGGAATCCTTTTCGATTTTTCTAATGTTTGTATATTTTCTACTTGGTACTTGTCTTGTAACAGATGGAATATCTTCTTCATAATCAAAAATACTACTTTCACAGGAAGATACTGGGAGGATCTCTTTCTTACTATTCTCTTTATGAGAATTTTCTGAATGAACAGTACTGCTTAAAGATCCAGGGTATTTCATAGAATAAGTGCTTTCGTTTGTAAAAGAAGTGACTGAGTTATCTAGACCTTTTTCTGTATTTTTGTTTGTCTGTGAAAGGTCTTCAATTAAATCTTCCTTGTTCAAAACATGGGAAGAAAGGGCACTTGTGTGTTTACACTGAAAGGTAATCTTAGCAGAAGATGAGGGTTCTAATGTAGCAGCATCTTTGTGAAAGATGGAGGGTTTAACTGAAAGCTTGCTTGTTGCAATTACAGAAGAGTGGGTTCTAGAATTTTCATTGTTCAATGGATTGTCTGAAATGAGGAGGGAAAAACAGTTTATTTCATTTTACTCTTTTAATTTTTAAGACATTTTCCCACACCAAGATATTAATGCTATCACTATGAAAAAATTACATCAAATTAAGTTTGGTTATCTTAACAAAAAGGTAATGCTTATCATTAATGACTCAATCTAAATATAGTTAGTTACAATTATTAGTCATCATTTTAAACAAATATTCCATTGATCAGAAATAGATTATATTACTATTTAGTTCCTTTGGGGCATAAGGGAAAAATACTGTCACTTTAAAAATGTTCATAAAATAATATGCTTTACATTATCACTTCAAATAAACTGAGCATATTTTTCAGTTTATTATTCTACTTGCACAACAAACATTAAAGTTTTCAAAGCTTGAATTCAGTGGTCAACAAATGTTATATCCTTTTAGAAATGAGAAGCAAATCATGTATCTAATTCTTTCAAAAGAAAAAAATCCTGAAGGACGAAACATCACTATAGCCTCCCTTAGCCAACTATATAGAAAGTATGATTACAGTTTCAAAATCAATAGAAAGTATGATTAAAGTTTCAAAATCATATTTATTTATTTATTATTTTTTTTGGAGGCAGAATCTTGTTCTGTTGCCTAGGCTGGAATGCCATGGAGCAATCACAGCTCACTGCAGCCTCAAACCCTTGGGCTCAAGTAAGCCTCCCACCTCAGCCTCCTGAGTAGCTGGGACTACAGGCATGTATCACTATGCTGGGCTAATTTTTTTAGTTTTTTAGAGACGGGGGTCCCACTACGTTGCCTAGGCTGGTCTCGAACTCCTGAATTCAAGTGATCCTCTCACCTTGGACTCCCAGAATGCTGGGATTACAGGTGTGAGCCAGAGCGCCTAGCCTCAAAATCAAATACATTTTTAGATCGTGAATAACCAATTTCTCACAGTAGACTTGTTTACTTACCACTATTTTCATCTGCAGTTCCATCTAACTGAGGTATAGAAAGACTGGCTAGAAGCAAACTGTTATCACTCCATTCCATTTCTTCTCCTGAAGATGAGTCATCATCTTCAGTTGAACTTCTGTGGGTATTTCTGCACAGTGATCTGGAGAACATTAAAATTCACTGGTGAGCATGATCATTAGTAAAGACCATCTCAGATGCAAATAATGCATCTAAGTTAACTCTATAATAATGTATCTAAGTTAACTATAATAATGTATCTAAGTTACTCTATAGTAAAACAATACAAAAAATCTGAAAATTGTAACTTCTAGAAAAGCATATTTACTTTGCTTTATTAACATGTCTTACTATAGTAACTTACAAAGAGTTATTATAATTAGACTTCATAATCCCTTTCATGTGAGCTAAAATACACCACAATTCCTGCATTCTGAATTGGAAGAAACAAGAATAAAAAGATGAGTGAAGGGGCATTGAGGTCAGGGCTGAAGAGAAAATGCTGAAGAAGAGAGAGGGTAATAGGAAGTAGTAAAGGTGTTCAGTCAACCTGACAATAACTACAAAGGGTTACTGAGAAATTCAGATGGACAGTGAAGTCCAGTCTTTAAGTTTCATCTCATATTGGTATTAACTTGATGTTTTCCCTTTTAATTGAATGGGCAAACTTTTTTCCTATCCATACCCAATTTTTTCTTTCACTAATCTCAACAATTTGAAATTATTATTATTTTATTATACTTATTATACTGGAACTGTTTTTCCATTAAGCCTTTCCAAATCACAATTTATCATAAAAATCACTCCCTTAAGAGCTGAAAGAGGTATCAGAGGTCCAGTCCAACTTTCTACCCAATGCGAAAACCTCATTTTTAACGAACCTGACACAATCTCTGTTTTTACATAATCTGTATAAGGGGCTTGCTGTCTCACAGGGCAATCTTTCCACTGTTAATGGCTTTAATTATTCATAGTTGTCTTCTTGTAATACACAAACTCTTTCAACTTCCATACATGATTCCTATTTTGTTCTCTGTAGCTATACAGAGCAGGTTGATGTCATTTTCCACATGATAATCTTTAAAATACATAAAGGCATTTCTCATTCATCTTGTAATTCTAATTAGATCAAACATTCTCCATTCAAAAGTTCTTCAAAAGTGACAATGCTCACAGATCCTTCTAGTTTTCTTCCTCTTCTTTCCCTTTCCTTTTTCAGTATTCTTAAAATATGGTACTCAGCACAGAATATAATATCCAATATAAAGAGCAGAATTAACTAAACCCTTTTCTAGACACCATGCTTCTACTATTCAATCTCTCTCTAATATATGTGTACAAAATGTTTAGGTTTGTTTTCCCAAGGTTAAATTGGGCATGGTTTTCACCAAATTGGTTCAGCCACTGAACATACAAACATAAATTTAATCATAGGATTGACTATGCCTATTATTACAGCAGTGACAATGTTAGAGGAAAGAATTTAACATCACATCTGGAGATTTCTATATCTGATTTATTAAGTAGAAAAATAAAAACTTTCATCATATACATGTAAACACTGAATTTATGGATTAACCTGTTTCACCTTTCAGTGATGGCTTTGGGTTGGAAATTTCAAATACAGACTAAAAAAGTTCTAATCTAGCCTATAGAAGTTTAAAGGAGAGGCATACTCAGTCTTTCAGGCTCATAGGCCTAGATTTTTCTATACACAGAGCATATAACTAAAGGGCAGACTCAAACCAATCAAGTTCACAGAGACTGATTTAGAAAACCACAACACCAACTTATTCATTTATTTTGAGAAACAAACCACAACACCAGTGTTTGCTTCTTAGTCTTTTATTTATTTGTTTTTAACCTTAGTTCCCTTAGTCTAATCAGAGCCCAAAACCATACCCTGTCTTCAGGCTGACTCTATACATTGTTGTTCTGATACCCAACAGTTCAACTATCACAGGGCATTCTTTTTCTTAAGTTCTAAGATAAGAAGGCACTTCAATTTTGCTCCATTTATCACTCACATATGTTAATACTGTGTATATAAATGGATAACTTCTAAAAGTTAGGTTAATCTTTTAAAATGTAGCAAAACTTTATTTTGCTTGGAATATGGAGTATACGCCATATGAAAAACAGATCACTAAAGGGGAATTTTAAAACATCAATTTAGTTCATAAGGTATTTTATATCATGAACAATAGTAATAAATAATTTCTGATTGAAGGACAATAATGATAAAAGTTAATAAAACAACTGCAATAACTAAAAAATTACCTCTTTTTGGCACAATGTTCTTCAATATTGCTGTCCCATCTCTGGGACATCACCAAACTAAGCTCCATTTCCTCTTTTTCAATCTGTGGTTCATTTTCTTCATCATCACTATTTTGTGGATATTTATTATTTCCAAAGGAGCGACATGGTGATGGCATCCTATTTCTTTCCCCCCGATATCCATCACTTTCCAAACCAGCAAGAAGATGTACCAGAGCCTCATCAGGACTACTGTCCACTATAAAACAAGTACAATAATCACCAACAAATAAGTTTTCTTTTTTTTTTTTGACACGGAGTCTTGCTCTCTCACCCAGGCTGGAGTTGGAGTGCAGTGGCGTGATCTAGGCTCACTGCAAGCTCTGCCTCCTGGGTTCATGCCATTCTCCTGCCTCAGCCTCCCGAGTAGCTGGGACTACAGGTGCCCGTCACCACACCTGGTTAATTTTTTGTATTTTTAGCAGAGATGGGGTTTCACCGTGTTAGCCAGGATGGTCTCGATCTCCTGACCTCGTGATCTGCCTGCCTCGGCCTCCCAAAGTGCTGGGATTACAGGCGTGAGCCACCACGCCCGGCCTGTTTTCTTAATAATCCAACAATTCAGATCACTCAGAATAAAATAACAACATCATAGATACTGGCACAGGCTGAAAGAATACAGTTGGTACAAAGGCTCAGGTGTTGAGGTAGCTCTCCTATCAAAGTTGATCCTTGGACCACCTGCATTAGAGTAATTTAGGGACATTATTAAAATAACATTGTTGTGTGCTCCAGCCAGGGCTGCCTGGGACTGCACAGGGTCTTGGCCGTGGGTACAGCTCAGCACTGTCAGCCCCTAGTTGGGAGGCCTTGCCAGGGAAGGCTGGCAGTGGCTGCAGGAAGCCTGAGATGCCACTCAAGGGGAGGCCACTGAAGGACTGGTTGAGTGCAGCCCTGGCCAGTGAGATGAGGAGGCTGGGACCATGGCCCTAGCCACCCGTGTTTCCTCCGGTGAAATTTGTGATACTCACCAAGAAAGAACCACTTATGGTGTTTTAGTAATGTACTGAACTTTGCAAAATATTAATTCAAAATAAATGCATTTTCCTTCTTAAGTAATACGGTTTTCCGTGAATCAAAGTACAGTTAAAAAAACTATTTTCTTTCACAAATTTTTTTAAGCTGTATAGAAAAAAAGCAAAGCTACTTGATTTAATGCAAGGTTTCATTTTCATATTCAGTAGAGTGTTTACTGAACATGCAACATTTACCTCTTCAAGTCAATAAAAAAAAAAATGCCTCTTCACAACACACATTTTCTCTGAATTACAATACTGAATATTTATGGTAGCACTGTTACTTACTGAAAACAGGTGACTCACTCAGTCTTTGGGTCAAAGGCTGAAAAGTCTGACTATTTTCCATAAGGTTCAAAATTGCTTCTTCATTAATAAGAGCTTCTTCCACTTTGTGTCTAGTGTGACCTTAATTTGACAAAGAATAAAAAAAATTGAAGCAATGGCCTAAATCCAAAATTTATCATTTAGAATTTGTGTAAATTTGGAAGCATTACCATATAAACCTATTTTAAATTTCAAAATGTTAATGATGCATGCCAAATAAAAACATAATAAAAAGCCACAGAAATATTTAACCAGTCACATGGATTTATCAAAACAAACACTGAATCTATAAATCACCAAATATTTATAACCTCTTTAATCCTACTTAATGTGTGTAGTTATATTACTCTGATAAAAATCACTGCATATTCAAATATATAAAGTGAAAAGGAAAGATAAACTATCTTATTTGAATACTAAAATTCTTTATTCTCTATGGTTCAAAAACAACAAATTTAGAATAAATGTTTTTGAACTCTCCTAGAAAAAAAAAATTGACAGTGCTCATTATTTGACACATGTGTATTGGACTCTCTTTTGAATGCATAAAAAATAAAGAGCTTAGTGTAATCCCTAATGGGGCGTGTGTTGGTTTTTCATGCCTGTTTGTGAACTGTAGTTGTGGTTTCCCATTTCATTGCCATAACTGGGCAGAAATAGTTTTTAAGTGCTATAAAAATACAAAGAAATGGTTAAGCAATTAAAAAATTCATTTTACATTAATATTTTTCAGAAAGCTTTCATTATATATCACATTCATTACATTTTCATGATATCAAAAAATATTAGTCCATGTGGCCATATGGAATCCTCCAACAATTGCCGTCCCCTGAAGGAACACCAAACTGAACTACCCACACAAGAAAGCGCCTTCATTAGAATAAAAAATCAGGAGAGCAATCACAGTACTTGGTTTTAACAACGTATCAAGGAAAGAGGCAGCGAAGAGGGTAGAAAAGACAGTCGTGAATTGCTGACAGCACCTCCCATCTCTCAGGCAGTGGTCTTGAGGCACGGAGAGAGAAATCTGTGCTTAGGAGAGACAGAACAGAGTGAATATGGGACTTTGCTTTGCATTGGAACTCAGTGCTACCCTGTCACAGTGGAAAGCAACGTCCCTGTCACAGTGGAGAGCGACACGGTATAGAATTTAGCCAGCACCCATGAGGAGAGGATTTGACCAGCCCCAGCCAGAGGGAAACTGCCCATCCCAGCAGTCCAGAACCTGAGTTGCAGCCAGCCTTACTACTATGGGCTAAAGTGCTTTGGGATCCTAAATAAACTTGAAAGCCAGTCTTATCCACAAGGACTGCAATTCTTGGGCAAGTCCCAGTGCTGTGCTGGGCTCAGAGCCAGTAGACTTGGGGTACACGCGCCTGGTGAGAGAGTAGCTGGGGCAGCTAAAGAATTATTTGTGTCACCCCCCCTCCCCCAACCTTCACAGTCCCAGGCAGCACAACTCGCAGCTCCAGAAGACTCTTTCATTCCACAAGAGGACAGGAGAGGAAGGAGTGAAGAGAACTTTATCTTGCAACTTGGATACCAGCTCAGCCACAGTAGAGGAGGTAGAGTCGTGACACACATATTCCAGGCCCTAACTCCTGGATGACATCTCTAAACACACCCTGGGCCAGAAGGGAACCTGCTGCCTTGAAGAGAAGGACTCAGACCTGGCAGGGTTCATCACTTGCTCACTAAAGAGCCCTTTGGCCTTGAGTAAACACAAGTGACACTCAGGCAGTACTTGCTGCAGGCCTCGGGTGAGACCCAGGGACATGCTGACTTCAGGTGTGACCCAGTGCATTCACAGCACTGGGAAAAATTGAAAGCCCGTTCTCTAAGATCTGGAACAAGACAAGGATGCCTAGTTTCACCACTGTTATTCAACACAGTACTAGAAGTCCTAGTTAGAGTAATCAGACAAAAGAAAGGAATAAATAAAGTGCATCCAAATTGGAAAGGAAGAAGTCGAATTATCCTTATCTGCCGATGGTATGATCTTATATTAGGAAAAACCTATAGACTCCACCAAAAAACAAATTCAGCGAAGTTGCAGGATACAAAATCAACATATGAAAATCAGTAGCATTTCTATATGCCAACAGTGAACAATCTGAATAAGAAACCAAGAAAGTAATCCCATTTACAATAGCTACAAATAAGATACTTAGGAATAAACTTAACCAAGTAAGTGAAACATCCCTACAATGAAAACTATAAAACACTGATGCAAGAAATTGAAGAGTACACCAAAAAATGGAAAAGATATTCCACGTTCATGGATTGGAAGAATCAATACTGATAAAATGTCCATGCCTACCCAGAGCAATCTACAGATTCAATGCAATCCCTATCAAAATACCAATGATATTCTTCACAGAAACAGAAAAAAAAAATCCTAAAATTTATAAGGAACCACAAAAGATCCCGAATAACCAAAGCTACTCTGAGCAAAAAGAACAAAACTGGAGGTCACATTACCTGACTTCAAATTATACTACAGAGCTATAGTAATCAAAACGGCATGATACTGGCATAAAAACAGGCACACAGACCAATGGAATAGAGAACCCTGAAATAAATTCATGACTGCAGTGAACTCGTTTTTGATGAAGGTGCCAAGAACATACCTTGGGGGAAAGAACAATTTCTTCGATAAATGGTGCTGAGACATTGGATATCTACATGCAGAAGAATGAAACTAGACCCTGATCTCTCCACCATATTCAGAAATTAAATCAAAATGAATTAAAGACTTAAATCTAAGACTCAAACTATGAAAATACTAAAAGAAAACATTGGGGAAACTCTCTAGAATATTGGTCTGAGCAAAGATTTTTTGGGAAATATCCCCAAAGCACAGGCAATCAAAGCAAAAGCAGACAAATGGGATCATATCAAGTTATTATACAAAGCTTCTGCACAGCAAAGGAAACAATCAACAAAGTGAAGAGACAACCCACAGAATGGGAGGAAATATCTGCAAACTATCCATCTGACAAGGGATTAATAACCAAAATATATATAACTCAATAGTAAAAAATCTAATAATCCAATTAAAAAATCGGCAAAAGATCTGAACAGACATTTCTCAAAAGAAGATATACAAATGGCAGACAGGTGAAAAGATGCTCAACATCACTGATCATCAGATAAATGAAAATCAAAATTACAATGAGAAATCATCTCACCCTAGTAAAAATGGCTTTTATCCAAAAGACAGGCAATAATGAATGCTGGCAATGATGTGGAGGAAAGGGAACTCTCGTACACTGTTGGTAGAAATGTAAATTAGTACAGCCACTATGGAGAACAGTATGAAGGTTCCTTAATAAACTAAAGATAGAACTACCATATAATCCAGCAATCTCTCTACTCGGTATTTATCCAAAGGAAATGAAATTGGTATGTCGAGTTGAAGAGATATCTGCACTCCCATGTTTATCACAGTCCTATTCACAACAGCCAAGATTTGGAAGCAATCTAAGTGTCCATCAACAGATGAATGGATAAAGAAAATGTGGTACATTTACATAATGGAGTACTACTCAGCCATAAAGAGAATGAGATCATGCCATTTCCAACAACATGGATAGAAGTGGAGGACATCATGTTATGTGAAATACGCCAGGCACAGAAAGACAAACTTTGCATGTTCTCACTCACTTGTGGGGGCTAATTAATAATTTAAACAATGGAACTCATGGAGATAAGAGAGTAGAATGATGGCTGCCAGAAGCTAGGAAGGGTAGTAGGGTGGGGTGGGGAAGTGGGGATGGTTAATGAGTACAAAAAAATAGAAGGAATAAGATCTAGTATTTGATAGCACAACACAGTGACTACAGTCAACAATAATCTATTGTATATTAAAAAATAACTAAAAGTATAATTGGAATGTTTGTAACACAAAGAAATATATGCTTGAGGTTATGGATACCCCATTTATCCTGATGTGGTTATTACATTGTATGCCTGTATAAAAATCTCTCATGTACCCCATAAATATATATGTCTACTATGTACCCACAAAAATTAAAAAAAATTTAAAAGTAAAATGTAAAATTTCAAATGCATTAAAGACCTAAATGTGAAAAACCAAACTGTAAGCACACGTAAGCCTTAAAATGAATACTTAAGAGAAAATTTTCATTACATCAGGGTAGGGAAGGTCTCATAAATCACATACCAAAACTAAACCATAAAGGAATATTGGTAAACTTGACATTAAAACTGAAGACATGTAAAACCCCAAGGATAACTTTTTTTTTTAAATGGGGGGAAAAGAAGTTAACATTTTTTTTTGAAGATTTTTATAAGATAAGCCTAGATGGAGAGAAAACATCTCTACAATAAGTATAACTGATAAAGACTTAATATCTAGAAAATATGAAGAACTCCTACAAATAAGAAAAAGACAAATGACTCAATAGAAAATAAGCACAAAATGTAATTCACAAACAGAGAAACCCAAATGGCCTTTAAAGATGCTCAAATTCATTAGTAATTAGGAAATGCAGATTAAAATGCAGAGACACTATTTCAAAGAATCAGAGCAGCAAATTTTTTACATCTATTATTTTATCCTTATTATTTGATGCTATCAAATGTTGAGGCTTTGCTTGCCTAGTAAAATTGCGTATGATACAATGTGACTTCTGAGTAAAACTTTTATTATTGTCTTGTTTACTAACCATGTATAAGCTAATTGCATTATAGAAAAACTGTTAGAACAGATGCTATCTAGGTAGAGTACAATGCATACACCCTAACATTCAGCAACTCACTCTTCTACATGTGTTTGGTAGAGAAGCTCCTGCACATAGCCATAAGGAGACAGATGTAGCACTAAGTGCAAAAGTAAAGACCATCTAATACTTGTAGAGAAATAGCTAACATTGTTGTTTAGTCTTAAAATGGAACAGTCATCAGCAGCTAAAATGAATGAACAAGGATAAATTTCAAAGTTATAATGTTGACATAAAGATGCTCGACATCAGTAGTAATGAGGGTAACGAAAATTAAAACCACAGTAGGATTCTATTTCACACACTAGGATGGCTACATTAAAAAAAGACAGATAATAACAAGTGTTAGTGAGGATATAGAGCCAGAGAAACTCTCATATATTGCTGGTGGGAAAGTAAAACATTGCTGTCACTTTAAAAACAGCTTGGGAGTTTATTTAAAAATTAAACACAAATATACCACATGCCCTAGTAATTCTTTTGCTTGGCAGAGGTAATCTTTTTAGTGACGTTTATTCTTAAACTGTTTCATTTGTTACTATTGATATCATTTTACAACTTTATGATATTTATCCTAAAATTTATGCTTTACTGCTTATAACAGCACTATTTTTTTTTTTTTTTTTTTTTTGAGATGGAGTTTTGCTCTGTTGCCCAGGCTGGAATGCAGTGGCATCATCTTGGCTTACTGCAACCTCCACCTCCTGGGTTCAAGCCATTCTCCTGCCTCAGCCTCCTGAGTAGCTGGGATTACAGGTGTGCGCCACCACGCCCGGCTAATTTTTGTATTTTTAGTAGAGACAGAGTTTCACCATGTTGGCCAGGCTGGTTGCCAACTCCTGACCTCAGGTGATCCGCCTGCTTCAGCCTCTCAAATTGCTGAGATTACAGGCAGGAGCCACTGCTCCTGGCCAGCAGCACTATTCTTACCAGGCAAAAGTGAAAACAACTCAAATGCTGATCAACTGATAAATGGATTAACAAAATGTGGTATCTCCATACATACTGATAGATACTACAACATGTATAAAACTTGAAAGTATTATGCTAAGTAAAAGAAGCCAGACACAAAAGACTATATATTGTATGGTTTCACTTACATAATATACAGTATCTAGACAAGGCCCATGTATTATTAGTGGTTACTTGGGGTTTGAGGTGGAAATAGGCATAACTGTAAATGGACACAAGGGATCCTGTGGACTGATGGAAACATTCTAAAACTGGATTGTGGAGACGTTTGCACAACTTTGTAAATCATTGAATTATACGCTTAAAATGACTGAATTTTATGTTATATAAATTAAACTTCAAGCTGCTTAAAAATATAATGCTGAGTGAAAAAAGCAAGTTGCTTCATCTACGCCAAGCAGAACATCATTTACGTAAAATTTAAAACTTAAAACAATGGTATATATGGTGGGCAAACATTATAAGAAAATATAAAATTATATATGGTAACAGTTTGCACTAACTTCAGGATACTGCTTACCTTTAGAGATGTAGAAAGGGTGACAGAATGGGAGAAATTTTTGCTATATCCACAATATTTATTTCATAGGGAAAAAAATCCCTAGCAAACTCAATCAAATATTAACATCTCAGTGCTAGATATCTGTTCTAGTAGTTTCTGTATACATGAAAAGAAAATCTTACCTTTGCTTGACTCTTTGTCTTTGTGAACTTCTACCATATTGGCTGGTGTACACTGAAGCATTTCAGGAGACAGAACCTCAGAGTGCAATGTTAACTCAGCAGAGAACTCCTGGGATCCATCGCTGTAGTCCACAGATCCTGATAATGTTCTGCTTAATTAAAACATATCCTTTATAACAGACTACATAACAAAGGAATAAAATTAGTTCTGAGATCTATAATAAATAACCACTTACACAGAGAAATCATTCTGTTTGAGAATTTCCTGAAGTCTCTTCTGAAATTTTTTTTCACTTTCTGTTGCTGGCACAAACCTGTGATCTTTGAATTTTAAAAGTGCATTAAAAAATGTAAATAGCAAATGAATGAAATATTTTCCCTTCTCCTAAAGTAGCTTTAAAAATGGTGGCAATTTCCTATCTTTCTCTAGATATACATAATACAACCTAACTGTAGTTTTACCATAGAATCACACAAAAGAGAAACGGTTGTTACTAAAGTTATAAAATTAGGCACTTAAGTCAGTTCAAGATTAAGTTCTATAATTATAATCTAAATCTAAAACAGAAAAATTGTTCTCTACCTATAAATATATTGTATCCTAAAGCTAAAAATTTCCCCTCATAAAATATATTTCTATTTTTAAAAGTATAAAAGGCACTCAAAGTTTATCAAAACATTTTTAGTGCCTAAGATATAATAATTTTAATTGAACTTCAATATAGGCTTACTGCTGTATTTTGAAATAATATATCTGCCTTTTGAATGATGTCGTTCACTCTTTTACCTTTATTTTTAAAACTGTTGTATCCATGGTATTATCTAAACCCCCTCGAATTCTTTTTGAATGTGGCACCATTTAGCAATAAATGTTTCTTTAGAGCTGTACATATTGAACAAAGTGAGAGCTTATATGACATACTCAGAAAATAAACTGTGGGCAGCATTTCAATGGCTACATTTTCAAAGCTTAATGTATTAAACAGTGTTTCTAAGTTGAGATTCATGATCTTCTGTGAGTTTTCTATAGCTCATTTGGAAATACAGAGGGCTAGAACATACTAGAGAATGAAAACAAAAAAGTGAGGCAAGAGGACAAGGTACATTAAAAACAAAGAACAGTAAAAACGTCAACTTCTTACAAAGAGATAATAAGCGACAATTGGAGACAGCTGTAAAGATAAATAGTGGCTGTACAGCAATGACAACAAGAAAAATACATACAAAATATAAAGGTCATTTGAAAAGTAAAATCTAATGTCAAAGGAACAACTCAATGACAAACTTTTCCATTAAAATACTTGATTTAAAAGAATAATCAGAGCACTATTAGGTTTATACCTTGTGACTCAGGTTGGCTCATTTGAGAAGTTTCATTTCTGTTTCTTCGCCGTTGCTTTTCATCTTCCCATATGGCCTGTAGACCAGGGTTTCCACCAATTTGAGCTGTAATCACAATAATACTTCAATACTACAGGGTCAAAGTAAGAAATGCCTAAAAAATCTAAACTTTTCTTTAACAAATACTGCCTTTAAAAAAACCAATCACATATTTTGTGTAATAAAGTGGACAAATTATCCCAACCTACACTTACTATGTTACTCCTTTTTTAGTTTTCTTCCTAGTGGTTCCCCAAAATCCAGCAAGTGAATACAATTCAAACATCTGATGATAGTCAATAGACCTAAGAGTCCCTTTGCTGATATATAATATGAAAATTAAGAAATTAAAAGGCACAGTACATTAAATTGCTTTATATTAGCTAATTTTATTTAGTGTCACACTTATTTTAGTATCATCTATTCAAATATAGTCATTTGGACAAAAATATAAACAAAAAATTAATACCTCATCAGAAGTATAGAAGCAATCTTCATAACATTTTGTATCCTCCTTCTATAATATCTTAGTTTCCTCGTAAAGTTTTCTTTCCTACTTTTTCTATTCCATTTTGGTCATTAATTTTTTTTTTTTTTTTTTTTTTTTTTTTGAGATAGAGTCTTGCTCTATCACCAGGCTGGAGTGCAGTGGTGCGATCTTGGCCCACTGCAACCTCCGCCACCCAGGCTCAAGTGATTCCCCTGCCTCAGCCTCCCAAGTAGCTGGGACTACAGACGTGTGCCACCACACTCAGCTAATTTATTTTGTATTTTAGTAGAGACGGGGTTTCACCATGTTGGCCAGGATGGTCTCGATCTGACCTCATGATCCACCCACCTTGGCCTCCCAAAGTGCTGGGATTACAGGCGTGAGCCACCACACCCGCCGGTCATTAATTTTAAAAAATAAAAACATATATTAAGAATAATTGTGTATGAACCTTCAATGTCCAGACGATTTAAGATATCAGCAGCTACAGCATCCACTTCTAATTCACATGTACTCTGTGGTTCAACACCTTCCAATATTAAAGAGCTGCAATTAAAGGATATAAAAAACATAATAATTATGTGAGAGCAAACTTTCTAACATTTTTCTTACTTATACAATTATCTTACATTTAGCTTGTACCCAGAAAACCTGATATATTAATTCACAATTATTCTGACAAAATTGATACTTTATATGTATATATAATGAAAAATAGGATGAGAAAAATACAAAACATATTATACTGACTACCCTAGATCCTTTTGAAGTAAATTCTACGTATTTTGGTTCATTATATTTTATATAAAAGGAATATAAAACGTTTTAGCATATGGTTATACCCGGGGCAGAATGGGATAGGATAATATAAAAACCTCAGAGGAATGCATAAAAAACCATACACATATGAAATCAGTTGCCTAGAGACATCTTTTTCAGTATTCAAAAAACAAGGGAGAACATGCAATAAAAGGGAAGGTGAGCACACTGAGAAATGGGCAAACGATATTCACCATTCTTCCTGCCCTCAACTACTGCTGAGATAGGGAATACTTTAAAATTCTTCATAACTACAGAACTGATAAAATGTATGAATGATCAACAGTGGGATCATAGCTAGGAAAAGTAATGATATCACCAGGTCATTAATTTTTATGAGAACTACAAAGGATTGTTTCCCAGTCTGGATCTTTGACTCAAAAGCATTTGCTTTTCATCAGTGCCCCAAAAGAGAAGATAAAGAAGACACCACATAATTGACCCTACTTAACAGAATGAAGAGATAACATCTAGTGTGGATCCTAGTTTACTCATTCCAAAATTTAGGCCTTGTACAAAAATGGACACCAAGTGGAAAAGGGGAGATCCTTAATTTTACTACAAAGTGGTTGATGACATATTTCATTAACTTTTGATTTGAAACACTTTGGTATTTTTTTTTTTTTTTTTCAGATGGAGTCTCGCTCCATCGCCCAGGCTGGAGTGCACTGGTGCGAACTCAGCTCACCTCAACCTCCACCTCCCAGGTTCAAGCGATTCTCCTGCCTCAGCTTCCCAAGTAACTGGGATTACAAGCATGTGACATCATGCAGAGTTAATTTTTGTATTTTTAGTACAGAAGGGGTTTCACCATGTTGGCCAGGCTGGTCTTGAACTCCTGACCTCAAGTGATCTGCCTACCTCGGCCTCCCAAAGTGCTGGAATTACAGGTGTGAGCCATTGCGCCCTGGCCTTGAAACACTTTTTAATGTTTTAAGAAAAACATGTTAGCAAAAACTCATTTTCCATTGTCTATTTTAAAGGAAATTTTGATGGAATATTACATGTTAGTTGTTAAACCACAGAATTTTCACAACTCAAATAATATACGTATATATGTACTCACAAGTATATATTTAGATGTTCAAACACACGTATCTTTTCACCATTGATAGAGAAGGAATATAATTAGCCAACCTATCATAATATATTCCTTTCTCTTTCAGAAAAAATATTTCTCAATATAGATTGTCAGCTGCGCTTGGTGGCTCATGAATGTGATCCCAGCTTCGGCTTGGGAGGCCAGCCTGAGCAATATAGTGAGACCTCATCTCTACAAAAAATTTTTTTAAATTAGCCAGGCATGGTGCTGCACACCTGTAGTCCCAGATACTTGGGAGGCTGAGCATTATAGTAAGACCTCACCTCTACAAAAATTTTTAAAAACTAGCCAGGCATGGTGTTGCACACCTATAGTCCTAGATTCTTGGGAGGCTAAGGTGGGAGGATCACTTGAGCCCAGAAGGCGGCGGTCGTAGTAAGCTGAGATTGTGCCACTGACCTCCGGTCTGGGCAACAGCGTGAGACCTTGTCTCAACAACAACAAAATGTGAATTGTCCTCTTCATTCATACAATTTAACACACATTGAAGTATCAAATTTAAAAATGTTTATGATCCACAGTTTTCTCATATAAAAAAGTTTTATAATTTGAAATAATTATGTTGTAAATGTCAAGGATGAATATTCCCGAAGTAGCACATTTGAGAGAAAGGAGGGAAACAATAACCTCAAAAAATATAATCTCACAGTAGAAATTTACAACTTGCCCTTATACAAAACTACTTCAGACATTCAGAACAGGAGGTGTTCCTATGGAGGGGAAGTAGTTTTCAGAATTAAAAATTAGCACCAGTAGACAGAAAATGTATGAGTAAAAAATTTGCATAAGCAAATACATAGCTGCTTTGAAATAGAGAAATCCAAGCATTTGGAATATACTGCCTCCAAAAAAAATCTAATCAATAATGAAACAAATAAATTACAAATTATATTATTCAAAACCAGAGCATGTCAAAATACTTTATTACTTATTTAATATTTATAAATTTTAGGGGTTATTAAAAATATTTAGATTTTTGTTTTAAATTACTATTTTATCATAAATGTAATTGTTTTACTTGACAAGTTATAGGATATCAAATTAGAATAGATGATGAAGATGAATGTTGCAGAAAAGTATAACAATATCTACCTTGTATTCCTTTTGTTAATTAGGTAATAACTAGTACATTTTCATGGTTTGTTTTTAAAATCGTTTATTCCTTGTAATACACTAATGTCAAGGTTTGTTTCTGTTAAGTGTATAGATTAAAAAGATCCAATACAATAAAAGGTTAAAATTTAATTATGGTAACCACTGATTTCTGATCACAACTAGGATATATGTAAAATTTTCATTTCCTTTACAACATTAACTAACCTTGGTATTTCATCTTGTTCCCACCGAAATAAAGTATCAGCAAGAGAATTTCCTGATAAATGATTCTTGCAGGATCCAGTTGCATGCAATGTATTACCTAGGAATAGAAAGGTAAAAGGAATAAATTCTACTTTCAATTTTCATATAATTACTTTTTAGAAGGTAAATTTTTTTTTTTTTGAGATGGAGTCTCGCTTTGTTGCCCAGGCTGGAGTACAGTGGCGCAATCTCGGCTCACTGCAAGCTCCACCTCCCAGGTTCACGCCATTCTCCTGCCACAGTCTCCCGAGTAGCCTCCAAGCGCAGCAAATTTTTTTTGTATTTTTAGTAGAGACTGGGTTTCACCGTGTTAGCCAGGATGGTCTCGATCTGACCTTGTGATCCGCCTGCCTCGGCCTCCCAAAGTGCTGGGATTACAGGTGTGAGCCACCATGCCCGGCTGGTAAATGTTCTTTAAAAAATTTTATTACTCATAAATTACAGATCCCTTTTTATTGATACATAATATTTGTACATACTCATAGAGCCACATGTGGTATTTTCATACATGCATACAATCTGTAATGACAAAATCAAGGTACTTAGGATGCCATCAGCCCAAACATTATTCACCATTTGTGTCGAGAACATTTCAAATCTTCTCTTCTAGTTATTTTGAAATATATAATGTATTGTTGTTAACTACAGTCACTCCTGTATGCTATCAAACACTAGAACTTATTTCGTCTAATTGTATGTCTATATCCATTAACCAGCCTGTCTTCGTATCTTCCTGGAACCCTTCCCATACACCCTTCCCAGCCTCTAGTAACTACCTTTCTTCTTTTTATTTATTTTTTTGACATGACATCTTGCTATGTTGCCCAGACTGGAATCAATCTCCTGGACTCAAGCAATCCTCCTGCCTCAGCCTCCCATGTAGCTGAGACTACAGGGGTGCATCACGACTCCTGGCTAAAGACGAACTTTTTTTAGTTCCCACATCAGTAAGAACATGTGATATTTGTCTTTCTAGGCCTGGCTTATTTCATTTAACATAATGATCTCAATTCTATCCATGTGGCTGCAAATGACAGAATTTCATTTTCATAAAAAATATGGTAGAATATAATTCCATTGTGTATATATACCACATTTTCTTTATCCATTCATCCACTGATGTGCACTTAAGGTTGATTCCGCATCTTGGCTATTATAAACAGTGCTGCAATAAACATGGGGGTGTAGGTTATCTATCTTTGATATATTGAATTGATTTCCTTTCCTTTGGATAAATACCCAGCAGTGGGATTGCTGTATCATATGGTAGTTCTAGTTTTTGGTTTTTGAGAAACCTCCATACTGTTTTGCATAATGGCTGTACTAATTTACATTCCCACCAACAGTGTATAAGAGTTTCCTTTTCCTTGCATCCTCACCAGCATTTGTTGGTGTCTTTTCCGTAACAGCCATTCTAACTGGGGTAAGATGATTGCTTACTGTGGTTTTGATTTGCATCTCCCTGATGATTAGTGATGTTGAACATTTAAAAAATATACCTGCCGGCCATTTGTATGTCTTCTTTTTTGAGAGGTGTCTATTCAGATACGAAACTATTTTTTTTCCTGTTGAGTTCCTTACATATTCTGGAGATTAGTCTCATTTCATGAATAGTTTGCAAATATTTTCTCTCATTCTGTAGGCTGTCTCTTTACTCTGTTGATTGTTTCCTTTGCTGTGCAGAAGCTTTTACACAGTCCCTTTTGTCTATATGCTTTGGTTGCCTGTGCTTTTGAAGTCTTAGCCATAAAATTTTTTCCCAGACCAATGTCCCAGAGTATCTGTCCTACAATTTTTTTTTTTTTTTTTGAGACAGGGTCTCACTGTCATCCAGGCTGGAGTGCAGTGTATGATTATGGCTCACTGCAGCCTTGAGCTTCCAGGCTCAAATGATCCTCCCATCTCAGCCTCCCAAGCTGCTGGGGCAACAGGCATGCACCATCGTGACTGGCTAATTTGTAGAGATGGGCTTTGACTATCTTGCACAGGCTGGACTCAAATTTCTTGGCTCAAGTGATCCTCCCACCTCAGCCTCCCAAACTGTTGAGATTAGAAGAGTAAGCCACCATGCTCAGCCTATGTGTCTGTTTTTATACCAACACCATGCTGATTTGGTTACTAAAGCTTTGTAGTATTATTTTGCTCAGCCTGTGTGTCCATTTTTATACCAACATCATGCTGATTTGGTTACTAAAGCTTTGTAGTATCGTTTTGACCTCAGGTAATATGATGTCTCCAACTGTTCTTTTTGCTCAGGATTGCTTTGGCTATTTAGGCTCTTTTGTAGTTCCACATGAAGTTTAGAATTTTTTTTTCTATTTCCATGAAGAATGTCATTGGTATTTTGATATGAACTGCAATGAATCTTTAGATTTTATTGGAAAATATGGCCATTTTAACAATATTAATGTTTCTGATCCATGAACATGGGATGTCTCCCATTTGTCTATTTCCACTGTCTACTTCAGTTAATTTTATCAGTAATTTCTAGTTTTCCTCCTATACAACCTTTACTTCCTTGGTTAAATTTATTACTATTCTTTTTGGTAGCCTTAATAAATGGGATTGTGTTCTTGTTTTCTTTTTCAGCTAGTTGTTATTGGTGCACAGAAATGCTATTAGTTTTTTGTGGGTTTTAAAAAAAAATCTGCAACTTTACTAAATTTATCAGTTCTAAGAGTTTTTTGTTGGAGTCTTCAGGTTTTGCCATATATATCATGTCACCTGTGAAAAAGGGACAATTTGACCTCCTTTTTCCCAATTTGGTGTCTTTTATTACCTGATTGCTATGGCTAGAATTTTCAGTACTATGTTGAACAGGAGTGGTAAAAATGGGCATCCTGTCTTCTTCTAGTTCTTAGAGGGCAGGTTTTCAGCTTTTCCCCATTCAGTAAGATGTTAAATGTGGGTTTTTCAGACATGATGTTCATTATTTGAGGTATGATCCTTCTATGATTAACTTATCAAGAGTTTTTACCATGAAGGGACATTGAATTTTATCAAATAACTTTTCTGTGTTAGCTGAGATGATCATATGGTTTTTGTCCTTCATTCTGTTGATGTGATGTATCACATTTATTGATTTGTATATAATGAACAATCCTTGCACCCCTGAAATAAGTTTTTTTTTGAGACAGGGTCTCACTCTGTCACCCAGGCTTGAGTACAGTGGCATGATCTTGGCTTACTGTAACCTCCGCCTCCTGGGCTCAAGCCATCCTCCTACCTAAGTCTCCCAAGTAGGTGGGACTACAGGTGCATGCCACCATACCCAGCTAATTTTTTTATTTTTTGTAGAGACAGGGTTTCACCATGTTGCCCAGGATGGTCTCAAACTCCTGGGCTCAAGTGATCTACCCACTTCAGCCTTCCAAAGTTCTGGGATTACAGGCATGAGCCACTGTGCCTGGCCCTAGGATAAATTTCACTTGATCATGGTGTATTTTTTTTTTTTTATGTTTTGTTGGATTCGATTTGTTAGTATTTTGTTGAGGATTTTTGTGTCTATGTTCATCAGTGATGCTGACCTGTAGTTTTCTTTTTTTGTTGTGTCCTGTCTGATTTTGGTATCAGGATAATGCTGGCTTCATAGAATGAGTTAGGAAGAATTTCCCCCTCTTCAAATTTCTAGACTAGTTTGAGAAGAATTGGTGTTAGTTTTTCTTTCTAAGTATGGCAGGATTCAGCAGTAAAGCCATCCAGACCTGGGCTTTTCTTTATTGGGAGACCTTTAAATTACAGATTCAATCTTGTTACTTGTGATTCGTCTGCTCAGGTTTTCTTTTCTAAAAATTTAAAATAGAGACAAGGTCTCACTGTTGCCCAGGCTGGTCTTGACCTCCTGAGCTCAAGCCTTCCTCCCATCTTGACCTTCCAAAATGCTAGGATTGCAGGTGTGAGCCACTGTGCCTGGCCAGGTTTCCTATTTCTTCCTGGTTCAATCTTGGTATGCTGTAATGCGTCCAAAAATGTACACATTCCCTCTAGGTTTCCCAACTTGTTCACATATAGTTGTTCATGATAGTCTCTGATGATCCTCTCTATTTGTTATATAAATTGTAATGTCTCCTTTTTCATGTCTAATTTTATGTATGTCTTCTTTTTTCTTGGTTAGTCTAGCTAGCGATTTATTGATCTTTTCAAAGCACCAGTTTTTCATTTCTCTGATCTTTTGTATTTTTTTTTTTAGTCTCTATTTTGTTTAGTTCTACTCTGATCTTTATTATTTCTTTTCTTCTTCTAATTTTGGCTTTGTTCTTGCTTTTCTAGTTTCTTAAAGTACATCATTACATTGTTTATTTGAAATCTTTTTTTTGATATAGGCACCTATTGCTATAAACTTACCTCTTAGTACTGTTTTTGCTGTATCTCATAGGTTTTGGTATGTTGTGTTTCCATTTTCATTGGTTTCAAGAAATTTTTAAATTTCCTTCTTAATTTCTTCATTGATCCAATAAAGGTTCAGGAGCATTTTGTTTAATTTCCATGTATTGGTACAGTTTCCAAAGTTTCTCTTTTTATTGATTTCTAGTTTTATTCCATAGTGGTCAGAAAAGACACTTAATATGATTTCAATTTTCTAAAATTTGTTAAGACTTGTTTTGTGGCCTAACGTATGATCTTTCCTGGAGAATGTTCCACATGCAGATGAGGAGAATGTGTATTCTGCAACTACTGGATAAAATGTTCTGTAAATGTCTGTTAGGTCCATTTGGTCTAAAGTGCAGTTTATTTATTTATTGAGACAGTGTCTTGTTCTGTCACCAGGCTGCAGTGCAGTGGTGTGACCACAGTTCACTGCAGCCTCAATTTCCCAGGCATAAGCAATCCTCCTACCTCAGCCTCCTGAGTAGCTGAGACCACAGGTGTATGCCACCACACCTGGCTGATTTTTATCTTTTTTGTAAAGATGAGATCTCACTATGTTACCTGAGCTAGTCTCAAATTCCTGGGCTCAAGCAATCCTCCTGCCTCAGCTTCTCAAAGTGTCAGGCTTACGGTGCCCGGCTCTAAAGTAAAGTTTAAATCCAATGTTTCTTTTTTGATTTTCTGTCTAGATTATCTGCCTAATGCTGAGAGTGGGGTGTTGAAGTCCCCAGCTATCACTGTATTGTATTGGCTAGTTGGGGACTTCAACACCCCACTCTCAGCATTGGACAGATGCTAAGAATCAAATCTAATAACATTTGCTTTCAATCTAATAATATTTGCTTTATATATGTGGGTGCTCTGGTGTTGGGTGCATACATATTGAGAACTGTTACATCTTTTCAGCACTCTACATGTTCAGAGAAACTTCTCTAGTAGCAAACTATAGGAATGTTCCCTTTAAGTAAAATAATATATAACTTATGTGACTAGTTACTAAAATTGTATCCTAAAAATTCATATACAGCAAGAAATACATACTCAGTTGAAAAATGAGGATGTTAAAAAAATATAAAATGCTTCTGTGGTGCTCAAAACATTTGCTCCATTTATTCCTCTTTTACCCATGTGGGGGGAAAAAAAGAAAAAAGAAAAAAAAAATTGTCCCATTTACATACTTTATACACTTCATTTTAACAACTACAGTAATTAGCATCATTTCCATTTCATTTGACCACTGATTATACAACTGAGTGCTGAGGCAAAACTGTATATGCACATATAATATTCAAATTTCTAAATCATTTTCATTTTTGAATGTATTTTACTTTCAAAAGTAAAACTCCATGTATTATATTAATTTATCAGGTAAAATGAAGTTATGCATACATGTAATACATATATTTACTTACAAGAAGTTTACTGTCAAGTTAAACTGTAATGTGCCTGAGATAACATGATAAAATAAAATAAAAAAAATTATTCACTGATTTTGTACATGATTTCAGTATAATCTTTTATCTCATACTAAACAAAAACAAAAACCTGAGGGCTAACTATATGATAAAAGAAGATGTAAATTTTTTTATCATACTGCAATTTCCCTGTTTTTAACTTCCTTTCTACCAAAACTAATTGTGATTTTTGCCATTGAAAGTAACAGCAAAAGCTGCAATTACTTTTGCAACAACCTAATAAATTTCACATGATGCCTTCAAATCTGTAAACACTTCCGATATTCTGAAAAAAACCCTTCTGAGTACCATTCCAATAATCTAACTTTTATAAATAAAATAAATGGTTTCTGTATATTTGCTAATTCAAACTATTCTTGTGCTTTTTCACCTACTGGAAAAAACTAATTATGAAAATTATCTCCTCTTTCTATAATATCTAATGTATATACTCTAGAAACTCTTCCATTCCTCAATCTGTCTTAAATTCTTGGTTATACTTGACAATGATAACTAACTTATTATTTTCCCCAGTAACCTTTTTATTTTTTAATAACTTTAGATTTACAGAAAAGTTCCAAGTTCCAAGGGTACCACAGAGAGTTTCCATATACCAGACACCTGGTTTCCCTCATTGTTATCATATTATCATGGTATATCTGTCAAAACAAAGAAACTGACACTGGAAGATTACTATTAACTAAACAAAACCTTTTATTTGAATGTCACCAGTTTTTCCACTAATGTCCTCTTTCTGTTCCAGGATCCAATCTAGGACACCACACTGCATTCAGTTGCCATGTCTTTCCAGTCTCCTCTGGTCTATTTATCTGTCTTTCCTTGCTTTTCATGACCTTTGCAGTCATGAGAACTGATGAGATAACCTGTAGGACAACTCCCAATTTGGGTTTGTCTGATGTTTTTCTCATGAGTAGACTGGGGTTACGAGTTTTTGGCAAGAATATCACACAGGCGAAGTACCTTTGTTATCACATCACATGAGGGGCCACATGACACCCACATGACATAATAACTGGTGACATTAAACCTCATCACTTGGTTAAGGTACATCACGTGGTTATAGAGTTTGATGAATGAATAGTCATGTAACCACCAACCCAGGACTGTACAGAATAATTCCTTCACTCTTAAAAAGTTCCCCTGTACATCCCCTTTGCAGTCAATACTTCCCTCTCTCCTAAACCCTAACAACTAATAGTCCATTTTCTACTTCTATAGTTTTGCCTTTTCCAGAATGTCATGTGAATGAAGTCACACAGTTTGTATCCTTTTCGGTCTGGCTTCTTTCACTTAGTAAAATGCTTTAAAGATTCATCCATGTTATATGAATCAATTGTTTGTTCCTTTTTATCACTAAATGTTATCAAAGTTTATCCATTCCCCTGTTGAGTGGACATCTCGGTTGCTTTACATTTTTGGCAGTTATGAATAAAGTTGCTATAAACATTTGCATACAGGTTTGGGTGGACCTAAATCACTTAGGTAAACATACCTAGGAGTGCCATCACTGGGTCGCACTCTAAGTCTATGTTTAGTGTTCTGAGAAACTATCTGTCTTCCAAAGTGACTATATTATTTTGCATTCCCACCAGCAAAGAATGTCAGCGCTGCTGTTCCACCTCTTGGTCAACATTTGTTATTGTTAGTCTTGCGAATTGTAGTCATTCTAATAGGTATATAGTGGTAGCCCTTTGTAGTTTTAATCTGTATTTCCCTAACGACATATAATGTTGAATATCATCTTTTCATGTGTTTGCCATCCTTATATCTTCTTTAGGTCTTTTGACCATTTTTAATTGGACTGTTTGCTTTCTTATTGTTGATTTTTAAGAATTCTTATATATTTTATACACAAGTCCTCTATCAGATTGTAATTTGCAAACATTTTCTCCCAGTCCATGACTTGTCTTTTCATTTTTTAACAGTTTTTCACAAAGTAAAAGTTTTTAATTTTGACAAAATCTAACATTAATTTCTCTTTTCATGGATCATGCTTTTGGTGTCATATCTAAAACTTCATTGCCAAACCCAAGACTGGGTACATTTTCCCTTATTTTCTGCTAGAAGTTTGATAGGTTCATATTTTACATTTAAGTTTGTGAAGTATTTTAATTATTATTTAAGGTGTGAAGTATGTGACGTATAAGGTGTGAAGAACATACAAAAATATGTTCTTTTATTTTTATTTTCTGGCATATGGACATCCAATTATCCCAGCACTATTTGTTGAAAAGGCTATGCTTTCTCCATTGAATTACCATTATATCTTTGTCAAAGTTAAGTTGACTATATGGGCCAATTATGGATTATTTCAAATATAGGTCTATTTCTGGACTCTATTCTGTTCCATTGGTATATGTGTTTATCTTTTTGCCAATACCATGCTGTCTTGATAACTGTTGCTTTATAGTAAGTCTCGAAAGTGGGTAATGAACTCCCTAAACCTCAACTTTTGGAAGTCTCCATACTTTAAAAAAGGATTATCTCCTGGACATGAAATAATACAACCTTCACAAAGATGGGAGAAATTGGTGGACAGTTGTCTCTGTCCTGCTTTTCTTCTATCTTCCCTCTTCCTTCCTTTCCTTTCAGTCATTATGGAGAAAAAGCCAAGCCTACTTCATCCTTCATTATATGATTCCCTCTTGGGAATTCTAAGGACCAAGGGCAAGTTATTTGCTCACATACTTTGGTTTACTGTGGGAATTTTATACTACTCTAAGATACAGAGAAGATAAGAAAAACTGGCATTTAGTAAACTATAAGTTGTCATCTAAACCTGAGGTTATTATCCAGAAGAATTAGTTATGAACAAATGAATTACTCTGCTCTAAAAGGGAGGCACATGCTAGTTTCAATGCTTCAATATTTGTGTATTTAAAATAAAAATGTAATTTTAACAAGTTGTCACCACAAAACATTCTCTTCTGAAAAAAAGTTTAAATGCATAAGTTGTTCCACATAAGAAAATTACTAGCATGCTGGAGAGACAAAACAAATAAAACTATTAGTGAATATAACATGACATTAGAGCATTGCATATAGCATCATTATTTGATAAAGATTCTGGAGGCCAGGCATGGTGGCTCATGCCTGTAATCCCAGCACTTTGGGAGGCTGAGGTGGGTGGATCGCTTAAGCCTAGGAGTTCTGAGACCAGCCTGAGCAACATGGCGAAACCCTATCTCTACAAAAAAAATACCCAAATTAGCTAGGTGCGGTGGCATGCACCTGTAGTCCCAGTTACTTGGGAGACTGAGGTGGGAGGATGGCTTGAGCCCAGGAGGTGGAGGTTGCAGTGAGCCATGTTCACACTATTGCACTCCAGTCTGGTGACAGCAAAACCCTGTCTTACAAAGAAAAAAATAATAAAAAATAAAAATAATATCCTCTAGGGAGGATTTGCACTTGCTGCTTCTGTCAGATCTGAGTCTATTACTAGACCAGCACCACCTTAGATCAAGCTCTGGATTTGGGAATCTCTTTTAGTCCCAGGAGATTCAAACTATACTGAAAAAAAAATGTCTGAAGTATGTTCCATTTCCCAGTCTGTGCTCACCTTAAGAGAATATGCATTTGAGGCCCTACCTTAACCTGCGGAGGGCTCCCACCTGCTGGGCAGGACCCACTTCTGCTTTTCATCTCTCTCACCCAGCATGGCCTTCCCAAAGAAGGTTCTTAATTTTCCAAGATTAGTAAATGCCCTCAGGTCAAAAGTTGCTTTAAGCGTTCTATTCCCTTTTGGCCTGCACTTCTTTATTGTTCATAAACTCTTCAATGTATTTAAATTTTTTTATTTCAATGTTGCCTGGCCCTTAAATTGTTTTTAGCAGAAGGGCTGATCCCACTAACCTAGCCCACTATTCACGGCAACAAAAAGAAACCCTCCCTGGTGACTTTTCAGAGCATAGTTTGGGTATGGTAGAAGAAATGCGAGGAGTTAAACCAAAAGTGAACTAAGAGACAAAAAATGCTAACCTCTGCTTCAAGAAGGTTGACAGTGATGGAAAAGAAAAAAAATTATGGCAGTTAGAAAGGATATTAGGACTGGAAGTGTCAGTTTCATTTTAAGAGAAGTAGAAGGGAAGGAATTCAATGAGAAGAAAAGGCAAAAGATGCTAAAACACTTGACACAGAAATTCTACTCCCAGGTAGGTGTCCAAGAGAAATGAAAATATATAGCTACACAAAAATTCATAAATGGATGTTCACAGCAGCATTGTTCATAATAGCCAAAATATCCATTAACTGGGATAGGAATAAATAAAATGTAGTGTATTCACATAACAGAGTATTATTTGGCCATAAAAAGAAACGAAGTACTGATATAAGCTACAACACTGATGAACCGTGAAAACATTATGCTAAGTAGGAAAAAACCCCACATATTATATGATTCCACTTACATTAAATGTGCAGTATGGGCAAATATACAGAGACCAAAAGTAGATTAGTAAGGTTGCTCAGGAGTGGGAAACATGGGAAGCTTGGGGGTGACTGCTACAGGTCATAGGATTTCTTTCAGAGGTGATGAAAATGTTCTGAATTTGTGGTGATGGTTGCATAACTCCAAATACAGGAATACCCCATTAAATTGTGCTTTGCTTTATTGCATTTTGCAGATATTAAAATTTTTACATATTGAACATTTGTGGCAACTCTGCATTGAGCAAATCTATTGGTGCCATTTTTACAAGAGCATGTGTTCATTTTGTGTCTCTCTGTCACATTTTGGTTCCTCTTGCAATATTTCAAACCTGTGAACAGTGATCTCTGATGTTACTATTGTTAATTGTTTTCAGGTACCACAATAAACCGTGCCCATAAAAGACAGCAAACTTGAGTGTGTTCCAACTGCTCCACTGACTGGCCATTCCCGTTTCTTTCTTTCCTAGCACCTTCCTATTCCCTGAGACACTACGATATTGAAATTAGGCAAATTAGTAACCCTACAATGGCCTCTAAATGTTCAAATGAAAGGAAGAGTCACATGTCTCTCACTTTAAATCAAAAACTAAAAATGATTAAGCTTACCAAGGAAGGCATGTCAGAAGCCAAAATAAGCCAAAAGCTAGGTCTCTTGTGCCAGTTAGCCAAGTAGTGAATGCAAAGGAAAAGTTCTTGAAGGAAATTAACAGTGCTACTCCAATGGAACACACAAACGATGAGAAAGTGAAATAGCCTTACTGCAGATAGGTGAAACAGCAGGGGCTGATGTAGAAGCTGCAGCAAGTTCTCTGGAAGACCTAGCTAAGATAACTGATGAAGGTGGATACACTAAATAACAGATTTGCAATGTAGATGAAAACAACCTGAGAGCAGTCAATGCCTGATTTCAAAGCTTCAAAGGACTCTCTTGGTAGGGTTATTTAATGCTGCTGGTAACTTGAAGTTGAAGCCAATGCTCATTTGCCATTCTGAAAATCCTAGGGCCCTTAAGAATTATGCTAAATCTACTCTGCCTGTGTTCTATAAGTGGATCAAAAAAGCATGGATGACAGTATAACAGTTGCAGCATGGTTGACTGAATATTTTAAGCCCATTTTTGAGAACTACTGCTCAGAAAAAAGATTCCTTTCAAACTATTTCTGCTCACTAACAATGCACCTGGTCACCCAACAGGTCTGATGGAGATGTACAAGACGACTAATGTTGGTTCCCTGCCTGCTAACACAACATCCGTTCTGCAGCCCATGGGTCAAAGAGTAATTTCAACTTTCAAGTCTTATTATTTAAGAAGTGCATTTCATAAGGCTATAGCTGTCACTGACAGTGATTCCACTGATGGATCTGGGCAAAATATATTGAAAACCTTCCAGAAAGGATTCACCATTCAAGATGCTCTAGGCTGCTCTGGTCTGTAACTTTCCATTCCAACAGTAAAAAATCTGGGATCTCCTACTTTTCACCTCAGAAAGCTACAAATGTAAAAGGAAAAATAAATTTGTTTTGAGAGGAAATCACTTATTCAAATAGCCATGTTATTCTGTTTTGTTCATAATATCAACGGCTCTATAAATAAAGAACTTTAAAGAAATAGCAAATTCACCCAGAGAAAGCTCTGCCTGCAATATTTTTCAGGTCATGTCACACAAAGAAAAATAACAATGCTTGCACAGCCCACTGAGATAAAATGGACAAGGATGTTCAGTGGTGGAGGTGATGGCTCAAGGGACTTAGGAATCCGTCTGGAATGCTGAGAGACCAACACGTCCACTAACCTACAGCTATTCACACCATCAGGGAAGTGCTGGACTAAAGTAACAAGGCTCTAACAACTCCAGGGATTTCTAGAATTGTGTATCATATACTATTCCTAAAATATAAAAAGTAACATTAAGGTCTGAGGTTAAAAAAAAAAAAGAATCACAATACATATCAATTGCTAAGCAGTGTAAAGGGTTCACTTTTGCAGTGGTCTAGAACTAAACCCACAATACCTTTTAGGTAGCCTGTATACTAAAAACCATCAAACTGTCCTCTTTAAACGGATATAAATTATAACTCAATAAAGCTGTTACCAAAAAAAATTTTTTCTGAGATGCTTTTCCTGACAATCTCTAATCCCACTTTGCATGTATTTCTTTTCATTCTTTAGTCACTCAACATTTATTTTCTAAATATATATTATTTTATAAATCACTGACTATATAACACTTGTTTCAAAACTTTAATTTGACAAAAATTTAATTTGACTGAAAATTAACCTTACTTTTCCTTCTTGCTTTTCGGAACTTGACAGCAGCCAGATTTATTAAATTCATGCCATAAAGATTGTAGTCAATGAAGAGCTGTAGGAGGTAGGGAATATGCGCTTCATGAGGCTGGTAAAATTTATTCATTATGGCTCCGCTTTGCAAAAGTTCACATATCCTAAATTAGAAAAAAAAAGTTTTATCATAAAATTATGTTCCCTAAAATGTTAAATGAAACAATGATTATAGAAATATACAGAACAAAGCACTTATTAGCACACAAAATTTCCATCTCAATTTTACCGGAAATTTGTATTTTGTTAGAAATTAAAAGTTTCAATCAAGTTTTCAAGTAAGCAACATGTTCTGAATAACAAAAAACTGCATGGATGAAGAATATTTTGTCTTAAACCAATTTGATACTAACTATATTTAAAAATTAAAAGGTTTTTAAAATAAAATTTTTCTTTTAAAAATAACAAATAATTTTGAAAAGATTAATATTCAAAAAAGGAAAAGAAATCATTACTTATAATCCCACCACTCAGAGGTATTGCCATTTTGATATTTTTCTTTCCTGAGTATTTTTTTTCCCTTCATGATGACGAATACAAACAACAGACAATTATATACAGCATAGTTAAGTACTATGTGGGGAAATACATTAAACATCTAGAAAAGATACTAAACAGATAGAGGTACAGAGGTGGTTTCTGCAAAACCTTAGAGAAACTCTCTAAGCAAGAGACTAAATGATGAACTAGAGGCACTTTTTTCTCTGAAGAGAGGGAAGAGTATTCACGTAAATAAAACTGCACATGTAAAGGGTCACGAGAAAACACGGCTTATTCAGGAACTGAAACCACTGAGTAAGACTGTGACCTAGTGTCAGAGGCAGGGATAGAGAAGTAATGAGAAGTAAGAGCATGAAGAGCCTGTTAAGACATTTGAAGAGGTAGTGAAATTTGTCTGAGAGGTGAATAGCAGAAAAGTGACATCACCAGACTAGCTATAGAACACAGAAGACTACAGGTAAGGAGTAAATAGGCTGTTGTGGAAAAACTAAGGATGGTGGCTATAACAAGGATCATAGAAATGTACTGATTCAGGAGACATATAAGGGGTGAAATGATCAGGCCTTGATGACTAACTAGATGTGAAGGGTGAGACAGAAAAGGGGCTGAGGGTGATGCCTAGATTTCTTGCTTAAGCAGCTGGTTAGTGGTGGTGCAATTATTTGAAAGGGGAAGAACTGTAAGAAAAATTGGTTTGGGATTTTTTGGAAGGGGAATAAGGATAAACTCAATTTAGACACAAGGGCATTTAGGTATAGTGGGGATCCAATAATAATATTGGAAATGAATCATAAAGAAAATAATAATCATTTTATTAACACAGCAGAGGTAACTAACATTTCTGAGCACTATATATTGGATACTGTGCTAACGTACTTTATTACAAGTAATGTTTATTACAAGTCTGTGGTACGATCATCTCCATTTTATAAATAAAGAAATTATCTTAGATTTAAAAATCACACAAAAGATAGAAGAGCTCTGAGGTGGGAGGACCACCTGAGCCCAGGAGTTCCAGGTTACAGTGAGGTATGATGGCGCCACTGCATGCCATCCTGGGCAACAGAGCAAGATCCTGTGTCTTAAAAAAACAAAGGGGCTAAAATTCAAATCAAAATTTCTCTGCCTTGTGAGCCCTCACTCTTAACCACTCGGCTATTCCATCTATCCAGTAGATGGTTTGATATATTGTTTAGAAGCTCTAGAGAGAAATGAGGCTATTCATATACATTTGGAAGTCAAAAGCATAAAGATAAACAAAAACAAAAGTTAAAACCAAACAAACCCATGGGAGTAAATAAGTCTGTAGAGGGAACAGAAAATATACAGAGTAAAGATGAAAGTCTAAGGCAGAATTCTAAGAAACAACCATAGATGTTAAAATGTAAACCAACAAAATGGCAGAAATATGATTGATCACACTGGAATGAGAAAAACTAGAGGTGGTATATATCACAGAAGCTAACATTTAGGATTGTTTTAAGGCACCATAAGCATCACCATGAGGTCAAAAAGTAAGGACCTAAAATTGGATTTAGCAACACAGAGGTCATTAGTGAAAGCAATTTTCAGTAAAATGGTTGGGGTAGAAGCCATATTGTAGTAAGTTAAAGAGTGAATGGGAAAGCCGAGCACAGTGGCTTGTGCTTGTAATCCCAGCACTTTGGGAGGCTGAGGCAGGTGGATCACTTGAGGTCAGGGGTTCTAGACCAGCCTGGCCAACATGGAGAAACCCTGTCCTTACTAAAAATACAAAAAAATTAGTCAGACGTGGTGGTGGTGCCTGTAATCCTAACTACTCAGGAGGCTGAGGCAGGAGAATTGCATGAACCCCGGAGGATGAGGTTACAGTGAGCTGAGATCGTGCCATTGACCTCCAGCCTGAGCAACAGGGCAAGATTCCAATTCAAAACAAACAAACAATGAATGGGAGGTAAGAAGTTGGATACACAAAGTATAGATAAATCTTTCAAGGAGAATGGCTAAATGAGAAAGGTGTTTCTATGAGTATGAATGTGTGCGTATAATTAGCAAAGTTTTATTAATATTAAAATGGAATTGGAAAGAAAGACGGGAATAGCCGACAGATGGAAGCGATCCTTGAAAACATCAAAGAAGATGAATCTTGAGCCTCAGAGGTGAGGAGGAAAAATTTCTTTCACGGAATAGGCAGCGAGGAGAGAATGGATGTAAATGCAATTTAAGGTTAAGAAAGCCTTAAGAGAGCTTTATTCCAGTGGTTCTCAAACTTTTTGGCCCCAGAACCCCTTTCATTCTTAAAATGTTATTGAGGGGCTGGGCACGGTGGCTCACGCCTGTAATCCCAGCACTTTGGGAGCCTGAGGTGGGCGGATCACCTGAGGTCAGGAGTTTGAGACCACCTGGCCAAGATGGTGAAACCCCATCTCTACTAAAAATATTAAAAAATTAGCCAGGCATGGTGGTGGGCACCTGTAATCCCAGCTACTCAGGAGGCTGAGGCAGGAGAATTGCTTGAACCTGGGAGGCGGAAGTTGCAGTGAGCCGACATGGTGCCACTGCACCCCAGCCTGGGCAACAGTGAGACTCCATCTTAAAAACAAAACAAAACAAAACAAAACAAAACAAAACAAAACAAAACAAAAACAACATTATTGAGAACACTAAAGAGCTTTTGTTTATGTGGTTTATATCTACTGATATTTACCATATTAGAAATTAAAACAGAAATGCAGTGGTGCGATCTCAGCTCACTGCAACCTCCACCTCTGGGGTTCAAACGATTCTCCCACCTTAGCCTCCAGAATAGCTAAGACGATAGGTGCTTGCCACAAGCCCAACTAATTTTTGTATTTTTTGGTAGAGATGGGGTTTCATCATGCTGGCCAGGCTTGTCTCAAACTCCTGACCTCACGTGATCTACCCACCTCGGCCTCCCAAAGTGCTGGAATTACAAGTGTGAGCCACCGTGCCCCACCTACTAATTTTAAAGTAACAATAAACTCCTATGTTAACATAAATAACATTGTTTTAAACTATATTTTTCAAAACAAGAACAACTTAGTGAGAAAAGAAACATTGTTTTACATGTTTACAAATCCTTGTTTTTACAGAAGATAGCTGGATTATTACATCAGCTTCTGTTCAATCTGTTGCAGTATATTGCTTTTGTTGATGTATATAAAGAAAATCTAGCCTCACACAGATATGGAGTTGAAAAAGAAAATAATTTAATAGCCTTTCATGTTACTTTCATTTTGTCACATAAATGTTACAAAGATATATAACCAAGGGTCAAAATTCAATAAAATAATTTTTACCATGTCCTAATGGATATTCTAATGTGAAACCGGCTTTTTTTTTTTTTTAAAGGTGAGTACTTAGTGGTAGAAAACACAATGATTAGTAGTTGATGTCATTACCCTGATTTGAGACAAGGTGCCAGATTAACCCACTATCAATGAAAACAGTGCAAAAGGAAAATCAGTATAATCTTAGTATAATAAAGATCTTAGTATTTTAGTATAATAAAGAGAATTCTGACCATACAAATCCCCTGAAAGGGTTTCAGAAATCCCCACTTCACACTTTGAAAACCACCTCTCTAGAATGATGGGTTCTGTTTTCTCTAAGAAGGTAAGGCCTGAGTAGAGGATAGAGAATAGTAAAGAGACAATTAACTAGAAAAAAGTAGACATACAGCACGCAGGGAAGGGTCTGGGTGAAGTTGAAAACCATGAATTTACAGTGGCACCAGTGTGTAATTTTTTTTTAAATTTTTTTATTCTGCAGTAATCAGAAACTGAGGCTTAGTGGAGAGAAAATAAATGGATGAATTCAGAACTGACGTTTTCATTTGGCAGACCAAAGAGTACCACAATTTTTGCTTATATATTTGGGTTACCTGTGTATTCTCTATCTCCCCAGCTTGTTGTAAGTTCCCTGAGGGCATGAACCATGCACACTTTGCTCACCATGTCTGCCCATCAACTTCCACAGAGCATCAAGTAATGTAGGTACTTTGCAAATATTTATTAAACATGCATAAACAGGTCTGGTATGGTGGCTCAGGCCTGTAATCCCAGCACTTTGGGAGGCTAACGTGGGAAGATCACTGGAGCCCAGGAGTTTGGGGTTGCAGTGAGCTATGACTGCACCATTGCGTACTCCAGCCTGGGCAACAAAGCAAGACTGTCTTGAAAAAATAATAAATGAACAAATAATGATGAATAAATGAATGAATCCATTAATAAATCAGGAATTTTAGAATGGCATTGTGATAAGCTGACTATATAATTTAAAGCAAACTTACTGAGAACAGTTTAGTGTTTGCTATGGTTGCAAGGAAAAAAATTGATTGTATTTATAATTTGTTTATAGGTTATTTATAAAACACTTAAGCCTCTTTTAATCATGGCTCCCACTCCAGCACAACTTGTGGACGAGAAAGGGAAAAATGACTGAGGTTTACTCTCTTACCACTCTGTATGTGTGTGAGAGAATAAGAGTCCACAGAAATTGCTCTTTTGTACTCCACGAATATGAGGAAGTATGAGTAGAGGGGAACTGGTACAGAACAGAAGTTATTTTGGGTAAGATCAAGGGCAGGATGTAAGAAAACTAGTTTTCAGTTACAAGGGAATAACCATTGGGAATAGAGCTGTGCTTCAGTGAAGTACTCAAATGGTTTAATCCAGGGTAAACCTCATGTTCTGGGCAGTCGTGCCCCCTGTAGTGCTTTAATTCACTATGGGAAAACATCCAATCTGTGTTTTACAAAAAAGTTACTTTTTGGAACCCAGTACCTACTAGCAGAGAGGACCTCCTGAAAAAATAATACTCAGTACACCTCCGAGGCCACTTTTACCCTAGCTTCCCACTATACATAGTGAAAATCCTTGTTTTGAATCTGAAAGGATGATTAAAATCTTCCATATATGTGCCCTTCCCTGCCCTCCAGGATGATTGAGAGGATAAGCTAGAGGCAGGGAGACTAACTGAGGGAAGAAAAAACAACCAAAACCAAAACCAACAAAAAACCTGGAATATAAAATTTCACCAACATCTAGTAAACAGTCAACAGGTTTCTGAGATCTCAAAAGCCCTCTCACTCTGGACTCACTCCTACATATTTCCCCTTGCTTTGAAGCTAAAGAGCAACTTTCTCTTAATGCTGAACTAAGGTCTGGCCAGAAGAGGCCTAACATCACACAAGGCAGCCGTAATCTCTCCTAACCTACTTCTACGAACTCTCTAATCTGTAACAGGAAAGAAGCAGTTGGGAGCCTCCACCTCTAAAATATCCTTCATAGAGTCCAAGCCACTGGTCTCTCTCTATACACGTACATGTGTATTTTACGGTCTCTGTCTTTAATAAGACTACAAACTATAGAGGCCTTCTTTCTAGATTTTTTTTATTATTAAAATACTTCAATGATAGTTATTCATATTTTGGTTTCATTTATCTTTGTACCTTTTCACCATTGTAGGATTGTAAAGATAGATCTTCATAAAGTGTCTTTCCTTCTCATGATAACCATAAAAAGGCCTGAAATATAAGAAAAAAAATTTCAAATTATTTTCATAATTCAGAGATGAAATAATGCAACTTATTGCCCTAATTAGATTCAGCTGGCCAAATTCAGTCTTACGTTTAATATTATCCACCCCCCAAAAAACAACTAAAAAATCCCAAACCTTTCAGTTAAACCTAGCACAGGTTAACATGAAATACTGAAGCTTTTTTAAAAAGTGTAAAAAATATCACTTTCTTTAATTACTGACGATGGGAATTAAAAATTATCACTCTGAAAAAACTATGGACAAAAAGGAAGAACAAACCATCCACCCCTTAATCTCAAACATCAAGACTCTTTAAGTGGCTTTTTGTTTTCTTTACTCCACATATAAGAAAACATATTTTTGTTTGCTTTACTCCACATATGAGAGAAACAGACCTTTCAGCCGCCTTCTTCTGGCTCCCATTTTTTTGTTAAAAACTGAAGTTCTTCTTCAACAAAGTCCTTTACTTAACAACACTTACATTACTTTCCTTATTCAGCTGTTTATTATTATTTTATAAGTTCAATAAGCAGAGACAATGTACCTATTATATGTACACACAGCATGTATTTCAGTAGCTGATATGAATAAACCTGTAACACACAACCATATCAAGTGCATCCTGTGAAAAAACTGTGTAGACAGGAACTTAAGAGACTGAAAAAGACCATGGACTTACTTAAGCAACATAATCATGTTATGGCTGAGTTTTTTCTCGGGGTATCAGCTGGAATGAGGAAAGGGGGAAGCAAAAGGCTATATAACAGGAAGAGAAATCCTCGGTGCAAGATGAAATAAGCTGAACTCTCACATCATTTCAGGAGGATCTGAAACTACACTACAACCTCTGATATACAGAACACTATTTTCAAGGATGATGTAATTAGAAACAATACATAAACAGGCGTAAATTTGTGAATGAAATAAAAGGCTTTGTATTGGCTGAAAAGTGGTCTGTTAATACACGGTTAAATCTTTAGGTGGATAAACCCAATCACTCTTTATTTAAAAACATTGTTCCCTTATGACAGGCAGCAGATAATAGAATTTACTCTCATAGGACATCACCTCTCTGTGATGTCTAATAGTGTAGTGGACATCAAATAAAGGACTAATTTGGTAGCAGAGACATTATTTTGGGTATAATTTTTTAGTTGTTTTAAGCCATCTGTATTATTGTTATAAAGTAATTTCTGTTAAAAAAAAAAAAAAACAACTATTTACCAAGGTCTAAAGGGTTCCTCATCTCATCCTTGCCTCTCACTCCAATCTCAAGTCATACCATTCTTCCTTCTCCTCCAACCACTCTAAACATTTCAGACCCTCTAACTCGATCCCTCAAGTGGAAAGCTCCGCTCTGGACTTTTGCATGGCTTGTTTAATCTTCATTCAGAACTCTGCTTAATTTACCTTCTCAGAAAAGTCTCACCTGACCATCCCTCCCTCTTACTCTTCACCCTTTTCTTAACTTTTTATAATACCACTTCCCGTCTAGTTTGCTGCTGTATACCCTATTTTGTTGCCATGAAGAATTGGTTAAAGAAAGACATATTACATAAATGATATCATTCTCTCTCATTGGCAAATTCAACCTTAACTGTAGCCCTTTCCTGCTATGGTATTTTTCATATATACAAAGGTAGTTGTCTGGAAACATGGGTTATCTTCAGCCAGATGAATGGTTTTGCCAAAAGAATTCCTCATCAGGGAGACTCTTTGGGGGAAAAAAGTAGAATGGAGGAGTATGAAAGCAGATGTTTTCATGTTTAAAAAATTATATCTCGTAATTAGTTTTTTAAGTATATCAATAGGAAGGAAAATGAGTGTGGATAGCGAAAAATCTCACCTAATTAATTTTGATGGATTGAGAATCTCTTTATAGAAGATTCTCTAAAATCATGAGTGAGAAGGAATCCCAGAAATTAGCCCAAGGTCATGATCCTATCTCTTAACTCAGCCTCAGGATAGTGATAGTCTAAAAAGAATAGAGTTAAACCTCATGTAAATGTTAATTTGGTAGCTAGATGCAACTTTATGTAACTTAAGTAGGAAAAATTGAAGGAGTAAAGGAATTAGAGAAGGTAGAATGAATGGGAAGGAAAAAGGGGATCTAGGGAAGAAAATGACCAAAAAATTAGAAGAAAAAAGAAAACTGCAATGAAAAATTAGAGTGAGCAGCTCATCTGTTGCCCCATGTATCCAGATCTGTAACTCAACTACTCTCAAAAATGTGGCAATGTCTTTAACAAATACAAAAATACAGGAAGATAAGTGACTATGTATTTCACTGGGCTGTTTGGAGACTTAACTTTGAAATGAGGATATATATAGGAAAGTTATTAGAAACTATCAAGAATAAACAAAACTAAAAGATAAAGTAGATAATTATCCCTAACATAATTGCTCCTGTTATAGGATGAGTGTAAACTTTCACCTCATTCATTTATCCAACCAAACAGTTATTGAGTCATCTCATACATGCTAGTGCACTAGCATGCAGTTTACATGCTAGTGGAAGAAACACATAAAAATTAAGTAAATAAATAAAAATTAAAATACCTGCAAACTGTATTAAGTGCTAAAGAAAACAAATAATGGGCTGAGATACAGAATAATAAAAACAGTAATAATAATAATGCCCTACTTAAAATACCTTATTTTACGTGGGATAGTCAAAGAAAACTTCTCTGAAGAGGTCAATGATCTGGAGGATTGGGGAAGGGTAGAACACTCAAGGAAAGAAAATTGTACATACAAAGAACTTAGGTGAGAAACAACTTGGATAGCAGAGGAACTGAGAGAAAGTCACTGTTTCTGAATGGAATACAGAAAGCAGAGTTTCAGAGGTAGATGGGGTGAGGTCACATAGGTTATGGCTAGAAGTTTAAATTGTATTCTATTAACAATATGAAGCCACTCAAGAATTTTTAAATGATTTTAAATTTACAGTATAAGAGTACTTCTGCTGCTCTGGAATGAGATAAAAATAGAAGGAAATTCAATTAAAATGATACTATCATGGTCCAGAGGAAAGCCTAGATTAAGGTGGAAGCAGAGATTTAAGGTCTCCACTTGGATTTCATATGGACATAAAACAACTCAAATGTTCCTGTATGAGCTCCAGATCTTTCCTGTCAGTTGACTCTACCTCTACCTTCCGTCTTCCTAGCAGAACACCCTTAAACTTTTGCAGTCAACCTTGATTCCTCTCTCACAATCCTTACCCAAACACAAAGCAAAGCTAATACATTAACTCAACCTTCAGAATAGATCCAGAAGCTGATGATTACTTCCCTGCTACCACCCTAGTTCAAGCCACACTATTTTCTTTTTTGTTTTAATTTTAATTCCTTGGTCTTTTCTACCTTAATATCAAGCCACCATATTTTCTTACCCAGATTAATGTCCTAATTCTCTCCCTGCTCTTATTCTCGTCCCCCTACAATCTATTATTAATACAGTTGCTTAAGTAATCCTTTCCAGTTTAAGCCAGATCTTGGCTGCTCAAAATCATGTAATAACTTACAGTAAAAGTCAAAGTCCTTACATTAGCCTACTGAGTGATTAACAAACTTAAGCATGCATAAGAATCATCAGAAAGGCTTTATTAAAACACAAATTGCTGGGCCCCAAGAATGTAGTTCTACCAAGTTCCCAGGTGTGTCAGTCCCAGTCCTCCAAGAAGTAAATGCCAAATGTGAGAGAAAATGAGAAGGCAGCCAGAAGAAGCCGGCATAGCCACCAGACCTAGATACCAGTCTCATCTCAAGTGGACAGAGGGATGTTTTACAGATCTGCTTTAGTATCTTTGCCATGCTCAGTCATAGGGTAAGAGTAGCCTATGGAAAGCAGCTCATGTGGAGTGACAGACTGGAATTGAGTGTATAGTAGCTGGGGCCATTCACTCATTCTCTGTGTATTTGGAGATCTGAGAGGTATATTCTCATGGCTGTAAAACTAGGTAAAGCTAATGATAGTAGGTGATACTAGGAAACCAAAGTATGGAAACCACACTTTGAGAATCATTGGTCCTCACAGTCTCTACCCTCTCATCTCTCTCTTATCTCATTTAGTCCAACTCTCCTTTACTCTTCCACTCTAGTCACCTGGCTTCCATGCTGTTCCTACTCCCTTACCTCCTTCAGGTCTTTGCTCAGATGTTGTTACTTTGTCAATGACACATTCCCTGATTACTCTAAAATTGTCACTAGTCTACTTCCTTACCCCACACTACTATTCCTTCTTATCCTGCTTGTATAGATTCTTTCCTTCCACACGACTAATTATCATATAGCAAATAAATTAATTTAATGTTGTATTTATTGGTTATTATCTGTTTCCCGTAGTAGAATGTAACTTCCACATGGGCAGGGCTCTTTGTTTTGTCCAGCAGTATATCCCAAACGCCTAGAACAGTGCTTAGCACATAAAAAGTATTTAAGAAATATTTGCTGAATAAATTACTATATGAATTACTAATGAATTTCTATAGTTACAGGAAGCAGAGAAATGGGAAAGGAAACAACAAAAATCACTGTTGACTCTCTACCTTTCATTGCCATAAAAATTCATGTTAAAAAGTTACAGCAAGGAATTCACTACAGTTCCATTAGACTAGAAGTAAAAGAAATAGAGTTTATCAACTGAGTATGTTTTCCTCTAAATAGAATAGCAACATAAACAGAAATTATAAAATATATTATCATATACTTACATTCCTGATACTAATGACACTTTGAACACATGCTGAGCAGTGGAAGATGGATTGCCTAAAGCCACATTAAGTGCTCTGTCGATACTGAATGCCATCTGAGAAAGATAGCTTTCTGGCTGCTGTCCATAACCATCGTATGGCACATAGAGGTAAGGAAAGATGCCATGTAGATGAAGACATGTCTTCTGACCTAAAATGTAACACATTATAAAGTTTAGTTTCCAGACACAGTTTAACAATACAAAACTCAGAATGAAACTCATTTAAATGTTCTAATGGCAACACAGCTTATCTAAGGGAAGAGTTGAAAAAAATTAACCCATAGTTCAAAGTAACCAGTATTAACTACATTTTACAACAGAACATTTGGAAACATTGTGTAAACACAAGCATTGTATAACAGTATGACTTAAACAGTAGTTTTGATGAAAGTATTTTCACTATTTAACCCTCATAATCCAACTAGTCTTGTGTACTTCACTGAATCATCTATAAATACCAGTGTTATGAAGGTTATAAGCACAGTGTTATGAAGGTTACAAAAATTCACAAAAAGTTTACTAAATAAATCAATGAATGCCTGTCTTGGCATTAATGTTTTCAAACAAGAGCCTTCCCTAAAAGAGAGGCAGCTCTGGGAGAAAGGGGAATGTAAAAGCAGTTCCAGTGTGCAGAATTTTGCTATTGCAGTGGGAAGGAGGGTAAAAATGAAATTTTGCCATTAAAAGGAAAAAAAAAAAGACAAAACCAAATCAAAACAAAATCTCTACAGATCAATTATCTATAATGGATTTCAGGGTATCTAAATTTTATATTTGGTGGTATGGAACAAGGGGAGACAAAAGGCCAACATGCACACTTCTCAGAAAACCAATATATCAGTCAAGGTGCAGAAGGGGTAAATGGTGCTGACTTGCCAACAGACAATCCAGCACAGCCATGATAAAGAAAGTAATTTGAGTGAGAACCCACAAAAGAAATGCCACAGAAACGATAATCTGTCCATGACAAGATTAAGTAACAACAATGGCAACAAAAAGCAGATGCACCATTGCTCTCATGAATCTGGCAGGGCTGTATGGAAGTGGTTACTGTCCTCAGAGCATTGTCCCTAGTTCCCCTTGGGTATGTGCCATTTGTCTAATCCAAACAGAGAGGAGAACAGCAGTGATGGAAGAACACATCCATTTTTCTCATGCTGTCACCCGCTCTCACTGTGCTGTTCCTGCCAACACAAGCCTCAGGCTTCTTCCCCACCCCTTATCCCTCCTCACTCTGCTTCACTGGGCCTTTTCTTTTGGTAGGAATGTAAATATTTGTTTGATCACTATTTCCCATTTATGATTTAGAATGATTTATATAAAATATATAGAAAGTAGTTCTACACTGTGTTGATATCTTAATGTTTACATTTCTTATAAAGAATAACATTAGCTTCTCTTATTTTTAAGGTACACTTACGACAGAAAAATAAATCTGGAACAGTTATTACATAAAGCAGAGCAAATTTAGAAAGATCAGTCACATAATGAAACAAGATCTGATTCTCCGAACTGTAATATTCTGATTTGAACTACCAACTGTCGTGCTTTTGAAAAATTACAAATTGTGTTGCTGTTATACAAATTTCAGTTTCCAGTTTGGCTATTTCATTTCTAAATACAACATGGTATTAATTCCTAAATTTCATAGTTTTTCAATTCTTCAAATAGAGAACATTCAAACTATATTAATGAGTCTTAATAGATTTAATCAATTTACTGATGACTTACTTGAATGCTTTTTAAATATCTCATGAATAAATGTTATAACCATTACCCTTCTGGACAAAAACCACAATTTGACTAAGAGTAACTGGTATGCTAAACTACAGGTTGAGGGAGGTGGGAAGACAGTGAATTATTTCCTCTTAAGTTGACAAATGCAAGACCAGTGATTACAGAATTACTAGTGCAATGCCATATTTTACAAGCAATACTGTAAATTCCTAAGGTATTTGTTTTATAGTCAATATATCTCAATAATGGAATTTTGGGTAAATTTTACAAGAAACAATTACAAAATTGGACTGTATTAATAGTTTCTTTATGGTCAGAGTGTTCACAAAGTGTCTTAAAAATAATTTTATATCCACTTTTCACATCTCCTGTGAAGTAGGGACCAGAAGAATTACCTTTCTATTTATAGGCTTCAGAACTACAACAATTTTGGGATGTACAATTTAGGAAAAAGGAAGAAATGATTTACTCAGCAGGTAATAGGGTAAGTGCTTTACCTATGTATTTCTAATTAGGATAATCTTGCAGTATTGATGGAGGTTAACGTTCCCAAAGTCACATAACTATTAAGCAATAGAATCCAGCTCAACAAAACCTAAAACCAATACTCTTTCCATTTAACCATGCTGGTTCAATGTTTTTAAAAAGTCAATGTTGGCTTCCTTAATTCCTCAGTTTTTATTTTTTATTATAATTGCCTGTTTCCTTATCTAACTTTCCCATTTCATGGCAAAAACTCTTAGGGAGGTGTTATTGTGTTCAAATGAACACTATGTCCCCAGAACTCAACAAAAAACACATGGTATGTGCTTAACAAACATTTATTAAATGAATTAAAGAACCCACAACAAAACAGAATAACTGCTTAAGGACAAAGGAATGATGTGAAAGCCTTTGAATATCTGAAGAAACACATCCACGAAAAAAGAGGGACTCTGATACAATTAATGTAACTACCATCAGGGTTAGAGGAGGACATGGGTGTGTGGGGTTGAGAAGGATCCCCAACATATTGCACTTTCCTACCCTGAATGACCTGAAGTGCCATCCAAATCTGTAGTCACTCTATCAACACAGACGTACCTCTCTCTCCAGTGCTCCTGCAGCTAGAGATGGCTCAGTGCCTTACTCATCACCCTTCCTCAAGAACAACCTCCTGAAGAACAACCACAACACAAGGAATTCTTGGCATAGCACTAACAGCTCTAATATAGAATAAGAATGATATAAGAGAAAATGAAAGAAACAGGATAAAATAAAAAACTCAAAAGTTAAATAAGGAAAGAGAAATGTGTAAAAATGAACACGAGAGTCAACTGCTTTTTGGAAATAGTATGTCTTTTATTACCATAAAATTTGTAGTTCTGTAATTTGCTTTATCTTGACAAGATACAGACCACTTCTATTTATTTCCCTCCGCTAGCTCTACCTCACACAAATGTGTGGAGATACAGAGCTGTAAAGTCTTTAGAGATAAACCAGTCTACTACAACTCCCGTTAGTTAGGATTAGGTTAAATTGTGAGAAAATGCCCCCAAATCAGTGGATTTAGCATTAAAATTAGTGGCTTCTCTCCTAAAAGAAGTCCAGAGGTAGGTAGCTGGTACTAGAAACCCAGCTTTTTTCAACATCTAGTTAGTGGTCTAATTAAGAACTTGTGACTTCAGTCCAGGCGCTTTTCCACTATACTTCTAGAAGTTCCACATACAGGATGCTTTCAAGAATGTTTTTATAAAATTAGTGAAAGTTATGGTATTTTGAAACCTTCTACTAAATGATTTTGGATTCTCTTTTTTTTTTTTGAGATGGAGTCTCGCTCTGTCACCCAGGCTGGAGTGCAGTGTTGCGATCTCGGCTTGCTGCAAGCTCCACCTCCCGGGCTCACGCCGTTCTCCTGCCTCAGCCTCCGGAGTAGCTGGGACTACAGGTGCCTGCCACCATGCCCGGCTAATTTTTTGTATTTTTTAGTAGAGACGGGGTTTCACCGTGTTAATCAGGATGGTCTCGATCTCCTGACCTCATGATCCACCTGCCTCGGCCTTCCAAAGTGCTGGGATTACAGGCGTGAGCCACCGCGCCCGGCCATTTTGGATTCTTAAAGGAGTCAGGGTATTAGGTATTTCTAGGTAACATATAGATTTAAGGAAAGAAAATATCCCTACCCCTTCAACTCTATTAACGTAAACTGATACATAAAAATTGTACATATATATGGTATACAACATGAAACTTTGATATGTATACACCATGAAATGATTAAGTCGAGCTAACATATCCATCACTTCACATACTTATTATTTTGTGGTAAGAGCATTTAAAATCTAATCTCTTAGCGATTTTCAAGTATATAATACATTATCAACTACAGTCACCATGCAGTACAACTGATGTCCAGAACTTATTCATCATGTCTAGTTGAAACTTCATACTCTTTAAACAACAACTCCCCTTCCCCTCCTCTGAAGGTTCCCTCTTACTATCATGGCAAACTGAAGTTAGACAACAAGTCCAAGAGAAATAAGATCGTCTGTGGCTGAACAAGCCCATGTACACAGGTTTCAAAAATTTCAGAGTTTGAATTTTCCAATTTGATTGATGTTCCCTAATTCAGAAGCTGCAAAAGTTATTTTAAAAAGCGCCACCAAAACTTGACACCATGGCAAAACTCTGTGGAGCTGGCTACTTCCCATTGTGTGTAAGTACATAACAAAAGGCAGATGCCTCTTCAACAAGGAGTATGTGGGTGCTCTGAATTTCATCTTTCACGGAACCCAGAATTATACTAAACATTAAGTCCTTGGCTGGGCATGGTGGCTCACGCCTGTAATCCCAGCACTTTGGGGGCTGAGGCAGGTAGATCACGAGGTCAGGAGATCAAGACCATCCTGGCCAACATGGTGAAACCCCTCTCCACTAAAAACACAAAAAAATTAGCCAGGTGCCTGTAGTCCCAGACACTCGGGAGGCTGAGGCAGGAGAATGGCGTGAACCCGGGAGGCGGAGGTTGCAGTGAGCCAAGATCGCGCCAATGCACTCCAGCCTGGGAGACAGAGCGAGACTCCATCTCAAAAAAAACAAAAACAAAACAAAACATTAAGTCCTTTATATCCCAACATTTCTTATTGTCATTTTTCAACATTTTATTCTGCAATTTAGGTGTCTTGATTTGGTCTCTAAATTGCCCATCTAAAATCTTGTTAGCCTATTTGTAGTAAAATTACTTGGGGTATTTTTGTAGATTCAGTTTCGATAAACACAAAGACTAAATGTACCATTCCTCTAATTTGGGGGTCTGAAAACTTTTTCTGGAAGGTGACAGTAAATATTTTAGGCTTTATGGGACATGCTGTATCTGACACAATTACATAACTCTGCTGTTGTAGCCTGGAAGCAGCTGTATGCAATACTTAAGTGAACGGGCATGACCGTGTTACAATAAAACTTCATTTACAAAAACACGCAACATGAGGGATTTGGCCCATGGATAGTAGTTTGCCAATCTCTGCTCTAATTAATTAGACTTCTTTCTCCATCATCATCTGGAATAGAAAAGTTTTTTTTTTTTTAAAGCTGATGGGTAATCAAAATCAAAATAGTGATAGCCTAAGAGTATCTTAGGAGAATAAGAAATACTCATTGTGTAATTTGCATATCCCATCTCCCAAATCTCAAATTCAATCTAAACAAGGTTTTAAACAAACCTCGACAGAGCTATAAAACAGAAAAACTTGGTATGTGAGCAAGAACATTTACGTTTACAAAAATTTTCATATTTTCTTCTTCCTGGAACATCTCAAGTTTTATATCACTATCATTAACTCCATCTGTTTCCTTCCAGTCTTTCTTTGCTTCTGTCTTTCTAAATTTTACTCCATCTTTCTTTTCCCATCTCCACAAAACCACAAAACGAACTAAACAAAACTCAGTCACAGAAAGTGTTAAATTATCTATTCTCATGGAAAAAGAAAAGTTGTAAGGATGTACTCTTAGCCTTGGAAATTAGATTTTCAGAATTTATCTTACAGAAAAACTTAAAAATGTACACGAAGATTCAGATACTAAGATGTGAGGTATGACTAACAATAGTGAAAAAAATGAAGATAATCTAAATTTCCAAAAATAGGGAAATAAGTAAAATTATGTTATATCTGTATAATAGCTCTGTGGCTCTGTAGCAAATCCTGCTTCCTGCCTGATTTTCTAAATAAAGTTTTATAAGAATACACCACAGCCATTTAGAATGGTCTATGGCTGCTTATGCTATAGACAGAGTTGAGCAGTTGCAATAGACACCCTACAACCCTCAAAACCTAAAATATGTGCTTTCTTGTTCTTTATAGAAAAAGTTTGCTAACCTCAGCAACAGAAGATGTTTAAGTGTATTTCCTAGTATAAGAAAATGTTTATGATGTCTTTATAGTCAGATGAAAATCAGTTATAAAATAACATAGTACATGAGACCAGGTGATGAGTGATTCTTTTATATATATATGGGTGATTCTTTTATATATATATACACATATATATATATATACACATATATATATATATACACATATATATATATATACACATATATATATATATACATATATATATATACATATATATATATATACGTATATATATATATATATATATTTCCCCCCACTAAATATACAACTTGTGTAAACAAAAGGGAGGAAGAAAGAATTTACCTACTTTTAAATAACCCAGAAACTTAAAAGGCAAAACAAAGCATAATATATAACAGTTTCCTTTCATTTTCTCCTTTTATTTGTAAATAATACTTTGGAGTTTCAAATTTATTTATGCCATTTTATTTCTTCAAATAAAATATACAGAACTTTATCTAGAATCATTGGCTTTAAATGATTAATCCCAAATTACTAAGAGAAACTATATCGCTGAAATACCAGATGTTTCAAAAGTCTATTTTATTCATACATTTGTCTAATGTGTCTTTGTATATACAGTGCAGGGTATAGTTGGTTCCTTTATTCATAAATGTAGTCATAATTTCTCTACTCAAGTAATTTGTGGAGACCCAATGTTTGGTGCTAAACCATAGGCTGCTTATAACACAGCCACTAACTTCATGACTATAAAGCCACTAACTTTATAGTCTACTTGGAGAAAATGATGAATAAATAGGCAATTACAGTATGGTATGACAGGTGCTCAGAAGCACAAAATCCTATGGCTATATCCACAAGTATCTAACTCAGACTTGTGAGAATCTAGGAAGGCTTACCAGAGGAAGTGACATTTGAGCTGATATCTGAACTATGAATCAGATTTAGCCAAGCAAATGAGGAAGAATGTTTTCAGTATGTACAGAAACCTGACAGCAACAGAAACATGGCATCTGGGAACAGGAAAAGTGTAGGTGGGATGAAACAAGGAGTGCAGTGGAGAGAAAAGAAAAAGAGTATGAGAAGGAGAGAAAGAAAAAGAGTATGAGAGAGAGAAAAACAGTGTGTGTGTGTGTGAGAGAAAGTCTGTGTTTTTGTGTGTGTGCGCACATGCATGTACTAATGACCTGTACAGATTCGCATTTTATAAAGTTCCCTGTGGACACATTGTGGGGACACTAGCAACAGAACTACAGAAAGGAAAATCTGTTTAGGAGGCTGCTGGAGGAATTCAGTCGAGATGTCAGTAGAGGTGGAGAAAAGGTCAAGGATTTAGGGAGTAGAATCAAGAGGCTATGGTAACTGGAATTTGAGAGTAGGATAAGGCAGAAGGAATCAAAGATGACTCTTATTTTTGGCTTAGGCAACTGGACGGATGATAATGTCACTCAAAGAAAACTGTAAAAGAGGGGCGGGTTGACTTCTGTTTTGCATTTATACAATTTTACATGTCTATAGAATTTCTAAATGGATATTTAAATGAAACACATACAGATATGGAGCTTAAGAAAGAGATCTGAGCTAGAGAAGAAGACAGATTTGCCAGTATGAGCAACAATTGGGTAAGATTTCTCAGGGAAAATATCCAATACCCAATACAAGAGAAGGGACCTAGGCAAGAATCCTGAGCCGATATTTAAGAGAGGCACTAAATATTTTGATTTATGTGAAATGTGACAGACAGAGCCCTGAGAGGGCTACCAGGCAAGAAAGGGAAGCTAATAGTGAAAATTTGATAATATAAACATATTAGCCATGGAACCAGTGTTCCAAGGATCCAGTGGAAATATAAGAGATAGGCAAGTAACGAGAGGCTGGATCAGAGATTGGTGGCAGGATGTAGATAAAAGTATATAGGACTGAAAAGAGGCATTTACAAAATTGCTGAGTAAGGACCTTTCAATATCTGTTCCTCCATAAAAGCAACAAGAACACTGGCAAAAACTGTCAAAAGCAACTTTTTCAGAACTCTGGAAATTAAAGGTTTGCAACAATTCAAGGCGTATTTATTCAAGAACACCAGATGAATGCTAAAACAGCAAGCTTTGTGGCATTTTAACTTGTTCTAATCTGATCTCTCCCTCTGCAGCTTCAAAACAGTCTTGAAAATCAAAGCCTTGCATCCATAGCAGCTGTAAAAACCAGCAGCCAGGCAGCCACTGGAGGAGCCGGAACCCATTTGGAGCTCCTCCAAAGCCCTACCCTCAGAAAACTGCCACTATTGGACTTGTCTGGCAGCTTGCTGAACAACACTCCATTCCCAGCACTTGCCTTTATTTGATTTGAAGAAGGGCTCACACTATGTGAAGAGCCCTATATGCGGCAGGGTCTTTGTGGAAAACAATCAACAGCAATTATTTAATTGCTGTAGCTGCCTGGAGAAATTTTACCAGTTGGGTCTAACAAGAGGCTGACCAAAAAATTCAAAAGTACAAACAGGAATGAAATGTCCACCGGGGGCTTGGAAAAGCTTTGATACAGTTAAGGGAATTTAGAAGGCCATAAGCATGTGTAGGGCTATGTACATGCCCAGGAAAGATCTAAGAAGACTAATATTTTGCCTCTGGTTGATCTTGAGGCTCTGCCCCAACATACTCACAGAGCCCCTCAGCAAAAGCTGAGAAAAGAGGCATTTAAAGAAATCTCTGGTCAACCATTAACTGACCACTATGCTAGCTGAGCAGAGATTTCAAATAGAGACTGCCGGGCGCGGTGGCTCATGCCTGTAATCCCAGCGTTTTGGGAGGCCGAGGCGGGCAGATTACGAGGTCAGGAGATCAAGACCATCCTGGCGAACATGGAAACCCCGTCTCTACTAAAAATACAAAAAAAAATTAGCCGGGTGTGGTGGCGGGCACCTGTAGTCCCAGCTCCTCGGGAGGCTGAGGCAGAAGAATGGCACGAACCCGGCAGGCGGAGCTTGCAGTGAGCGGAGATTGCGCCACTGCACTCCAGCCTGGGCGACAGAGTGGGACTCCATCTCAAAAAAGAAAAAAGAATAGAGACTATACAAAATAAGCCCATGAAAATCACTGAAGAAATAAACTGCAGCAACAACAAAAATAAACTGGGTGGGTAGAGAGGAATCTAACTTGAGAACTGCTACATAATTTAAAATGTCTGGTTTTCAACAAAAATAAAATTATAAAACACACAAACAGGCAAATATGGCACCATATATATATATATATGCACACATATATATAAAAGCAGACAACAGAAACTGTTCATGAAGAAGCCAAGGTGTTGGACTTACTGGACAAAGATTTTAAGCCAGCTATTTCAAAAAACTAAAAGAAACATGTCAAGAGAGTTAAAGGAGAGTATGAGACCAACATCTTACCAAATAGAGAATATCAATGAAGAGAGAGAAATTATAAAAAAAGAACCAAATAGAAATTCCAGAATTGAAAAGTTCAATAACTAAAATGAAAAATTTACAAGAGGGGGTATGATACTATGATATAAGAAGAAATATATATTTGGTCTTTGTCCCTCTTCCTGGTACACAGCTCCTAAAACGTTTGGATTCTTTTAAGTGTTAAGTGTTTACATGTGTACCAATGAGATGACTGGTAGCTGGGGGCTCCTGGATAGCCTCAGGTAGGGCAGAAGTGCAGGGAGCCTAGGGACTCCATTTGTGGCTGGTGTCTGAAGTGAGCAGTACTATCGGACAGAACCCTTACCCTGTAGGGTATACATTAGTAGTAGTTAGTGTCAGAATTGAATTCAATTGTAGAACACCCACAGTTGATGTCAGAAAACCGAGAATTTGTTACTGTAAAACTGATGCACAGGATGTCTTTTTCAAATTGGGTGGCCTCTAAGAAGGCTTTCAACTGAGTCTAGCTGAAAATTTGATGGATTTAAATCTTACTTTCTCCTTATAAACTATTTTCTTTCTCCTTATAAACAATGAAGATATGTATAATGTCCTCACATCTCCCCTTTATGGAACGGAACTAGAAGGGAATCAATTAACCCATTTATGCCAGAGGTTGCAATTTTTTGTGTGTGAAAAATCAGACTTTGGTGATGACCCTGAGCAGTAGGATATAAATAACTCCCACAAGCTTAGCAGCCCAATAATGGAACACTAGGCATAAATGGGTTAAGGGCCAACTTCCAAACTGAACAACAGTAGTTTGATGATTAATATGATTCTTTTATGATTAATATGTCAGAAATCTGATGAAATGTTGTATCCAAAGTTCATAAGCAATTTAATCTGCAATTATTGTTATAGAAAGTAAATCAACAATTCCCTTGATTTTCAATAACTATGAAACTATATGGGTACTGCTCAAAGGCACACGCCATGGTACAACTATTTCTAAAAAGCTCAGTCTTAAAAAACAAAGCTTCTAACAGTAGTTTCAAGCACAAATCTCCAAGAAAATGTGCACCTTTCAGACTAAACGTCATAAAAATAATTAGTGTTATTAACCTTAGTGAAAAATAAAATTCTGGCTTGTAAAACAAACACTTTTTAGTTTCAGATAATTTAGCCAGAATGGTCACACACATTAATTTTTGTGGTATTTTAATTGAAAGGTAAATAAACCAAAGTCTCAAAAAAAAATTCTGATTATGACATGAAAATTCATCTCAATTTAAAGCAATATCAAAAGTTAATCAAAACAAACTTACTGTCTGGTCAAATTTGTACATAAATACCTAAATGCTCCTTCAAATGCAAATAAATAAAATATTATTGGTAATTAACATTATATGCAAGTCTAGTAAATTATTCAACCATATTTTATGGTAGCTGAATACTAAAGGACCTTAAGCTTTTACCTGTCTAAAAGAAAGTTGAAAAGACAATGCACAGAATGAAAAAAAAGTTGTGAATCATATATTTCATAAGGGACTTGTATCTAGAACAAACAACTCTTTCAACTCAATAATAAAAAGACAATAAAATTTTAAAATGGACAGAGACTTCTGGTTGTAAAACGGTGGTACAGAAGTAACCTGGCTTCACTCACTGCCACAGGAAACCAAAACCACAAATACAGTGCTGACACGATCATGAGCAATATCCCGAACTCAAATATGAGGAGACAGTTCCCAAGGCCACAAAGAAGTGAAAAAACTCTGAGCAAAAGAAAGCAAATTAGACTTTCATAATCACAGTGCCCCTCCCCTCAATCTGTCCAGCACCAAGCATGCAGAAAACTTTCCCAACTCAGAGTTGCTACACTGGAAAAAGTATAACTGAGGTGGACAACTGGCTTCTCCACCATCTTGGGTTTGTTGGCAAGAGACCTATCCCTGTCCTAATAACTGGGAGCAGTGGAAATACCTAAGGGAGAAATAATCCCTGAAAACCACCAGAAATAAAGAGAAGAGGTCGGAGGTGGGACTACCATCCCTAGTCCTGGAAACTCTGCTATGTAACTCAGCCAAAAGAGATGCCAAGTTGGAGTGGCTGTTCAGCAGCACCACACTGTTAAGAGGTTCATTTCACAGGTTCATTGGACATGAACCTCTACCCAGAGGTTAGGTGCTGAAAAGGAGGCAGCAACCTAGCAGATTTAAGAAAAAAAAAAAAAGAAAGAAAATTAACAGGTAAACTTCAAAGAATCTCTAAGCAAGCATATTCGATAAAAACCAAAACAAGCCAGATAGAGAAGACTAGAATAAATAACTAATCCTTGAATGCAAAGACACAGATGTATATCCACAACAAACAACAGAAAACAGGGAACCATGACCTCAAACAGACAAAGCAAGGAACCAGTGACTGACCCTAAGAAGACAGTGACATGAGCTTTCTGATCAAGAATTCAAAATACCAGGTATAAGGAAATTCAGTAACTTTTACAAGGCAAAGCAGAAAAGTAATTAAGAAATTTATTAGAGAAATTTAGCAAGGAGATCAAAATAATACAAAAAAAACCAAACAGAAATCGAAATTGAGAAATACATTTGGTGAACAGAAAAATTCATTAGATACTCTCAATAGCACAATGGAAACTAAATAACCTACAAGACAACACAGAAAAGTAATACAGAAATTTATTAGAGAAATTTAACAAGAAGAGTGAAATAATACAAAGAAAACAAACAGAAATCAAAACTGAGAAATACATTTGGTGAACTGAAAAATTCATTAAAGTCTCTCAATAGCAGGATATATGAAACAAAAAAAAGTCAGTGAGCTCAAAGACAGGCTATTTGAAAATACATGAGGAGAAAAAAGAAAAAAACCAATGGAAAGGAATGAAGGCTGCCTTTAAGATACAGAAAATTACCTCTAAAGACAAAATCTAAGAAATTTATTGGTATTTAAGAGTGAGGGCTCTTGTTAAGCAAGGGAAAGGGGCAAAAAGCTTATTTCAAGAAATAACAGAAAAAAATCCCAAAAACTTGAGAAAAAGATAAATATCCAGGTACAGGAATAAAGGTAAGACAACACCAAATAGATTTGATGCAAATAAGACTACTCCCAAGTTATATAATAATGAAACACTCAAAGGTCAAGGACAAAGAAAGCAGCAAGAGAAAAGAAGTAAATGATGTATACAAGTGCTCCAACTTGTCTGGCAACAGACATCTTAAGAGAAACTATAAAGGCCAGGAAAGAGTGGAATGCCATCTTCAACGTGCTTTAAAAAAATGCCATCTAAGAATAAAGTATTGAGCAATGCTATCCTTCAAATATAAAAAAGAGGGTTTTTGGTTTGTCTTTTTATTTTTTAAATCTTCTTTTGTAGTGATGGGAATCATGCTATGTTGACCATGCTGGTTTTGAACTCCTGGACTCAAGCAATCCTCCCATCTCTGCCTCCCAAAGTGCTAGGATTATAGGTGTGAGCCATTGTGCCCAGTCAAATACATAGTCTTTCCCAGACAAACTTAAGCTAAGAGAATTCACCACCACCAGAACCACCTTACAAAAAAATGCACATGGGAGTTCTTCCACCAGACAGAAAAAAACACTAACTTACAAAAAGAAAGCTTGTAAAGGTATAAAACCCACTGGTAAAATTAAGTACACAAACAAACCAGAATACTCTATTACTGCAATTTGTAGTGTACAATCCATTTGTAACTCTGTTTGGTATGAAGTCCAAAAGACAAATCTACCAAAAACAGTAATACTTATAGCAACCCATTAAGAGATAGGCAATATAAAAACATAAAAATTAACACAACATAGTGTCAAAATGTGGGGGGCGGGGTGGGGTGGAGTTATAGGAAAGAGGGTTTTTTAGCTTCTCGAGAGGGGCCTCGCGGGCCCCGCTCCCGCCCTCGGCTCGCCTGGCCCAGACCGGAAGCAGCGCCGCACTGCCTGGGCCTGGCGCGGGGGGTGAGCACAGGGGCCCGGTCGGACATGGACAAGAAGCACAAGCACAAGAAGCTCAAGTCGGACAAACACCTCTACCAGGAGTATGTAGAGAAGCCCTTGAAGCTGGTCCTCAAAGCAGGAGGGAATGAAGTCACCGAACTCTCCGTGGGCAGCTCGGGGCACAACTCCAGCCTCTTCGAAGACAAAAAACAATCATGACAAACAAAAGGACAGAAAGTGGAAAAAGAGAAAGAAAGGAGACAAGCAGGTTCCAGGGGAAGAAAAGGGGAGAAAACAGATAAGAGTTAAGGAGGATAAAAAGAAGCGAGATTGAGACGGGGTGGAGAATGAGGCAGAAAAAGACCTCCAGTGTCACGCCCCTGTGGGATTAGACTTGCCCGGTGAGAAGCCTCTCACAAGCACTTTAGCCAAACAAGAAGAAGTAGAACAGATACCCCACCCCTTCAAGAAGCTTTGAATCAACTGGCGAGACAATTGCAGAGAAAAGATCCAAGTGCTTTCTTTCATTTCCTGTGACTGATTTTACTGCTCCTGGCTACTCCATGATCATTAAACACCCAATGGATTTTAAATGAAAGAAAAGATCAAGAACAATGACTACCAGTCCATAGAAAAACTAAAGGATATTTTCAAACTAATGTGTACTAATGCCATGATTTACAATAAACCAGAGACCATTTATTATAAAGCTGCAAAGAAGCGGTTGCACTCGGGGATGAAAATTCTTAGACATGAAAGAATTCAGAGCCTGAAGCAGAGCATAGACTTCATGGCTGACTTGCAGAAAACTCAAAAGCAGGAAGACAGAACAGACACCTCGCAGAGTGGGGAGGACAGAGGCTGCTGGCCGAGAAGAGAGAGGACTCTGGAGATGCCAAAGCACACGCCTTCAAGAGTCCCAGCAAAGAAAATAAAAAGAAAGACAAAGACATGCTTGAAGATAAGTTTAAAAGCAATAATTTAGAGAGAGCGCAGGAGCAGCTTGACCGCATCGTGAAGGAATCTGGAGGAAAGCTGACCAGGCGGCTTGTGAACAGTCAGTGCAAATTGGAAAGAAGAAAACCAGACGGAACAACAATGTTGGGACTTCTCCATCCTGTGGATCTCATTGTAGGAGAGCCAGGCTACTGCCCTGTGAGACTGGGAATGACAACTGGAAGACTTCAGTCTGGTGTGAATACTTTGCAGGGGTTCAAAGAGGACAAAAGAACAAAGTCACTCCAGTGTTATATTTGAATTATGGGCCCTACAGTTCTTATGCACCGCATTATGACTCCACATATGCAAATATCAACAAGAATGATTCTGATTTAATCTATTCAACCTATGGGGAAGACACAGATCTTCCAAGCGATCTCAGCAGCCATGAGTTTTTGGCCACGTGCCAAGATTATCCATCTGTGATGGCAGATAGTTTACTGGATGTTTTAACAAAAGGAGGGCATTCCAGGACCCTACAAGAGATTTAGATGTCACTGCCTGAAGATGGAAGGCCATACTAGGACACCTGACACAGCAAAAGAAATGGAGATTACAGAAGTAGAGCCACCAGGATGTCTGGACTCCAATACTTCAAGACAGGCTCATAGCGCTGAAAGCAGTAACAAACTTTGGCGTTCCGGTTAAAGTTTTTGATTCTGAGGAAGCTGAAATATTCCAGAAGAAACTTGATGAGACCACCAGATTGCTCAGGGAGCTAGCTCCAGGAAGCCCAGAATGAATGTTTCAACACCAGACCCCCTCCCAACATGATCTGTCTCTTGGGTCCCTCATACAGAGAAATGCATCTCACTGAACAAGTGACCAATAATCTTAAAGAACTTGCACAGCAAGTAACTACAGGTGATATCATAAGCACATACGGAGTTTGAAAAGCAATGGGGATTTCCATTCCTTCCCCCGTCATGGAAAACAACTCTGTGGATTTGACAGAAGATACTGAAGAACCTAAAAAGACGAATGTTGCTGAATGTGGACCTGGTGGAAGTTGAGGCCACCTGTATTTGATTATATATTATGTACATACTTTTTCATTCTTAACTTAGAAACGCTTTTTAGAATATGTTAAATATTTGTAAATTGTGTTTTTAATTAAACTTTGCAACAGTGAATTTGAATGTTCCAGAGGTTGGACTTGTATTAGGTAATAAAGCGGGACCTGAGGAAAAAAAAAGAGGGTTTTTAAAAAAAATTTCTATTCTTTGTTTTGTAATTAAGATGTTTTTGTAGTCTCATGGTTACCACAATGCAAAAACCTATAACAGATTCACTATAACTAAAAAGCAATGAATTAAAACATACTACCAGAGAAAATCTCTTAATCACAAAGGAAGACAGTAAGAAAAAGAAAAAAGGAAGGAGTTCTAAAACAACAGAAAACAAGCAATGAAATGACAGTAGTAAGTTTACTTGGCAACAGTAACACTGAATGCAAATGGACTCAATTCTCTAATCACAAGGCAGAATGAATTCTGTCTAAACAGATAAAGAAGCAAGAGTTAAACTATATGCTGCCTATAAGAAACTTACTTCGCCTATAAAGCCACACACAGACTGAAAGTGAAAGGCTGAAAAAAGATATTCCATGCAACTGGAAACAAAAGCAGGAGTAGCTATATTTGTATCAGATAAAACAGACTATCAAGACTGTAAAAAGAAACAAAGAGGGTCACTATGTATTGATAAAAGGGTCAATTCAGCAAGAGGATATAACAATTATAAATATCTATGCATGCAACACCAGAGCATCTGAGTGCATAAAGCAAATAATACATTTAAAAGGAGAGACAGACTGCAATACAGTAATAGTAGGGGACTTCAACACCCCATTTTCAGTAATGGACAGAACATCCAGACAGAAAATCAAGAAAGAACACTGGAGTTAAGCTACACAGTACACAAACAGGCCTAATCAACATTTATGGAACATTTTACCCATGGCTGCAGAAAACACATTCTTTTCATCAGCATATGGAACATTCTCCGAAACAAATCATATCTGAGACAAAAAACAAGTCTCACCAAATTTAAGTAAGTAGAAATCATACCAAGTATCTTCTCTGGCCACAATGGAATAAAACTAGAAATTAATAACAAAAGGAAGCTTAAAAATACACAAACACATGAAAATTAAACAACATTCTCCTGAATGACCAATGGGTCAATAAAGAAATTAAGAAGGAAATTTAAAAATTTCTTGAAACCAAAGGAAATGAAAACACAACATACCCAAACCTATGGGATACAGCAAAAGTGGTACTAAGAAGGAAGTTTATAACAATAAACACCTATGTCAAAAAGTAGAAAGACTTCAAATAGACAACCTAATGGTATACCTGAAGGAACTAGAAAAAGAACAAAACAAACCCAAAATTAGTGGAAGGAAATAAATAGTAGCGATCAAATCAGAAATAAATGAAATTGAGACTAAAAACCAATACAGAAGATCAACAAAATGAAAGGTTGTTTTTTTTAAAAAGACAAACAAAATTAACTAACAAACCTTTAGCTAGGCTGGAAAAAAGAGAGAAGATCCAAACAAATAAAACCAGAAACAAAAGAGGAGATAAAACAACTGAGACCACAGAAATACAAAGAGACTATTATGAAGAGGCTAATATATGAGAGACTGTTATGAAGAACTATACACCAACAAATTGGAAAACCTAGAAGAAATGGATAATTTCCTGGACACAGCCTACCAAGGTTGAATCAAGGAGAAAGAGAAACCTTAATACACCAATAATGAGTAAGGAGACTGAAGCCATAACAGTCTCCCATCAAAGAAGAGCCCAGGACCTAATGGCTTCATTCCTAAATTCCATCAAACATATAAAGAACTAATACCAATTCTACTCAAACTCTTCAAACAAAATTGAAGCAGAAGGAATACTTTCAAACTCATTCTATGAGACCAGCATTACCCTGATACCAAAACCAGACAAGGACACAACCAAAAAAAGAAGACTACAGGCCAACATCCCTGATGAACACAGATGCAAAAATCCTCAACAAAATTCTAGCAAACCAAATTCAACATCACATTAGAAAGATCATTCACCACGATCAAGTGGAATTCATCCCAGGGATGCAGATTGTTCAACATAAGCAAATCAGTGAACATGATACATCAAATTAACATAATCATGAACAAAAAAGCCTATTATTGTTTCAACAGATGCTGGAAAAGCATTAAATAAAATTCAACATCACTTCATGATAAAAACCCTCAACAAAGGAACATCCCTCAAAATAATAAAGAATATATATTACAAACCCACACCTAACACTGTACTCAATGTGGAAATATTAAAAGCCTTTCCTCTAAGATCTGGAGCAAGACCAGGATGCCCACTTTCACCACTTTTATTCAATGTAATACTGGAAGTCCTGTCCAGAGCAATGAGGCAAGAGAGAGAAATAAAGAGTATCCAAATTGGAAAGGAAGAAGTCAAATTAGCCTTGCTTGCAGATGACATGGTCTTATACTCAGAAAAGCCTGAGGAACTCAACCAAAAAAACTGTTAAAAATGATTAATGGTCCGGGCGTGGTGGCTCATGCCTGTAATCCCAGCACTTTGGGAGGCCGAAGTGGGCGCATCACCAGGTCAGGAGATCGAGACCATCCTGGCTAACATGGTGAAACCACGTCTCTAATAAAAATACAAAAAAAAAAATTAGCTGGGCATGCTGGCGGGCGCCTGTAGTCCCAGCTACTCAGGAGGCTGAGGCAGGAGAATGGCGTGAACCCGGGAAGCGGAGCTTGCAGTGAGCCAAGATTGTGCCACTGCACTCTAGCCTGGGCGACAGGGCGAGACTCCGTCTCAAAAAAAAAAAAAAAAATCAATGAATCCAGTAAAGTTGTAGGATACAAAATCAACATACAAAAATCAGTAGCATTTATATACACCAACAGCAAACAATCTGAAAAAAAAATCAAGAAAGCAACCCCACTTACAATAACTACAAAGAATAGAAAATATCTAAGAATCAATCCAACCAAAGAAGTAAAATATCTCTACTAGAAAAAGTATAAAACACTGATGAAAGAAATTAAAGAGGACACAGAAAAATGAAAAGATACTCCATGCTCATGGATTAGAAGAACCAATATTGTTAAAGTAACAATTCTGGCTAATGTGGTAACTCACGCCTGTATCCCAGCACTTTGGGAGGCCGAGACTGAAGGACTGCCTGAGCCCAGGAGTTCAAGGTAAGCCTGGGCAACATGGTGAAACCCTGTCTCTACAAAAAATACAAAAATTAGCTGGACGTGGTAGCACACGCCTATAGTCCCAGCTACTGGGGAGGCTGAAAGGTGGGAGGATTGCCTGAGACCAGAAGTCAAGGCTGCAGTGAACTGTATGTAATTGCACCACTGTACTCCAGCCTGTAAGACACAGCAAGATCCTGTCTCAAAACAAAACAACAAAACAATTCTACCCAAAGCAATTTACAAAGTCAATGGAATCCCTATCAACGTATAAATGACGTTCTTCACAGAAATAGAAAAAACAATCCTAAAATATGTATGGAACCATAAAAGACCCTGAATAGCCAAATCAATCTTGAGCAAAAAGAAAGCTGGAGGCATCACACTACCTGACTTCAGAATATACTACAAAGCTATAGAAACCAAATCAGCATGCTATTGGCATAAAAACAGACATACAGACCAATGAAACAGAACAGAGAACCTACATATAAATCCAGACATTAACAGCTAACTCATTTTCAACAAAGGCATCAAAAACATACAATGGGGAAAAAAACAGTCTCTTCAACAAATGGTGCTGGGAAAACTGAATAACCACATGCAGAACAATGAAACTAAAAACAGAACCTCCTTATCTCTCACCATATACAAAAGTCAAAATGGATTGAAGACTTAAATCTAACACCTGAAACTATGAAACTACTAGAAGAAAACATTGGGGAAATGCTCCAGGACATTGGTCTGTGCAAAGATTTTTTTGGGTAAGACCTCAAAAGCACAGGCAACCAAGCCAAAAATAGACAAAAGGATTACATCAAGCTTCTGTTGAGCAAAGGAAACAATCAATGAAGTGATAAAGACAATTCATAAAATGGAAAAAATATTCACACGCTACTCATCTAACATGGGATTAACAACCAAAATATATAAGGAGCTCAAACAACTCAATAACAACAAAACAAATAATCTGATTTTTAAATAGGCAAAAGGTCTGAATAGATATTTCTCAAAAGAAGACATAAAAATGGCCAGACACATGAAAAGATGCTCAACATCACTAACCATCAGAGAAATACAAATCAAAATCATAATGCGATATCATCTCACCCCAGTTAGAATGGCTTTTATCAAAAAGACAATGAATAATGGATGCTGGTGAGGATGCGGATAAAGGAGAATCCTCGTACACCACTGCTGGGAATGTAAATTAGTACAGTTACTATGGAAAACTGTGTGGAGGTTCCTCAATCCAACAATTCCACTTTTGAATATAAACCCAAAAGAAAATCAATATACTGAAGATATCTCTGTACTCCCATGTTTATTGAAGCACTATATTCACAATAACAAAAATTATTAGAATCAATGTAAGTGCCCATCAGTGGATGAATGGATAAAGAAAATATGGTATATATACACAATGGAATGTTATTCAGCCATATAAAAAAAATGAAATCCTGTCATTTGCAGCAACGTAAGTGAAACTGGAAGTCATTATATGTTAAGTGAAAAAAGCCAAGTACAGAAAGACATTATTACATGTTCTCATTCATATGTGGGAGCTAAAAAAGTGGATCTCATGAAGATATAGAGTAGACTGGTAGTTACCAGAAGCTGAGAAGGGTGGGGGTGCAGGGATGAAGAGAGGTTGATTAAGGGGTACAAATATAGAGTTTGATAGAAGAAACAAGACCTAGTGTTTGGTAGATCAGCAGGGTGACTATAGTTTACAATAATATGTTGTATATTTCAAAATAGCTAGAAGAGAATAAATCAAATATTTCTAGCATAAAGACAAATATTTAAGATGAGATGAATATCCCAATTACACTGATTTGATCTTTACAAATTATGTAAATGTAGTAAATTATCACATGTACCCCAAACATATGTACATCTACTATGTCTCAATAAAAAATACTAAATATTATAAATGGGCAAAGGATGTGAATAAACATTTTCCTGAGGAGATATCAAATGGCAAATAAGCACATTAAAAGATTCTCAACATCAGCAGCCATCAGCAAAATGCAAATCGGAACCACACGCTCACTAGGACAGCTATAATTAAAAAGTCAGACAATAACTAGTGTTGTGGAGAAACTGGAAATTTCATACACTACTTCTAGGAATGTTAAATGGTGCAGGTGCTTTATAGAATAGTCTGGTAGTTCTTCAAAAAGTTAAAAAAATAGAGTTATCATATGACCAGCAATTCTACTCCTAGGTATATGTCTAAGAGAAATGAAAATACATGTCCACACAAATACCTGTACATGAATATTCATAGCAGCATTATTCATAATGGTCAAAAGGTGAACACAACTCAGAAGTCCATCAATTGATGAATGGATAAATACAATACAGCATATCCAGAAAATAGAATATTATTCAGCCATAAAAAGGAATGAAGTGCTGATAAATGCTATACTATATATAAAATTAAAATATTTCAATTAAAAATTGTATACTAAAACTTTTTAATTTTTAGCATTTTTAGTATACAATTTTTAATTAAAATATTTTAATTTTATATTATATAGAGAAAAATTTTAAATATTATGCTAAGGGAGCCAGACACAAAAAATCACATATTATATGACTCCATTTATGTGAAATGTCCAAAATAGGCAAATTTATAGAGAAAGAAAGGAGATTAATGGTTGCTGGGGCTTAGGGAATTGGTGGGAAATGAGTACTGACTGCTATTTGAGACGGTGTTTCTTTTTAGGGTGACAGTGTTCTAAAATTGATTGCGCTTATGGTTGCACAACTCTGTGAACAAAGATCACTGAATTGTATAAATAGGTAAAATGTATAGTATGTGAACTACATCTCAATAAACTTACATAATTTTTTTTTTGAGACAGGGTCTTCCTCTGTCACTCAGGCTGGAGCACAGTGGCAGGATCACAGTTCACTGCAGGTCTGACCACCTGGCTCTAGTGATCTTCCTGCTTCAGCCTCTCGAGTAGCTGGAACTACAGGTATGTGACACCTGCCTAATTTTTTTTTTTTTATTTTTATTTTTTATAGAGACAGGGTCTCGCTAAGTGCTTAGACTGGTCTCAAACTCCTGGGCTCAAGTGATCCTCTTGCCTCAGCCTCCTGAGTAGCTGCCTTGCCTCAAAGTGCTGGGATTACAGGCATCAGCCACCTCACCTGGCCTATTATACAATCTTTTAAACTTATCTATACTCATTGTTTTCTTTAGCAGTTGCTAATGAGATGACCTAATTTTGAATATACCATTAGAGAAAATGCATTCATTAAATTATTCAATTTATATCATAGGAATAAATTATGAATATACAGAAATATAATCATTTGCCACTACAACCACTTACATATCTTTATTTTTATTTAATGATGCACTAAATATAGTATTTTTATTTTAATTATTTTTTTAGAGACAGAATCTTGCTATGTTGCCCAGGCTGGGACTATAAGTGTGCACCAGTGTACCTGGCTTTAAACCCTGAATCATATTAAGATTAAAAAAAAAAAAAAAGAGGTAAAGTGATCATTACCAAAAAATAAACTAACAAGAAAGAACTGTTAATGTTAAGAAAGTTTTCTCAGACAATAAAACTAAATGACAAAAAAACAATTTAATATTTGAACAGGCTCCTCACATCCCTCAAAATCCCATATCCCAACCCGATATCCTATAACTTTCATACATGAATTAAAGAAAGGTTTTCTTAGGACTATGTTTAATTATTTAGAGTCCTGGGTTGATATGGCAAGTGAGTTCTACTAAGCATACAGTTGATCTCACGGGGTCCTGAATAAGGCAAAATGATAAATCATAAAAATCCAAAGTCCAAAGCTTTGGGCAAAAACACATTAACTAAACTTGTCAAAAACAGTGCAAACCAGAAGTCAGTGGAGCAACATCTTTAATGTATTAAAAGACAAAAAAAACAGTCAATTTTTTAGTGGTTACCCTGGAGTTTGAAGTATACATTTGCAACTATTCTAAATCCACTTTCAAATAATACTATACTGCCTCAAAGGTAACTTATATTAGGTTGGTGCAAAAGTAACTGTGGTTTTTGCATTGTTGGAATTTGCTGTTTGATTGTAATACATTCTTAAATAAATGTGATTATGTTATACATCCTTTTAACAGGCATTTCTCACTTTATGTTTTTTTGCTAATGACTTATTACTTGCTGTTCATTTTATGTTTAGAGTATGGAAATGACGTCAGACAAAAAGCAAATTTGAGCGATTTTCTTATTTGAGTTCAAAATGGGTTGTAAAATAGCAGAGACAACTCACAACATCAACAATGCATTTGGCCCAGGAACTGCTAACAAATGTACAGTGCGGTGGTGGTTCAAGAAGTTGTGCAAGGGGGACAAGAGGCTTGAAGATAAGGAACTTGGTGGCTGGCCATCAGAAGTAGACAACAACCAATTGAGAGCAATCATCAAAGCTGATCCTCTTAAAACTACACGAAAAGTTGCCAAAGAACTCAACATAGAGCATTCTACAGTCATTCAACATTTGAAGCACATTGGAAAAGTGAAAAAGCTACATAAGTGGGTGCCTCATGAGCTGCATGAAAACAAAAGAAATCGTTTTGAAGTATGGTCTTCTCTTATTCTACCCAATAACAACGAAACATTTCTTGACTGGATGGTAACATGACAGAAAATGGATTTTATGTGATGACCAGCTCAGTGGCTGGACCAAGAAAAGGTCATGGTCACAGTTTGGTGGTCTGCTGCCCGTTTGACCCACTACAGCTTTCTGAATCCAGGCAAAAACCAATACATCTGAAAAGTATGCTCGGCAAATCAATGAGATGCACCGAAAACAGAAAGGGCCCAATTCCTCTTCAAGACAATGCCTGACCGCCAACCAGCGCTTCAAAAGTTGAAGAAATTGGGCTATACAATTTTGCTTCAGCCATCATATTCACCTGACCTCTTGCCAGTGGACTATGATTTCTTCCAGCATCTGGACAACTTTTTGCCAGGAAAATGCTTCCACAACCCATAGGATGCAGAAAATGCTTTCCAAGAGTTCACTGAATCCTGAAGCACAGATTTTTTTTTTTTGAGACGGAGGAGTTTCGCTCTTGTTGCCCAGGCTGGAGTACAATGGCACAATCTTGGCTCACTGCAACCACCGCCTCCGGGGTTCAAGTGATTTTCCTACCTCGGCCTCCCTCCTAGTAGCTGGGATTACAGGCATGCGCCACCATGCCCGGCTAATTTTGTATTTTTAGTAGAGACGGGGTTTCTCCATGTTGGTCAGGCTGGTCTCAAACTCCCAACCTCAGGTGATCCACCCACCTGGGCCTCCCAAAGTGCTGGGATTACAGGCGTGAGCCACCACGCCGAGTCCCAAAGCAAAGATTTTTATGCTACAGAAATAAACAAACGTATCTTTTGGCGAAAATGTGTTGATTATAATGGTTCCTATTTTGATTAATAAAGATGTGTCTGAGCCTAGTTACAATGATTTAAAATTCCTGGTCCAAAACTGCAATTACTTATAAGGGACAGCCCTCCTGTCCCTTATAAAATTGCTGCCATTAATTTCACTTATCCCTAAGCTATAACTGAATGCATTACTGCTATTATTATTTTGAACAGTTACCTATCAGTTAAGAACAAGAAAATAAAAGATTTTACCTTTACTTATTCCTTTTCTAATACTCTTCCTTTCTTTATGTAGATCCAAGTTTCTCACCTATATCATGTTCCTTTTCTCTGGAGAACTTCTAACATTTCTTATAAGGCAAGTAACATTTCTTACTGGCAACAGATTCCCTCAATGTTTATTTGTCTGAGAAAGTTTTTTATTTCTCTTTCATTTTGAAGGATAATTTCACTGCACACAGAATAATTCGAGGTTGGTGTTTTTCTTTCAACACTTAAAACACTTCACTCCTCTCGCTTCTTGCTTGCATTGTTTGTGAACAGAAGTCCGATGTAATTTTTGCTTTCTTCACATAGAAGTAAGGTGGGTTTTTTCGCCTCTGGTTTCTTTCAAAATTTTCTCTTTATCTTTGGTTTCCTGCAGTTTGAATATGATATGTGTAGGTGTTTAATTTTGGAAAATTCTCAGTCATTATTACTTCAAATATTTATTTTGTTCTTCTGAAAAGCCCATCAAAGGTATTCTTCATTTCTGTTATAGATTTTATTTCTAGCATTTCCTTTTCTTACAATTCCAATCCCTATGCCTCTATTATCCATCTGTTCTTTTTGTTACTGTTGTTGTTGTCGTCATTGTTGTTTTTGAGACAGGGTCTCGCTCTGTCACTCAGGCTGGAGTGCAGTGGCGTGATCTTGGCTCACTGCAGCCTTGACCTCATGGGCTCAGGCAATTCTCCCACCTCAGCCTCCCAAATGGCTGGGACTACAAGCACATATGCCACCACACCCAGCTAATTTTATTTTTTATAGAGACAAGGTCTCACTATGCTGCCCAGGCTGGTCTTGAACTCCTGGGCTCAAGTGATTCTCCCACCTCGCTTCCCAAAGTGCTGAGATTACAGGTGCGAGCCACCACGTCCAGCCACTCATCTGTTCTTGTATATTGTCTACATTTTTTATTACAGACCTTACCATGTTACTCATCATTATTTTAAATTATCAATCTGACAATTCCAAAATCTCTGCCATATCTAGCTGGGAGTTAAGACTGTCATGTTTACTATTTGCTGTAGTTATAGGTGTTAGAGGCTAATATTTTCTCTACTGTCCTTGTTTTTGTCTCATACTGTCTTTGGGTTTCCCTAGAAACTCTTTACATAGTGTGAGTCTAAGCCTTGCAGTTCTTTCAGCTGTAATCTTCTGTTATTATACAGGAGCCTGCTGACATGAGGGGAGGGGAAGAACCTGTTGATGTGGGGTATGGGGAGAAGATAAAGTGTTCTATAGTCCTATGATTACGTTTCAGTCTTTAAGTGGGCCTGTGTCCCGGGGGTGTGACCGTCACAAGTGATTTTCAGCTTTTCCCCCCACTTAGGTGAAACAGGAAGAATAAAGGGGGCTGGAGTTAGATACTTCCCTTTCCCTGAGTTGGTTACGGCGCTGGTGGTTTCCCTTGGCAAATGTTACATGTGACCTTGTAAACAATGTGTATTCTGAAATTATTAGGTAGGTGTAGGGTTCTAAAAATGTCAATTAGACTGAGTTGGTTGACAGTGTTGTTCAAGTGTTTCATATACTTACTGATTTTCTACCCACTTGTTTCACCAAATGCTGAAAAGAGGAGTGTTGAAGTCTCCAACTGTAACACTGGCTTTATCTTTTTCTCTCTTTAGTTCTCCCTTATGTTCTCCCTTGATGTCAGTATTGCATCAAGTTTTTTGAACTTTTTGTCTTTTTGAAAACTTGAACTTTTTATCATTTTGAAATATCCCTCTTTAATTCTGATAATATGTCTTACCATGAAGTCTACTTTGCCTGATCTTTAGATACGCCAGTGTTCCTAGTGACTTTTCCTTGCAAAGTACATTTCTCCACTGTTTTACTTTCAAACTGTCTATATATTAAGTATGATTCTTATGAGCTGCATATGGTAGTGCTTTGCATTTTAAGTTAGAATAATAAGTCCACGTAAAACTAATCCAATTATTTAAGTAATAAGGTTTGAGGTTATGTTTTGCCATTTTGTTTTCTATTTTTCCTGCTTATTCATTGCTCATTTTTTTCCCCTAACCTGCTCTCTTTTGGCCTGAAAAAATTTTAGATTCAATTCTGCCTTATCAGTTGTCTTATTAACTACATCTCTTTAAGTAGTTGTTCTTATGATGATTTCCCTGTATATGGTTTGAGAGATTTTTCTTGGCTGCTTTAAAGATTTTTATTAATTTGCAACAATTCAATTATGATGTGCCATGGTGTCTCTCTCTCTGTGTGTATGTGTGTGTGTGTGTCCTGTTTAGGATCGGTGGTGGTGTTTTTTGTTTCTGGGACAGGATTTCACTTTGTCGCTCAGGCGGCTATGTTGTATTATAAGTTTTGTTCTATTGTGTTTTCATTAAAATTACTAAATACACTTAAATACCTATCTTAAAGTCCTTTTATTTGAATTTGATCACATATTGCATTCTGGGTCTGTTTTTATTCACAAGACTTTCTCCTTTTTATAGATTACATTTGCCTACTTCTTTATATATCTAGTAATTTTTTTTTTTCTCAGACAGAGTCTTTCTCTGTTGCCCAGGCTGGAGTGCAGTGGCTCACTGCAACCTCCGCTTCCTGGGTTCAAGCCATTCTCATGCCTCAGCCTTCCGAGTAGCTGGGACTACAGGCGCCGCCACCTCGCCCAGCTAATTTTTGTATTTTTAGTAGAGACGAGGTTTCACCATATTGGCCAGGCTGGTCTCAAACTCCTGACATTGTGATCCACCGCGCCCGGCCATATCTAGTAATTTTTAAATAGATGGTGGGCATTGTAGATACCTGCTTATATGTGGATTTTATTGTCTTCCTTTCAAGAAAGGTTTGTCCCAGCAGGCAACTAATTTACTTGCAGATCAATCTGATTGTTTTGAGCCTCGTTTTTAAATTTTGTTAGTGCAGGTCCAGGAAAGCCTTTACGCTAAGACTACATTAGCCCTACTCATAAGATGTGACCTTTCTGGAATTTCTACTGAATGCCTGGTGTATTCAAGAAGGTCTCAATACTCTGAATAGACAAAATGTTCATATTTTGCAGATGTGTGCAAACTTTGGTAGTTGCTTAATTTATGGTTTTCAGTAGCTATCCTTTCACTGAAAATTGGCCTCATAGGGTCTTAACCTGTCCATACACAGCTTAACATTCAGCCATAGGCTGTTCATTTATTCATTTCATGAAGGAATTTAGAAAAGATGCTATCCTTTAGTCTGATACATGACTTTAATGGTGTAGGCCAGAAATTCTTAATTGTTTTATAAAAAGGAGTTAATTCTATTTCCCAAAGCTCTGAGGTCAAAGAGAACTGATTTTAAATATTCCAAACCAAACAGAAAACAGAGTACCATTATTGTCCATGTTCCATTCCCTCTATAAAATATGGGCAAACAACAGAGAATTAACAAAGTGTGTATAGCAATGGTAACTGACATGGAAATGTAACATGTAGACAGGCCTTCAAACATCTACTGGCAGATTAGGAAGTATTGGTTAAAAACACAGGTTCATAAAACTATAGATCAGCAGAAAAGGAACTGATTGCCCATTGCATAGTGCTAGACCAAGTGGTTATCAAGCTGGGAAAAAAGGTAGGGTTAGATTTCCAAAATCATACTGCCCAAGAAATCAATCCAGATAGATTCAAATCCAAGTATATACAAAATATTTTTAAAGTCTCTGTCTAGAAGGAGATTTTTAAAAACAAGCATAAAAGGCTTAAACTACAAAAGAAAAAGCTATGACTTTAAATTAAAATGGCCACAAATACCACAAATTAAAAGACAAAGACCTGAAAGAGATGTTTCCAATACACTTAACCACAAATGATCAGTATCCAGAATATATAAAGAACTCCTACAAATCAGTAAGAAAGATAGCAACCCAAAAGAAAAATGGTGAAAGAATATGATGGGGCCATTTCCACAGAAAAGGAAGAAAAGGAAAGTAGAACGACTGATAATATATCAAATGATAATCAACCTTTAGGTTTTACGTTCTGAAAATTCCTACAAACTTCTTTCACTCAAAACAAAACTTTTTGATACAGCCAAGATAAAATGCCTAACGGGTTAGTTGCTTGGTGTAGGCTTTCTCTACTCCAGTACAATAAAATTAGACTTATTTGAAAGGAAAAAAATGCCAGGGCTATAATGTCATCTGCTAATTTGTCCTTTTTGTCATTAGAAAAATTTCACAAAGCAGGTTAATGTTTAAGGTATATTTTCCTCAACTGGCAAAGAGAACTGAATACTGTTCATCCTACTTCTTTCCCAGAAGTATAGTGGCCAAAGCGAAGGAGATTTATGGAAGGCAATGATTAACCCAGAGAACTAACCTAGGCAGTCAAGCAACCGATCACCTCATCGTTTTCAAGAATCAACTACAGATAATAAGACGGCAACAGGAGAGAAATATAAGAAGCTCTCGGCATGTGGCCAACTGCCTTGGAAGGGAAGAAGAAACAAAAACTTTTGGGGTCCACTTAAAAACTCAATGAGAATATACTTCTATCTGAAGAAAAAAGTGTTAACAAGAATGCAGGTGGCAACAATAGACAGTGGGAACTACTAGAAAGGAAAGGTAGGGAGGGGGGCAAGGATTAAGTAACCATTGGGTGCCATGCTCACTACCTGGGTAACGGGGGTAAATCATGTCCCAAGCCTCAGCATCATGCAATATACCCATGTAACAAACCTGAATATGTACCCCTGAATCCAAAATATAAGTTGCAATTTTTTTAAAAAACAGCTAAAATAAAGAAAATTAAAAGTATTAAATATATTTAGAAATTGGAGTAAAGTTACTCTTAAAACCTTATAAAGAAAACCATTTTTTAAATATTTTCTGGTTATTCTAAATAAATTAGGGGGATATACCAACAATTCACCATACGTTTTTACTGAACACCTAAGTGTGTACAAGGCTTTATAAAGGTAATGTGGATTTCAAAATGAATTAAGTACAACCTCTACCTTTAAAGAGCTGGGGATGGGGTTGTTGCAAAAAGTTATACTGCAAGACAGAGATGGAAACAAAATGCTTAGGGAGCCCCCCTAAAAAGGGAAACTAATTGGAATGGATGTGGCAAGAAAGGATTCATAGAAGTGTTATTTACACCAGTCTTTAAAGGATGGGTAGGAATTTAACAGACATAGGAAAAGGAGACTGGAAAAGGTAAAGCAGACAAAAAAACAGAGGGAACAGTTTAAGCAAAGGTATGGGGGTTAGACAAAGCATAGGATATATTCAGGAAATGCCAAGCATATGAGTGGGGCTGAAATATAAGATTCATGGTAAAGAGAAAGAAAAATGGGAAATAAGCCTAGAAAAGAACAATGGAGACAGACTGAGGAAGTCCCTTTACACAACACAAAAAGTTCATTTTCAGCTGTGGGGATTCAAATGATTTTGTGCTGTACAGACATACATAATGTAGCCCTTTACTGTCAGATGGGCCTGTGTATGAGTTAAGTCTCATTTTAACAATTGTGCTGTCTTGTGGTCATCAATCCACCAACTCCCATGAGAGTTAACAGTTAATCAGAATAAATGCTGAGGTTGGTTAAATGCTAAATTTTAAAACAGATCCTGCTGCTCCATAATCAATATGATTCTATTAATAGAGTAACAATATAATTTCTTGTACAAACTGGATTGTTGAGAATAAAGGTGGTTCCTATTAATAATAATGCTAGTGTAAATTAGGAACATCCCAACAAACTGGGATGAAGTGACTTTAGTTATAAAAACTCCCAAATCAGCTGGGCACGGTGGCTGGCTCACGCTTACAATCCCAGCGCTTTGGGAGGCCGAGGCGGGTGGATCACCTGAGGTCAGGAGTTCGAGACCAACCTGACCAACAAGGTGAAACCCCATTTCTACTAAAAATACAATTAGCCAGGCGAGTTGGCAGGCGCCTGTAGTCCCAGCTACTCAGGAGGTTGAAACAGGAGAATTGCTTGAACCCAGGAGGCAGAGGTTGCAGTGAGCCAAGACCACGCCACTGCACTCCAGCATGAGCGACGGAGTGAGACTCTGTCTCAAAACAAACAAACAAACAAACAAACAAACAAACAACTCCCAAATCACAGGGACTCTACTTTTCTTCCACAAATTCCCTTCAGTGGGAATCTCCTTTTGTAAAGCCTTAGGAGAATCTAGTATTTGATACTGAGATTAGTGGCTATGGCATTTTAAAGAGATAGGCATATATTAAAAATGAATAAATCTACTCTTTGTATAGTAGCAGAGACTTGAAGGATGAATAACTTCGTGTAAATCTATATGAGACTTCTTTACCTTAACTAATGACAACCATGAAGACACAAGAACTACATACTGATCACTAACCTCACAAGTATAATTAGACTCAGATGGTATTTCCTGAGCTTCGGTGTTTTTTATATTTGAAAACAGTTAATTTTCAACTATACCTACCATCCCAAAATATATCAGTCTTTATTTTAGCATACTGAAGGAAAAAAATCTGTTTATTGCTAAAATTACAGAATACACCTGATGGTTTGCAAAAGACTTAATACGGGTGGCTGCAAAACTTAGCCTTTAGCCTCTTGCCAAATACCGTACCAGATGTGTTCTGAATCACCAGTAAACCGGGATGCCCTCGTGTGAGATTATTTCAACTCCAACTTTCAAATGCTTGCTATTAGAAAACACTTACAGAGAAAAATGCAATCTCACTAACTAGAAATTAATAAAGAGACAAAACAAACCTGTGGTCTTTATGAGCAAATAAAACCAAAAACTTCAAATGTCACGACTCTAAGGAAAGTAATTTAACCTCTATTAATTTTCGTCAAAGTCTAAGACCTGATTAAAGATGGTTTTCACCCTGTAAAAAGTTGTTAACCTTTTCACATTAAAAAAATTCACTTTACGTCAGGGGTTGGCATAAGGTATAACAGGACAAATGGCAAATATTTTAGGCACTGTGGGTCACAGTGAACCTTTGGTGCAACTACCTCCTGCTGAAGCATGACAACAGCCATTATAAGTAATCGATGTGAGGGGCAGTGATCCAATAAAGTTTTACTTAGAAAAATAGGTGGCTGGACTGGATTTGGCTCACAGACTATAGTTGGTCAACCCCTCTTTCAGAATATAAGCTCTGGGCAGTCCTTGATACATAATAGATGCTCTATATATGTTTATTGATGAATCATATTATTTAATAAGCAAAAAACTTAACCAAATGTCTCTACTACTATACAAACACTGTGTTCATTGAGTATTGAGACTCAACTTCCTAAGTTAGAATTTATAGGTTATTTCCCCACACAAAATCCTTACTTTAAAATTTTTTTAATTAAAAATTTTACTTTAATTGTATTATGAATCATGGAACACTATCATGTCAGTATTGAACTCTGTTCACCCAAGATATGAATTTTCTGGCTCCTTGGGGCTGTTCATATAAATAAGCAATCCAACGATCAGGTATAAGGACTAGAGCTGAATGGTCATGTTGAGTTAAGGCCACAGTTAATACCTTAACAGGCAAGTGAGAGCCAAAGGCAAATGGGAAGAACTGTGTGGAAACTGGTCTGCAGAGAAAACAATGGAAGAGAAGTAAGACTTGTTTATACCATGCAACGAAGATCTGTGAGATTTCTCTATACTGTAATAATAAATCCCCTTTTTATTGGAGGTTTTCTTTTTTTTCTTTTCTTTTTTTTTTGAGACAAGGTCTCGCTCTGTTGCCCAGGCTGGCGTATAATAGAGTAATCTTGGCTCACTGCAACCTCTGCCTCCTAGGCTCAGATGATCCACCTCAGCCTCCTGGGTAGCTGGGACCACAGGCACCGGCCACCACACCCAGCTAATTTTTGTAGTTTTTGGAAAGATGGTGTTGCCCAGGCTGGTCTTGAAATTCTGGGCTCAAGTGATCCACCTGCCTCGGCCTCCCAAAGTGCTGGGATTACAGGCGTGAGCCACTGTGCCTGGCCATTTTCTTTTCTTTCCAAGACAGGGTCTAACTGTCACCCAGGCTGGAGTGCCATGGCACAATCACGGCTCACTGTAGCCTCAACCTCCCAGGATTAAATGATCCTCTCACCTCAGCCTCTCCAGTGTATGGGACTACAGGAGCACACCACCACACTTGGCTATTTTTTTTTTTTTTTTCAATTTTTAACAAAGATGAGGTCTTGGTATGTTGCCCAGCCTGGTCTCTAACTCCTGCTTGAGGAGTTAGAGACTCCTCAAGCAATCTTGCCTCAAGCAATCTTCCTGCCCCGGCCTCCCAAAGTGCTGAATGGGATTACAGGCGTGAGCCACCACACCTGGCCAATTACAGCTTTTTTGAAAGAGCTTGTGGTCTTTGCAAACAAATCATTCCTGAATAGAAAATGGAATATGAAACACTTTGGAGAGGATTTAATGCTTGAGCTTAAACTTTAAAAACGAGTAGGCAGGGTTTTGAGTCAAGGTGAAATAATAGGGAATACATTTACCCACTGCCTGAAATAATTAATAAACAGAAAAGCATGTAAATCAATGGTCTTTACACATTAGACATTGGCCAGCATAGGACAGTAATCCCTGAGAGACGGGAAACAAACATTGTAAGTCCTTCTTCAATAGCTCCCCACTTAACAGCTTCCACGGAGCAGAGGGATAAGAAACCCAGGTGGAAGCTGGCAATCTCCCTGAGTTGAGGAAACAAAGTTGAAGGCCATGCTTGTTAGAATTTGCCTAGTAGAATACCGGGAGAAGAGAACTGCAGAGACAGACAGGAGTAGATCTGCAGAGGGTTCCCTCAAGGTTTTACTGAAAGTATCAGCACGTGCTTTGTGAGGAATGTACCTAAAGCAGAAAAATAAGTAACTAAAATGGGCAGAGGGAACAATCCCAAGGGCTCACACAGTAGCAGGAATAACTTATGTTTCATCTAAGAAGGAAACATACTTCACAAGACATCGAGTAGAATAATCATAAGATTATTGACTCAGTAGATGGGCAACATTAGCCCTAGTTAAGTTTGTTCTGTTCCCACCCAACTAAGCATAAAAAGACTTGAAAGGATTACACTATCTCCAAATAACTTAAGTGTCCCAGAATAAAGCTCAAGAATATTTCTAAAAATACAATGATATCCAGAACACAAGGTAAAATCCACCATGCCTGGAATCCAGTGAAAAAAACTAGGCATGTAATAAACAGAACAATGTGACCCATTATGAGGAAAAAAATGTAGCAATAGAAACAAGCCAGGAAATGATACAGATGATGGAATTAGTAAGCAAAGATATTAAAATAGTTATTGCAACTGTAAACTATATGTTCAAGAAGTAGAAGAATGCCTGAATATATTAAATAGAGATGTGGACAATAAACAAACATAAATCAAAATTTTCATCTCATGACGGATGAAAAATAAATGAAGAGGAAAAATATGAGTAGAACTAAGAATATATCAGAAATGCCGGAATTAAAGATTAATAAACTTGAAGACAAAGCCATAGAAACCGTCCAAAATGAAGCACAGAAAAAGCCTGAAAATACATGAACAAGGCTGGGTGCGGGTGTGGTGGCTCATGCCTGTAATCCCAGCTCTTTGGGAGGCTGAGGCAGGAGAAATGCTTGAGGCCAGGAGTTAGAGCCCAGCCTGGGCAACATTGTGAGACCCTACCTCTACTAAAAATTAAAAAATTAGCCAGGCACGGTGATGCGCACCTGTTGTTCCAGCTATTCAGGAGGCTGAGATGGGAGGACTGCTTGAGCCCAGGAATTCGAGGCTGCAGTGAGCCATGCTTGTGCCATTGCACTCCAGCCCGGGTGACAGAGCAAGACCCTGTCTCAAAAAAAAAAAAAAAAAAAAAAAAAAAACCAAAAAACATTAGTATCCTATGTTACATCTTTAAGCAGGCTTATATATGTATAACTTAAGTTCCTGCAGTGGAGGGTAAGTGCTATATACAATTACCAAAAAAACAAAACAAAACAAAAAAGGTAGAAAAGTATGGGCTTAAAATGGTACTACAAGAGCAAACTATTACATATTATGGAGAGGAAGAAAGTAATGAGAAAAGCTGTACATTTGGATAATTAAAGAAAAAAACTGTGAAAAGACAGAAATTGTTTTACATTTTTGTAAATCACTCTAACGTCTGGGTTTCAGAAGAGAAAGCTGGGTTATCATATCCGCTTTTGTCCAATCTGTTGCTTATGCTGTTTTGGCTGGGAAAGACAACCAACCAGTCTGTGTTATGCAGAAAAGTGGAATGAGATATTACCTATAAACTATCCTAGTCAGCTCACAACAGAAAGAACCAGAGAAGCTATTTGTTTATGAAACTTATCCCACACAGGTGATAAGGCAGAAAGGAGACAGAATCATAATGAGTTTCCATAAAAAACATTACAGGTTCACAGTTCTTCATGAAGTGTAAGTGGATGCCATGGGTCTGAGCTGGGTGTTAGTTAAGTTCTAAGTGTAAGAAGCCAAATTGCCAGAGGTCATAGAAGAAAAAGGGGAAAGGGACCAAGTAATGGAATTACAAGGGAGGAAAGCCAGAGCAGAGTTGAGTCTAGTTCAGAATATCTCACAATATTATATTTATTATATAGTCCAACATATTTCAAGTTGAGTCAGAACATTTTAACTGGTTTTGTCACTCGCATTTATATAAATCTGTCACTTTCCCAACTTCTTCTGGGCTTAAATTCCCTAACAAAAGGCATTCTATAACATTCATAATCCTCTCAGATCTGATTCACACAGTACCTATGTTCCTATCAGTAACTCAGAAAATGACTGAAAGAGAACTTTTAGGTGCACTTTTGACAGGCTGGCTTACATGTTAAAAGTCTTACCCTAAGAGCAATTATCCCTGGGCAGATACCAACTATAACCAGGAGGTCAGAAATTAAAATCCTAGGGCACAGAATAGCTCTGTGTTGCCTTCTACTGATACTCTGCCTATATTTAAAGCAAATTTTGGGCCCAATACCGAAGGGAATTTTTATAAAGCTACCTCACAGCTTAAAAAGCCTATCAAAATAATCTCCATTAATACTTCTAAAAAGTACCACCTAATGACAACTTAGAAATCAAACCACAATCTGGTAAGAACAGAGGACATAAACTACAAGAAAACAGAAAACATTTGATATTTTAGGTTAGGCAAAGATTTCTTAGGTCACCAAAAAGTATGAATCACGAAAGGAAAAAAAAAAAAAAGATAAATTGGACTTTATCATAGTTTAAAACCTTGACTCTTCAAAAGATACCACTAGAAAAATAAGAATGCAAGCCATAGATTGGGAGAAAATATCTGCAAAACATGTATCTGATAAAGGACTTGAGTCCAGAATGAATAAAGAACCCTTTCAACTCAACAAGAAGAAAAACAACTCAATTTTGTAAAAAAGATTTGGATACTTCACCAAAGAAGATATGTGAATGGCAAATATGCACACTAAAAGATGTTCAGATTCTTAGACCTTAGGGAAATGAAAATTAAAACCACAATGAGATATCATTACACTTTCACTAGAAAAGACAGAATTTTAAAAGACTAAATATAAACAAATGTTGGAGAGGGTAGGAGAAACTGGACCTCCCATGAGTTGCTGGAGCTAATGCAAAATGGTACAGCCACACTGGGAAAAAAATCTGGCTGTTTCTTATGAAGTAAACTTACCATTCAACCCAACAATCCCACTCCTAAGTATTTATAAGAGAAATGAAAGTATATAATCACAGAGACTTGTACATAAATGCTTTATTCATAACAGCCCAAACTGGAAACAATCCAAATGTTCAGCACCTAGTGAATGGTATATCCATATAATGGATAAATGCATATAATGCAATTAAAAAAAAACATTAACTCATACGACAATGTGGATGACACTTAACTACGTAACACATGGTTCCATTTATAAGAAAGTCTAGAAATGGCAAAACTATAAGTGATTACAGTGATATAGCAGATAAGTGGTTGTGAGGGACCAGGAATAGCGAGAGAGGTTTTACTAAAAGGAGCACAAGGGAACTTTTTAGGGTGATAGAAATATTTTATATACCATGACTGTGGTGATGATGGTTATATGACGGCATACGTTTGTCATAACTCGTCTAATTGGTCCATTTTATTATATGTAAATTATACCTCAATAAACGTGATTAAAGAAAAAGAACAGGGGAATAAACATATTTGCCCCTCATATTACCTGTCACTCACCAGAATTTATCAACACCTGACAGAAAATAGCAATAGGTAGGAAAGTAAAAATGTGGAAATCACTGGAAAGAGCAAGAAATTGATAAGAATTATGCAGTCAAGATAAAAGCAATGTCATTCTTTACATATTTTAATATATAATAATGTAATACATAAATATATATTTTAACCATTCAATAATAAGAACAATCTGATTCTAAAAGAGACCTTCATCAATCCAAAATATCACCTGCTTTATCAAAACAGTATTTCTTAGAGTAGATTCTAAGGGTTACCTAAATCACAGGCATCAACATATTTCTGGGCACCATCCCAGACCTACTCCATCCATCACACACTCTTAGGTAAAAATAAGACCCCATTTTAAACTGTTTCCAGATAAATTATTTTGCAAATTTAGTCTCACAGAATGACTTTATTAGAAGTTCTAATGTACACGTGTGTACTCACACATATATATCAACTGGGTTTGCAATTATGCCAGGTTGATAGTATTCAATAGCACATATACTTTCCTTATAGGAAAATAGAGGTATCTCCATTTCATGGAGACGTAGGGGGCTCAAATGAGATTATCTATAACATAAGATACACTCAAGGTTGTACTGTTCCCCAGTCATCCTGGACTTGGATAGGAACATCATTCTAAGCAGGTAAAAAAGACTTTTTGACCTTACCAAGCCTGAAGTCTCACAATGCCATACTGCCTCTCTTTTACCACTATATACTGCTTAGTAGCAGGTGACAACCACTTTAGTTATTAATTTTAGTTAATATTTATATTATCACAAGAATATTTCCTTTAAATATGTGATATTTTAAAGTTATGTGCTACAGCTGGGTGCGGTGGCTCACGTCTATAATCCCAGCACTTTGGGAGGCTGAGGCGGGTAGATCACTTGAGGTCAGGAGTTCGAGACCAGCCTGGCCAGCATGGTGAAACCCCATCTCTACTAAAAATACAAAAAAATTAGCTGGGCGTGGTGGCGCATGCCTGTGGTCCCAGCTACCTGGGAGGCTGAGGCAAAAGAATGGCTTGAAGCTGGGAAGCAGAGGTTGCAGTGTGCTAAGATCATGCCATTGCACTCCAGCCTGGGCTACAGGGCAAGACTCAGTCTCAAAAAAATAAAAAATAAGAAAATAAAAAAGTTATGTGCTATGTTTCCTCCCTTACTTTATAGATTCAGTTGGTTTCTTAGACAATATCCCATGCGCTTACACACAATTTAATTTCAAACTTTTTTTTTTTTTTTAATAATAGAGACAGGGTCTCACTATGTTGTCCAGGCGGGTCTCAAACACCCAGCCTGGAGCAATCCTCCTGCCTTAGCTTCCTGAAGTGAGGGGATTACAGGCTTGAGCTACTGTGCTGGACCCAATTTCAAACACTTAAAAAAATCAAGTACTACCATGTCAAAAGAAAACAATTTAACAATAAAACAAAACAATGTGAGGAACTACAGAAAACAAAGCTGAGTAAACAGGCCAAGGTCCTTACCTTCATGAATTTTTTTTTTTTAAATGTGGTAAAATATACGTAAAATTTACCATCTTAACCCTTTTTGGGTATACAATTCAGTGGCATTAAGTACATTCACATTATTGTGTAACCATCATCACTATCCATCTCCAGAACTTTCCCATCATCACAAACTCTGTACCCATTAAATAATAATAAATCCCCATTCCTCCTCCATCCCACCCTCAGTAAACACTATTCTATTGTTTGTTCTCTATAAATTTGACTATTGTAGGTATCTCATATAAGTGGAATCATGTATTTGTCCTTCCTTCCTGAGTTTTTTCTAACTTTTTTTGAGATGGAGTTTCGCTCTTGTTGCCCAGGCTGGAGTGCAACGGCACGATCTCGGCTCACCACAACCTCCATCTCCCAGGTTCAAGCGATTCTCCTGCCTCAGCCTCCCGAGTAGCTGGGATTACAGGCATGTACCACCACACCTGGCTAATTTTGTATTTTTAGTAGAGATGGGATTTCTCCATGTTGGTCAGACTGGTCTCAAACTCCCAACCTCAGGTGATCCACCCACCTCAGCCTCCCAAAGTGTTGGGATTACAGGCATGAGCCACCGCGCCCGGCTGTTTTTTCTAATTTTTAATGCATGTGTAGGCAATAAGCACTAAGGACACAAAGACTGGCAGCATACTGAATCTGCCCTCATGAAACGCACACTCTAAGAGGCAAGTCAGACATGTTAAAAACAAACAATCTTGCAAGTTAATGTGATAACTGCTTTAACAGGGATACAAAGTACAATGGTGGCACAAAGGACTGATATGACTAAGGGTAGTTGGGAGAGGCTTCACAGTGTAGATGATGTCTCAGGACAGTCTTGAAGTGTGAAGAATTCACCAGTAGAAAAGGCCATTCCATCCAGAGGAATGGCATTCAGTCATTTCATAAGGGATGACACCACACCAGACACTGAACACCTAGGACAGCCAAGGTACCTGCTTTCATTAAGCTAACAGCATATGCAAAGTCATGAGGTACATACATTTGAGCAAGAGCAAGCAGTTCAGACTGAAAAGCAAAGTGCTTGAGGGAGAAGCAGAAGATGATGCTGAAAAGGTAGGCAGGTGCTCGATCATGAAAAAACTTTATGTTGTCTAGAGTTTTATTTTAGATTATAGGCCAGGGCTATAATCTAAAATATATAAGGGCTGAATTTGAAAACAGGTAAAGTTAGAGACAAACTGGGAGGCTATTATGATGATCCATGCAAAAATAATGACACCTCAATTAAAGTAGTAACCATGGAAATGGACAGAGAATGGACTTGAAAGTCCACAAACTACATGTAAGTGATTGTTACCTGTTTATGATTAAATAAAAAGAAATAATTTCTCTTCTTCAGTAAATATCTACCAAAGCCCCATAATGTATTAAAAATTATTGACAAAAACATATTAGGATAAAAGAACACAATGCATTTTCACTTTTCTTTTATGTATGTGTAGGTGTGTGGAATCAGGGCTCCAATTACAATCCTGTGCCACATAACAATGTTTCAGTCAAGATGGAATGCACATGCAATGGTGGTTCCTTAAGATAGAGCATCATATCGAAACCTCGTATATGGCACTTGATATTGACACTGCAGATCAAGTAGGGGAAATAGCTGATATTCAGTAATGGTGCTGGGACATTTCGTTTTCTAATGTAACATACAAATATATTTTTATTTATACATATTTTTTCTAGGTTTGTGTAGTATACTCTATGATGTTCACACAATGACAAAATCGCCTACCAATGCATTTCTCAGAACACATCCCTGTCGTTAAGCAACACACAACTATACCTTTAAGTAATTTTAGAGTCGGTCTTCCTTTTTACCAGAGGAAAAACAATTCCTTGTTTCTGTTCTACAACTGCAAGAGGAGTGCCAGAAAGAGTTAACAGTTGTCAACAGAAGCTTGACCCTCTGTTCTCAAGTATGTGCTGGGGATGTAGTGGGAATTTAACACACTAAACAAGAAACTGTCCATAATCCAGTTTACTTCAATTTTTAAGAAGAAATCTGTATATAAATACTGAGGCTTTCTGCCAAAAAAGCAAATGCTTCACGGATTTGGCTCCTTGTCTTTTCTTGTGGCTGTTCTCCAATATCAACTTGGAGATGTCCCTATCTCAAAATCTGCCAGCTACTGAAACATGGGTCAAACAAAACACTTTCCTCTCTGTAGAGTATAATGTATCAAGACTATGAATCCTATTAGGTAAAGCAGAGATCACATTTAAAAATGCATATAACTAGTTCCCCCAAAACAATCTTTTCTCAGATACTAATACTCATTCCACAATATTAAACTTCAGATTTCAAATATAAGGTTTTCTATGATTAAACTTTTAGACACTGGAATCAGACATATCCAAAGAATCTCTGGTAAATCTGACACACCTGAATTGATGTAAATTTAATAGAAGCGTATCTTGCTTCCCTTTGCAGGTAATATTCCTTTTCACTTGACTACCACATAATTTTAAGAAGAAACCAGAATAACTCTCATTCATCACTTTTAGTAGTTCAAAAAGTCTGAATCTACTCAAAAAAATCTCCACACTTTGATATTTCTAAGTTTAAATTTGTTTTATTTACACTAATTCAGTTTATTACCTTTTAGCGGTCTTAAATATTTTATGCATTACAAAAATCCTTCTTTAAAAGGCATCCCATTTATACTTTCAAACCACTTTCTTAACATAAATGCAAATTAACACACTCCAGAAAAAAAAATTATTGTTAATTCCTTAATTGTACTGTACCTCAAGTCTATTTAATTCTACATAGTTATAGGAGAGAAAAATAAAAACATCTAGGTCTAGCTACTTGATAATAGGTAATACTCTTTATTCCAAATTAAATATATAACAGTATAATAACGAGCATAATTCCGAAGACAATCAAATGACATTCAAGTGATCTAACAGAAAAATAAGAAAATATTTTGATACAGAAAACTAAAAACATAGCTTAGTTCATAAGTCATTAGGGTTATTACATTACATTTTATCATCACAACAATAGCCACAACCCCAGGCTATATCTCATGGTCCCTAAATCTAAGCAGATTGTTTTTAGTTGGGAAAAAGATTATCATAAACTTATATTTTACTAATAATCTGAAGGATCTCAAATATGCCAAGAAGCCTATGTCTCTAAAATATAGCTTCATCTTTTGAAATAATTGATGCTTCAGGAACAGCAACAATAACCATTATCATCAAGGTAATCTCCCTGAAAAATCTCATCATGTTAGAAAAAAAACAAGTATTAAAAAAACAAAAATGAAAGCAGAACAAAGCATACAAGAGCAATTAGACAATTATTAAATGGCCCATATACCTGCAATTGAAATCACAGAAAGAGAAGACAGAACAGGTCAAATGAAATACATGAAGAGACAATGGCTAAGAATTTTCCAAATTAAGTAAAAGATGCTAAACCAGAGAACCAAAAAACTCAGAGAAGACCAAACAAACCAACAAAAGAAAACAGACACATCACATTCAAAATAAAGATAAATCATATCTAAAGATAGAGAAACTCTTAAAGACGGCCAAAAGAAAAATAAATTAAATGAACAAAGGACATTATATGCAAAGAATCAAAGACAAATGACAAAAATATGTAATAGATGCAAAAAATCTCAACAAAATACCAGCAAACCAAATCCATCAGCACATCTAAAACCTAATTCACCATAATCAAGTAGACTTTATTCCTGGGATGCAAGGTTGGTTCAACATATGCAAATCAATCACTGTGATTCACCACATAAACAGAATTAAAAAGAAACACGATATGACCATCTCAATAGATGCAGAAAAAGCTTTTGATAAAATCCAACATCCCTTCATGATAAAACCCCTCAATAAACTAGGTATCAAAGGAATATATCTAAGAGCCATTTATGACACACCCACAGCCAACATCATACTGGATGGGCAAAGCCTAGAAACATTCTCCTTGAGAAATGGAAGAAGACAATGATGCTCACTTTCACCACTCTTACTCAACATAGTAATGGAAGTCCTAGCTAGAGTAATCAGGCAAGAAAAAGAAATAAAAGGTATCCAGATAGGAAAAGAAGAAGTCAAACTATCTTTCTTTGCTAATGGTATGATTCTATACCAGAAAACTCCGAAGACTCCACCAAAAGGCTCCTTGAACTGATAAACAACTTCAGTCAAGTTTTAGGATACAAAAATCAATGTACAAAAATCAGTAGCATTTCTACGTAACAATAACCTTCAGGCTAAGAGCCAAATCAAGAACACAATTCCATTTACAAGAGCCACAAAAACAAGAAAATACCTAGGAATACATCTAATGAAAGTAGTGAAAGATCTCTACAAGGAGAACTACAAAACACTGCTTAAAGAATCAGAAATGACACACACAAATGAAAACATATTTCATGCTCATGGATTGGAAGAATCAGTATCATTAAAATGACCATACTGCCCAAAGTAATTTGCAGATTCAGCATTATTCCTATCAAATTACCAATATCATTTTTCACAGAATCAGAAAAAACTACTCTAAAATTCATATGGAACCAAAAAACAGCCCAAACAGCCAAAGCAATCCTAAGCAAAAAGAAAAAACCTGGAGGCATCACATTACTCAACTTCAAACTACACTACAAAGCTACAGTAACCAAAACAGCACAGTACTGGTACAAAAAGAGATACATGGACCAATAAAACAGAATAGACAACCCAGAAATAAAGCCACACACCTACAACCATCTGATGTTCAACAAAGTTGACAAAAATAAGCAATGAGGAAAAAGTCCCTATTCAATACATGGTGCTGGGATAACTGGCTAGCCATATGCAGAAGAATGAAACTGGACTCTTACCTATCACCATATACAAAAATTAACTCAAGATGGATTAAAGACATAACTGTAAGACCTAAAACTACAAAAATCCTAGAAGAAAACCTAGGAAATTCTTTTCTCGACAACAGCCCTGTCGAAGAATTTATGGCTAAGTCCTCAAAAACAATTGCAACAAAACCAAAAACTGACAAGTAGGACCTAAGAGCTTCTATACAGCAAGAGAAACCATTAACAGAGTAAACAGATAATCTACAGAATGGGAGAAAAAATTCAGAAACTATGTATCTGACAAAGGCCTAATATCCAGAATTTATAAGGAACTTAAATCAACAAGTAAAAAACAAATAACCCCATTAAAATGTAAGCAAAGGACATGAACAGACACTTCTCAAAAGAAGACATACAAATGGCCAAAAAAAAATTGAAAAAATGCTCATCACTAATCATCAGAGAAATGCAAATCAAAATCACAATTGAAATACCATCTCATACCAGTCAGAATAGCTTTTGTTAAAAAGTCAATAAATAACAGATCTCAGTGGGGCTGTGGAGAAAAGGGAAAACCTTTACGCTGTTGGTGGGAATGTAACTTAGTTCAGCCACTGTGGAGAGCAGCTTGGAGATTTCTAAAAGAACACAAAATGGAACTACCATTTAACCTAGCAATCCCATTACTGGGTATATACCCAAAGAAAAATATATCATTCTACCAAAAAGACACATGCACCCATGTGTTCATCACAGCACTATTCACAACAGCAAAGACATGGAATCAACACAGGTGTCCATCAACAGTAAATGAGATAAAGAAAATGTGGTACATATACACCATGGAACACTACACAGCCACAGAAAGAACAAAATCATGTCCTTTGCAACAACACGGATGCAGTTGGGGGCCATTATCCTAAGCAAACTAATGGAGAAACAGAAAACCAAATACCCCATGTTCTCACTTACAAGTGGCAGCCAAACCATGAGTACATATGGACATTAAGATGGGAACAAACAGACACTGGAGAATACAAGATGGGAGAGGGAGGCAAGGATGGAAAAACTACCTATTGAGTACTATGCTCACTTCCTAGGTGACGGGTTCAGTCGTACTTCAAACCTCAGCATTATGCAATATACCTTTGTAATAAACCTGCACAGGTACACCCGGAATCTAAAATAAAAGCGGAAAAAGAAAAAAAATTTAATTCAAATAAAAATATATACGTAAAAGCCATATAACAAACAGTAGAGTGACATCTTTTAAGTACTGAAAGAAAAAAAAGGCAATCCAGAATTCTATATTCAGCAAGAATATTTTAGAAAAATAAAGTCTTTTTGAGAGAAACAAAGATAATTTATTACTAGCAGACTTGGCCTATAAGAAATGTTAAAAGTTCTTCAGGTAGACAGAATGATACCAGACAGAAAACTTGGATCTACACAAAGACATGAACAACAGTATAAACGGTATAAATGAAAGTAAATACAAAACTTCATATTTTTCTTATTTGCAATTGTTCTAAAAGATAACTGTCTCTAAAGCAAAAATGCAGTCATGTACTGCATAATGATATTTAATCGACAAGGGACCACATATATAATGGTGGTCCCATAAGATTACGATGAAGCTGAAAAATTCCTATCGCCTAGGGACATCCTAGTTGTATTAACATTGTAGTACGATGAGTTACTCACGTGTTTGTGGTGAAGCTGGTGTAAAGAAACCTACACTGCCAGTTGTATAAAAGTATAGCATATACAATTATGTTAAGTACATAATACTTGATCATGGTAACAGTTACTAGCTTATGTATTTATTATATACTTTATCATTATTTTAGAATGTACTCCTACTTACATAAAAAGGAAAGTTAACTGTAAAACAGCCTCAGGTAAGTCCTTCAGGAGATATTACAGAAGAAGGAACTGTTATCATAGGAGATGGCAGTTCCATGTGTGTAATTGTCCCTGAAGACCTTCCAGACAAGATGTGGAAGTGGAAGACAGTGATATTTATAGCTTGACTCTCTGTGGGCCTAGGGCTAATGTATTTGCGTCTTAGTTTTTAACAAAAGTTTTAAAAGTAAAAATTAAAAATTTTTAAATAGAAAAAAGCTTACAGAATGAGGACATACTTTTGTACAGCTGTACAATGTATTTGTTTTAAGCTAAGTTATTGTAAGAGAGTAAAAAAGTTTAAAAAACTAAGAAGTTAATAAAGTAAAAGTTACAGTAAGGTAAGGCTAATTATTGAAGACTTTTTAAAAATAAATTTATTATAACCTACATGAACAGTTCTATAAAATCTATAGCAATATACTGTAAAGTCTTAGAGTAGTAATATATTGCATGTTGATTGCATATATATAAAAGTAAAGTGTATGACAACAAAAACATAAAAGATGAAGAGGAGAAATGGGAGTATAGAACTATAAGGTCCTAATACTACATATAAAGCTATGTATTATTATATCAAGAAAACTGTGATTAATTACAAATATACGGCAAACCCTAGGGCAACCACTAAACAAATTTCAGAAAGAGGTATAAATAAATAAGCAAACCGCGGAGAGAAATGGAATTTTTAAAAAGTCCAAGTAATCCAAAAGAAAAAAAGAACAGATAGACTAACATAAACCAGATACCATAGTGGTAGATTTTAATCCAACCATATTACCAATGTTGATAAATATAAACAATCTAAACACACTAAATAAAAGAGACATGTCAAAATGAAAGACAGAGATTATCAGACTGGATAAACAAGTAAGCCCATCTATATGCTGACTATAAGAAACCCATATTAAGTGTAAAGATACAGATAGGTTGAAAGTGAAAGTAAAACAAAAAACAAAAACAGAAAAAATATGTTGGGAGACAATTCTCCATGGGTCTCTGTTGAGGTAGCTGCCTTTGAACCTACTTCTCAGTATCTGGTCTGCAACCATCTCCCCAGTTACTCTTTATTAATAAGTGATACAATGGAGAGATGGAAATCTCATGTCTATTGCTAATATGTATGAAATTCATGGCAAACTTCAGTTTTTGACATGATATACCATGTAAATACTAATCAAAAGGAAGCTGAAGTGGTTATATTAATACAAGGCAAAGAAGATTTCAGAACAAGGAATATTACCAGAGATAAAGAGGCTGTCCGCCAGAAAGGCACACCGATCTTAAATATGTATGGATCTAACAAACTTTCAAAATACATGAAAAAAAAACTGATAGAACTGGAAAGAGAAATAGACAAATCTATTAAGTTGGAGACTTCAACACATCTCTCAGTATTTTATAGAACGAGTAGGCTATAAACATATGGAAAAACTCAATCTCTCACTAGTGATGAAAAATGTACAAACCCACAATGAGATGTTTTAAATTAATTCCTAATTTAAAACTTAAGTCTGACAATCCTAAATATTGGTGAAGATGTGGAACATCAGAAACTCACACTTCTGGTGGGAGTATAGATTGGTATGATCACTTTGGAAAACAATTTGGCATTACTTAGTAGAGATGTGCTCATATTTATAATTTAAAATTCTTATGACGAATAAATAGTAAATATAGATTCACTCAGCAAATATTAAAAACAAAATAAAGCCACAGAATGTAAGTACAACACCCCGTTAGGCCTAACTAGACACCGAGACTCACATAACCCAAACAGGCTGGTTATACTTAACATGTCAGGCAGGAGTCCTCATTGCAATTCGGGGGCTAGTATCTTTGGCCCTCTCAGGTGGCAGATCAAGTGTAAGAGAATGAGAGCATAAGGTCCTTGCAGTAGCTACTCTAGCTTACAGGTACCAAATAGCAACCAATATCTCCAGTCTCATAGGCATAGCTTCCTGAGCTTCAGCAACAGATTTGCTTAGTTGCAAGAGTTATCACACTCAGGGAAGTCCAAAGCTGTTAACGGTATAAGTACCAGTATTTACAATTCATTCACAGTCCTCCTCTGGTCCTTATGCAATTCAGTAATCATGAGTCATTATTACCATAAGCAATGGTGCTCGGTTATACAACTGATATTCTACCTTATCAAGCTTCCAAGTGAACAAAGCTAGGAAGTTAAGCCAAGGCCAAAACTGTCCGAAGAGAAGAAAGGTTAATGTTACAACAAATAAAGAGATTCAATTTAGAATGGCACTAAGCTAAACAACTATTAATATATTTCACTGAATCCAAGATGCTAGTGATTATGACATAATTAATTTTTGTACTAAGAAAAGTGCTGTTAAGTAAATATGGTGCACTACTGATTGTAAGACATATCCTAATTACTGAGATGCACAAGGAGGGAAAATATACTTCTTAGAATTGATGAAATACAGAATAATCCTTCTCTAAATTTTTCACTAAAATATTTAAGACATACAGTAAATTTTCACTTAACTTTGTTGATAGGTTCTTGGAAACCTAAACTTTAAGAAAAACTTTGTAGCAGATCTCCAAATGACATTTTGTTCAACTTCATTTTATTATAACAATGAGAAAAAAACGGTTTCATTATATGTGATTTCACTTAAAGTCACAATTTCCAAGAACCTGTCATGGACATTAAGCAAGGACTTACTGTGTAACTCTTTTCTCTACCTTGGGGACACGGTCTGCTCCAACAGAAACCAGTCCCCTACTAAAAATTTTCTAAGACATGTAATACCTCTGTTCATCTACTCTAAAAACAACCAATATCAACATAATTGACGCAGCATAGCTGTCTTCATCCTGGCATGTTAAAAAGCATCCAAAATCTAAATAAATGAATTAGCTCCCATCACTGATTAAATCACTAAAAGTCCTAAGGGCCTTTACAACCTGGAGGCTTGCATGCAATGTTCTGGTAAAATAAATAAATAAATAACAAAAATTTAAAAAAAAAAACTGTTTCAGGTTATCCATAAATATGTTAGTTCCCATATACCAGCGAACTGTGCAAGGAGAAAAGTGGAAAAAACCTTAAACCTCAATCCAGTAGAGGTACACTAAGTGAATGTTTTCATCTAAGTGGGTTGTATACGATCATTAGTTCTTTATGCTAGGGAAGGCAAATCTATCTTTTTATAAGCAGAAAATAAATATGATTAAAGTGAACTTGCCATACCCTACCTACTGGCAAACACTAGGCTTGGAAAAATAGCCCTTGTTCATAGATAGGTATGTATGGAATGGGACCTAAACAAACATTCAGCAGCATAGATAAAACATCTTCTTAAAAATGCCAAAGAAAAGAATCTGTGATAATTTATATTTAGAAACAGAAAAAATGTAAAAAGTATATGCTGTGTGTTCTCAACAACATACATATAGGAAGAAATAAAAAGACAGACTTATATGCAGTCTAAGATATAAATGGAACTCTTAAGAGATAAGAAAAAAGAAATGAATAGAAACAACAATTTAAAAAACTACATTTTGGTACATACACTTTTAAAAATGAGTTCTGTTATCTATGTTTTCCAAAAAGGAAAACAGGGCCGGGCATGGTTGCTCACGCCTGTAATCCTTGCACTTTGGGAGGCCTAGACAGGTGGACTTCCTGAGCTCAGGAGTTCAAGACCAGCCTGGGCAACATGGTGAAACCCCATCTCTACTAAAATACAAAAAACTAGCTGGACATGGCAGCGTGCGCCTATAGTCCCAGCTACTTGGGAGGCTGAGGCAGAAGAATTGCTTGAACCTGGGAGACGGAGGCTGCAGTGAGCCACGATCGCACCACTGCACTCCAGCCTGGGTGACAGAGCAAGACTCCATCTCAAAAAAAAGGAAAACACATAAAACGGTCTATGCTGCAAAAGTCACACACTAAAGGAAAGGGTAAAATAAAGTTATTTTTATTTGTTTTTTTTTTTTTTTTGAGATGGAGTTTCTCTCTTGTTGTGCTGGAGTGCAATGGTGCGATCTCAGCTCACTGCAACCTCTGCCTCCCGGGTTCAAGTGATTCTCCTGGCTCAGCCCCCTGAGTAGCCAGGATTACAGGCATGCACCATCACGCCCAGCTAATTTTTGTACTTTTAGTAGAGACGGGGTTTTGCCATGTTGGCTAGGCTGGTCTCAAACTTCTGACCTCAGGTGATCCACCTGCCTCAGCCTCCCAAAGTGCTGTGATTACAGGCATGAGCCACAGCACCCAGCCAAGTTATTGTAAAAATATAAAATTACAAGAGTGAAAAACAAAATCAAACCTCAATTATAGCAAATTTTGTTGGCTGAGCGCAGTGGCTCACACCTATAATCCCAGCACTTTGGGAGGCTGAGGCAGGCGGATCACTTGAGGTCAGGAGTTTGAGACAAGCCAGACCAACATGGTGAAACCCCATCTCTTCTAAAAATTCAAAGTTAGCTGGGCATGGTGGTACGCGCCTGTAATCTCAGTTACTCGGGAGGCTAAGGCAGGAGAATCGCTTGAACCAGGGAGGCGGAGGTTGCAGTGAGCTGAGATCGCGCCCGAGCACTCTAGCCTGGGCAACAAAGCGAGATTCCGACTCAAAAACAAAAACCAAAAAAAAAAAAAAAAAAAAACTTTGTTTAAAATCTTCAGATGGGTTTAAAACTGAACTGACATAAAAAGATTAAAAATAGTGATGAAAAACGATTTATACAATATATCGCAGAAATAGTCAAACTGAAAGGAAATAGGAATAATAATTTTGACACAGGACAAAAAGATTTTAAGAAATGAATTAGTCTTTTTATATTGCTAAAAAGATCTCTACAGTGCTACTCAAATGCCATCTATGAACTAGCTGTTTGCTACAGCTATGCAACAAGACAAGAACAAAGCTCGAAACTTAGCATTTAGAAACTCTTACAGCAGTCTGAGAGGGAAATTCTATACCTGTTAAATAAAATAATTTTTAAAAATGGAGGTTATATTACTATTTTGTCAAGTTATTCTCATTTCATTTCATTTTTCTAGTAATTCATTTTTAATGTATTTTAAAGAAGTATTGGGAAAAAAACCTGATTCTTCACCACAAATAATTTGAAAAGCACTGTGATAAAAGACTTATCGGTCATGAAGCTGGGATGTGCCAAACAACACATCAAAATATACAAATTTAAAACAATTACAGATGCAAGGCAAAAATGAAGGACAAATGTTTATTTGGGAAGCAAACCCATTCCATGACACATTAGATTTTTTTTAAAAAAAGCACATAGAGGAATTTTAAAATGTCACGTTTTCTCTAAGAAGTCACTGATTATAAATGTCCTATCAGTTTAATACCAGCTTTTCAGGAGGGAAAATTACTGTATTAAATGTACATACTGTGAGACACATTACAAACTCGGAAATGTTAAAATTGGGCCAGGCGAGGTGGCTCATGCCTGTAATCTCAGCACTTTGAGGGGCTGAGATGGGCAGATCACCTGAAGTCAGGAGTTCAAGACCAGCCTGGCCAACATGGCGAAACCCCATCTCTATGAAACATACAAAAATTAGACAGGTATGGTGTGGTGGCACATGCTTGTAATCCCAGCTACTTGGGAGACTGAAGCACGAGAATCACTTGAACCCAGGAGATGGAGGTTGCAGTGAGCCGAGATCGCACCACAGCACTCTAGCCTGGGCGACACAGTGAGACTCTGTCTCAAAAAATAAAATAAAATTAGAAAAAAGAAATTTTAAATTGTTTAAAAAGGATTAACCAAGAAAATAACAGTAAGTCAATAATTTGGTATTAAATGAAAAACTTCCTTTCAATTTTCAGTGAAACATGTATAAAGATGTTAGTAATAAAGCAGACGCTAAAGAATACATCAATAACTTTGAAAAACTAAAAACTATGTAAAGCATGGTAAAAAACTGGCTTTCTGCCATGCCCCACTAATCACTTAAGGATTCCTATTTGTTTTTGATGCTGCTGGGTAAAATTATATAAGAAGAAAGGGTTCGACAACTTTAAAATGTTTAAAATTATATTAAATTACTCAAAACATATAAAATGTCCAGCCTCGCAGTTTTCTAATACCTTTTTATACAAAAGTCAAGGGAAAAGGTCAAAGTACTTCATGTCAGATGTGGCATAGGAGGTCACAGATGTCTCTGCCACCTTCTTCCTGGCTTCCCACAATCTCAGAAAAAATCTAGGATATTATTTGGGCAGTAGGTAGCATTACTGCATTCTCAAAAGAGTCTACATTCTGTGTGTTTTTCTTCTGTGTGGTCCACTGCTAATGGCTAGCCTAATCTAGCCATCCTAACATACCCATGTGGTTGATTAGGTTAAGGTTGGCTGAACAGATTGAAAATTATATAGCTGGCCCTCCATATCTGTGGGTTCCACATCTGTGGATTCAACCAACCACAGATCAAAAATATTCAGGGAAAGAGTTGCATCTGTACTGAATGCGTACAAACTTTTTTCCTTGTTATTACTACCTTAAATAATACAGTATCACAACTATTACATAGCATTTACAATGTATTAGGTGTAAGTGATAATTTGAAGTACTATATAGGAGAATATGCTTAGGTTATTTTATGCAAATACTACACCATTTTATATAAGTGATTTGAGCATCTGTGGATTTTTATATCCTCAGGGATTCCTGCAACGAATCCCTCACAGATACTAAGGGATGGATACAGAGGGAAGACTGTACGTAAGAGTAGAGCATTGCTAGAAGCACTACCATGATCTATGCATGTTTTATACACATCACACACACAAACACACACACAATGAAATTAACGAGACTCAAAGCAACATTATTAACAATTTCTTCTAAGTTACACAGAGTATTTTCCATCTATACTATACAATCTCATCATCTAAAAACAGCCCTCCAGAGGTTATGATCCTACTCCTTGGACTGCCCGGTCAAAACGACTGATGTCATAATAAAACCAAACCTAGAAGAGGAAAAAATAAATCAAAGACAGGATCCTTTTGAAGTTTTTCATTTTAACTATCCAGAGTTTTAAAAAGTTCTCTACAAAAGATTTGATAATGCCAGGATCTTTTCCTTCCATTCCCATGCCTAATACTTAAACCTAACTTCATCTAAATGTGATTTAAAAGCCTAATTCAGATATAAAGATTATTTATGAAATGAAAAAAAGATACTACTTAAATAAAAAGTAATCTACCATAAGAACTAACGGAGGAAAACATTTGGAACTCAATTTACAGATGGAGATGAACTTTACTAATATATGAAGGCTCTTTGGAATCAGTAAGGAAAAGACCAAGAGTCTCAACAGGAAAATGGGTAAAAGATAAACAGTACGCTGAGAAGGAAATACCATAAGGGCCTCTCAAGCATATGAAAAAACACTCAATCTCACTCATAATAAAAGGAATGCAAATTAAAACTACACTGAGATCCATTTTATGTCTATTAGATTGGCAATGATCAAAACATTTGAGAACATAATCTTGATGAAGACATGGAAAAAGTCTCCTATTGCTGGTGGGAGTACAGATCAAAACAACCTCTGTATTAGTTTTTCTCATTTGAAGAAATCCTTGTAAGATGTTTAAAAATGTAGCATGTAAGATAATATTTAGCCTGGTGTGGGCTGTTGGTCATTCTCAAAAAATTGTTAAAAGTTTTCTACTTTTATAGAATTCTGTTTACATAATGAAGCAGACAGGTAGGCCACTTTTAAAAACTTGGATGACTGGTCGGGCGTAGTGGCTCATGCCTGTAATCTCAGCACTTTGGGAGGGCTGAGGCGGGTGAATCATTTGAGGTCAGGAGTTTGAAACCAGCCTGGCCAAAATGGTGAAACCCTGTCTCTACTAAAAATACAAAAAATTAGCTGGGTGGGGTGGTGCATGCCTGTAATCCCAGCTACTCAGGAGGCTGAGGTGGGAGAATAGCCTGAACCCAGGAGGTGAAGGTGGCAGTGAGCCAAGATCACACCATTGCACTCCAGCCTGGGCAACAGAGCGAGACTGTTTCAAACAACAACAAAAAACAAAACAAAACAAAACAAACCTGGATGATTAACACAGTAGTCTTGCTCTATCTGCTGCTCACCTCTTGATACCTTATTGTGCACTTAATGGGTGCTCAATAAATATTTGTTGAGTTGAATGAAACTAAGAATAATGCTGAAGGATGACAAAAATGGAATAAAAACAAGAACAATGAATTAACTAAATTTATCTGAACTGTTGAATAAATTGCTTACATAAACACTACTTCAAGAAAGGAGCAATGCCACGCTAGTTAGTGCATGTTTCCTGAAAAATGAGTTAGCCAGCAACAGTTGGATAATAGATTGTTGTAGTAATGGCCCCCTAATTAGCCCCACTCAGTTAGGAAACCCCTCCCATACCAACTCTGGAATTGGCCATGTTGATCTGCTTTGGCCTATGGACAACAGAAAATATACGAGGCTTGCTGTCACTAGTTACTTCTGTAAACCCTACTACTGCCTCCAGGTGAAAGAGCCACGCCTAGCCTGCGGGAGACACATGGCCCCCATCACCCAAGCAAACAACCAGTACGGATTATCCAGACATAGCTATCCTAGACCAACCAGCTCCCAGCTGACCCATCAGCTGACTGCAGCCACATCCGCAAGGCCAGACATAAGCTGCAGCAGAATTGCTTAATTGAGCCCAGCCCAGAATTAGGCTAACAAATGCCTATTGTTTCACAGCACTATGTTTTGGGGAGATTTATCATACAACAAAAGCTGATCCAAGTAGAGAGGGGAATAGGTGGTCAAAGAAGATTTTTCCCTTACCTGTTCTGCTTTTCAAATTTCACAATGAGAATATATCCACATACTATTTAATTACACTGAACTTATAAAAATTTTATATCAGATTGATATTAAAATCTTACTATCACCTTGTAAACACAAATACATTAATTCAGTCCAAATAGGAGCATGAATTTGAGAGGAGACATTAATATTGCTTCAGAAAAAAAAAATGGGTTAAGAGTACCAGGGTTTACTATCTCTCACACACACACACACACACACACACACACACACACACAAATGTGAATAAGAATATATTCACGGTCACTGTCACATCTCAATAATGGCTATTATCAAATTCTGGAAGTGTTAGAAGACACTCATCTCAAATTCTGCTTCACTGTTTCTTCTGTTTAAGTGGGTAATGGCCTAATACATGTTTTCTCATTTAATCCTCACATGGTATGAGGTAAACATTATGCTGCATCACTTTAGGCAAAGTTAATTAACCTCTCTATGCCTCATTTCCTCAACTGTAAAATGGGGATAACAGTCCTATTTTATAGAACTGTTGTGAAGATTACATCGCTTATAACAGGGCACACAGTCCTTAATAAACGGTTTACCACCTCGTTTAGTAAAATGACGTAAAATTAAGGTCTTTTAACTATAATAACATGGCTTCTATTTTCAAAACACTAAGCATTATCAACTAAGGTGTGAGACATCATAATTAATTTGGATATCTTTCTAATGACCTCATTAAAAAATTAAAAGACATGCCGGGGTGTGGTGATGGCTCACGCCTGTAATCCCGGCACTTTGGGAGGCCAAGGTGAGCAGATCACCTGAGGTCAGGAGTTCGAAACCAGCCTGGCCAACATGGTGAAATTCCATCTCTACTAAAAATACAAAAAGTAGCCGGGTGTGGTGGCACGTGGCTGTAATTCCAGCTACTTGGGAGGCTGAGGCAGGAGAATCATTTGAACTCGGGAGGTGGAGGTTGCACGGAGCCAAGATTGTGCCACTACACTCCAGCCTGGGCAACAGAGTGAGACTCTGTCTCAAAAAAATAAATAAATAAAAATAAATAAGTAAAAGACAATGTTATTAAACAAAACCTAGGAATGTATGTAGAAAATATATGGTGATGAGAGGTGAAGCTCTGGGCAATAATAAATCATTTAGTCCACATTCCACAATCCTAAGTACGTTTAAAATACAAAGGCTTCCATTTTTGTGTGTGTTACAAATTCACAAGAGAGCAATAAATCCTACTGACATGTCACCTTTACTGTGACATCTAGCATACATACTTTCAACATGTTCTATCACCTTTTTTTTTTTAAGGCACTAGTGATGGCTTTGGAAAATAAGGTTCTTTTCAGGTCCTGATGGACCACTTATAAAACATAGCCAAATTTTTAAAAAGTGTTTTAAACAGGCAATTACCTAGACTGTAGATATGTCACTAACGAAATGTAAAAAATCTCATACCACAATGTGCAGATGTTTTAGTTTCTCCTAATGTGAGGAATACCTGCTACAAAAATTCCATGTTTCATTTCAATTCAAACATTTTAAAGAGTACTCAGTATATGAGGTAATGTAGCAGATTCTGGAGATAAGACAGGTAAAGAAAGTAACATTTATGTTACTATGTATGCCAGACATTAGCTGGTTATCTTATTCAATCATAATAATGCTATGCTGTAGAAATTATTAAAACTCACTTTACAGAGGAGGAAATTAAGGCTAACATAAGTATAATAACTTGCTCGGGGTCTCTCAGCAACAGAAGGCAGTGGGGTTGAGAAGTATGAGGTGGGGCCCATGAAGGTAGTGCCACATGACTATTCTTAGAGACAAACACAATATCCATTGTAACAGATCCTTTTTTAACAGCAATGTGGAAGGGGATGAAGACTTGGAAAACCAAGGAGATAATCTTTGGGAATGGGCAAAGGAGTCACAGAAGGCTTTAAAGAGGTTGATATTTAAGTTGTTAGTTAAGGGTGAGTAGGATTTACCAACTTCAATGCCAAGGCTCACCCCCACCCCCCTCACCCCCAATATATTAACCAAAATAAATTACTTACTTGAAATTGAGAAAAACAATTTTGAGAGAAATCTTCCTCAGATATATTATTCCATAGTTTTAAAACAAATAATATGATGACAGTTTAATTTTTAGGTTGCTTTTATGTGGCTTGTCTTGGGTTTTATTCTGAAATGAAATTTAGATTAGTCATTTTCTTGTTCTGAGAAACTGCGAGTATGCCAACATGTTTTAACTTTACATTTTTCACATATCAACATGTATTCTTATTTACAAAGTCTTTCATTTCACCATCTCAAACAAAACCTAATTTAGTATATAAATTACTTTGAAGTATAAATATATATGCAAAATAATATATTTCTTTTAATTCTTGTTATACTTCTTTGTAATCGTAATAAATGGAAGAAAAATAGTATTCTTGTGAACTGTTATATATTACACAAGGCATTTTTGAGGTAACACTCTTTTATTATTTGAATTGTTTATATAGTAGTAATGCTCTCTGAACCCAAAGAAAATTAAATAACTGCCCCAAAGTAAATTGAGCTCAAATTCTTAGTATTTCCCAAAACTATCATCTAAAAAAATAGAATTGGCCAAAAAAGAAAAAAAAAAACCACGAAATTTTCCATTGACAATTACTACTCATTTTTCTCAGAATTTACTTTGCTAGGCTTGTATTCAATTTCTGCTACAGAAAACAGTCCAGTTTACCAATGCTAATTAAACAACAAAGTATTTTTCATTTATAAAATGAAATATTTAAAAACCCACAGAGAGCTGGAAGAAACACAAGATCATCTGGAAAACTTAGAAGGAACGACAGAAAACACACACACACACCAAACAAAAACACCAAAAAGGTTAAATAGGCTGTCATTAAGAGGGTCTTACTTTTACTTATAATTTGTTTTGGTCTCAAAATCCACATCATGTTTGGACAGTAGACTGAGTTATTTCTAATTGCCTAAGACACTCATTCCTGCCTTATCTGTATCTACATGGAAATTACAAGTTAACACAATTTCACCCAAAGTTTACTGTTCCTTAACTCCCATTATTTCCTCTTATTATCACTATGATGTTAAAATGGCAGCCAGATACCAGAGTGACATACCTCATACCATGGCCCATTTCTTACTTTATAAGTAAGTTCAAACTATTTCTTTGAAATATCCAGCACCAATGACAACATCCTCTAAAACCTACTTTAACCCAACCTATTTAGACTTGAATCATTTTTCACTTAGATTTTTTTTTTTTTTTAAAGAGACGGGGTCTTGCCATGTTGCCCAGACTGGTCTCAAAATCCTGGGCTCAGGCAATCTTCCTGCCTCTGCTTCCCAAAGTGCTGGGATTATAGGTGCCTGGCCCTAGATTATCTTTAATTGCGTGAATTCTAATCCAATCAAAAGCAAGATGAGAGAAAATGTAATTATAGTACCAGAGGAACTTGAAAGGTCTCATATATTCCCTCCTCCCTTTTTTGGAAATAGCATACATACGATTTTAGTATCAATTTTTATTTATGTTTGCCCTAAACTCCTTTTGCTATAATCTTTTGTTTTCTTAAAGATACAGCCCAAGTCATCATAAAACGAATCCTACTATAATCTATTCTAGATTATAGAATATTAATAATATTATTATATAAGAAGATTCTAAGCACTATTAGATACAGTAGGGTCTCAAAGATTTCTGAACTACATATGTGCAGTTCTTTTAATAATTCCTCTGAGGTTCTGTATTTTTGTCTTTCAATTATCATCAATGCCTTCCTCCAATATTCCCTCATGTTTCGGGGGGAGAGGGGGTCAGTGTGAGGTGATGAGAGCTGAAGAGTCAAGATCCAAGATCCCCAATTTTCAAATCCAGCCTCACACCAACCAACTGTAGGACACTGGACAAATCCCTGAGCCTGCTATGTAGATTTCAGTTTTCTTCATACAAAATGAGTACATTTGACTAGAATGATGCTTCTCAACCCTTTTAACATTGCAAACAAAACTTGTCAGCAAAAAAAAATTTAGCACACTGGACAACAGGAGGGCATTTGGAGGCATCTACACAGTGCCTGGTGAAAAAAAATTATCATATTTTCTAATTACAGAAGAAAAAATGTAAAGTGTTATGGTAGATATTTTTTGACACATGTAATGCTGAAAATTTTAATATGAATTTCAAAACCAAACATTTTCACATCAAGAATATTTCAAAATTAAAATCATGCTTTATTTCTGACAAACATACATGCACTATTAGGCAGTCACCTTGCAGAGCATATCAAACGCACGTGGTGAGCAGCATCCAATACAGGTGAATACAGATAGTCAGGCCTGGAGCTGGGCCACCAGAGACACCCTCCCTGCTTCCTTGTCCTCTCATTGTAAGTGGGTTGCACCTTGTGGTAGGTGGCATGTTCCTTCGGCACCGTGAATACAAACTCCAGTAACAATTCCATGATCCCTTTCCCACAAAAGGCAGCTGTACACTGTGGCTGGCTGCTGAAGTAGATTCCAAGTAGTAAGGCACACCTCATTTAATGCACTTAAAATATCAAAAGGAGCAGTATGCTGCTTTTAACTGTTGGTTGTCACTCACCATGCTATTTGTTCACAGGAACCCCAACGCCTTCCTTCAGCCCCCATTCTACTAGGACTACCCTTCTGTGAGCCATGTAACATCAACTGAAAACTTTGAATTAGAAGATCTCTAACAATAACTAAAGTTAAAAACAGTATTGCAGTAATCATTTGTTTGTAACAACTATTATGGTCTCTTATTTTTTCCTTCTTACCAATTCCTGTAAGCAAAACATAACTTAAAAATATTAACTTTGAATAGTATTACATGCACATGATTTTAAAATACTGAAAAATTACCAAACAGTATACTTTAAAAGTTAGTCCATCTTTGTCCTCTAGGCAACCACTTCTACACACTGGAGCAATTACTGTCATCAGACTCTCCCGTATCCTCCCATGCACATTACATTCTATAGCTGCCTATATATACACACACACACACACACACACACACACACACACATATGGATTTTATTATAATAAAGAATTTTATTCTAATACATAGGCATATATAGCATATAAAAATATATATTTTAACCACACGAATGGCAGCAAACTGCACATGCAGTCATGCCTCTTGCTTTTTTTCCTCATATCTTTGACATAGCACCACAGCAGTACACATAGTATTCTCTCATTATTTTTAAAGGCTGACTAGTATTCTGTTGAATATATACACCATAATTCACCTAACTACTTCCCTACTGATATGTTTAGCATGTTTCCAATCTTTTGCAGTAACAAATAATGCTGCCACAAATATTCTTAGATATTTATTTGACATATATGCAAAATCTTCTAGAGAATAAAATCCTATAATGGAATTACTAGAACGAAATAAATCTGTGTTTTAATTTTTGAAAACCATTTTCAAACTGCTTTCTATAGAGTATGAATACTTTATAATCCCACCAGCAATGTATAAGGCTGACCATTTTCTCTTCTCACCTTTCCCGAGTTATACTATACATAACCTTTGCTCATTTGATAGGTGACAAAGAGTATGTTGTAGCTTGAATTTACATCTTTATTATATTATAAATAAAGTTGTACATTTTTTCATATGAATTCTCTTTGCTAATTTTTCTACTGGATTATTTTCTAGTTCTTTGTATTAAGAGGAACTTAGCCCTTTGTGAAGTATACAAATAAGTTTTACTAGTCTGTTTCTCTTTTAACTTTGTTTGATTTTTTCCCCTGTACAGAATTTTATTTTTATGTCCTAAAATCCAGCAACCCAGTATGCTATTAAAGGACTTCACCAATCCTGGATTACGTAAAAAATAATTACCCTACCTTTTTTGTTTCTTTGTTTCATATTTAAATCTTTAACTCCTCTGGAAGCCAACATTATTTTTCCAGATGACTAACTGGCTATCCCAACACTGTTTATTAAACAATTCTTCTTTTCCCTACTCATAAATGAAGGTGGGATCCATTTTCATATACAAGTTGAATACCCCTTATCTGAAATGCTTGGGACCAGAAGTGTTTCAGATTTTAGAATATTTGCACATACATGAGATATCCTGAGGATGGGACCAAACCTGAATGTAATTTTATATAATTTTAAATAATGTTACACATGAAACAAAGTTGTTTTGATTGTTTTTGAGACAGGGACTTGCTCTGTCACCCAGGCTGGAATGCAGTCATACAATCATGGCTCACTGCAGCCTTCACCTCCTGGGCTCAAGCGATCCTCCTGCCTCAGCCTCCCAAGTAGCTGGAACCACAAACGTGTACCACCCTGCCTGGCTAACTTTTGTATTTTTTTGTAGAGATAGCGTCTTTCCATGTTGCCCAGGCTGGTCTTGAACTCCTGGGCTGAAGCAATCCTCCCACCTTAGCCTCCCAAAGTGTTGGGATTACAGACATGAGCCACTGCATCCAGCCTGAAACGAAGTTTTGACTGCGACCCATCATGAGGTCAGGTGTGGAATTTTCTACTTGTGGCATCATGTTGGTGTTCAAAACATTTCAGATTTTGAAGGATTTCAGATTATGGAGTTTTAGATAAGGGATGCTCAACCTATATTAAGCTCTCATATATATTTAAGTTAATTCTAGTCTTTACTCTGTTTTAGTGCTGTCATGTGCCAAAACCATGTTACTTTTCAAAACATTTTAAAATTAAAACCACTTTACATACAAGTAAGAATAATACAACCAGAAATTACTGGCTTGCTTTAATTTATGAATCATTTTGCAATTTCTAAATGGAATTTATATAATTAAGTTCAATATGATCATCATGCAATCATGCATTTTGGTTGACACATATTTTGGAGACCATTACGAATCTCATGTCTCCCACTACATTTCTGGAACCATATCTAGAAAATCAATTTTTCCTTAATTTTGTACATGGTTTTTTTAAATTATAAAATCAGCACATGTTATCTGTAAAAAATCTGAAAATATAAAACATACCTTCCAGAGATAACCAACTTTTATACTTCGGTGTATTTTTTTCCACACTTTTAATAAGTGACTATTTTGTAAACTAATTTTTTCACATAATATGACAGCACTTTCCCATGTTATTACACATACTTCTACAACATGTTTTAAACACATCCTCCCAAATGAATATACCCAGTTTATGCAACCATTTGCCAATTGTTGAACACTTAGAGTTGTTCTCTGTGATGATTATCATCTATTTATTAATCCTTGCCACAAATGAGTTCCAAGAATTAATAGACGAGTTTCAAGCACTGTGGTAAGCATTAACTCTATAATGGTGAGGAAAAAGAAACACATTATCAGGATTTCTGGAGGTTACAATCTATTTGGAAAAACAGATGTTAATCTCCAACACATATGAAATTACAATGACAGCAAGTGCTATGAGGAGAGTTCATGGTGCTCTGAGAGTCTGTGATAGGGAAGCCTTCCCTGAGGAAAGATAAATCGAAGTTTAGGTGAAAGAAAAGTAAAAACATTCTCAGCAGGGGCAACGGCAGGTACAAAGCCCTCACTGTGGGAAGGAGCATGGCAAGAACAAGGGACTGAGATAAGGCCAACAAGGCTGGAACAAAAAGAGTAAGTCAAGAACATGGCTCAAGTCATGACTAGACAGAAAGGTAAGGGCCAGACTATGCAAGACCTTGTAAGACAGGCAGATGCCACCATATAAGACACAGAGTTCTGTCCATATCCTGAATGCAATGGAAAGCTACTGAAGCATATCAAACAGTAGGGTGATGTAATCAGGTTTGCATTTTTAAAAGATCCCTCTGATTACAGTGTAGGAAACAGATCAGAAGGGGACAAAGTAGATTGGGATAAACCAAGATTAGGAGGCTACTGTAGTAAACCTGACCAAAAATGCTAGTAGTTTAGGGTGGTGATGGATTATGAAAAGAAGTAGACGGATTCAAAAGACAACCAGATTTGCCAAAAGATTTATGCTCATAGATTAAAATCCCTAAAACTAGAATTACTGGGTCAAAAAAGAACACTTCAAGGATTCTAATATACATTGCCAAACTGCCCTGCAAAGAGCAGTTGTCTTCATCTGTCAATTACCTTGTAGCTGTTCCTCTATCTGAAATTTTAAGTTCCTTAAAAATTCCTTTAACATGACTAATCCATATTTCCTTCACGAAGTCTTCCCTGACTCCCCTTTTTGCCTGGATATAGAACATGTCTCCCAATGAATCCTTGCTTTGTCTTATACACATTTCTATAGTCCAGTCATACTGCATTTGACTTACGTTTACATGCCCATCATCTCTACTACATTGTGAGCTTCTGGAGAGTAAAGCTGTTCTTAAGGCACTTAAAGCTAAAACAACTTGCTACTCAGGGCTTCAAATACCTACTTTAAAAAAAGTGACCAATTTGTTTGTGATGAGTCATTACATCTCCATAGCGTTCCTGAAAATCTCTCCAATAATTGTAATCAAATAGGTGTTATATGATCTTAAAATATTTTTAAATAGCTTAGTAAAAAACAGACTATGAACAAAGCAGATTCTATTAGAGAAACTTTTGAACCTGAGTTGTTGATACACGCTAATTTTCAAAATTATTCTTATTGCAAATTTAACTCCAATTTACCAAAAAAAAAAAAAAAGGTTATTCTGGTAGTTTCTTATATTTAATTTTATAAAATATAAACAATGAGAATATATTTATAATTGGATAAGCATCTACATAAACTTATATAGCATTTCAGAATTATCAATTCCTTATGTTGAAAAGCTTGATTTCATGGCTAACAGTATCTAGAACAATCTACCAAAATATTCACTAAGCTAGAGGAAGTGGCAGAGTTCCTTAGAGTAATCTTAAAGACAAGCAGCTCCCTCTATAGTCTGTCTGGCCTACTTTGTTTAATTCCTTGCTTTGTGGACATCCCACACTCTTCTATTTACTCCTACTCTGCATCTCAGCAGGGAAGCTCTTTGAAAGGATAGTTCTGTTTAACCTGGTGCTGAGGAAACTGTGAGAGCTGTCTAAACTCAGCATGAAGTGAGTTACATCAAGCAACTAAGCAAAAGTCGAGATGTGGAAAATGGACAGCTTCCCAAGTCCACCTCAGTCAAATCCTTAAATGAAGCCTGATGATTTCATTTGTAGTGAATCCTCTGAGTGGTCACACCTATATTCAAATCTAAATGAAAAAACATTGTCCTATACTTTATTCACAACCTTTCTTCCCTCCATTAAAACAAGTTACCAAAATGTTGTTCTAAAAGAAAAAATTAACAATTTATTCTACAAATGATACTGCTCAATTTGATTATGTCAAAATAATGTTCAAGACATTTTAAAAACTAGTTAAAAAAATGGAGAGGAAATTTGTTTTTGTTTTTTAAAAAATTCCATAACTCAGATGAAGAAACTTTAAGTGATTCCCTTAGGAATCAATATCCTCAGTTGGCAAGGGATTAAATCAGTCAGGATTTACCATTCAAATCTGAATATCCCCCCCCGCCTTTTTTTTTTTTTTTTTTAAGACAGGCTCTTGCTCTGTTGCCCAGGCTGGAGTGCAGTGGCGTGATCTTGGCTCACTGCAGCCTCAACCTTCTGGGCTGAAGCGATTCTCCTGTCTCAGCTTTCCAAATAGCTAGTACTACAGGTGCACACCACCACGCCCAGCCAATTTTGTTTGTTTGTTTGTTTGTTTTGTACAGACTATGTCGCCCAGGCTGGTCTCCAACTCCTGGGTTCAAGCGATCCTCCTGCCTCTGTCTTCCAAAGTGTTGGGATTACAGGCATGAGCCACAGCACCCAGCCCTGAATATCCCTCTTTTTAAAAATACCTTTTCAAATTTCACCAACTTAAGACATGGGAGCTTTTAAACCCAAAACACTTTATTTCTTAAATTACTCAAGATACGTCCTCAAAACACAGAACAATCAAAAGTCAACTGGACTGTTTTCTAAAGCAGAAAAATGCTTTTCAGGCAATAATAGAAAAACTAAACTAGTAAAAGGGTATTAATCCAATCAGTTCAGAATTTGTAATATAATTTTGAAACGGCCACTTCATTTGAGAAAAAATATCTTTGGTTGCTATTTTTCAGGATCTCATTTGTAAAGCAAAGTCAATTTTAAAACATTTTCTCTCCAAACCAAAGTAAAGCATTAAGGACCTCCCAAAGTAATTCTTATATATGAAAAAAGTATGTTTATGCTATTTTATGTAGCATAGGTTTATCATGTGTTACACATTTTTATTACCTTATTTTACTTGTTAGTAAAGATATAAACTATAAAGATATAATACAAACCATGTTTATATCTTTGCATTATGTTTACATCTTTACTTTCAAATAAATCTGTCTTCATTAAAAATTCTAGCATTCAGAGTTTTACTAAGTCAGACTGGCCTCTCTTTTATATTAATAATTTTCAAGTTTTATTTTATTGGACTAGTTTTCCTTGGGGAGATAATTCAAAAGCAGGTAATTCTGCAGTTTTTGATTATGTTTAATTAATATTAATCTCACTGGGAGTTTCTGACGTGCTAATAAAAATGCTGGCTTGGTTTATGAAAAGTGTAAACTCTAAATGTATGCCAATGACTTCAAATTTTTTCTTGTTGAAACAAACATTTTGTTGGAAACTGTGAACTACATGGCAAATTCAATTTGATAATCCTTAACAATTTAAAATTTGACTTTCTCTGTATCAAGTTTTATGTCTTTCAATGTACATATAAAAAGTGTTACTTTTTAATTCATTTAAAATATAAATTTCAAAGTATGTACCAAAAAAAAAACCCCAATGGGGGTTTTTAGTCTTTGGTTTTTTCGTTTTTGTTTTTTTTTTTTTTTTTAAGGTGCTGGTAATCTATTGTGGGATGTCCATGAAGGATTAAATAGGAAATAGTTAATGTGTCTTTTAAAAAATATTCAGGAAAACAACAGTATATAATATTCTTTATTTTTTAAGGAACATTTCCTCACGTAATAGAATTACATTAGCTTACAGTGAAACTCATTTATTTCCACAAACGAAACTTTCCTATACAACAAAGCTTGACTATCTCTCAGGAAAACATATTTAATGACTTGTGTGGAGGAGAAAAAATTATGTGTGGAAAAGTAACTCAAACCATACAAGCTGTAATACACAGAAATGCCACAGTATATCCTATTAGCATGTCACTTTATGATTCGGAAATTTGGCTGAACAGGGCCATATCAACTTCACTATTTTATCCTTCCTCTGCATCTGAAGTGAGAACAGTGCATTACACTGAAATTCCAATTGGAAACAAAGACAGCACCACTATATTTAAAAGGGCAGAAAACCTATCTTATAGAACACTTCATCGCCTCGATTTCCCAGCCTCCAAAGTTTCAAGTGTTACACTTTCAACACGTTAAAAGCACTCAAATTCCCCATCTTTCAAGGTTCATATCAAAATCATATTCACTAGTTTAAATAGGAATATGCTACCAAATCTCACAACATTGACATTTTAACAAAGAGAATTCACATTAAAAGATAACTGCTTTAAAATGAGTGCTTGTGTTTGGGAAAGCGCTATTATCTTGGTAGTCCACAGAAACTGACTGTAGTAATAAGATGAATGGTGATGAGGGCAAGGAGCATCAAGTGGGAAATGCTATCTAAAATCCCATAGGGCAATTCATAGCTAGAGGGAAGAACAACCTTTCCTAAGATGCATTATTTCCTAGAACTCCATTATTTCATGGAAGCAGTTCAAAGCATGCAAAAAAGCAAAACCATTTTAAAACACCTAGTAAACTGGGCCTCTATCTTTTTTATATTATCATAAGCCCCAGGAGTTTTTGAGAACGTACCTTCTGTCACGGCTGTCTCCCCTTCCCATCCCTTCTTCAACATAGTTGTGTTTAAAAAATATATACCTGTACTTAAAACGCAATCCTACAGCCCAGCCTAGGAGCATTTCAAAATGTCTGTGCTGCTGAGTCTGGCTGTGGTTCCTAATAAATTCACCCCATTAAGTGTGATGTTTTAGGTTGGGCAACATAAACACGCATTTCCTACTTCCATGGATGCACATTTCCTGAAAGCACTGCACCTAAGGATGCTGCCCTGTCCCCCGACGCTCAGGCACTAAACTCTAAGGAGTCACGACCTGCACTCACAGCAGAGCCACACGGTCACCCCAGTGAGAAAGATTATCTGGCCCCAAGCGCCACTCTCTCCGGCCCACTGCATCTCCGGAACTGGCAGAGGAGAGCGAGGGTGAGAAGAGACCATGGGGAGCGACTGACAACAAGGCTGACACTTCCCCGTTTCCAGAAAGCGGCACTTGGGGGACACAAGGGATGTCCCACTAGCGACCGACCTCAGAGCAGGCCCTACGAACCCGTCCACCGATGGACATGGCGCGGCCACCTGGCCCGCCGTCCGGGGCGCCCGCGGCTTTCGCTCTCCCGGCCCGCGCCCTGGAGTGCGGCTCCCGCTCCCGGCCGCCACACGCAGTCTAAACACGCGGCGCTCGCCACCTCCCTGCCCGGGGGTGGGGGCGCCGCGCAGCGCTCGCGCGGACCCACATTTTTGCGGCTCTTGTCACGCACGAGAGAAAAGGCGAGGAGGGCGGAGGGGAGGGAAGACGCGGCAGCGATCCACGGAGACGGCCGGCGCCGGTGGCGTGTGCGCGTGTGCGCGGCGGGGAGGGCGGCCCCGGCGCCCCGCCGACTCCCGCTCCCGCCCCGCGCCCGGCGCCCGCTTACCTGCCGGGGTCGCTCCGAAGACTCGCACCACCGGCACCTTCTTGACAGGGGCCTGGGTGAGGGGGGATTGGCAGGTATCCAGCCCCTGCAGCGGGCTGGCCATGTAGTAGTCTGCAGTCACTATCCTTACTGAAAACATGTTCGCCGCCGCCGCCACTGCCTCCCTTCACTGGCGACCCGGCAGCGGCAGCAGCAGCGGCGGCGGCTCCCTCCGCAGCGGCGGCGGCGCCCCCTCCCCTTCTCGGCACGGCCCCCTCCCCTCACACAGAGGCACCTCGAGGAGCGGCGGGCGGGGCGGTGTAGGCGCTGCTGCCGCCGCCTCCTCAGGAGCACCCGGCAAGGGGCCGCAGGAGAGAAGCCCTCGAGCTTTCGTCGGTGCTGGTGCTGCCGCCACTGCCGCCACCGCCGGGAATCACACGGGCTCCTCGGTCCCAGGCTGCAGCTCTTGTTGCCATGATGATGATGTCACGGACGCAACCACTGGGGGGAGGGGAGAGGGGGGTGTGTGTGGCGAAGGGAGGCTGCGAGTAGTGCGGGGGAGGGGGCTCGGCGGGAAAAGGAGCGAGAGGGCGGGCGCCCGGGCGGGACACGGAGGGCGGGGGCCGAGAAGGGGCTTTCTCCCCCTCCCCGGGCACGCGGCGAGGGAGGCGGCCGGCGGCCGGCAGCGCCCGCGCGGGATCGATGACTCGGCTGGCGGGCACGGTCACCTGGGTGAGGGGCAGCGGAAGGGGCGGCGGAGCACCGATCTCATGGATGGGCTCCGAGGGGCTTGCGGGAGGGGGGCGCCAGTGTTCGGGGCCGTTTTGGCGGCTATGCAGGATTGGCAGGAGCTGCGATGCTCACACTTGCCTCGCCGACCGCCATTTCACATCCAGCAGAGGAGGCGGGGGCAGCCGCTGAGACGGTTTTTCACAAGGTAAGAAAATCCGCCCGCGTGAGGAGGGAGGCGAGGCGCAGATCTCGTGCCGCTGCGGCCTCGCGGGAGGGAAGGGCGGGCGGGCGGCGGAACGGGCGGGGCCGGGTGCGGACGCAGCCGGCCCTTCTCAGGTAACGCCGCGGCTCCGCGCGTGGCCCGGGGGCGGTGCGAAGGGTGGGGGCGCGCGGGCGCGGGCTTCGGCCTATAAAAGGGCCGCCCTGGCGTTCCCCCTTCCCGAACGTGCCGCGCGAGCCGCGGTGCCCCCTCCTCTTTGCTGCTGCAGTGTCTGCGCCGGGCCATTTAATGAGATTTATTCACGCACGGCTCTTCTCAGCTTTGCGAGGGGTTGGCAGATCCAGTGCACAGGGATTTCCCACTACCGTGTTTTTCTCCCGCCCCCTTCCTTCCCTCTCGTCCTAATACATCCTTCGTTGGTTTCCTCGGCCCCGCAGGCTGCGTCCCGGGCACGCGCAAGTACATGTAAGGACTTGTCAGCTGCCGGTGACCTCCCTCCTCCCTCGTCGCTCCTCCCCCAGCGGAATGTAGGATTAACAGTCTTTCCGAGAAAATTTTGGCCAAAGAAAAAGGCCTGTGAAAGTCACCGCGTTAGACGTGGCCTCCTCGTGTTTTTCACTAACACGTTATGGAAGGTTTTACTACCCGAAGGCATAAAAGCACCACCGTGGGGAAGGGCCGTTTTGAATAAACAACTTTATTCAAAAATCGAGAGGGGGTGAAGCGATGCAGTTAGGGAATTTTTGTTTTAAAGAGTAGTAACATGCAGCTGGCTTGGCTATTAAATTGGAAACAAGGGGTTCCTCTCTGACTTGGCCACTGATATTGGGCGTGACCTTGGACAAATAATTTTGTTTCTTTGGGCTCAGTTTCTACATATGTAAAACGGGAAGGTTTCTCTTAAAAACTAATCCTGAAGGGTTTCTTCTCAACAAAAAGATGCAAGCTGTAGGAGGCAGAAAGCGTGGGTTCAAGTTCGAAATTTGCCCCTGAATTAGGACCCTTGACACATTTCTAACCCATCCAAGTAGAGATCGTTCTTTTACATTTGTGTGTTATACAGGTGCATTTTAGTGGTTACCAGGTTGCCACGTATTTGAAGTGGTGTGAGAGCTACTCGTTTGGAACCGTTGTGGATTTTCAAATAGGAAAATCAAAAGGCCCAAAGAGACAGCTCACTGGTAAGAAGCTGTCTATAAATTCCCTAACATATAAATGCTATAATAAGAACTTACGCTCCGAGGGATTTGAGACTGATTACTACAGTAAATTAGCTTGTAGTTTTTAACCTCAGAGCATGATTATAAACATACGTGGCAAGATTTCTACTAATATGCTGGAAATTAGCTAATATTTTTAAGAGGCAAAATCTCTTGATCTGAAATTTTAGAAGGCTATAGAAGTGATTTTAAAATATGACTACCATGCTAAAATGTATTTTTTATAAAATAAATATTTTGTACACGCCGAATGTCAGATACACAATATCAGTGATTCTCAGTGTTCCATGACACCTAGAATTCTTTAAGTGTTGATATTTTGGCTCTTACTGAATTATATTTTGGGGGATGGGGCCTGGGAATCTGTATTGTTAGCAACACTACTTGCCACCCCGTGATTCTTAAGCAAAATAAAATTGAGAATCCTTGTACTATATTATAATCAGTGTATCCATAACTTTTAAATTATAATATTCCTAACTAGAAAATGGTAAAAGCATCAAATTAACAGATTTGCGATTTCTAGAAGAGGGTTTCTTTCCCCTTACCTCTTGAATCAACATTATTTACTTTAAGAAAAGGCAGTTGCAACCACAAGTCAAATCCTTCTAGAACTCCAAGAATGTTCACTCTTGAAGAAAAACATTTGCAGCATGAAATTAGGAATGTTGTGTTCATTGCATGTAATTTAGTTTTAAGTTGATGCTCAAATTGAAAACCTGACAATAGCCCCCTAATTAACCACTATCAAATGTGTTTTATATGTATATTCTTCCTGAAGTAAGAAAAAGTTCTGGAATTTTGAGTCAGAGAATGTGAATATTAAACCATCATTTAGCTAAGTGCTCACTTATTTTTTGGAATTTATTTCCTCATCTGTGAAATGGATAGTAATTCCTGTTTTAACTTCTCAGGGATGTTATAAGGCTCAAATGAGATAATGTATGTGAAAATATAGTAAAATGTTCATATCCAGAAGTCTGATTCATTGAGAAACAGTAAAATCACTTGGAATTGACTTATCTACATACAGTATGAGAAATGCAAAAATTGAACTCTATACTTAATATCCTTAATGCTTTTTTTTTTTTTTTTTTTGAGACAGAGTCTCACTCTGTCACCCAGGCTGGAGTCCAGTGGCACAATCTTGGCTCACTGCAACCTCCACCTCCCGGGTTCAAGTAATTCTCCTGCCTCAGCCTCCCGAGGAGCTGGGACTACAGGCATGTGCCACCATGCCTGGATAATTTTTGTATTATTAGTAGAGATGGGGTTTCACCATGTTGGCCAGGCTGGTCTCGAACTCCTAACCTCACGATCTGCCTACTTTGGCCTCCCAAAGTGCTGGGATTGCAGGTGTGAGCCACCACACCTGACTGTGCTTTCTTTTTTTTTTTAGGTGGCTATTTCTTGCCAGGAGATTTGAGATATGGTGAGAAACAAAACAGACATGGTCCCTTCCCTTATAAGGTTTATAGTCTAGCATCCTAAAAATGTATTTTAATCATATCAATTAACATTTAATCATCTCTTCTAGTTCACTGACATGTACTTAGCATGTCTGCCTTTAGTAAAAGCCTACCAAGTCTCCTTTACCAATACTGTTCAACATCTGTTAACATCTGCCTGTTAGCAGTTTATAATCTAGAACAGACAGTAGTAGCTACCATACTTTTGTGGCAGATACTATAAGATGGCTTATTCAGTATTCATCCAACCCTCTTCTTGCTTACTTTTCTGTACTTTAAAAGCTGGAAAACAAACTACAGTTCTCAGACTCCTTTGCAGCTAGATTGCTGGTGTGAGATCAATGGTGTGATCAGTAAATGTTTAACAATGGCTAGAGAAGAGGGAAGGCCCTAATTTGTAGCATTGGCCAATTCGGTTTGCTTTCTTTTTGAGGAACAGGGTCTCACGATGTTGCCCAGGCTGGTCTTGAACTGCTAGGCTCCTCCCACCTCAACCTGCCAACTAGTTGGGACTACATGGTACAAATGTGTCCTCTACCAGAGTGACTTCAGTAAATGTGGAGTTAGTTGGAAAGGATGCTGACAATCAGAAGTTGGCTTCAGTATATGACCTAGTTTCCAGCAATCAGATGTACCCATTCAGGACATGGATGTGAGAGCGAGCAACATGATGCTTCAACTGCACTCAGGGAGATAAGTATCTTCTGACAAATACCATGAAGGAGGTATCTGGTTCCTCTGGGTAGGTAGGGAGGAGTTGTGGCATCTGTTCTAGAGTCATAGGTGCTGACTGGCAGGCATTGCTGGGATGGGTTTCCACTAGAATAGCTTTGTGATGTGGGATGGGTGTTCTTTGTGGTTTGGTTTTTCTTGGATGTTGTTTCTAGCTTGGTTTATCCAAGTCTGGTTCTCTGGCCCTCTGAGAGATCTGTGAACTAAATAGTATCTTTTAATCCCTTTTTGCTTCAACCAGCCCAGTCACAGCCAGCTACATAATTTGTGGAGCCCAGAGCAAAATGAAAACGTAAGGCCTCTTGTTCCAACACAGGGGAAAATGTGCTATTATCTGTATTAAAATATAAAGCTTTTTCTTTGTTCTGTCGTCGCTCTCTCCACTTGTCATAGTGTTTTTAAATTTGCTTTTTAATGTCATTCTATGAGAAGAAAAATTAAATTTTTTAATTCTTAGGATGAATTTTACCATTCATCTTTATATTGTGTAATGCCGTTTTAAAATGCAAATATAAGAGCATTTCAATTGTATGTGGAATCACCAAAATTATACAATTCATAGCTTGTAAATGCATATGTATTTTGTGCTATCAGAGCAGTGTAAACTCTGCACAAAACAAAACTATTTTTGTTTTCCTTCTTGATATGCACACATTCTACCAACATTCTCCATCTTCTGCTTACTGATGAGTAAGGAAGGATGAAAGGAAAGGGAGTGCTGAGTTGCCCTACTTTCCCTTTCATTCTTTGTCATCATTTTTTGTGTAAATGGTTGGCTAATAGTGGTAAGTAACACATGAGTAAGGAAGGATGTGATGTAATCACTTGTGTTTCTTAAAGATGCTGTTGCCTTCTTTCTGCACCTGAAGCAAGTTCGGATTTGAATGAAAAGTGTAGCCTCTTGGAACTGTCTATGCCTCCACTAACTCAGTCATAGATGTTACATGCTTGTTTTGTATTAACTTTGTTACTCTCTTGAGTTCCTGCACCTCATAGGTCCACCAGAATCCTTTGTCATGAGGCATCATGGAGACCATATGCAAATAGAACGGCAAGGAAGAAAGGATACATACCTCTGCTTGCATATTATGCTCTGCTATACCACTGGACTTACAAAACAGATAGTCAAACATAAAAGTATTACAATTTTCAAGACAGTGACTACAGAGCATTAAACCAAGCACTGGGCCCTGTGTGACTATACTTGTCGCATGTTCATGAAGTTGATGGCTCTGAGCGCTTGGGTTTCTCAAATGGGGCTTCTGGCATTTTTGGTGAAACAGTTTTTCATTGTGCAGGACATTTAACATCCCTGGCCCCCATGCACTACATGCCACTGTAACAATAAAAAATTCCCCATGTATTTCTAAATGTCCCCAAAGAGGAGTTGCTGCTCTCCACTAAACTCCTAGAGTGACCTCCACTGTGTACAGCTATGAACCATGAGCACTACAGAGTTGAGTTAAAAAGGATTTCAAATTCTCATATCCCGGAAAGCAGAATTATGATGACTTTTTTCGTATTGTCAAATAAATAATACCACCTACATTGATGATGAAACAAATATTTGAGATAACAATTTAAAGGTGGTTAGTGGGTTCTATGTGTCACATGTAAATGGTAGTTGACTCCAGATAGATGGCAATTTCTGATAGTTTAAAAAAAAAAAGAAAAGAGCAGAGCACCACAGAAAAGCAAAGAGAACCATCTTACCTTCATTATCTTCATCAGGTAGCCCCCAGGAAAAACTAAGAAAGTTGTCATAATAAGATATGCTACTCTTATTACATTGGATTTGGAATTTAGTTTTATCATATCTATTTTTTTTTAAGGTATAGTTCTTCATTTAAGAATATTAACTGTCAGGGCCAGGCACAGTGGCTCAACTCTGTAATCACAGCACTTTGGGAGACCAATGCGGGAGGATTGCCTGAGCCCAGGAGTTCGAGACCAGGCTGGGCAACGTGGCAAAAATCCATCTCTACCAGAAATACAAAAATTAGCTGGGTGCGATGGTGCATGCCTGTAGTCCCAGCTACTTGGGGGCTGAGGTGGAAGGATAGCTTGAGCTTGGGGAGGTCAAGGCTGCAGTGAGCCTTGAGCCTCATGAGCATAGGATTCTGGTGGACCTATGAGGTGCGAGAACTCAAAAGAGTAATAAAGTTAATATAAGACAAACGTACATCTATGACTGAGTTAGTGGAGTCATAGTGTTGCCACTGTACTGCAGCCTGGGCAACAGAGTGAGACCCTGTCTCAAAAAAAAAAAAAAAATCATTTCATCAAAAGTGAATTCATTAAAAAAGTGTACCAAGAATACATTCATTGGCCAGGCACGATGGCTCACACCTGTAATCCCAGCACTTTGGGAGGCAGAGGTGGGAGGATTGCTTGAGCCCAGGAGTTTAAGACCAGCCTAGGCAACATGGTGAAACCCTGTGGGACTGAGAGGCTGCTTGGTTGAGAGGTGGGAGGATCACTTGAGCCCGAGAGGTCAAGGTTGCCGCACCACTGCACTCCAGCCTGGGTGGTAGAGCAAGATCATGTCTCAAAAAAAAAAAAAAAAAAAGAATACATTCATTAAATATATTGAGGTGAATATTCTCTAAAACAAGTATTTGGTAAATATAGCAAACTGATTCGTTGGCAAATTACCTTTTAGCAAATTGGACTGCTTTCCATCCCTATTAGGGATATTATAAGGATTAAATGAAGTATTGCCAAAAATACTTAGCACAATCTGAATACACTTTAGCTGTAATCCCCCCCGCCAACATTCATACTTCAAGTCCTGCCTATTCTTTCTCCTGAATATTCCCCATTTTTGTCCACAGAATCATTGTCCTTTTGTAGCCTTTCACTAGCTTTAGGTATACTATTGCAGTAGTCACTTGATTGGTCTCTTGGCTTATTCCCCACTAATTTTATTTTCTACTGTACTGCAAGGGTGATCTGTGTACCACATAAATTTTAAGTTATCGTCTATGTCAAATTATCATCTATTGCCATAAAAACAGTGTTTATGGCATACCAACTTCATGATTTGGCCTAGATAGATATTCGGCTTCATACCTTTTCACCTTTTCCATTTATCTTCTAGCACCTCTGAGGTATTATAGCTTCGTAAACATGCCATTCTTTTTGAAAAACTATCAAATCTCTGTGCATTTGCCTTTCTAACTGGCATAGTACATTTTCCCTTCTTGCCTCCTGGCAAAATTCTTATTTATCTTTCAAGTTTTAGCTCAAATGCCACTTCCTTGTAAAGGTTTCCCTGATTTCCTCAAACAGATTTAGGTGTTATTTCTAGCCTTCCACTTCTCTTTGTATGTGCTTCTATTATAATGCTTATATTATTGTAGTTGTTTGTTAGTCTGTCAGTTTAATAGACTGTTATCTTCTTGAAGGAGCAGACCATATCTTTTCATCTTTTATATACTAGATCCAAGTATAATGCCTAGAATATAAGTTATCAACATTTATTGAATTAAAAAAATTTAAAAATCTGTTTACAACTCTCTCTACTGCCTGCCCAACACCCCTCCGTTACATATCAGTAAGCTAAGGTCCAAAGAAATAAAGCTGTTTAGTGGGAACTCATGCCTCCAAACTCTAGATTTATTACTTTTACTCCTATACTTAGAGAATCTTCTGAGCTGCGGCTATGTAAGTAGTCATTTCTATGGTAAGAAAGACTGTCTTGTCACTGTTTTTTCATTCATCTTTAAGGAGAAGGTAGAAGGGCATAGTGATTTGACAAGAGTGGCAGTATTTTCTTTCTTATTCAATCATTTAGATACTTTGTTTTCTAGTAAATTTGGTAGAGTTCAAGCTAAATTTTTTTTTTTTTTTTTTTTTTTTTTTAGAAATTATTTTAATAGAGATGAGGTCTCACTATATTGCCCAAGCTGGTCTCGAACTCCTGGGCTCAAGCGATCTTCCTGCCTCAGCCTCCCAAAGTGCTGAGATAACAGGTATGAGCCACCATGCCCTGCGAAATTATTCTTTTTGAGACAGAGTGAGACTCTGTCACCCAGGCTGGGGTGCAGTGACCCAATCTCAACTCACTGCAGTCTTGACTTCCCAGGCTCAAGCAATCCTCCCACCTCAGCCTCCTGAGTAGCTGGGACTACAGGCGTGCACCTCTACACCCAGCTATTTTTCATATTTTTTTGGAGACAGGGTTTCACTATATTGCCCAGGCTGGTCTCGAACTCCTGAGCTCAAGTGATCTGCCTGCCTTGGCCTCCCAAAGTGCTGGGATTACAGGTGTGAGCCATGGCGCCCAGCCTCAAGCTAAATTATTCTTTGTGTCATCCCTTTTCTTTCCTTCACTTTCAGATAACTCAGTTTTCTTAACTACTGTAGGGCAAATGTCTGAGTCATTTAGTTCAGTGTTCCTCAACCAGGGGTGATTTTTGCCGCCCTAGGGGACATTTGGCAAAATATCTGGAGGCATTTTTGATTATCACATCTTACAATGCATAGGGCAGCCCCTGCAGCGCAAAGAATTATCAGGTCCAAAGTGTCAATAGTGCAGGTGTTGAAAAACCCTGGCCTAGTTTAAAGTAAATTTGTACCCAGCCCTTCATCCAGTCTCTTGCCTTTATGAAACCATGATGGAAAAGAAACTCATTCCCTTTCAGAGGCATTTGGAAGGCCTAAGTAAGTACGGCAAACTTTGGAGTCAATTGCATCAACCATACAAAGTCCCAAAAGGCTTTATATGCAGGTTTCTGCAATTTCTCCATAGAACCTTCCTGGGTACAAGGTAGGCACATAAATATTTGTTGCCTAAATGAATAATAATAAAATAATTCTTGGCTAAAAGACATATTTTATTTCTTTCTCTTTAAACCAAAGTCAGATTTATCATGTGGTGAGAGATGAATTTCCTGAACAGAGATCTCTCTATTCATTTTAACCAATTAATTTACTCAGTTACTCAGAGAAGCAAAACTTTTCTGAAACAACTTCCACTTCCATAAGTTAGCAGTAATAGTCTTAAGGAAGGAATTGATAGCCTATAAATTAAAGATGATGTTTGAGGAACAAGAAATAAAAGAAACTTTCAGAATAGAGTAATATTAGAACTGATGCCTGAGCTTTCCAGGACCCTCATTTAAATTACATATCCAGAATTGATATTGGAGCATTTCCAATGGATTATATTATAGATAGGCAGGAGGAGACCAAACACACATAGAGTAAGGATAGATAAAATTCCCAATTTAAATAATTAAGATGCAAAATCTCAGAAGCTAGGTATCTATTTGGATCAACATATCTCAGGGTAGTTTCCCCTGGCCCCAAAGTTTATTGCATTTTAATATTCACAGTGTAAATCACATTCCAGAAAAACTCCCACTAAAAAGCTTTTTACTGAGACTGGGCAGGGTGGCTCATGCCTGTAATCCCAGTACTTTGGAAGACCAAGGTGAGATTATTGCTTGAGCCCAGAAGTTTGAGACCAGCTTGGGCAACATAGTGAGACCTTGTCGCTACAAAAAATTAACAATTAGCCAGGCGTGGTGATGTATGCCTGTAGTCCCACTTACTCAGGAGGCTGAGGCAGGAGGATCACTGGAGCCTAGGAAGTTGAAGCTGCAGTGAGCCATGATCACCACTGCACTCCAGCCTGGGTCACAGAGCAAGACCCTGTCTCAAAAAACACACACACAGAAAACTTTGTTATTGACACTGGATTCTCCTAGATTTTGCTTTATTTTACATCCTCATTCCAGAGGCCAGAAAAGACTACTTATTCTCAGATGTGTAAATATAGATAAGTCCTTCTGTTTCTTCATTTTCTCAATAAAATGTATTTTTCCAATTTTAAAAGTTTTTAAATGCATAGCATGGAAAACATGGAGGACAATAAAGAAAAATATAGAACATTCAGTCTCACCCAGTGGAAGTCATGATTAACATTCTAGTCCATTCTGTTTCTAGAAAATTTTTCTGTAAATATATTACATAGAGAAAATAATGTCCTAGTTTTTTCACTTTGCATCATAACAAGCATTTTCCATGTAAATTAAAACTCTTCATATACATTGTTTTAATGGCTGCAAAATATGCTGTGTTGTGGACATATGATAATTTACCTAACCATTTTCCCACTGTTGGCCAACAACAGAATGGTTCAAATTTTACATTATCTTGTATATCACACTGAGCATTTTTAGGCTGAAAATTTTGCTCCATTTTGGATCCTATCCTGAATTTTTCAAGGAACTTACTTTCTAGTTCACTATTTGATATCACCAGTTCTTGGTACATACCATGTTCTTTCTACACAGAAGAGAGAATTGCATGTGATACTCATTCTGCCTGGTTTGCTCTTCCTTTCCCTGTCTCTTTTTGCCAAGTTAACCCACTCTTTTCTTTCTTAAAGATTTCAGTAAGTAGGAGTAGAGACCTTCCTGTGTCAGTACTTAGTCAAAATATAAAATTGGAATAGGAAGAAGATTTTTTAATAGAGGTTTTTTTGTTGTTTGCTTTTTTTACTTGAAGTTCCGGGATACATGTGCAGAATGTGCAGGTTTGTTACTTAGGTATACATGTGCCATGGTGGTTTGCTGCACCTATCAACCCATCATCTAGCTTTTAAGCCCCGCATGCATTAGGTATTTGTCCTAATGCTCTCCCTCCCCTTGTCCCCCACCCCCCAACAGGCCCCGGTGTGTGTTGTTCCCCTCCTTGTGTCCATGTGTTTTCGTTGTTAATAGAGGTTTCAAAGATTATAATTACACCAGCTTAACTGTTATCTCTTCACTCAGTCACCTATTTATTTAATTTAATTAATTTATTTATTTATTTATTTATTTATTTATTTTTGAGACAGAGTCTCACTCTGTCACCCAGGCTAGAGTGCAGTTGCACATTCTTGGCTCACTGCAACCTCTGCCTCCCGAGTTCAAGCGATTCTCCTGCCTCAGCCTCCCAGATAGCTGGGATTACAGGTGCCCGCCACCACACCCAGCTAATTTTTGTATTTTTAGTAGAGACGGGGTTTCACCATGTTTGGCCAGTGTAGTCTCAAATTCCTGACCTCAGGTGATCTGCCCGCCTCGGCCTCCCAAAGTGCTGGGATTACAGGCACGAGCCACCATGCCTGGCCCAGTCGCCTATATTAAACATGCATTTTATTGCTCAATTCTAAGCTTTTTGTATTATTTTAACTTTTTATTAACTCACTGATATTTATAAAATTCTATGTTAAACGATGTGGTTGATTTTTTTTTTTTAAGAGTAAGACATGGTCCTGGACTCCAGTATTATGTAATTGACCAATAAACTGTAAGTTTCTTGACATTAGGAATCATATTCTACATTTCCTTTTTTCTTTTAAGACAGGGTCTTGCTTTGTTGCCCAGGCTGGAGTGCGGTGGTGCAATCACACTTCACTGCAGCCTTGACCTCCTGGGCCTAAGCGATCCTCTCACCTCAGCCTCCTAAGTAACCGGGGCCACAGACGTGCGCTACTGCTCCTGGCGAATTTTTTTTTTTTTTTTTTTTTTTTTTTTTTTTTTTGAGAATGATTCTTGCTCTGTCACCCAGGCTGGAGTGCAGTGGTGCGATCTTGGCTCACTGCAAGCTCTGCCTCCCGGGTTCACACCATTCTCCTGCCTCAGCCTCCTGAGTAGCTGGGACTATGGGCTCCTGCCACCAGTTTTTTTATTTTTGTAGAGATGGAGTCTCCCAATGTTGCCCAGGCTGGTCTTAAACTCCTAGGCTCAAGGGATCCTCCCAGCTGGGCCTCCCAAAGTGCTGGGATGATAGGCATGAACCACCATTCCCAGCCCATTTCCTTTTTCCCTTTGCACAGTACCAGATATATGGTTGGTACTGCAGAAATAATTTCCCCCTGCCCTCTACATTGATCATTTGATGACCAAATAGTGTCCGTCTAGCCACTTATTTATGATTTGTACAAAACATTCCGCTTTCTGAGGTAGACAGTGATATTCTGAAGCCATCAGTAAGAGTAATTTTCAGTTTGTTGAAAGTGAACATTCTTTGTGTAAAGGTCAGCCTGTCAGGAAATAGCATGCTACTCTGTTCTTTTAAGATTATTTTTAAAACCTTTGAATATGTGTGTTTTTACACTTTAAAAAAAAAAAAGTAGTGAGAAACTATACCTAGTGGTCTCACCAGATGTTTTCAAATCAGAACTGGGGCAATCTAGTTGTAATTTATTTTCACAAATTTATGAGAATAAGAGCTGATATTTTTCTTGCTTGAATTAGCAGGTAATTTCATTCTCCATTCCTCTTTAGTGGGGAAAATCTAGCCTTTGGATGAAAATGTGAACCAGAGGTTCTTGCCAAGTCTGCAAAGCAGTATAAAGATTAGTTTTATGAATGAAGGAAAACACTACTCATTTTTCTTAGGAGGCTGCTTACTTCTGCATTTGTATAACATGTTTTTAGACTGAAAGCTCATAGAGAAAAGAGAAGGATCCTCATTCTAGAATATCTGCTCCCCTGTACTTAGCATATTCATAGTCTTTCAAGACTTAATTTATTAAAGATGTTAAAGACTTTGACACTTGGCTTACAGTCTTTCTCCTTCACCTGAATTCCTGCCCTCATCCTGAGTAAATTCATCACCCAAGTAGACAGCCCATCTAATACTGTTGGGAAGGGAAGGTTATACCGTGTTATGGATTAATCTCTACCTTATGCCAAAGTATGGTGTTATAATTCTCCTTTGCATACCCAAAATTAACAATAGGCTGAATCATTTGATTATCATTCCCTTTGACTCTAACATAGCTTTTATCCTTTCCTGTTTTGCTTTACAGTTTTGGGTCTAGTTCATCTGATAAGGTACATTTCTAATATTTTTTAAAATTAATATTTATTCAATCAAAAAGAGCATGTCTTAGACATCATGGGATGAAATGATAACTGAAGGAAAATAACTCCTAAAAATAGTCACCCTATTTAAAGAGGCTTTTGTAAATCAAAGTAGTCTCTAGTTGTAATTCAGGGCCAGAGGTCTTAGGCCCAGGTCCCTTGAGTTTTTTCATTCTTGAGTTTCCCAGCTTCTCCCTTCTGCTCTCAAAGATTGTCTAAAAACATACCCCTTTTTTCCCCTGTAGTAGCAGGGAAAACAGCACTATTCGGGTGGGGAATAGTGATGGGGCTTATTGGTATATATAGGTCATTTATTGAATAATAGTAGAGCATTCTGGTGTTTAAACTCTGCAGCCCAATTTCCCTACTTACCTGCTCCATAACTTGGGCAAATTACTTTCTGTGCCTCATTTTTCCTGTCTGTAATAAACAGATAATAATAGTAGTACCTACCTCTTAGTGTTGTTGTGAAGATTGAATTACATATATTAAATGAGTTAACACCTTAGACTGCTAAGCACTCAATAACAGTAAGCTATTCACAATTTAGAGGCAGCTTCTCCATTTCCTAAAATATACTTATTCATCAAGAAGAATGATGTAATAGTGAAAGGTAGGAGTTTTAAAAATTCCGTTGATTGGATGTAAAAAGTAGATTCTTAGAATTTCAAATAACCCAAGAAATTATTTATACCATTGGTTCTTAACCAGTAATATGCATCAGAATCATTTATGAGACGTTGTAAAGATACATTTATCTAGGCCCTTTCTTCTCATATCTACCAAGTCAGAATGCCCACAGGCAATTCCAGTGCAGTCTTCCTGTCAAGACCATTGAAATAATCCAAGTCTTTAGATTTTATAATGAAGAAATTGAGACTCAGAGAAAGTAAATGACTTGCCTAAGACCCCATAGAGTAAGTGAGATCCAGGTTACCTACCTCCTTGGTAAGCGATCTTCCTATTCTTCTGTGTTGCCACCAAATATATTAACTTTTAAAGAACCTAATATGAGAACTTATCCTTCTGTCAGTTATATCAGGAAGAATAATATAGGCTTTAAAACTTACTTCATTCAGCATTTAAATCAAAATAACAAAATTCCGGCCAGGTATGGTGGCTTACATCTGTAATCTCAGCACTTTGGGAGGCTGAGGTGGGAGAATCCCTTGAAGCCAGGAGTTTGAGACCAGCCTGGACAACATAGTGAGACTCTATCTCCATAAATAATAATAAAAAAACTAGCCAGGTGTGGTGGTGTGCACCTGTGGTCCCAGCTACTGGGGAGGCTGAGGTGGAAGGATTGCTTGAGCCCAGGAGATCAAGGCTGCAGTGAGCCATGATCACACCGCTGCACTCCAGCCTGGGAAACAGAGTGAGATCGTGTCAAAAAAAAATTTTTTTTTAATTTTTACAATTTATTCAGAGGACTATTGCACCTGTACAGAAGAACTTAAAGTGAATTTTGCTGTCTTTTTCATGAGGACATTAGTCTTTGCCACAATGCTTACTACTAATGAGTACAAGAAAACGCTGTGTGGGACAGAGTTGCTCGATCCAACCTCACAGATTGACAGGCAAACAAATGTTTTATAGGGCAAGGTAGCTGTTGGAATTAAACTTTTTAGGATTTTTGATAACAGAATATGTACTTCTCATAATTAGGGTTTTTTAAACATTTTTAAGGATTTTTAAACTTTTATAAAATCTCAGAATTTTCTAGTCTGTGAACAGTTCATGTAGAAAAATCAGTGGTTATTATGTACACTGTTATTGCAGCTTCGCTGAAAGATTAAAAATCTAAAAAATACAGTAAAAATAAGTTCTGAGTTTTTGTATTGATGTTGGGTGCTGTGATGTTATCTCTTTTAAAATGTGTTTTTCTTTTTCCATAATATAAAGGAATCAAAAAATACAACTTGTATGTGAACTTGTGCAAATGTGTGAAACAAATTAAGGTGACAGGGCAGAAGCAACAAAATGAAGCTCAAATGAAATCCACCTCTCAAAGCAGGTTCTATTTAATTTCTCTATATTTGCTATTATAAATTTTTTATTTTCATATATGTGTTTCTTTGCTAGAGATGATAATTGGATGCCAACCTAACTTCCAATTTTTAGGTGATTATTTTACCAACAAACCACTCACCTTGATGAGTGCACTGCATGGCCCCCGCTCCAAAGTCCACCATTCAGATCCTCATCAATATGTTATGACGACTGTTGCCTTTACTGTGTCTCTGCCTGATTCCATACCCTTTGCTCTACATTTCATCTCAGGTTCTGTCTTTTGGACCTTTTCACTTGATGCTTGTTCCTGGCATTTGAATCTCCATTCAACCTGATGATCTTTGATTTAGACTCACCATCCAGTTCCAAGCTGCCAGGATTTATTACCCTCTGATTTCAGCAGCTCAGAAATCCCTGGCACAGTCACAGGCTGGCTACCTCAAGGGACCAGCCCCAAACACTAGTGCTGTATTATAAACATCCATTTATTCATCTTTTTAACAGATTTTACTTATTGCCCACTATGTATAAGGCACTACAGAAGTTTCTGGGGATATAGAAGATTAGTGGCAGAAAGCTCTTAAGTCTCTTAAAATCTGGTAGGACAAATAATACAACTACATAATTATAATTTAAGATAGTATGTGTTCAACTACTAGAAGTTATATATACGAACAGGACAGTAATTAACAAAAGCTTCAAATAGATCCTTAAGTAATTAAGGAGCATAGGGTACGAGGATACGTTACCAATAACCTAGAGTGGTAGGTCACTGACAGGTGGCATCTTAACTAGATTTTGACGGTAAGATAGGGGAGACATCATGGAAGACAGATACTACAAAAACTGGAACCAACAAGAACAGGAAAAATGTTATGTTAAACCTTATTTATCCAGACTGACAGTGTAATGAGGAGTGGAAGAAAGCTTAGAAAAATTGGTTAGAACCAAGTTCTGGAAGGCTTTGAATGGTGAAGAGTTTAGAGTTGGCGAGCATGTATTGGACAGTCAGAAGGTTTTGAGCAGGAAATGAAATGATAATTGGCTTGATTTAGCAGTGGTATGTAGGAAGGATTTGGTGGTGAGGTGATATGCAGGCAGAGACTGTAAGCTAGTAATTTAAAGTAGGGGAGGGTCTGGAGATGACTTTCTTCATGTCATTAAATCTTGTTATTTGTGAGGTGCTGAGCTAGGTGCTGGGGAAAGAGTGAGAACTAGATCCTTGCCATGAGGGAGTTTTCAGTCTAGTGAGAGACTTGATATCTTAAAGCCTCCTTGAGGGGTCTCTATCCAAAATTTGGTACTCTGCTTCTGACTCTTGCCTGATTACTAGGTGATTAGATCCTCAGTTTACAATGGGCTGTGTTTCCTACCCTCTCAAACTGCTTTTCCATTTTTTGTGTCAGCTAAGGCAAAAATATTGCAACCACTTGTATATGGAGAAAAGCAATTTATTACTTAAAACAAGATAAGACATGAATACTGCACCAGATAAGGCAAAGAAGAAAATGACATGTGTCTTAAAGAGATAACTGAAGATGATGTGGAGAATGAATTGGAGGTTATGTTAGGGGCAAGAAAACTAGTTAAGAGGCTGTCGTAGTAATCTACCTGCTTAATTAAGAGGGCCTGAACTAAGACAATGTGAAAGAAAAGGAGTCCTTGGTGGCTACTTCCACCATAATCCTTTCTGTCTCTCCCTTGGTACAACGAAGGGATAGATAGGTGACTCTCATTTGGAATTGACTTTTGAACTGAGGGATTCAAAAACAACAAACACTCAGTTTACTTCAGACTTAGGGGTAATGCTCCTACTGTCAAGTAGTCTAGTTTCTGGTTATCTTTTTATTTGGAACATGGTTCTGCAGTCTTTAGTGAGCTTCCTGATAAATCTTTCTTTTGCATTAGTTAGACTGTTAGTTACTAGTGGTTACAGTATTAAAAACAACACAAAACAAAACAAAAACTACCCTAATTGACATTGTATGTGATATTTGAAGCACTTATGGATAACTAGGAGAAAACTGTTAGGGAGTTGGAAATATGGAACTAGAAGTGTGGTTCTCAAGGTGTGGTCACTGATGCAGCATCAGCATCACCTGGGAACTTACTAAAAATGAAAATTAACAGGTCCCATCCCAGACTTACTGAATAGGAAACTGGGAGTGAGGCCCCAGCAATCTGAATATTAACAAGCCGTCCAAGTGATTCTGATGCACACTGCAGTTTGAGGACCAACTGAACTAGAGCTTGAAATAGAGATTAGGAGTAGAAATAAAGATGTGTAAGTCAGATACATAACAGTCACTCTTGAGAGAATGAATAAACTCCCTAGAAGAGTGGAAGAGAGAAGATGAGCCCTTGAAGTAAATGGAACAATCAAAGAAATAAAAACTAGTGGAGTACAATAAAAGCGGGAGAAATTTAACAGTGGTATGAAATGACCTATAGTGTCAGGTGCTGTACAGAGGCCAGCATGGATGAGGATCATGCCAAAGCTGTAAGACTGACCATTAGGAGAATTTTGGTGTCAGTTAAAAGAGAAGTGGTACAGATAAGAGTAAATGCAAAGGAATACAAGCAAAAACTAAAGGATACTTTTTGCAGCAGTTTGGGAATACAACAAAGGGACTTAGAATAATATGGTCAGGATGAGGTTTTTCAGGGTAGATGCATCATTTAGGTTTTGCTGTATAACAAACACTCTAAAGTGGCTTAAGACAATAATTATTATTATAGCTCACATGTCTGAGGGTTGGCTCCTCCCAGCTGGGCTTGCTCATACATCAGCAGACCTACTGGGAGCTTTGCTCTAGGCTGGACACTTACCTATCATCCTCCTTCTGTGACTGTCCAGCTCACTTAGGCATATCTTTCTCATGAAGATGGAAGAAGTGTTGAAGAGGGCAAACAGAGGCTGGGCGCGGTGGCTCACACCTATAATCCCAGCACTTTAGGAGGCCGAGGCGGGCGGATCACCTGAGGTCAGGAGTTCGAGACCAGCCTGGCCAAAATGGTAAAACCCCGTCTCTACTAAAAATACAAAACGTAGCCGGGTGTGGTGGCACATGCCTGTAGTCCCAGCTGCTCGGGAGGCTGAGGCAGGAGAATCACCTGAACCTGTTTGCGCCACTGCACTCCAGCCTGGGCGACAGAGTGAGACTCTCCCAAAAAAAGAAAAAAAAATTGGGGGTGGCGGCAAACACAAACACATGGACTCCAAACTGACACTAGCACTTCTCCCTCATTCTAGTGACCAAAGCAATTTATGTGGCCAAGCCCGTATTCAAGGAGCAGAGAAACAGAATTCTCCTCTTTAGAGAACTTGCAAAGTGACATGGCAAAGGGCATGGATTCATAGAGGGATGAAGAATTGGGACGCTTAATACCACAGTAGGAGGCCAGGAGTGGTGACTCTTGCTTATAATCCCAACACTTTGAGAGGCCGAGATGGGAGGGCCCAGGAGTTTGAGACCAGTCTGGGCAACATAGGGAGACCCTGTCTCTCCAAAAAAAATTTAAAATTAGCCAGGTGTGATGGCACGTGCTTGTAGTCCCACCTACTGGGAAGGCTGAGGCGGGAGGATTGTTTGAGCCCAGGAATTTGAGGCTTCAGTGAGCTATGATTGCACCATTGCACTCTAGCATGGGAGGCAGCAAAGCAAGACCCTGTCTCAAAACAACACACAGTAGAGATGACCCGAACATGCTTGAAAGTACAAAGAAGGAATATGTAGAATGAGGAAGAAAGAGAAGTAAGGAGAAAGACAAATAAAAGTTCAGAGAATTAACCTTTGAAAACAGAAAAGATACTTCTGGGAATGGAAAGAAGGGAATTTGATTGGATTAAATTTAACAAATTAAAATCCAAGATGCCCAGTTAAAATTGAATTTTAGATGAACAATTTTTTTTAGTATTTAAGTATGTCTCATGCAATATTTGGCTCGGTACATTTGGTATTTTTTGTTATCTTAAATACTATTTACGTGTTTCTATATTTGGGACATAACTTTAAACTAAAATTTTTCTTTATTATTGTAAATTCAAATTTAACTAGGCATCCTGTATTTTATATGGCAACCCTACTTCGGATGAATTTTAAATAAATCCATGGTAAAGTAATCTATAAAGGGATAGATGGGTATATTCAGGGATTTAGTCCTAGAAAAAGTTCGGAACCGCTGCTATAGATGCTGTGTAGTGTCAGTGAAAGGATTGCTGAGCAGTAGTGAACTCACTTAAAAAGAAGCAGCATGACTTTTCTTGATTGAATCACTGCTAAGAAGAGTAATAGCAGAGATTGCTGGTACAAGGGACCACTTTGGTTTGGCTCTAGCTGGTGAGGACTGAGCAGGAGATTTGGGCATAATTGAAATGACTAGAGTCCAGGCTGTAAATGAAAGCAGGTGAAACCAGAAGATGAATTAGAAGGGACTGAGAGTTTGGCAGTCACAATGAGTCAAAGAGGTAGAAGTTCACAGGGAAGAAACTCAGAATTTACAATCTTGGAGGAATGGTTCTGTATGATAACGGGGTTAAAAATCCAATTTCACATTTACTTTTACTAAATTAAAAGTAAGAGCTCTGGAGACAAGATACTTGGTTTTGAATTCTGGTTGTGTGATCTTGGCCAAGTAATTTAACTTCCCTGTGTCTTCGCTCTTTATTTGAAAAATAGTAATAATGATGGTTCTTGGGGCCGGGCACAGTGGCTCATGTCTGTAATCCCAGCACTTTGGGAGGCTGAGGCAGGTGGATCACTTGAGGTCAGGAGGTCGAGACTAGCCTGGCGAACATGGTGAAACCCCGTCTCCACTAAAAATACAAAATTTAGCCAGGCATGGTGGCATGCGCCTGTAATCCCAGGTAGTTGGGAGGCTGAGGCAGGAGAATCGCTTGAACCTGGGAGGCAGAGGTTGCAGTGAGCCAAGATCACGCCATTGCACTCGAGCCCGGGCGACTGAGCGAGACTGTGTCTCAAAAAAAAAAAAAAAAAAATTGGTTCTTACCTCATAAGGTTATTGTGAAGATTAAATGAAATAAACCATGTGAAATACCAAGAACACTATGTCTGGTTAAGTGTATCTATAATCACTATATATGTGTGCCCTAGAGAATATTATTTTAAAGAAAAAATGGCAACAATACATTGTATATTTTCCTCCTTGGTAAGCTAACAAATGCTATGTTTGGTAAAAACAAACACAATTATCTACCTGTTGAAGCTCACACAACTTTTACTATTTAAGGTTGTTTTCTTTAACTGTTATTAGAAGAAAATAATTATGCTCAAGTCATATCTGTCTCATTTCCCTGTAGGTGACCATGCTTTGGGATTTTCATAGTTTGAGTAATTCCTATGGGCTCTACCACCCAGCGAGTTAAAGAAGACAAGATTCCACCCCCAGGGGGTTGTGGTTCTGGGAATGTGAGCAGCTTGTTTTCAGGAGATCTGCATCTTGATCTGGCCTGCTATTAGGATCTGTGGTGGTGGTGCCTGTCTGGTTTTAGTTGTTTCTTTTATCTTACACAGATTTTTGTAAGTTATTTGCATATAAAGGTTTTTGAAAAGTGAATGTTTTATGGGGGCATCTTGCTTATACAAAGAAAAATTAAAACTGTTTTAAAATAATCACTCGTGTTACACTTGTCTATTCTAAAATAAATGAAAGTATTAATGTTGTTGTCTGGAAGGAAAATGAAGACCAGGAAAATAGCTATGCTCTTAATGTTTTAAAATAAGGTAATATTATTCTCTGTTTGAATGGAGGCTTCTAAGGAATTACCACAGTCTCACACACAATCGACTTAAATGCATTCTTTATCTTTAAAAGGAAGCAGAATAGGATCATTGAGTAAATCACATGTGTTCACAGTCTTGTCTGGTGTAATCGTATACTACACAAACACATTATTCTGTAGTCAGGAGGGGAAGGGGACATTTGAAGCAGGACTTGCCCTTGAGGAGGCCTTTTTCTGTTTAAAGTATAGTGCAGTGAAAGACCACACAGTAGAAGATAACAAAATATCTTCCATGCCACCCCCACTTTTTCATTTTCTCATTCTCCTTTGTTCTCTAAGGACATCTGTTGAAATGATTATTCTGTAAAACTCATAGGTACCTAGCAGAAGCCATATCATATTTCATTTATTATTTTGTCTACTTAATTATTGTTTTCTTTTATATCATGCAATTGTGGGTTTTAAAAATATTCTGTTTATAAAAGATATGAAAGTATGTTATAGAAAATTTATTAGTTAACTGTAGATATCTAAAGAGTAAAAGTTTCAACTCTGAATTTAATAAAATTATATCTTAGGAAGCCCAGCAGACTTTTATTAAGCTACGTCTTAAAAAGATAAATATACTAAAAAGAGATACTTAAAAAGATGAATTTTCCTTTCTATATTAATTACAATGGATTTTTAGATAATATGGAAATATATAAAAGTAGTCAGTGTTTAGACATTTGAAAAATTAATGGGAATATATATTTTGCTGTATGGTTCTGAAAGTACTAATTGGTAATTGAATCATAAAATATCAGAGTTGAGATTAAAGAGCTAAAATTAAATAATATCTTCAGAGACTTAACAGAGATCTTTCATTTGTGCCAAATTTAGTAAGATTTGCCTCAATTCAGTTTTACTTATGGTGTATATTGATTCTTTAAAATGTCACGTGTATGGTGGCTCATGCCTGTAATCCCAGCACTTTGGGAGGCCAAGGCGGGCAGATCATGAGGTCAGGAGATATAGACCATCCTGCCTAACATGGTGAAACCCTGTCTCTACTAAAAATACAAAAAAAGGCCCGGCACAGTGGCTCATGCCTGTAATCCCAGCACTTTGGGAGGCCGAGGTGGGTGGATCACCTGAGGTCAGGAGTTTGAGACCAGCCTGGCCAACATGGCGAAACCCCATCTCTACTAAAAATACAAAAATTAGCCAGACATGGTGGCAAGCACCTATAATCCCAGCTACTTGGGAGGCTGAGGCGGGAGAATCACTTGAACCTGGAAGGTGGTGGTTGCAGTGAGCCAAGATTGTGCCACTGCACTCCAGCCTGGGCGACAGAGCGAGACTCCATCTCAAAAAAAAAAAAAAAAAGTCACATGTAACCATTTGAAAGGCATTCTTAATTGTGAACAATAGTTATGTGAGATTTTGGAAGATCCAATATAGATGCATTATTTCAAATGTTTTCAACATTTTGATAGTTGGTTTGCTGTCTATATTGTGGATGCAATTCAAAATTCAAGATTTTTCTTTTTATTAGAGGTTCTTTATTTACATTGCCACCCAATTTCAGCCTAAGTTGATCTTTTGTGGATTCATGGAATTTATGTTTGAAGAGTTTTAAAAAATTTTTTTAATGAAAAACTGTTAACATATACAGAAATAAAGCAAATAACATGAACCTCCAAGTTTTGTTTGAGTCTTTAGTAATATGTTAGTACAGGTACTGTGATTGTTGATGCAACAGATGTTCAGGAACTCAAAAAATGCTTGTTGCTTAATGTGCACTTGAAATAATTTGTCAGAGACTAGGATTGCAACCCTTGCTTTTTTTAGCTTTCCATTTTCTTGGTAGATCTTCCTCCATCCCTTTATTTTGAGCCTATGTGTGTCTCTGCATGTGAGATGGGTCTCCTGAATACAGCACACTGATGGGTCTTGACTCTTTATTCAATTTGCTAGTCTGTGTCTTTTAATTGGGGCATTTAGCCCATTTACATTTAAGGTTAATATTGTTATGTTTGAATTGGATCCTGTCATTATGATGTTAGCTGGTTATTTTGCCCATTAATTGATGCAGTTTCTTCATAGCATTGATGGTCTTTACAATTTGGCATGTTTTTGCAGTGGCTGGTACCGGTGTTCCTTTCTATGTTTAGTGCTTCCTTCAGGAGCTCTTGTAAGGCAAGCCTGGTGGTGACAAAATCTCTCAGCATTTGCTTGTCTGTAAAGGATTTTATCTGTCCTTCACTTATGAAGCTTAGTTTGGCTGGATATGAAATTCTGGGTTGAAAATTCTTTTCTTTAAGAATGTGTGAATATCGGCCCCCACTCTCTTCTGGATTGTAGGGTTTCTGCTGAGAGATCCACTGTTAGTCTGATGGGCTTCCGTTTGTGGGTAACCCAACCTTTCTCTCTGGCTGCCCTTAACATTTTTTCCTTCACTTCAACCTTGGTGAATCTGACAATTATGTGTCTTGGGGTCGCTGTTCTCGAGGAGTATCTTTGTGGTATTTTCTGTATTTCCTGAATTTGACTGTTGGCCTGCCTTGGTAGGTTGGGGAAGTTCTCCTGGATAATATCCTGAAGAGTGTTTTCCAACTTGCTTCCATTCTCCCCGTCACTTTCAGGTACACCAATCAGACATAGATTTGGTCTTTTCATGTAAGTCCCATATTTTCTTGGAGGCTTTGTTCGTTTCATTTTACTCTTTTTTTCTCTAAACTTGTCTTCTTGCTTTATTTCAAATTAATTTGATCTTCAATCACTGATACCCTTTCTTCCACTTGATCGAATCGGCTATTGAAGCTTGTGCATGCATCACGAAGTTCTCGTGCCATGCTTTTCAGCTTCATCAGATCATTTAAGGTCTTCTCTACACTGTTTATTCTAGTTAGCCATTCGTTTAACCTTTTTTCAAGGTTTTTAGCTTCCTTGCGATGGGTTAGACCATGCTCCCTTAGCTCAGAGAAGTTTGTTACTACCGACCTTCTGAAGCCTATTTCTGTCAACTCATCAAAGTCATTCTCCATCCAGCTTTGTTCCATTGCTGGCGAGGAGCTGTGATCTTTTGGAGGAGAAGAGACGCTCCGGTTTTTAGAATTTTCAGCTTTTCTGCTCTGGTTTCTCCCCATCTTTGTGGTTTTATCTACCTTTGGTCTTTGATGTTGGTAACCTACAGATGGGGTTTTGGTGTAGATGTCCTTTTTGTTGATGTTGATGCTATTCCTTTCTGTTTGTTAGTTTTCCTTCTAACAGGTCCGTCAGCTGCAGGACTGTTGGAGTTTGCTGGAGGTCCACTCCAGACCCTGTTTGCCTGGGTATCACCAGCGGAGCCTGCAGAACAGCAAATATTGCTGCCTGATCCTTCTTCTGGAAGCTTCATCCCAGAGGGGCACCCACCTGTATGAGGTGTCTGTTGGCCCCTACTGCAGATGTCTCCCAGTTAGGCTACATGGGGGTCAGGGACCCACTTGAGGAGGCAGCCTGTCCGTTCTCAGAGTTCAAACACCATGCTGGGAGAACCACTGCTCTCTTCAGAGCTGTCAGACAGGGACATTTAAGTCTGCAGAAGTTTCTGCTGCCTTCTGTTTAGCTATGCCCTGCCCACAAAGGTGAAGTCTATAGAGGCAGTAGACAGTGCTGAGCTGCACTGGGCTCTGCCCAGTTGGAGCTTCCTGGCCGCTTTGTTTACCTACTCAAGCCTCAGTAATGGTGGACGCCCCTCCCCCAGCCAGGCTGCAGCCTCGCAGGTTGATCTCAGACTGCTGCGCTAGCAGTGAGCAAGGCTCTGTGGGCATGGGACCCACTGAGCCAGGCACAGGAGAAAATCTCCTGGTCTGCTGGTTGCTAAGACCGTGGGAAAAGTGCAGTATTAGGGCAGAAGTGTCCCATTTTTCCAGGTACAGTCTGTCACTGCTTCCCTTGGCTAGGAAAGGGAAATCCCCCAACCCCTTGCGCTTCCCAGGTGAGGTGATGCCCCGCCTTGCTTTGGCTTGCCCTCCGTGGGCTGCACCCACTGTCCAACCAGTCCCAATGAGATGAACCAGGTACCTCAGTTGGAAATGCGGAAATCACCTGTCTTCTGCGTCAGTCATGCTGGGAGCTGCAGATCGGAGCTGTTCCTATTTGGCCATCTTGGAACAGAAACCCCACTTGAAAGAATTTGTGTACATGAAAATTTTTAAAAATCCCTCCATTTCCTAATCTATGATAGAATATATTTCAAAAATTTGGTGGTAAGCCAATTTTTGGACCTACAAATGTGTTTTTCATAGAAACAATCTTAAAATGGCTACTAGGTTTTCAGGCCAGCTCTCCATAACTTATCTAATTCATAGTTTAGGGAAACTTACCCATCATTTTTAACATTGTTTCAATGAGAAAATGCCTCTTTTAAAAAAATTTTTTTCTGGCTGGGCACGGTGGCTAACGCCTGTAATCCCAGCACTTTGGGAGGCCAAGGTGGGCAGATCACCTGAGGTTGGGAGATTGAGACCAGCCTGACCAACATGCAGAAACCCCATCTCTACTAAAAATATAAAATTAGCCAGGCGTGGTGGCGCATGTCTGTAATCCCAGCTATTTGGGAGGCTGAGGCAGGAGAATCTCTTGAGCCCGGGAGGCGGATGTTGCTGTGAGCCGAGATCACGCCACTGCACTCTAGCCTGGGCAACAAGAGTGAAACTACGTCTCAAAAAAAAATTTTTTTTTCTTTTCTTTTTTTTTTTTAAATTAGACTCTCATTCTGTCGCCCAGGCTGGAGTGCAGTGGCACAATCATAACTCACTACAGCCTCTAACTCCTAGGCTCAAGTGATCCTCTTGCCTCAGCCTCCTGAGTAGCTAGGGCTACAGGTGCACACCACAATGCCTGGCTAATTTTTTAAAATTTTTTTTCTTTAATTCTTTTTTTAGAGGAGGGGTCTTGCTTTGTTACCCAGGTTGGTCTCAAACTCCTGGCCTCAAGTTTGCTTTTAGCCTCCCAAAGTGCTGGGATTATAGGTGTGAGCCACCACACTCGGCCAGAAAAATGCCTCTTTTGCAATTAGAATTCTAGGGAATACCACCACTCATCTTCCTCTCTGTTGAAAATGGGTAGTCGAGTTATCTTGTAATAGGGATTTTGTCTGTGATGGGTCCTTAGCTCTCTCAGCAAAAGTAGCAGGAACTCAGAGTAAACAGTCGGGGGACATAGTATACTTCATGTATACTCTTCCGAAATTATTCCTCTGCTAGGGGGAGTTGAGGAGTCAAGCTCTCCTGTAATAGGTATCTTGTCTGTGAGGGCTCCTTAGCTCTCAGCAAATGTAATGGGAACACTGAGTGTTGGGGGACAAGAGTCTACTCTCCCATACCATTCTGAAATTATTTACCACTTTCTCTGCTGACAGAGTTTGTTTGTGCTTTTTTTTTTAAGCTTATTTTTTAAAAGAACAGAAAGGAAACCTCCCTTTATAAAACAAATACTCTGTGATATACCTAAAGCTTATGTTTCATAGACTTTTTAAAAAGAGGGCTGATTGTCTTAAGTTACTGATATGGGGAAAAATTATTTTCACTGGCTAAGACATGTCTAAGGCATCAAGAAAAGATTCCTGAATGTTAAAACATAAAATTGGAATATAAGCATAGGTACTAAACTGCCAACTAGCTAAAATCAGGTTGTTGGAATAATGCTTATAGTAAACCTATAAGTAGTATAACCTTTTAGAGTATCTGGGAATGACAGATGGGAGCAGAGAGGAGTGCCAGTGCTTCTGTCTCACCAACCTACATTCTCTTCCAACTTACCTTACATTTGTACTCTTCCAAAATCCTTTTCTAAGCAAGATTATGGAGCCACAAAATGGTGCTAATGAATTTCTCCTCATTTTGTGTATGTATATATAAAATAAAAAGGTAATAGAGGAAGTGCTTTACTGACAAAAGGGGCAAAATTCAGAAAGAATGGAGTGGCTGAAAACAAGACCTGCTCAGAGGAACCCTAAATATTACAATGTTCTCTGACACCGAGCAGGTTACTTAACCTCCCAGGATAATCTGTAGAATGAGTGATTGAAATAAATCAGCCCTGTTCCTTCTAGCTCAAAAACGAAAGTTCCATATTGTGAATAGTTGTCCTAGATCCTGCAAGTCTTCAAGTGCTAATGTGGTGTGGCTCTTATCCTGTCAGCTAATATAGGCTCCAATCTTACATGTCCTCCAGAAAATGCATGTTCTTGTGAGTGACTTAACAGCAGGCCCCCAAAGCTAGTTAGTCTCATTTTTCAAAGACAGTAATGTCAGTACCCTTATATGGGAGAATTAGGCATACTTTGTGATGAGGCAACTGGAGTTCCCACAGAATGGCGTACTGCAGCTTCCCCACGTGGGATCCATGTTCCCGTTAGATAAAGAAGGGCCTACTGTGTGTCAGGTACCACACTAACTACTTTACATATGTTACTATATTCATTTATTATTCATTTATTCATTATTCTTCACAATAACCCTGAGAGGTAGGGGGATTGTCCTCATTTTACAGATGAGGAAATTTCCCAAGAACTAATTAGTTGGTGGTGGAGCTAGTGAATGGTAAAACTGATTTGAAACCTCTTATGAGGGGAATGAAACCAGGGATCCCTTCACTAAACCTGCCCATCAAACTAGCTAAGGGAAGGAAACCAAAAAGCCTTTTACTGCAGTTAGCTTTATACTCACCAACAATGACAAGCAACTGTGGCTCCTCTGCCTGTGGGACCTGGCCCCTGCAGCCAGCTCATGTGCCCAAGACTCCCCCTACCCCTAAATCCAGGGTAAGCATATTCCCCCTAGCCCTTCTGAAGTCTCAGGTGAATACCCCAGAACTTTCACAAGGCTTCCCACCTAGGAAACCTAGCCACCTCTAACCTAGAGGATGTAACTCTTAAGTTTGATATTAAGACCCTGCTCTAGTAGAATCCTTCAAAGCAGGAAGCCCTTCTGTGCTGTTTGTGGTGCTGAGAGGTGCCAGATAACATGCCACCCTGCCAACTCGTGTAACTCAGGGAAGAACCTACCTGAAGATGATAAGAGAAATGAAAATAAAGTCTTGAAGAACTACAATTGTCAGGTGATCCTGCAGAGGAGTCCCTGGCCCACAGGAGTTTTTTTCTACGTCAGTAACTTCAAAGATAGCTGTTAATACTTCTAGATCTCCGAATTCCTGACAGGAGATGAAAGAGCATCCAAGTTTAAGATTATCAGGCTCAGAAACTGCCAGAAATAACTTAGAACAGTTCTCAAAGTATGTTCCTGGGACAAGCAGCATTAGCCTCACCTGGGAACTTGTTGAAAATACAGACTCTTGGCCGGGCATGGTGGCTCACACCTGTAATCCCAGCACTTTGGGAGGCTGAGGCAGGCGGATCACGAGGTCAGGAGATCGAGATCATCCTGGCTAACACGGTGAAAACCCGTCTCTACTAAAAATACAAAAAATTAGCAGGGCATGGTGGCAGGCGCCTGTAGTCCCAGCTACTTGGGAGGCTGAGGCGGGAGAATGGCGTGAACCCAGGAGGCGGAGTTTGCAGTGAGTCAAGATCACGCCACTGCACTCCAGCCTGGGCAACAGAGCGAGACTCCATCTCAAATTATATATATACACACACACAGACTCTTGGACCCCATCCCAGACCTGCAGAATGAGAAGTGGAGCCCAGAAATCTGTGTTTCAACAAGATTCTGATGTATACTAAATTTTGAAAACAACTGTCCTAGGACTATGAATGATGATCGCAGGTTCCCTACATCAAATTGCAACAGCTTCCTGGGACTAGTCGACCGCCCCATCTCCAATATAGTGCCATTCTTAGAGATATGCAGCTCTCTCAACCAAGACTACTGCCTAGGACCTCATTTGTTTCCTTGAAAACTCCTAGGAAAATATTGGGAAAAATGGCAGATGATTGGTAATGATAGAATTGAGGTAAAAAAAATTAATTGTGTATGATGGGGGAATTGGAAGTAATTTATATGCCTATTTATAGGAGTTTGCCTAAAAGCAAATTCCATGAGGATTAGGACTAACACTGACCAACAGTATGTTCACTGTACTCTCATTATCTACTATAGTGTAAGTATTTAATATTTGTTGATTGAATGAATAAATGTACATATACATTTCAGTCCTGAAGTAAAATGCAGCCATTAAAAAAGATGTCTTCTATTAGCAGTCTCACTCATATGTATGTACTCAAAAACCTGAAATTCAATGTTTATATCAACTTTATTCATAACTACCAAAAACTGGAAACAACCCTATTGTCTATCAACTGGTAAACAGATCAACGAACATTCATATAATGTACATCCATAGAATAGAATACTACTGAGCAATAAAAAGGACCAAATTACAAATATATGCAGAAAACATGGATGAATTGCAGCAGCATTAGGCTGAGTGAAAGAAGCCAGGCTCAAAAAGCAAATGTATGATTCCATTTATGTAGCATTGTAGAAAAGGCAAAACTGGGCTGGGCCCAGTGGCTCACGCCTGTAATCCTAGCACTTTGTAGGGGGCCAAGGTGGGCAGATCACCTAAGGTCAGGAGTTTGAGACCAGCCTGGCCAACATGGTGAAACCCCATCTCTACTAAAAATACAAAAATTAGCTGGGCATGGTGGCACACCCCTGTAATCCCAGCTATTCTGGAGACTGAGGCAGGAGAATTGCTTGAGCCTGGGAGATGGAGGTTGCAGTGAGCCGAGATCGTGCCACTGCACTCCAGCCTGGCCGACAGAGTGAGACTCTGTCTCCAAAAAAAACCAAAAAAGGCAAAACTGTAGGGATTGAAAATAGTTCAGTGATTGCTGGAGAAGGAGCAAGTGCCTCTAAACTACAATCAGGCACAAAGACAGTTTGAGGGTGATGGACCTGTTCTATATCTTGATCGTGATGGTTGCATTATTGTATGCATTCATCAAAACTCATGGGACTGAATGCTAAAAAAGGTTAATTTTACTGTACATACTCAATATACAATATACTGTGTATACTCAATATACTTTTTTAAAAAGTATACTAACGTTTTTAAAAAATGATGTTGAATAAATGTACCTGATACATATGTAATAGAAAAGTCAAGTTAAATGTTTTTCTAAAAACAAAACAAATGTCATCCATATACATGTGTGTAAGTTCATGTGTATCTCTGGGTTATATAAATTTATTTAAATGCCTAGAACAAGATGTGAAAGAATATACTTCAAACTTATAATGGCAATTACCTCTAAGAAGGGACTAAATTTGGTGAAGTGATTTGAGACCTTAGTTTATGGGTTGCTGTTTGAATTATTTATAATATATTTCTGTATTGTATAATTAAGAAGTAAACAACATTTTAGAGAATAGAAGGATAAACACCAAAAATGTCAATAGTAGTTATCTCTGGCTGGTGGAGCTATAAATGTCTTTTATTTTATTTTTTTCTTTCTTTTTTTTTTGGTCTGAGACAGTGTCTGTTGCCCAGGCTGGAGTGCAGTGGTGCAATCTCAGCTCACTGCAGCCTCGACCTCCCAGGCTCAAGCTATCCTCCCACATCAGCTTCCTGAGTAGTTGGGACTAGAGGCCCATATCACCATGCCTGGCTAATTTTTTGTATTTTTTGTAGAGATGGGTTTTGCCATCTTGCCCAGGCTGGTCTTGAACTCCTGAGCGCAAGCGATCCACCTGCCTCGGCCTCCCAAAGTGCTGGGATTACAGGCGTGAGCCACCCTATCTGGCCTATTTTATTTTTGCTTATTTGTATTTTCTAATGTTTCTATAGTATGAACAAGTTATGCTTTTGTAACTAAAAAAAAAAAAGGTTATCTTAAAATACAGGGGTGAGGGACCCAGCAAGCATACACATATTAAAAGCTTGTACATATTAGAAATGTAGACGTTACAAAAATATTCAAGACAAAGTTTCACTGAAAAAGAATTTGAGAAAAAGAATTTGAATACTCCTAGAATAGTGCTTCTCAAACATGATGTCCATACAAATCACCTGGAGTGCTTGTTGAAATGCATATTATGATTCCAAGGATTTGCATTTCTGACAAGCTTCCTCTTGATTCCAGTGCTACTGGTCCATGGACCACACTGAATATCAAGGCTTTAAAACTGTGCTCTCAATACAGCAGCCACTAACTAGCCACGTAAGGCTGTTAAGCACTTGAAATGTGGCTAGTCCAAATTGAGATATACTGTTAAGTGTAAATACACATTGGATTTTGAAGACAATTTTTATAAAAGAATAACATCTTAATCATTGTTTTATACTAATTACATATTGAAACTATTTTGGACACATTGTGTTAAATAGATATTAAAATTAATTTCACCCTTTTTTTACTATTTTAATGTAGTTAAAATAGATTTTAACTACATTTAATAATGTAATTTTAATAATGTAAAGATTTAAATAATGTAATTTAATGTAGTTACTAGAAAATTTTAAATTTTATTTGTGGTTTGTATTTTTGGCTTGTATCATATTGCTATTGGACAGCACTGGTCTAGAATAACTGTTAATAGGATTTTACTTGTATTAGCTTCACATTGGGTCTTAAATCAACAGCGTAATGCAGGAAAAGGATTAGCACCCCATTAAAGACCAAATTGACAACTTCTGTGTATTAATATGAACATACCTAGGAATTCTCAAAATTTATAGGTAGAAGTTGAGACAAATAGAAATAATAGAATTTTGACCTGGAAAGGAACTTTGATGTCATCAAGTTCAAACCCCTTGTCTTACAGAATTATTTATCAACCTGGCAAAGATATATTTGGTACTTAAGGCATTCTAGGTAAGTATTGAATAGGTATGTCTGTGATAGGTGAGTAAGGTGAGATGCCTACCCTGGAGAAGCTAAGAAGGATTGTATTAGACTGTAACAGCACTTACTAGGCATGCTGACAGGAGTGCTCTCAAACACAGAGGCAGAGGCAAATACGGGCTCAAATTTTTGTTTTGTTTTGTTTTGAGACAGAGTCTCACTTTGTCGCCCAGGCTGGAGTGCAGTGACACGATCTCTGCTCACTGCAACCCTTCGCTTCCTGGATTGAAGCGATTCTCCTGCCCCACCCTCCCAAGTAGCTGGGATTATAGGCACCCATCACCACACCTGGCTAATTTTTGTATTTTTAGTAGAAATGGGGTTTCTCCATGTTGGCCGGGCTGGTCTCAAATTCCTGACCTCAAGTGATCCCCCCAACTTGGCTGGATTACAGGCGTGAGCCACCATGCCTGGCCAGACTAAATTTTTTTTTAGGAAGAATCAGAGACGCTCCAGCACTTTGGGAGGCCAAGGCAGGCGGATCACGAGGTCAGGAGATGGAGACCATCTTGGCTAACAAGGTGAAACCCCGTCTCTACTAAAAATACAAAAAATTAGCTGGGCGTGGTGGCGGGCACCTGTAGTCCCAGCTACTAGGGAGGCTGAGGCAGGAGAATTGCTGGAACCTGTGAGGTGGAGGTTGCAGTGAGCCGAGATCATGCCATTGCACTCCAGCCTGGGCGACAGAGCGAGACTCCATCTCAAAAAAAAAAAAAAAAAAAAAGAATCAGAGAAGCTCCACTCAAGGAAACTTTAAGTTTCCCCAGGCTTTATAGCTTCTGTTTTAAATTAATGGTACAAATAAGGCTTTAGGATTAATTATTTACTTAAAAATCAATGTAGAACATGCTGTTCCGTGTCTTTTCCCACACAAAATAGATATGTCCTCTATTATCAGAGGGCAAAGAAATTTAGACCTGAGACACTTTGAAAGTTTGAACAGGGTTGATGGTACAGATGGTACCAGAATGAAATTTGGAGTGTAGCAGTAGCATAGTCAACCTTCAATTATATGTGCAAATGAGGGACAAGAATTGCTGAGATGATTAAAAGCATGAATAAAACAAAACGCTTATTTTAGCTATTATTTTAAAAGACTTATTCATCAGGAATATCTTATACCAGAGGCTTTATGACAGAAATTTGTTCTTGAGTTACATTTCCCTTCTGTGAAAGATTGAAAAGACAAATTTGGGATAAATAATAAAGAATGTGATTATGAAAATTCTTATTACTTTGAGGTAGAATGGGCTGAAAATATGAATAGCCCTTTTATTTATTTTTTTTTTTAGTTAAAATCTGGGTCCCCCTCATAATATTTCATTCATTTATAATATATTAGTAAAGGGATCCAGGTTTCTTTGGTATGTATTCTTTTTTTCTTTTCCTTTTTCTTTTTTTTTTTTTTTCTGAGACAGTCTTGCTGTTGCCCAGGCTGGAGTACAATGGTGCCATCTCAGCTCACTGCAATCCACCTCCAGGGTTCAAGTGATTCTCCTGCCTCAGCTTCCCAAGTAGCTGGGATTACAGGCACACCACCACACCTGGCTAATTTTTGTATTTTTAGTAGAGACAGGTTTTCGCCATGTTGGCCAGGTTGGTCTCAAACTCCTGGCCTCAAGTGATCTGCCTGCCTCAGCCTCCCAGAGTCCTGGGATTATAGGCATGAGCCACTGTGCCCGGCCTGGCATGTATTCTTAACTTGTAGGGAAATTACTTCAGAGCACAAGCCTCGCTCATTACATGTACAGACTCCTGGCCCTCGTGATCATGGAATGGCCCTAATTTGAACATTTGTATTATTCACTCTCAGCCAATATTTAAAAAATTATCTAGATTTGAGAACAGTCAAACCTACCTGAGAATGGCATCATGGACTTTGTCCAAGAGTGAAAACTGCCTACAGCCATTCAAAACCAAAATTTGAACTAAGCAGAATAAATGGTTCTACCTAAGAATTATAACATTTTCCTCTGTTCTTAAGAGGAATCAGAACAGCATTTTTAAACTTTTAAATGTTTTCTAGGAACCAGTGACTTAGTTTGGTTAATTTTGCTTCATTCATACCAAAAAAAAAAGAGGGTATTGAGTCTTTGGTTGGTTTTGAATATTCCCAAGGATTATTTTTTGACATCTCGTTCCCATACATGAACAGTAGTTACTTATGGGAAGTGGCCTAATTTTCTTAAATAATAATCTACCATAACACACACACACACACACACACACACACAGAAAAAAATCATTACTTTATTGTTAAAAATGTGTCAGTTGTAAAGATACCTGTCCTTTGAATCAGCATGTTGGGAGGTGCAGGAGATTCCTGCCTTTGAACACCTGCCTAAAGATTCCATAACAAGGGGATTTGGTATGATGAGATATATGCAAAAGGTTTGGATTCTGGAAAAATATATACAAGTCTTTTTCCAGGGGGGGAAAATACACACACACACACACACACACACCCCTAAGGAGTCCAGTGTAATTTTGTTTCTCAAATTCCTGTTTCTCAAATACAAAGTTTTAGGAGAATAAGACAATTTAGGAAAATCAACACATTATTCATGTCCCGTAAAACACCAAGATTGTTTTTCTATTTTCCTGAGTTATATCAATAGAAAAAACATAAAATGATAATTAGTCTCCCTGTCACTTCATCAGAGTTTTATAGATTAGTAATTTTCATGTATAGCACATTTATGATATAACTTATACCCTTATTTATTGGAGATGATTTTATTAGATGATACCTGCAGACTATGGAAAAAAAAATCTTTTCTAAGCTTTCTATATGAGGTGGTCATTAGAATGCTTCATGGGATTTTTGAAAACATTTCTAATATTCCAGCCTCTGACAATAAGCACTTTTTCCTCTATGACATTAATTTACTCCTTAAAGTTTTCTCTTCAGCTATAATCTTAAGGTAAATGGGAAATAGACATAAGTGCATTTAAATTTATAATGCACTGATTCTCTTGTGAAGGTAGTCTTGTAATGAGGAAGGAATTCAAAACAGAACTTGTTTGCAGCTCTGCAAATGTGCAAGAAAGCTACAAACCTGCCAATATTCCATTCACATTTAGCTACACATTTCTGAGACACATCTATCTTTACTAGAGGGCAGGATTTGCTATCTCTCTGGAGTAGCATATGCATAATAAAGATGGACAGAGATTGATAATTACTTGCATCAAAATGATGCTTTCTTTGTGTACCTAAATTTAGGAACAAAATGTTAGAAAATTGTTTCAAAAGTGCCTAGGTTAAAAATACCAACTATATCAAACCTAATCTACTTATTCTCCTGCTCTCCTCATCCACCGCTTCATACCTTCTCATCCTCAAGCCACAAGTACTTTTTCTCCTATCTTCCTTTGCAGTGTTACTTACTATTTCCCTGAGAAATAGAAGTAATCAGAGGACTTCCACAGACCACCTCCCCCCACCACCATATAGAGTCACCTACTTGTAACTGTGCCTTGTATTCTCTGTCTTCCATCTGTTCTTATGAATGAAATGTTCCGAGCTGTATCCTTGCAACTTGTGCACTAGATCCCATTCCTTCCCCTACTCAAAGAGTGATTCAGCAACTTTCTCCTCTCCCCTGCAGCATCACTCCCACCCTCTCTATTGGGTCATTCCCACAACCAGCTTGGTGGAAGCAACAATCAGCCCGCTCCCGGATTCTTGCAGTAGCCTCCTACCTGGTCTCCTTTTAGCCCCTGCTCCCTTTCACTTTATTTTCATCGCAATAGCCAGAATGATTCCATTAAAATCCACTCTTGCTCAGAACCCTCCAGAGGCTTCTCATTCACTAAGTATAAAAGTTAAAATCTCTAAAGAAAAAAAAAAAAATCCAACCCTACTTGGTCTTCCCTGCCCTCTACCTCTTCTTACTTCTCTAACCTAATATCTTACTCCTCTCCCTCAGCTCTTTCTGCACCAGCCACACTGATTTTATTTTTCCTAGAACACCCTGGCTAGAACTTCCATCTAGCCCCAGATTTTCTAGTTTCCTAGAACCCCCACTGCTTGCCCTAGATTTTCATCTAGCTTGTTCCCTTTCCCTTTTTTGACCTTTCATCTTTCATATCATCAGTGAGGCCTTTCCTGCCCACTCATTAGAAGTATAACTGCCCCCACCTCCCCTACTCTATTTTTCTCAGTTACACTTGTCTCCATGTTGTGAAATACCATATATTTTTACTTGTTAATTGTTGTCTATAGTCTGTCACCCCCCTCAACCCTACCCCAGGTAAGGTGCTTGAGTGGTTGGGATTTTTTTTTCCTTTTTACTCCCCTCCCATATTACTGGTGTATTCCTAGAACATAGTAGGTACTTACCAATATTTGTTGAAAGAATGAATCTATAATAGAGTATAATTGGAAAATGACTTAGGAGTATCAGTCATGCAGACTGAATTTTTTTAAATCTGTTTCACCAATTCTGTTTTTGTTTGTTTGTTTGTTTGTTTTATTTTGAAGATAGGGTCTCACTCTGTTGCCCAGGCTGGAGTGCAGTGGTGTGATCTCGGCTCACTGCAACCTCCACCTCCCAGGTTCAGACGATTCTCCTGTCTCAGCCCCCCAGGTGGCTGGGACTATAGGCATGCACCATCACTCCCAGCTAATTTTTGTACTTTTGGTAGAGACAGGTTTTTCCCATGTTGTCCAGGTTGGTCTTGAACTCCTAGCCTCAAGTGATCTGCCTTCCAAACTGCTGGGATTACAGGCATGAGCCACCACACCGGACTCAATTCTGCTTTATAAACATAATTTAAATACGGTTTTAGCTTCAGGTGAGTCACTATAGGCATTCGTCTTTCTAGAAATTGTGGGACTCTCCCTCTTATATGCAGTTGACCCTTGAACAACACGTTTAACTATGTGGGTCCACTTACACGCAAAATTTTTTTTTTTTTTAAGAGACAAGGTCTCCCTCTTGTTACACAGGCTGGAGTACAGTGGTGCCATCATAGCTCACTGCAGCCTCGATCTCCTGGGCTCAAGGGATCCTCCTGCCTCAGCCTCCTGAGTAGCTGGGACTACAGGTTCACGCCACCATGCCCAGCTAATTTTTTCTTTTTTATTTTGTAGAGATAGTGTCTTGCTATGTTGCCCAAACTGGTCTCAAACTCTTGGCCTCAAGCGATCCTCCTGCCTTGTCCTCCCCAAGTGCTGGGATTTACACACATGCACCATGATGCCCAGCCCACAGATTTTTTTTTTCAATAAATACTTCGGAAATTTCTTTGGAGATTTTTGACAATTTGAAAAAACTTGCAGGTAAATGTGTAACCTAGAAATATTGAAGAAATTAAGAAAAAGGTGTGTTATGAATGCATAAAATATATGTACATACTAGTCTATTTTATAATTTACTAACATAAAATATATACAAGTCCACTATAAAATTTAAAATTTATCAAACCTTACACCCAGACCATACTATGGAAGATTCCTAGTGGAAGGAAATGGAAATAAACAGTATTAAGTCATAACTGCGTAAAATTAACTGTACTAGTGTAATAGTTTTGTAGCAACCTCCTGTTGCTGTTGCAGTGAGCTTAAGTGTTGGGAGTATCCATTTAAAATTCTATGTGATGCTAATCAATCATCTCTGAGTGAACAGTTCGCCTCCAGTAAATTGCATATCTCAGTAAAAAGTGATCTCTAGGGGTTCTCGAGTATTTTTTTTTTATCTTGTTTAGTTCAATGCTATAAACCTTGGATGTATGGGACCATGGGGCCCATATGAAGTGCCACCAGTGATGCTAGAAATGCTCCCAATAAGCAGAGAAAAGTCAAGACATTACCAGAAAAGGTTGAATTCCTTGATATGCACCATAGATTGAGGTCTGCAGCTGCAATTGCCTGCCATTTCTAGATGAATGAATTCAGCCTAAAGACCACTGTAAAAAGACACAGTGGCTCATGACTGTAATCCCATGCTTTGGAAGGCTGAGGTGGGAGGATCACTTGAGTCCAGGAGTTCAAGACCAGCCTGAGCAACATAGCAAGACTCCTGTCTCTATGGAAAATAAAATAAAATAAGTCTCATGTTAAAAAAAAAAAAAAAAAAGCCAAGCATGGAGGTGTGCTTGTAGTACTTGTAGTTCAGGAGGCTGTGCTGCAGTGAACTGTGATTGCACCACTGCACTCCAGCCTGGGCAACAGCAAGATCCTGTCTCTTAAATAAAAGAAAAGGGAACTTGGGAAGGCATTGCTGCAGCTATGCCAGTGGGCATGAAAACTTTACACTTTTTGCAAAATACAAAATATGTATTAATGGACTGTTTATGTTATGGGTAAAGCTTCAGGTCAATGGTAGACTATTAGTAGTTAAGTTTCAGGAGAATCAAAAGTTATATGCAGATTTTCAGCTGCATGGTGTGGGGACCCCCCCCCCCCGCCGCCCGCATTGTTCAAGGGTCAACTGTACTTTAAAAGAAGTATACCATGAGAAAAGTATGTATTTTAATACTTTTTGAACTTTTATACTTTCAATACATTGCTGTTAAAAATTACTTTAGTTCAATGTAGACATTCAGATATTTATAGTTATTCTTCTTATGGTCCCTATTCAGAGATGATCTGCTATAAATTTCCCTCTAAGTGCTGTTTTAACTGCATTACACACATTTTGATATGTTGTCTTTTCATTATCATTCAATTCAAAATATTTTTCTATAATTTTCATTGCAATTTCTTTAGTTATTTTAAGTTGCTTAATTTCCAAATATTTGGGAATTTTGCAGATATATTTTCTATTGATTTCTAATTTAATTTTAATTTTATTTTATACTCAGAACCCATGTTTTTATAATGCCAATTCTTTTAAATTTTTTGAAACTTGCTCAGTGGCAACTAACACTCTGACAACTGCCAGATACACATTTTTTTTCCCAGTGCACATGAAACATTCATCAAGAAAGACCATTGTCTTTTCATGTTTTCCATTATATCTTGAACATATTTATACTAGCTATTCTAAGGCTTTTCCTATTCCGTCATCTTTGTCAATTCTGAGTCTGTTTTTACTGACTAATGTTATCCTAGTTATGGGGTATGTTTCCTTGCTACTTTTTATGTCTAATAATTTTTTACTGGTGTTGGACATTGTGATTACCATGTAGTTGTGTGTCTGTATTTTATCTTGTTTCCAAGAACATTCAGTTCCAGCAGATAGTTGAAGGTCAACTTGATCCTTTGAAGCTTGTTTTATGCTTTCTTAAGATGGTTTTAAAGCAGAAGATGACAACGTTTTTATTTAACGAGCCAGATAGTATTTTAGCTTCTACAGTTTCTTTTGCGTATTTGTGTGTACAACACCTTAAAAATGTAAAAAACATCTTTTGCTTGTGACCCATACAAAACCAGGCTGTGGGTTGGATTTGGCCTGTGGGCTGGAGCCACCAATTGCTGTTCTAAAGAATTCTTTAGGGCTACTTTAGCCATACTTTTGTTATTAAATACTCCTCTGTCGAGTCAGAGACTATTCAGGGTCTGAGATTTTACCCTACTTTGAAGCCAGTAAATGAGCTTGCCACAGTTTAACAGATGCTGGCAGAAGACATGAGACTCCTAGGTCAGAAACAGACAACCTTATTATTCACAGTACAGCAAATAGCATGGGCTTTATGTTCTCTTGGTTTTCCTTGTTCTCCAAACCAAGACAATGAGGACAATGTGAGTGGGTCCAGGTAAATGCTACACATACAGTTGGTCTGTGTCACATCTGAGGAGCCCCAAGCTTAGGAAACCCCTAATCTTATAAGGTAACCGCTAGTAAATCTGCCACACTTTGTCCTGGAAGAAGCCATTCACTTTATTTTTCTGGTCAGGAAACAAATCTGTCCTCTGTGCTGGAGGGTGACACTATGCCTTCCAAAGGTGTTGGCTAGACAAACATCCTTTGAAAGATAGTCTAGGTCAAAATTTGTCACAAGACACACAGAAATGCCGTGGAGAATTGTTGCTTAGCACCCACATGTTCAAGAGGCATTTCCACTGGTTGTAACTCAAATGCTTGTCAGCCCTGTGAAAGTGTTGCTGAGGTCTCAGTGCCCCAGTAGTTCTTCCTCTGAGAGTTGTTCTAATAGTTGTTCTCTGCCTGGCCTTACATAGTCCCATTTTATGGATGTACATCTTAGTATTCACGTAGACTCAAGATGATTTTTATGCAGATTTCTGGAGCTCTGTCTCTTGACAGCTTTCTCTTCTCTTGTGGTGCTCTCTTTCTCAAATTGTGGTTGCCCTCCTAAGTTCCTGTCTCTCTCTTAAGCCCAGCAAAACCACTGTACTCTGCTTAGGTTCTCCTTCTTTGTATATCAGTCGATAGAGTGCCTCCAGGCAGAAGGCTGGAACTCAGTTCATTTTTCTTTCCCAAGGGATCACAGTCCTCCTGTACTACCTGTTGTTCAGATTTTCAAAGCGGTTACTTTATATATTTTGTCTACTTTTACTATTTTTTATAGCAGATGCTAGTCCCATATTAGTTACTCCATCATTGATTCTTTTGTTTGTTTGTTTGTTTGTTTGTTTTTTAAACAGAGTCTGGCTGTCACCAGGCTGGAGTGCAGTGGCGAGATCTCGGCTCACTGAAACCTCCGCCTCCTAGGTTCAAGCGACTCTCCTGCCTCAGCCTCCCTAGTAGCTGGGACTACAGGCATGTGCCACCACGCCCAGCTAATTTTTGTATTTTTAGTAGAGATGGTGTTTCACCACGATGTCCAGGATGGTCTCAATCTCCTGGCCTCATGATCCGCCTGCCTTGGCCTCGCAAAGTGCTGGGATTACAGGCGTGAGCCACCGTGCCCGGCCTGATTCTGTCTTTTTAGCATTTACTTCTTTATAAGTTTTAGGATTTTGATTAGCATAATCACTTTGAGTGGGAGATATTTTTGTTGTCACCCTTTCTTGGCCTGTCTCCAAGTTTGATGAATATTTCTATCTGCCCTTTTCCTCATTCCATATCCCAGTCCAGAGCCAGTTCTTAAAATGGCTTTAGAGGGCTCCTACTCCTTACTGATATCCGGAATATGGCCAATTCAGTAACTGAACCAGCTGTTAGCTCAGCTCAGTTGCTGTAGTGATGTTTTTCTTTTGTCATTTTGCCCTCTTGGGTCCAAAGCTTCCCATAAATGCACAGCCCCAGGCAGAATCAGAAGCAGTTTAATTTAGCCTCCTTTCATGAGACTGGGGAAAACCAGGTGACAAACCACTGTTTGCCTGGAACTAAAGGGTTTCTTGGGATTTGGGATGATCAGTGCTAAAACAGGAAGAGTCCTAGGAAAACCAGGAAGGCTGATCACCTCAGTCATGCCCCAGTTTCTGGCTTCCAGTAACATGGCTGGCATTGGTCTTCATCTTTAGCAGAGCATTTTAGTCTGTGTATTCCACAAGAGCTGAGTTTCCAGTTGCCACTAGCTGCCTCAAGACCCAGACCCTGATCGACTACAGCTCTAGCCCAGCTTACTGCTTTGCATTTCTATTGTGTTTCTGGTCCACAAAGATGTTAGTTTTGTTTTTTAAACCCAACAATGGCCTTTTAGTTTTCTTTTTTTCTGTTTTATCTCTCATTACCATGTGTTTAGAGCATATAAGATAAGCTGAAACATGAATTTACTGTGCCACCTTGTTTGGAAATTCTACTGATTCTTTTTCAATTTGATATTGTCTTGGCTTAGGAAATAATGTAATTTAACTGCCTGCTTTATTGAGAAACGCTCCCAACTCTCCCTCTCATTTTGAGGGATCTCAAATCACAGAAATTCAGGTGAAATATTGTCATTTTCCATATAGTGGTTTAATTGTTTCTTTGAGGGCATCGTAACTCAGTGCTGGAGTTAGAATAGAACAGGGATAGTATCCCAGCTTTGCTCCCTCCTACATCTGGTTGATGAGAATGGTATCAGACAGTGCTTTGTGTCCCCACCTCCTCCCCATCTCTGCTTCGAGCTGCTCTCTCTCCTTTTCCTATTCCTCCATGGGCCCTTTTTTTATGCAACCTTCAATCTGTTATTGGAGAATACGTGGATTTTCAGACCCTTTGTCATAACTTGGTAGCCTTTCCAGAGTGTTACTGCCTCTGAACTTGGGCAAGAGGAGGAAGAAAAGCCTTCCTACTTGTTTATTTGCCTCGAACTATGCTCTATGTTCTTTTAGATGCAAATATTTTAAAAAACAATTTTCAATCTTTTGCTCTTTCATGCTGTTGCCAATAACAATCTAGGGAACTGTCAGTGAACTGCATTGTGATTTACACTAGGCATTTAAAATATTTCCAATGGATTAAAGAGTTTTTGAACATAGGGGGTTTCACATTTCAAGCCCAAATACCTAAATATAATTGCACACTATGCTCCTGTCAGTATACTTGCTGGAGCAAAGTAGTTCACAGCAACCAGCTTAGCTCTACTTAGAAAAGACTTGCTTAGGAATAATTGAAGTGGTAGAAATGTGTATGTGGTCATCCTCATTGAGACATTTAGAAACTGGTATTGCATATGGTGTCATCCTCTTTAAGCCACTCTGTTTTTAACAAAAATGAAATAAATATGTGAGTTTACAGCTCACATGAAGGAATTAAACATTTTCTGGGAGGTAATTTAATAAAAATCAGATGATTCAAGAAATGGTTACCTTCATGTTTTGTTTATTTGTTTGTTTTGTTAAAGAAACTAGTTGGAAAAATGCTTTGTTCGGATATCTTAAAATAACTCCATAGGTAGCTGTTCTGTGATTGCCGACTTGGGGTGTGGAAAAGTTACAAAATGAAATAGAGAGCTATTATTTAGCAATTAAGAACACACTTTGCTTCTTTAACTGGGATTAAGTACTTCTGGAGCAAGTTTTGTGCTAACATTAGACATTGAGGTTGGTCCAATAGCTGCACAAGTTATTCTTTAGAAACTGTAGTCTGTTAGTTCAAATCAGGACACCGCAGTGTGAATATAAATCACTTATGCCACATTCTTACGAGGTCATTAAACCATAATTGTCACAATTTCTTTAGAATTACCAAAGCAAGAATTTCCTCTGTGTAACGTTTGAGCTTTATTTTTTTTTCTTTTTGTTTTTCTTTCATGTATTGGAAGACTCTTTTAAAATGATATTTAGCCAGGCGCGGTGGCTCACGCCTGTAATCCCAGCACTGTGGGAGGCCGAGGCGGGTGGGATCACGAGGTCAGGAGATCGAGACCACAGTGAAACCCGGTCTCTACTAAAAATACAAAAAATTAGCCGAGCGCGGTGGCAGGCGCCTGTAGTCCCAGCTACTCAGGAGGCTGGGGCAAGAGAATGGCGTGAATCCGGGAGGCGGAGCTTCCAGTGAGCCGAGATCGTGCCACTGCACTCCAGCCTGGGCGACAGAGTGAGACTCTGTCTTAAAAAATAATAATAAAAAAAGATATTTAATTTTCTAATGCCCTGGCTTCTATCATCCCTCGCCTATAAAATAGATGTATGTACTAGGAAGCAGGTATTGCGTGAGTGTACTGTGAACAGCATACTAGAACCCATTGGTTTTAGGAAATTAATGAGAAAGGTAATGTGGTATAGTGGAAAGAGAATGCGTCTTGGAGTCAGGCAAACCCACCTGTGAATCCAGCTCCACCATACTCTCTGTATAACCTTAGCAAAATTGCTTTGTTTCTATGGGCCTCAGTTTCTTTATCTGGTTTAAAAAAGAAAGAAGAAAATGTTAGGTGCTAAGAAAATGTTACTCCACTGTCCCTACCCTTCTCAGAAGACATTTAGATAGATAGCTAGACAGACAGATGGAATGTTATTAACTGAATGCTTATTATGTGCCTGACATTGGGCTCCACATCTCATTTAGTCCTAACACACATACGAAGCACTGGAGCTTATACAGCCTTTGTATATGTCTTCAGGCTTGACTTGCCTGAAGTTACATAACTAGGAAGTAGTAGAGCCAAACTACTGTACAGCACAGTGCTCTTAGCTACTGTGATTTTAGCTTCACAAAATTTAAAATCTCTTAGAGATATCCTACCAGTTTAATGCTGTTAGAAAATGTAATGACAGCCAGGCACGGTGGTTCACACCTGTAATTCCAGCACTTTGGGAGGCCAAGGCGGATGGATCACAGGGTCAGGAGATCGAGACCATCCTGACTAACACGGTGAAACCCCGTCTCTACTAAAAATGCAAAAAAAAATTAGCCGGGCATGGTGGTGGGCGCCTGTAGTCCCAGCTACTTGGGAGGCTGAGGCAGGAGAATGGCGTGAACCCGGGAGGCGGAGTTGCAGTGAGCCGAGACTGCACCACTGCACTCCAGCCTGGGCGACAGAGCAAGACTACATCTCAAAAAAAAAAAAAAAAAAAAGAGAGAGAAAATGTAATGACAAACCACTAGTTTCTCATCATATTTATTTTTTTCTGTCCATATTTAATTTTGATGCATGTATTTGCTAGAGCTGCCGTAACAAAGTACCACAAACTGGGTGGCTTAAGCTGCAGAAAATTATTTTCTTATAATTCTGGAGGCAAGAAGTCCAAGCTAAAGGTGTTGACAGGTTTGCTTTTTTCCGTGGTCTCTCTTCTTGACTTGCAGATGACTGCTGCTATGGTCTGAGTATTTATGTCCCCACAAATGCATATGTTGAAATCCTAACCTTAAGGTAATGACATAAGGAAATGGGGACTTTGGGAGTGATTATGTCATGAAGTCAAAGCCCTCACGAGTGAGATTTGTTCCCTTATAAGATGGGCCCAAAGCGACCACTCACGCTTTCCACCATGTGAAGACAGGGCAAGAAGGCACCGCCTGTGAGGAAATGGGTCCTTAGCAGACACTGAATCTGCCAGCACCATGGTCTTGGACTTTCTGGCCTCCAAACTTTGAGAAATAATTGTGTGTTTTTTGTAAGATATCCAGTTTATGGTATTTTGTTATAGCAGCCTGAGCAGGCTAAGACAGCTGTCTTCTTGCTGTGCCTTCATATGGTTGTCCTTCTGTGCATGTTATCTGTGTCTTCATCTCCTCTTCTATGTAGACACCAGTCCTATTGGATTACAGCTCACCATAACAATTCCATTTTATCTTAATTACCTCTTTAAAGGCCCTGTCTCTAAATATAGTCATGTTCTGAAGTACTGCAGGTTAGGGCTTCAACTTGGGAATTTGGGGAGGACATATTCAGCCCATAACAATGCATATATAGCATAAAGCATATGAAAATAAGAGCACCTACCCTCCATTGTGTGTTTACCATGTGTGAGACACTGTTCGAAACACTCTATACATGTGTATTTAACCCATATGAGGATAGGTACTATCCTTATCCTCATTTGTTACTGGGAGGCTAGGTAGTCTGTCCAGGGTCACATTACTAGTAAGTGAAATAGGATTTGAAGCTCTACAGTCTAACTCCAGAATCTGAACTTTTATGCAGTATATATACTGCCCATCACAAAAACAAGAAATATCCAGTTTGGAGCAAAGAAACAGAAGACACAGTAATATCTATTTGAGGTAAAATTATGATTAACTTGAAAATTCTGTATATGTTTAATTAGCAGTTACTAGGTTGTCATATGTGAGAAATAAAGAAGCAGCTTCATTCTTCTTTGCCATTGAAAATCATGGCAAAAACCGCTATTACTTTTGCACCAATGTAATACTATAGCACAAGTAATAAGTCAGAGTCATTTAAAAAATAGGAAAGAAAATTCCAAGTAAATTTCTGGCATGCTACTCTATATAATAAAGGGTTAATTAATACAAAATATTCTTCTAAAATTTCAAAAGCAAATAGTACCCACAATAAAGTTTTAATATTTGAAGACCTAGTACACACATGCCTTACTTCTTGGCTTTTTGTCAAAGTTGATATCACTCCAGCTTCAGCCCGTTTTACTGATGCAGAAAAAAGAGCTGAGTTTCACATCTGGGAGATATGGGGCTCAGGGACAGCAATATGCCCCTTCCAGTCTCCGAACTAAGCATACAAAAGCAAAGAACTTGGACCTAACGGTGACTAGAAAAGAAATTGTAAACCATCCATATTCCCTCCCTGAACCCCCAAACAGTGAGGAAGGAATATAGGGCTCCCTCTACACAAAGAAACAGGATTTGAGCCAATTTAATTGAGTGTCAAAGGACAGCATTCCTTACCTTCTATCTGGTTTAAAACCAAAGTAAAGAAACAGATTTCGGGGTAGGAAACACTGCTATGGTGCTCCCTTTTTGCCAATCACTTTGTGTCAACAAAGCCTCTGCCTTCAAGATGCGTGAAACCTGGTGACTGGGGGGGATTTACAAAGATGAGATAATGAGAATTAACAGAGCTCATAGTCAAGTTCTAAGTTAAAAATAATCAAATATGAAAATGTTGAGTGGAGACATTGTTATGGCTGGTCAGGATTTTGGAGGCCACTATGACTGGAGTTATCAAGACAAATGATGTAGAAAAGGTGGGTTTTGAGATGGACCTTGAAAGATGGGATAGTTTGTGGTGGAAAGAAGAGGCATCTTAGACAGGATTCAACATCAGCTGGGCATGAAGGCAGGAACGAGGGAAGTATGTGGAAGCGATGAGGAGACCTCACCTCTGGAAAAGATAGGTTTGGGGGAGTAATGGGATATACTTTATAAGTAGATAGAGTGGGGTCAGATTATTAATATGGCTGCATGCTGAAGTCTGGCATTATTATTCTATTAGTTGAATTGCTCAGTGAAATTATCTCAATTCTCTAAACATGCTTGTAAGAATACATCTCAACAAAACTTAGCATTTTGGATTAAGTAGTGTGTTTGTTAAGTCTGCTCGGATCACAACATACTCTATGGACCACTGGCCCTTCCTGATTCTCTACTCAAAGTTGTGTCATGCCTAATTAGGCTAGGAGATCAAGCAGTCCTGTGCCTTCACTCACCCCTGGCCAGAGGCCTTGGAAGAAGCTTTAAGTGATTCTAAGTGGCTGACTAGAGTTGCCAGGAGAGTGCCACTGCCCTGTGAAGGCATATAGCCTAAGAAATGACTTAAACTTGGCTGGGTGCGGTGGCTCATGCCTGTAATCCCAGCACTTTGGGAGGCCAAAGCGGACAGATCACTTGAGGCTGAGAGTTCGAGACCAGCCTTACCAATGTGGTAAAACCCCATCTCTACTAAAAAATACAAAAATTAGCTGGGTGTGGTGGTGCACACCTGCAGCCCCAGCTACTCGGGAGGCTGAGGCATGAGAATTGCTTGAACTCAGGAGATGGAGATTGCAGTGAGCTGAGATCATGGCACTGCACTCCAGCCTGGGCAACAGAGCAAGAGTCCGTCTTAGAAAAAAAAAAAGAAAAAAGAAAGAAATGGCTTAAACTTTTTTGAACCAGTGATATGTGCGATCTCTGCATTTTATAAATCTTAAAAGGGAGGAACCCTATAGAATTCTCAGATCCCCATGCCATTTTGTGATAATAGAAAGCAGCTTTGGAGTCTCACAGACCTTAATCTGAAGTCTGTGTGACTTCGGGCAAATTACCAAATGTGTATGAGCCTGTTTTATTTTTTAATCTATAAAACAGCCCCGTAACTATGCAGTTATTGTTAACTTTCTTTTTTTCCTTTTGTGACTTCTCTCAGTTCCTGACATTTTTGAAGAACATCTTTGTCTAATCTAAATGCCCTCTACTGCCAAGGAGTTGAAAACTACTCTTTAGGATCCCTGTGGATCCTCAAGAAAACATGGGGATGTCAATAAAGTTGGCCTGCCCCAACCCTCCCTCTCTCCCTCCCCACTCATGTATTTATTTCCTCAGGGTAGGATTTTAAGTCAATCAGCCAATCCTTAGGATAGTACAGAGTTCAGTAGGGTTCAGAGTTCCAGGAAATGATCTCAGAGTGGGTAGATCAACTACCCTTACGTGTACTGAGTCTAAAACAAGAAATAATGACTTAAAGTCATTATATGGCCTAAAGCATGTAAACATTAAGGTTACACGTGACAAAGCACTTTTTGAGTTCACAAACAGTTGGGCAAGGCCATAAACTATCACATTACTAAATTGCTACCATTTCTAATGTTCAAGGTTCCAACTACAAGTTTGTCCTTAGAAGTTGCCTTAGAAATTACAATGTGCTGTCAGTAATTTGGGTGTATCCAATTGTGCTTGCAGCTAAGAAACACATAGGGTTTGCCGGTTCGTATTTTGCCTATATTTGAATCCTGAAAATAACCACTTCATAAGAACAGAATGAGCTTTGTGAAGATTATATCACAGTTGGTTAGAAATGGAAGGTACATTTTTCTTACCCCCTCTTGCCTTTCATCTCTAAACACATTTGCCCCTACTCTGAAGTACAGGCGACTATGAGAGCAGCTGCGGTAGGCAGCTGTAGCATCTTCTGCGTCATCTGCTCCTATGCTCCGCAGACTCTGTCCTCATCCTCCGCTCCCAGTTGCCCTTTTCTTCCTTTCAAAATGGCCCGCTGCCCTCTTCTGTTCAGTGCCCCACCTGGGGTCTGGCAGTGTCCCTGCAGTGATTTCAGGGGATTTTGCCTGGTGTCCTCTTACTTTTAGCATTCTGTATGGTAAAAAGATCATTAGTGAAAACATTGTATCTTATTTAAAAAAACTAGAAAGAAAAAAGCGTTTATCAGCTAATATACAGCGGCTTGCTGCTGCCTCCACAAGTGCTGCCTGTTGATTTTGGTGATGCGCTCTACCCTATCAGTACAATAGAACACGCAGAGGACCGATGATTATGAGTCTTTGAGGAGAAGCCCTCCACAGGATTGCGTTGAGAGAAATGACTTATTCATCCTATGCACATAGGGTAGTAAACCACTGTCCCAGAGGCAGTTCTCTAACTTTCCACAAAGTGCTTATGGACTGGCCAAGCCACTCCCAACATTTCTCTCAGTGCACAATAAACTGTTATAACCAGCAGCTATGGAATCCCTTTCTTTAAAAAAGCAGAGTTGAGCATAAGCTATTCTGTAAGGTAGAATATAGGAGGTAGTGCAGGATACATTCCTTTGTGCAATATGATAAAGGAATTTATGCTCCATGGCACTTAGGGAAGAGCCAGCTCATTTTAGACTGGTCCTTTTAATGTTGTTTGATTTTGTACACTTGGAAAATGGGCTTGCATTCTTTTTCTCTTTTTGAAAAAGCTATTATGTTGTTTTAAAACATACATATTTTAGGCTTTAGGTAATATTCAAATTCTAATTTAAAACAAAGTATTACTTAATATATTTGATTGATAACACATTACATGCACCATGCATGGAAAGCAAGTAAAAACAAATTGTATGTTTTATTGTACTATATGGGCAACAGGGTAGCCTGCCTTACAAAACAATATAAATCATCTTTTACCACTGCTCTCCAAAAATAATTTGGAGTTTACACAATCCAAATTGCACCTGCCAGAACTGCCAGCAATATCTTCAATTTTCACTGACTATACTTTCCTTTCACTCCCTCCATATATTTAGACAAATGGAACAGATATTTCAGCCACACAGTTTACACAATAAAAAACAAAGGTTGAAATAAAGGAAAGGAATGTATTAAATTAACTTTGGGCATGTGAGTGTATAGATGCTAGCATCCATAGCATATAAATACACAGGTGAAATATACCTAAAATAAGGTGGTTTGTGTGTATCAGACTGAATATGCAGGTGTGGTGTACACAGATGTGTACATGCCAAACTGCCGATTTTCTCACGTAAGTATAGCAGTTTCAATACCTAGCAGTGAATGTTAATGTATTTTGAGAAAAAGAATTTGTCTCCTTAAATATTACAATATACAATAAGCATGTATTTGTTATAAATATAAAAATAATGTGCTTGAAATGCTAATTAATTAGATTGGAGAGTACATACTTTGTGAGGAATAGATAAAAAACTAGAACAATTAGACCTCAGCCTGGGCAACTGTGAAAATATAAACTCACAGAAGCTCTGAGCTGGAAGGATTTGATCAGGGCCTCTACAATCTAAATCTTATTAAAGGCATGAATTGTCTTTGCAACATCCCAGTAAAGTGGTCATTCTGCACTTGTTATACTTTTGGTGTAGGGATACTCAGTGCTTACCAACACAGTCACCTTCAAGTTCTTGGGTTTTTTTTTTTTAATTGAAGCAGGGTCTCCATCTGTTACCCAGGCTGGAGTGCAGTGGTGCGATGATGGCTCACTGCAGCCTCGAACTCCTGGACTCAAGTGATCCTCCCACTTCAGCCTCCCTAGTAGCCAGGACTAGAGGCACAAGCCACAACACTGGTTAATTTTTGTATTTTTTGTAGAGACAGGGCTTCACCATGTTGCCCAGGCTGGTCTCAAACTCCTGGGCTCAAGTGATCCCCCAACTTCAGCCTTCCGAGTATATATACTCAGAAGTATATATAGGTATATATGGGATTATAGGTGTGAGCCACCACACCTGGCCCTCAAGTTCTTATTTAGGGAAAATATATTTACCTGTAATGGTGTAATCTATATATCCATTTGGTTCTCATTCTTCCCCTCCACCCTATACAGAATAAACATCCCTCCTACAATCCTTCAGATATGTGAAGACAATCATCATGTCATAACTGTTCTATAACTGAGCCATCACTAACAAAGACTTGTCTCCTAAGCCTATCAGAGCCAGGATGTTTATTCATCCTTGCCACTCAGCAACTGAAAGATCCTCATCTCTAGAGTAGATTGGTGGTGGTACTTCTCAGATGAAAAGCCTGTGATGTGGTTGTGTTGTGTTGATGAGTTACTGCTGAAGACACTAGAGCCAGAGAGGAAATCCTAATCCTAGAGCCCAGGCAAGAGCCGCAGATTTGAATTAAGTTGGTGGCAGCAAAGGCAGGGACCATGATGTTTTACCTGCACCAAAAAACAAAACCAAGAACTTTCAATTTGTGTCATTGACATTCAACTGAGCCTGTAATTTTCTAGTTATGGCCTTGAGCTCCATTTTACTGGCAGCTCTGCCACTGGCCAGATGCATACCCTTGGGCAATCCTCCTCACTGCTCCCGGGTTCCTCTCTGTTATGCAAAGGCACATGCTGCTTTTCTGCCTAGTAAACAACACCCCCCCTCCCCCCCCCCGCCCACAGCTAAGATGTCATTTCTCCAGGAACCCTTTCCTAACTCCTACCCCTCACTCCAAGACTGGCCTCTGTCTTCCGATGCACCCAATGCTCACCTCTATTCACTTACTTCATTGTATTTTAATCACCTATTTACTTGTCTGTCTCTACTGTACTGGAAGTTCTTTAACACTGAGGACTCAGTCCCTAGCACTTAACTCAGTGCTTCGCATATACCAGAACTCAGAAAAAAATTTGTTGAAAAAAGGAAGAAAGGAAAGTGAAAAGGAAGAGAGATGATAAAATTAGGAAGTTGGACTAAATTATCTAAGTACCTCTTACAGCTAAACTCTATGGTGCTTTGTTCTTAGGTGCTATATTTAATGACAACCTGAGATTTTTGGAAATTTAGATTTCTCTAGTAAGAGAATGGGTTTCAAGTGATTGTACCAAAATAGGAAAACTATAAATATATATTCATACATATAGTAAAATGTTAAGACTGAGATTTAGAATTCATTTAATGAGCCCAAATTGTATTTTATGTATGAGTAAACTGAGGCACAGTAAGACTAAGTTAACTGCCCAAACTCTTCCACCTGGTTAGTGGGAAAATAACATTTCCAACCCTGATCTTTCTGGTTCCTGAACCAGGATAGCTGGACTGTACTTCCCCATTTTTGAAAAAGCTGCTAAAAACTTGGTTACAAACTTTAAGTGACACGTTTCTCCATTTATGTGGTGGTTATAGCAACGTACAACTCTCTATTTATAAATTAAACCTTGAGAAACACCCATCTCCACTCCTAGACAAACCAATGAACATTAGTCTTATTTTTCTCCCAGAAATGTCAGAGGGTGTTACAGTGCTACACGAGATGACTCCTGCAAGTTGCTTGCTAGATAGAGTTGCAGTTCATGTGAATTGCTTTCAGCCAGGTTGGGTATCCAAGCTCAATGTTCTGGTGTTAAGCCATAGGGAAGTGTTGCCATGAGACCAGCTTCTTGGCAAGTAGCCCTGAGGTGCAGCTGTAAGGTGACCCAGTGCAGTCCTGAGGCCAGAGCCCTGTGCTCAGTGCCAGAAAACTTGAGCCAAACTTTGGAACTAATTCCCAGGGCACTGAAATTGGTCTCAATTAAAATTTTAGATGAAAAGGGTTTTTGTTTGTCCTGAAGAACCACTTCAATTTATAAACTCATAGAGAAAGTAGATATTTTGCCGGTGTACTTGGAATACCTTTCAGAAGCCAAACCCTTAAAAAAAAAAAAGACATTAGATTATTTAAGAAGTTATAAATTTTTTTCTTTTTCTTCTGTATTTTAATAGGTACGAACCATAATATATATATATATAGTTTTTTTTTTTTTTTTTTTTTTTTTTTTGAGACGGAGTCTCCCTCCGTTGCCCAGGCTGGAGTGCGGTGGCGTGATTTCGGCTCACTGCAACTTCCGCCCACCAGGTTCAAGCGATTATCTTGCCTCAGCCTCCCGAGTAGCTGGGACTACAGGCTCCTGCCACCACGCCCGGCTAATTTTTTGTATTTTTAGTAGAGACTGGGTTTCACCGTGTCAGCCAGGATGGTCTCGATCTCCTGACCTCATGATCCCCCCACCTCATCCTCCCAAAGTGCTGGGATTACAGGCGTGAGCCACCATGCCTGGCCGGAAATATTTCTTGAAAGCAGCACTTTTCATAAGATTCACTGGCTGAAGAATCTTTATTTTTCTGTCTTTGAGCATGCTGTGTAAGATGTAAATCTTCTTCAAATGTAAAGTGGTATTGGAGTGGAAATGGTGGAAGTAGTGGTCAAGGTGATGGTGATAACTGCACTAGACTTTGAACCCATACAGATTTGAATTTGGAACCCAGCTTCACTACCTACTAGCAGCTGACGACTTAGATAGTATACTTAAGCATGGAGACTATTGTGCATGGAACTGGTTCTCAAACTAGTTGCAGTGGAATCACCTGGATGCTTCTACAGAGTATCCCTCCCTGGATTCCACTTTAGACTAATTAATTCAGAATCTCTGCAAGTGGGACCCAAGCATGAATATTTTGTGAACATTCTCATAAAGATTCTAATGTTGAGGACCAGTGACATAGTGATTAAAACTTTGGCTCTGGAGTCTAACTGGGCTCAGACTCCAGGTTGAACCTGTCTGAGCTTCAATATTTTCATCTGTAAAATTGGATAATAAGAGTTTAGGGGCTGGGCACGGTGGCACACGCCTGTAATCCCAGATCTTTGGGAAGCTGAGGCGGGGGGATCACGAGGTCAGGAGATCGAGACCATCCTGGCTAACATGGTGAAACCCCATCTCTACTAAAAAAAAAAAAACCAAAAATTTAGCTGGGCGTGGTAGCGGGCACCTGTAGTCCCAGCTGCTCGGGAGGCTGAGGCAGAGGATTGCCTGAACCCGGGAGGCAGAGGTTGCAGTGAGCTGAGATCATGCCACTGCCCTCCAGCCTGGGCAACAGAGCGAGACTCCATCTCAAAAAATAAAAAATAAAAAAGAGTTTAGTGTAGGGCTGTTAGAAGATTAAGTCATGGAAAGTACAATACAGTACCTATGGCATAGTAAGTGTTCAATTATAGCACCTATTGTTATCATCCGTAATTCCTTCAATTCATATTGCATATGAATACTTGTTCTCACTTCAGCTTTGACTTAAAATTCATCTCCCCAAATCAGTTGTGAGCCCTACCAAGTCCATTATGATAATCTTTTGTGCCTTTGACATTTTTTCTGTATCTGCTACTAACAACCTCGTTAAAGTGATTGCTATTTATTTCCATTGCTATCCTTTGCCAACCTTCAGTCTTTTTTTCAGAGAGAGGGTCTCACTCTAGCCCAGGCTGGAGTGCAGTGGTGCGACCTCAGCTCACTGCAGCCTCGACCTCCCAGGCTCAAGCCTCTCAAGTAGCTGGGATCACAGGTGCATGCCACCATGCCCGGCCAATTTTTGTATTTCTTGTAGAGACAGGGTTTTGCCATGTTGCCCAGGCTGACCTTGAACTCCTGAGCTCAAGTGATTCACCTGCCTCAGCCTCCCAAAGTGCTGGGATTACAGGTGTGAGTCACTGTACCTGGCCCACCTGCAGTCTTTACAGGCCCCTGTGTTGCCTTCACAACTTTTACCAGATGGCTTTTTTCTTAATCCACATACTCTGGACAAAGATAAGAGACATAGTGTGGTATTATGAAGAACTAAGGAACCAAGAAAACCAGGGTCCTGGTCCCAGTTTTGTGACCATGGACAAGTCTTGTATCCCTCTTAGGCTTTCATCTCCCTATTTATAACTTTAGGAAGTTGGACCGGCTGATTTCTTCCTGCCCTAACATTGTCTGGTGGTTGGATGCAGGGGCTATTGCACATATTGCCTAGTGTGTCAGAGGAACACCCAGAAAGGAGGCCAGAGTGCCAGAGCTGAGGGAAACAGGGGAAGTGGTCAGAGATCAGGACAGAGAAAACAAGGCTGCTTGTGTGAGGCCCTAAAGGACCTGATAAGGACTAAGGTGTTTACTCAGAGGAAGAAGAGAAACCACCAGAGAGTTTGGGGGAGAGAAACTGTAAGATATTATATAACCCATTTTTATTGAGTGCTTACTCTGTTAGATTCTATTTTCAGCGCTTTATTTGTAATCCTCACAATAATCGTATGAGATAGGAACCACAATATTCCCCATTTTACACTGAGGAAACAGGAATCCAAAGAGGTTAAGTAACTTGCCTAAGATCACATGGCTCAGAAGGACTTAGGTAGAATTTAGACCCAGGCAGACTTACTCATCTCATTCATTGTCCTGACCCCCCAACTGCTTAAGAGATTGAGACTGAGGTGTTTTTTTTCTTTCTGTATTTCCAGAGGACACTTAGAATAAAATTAATTCATACTCATTCATAAATACAAAACTTCTTTACTTAAACTGATAACAATTTCAAGTATTTGGCTTTATGATTTCAAGTTTTTTAAAAAGCCCTCACATTAGCACATTAACAAGCCTGTTGATGTGTCTCTCTTTCATTATGCAGACAGCTATTTCTTTTTTGCTCCTAATGCAGAGGTTGATTGGGAAATTTTTTATTTTATTGCTTACGACTTTGCCCTTGTGCTATCTAAATCACTACTATATGATTTGGCATTTATAATTTATCATTTCCCTCTGCTATTAGACGAAATGCCCTTTAAAGCATTCCACAGCAAGGTGAACACAAGTCAAGCTTGCAAAGTTTTAGAAAAAATAATTGCAAAAAGTCATTAAAGAATAATGAAAGTTGATTGATATAGCATACAATATCAGGGCTGCCCAGTTTAACAGATACAATTATTTCCAGTCATTTTCAGAGGGCATCTAAATTTCAGCACCTAGTTTTCACCATCTTTCTAGGAATACCAGCAAAAATCTCTTGTTTATATAAAGGCTGTAAAAGCAAAATTTTTAACTCATTTCTTTGGATTTTCCTAATGCTAAGGTTGAAACAATAGACATTTTAAATGATTGGAAACCAGATTTCTCTTACTATCCTGTGATTTTAACATTCTATTGCTGTAGCCAAGAGTCTTTGACTTCTGGACCAGCTGCTTTTTGCATGCCGATTTTTCAGAGGGAGTCCCTCAAGAGTTCTTAACTTTTGACTAGTGTCTACCTTGACTTCAGCCCCTGCAGGAAGTGAAGGTAGCAATGTTTGGGAATAAAAACACTAAGGGAAAAACATCTCCTAGTAGAATCATCAACTCAGTCTAATTTTAGATTTCAGGCAGACCACTTAGCTGTACTTTCAGCTAGTTGCAAACATATGCTTTTTAGGTGCTCATCATTGAAGGACTAAAACCAGGACTTAAACTAAAATAATAAAATTTTCTATCATAATATTTTTCAGTAAAATAGGTGATATGTGAGAACATGTGTGTGCACGTGCAAACCATGTGCTTGTGCACCCACATTCAAGTATTCACAGCATTCAAAATAAGATGATCCAGTCAGGCGCTGTGGCTCACGCCTGTAATCCCAGCACTTTGGGAGGCCGAGGTGGGCAGATCACCTGGGGTCAGGAGTTTGAGACCAGCCTGACCAACATGGAGAAACCCATCTCTACTAAAAATACAAAATTAGCCAGGTGTGGTGACATATGCCTGTAATCCCAGCTACTCGGGAGGCTGAGGCAGGAGAATCGCTTGAACCTGGGAGGCGGAGGTTGCGGTGAGCCGAGATCATGCCATTGCACTCCAGACTGGGCAACAACAGCAAAACTCCATCTCAAAAAAAAAAAAAATTAGCCAGGCATGATGGCGCGTGCCTGTAGTCCCAGCTACTCGGGAGGCTGAGGCAGGAGAATCGCTTGAACCCGGGAGGCAGAGGTTGCAGTGAGCTGAGATCACGCCACTGCGCTCCCGTCCGGCAACAGAGTGAGACTGTCTCAAAAAAATATTAGATGATCCAAAAGTGTTCCTATTTTTCATAAACTCTTTTAATTTTTTTCTTTCCACCCATCACAACCACAAGGACTAATAGCCCCAGGCTCAAAACCTCAGAAGCCATGTTATTGAGGTATGTGACAGGACTACGAGACATTTTTGATAATAAGTTTTAGGTGGCAGCTATTTTGATATTGAAAAAACTGGATCAAATCTAACAAAGGTCTTTTGAGAGGAAATGTTTAAAAGGGCACATCTTGTGGCCAGGAAAACCACAGTAAAATATTCCAATTAGGAATAAATTAGAGAACGCTATACTTTCCTAGAAGGATCAGAAAGTCAAATACTTGGCCTTGAGCTGCCTCTCACCTCTACCCCTGCTGACCCTAAGAACAAGTCACTCCTGTCTGTGTGAGCCCAACAGTTGCTGCCAGGCCTTGCCATTCCTCTGCAGAAAAGATCCAGGGATTTTTCACCAGAGACTGCTGGCCAGCATCAGAGTCAGAAGGAGGTAGCCGAAGTGCCACTGAACTTTCTATAGTGCTCTAAAGCCAGCTTTCTGTCTGCAAAGGAAAATTCTCTAAACTCACTAAAGCCAAATCTAACATACTTTAAAGTCTCCAAAGGAAGTCTCATAAACTTTCTTGTTGCTGTTAGAAGATTAAGCTCTGATTTCCCAGATTATATTTTCTATTTTCCTTAAATTTAGCAACATTTAATCCATGACACTCATTGGTATACAAGAAAAATCATTCTGCTGTCTTCATCATCAATTTAAGGTGTTCAGCTGTGATGCCTTGGTACTTTATGTTGTGATTAATTGCCTTATACTAACATCTGATGAATATTTTTAAAAACATTCCTTAGGTTACCTATGTGGCTGAACTGTGTGGTTAGTTGGGAAACTGGGGCTATGAAGTGAGTTCCCCAAAGAGCTGAATTCAATCGAGATGTCATGCACAACTGACCTCTTTAATAGAGTATTTTACTCTTTTGACAGCATCTAAAACCGACCTTTCCCTCAGGGTCTAGCTCAGTTTCTCCTCCTGCCCAAAACCTTTCCTGACAATTTAAGTTCTTACTGACATCTTTCCTCTGGGACACCTAAAGCCCTGTGATCTGTGAAGCTGTTATGGCATTTGGGTATGTCATCATATGCCATCATTTATTCCCTAACTTTTCAAGTCAAAGGCCATATGCGCTGCCTTTTCAGCTCCCCCTGCAGTGCCTAGCATAGTGCCCAGTACATATGGAAGCTCCATGGTAGAAGTGGATTGAATTGGCTTATAGCCTTTTTCATCATTACCTGAATTATCATATCTAGGACTAGGGTCTGCATTATTTCTTTTTATTTTTCCAGTCATTATCTGTTCCTTAGTGACCCAGGAGCATCCACAGTGAGTTGCAAGTTGGACCACTCCTGGAATAGGTTGGTCAACTTGTGTTTTTTGGCTTGAACATCACTGTTCTGTACCACACACAGAAAACAGGAGACAAATTATGTACTTTACGATTGCAGTATTGCAGTCATTAGAGAATCACCAATTAGTATAAAGGCAAAAAAAAATGTATACATATATATATATATAAAAGCTAATGGAACAGAGAAAGAAAAGAAATATAGAAGAGGGTGACAGGAAAAGAGATGAGAAAGAATAAAAAAGCCAGCAATCCAGTTCTCTGATGTAATGTTTCCTTTTTCTAATGACAAAACATAAAGACTCCTTGCAAGTGCATTTAATGGATGATGACTTGCACATCTTCAAAATGTTTGCTCTTTAGGAAATGTATGCAGAAATAACTGCCTTTCCAGTTTGAATTAGGAACAAATTGGAAAGGCAGTTACTTTGGGGGCACGGGAGTAAGGGTGGTTTGGGTGAAGGGAAGTAAACGCAGTCTGGTAACACTGGTGCATTGTATGCGGCAGTAAGAAATGACAACTCCAAATGAGGCCGGCTTCTCTCTTAATGTGATCAGCTTGCTATGCCCTCAACGATTCCATGAGATTTTGCATTTTATAGGTTGAGCTTCCCACTGGCAGCAAGTGAAGCAGTTCATTATGCACATCTGTCACGTGATCCACTTCATCAACCAAATGGAACTGGGAGAATAAGTCACCCTAACAAGATCCTTCAGTACACTCTTAAAAACTACTTACAGATGTACTCTTCCTCTGTAGGGATACAATGGGTTTCCTTGTACTGTGCCACATGATACAGGAAATGCATTATCCCCATCCAAATTCTGGCATACCAGGAGGAAGCACGTGAAAAGAAAGCAGCTCACAAAAGCACACAATGCTTTTGCAAAAGTCCTTAGAGGGACTCATACACCAATTTATGATAACGACAGATAAAATCCCAGGCCTCTGAAGCTCAGTTCATTTCAAATGCTAATGTCCACACAGGGAAAGGAAACCACATCAGCATTCGGCATTGACACAAACATTGTTAATGCTTTTTATTTATGGATTGTCACTGAGTCCCCTCAGCAGTATGCCAGATTTCCATTTGTGTTGTAACTTTAGCTACTTTATGTGCTTTCATGACTAGCTGTGTTATGTACCCATAGGCGATTCATGCTTTCAAACTGTGTCTGGTGAGATAAGCGGCCACACTTCTGATCTTGAATCAGGAACCATTTTGTTCACATTCAGATCAGGTGGAATAAACGTTTTTTAGCTAAGCCCAAAATTAGATTCACCTGCCACTGTTAAATCTTCCTATTTCATTCACTTAACCAACAAATATTATTGGATGCCTACCACGTGCCAGGCACTGTTCCAGGCACTGGAGACATACCGTGAACATACAGAATCCTACCATCATAGAGATTACAATCTAGAGGTGGATAAGGGGAGATGGTCAACAAATAGGCAATATGTCAGAAAGTGTGTCAGTCAGGATAGGCTAGGTTATTTTGTGGCAATAACCCAATATCTCAGTGGCTTAAAACAACCAAGTTTATTTCTTACTTACACTGCATGTTCATTGCAGGTCAGCTGGGGGCTCTGCTCTGAGAGCACCTTCCCTCTGGGACCCAACCTGCCTAGAGAACCCCCATCTAGAGTGTATGGCTTGTCTTTGTGGGAGATGGAGAAGATAGAGTGATAAATTATATGCCACTTCTTAAAGCTTATGCCTGAAAGTGACACATGGCACTTCTATAACATTTCACTGGCCAAAACAAGTCACACAACTACACCCAACTCCAAAAGGTGAGGTAGTGCAATCATATCATATGCTCAAGAAAATCAGACACATTTGGTGGACAGAACTGTCCCCGATGATGATGATTTCTATGAAGAAAAAATCAAGGTAAAGGAGACAGTGTCTGCGTAGGAGGTTTCTATTTGACGTAGATGGTCTGGAAAGTTCTCTCTAATAAGGTGATATTTGAAGAGAGATTCCAAGGGAGAGAGAGAGAGCCATTTGGATGGAGGTGGGGGCAACTTCCTGTAAAGGAAACTGCAAGAGCAAAGTGTACCTGGCATATTTGAGGAACAGCAAGGAAGTCAAAGTGCCTAGAGTGCGGTGAGCAGAAGTGAGCAAGGGGAAGGCTATAGAAAATGAGGTCAGAGTGTTGTGGAACACAAGGTACAGCTTTATTGTAAGGGCTATGGCCATTGTAGGTTTTTGTGTAAAGACATGATATGAGTTAGTTTTTAAAAGGATCCTGTGGCTGCTGAGTGGGAAGCATACTCGAGGGTGAAGGGGTGAAACAAGGGGTAGGTAAGAGGCTTTTCAATAACCCAAGTCAGGTAAGAGGAAAGTAGTGGTCAGATTCTGGATATAGTTTGAAGGTAGAGCAAGAGTATTTGCCAATGTATTAGATGGTAGGATGTAAGAGAAAGGGAGGATTCAGCAATGACTTCAAAGGTTTACTTTTTCTAGTAATCCTTGAATATATGTAAGGACTACCTCATGTGGTCTTGGGGAATCTTCAAATTTGGCAGTATCGCTATAGCATGTAAACTCCCCTGTAAATAAGTGGAGTTGAATAGCCAAGTGCAGATGTGGATTCTGGGCAGTTGGCTTGATTCATGCACCAGCTAAGGGACTTCTATCCCCATACTGGCCTCATATCTAGTCTCTCTTAGGGTTTATGATTCAAGTTAATTTATAAAACCAGAGAAATTAGCCTCATAATTATAAGCAAAATAGGAGCTTATGCCTGGGTCATCCCAACTTCACTCCATCCTTCTATTTCTCTGTGAACCTCAGATATCGCTACCAGGAAACCCAGCTCCTCCAGCATGAGATCTGTCCTCAGTAGCATATCATATAGTGATGTGTCACCTCCAGTTCTCCTGGAAAGAGGTTGAATAGAAATCTTAATACGTACAATAAAACAATACTGCGGTGTTTGTCTGAATAGTATGTCCCTCTTTCTGCTTACCCTGCCTTCCTGTAACATGGCTTTCCCCATCACCATTATCCAGTAAATAGTAACTAGAACTCCCTACCACACTTAGACCTTCTCTTATATCTTTTCTAGCATAGCAGATCATAGGTTGAATGTAAAGTTTGCCAACTATCATAAAGGAATGAATAAAGGTCAATGCTGTTTTTAAAAACTGTGTTTTGAGGCTGTTTGTACTCAAAAGCATTCATCTACTCAACAAACATTCTTGAGTTCCTACGATGTGCCAGATACACATCTTCTAGCCAATGGAGTCACAGCTATGAATAGAATATATATGTAATACATATTATTGCCAAAGACTGGAAAAGCATGGAAAAGTATAAAGAAAAGATAAAATTTCTACTAACTCACCACTGACACATAGCAGCTAGTAACATTTTAGTGTCTAGACTTTTTCTAAGCATAATATCCTTCCTCCCTGCTTTTTTGAATAAAATTTATAACTCTGGACTTACACATTTTTTCTTTAAAATTTTTTTTCTTATTAAAAAAACAGCAGATGCTCACTATTGATTGAATGAATGAATGAATTATAGGAACTTAATTACATAGAAGGAAAAAATTTTAAATGGAAATAACCACTAGTATCACTATAAGAGATAACATTGCTGTTAGTAGTTTGGGTTGCTCAATATGGTTTTGAATAATTGGAATATTTGTACAACTTTGTTCCACAACAAATGATTTACTTTAAAAATAACAACTTTCTCTTTTCCCAAATTACAAAAGCAACATGCCATTGTGGATATTTTGGAAACTACTGAAAACTACAAAAGGGGAATCTAAAAGTCATTTATAGTCCCACTGCCCAGAAACTACTGCTATTAACATTTTGGGCATTTTTTTCCAGTCTTTGTTCTTAGCAGTACAACAGGCTAGTTAAGAATCTGGACAAGCTACTTAGCCTCTCTGAGCCTCAAATTCCTTATCTGTAGAATGAAACTAATAATGCCTGCCTTGTAAGATTGTTGTGAAGTTTAAATGAGATAAAATATACAAATTGCTTAGTCCAGTATCTGAGCCATAATAAGTACTCAATATGGGGACTCTTACTATTTTGCAAGATATTTCTACATAAGTTAATCATACTTTATACATAAACTTTTATCCTCTTTAAAAAAAAAACATTCCATCATTAATATTTTCCAAAAACATTTTTAATGTCTGCATAAAGTTTATTCATGTGACTATACTACAGTTCTCGTAATGATACTCCCTTCTTATTAAACTTTAAAAAAAGTACATTTTGAGACAATCTCAATTTTTCAGAAAAGTTGCAAGTAAAGTACAAAGACCTTCTTTTCCCCTGAACCATTTGAAAGGAAGATGTCAATTTGATTTCCCCATCATCCCCAAATATCTTAGTATTTCTTCAACAGAGACATTCCCCTACATAACTGCAGTACAAACAGCAAAATTGGAAAATTAACATTGATACATTGCGATCTAATCTTCATACCCCAGTCAAGTTTCTCCATTGCTCAATAATGTATAATTTATAGCAAAGGATTCCAGTTCAGAACCACACATTGCAATTATTTGTCATCTTTCCTTAGTCGCCTTTAGTCTGAAACAGTTCCTCAGTCTTTCCTTTACTTTCATATCCTTAACACTTCAAGAATATGGGTCAGTCATTTTGTAGACTATCCCTCCATTTGCTTTTCTCTGATGTATTCTCATGATTAAGTTATATGTCCTTATCAAGACTACCACAAAATTGATGCCGTGGGTTCTTATTGTATCCTTAGATGGAACATCTGCTTTGGCTATAGCAGCCTGTGCTGTGCCATTTTCCTATACAGACACCCACCTCGCCCTACCTGGGCTCTAACGTTCCACATCAAGCCACCCCTCTTCAACCCACACTTGGTTATTCCTTTGCAAGAACCACTCTCCTCACCCCATGTGGACCCTGAAACCCCATGCTGGCCTGCACTCCCACCTTTAACCCACCTGGCCCCAGTACTCTGCACTGAGCCATCCTCTCAGTCCTCTTTGGTTCTGGCACTCTGAGCCAAGCTGACCCTCTTCAGGGACACCCCTTTCATCCTTCTTGGGCACAGTGGCTCATGCCTGTAATCTCAGCACTTTGGAAGGCTGAGGCAGGAGGGTTGCTTGAGGCTCAGTTCAAGACCAGCCTGGACAACAGAGCAAGGTCCTGTTTCTACAAAAAAAAAAAATACAAAAAAATTATGGCTGGGTGTGGTGGCTCACGCCTGTAATCCCAACACTTTGGGATAATAAGGCAGGAGGATCCCTTACGTCCGGGAGTTAGAGACCAGCCTGAGCAACATAGTGAGACCCAGTGATATGGTTTGTATTTGTGTCCCCACGAAATCTCATATTGAATTGTAATCCCCAATGTTGGAGGAGGGGTCTGATGGGAAGTGATTGGATCATGGGGGCAGATTTCCCCCTTGCTGTTCTCATGATAGTGAGTTCTCATGAGATCTGGTTATTTAAAAGTGTACAGCACCTCACCCTTCACTCTTTTCCTCCTTCTCCAGCAAGGTAAGACATGCTTGCTTCCTCTTTGCCTTCTGCCATGATTGTAAGTTTTCCGAGGCCTCCCAAGCCATGCTTCCTGTACAGCCTGTGGAACTGTGAGTCAATTAAACCTCTTTTCTTTACAAATTACCCAGTCTCAGGTAGTTCTTTCTAGCAATGCAAGAACAGACTAATACACCCAGTCTCTACAAAAATAATAAAAAATTAGCAGGGTGTGGTGGTGCAGGTCTATTGTCCCAGCTACTCGGAAGGCTCCAATGGGAGGATCCTTTGAGTCCAAGAAGTTGAGGCTGCAGTGAGCCGTGATCACGCCACTGTACTCAGCCTGGGCAACAGAGTGAGACCCTGTCTCAAAAACAGACAAACAAAAAGTACTATCTACTATCTATGTATGTAATACCAGTTTTTCCTCAAACTGGAGGAGTCTGTGGCTATAAGCAACATCATTGTGTTTTCATTGTAAGCAACATCATCGTGTTTTCATTTCAACAATGTTTTAAAAACTTATATAAAAATGTATAAACTTATCTGGCTCACCTGAGATGTTCATTTAAAAACTGCATATTTTTAGAATTGGTGCTTTGTGTTTAAAATTGGATTGGCACCATGTGATCACTTTTGTGGGAATATTCAACTTTTAATGTGTCCAGTAGTCATTATGTTGGCATGTCCTGGCATCAAAATAGCAATAACCATCTTGCTTTCTGTTTAAAGAGAATCATTGAGTTACCTTACCTGTTTTAAAGTTAAAACTGTTCTTTTTCAGTGATAAGATGCAATTGAGTTTAGTCTCTTAATTTATTTAATAAATTGATTTTGATTTTCCATCATAAAAATAAACATGCTAATCTGTCATACACTAATGAGAAAAGAACAGGGCTGATTTAGTACACAAATGATGCATTCATGTAAAGTGAAGGCCAAGTGAATCATGGTACTCAGCGCAAATAAAGTTTTACTGTAGTTCAAACAGAGAAACATAGTGAGAAAATTGAAATATTACAGGGCTCATGTAGCATAGGCTGAACTCAAAAGAAGCCAGGCAAAGCAGTCACTTTATTTGGATTATAAGCAGTATATTGGGTTTGATTCTGTGTTTATGTGACACACCAACTTACAAATACTCTCCATGAAGAACTTTTGTTAAAAGTTCTTTTAAAATTATTGATCAGGCGAGACGCAGTGGCTCATGCCTGTAATCCCAGCACTTTGGGAGGCTTAGGCAGGCAGATCATCTGAGGTCAGGAGTTCAAGACCAGCCTGGCCAACATGGTGAAACCCTGTCTCTACTAAAAATACAAAAATTAGCTGGGTATGGTAGCAGGTGCCTGTAATCCCAGCTACTTGGGAGGCTGAGGGAGGAGAACTGCTTGAAGCCTGGAGGCGGGGGTTGCGGTGAGCCTAGACCCCGCCATTGCACTCCAACCTGGGCAACAAGAGCAAAACTCCGTCTCAAAAAAAAAATTAATTAATTAAAATAAAATAATTTGTCAATATTATATTTTGGAGAACGTCATTTTTAAATTAAGTGGGCCAATTAAAACAATGAACTGATGGTTTCCAATGAATAACCTTGTAGGAGGGAAAAATTATAATAATGATAATGATTATGAGTCAAATGACTGTATCATGCTTGATAAATATAAGTCAAATATATAAGTCAACAATTGAAATAAAATCTATAAAAGCATCATGTTATACTTTTATCATTATATGTATAAATTGTAATTAAACCCAATATTAGTTATTTAGTTTCAGCAAATGTTACCACTTTCACACTGAATTAATGTTTTTTTATTTGAATTTAACTGATGATTTGTTTTCACTTAATCTGTAAATTTGATTTGTTCTTGTGATTTTTTAAATTGTGGTAAAAAGATATATAATAAAATTTACCATTAAGATGGTAAATTATTAAGATAATTTAAGTATATAGTTCAGTAGTGTTAAGTATATTCACATAGTTGTTCAACAGATCTCTAGAACGGTTTCTTTTGTGTTTGTATAGTTTTTAGTTAGCTACAAGCATAAAACATTTATACCTAATTACTACATATTTGTACATATTTAAGGAACTATATAATGAAAATTATTTAAGTCAACATGGGGAGGGGTTTCAAGAGAACTTTTATCCTTTAAAGAAAAAGAGATGTGAGACACACTAATCAATATGGTGGCTCTCTTTCAGTCTCAGTGTTTGCTCAACCAACCCTCTTGACTTTTCCTTCTTGGCTAGCTCACAGAGTGGGCTGTGTTGGAGATGACAGTGAAACCTCATTTCTTGGAAAAGCAGAATCAGAGGAGAGGATAGCAGTGTTCTACCTGAATTCAAATCTTCCTTTTTAATAATAAGTATAATATGAACACAATACTGTCTTTCAAGTTACTTTTTAAAATACTTTCAAATCCATTATCCTATTTTTGAAGCCCCATTGTGAATCTCTTAAGTAAGTTTCCTTTAAAGTCAAACATCATTGGCAGATTTTGATATGTTATACCTTTAATTATTCTAGCCAGTGCTGCTAGGAGCTTTGCTCCTTCGCAAGATGTTAGAGGAAAGACATCTCAAGGTGCTCTGAATGTTCTGTGAGTCAGCTGTGGCCTCTCCCAGGCCTTATTAAGAAAATAAACTATGCTGATGAGCTCCCCTGAAAAATTAGATGGAGGTTTTCAGCTTAAAACTCATATTGTTGACCTCTCCTAGGCTTTCTTTTTAAAATGAAAGTTTTTTTTTTGTTGTTAGGATTTGCTGTTTAACTTTTTGGAAATAAGGTAATAGTCAAAGTCCCCATAATCATTAACTGTGGGATAGAAAGCAAGAAGGAAAGAGCACGAAAGAAAGGAACATTTACCGAGTATTTACTAGATGCCAGACAGTATTCTAGAAGCTTTCTATTCTTCATCTTACCTTATTCTAACTATCTCCATGGGAGTCGGTTCTGTCGTCCCCATATCATTGGCTGAAATTCTGAGAAGTAAAGTAATTTGCGTAAGGTCACCCAACTTGTAATAAGTAAACTGAGGTTCAAGCCCACCTTTGTCTGGTTCCATAGCTACACTGTGTGAGTGAGAAACGTGAAAACACCTCACAGACTCAGCTTGGGCAGTGTTTTCTGCAACAGATTTTGTCTGGGGAACTTGGACAATGCCAATATTCATTCATAGAGTTTCTTTGCCCATTCCAGCAAATTATCATTTTCTGCTTTCTCGCTCAGTTATTTGTATACTTAGCTGATGGACTCAACTTCACACATTTCCCACACCCTACTTAGCAGAGTACAGAAATCCATTTGCTCTCTCCCAGCTGGTTCCAACACTGGCCACATCTGCCTTTCCAGATGTGCGGGCTGCAATGTAAAACACACAACCTTACCACTCCACTTGCTGCAGTGTTGTCTGGCCCTTCTTGAGGCATGGTTCTAGGCTGCTCTTTAGAAAGGTGTGATGTATGCCCTGTGGGCTGCATTATCATCTGTTGGTTTAATATGCACATTCTGTGGTGCTTTTACATACTTTTCCAACTTTTTACATTCTGTGTCCATCTCTGATTGCATTTACATAGTGATTTATGGAGACTTTGAATATTATAATCTAAAGGGTATATGTGGGAAGGAGGAAGTGAGCAGGTTTGTTTATTAGGAAAATTCAGCAGTCCCTGCTTCTTTAAAGATCTCACCTTGAAATTGCATCAATGTGAGCTCAGTGAGGGTCGGAGAAAAGGGACCAGCTGACCCACTTCCTTATCATTTACTGTATGCTGCCTTGGGTTGTTAATGGCCTTTTCACATGTTGGTGTTATATCACCCCAGCTAGATTTTAAGTAATTAGAGAGCAAGAGCGTGTGTCACTCATCTTTGTGCCAAGCATATTACCTTGCACACAGTAGGCATTTAATGAGTAGTTGGAGTCTGGTTGCTATGTGTTAGTTGCTGTGGGTGCTGCTGAACTCTCACCTTGCAGCCTTTCTGGATTAGCTTTTGAATGACAGTTTTATTAGGCATGATGGAACCAGACCTCCCATGCTCACACTGTGGTGTCAGGGACTTCTGCCTCATGTGTCTTTTCAAATAATAACATTATGCTGGTACCCAAAGTATATGGTACCAGTTTAGAGTCTTGAATTTTAAAAACCTGAATATGGAAAGAACCTGCTCAACCACTTTGGAATGCCCCTGTTAAGCTCACCTTACAGCATCAGAAGTGGACTCCGCAGCCACCTATTAGATCCAATATGAAATGCCCTAAATACTCCCCTTACTTGGTGCCTGGAGGACCTCAGTCTTAAGCTTCTCCTTTGGACTGAGGGCCTGACAAGGCCTGTGTAGGGCAGGCTGAGCCAAGCCCTGGCTTGGATTAGGGGTATCATCCAGGAATGGAATGAGCGAATGGCTTCACCTTAAGGAAACCTTTTAAATGAGATGAACAATGACCTTCTTAAACAAAATAGAGAAAACATGATGTAACCTTTTCCAGATGATTAAAGATATTGTTTTTAAAACCAGTCACTTGCTGTGAAAGCTGTGATGTTATCAGTGACTTCTGAGGGGTGTTTATTGCTATAGTACATGATCTGAACCAATGAAGCTGGACATTTTAATGTGGCTGTTTTGATTTGACCTGGGTGAAAATTAGAGGTAAGCTTGCTTTTACAAACATTACTTAGTGATTTTTTTAAAAGCTGAATATTTACTAGTGCTTTTCAGGGTGCTTCAAAATATTAATATTTTCATGACAAAACCACCTTGTCAAAATGTCAGCTGTCATTTCCATCAAGATGCTGGTCCTCTAACCCTTCTTCCCTATTGTCCTGCTAAACTGGCAACTTCTAACCTACCAAGCGTTAGAAAAACAGAAAATTGCTCTTGTTAGAACCATGTATATAAAGTAAGAGTAAATGTGATCTGGGTGAGGGTCTGATGGTTGTGTTAGGAATAAGAGTGGGGAGGTTTAGTGCCTAAGCCTTGGGATACTGTTTTGGCTTGGAGGATTATCCCATGAAACCCTTTTCACCACTGATGCCGTAGGTGGAATTAGCTCTTCAGGCAGACATTTTTTTCTTCTTAGGGTCAAAGGTAAGGTGACATGTGAAGGGGCAGCCAAGGCATCATCGGGAGGCTAGGGCTTGATGGAAGGGGTAAGGGGGGTGGTGCCGGGCATCTGGTTGGAGGGAAGTAGGAACACAGGCAGAAGCAGAGAAGGGCCCTTAGTGCTGCCGAGCACAGGCTGCTGCTTGACGCGCAGCCCTCAGCTGGCTGGCCCTGGCTGGAGAATTTCTCCGCAGGTCATTGGTTTTACCACAGTCTTGTTTGGAAACCATCTGTGTTCTAGGAGCCCATGGAGAACGGGCATCTTATTTTGAAAATCAGTTTGAAGCTAAAGTGGACTTTTTAATTACAAATGAGAGCAATGAAAATATAGCTATTGAACTTTATTGTTATTTTGGCCTCGTAAAAATTAAAAGTAAACTTTTTTAACTCAAGAGGATTTTATAAAATCTCCCCATTTGTGTACATTTCAGACATGAGACTCTACCACCCCAGAACCCATCTGAGAGGAATTTAAATCTCAGGAAAGTAGCAGCTTTCTTCAAGTTTCTGAGTAACTGAACCTTGTAGATAACAACAGATTGGAAGATAGAATCAGTTAATCCCTGAACTCAAGGAACCCTTGGCCCATAGCCCAGACAATACAGCATGCTGAAAATTGGTCTGGTCCCAGCCTCACGTAAACCTGTTTCTCCTCTCCTGAGAAGAATGCAGCTTTTGACCACTGCCCAGTGTGAGAGCCCGGCCTCACTGTTAACACCTCAGTGAAGGCAAGAACAAGTGGTTTGCAGTGGAGGGCATCGCCTGGAAGGTGGCAAAGGCCAGGCAGGTACCTGCGGCCCAGCTGCTGCTCGACGATGAGGCTGGCAGCCAAGTCTAGCGCCAGCCTTTTCAAAAGCAGCCCTTTTGATAACACTGATTACATTTCCCTCACCGGAGCCTTGGGTTAATTGAGCAACAGCCAACTTCTCTGGGTAACAAAGAGGAGGGGAAAGTAATCCAAACACAGGTTTTATTATAAAAACCAGGGAGTGAGAGAAGTGTGTTTATTCTGTAAGATAACACACCTGCTCGGTGCCGGGGAGGCTCATTTCCATCAGTTGCCATGGCAAACTCGTTATACTTCAAGGCCATGTGGCTTTGTTTCCTTTTGGGATCTGGTCCTTGTCCTACCTTTTCTAACAACTCCAACACAATGACATGGAAGCCTGCGACAGCATAATTGATTTCTCCTTCCCTCTATCAACGGTTCACATTTGTTCAGCACAGGACTGAGTCTGCCTTCTCCTTTGAACTCCTTGCTAAGCATGAAGGCATGCTTCAGAGAGCCACCCTCATTAACATTCCAGGTCCCTCTTCCCTGTCAGCAATAAACAAGCCCTGCATCAATGGCCTCCTGCCTTCCACTTTTACAAATGAGTGGCTCAGTTCCATGTTTTGCTGCTGATCCAGGTGCCCAGGCGCATACAACGCGAGCCTAAGAAGCACGCGGGAGGGACTAAAAATAGAACAGCAGTTTTGGATGCATACCAGAGCAGCTACTTCATCTCAACTTGCTTTGCACGCTAAGCCTAATGGGATCCATCAGGCATGAGTTCTCTCGCGCGCTAGCTCCCTCCCTCTCCCCTCTCTCCCCAGCTGCCGATTTCCATCAGCCCCTTCCTGGTGAAGGGAGCAAAGGGAGGTCAGGCAAGGGACAAGAAATGTGTGCCCTTATGGTTTTCGTTTACAAGCCCTGGGAGATCTGGGGGCTGCAGTTACTCCTTCCATAAGAGAGTTTCTAGAAAAAAAGCAGGCAGGCCCAGAACATGGTCACCTCTGCCCAGGTACACTTTGGTCCAAGACTTTCATTGTTTAGCAAAGCCTCAAATATCACTTCCTAATCACCCAATACCTATAACCTGGACCCATGCTCCTATATTCCTTGAAAAGTTAAGTAGAAAACTAAAGTACACTGAGTGTTCCTCTTACAGATCCCACCTGCTTGCTTGAGGCTAAGAATTTGGGAGCAAATGCACAGTGAGTTGGCAACATGTGACTGCCAGGGTCTGCAAAAGCCACCCACCTGCCGCCAAGTACCCTATCCAAAAGTGATCCTATCCTAAAGCATTTTCCAATAGAAAATGGAAGAAGTCATATGCAGTTAGGAACATGCTATCCTGCCTGGGCACAATACCTCCCAGCATGCCAGCTGTGTTGACTGAGCGAGGCTCCTTTGTATGCTAAAGTGCCTCGTGCAGCCTCCCTCAAAAGGCGAGCCAGCATGACCATACGTTTCTCATGTCTACATCCAAAAGGTAATGCAGATGTTCCAAACAGCTAAGTATTATTCCAAGAAGTGCCATTTTTGTGGAATCAGAATTGTGATAGGACGGGCTGGACGCAGTGGCTCATACCCGTAATCCCAGCACTTTGGGAGGCTGAGGCGGGCAGATCACTTGAGGTCAGGAGTTAGGAGTTCGAGACCAGCCTGGCCAATGTGGTGAAATGCAGTCTATACTAAAAACGCAAAAATTAGCTGGGCTTGTGGTGGGTGCCTGTAGTCCCAGCTACTAGGAAGGCTGAGGCAGGAGAATCGTTTGAACATGGGAGGCAGAGGCTGCAGTGAGCTGAGATCATGGCACTATTGTACTCCAGCCTGGGCGATAGAGTGAGACTGTCTCAAAAAAAAAAAAAAAAAGAATGGTGACAGGAAGATGAATATCACAGTATTTAAAAATCTTTTTCATTGTTGATGTTTTGGAGATTGGCCAGATACAACTAAAAGAAACTGATCTGGGCCAGGTGAGGTGGCTCACGCCTGCAATCCTAGTACTTTGGGAAACCAAGGTGGGAGGATTGTTTGAGCTAGGGGGGTCAAGACAAGCCTGGGTTGAACATAATGAGACCCTGTCTCTACAAAAAAAAAAAAATTTTTTTTATTTTGAGACGAAGTCCTGCTCTGTTGCCCAGGCTGGAGTGCAGTAGTGCTATCTCTGCTCACTGCAACCTCCACCTCCCTGGCTCAAGCAATTCCCCTGCCTCAGCCTCCCAAGTAGCTGGCATTACAGGCATGTGCCACCATGCCCAGATAATTTTTTTTGTATTTTTAGTAGAGACGGGATTTCACTGGTCTCAAACTCCTGACCTCAGGCAACCTGCCCACCCTGGCCTCCCAAAGTGCTGGGATTACAGGTGTGAGCCACTGTGCCCAGCCAAAATTTTTAAAAAATAAACTGGGCGTGGTGGCATGCACCTTTGGTCCTAGCTACTCAGGAGGCTGAGGTGGGGGGATCGCTTGAGCCCGGGAGGTTGAGGCTTCAGTAAGCCGTGATCATGCCACTGCACTCCAGCCTGGGTGGCAGAGCAAGACCATGTCTCTAAATAAATAAATAAATAAGTTGATCTGACTAATAGCAGATTTTGTCTGTGTCAGGCAAGTGTCAAGACCTTTTACATTGTGCTTCAGTTTCATATAATAGCAGTATAAGATAAATATGCCAAGCCACTTCAAGAAAAGTCATACTTCATATAATCACAGCAATAATCAATTCCCCAAAGAATTTCTAACGGAACAAGTTGCAACATGATCATCTAATCCTCCAGTCACTAGAGGATGGAGGTACTTCTTCCCTCAGGGAGAGGGAAGTATCTCTTCAGGGAGACACCAGGTCATTTGTTGAACACATCTACTGTGAAAAACCAGAAAGCTTTCTAGATTCATCAAATAAATGTCTGCAGTCTGGAAATCAGAACATCCGGGTTCTAGTCCTAGGATGACCTTAGACAAGCCACGGCTGCTCTGGGCCCTGCTTTCCTTGTGTATAAAACAAAGCTGCAGGGATATATGATTTCTAGGGTCTCTTTCTAGACTGAAAGTTCCATAACAGAAATAAATGATCTGAGAATTTAATTGATTTTCGTGCTTTCTTTCTTCCTTTCCCCCCGACCTTTGGTTGTTGTTGTTTATTTGGTTAGTAGGCTAAAATAGAACTATTTTTCTTGAAAAATAGTGCATAATTCTCTGGGATGAGAGGCATTTCTTCTCTGTGGTATTTTCCCACAGTGTAACCTTCCTTCTCTTTTCATTTGCCACTAGGAGGTGGGTCTCACTGATTCTTCCTGGTTCATTAAGAAGAAACAGAAAGATCTTGTGTTTTCAGAGACTCTTTCTGGATCATTTCCCATGATCATAGGACTTTGCAATCCATTTGGCAAAGGTGGTGGTGACAATGGGGTGTTTGGCAAAGTGGATGAGGTAGTTGACGAAGCAGCTGGGGTAAAGAAAAATGCTCTTGGCAAAACATCATGAAACTAGGGTGGAATGTTCAAAATGGAGAACTTGCATCCCTTGCTGAGATGACTCCGAGAAAAATTCTGTCTTTAAAGAGGTGATTTATTTAACAGGAAACAAAGAAAAAGGTATCAACAGTAATAATTTTTCTGAGCACTGAGCTGAGAAATAGCTAGTCTAATACTTTGATTGTAGCCATGTACTGAGACCTCTTTGAACAATCTAGAAGTTAAAATAGATTTGAAACCAGTCACTAAAATTTAAAATTACATTTAAAATTCTAAATTAGTCATCAAATATTAGGTAAGAACCTAACCTTGCATTCCACAAACCCACCCCTCAAATCGGTGTAAGTCTGAATAAAGCCTTTGGGCTAAGAGGTTATTTTTACTAAGTCAGCCCTACCCCACTTCCACCCCAAAAATATCTAAAGATGAATGCCTGAGGACCAGCATAACATCTAAATCAACCGAGTGTTAATCTTATTGTCAGTGCTCTCAAATAGTTGTTACAATTCCTTTGATGGGCCGGGCGTGGTGGCTCATGCCTGTAATCCCAGCAATTTGGGAGGCCGAGGCGGATGGATCACGAGGTCAGGAGATCAAGACCATCCTGGCTAACACGGTGAAACCCCGTCTCTACTAAAAATACAAAAAATTAGCCGGGCATGGTGGCAGGTGCCTGTAGTCACAGCTACTCGAGAGGCTGAGGCAGGAGAATCGCTTGAACCCGGGAGGTGGAGGTTGCAGTGAGCTGTGATTGCACCACTGCACTCTAGCCTGGGTGACAGAGCGAGACTACGTCTCAAAAAAAAAAAAAAAAAAATGCTTTGATGTTGGTGGTCATCGGATCTCATAGAAATTTCAGGGGCCAAGCTTTTGTCACTTGGCCAAGTGCGTGTGTGTGTGTATGTGTGCGTGTGTGTGTGTGTGTCTGTGTGTACTTTTTGGTTTGTTTTTTTGCTACCAGTGCTACCAGCTGTAACACTTTAATGACTCTTTGTGGAACACCAGGGACCACTGCTCATCAACCACCTGGGGTAAGAAGAGTGGAAGGAATGAGTGGTTCAGAGCTTAGGACAGGTCTCTGAAGGGAGGAAGGGTTAATAACATCACATTGCTAAGTCTTTGCAAACTAGAAACATTTCAGAGTAATTGCTGATGTCATTTTATTTACAAACGGGTGTCGAATCCTTAATGATGGTGTCACCTCAGACTAAAAAAGATAATGAAAAAAGAGAAAGAAGACTTGAAGTTTGTGTTTGGGTGTTTTCCAGGTTATCCAAATATGAAAGTCAGTTCTACCAGGTCTCAAAACTACGGAACTAATGTTACATGTCAGAAAGTCTTACAAATGAGTACTTATGTTATGCTAGTTTTTCTTCTCTTTTCCTATTTTTTAAAGAACAAAGACATTCGTCTCACCCAGTAGACATCTAAGTTATAAAGTAAATGAAACTAGTGTTCTTTGCAATGCATTAGCAATGTTTCTTATTTATAGTTGACAAGTATTTGTCCTTTCCCTGTGCTACATATAAGAGCTGGACTGGGCTGGGCGTGGTGGCTCCCATCTGTAATCCTAGCACTTTGGGAGGCCAAGGCAGGTGAATCACTTGAGCCCAGGAATTCGAGACTAGCCTGGACAACATGGCAAAACCCTGTCTCTACAAAAAATACAAAAATTAACCAAGCATGTTGGTGCACACCTATAGTCCCTGCTACTTGGGAGGCTGAAGTGTAAGGGTCACCTGAGCCCGGCAAGGTCAAAGCTGCAGTGAGCTGAGACTGTGTCACTGTACTGCAGCCTGGGAAAGAGTGAGACCCTGTCTCAAAAAAAAGAAAAAAAAAACAAAACGGTGGACTGTCTTGTAGCACAAGTGAGCCTTGTTTAAGAGGCTAGTAGATAAAGAAGGGAAGCAGTAGCTTGCAGCCCCAAAAAGTCTTCATTGTCTTAGTAGCTTGGGCCATAATTAAAGCCATCCCACCTTTATAGTTTACGTAGATTTGATACATGTATACATATTTTATATATGGATATGTGTATGTGTTCTTTTTCTGGAGACCAGGTAAACAAGATATATAGATACAGATAGATATCCAAAATTATCAACCTGAGGGTATTGTTGAAGTTTTTTTTTTTTTTTTTTTTTTTGAGACGGAGTCTCACTCTATTGCCCAGGCTGGAGTGCAGTGGCGCAATCTCGGCTCACTGCAAGCTCCGCCTCCCGGGTTGACACCATTTTCCTGCCTCAGCCTCCCCAGTAGCTGGGACTACAGGCGCCTGCCACCACGCCCGGCTATTTTTTTTGTATTTTTAGTAGAGATGGAGTTTCACCGTGTTAGCCAGGATGGTCTTGATCTCCTGACCTCATGATCCGCCTGCCTCAGCCTCCCAAAGTGCTGGGATTACAGGCGTGAGAAGATATTTTTTAAAAGAGGAAAATGTTGGCTGGGTGTGGTGGCTCACACCTGTAATCCCAGCACTTTGGGAGGCCGAGGTGGGCGGATCACAAGGTCAGGAGTTCGAGACCAGTCTGGCCAATATGAAACCCTGTCTCTACTAAAAATACAAAAATTAGCTGGGCATGGTGGCAGGCGCCTATAGGTCTAGCTACTTGGGAGGTTGAGGCAGAAGAATCACTTGAACCCAGGAGGCGCAGGTTGCAGTGAGCCAAGATTGCAGCACTGCACTCCAGCCTGGACGACAGAGCGAGACTCTGTCTCAAACAAAAAAAAAGAAGAAGAAAATGTCTCTGTTAAGAAAATGTAAATTTGTCCTCTGAGAGACATAATTATGAAAATGAAAACTCAGTCACTCCTCAAAAGAGTATTTAGAATTTAGGTCCTAGACTTCAAATCTTTTAGAGTGATTAGAGATGCTTTTGTCCATGTCATTTTATAAATGAGTCCCTGGAATCTAAGAAAAGTTAAAGGACTTGCTAAAGGTCATACAGCTAATTGGTGGTAGAACCAAAATTAGAACACAGACTACAATTCTAGCCTACATCCCCCAACACTTCATACACATATGCAAATATTTTTACCTATGTAGTCAGATCCTGAGAACCATAATCATACTATTTAGAATCATGGCTGTATGCTATATAAAGTTGTTTTGTTAAAAATGGGTGTTTTTATTTGTTTGTTTGTTTTTTGAGACGGAGTCTCGCTCTGTCTCCCAAGCTAGAGTGCAGTGACATGATCTCGGCTCACTGCAACCTCTGCCTCCCGGGTTCAAGTGATTCTCCTGCCTCAGCCTCCCGAGTAGCTGGGATTACAGGTGCACACCACCATGCCCGGCTAACTTTTTTGTAATTTTAGCAGAGATGGGGTTTCACCATGTTGGCCAGGCTGGTCTCAAACTCCTGACCTCAAATGATCTGCCTGCCTTAGCTTCCCAAAGTGCTGGGATTACAGGTGTGAGTCACTGCGCCCAGCCTAAAAATCTTTATTGCAAGAATAAAGCTTCCATGATTATGGTTAAAAAGGGTTGTTTAACTAGCTGGCTTTAATCCATTAATACAGAGTGGTCTGTTATATTTATCTAATATTATATCTAAGCAGCTTTGTTGATGTCCCTGGAAGCAACTGCCCATATCATTATAAATTATATGTATCTCCTTTGAGATAAGTAAAACATAATCTTACAAAAGAGTAAACATTTTATTATTTGTACATGAATCAGTTTGGTCTGAGGATACACAAGCATCTGGCTAACTCATAAAAGTAGCCTGAAGTGATTGATAGGAGAGTGTTTGTAGTCATTTCCATTTGCTGCCACATCCCTTACATTATCTACTTGCTAAGCACTGAGAGGCCCAGAATGGACACATCAAACTGTCAGGAGGAACATATGGGACACTGGCACCTGCAATGGTTTTTTTAAAAGCAGAGAATGCAGAGCAGTCACAGACTCCACTTCAAAGCCAGGGTGTGTGGAGGTCTCCGGGGAAGAGCTCTGCACAACAGGTTTCCTGGGGGCCAGAGGGCCTCTCGGGGAGGAACAGAAAAAAACCAGCCAGGAGTGCTACCGACCAGCCTCAGCCAGAATGCTGTCAGAACAAGGCCCCAAACATGGCCTGGCCTCAGTGATCTGGGGATGAACGGTGTCACAAGGGAACCACCTGAAGGGTGGGCAGAGGCCCCCGTGGAGGAGCCACATACTCTTCCTCTCTCAGCAGCCGCAGCAGGATGTTTTTTTTATTCTTGGGCCAGCTGTAGACATGAGTGTTCTGAAGCCAGGTGGGCACATGCTCCTATGGGAGGCAGAATGACAGGAGCAAAGGTCATTAGAGAAAAACCTGGATGCCAGATCCCAGGCTCAGTTCCCAAACATTTCTGGCTTTCCCTACATGGGCGTTTCCTACCAAACTATCCTGGGAGTTGTGCTGTTTTGCTTTTGGAAAGGTTTAGCATGTGAAATGTTCTTGGCTTCGGGTACAAGCTGTATATCTCATTATAAAAACCACATGTGCACAGCATTTTCTGTCAGTCTCCCAGACTACCTACCCTTTGCATTTCAACTTGCTTTTCACCACCCTCACATAAAAGGGGTAGGACAGAGGTCACACAGAGTGATGTGAATTCCCCTGTGACTTCAGAAGAAGTATGCCAGGGCCGTAGGCTTAAATCAATTCATTACTCTTTCACTCCAGCCCCAGGTCTGGCCTGCAGTAGAAGGAGCCCATCAGACCTCAGTGATCAGGCAGAGGCAGAAACTGTTAGCCAGGGATCCTGGGGGTGCAGTGTCAGACTGCCCTCATGGAGTGGATGTTCTGGTGGGGAGAGGCAGATAATAAGTAAATGGATAGTGTGTTCAACAGTGATGTATGCTGTGGAGAAGAATTAAACAAGAAAGGGGACAGGGAGTGCTGGGGCAAGGGTGAAAGATTTGCAGTTTTAAACGGGGTGCTTAGGAGAGGTCTCACTGAGAAAATGAGCAAAGACCTAAAAGAGTGGAAGAAGCAAGCTCTGTGGTTGTCTGGGTCCAGGCAGATAGGAGAGTCAGTGCGAAGGCCCTGTGGAGGGAGTGTGTTGGGTCTGTTCACAAGCAACAAGGCCACTGTGAGTAGAGCAGAGTGAGTAGGTGCAGAGGTCTGGAAGTAGAAGGGGCTGTATCGGATAGTGCCCTGTAGGCCACCATAAGGCCTTTGCTTTTGAGTCTAACTCCTAGGGACTATAGGACGGGACTTCTCTAGGTATTGTGCTTAGAAGCAGCACCTGCTGCATGGCAGGCATCATACTGAGTACTGAGGATGCCCAAATGAAAAGGACGCAGGGACTGCCTTGAGGACTTCAAATCTTAGGATGAAAGCAAAATGTCAACAAATGATTTTCTAGTCAATGGTGTACCAAGGGGACAGGTGGTGAGAGCGGCCTGTGCTGGGCTCAGGTAATACGGGCATTGTCTGAAGGAGATTTAAAAATAATAACAAAACCAATGAAAATTTGGTCTATTTTGTATATCGCCATGCTCCAATAATTCTCAACAATTATTCCCAGTACCCTCAACCCAAACACATACCATTGACCCAAGGTGCTAGAATTAAGCACCCTTAAGAAAGGGACAATGAAATATATCAGCATGAAGGTAAAGAGGTGTCAGGGCAGGGCGCAGTGGCTCACGCCTGTAATCCCAGCACTGGGGAGGCTGAGGAGAGTGGATTACCTGAGGTCAGGAGTTCAAGACCAGCCTGGCCAACATGGTGAAACCCTGTCTCTACTAAACATACAAAAATTAGCTGGGCGTGGTGGCGAGCACCTATAACCCCAGCTACTTGGGAGGCTGAGGCAGGAGAATTGCTTGAACCTGGGAGGTGGAGGTTGCAGTGAGCTGAGATTGCACCACTGCACTCCAGCCTGGGCAACAGAGCAAGACCCTGTCTCAAAAAAAAAAAACACTTTGGGAGGCCCAGGCAGGTGGATCACGAGGTCAAGAGAACAAGACCATCCTGGCCAACATGGTGAAACCCCATCTCCACTAAAAATACAAAAATTAGCTGGGCATAGTAGCACATGCCTGTAGTCCCAGATAGTCGGGAGGCTGAGGCAGGAGAATCGCTTGAACCCTGGAGGCAGAGGTTGCAGTGAGCCGAGATCACACCACTACACTCCAGCCTGATGACAGAGCAAGACTCCGTCTCAAAACAAACAACCAAAAGAGGTGTCGGGGAGGCTAGAGAGATTGGGTGATATAAGGGTAAGTAAGAGTTCACTAGGCAGGCAAGTTAGGGAAGGGCATTGCAAGCAGACGGAACAGAAAAGGCAAAGGCACAGAGACAAAAGAACACAGCATGTGTGAGGGCATGCTGAAATGGTCCAGGGTGACCAGAGCACACAGCATCTACAGAGGGTGATGAGAGAAAACTACGCAAGGGGACACAGTCCTCTTCTGAGAGGCCTCATAGATCGTGCTAAGAAAGGTGGATATGATCTTGTAGTCAATGGGAAAACGGCACAAAATTTGTAAGCTACCAAGAAACAGATCAGACCTACATTTTGGATGTTCCTCTTTGATGGCAGAGGAGAGGATGGCTAGCACAAGGTCAAAGTGGAGATGAGACCAGTAAGGAGACTCATCAGTAAGTGACAGCAGTGAGACCCTGGGCAAAGGCAGCGCAGGGAGGATAGAAAGGTGTGCCATCGCACAGGCTGTGCACCATACAGCCTGAGGTGTCCCGTTCCCATAAACTGGAGCCTCCCTCATCCAGGGCAGGGGTCTCAGTGCAGTCTTGACATCTGAGGATCCCTCCAGGGTGAAACAGGGCCTGAGTTTAGGGTGCTGTGGTCTGATTCTCAACATGTTTACTCCACCACTGCCTTCCCTTTGCCAAGCATGGAATGTGGCCTCAGGTGGTTTTGCCCCCATTCTCCAAACTTGCTGGCAGACCCTTCTGGTGTGAAAAGCCTCATATGAATCACGGCAAAGTTCACTCAGGTAACTATAGATTTAATTCCTGTAATCATTAGCTTTGAGAGCTGAACTATGTGCAATGAAATGCCTCCCTGGAACAGCCAGCAAAAACCATACACATCTTGACTTTTATGTACAAGAGATAAGAAGTATGACATGAACCTTCTCTTTTTCTTTCTTGAGTTAAAACAGAAACTACATCTTTGTGTGCAACGGTTCTTTGAACAATTAGGACAGCAGTGATCCTATCAGATAGCTTTAAAACCCTCCTGATTCATACTGCTGAACTGAGTGGTACAACTTGTTGATCTTTCTGGTAACATTGTTATCTCTAAGGATTGATAAAGAATTGATGGCAGACATGGTGGTTCATATCTGTAATCCCAGCACTTTGGGAGGCTGAGGCAGGCAGATCACCTGAGGTCAGGAGTTCAAGACCAGCCTGGCCAACATGGTGAAACCCCATCTCTACTAAAAATAAAAAAAATTAGCCAGGCTTGGTGGCAGGGACCTGTAATCCCAGCTACTTGGGAAGCTGAAGCAGGAGAATCACTTGAACCCAGGAGGCAGAGGTTGCAGTGAGCCAAGGTCACGCCATTGCACTCCAGGCTGGGCAACACAGCGAGACTCCATCTCAAAAAAAAAAAAAAAGAAAAGAAAGAAAAAAAGAATGGACAAGGTTTTCCATTTAAAATCCCAGATGGCAAAGCAAACCAAAGATTGAATTATGAGGATTTTGTTTCTTTGTTTGTTTACCTTCTTAGCATTTGGGAAGAGCACAGGGATGAATCTGAAATTCATGCTTCCTTGTTTTATGAACTCAATCTGCATCTGAAACCAAACAAATGTGAAGGTTTAATTTCAGGAATGAGGATGAGGAGTTAATGGTACCCATAATCATGCACGTCCACATGGCATTTTTATTCTGATTTCCATACTTGAGTGCCACACACTTAACATTTTAAGGCCTCCCCATTACACATCTATTCCATTCACTCATCAGTCGTTTATTGGAGGCCTGTTAGAAGTCACATTCTATGTCAGACTTTGGGTTTTAAGGATTAGGATACCTTCCAGGGTATGCTGGAACTGGCTTGCAGCAGCTCACAAAAGCTTGTTGTGTGCATCTCTTCCTAATTCTGTGTTCAGTGACTTCACACTGATAGCTTGAAATTGGCGATGGTATTGGAGAGTATTTATACCATGGAAATAGGTAAGTGCTACAAATCAGGAGAGCCAGCTTAGCAGAACACCACAGATACAGTCCCTATCTTCACAAAGCCAGCAGTCTAGTGAGCAGGCAGAAAGGGAAATTACCAACCAGAGTGCCGGGTGAAAAGTATTAACAATTGCTCTAGAAGCCCAGAATGGGGGCCATCCATTCTACATCAGAGATTGGAAGGACAGTTACAAAAGAGGGTTCATTTGGGCACTGAAAGAAAAGATTTTGGTCAAGTAGGGAAAACAGAGGCAGAGGCAACAGCATGAGCAAATGTCTGGAGGTGTGAAAGTGTGTTGATGTGGTTGGGACCAGCTACTAATGCACTGTGACTAGAGCACAAGATGGGCTTGGCAGAGAGGGGATGTCAATTGCGAAGAGCTCCATCTGCCAGGCTTTAGGTTCCTCACACCAGTTCCAATATGCTCTGACACTGTGGTAGCCCAAGAAGATTTAGCTACCAAGAACTCTCTCAAAAATCAGAATTTTCAATAGGAGGGGAGTTAGAGTCTTCCAAATCCTGTGACCAGCACAAAGCTTTCAGTCATCTGATGAGAAGGAGACGAGGAATTATGTGTTTCCAACCATTTCATCTTCCAATTCATTTTTATAACTGAGAAGTTTTCATTGTGCATGGAAATAACAGAACAGAGAAGAAAGTGACAGTGGTGATAGCTGGTTATTGAAATCACCATAGAAACCCCTCATAAACACACACTCTCACATAGTTGCATACGCACACACACACACACACGATCACACAACACACACAAATCCTCCACAAGGTGTTTTTTCGGAACCACCTCTCTCTAAAAACCATAAGATAACACCAAGAACATATTTTAAAATGACCCAAGTACTGTGCAGCTAGAAGCACCCACCACACCAGCACCGAGTACACATGAAAGGAAGGGGATGGGGTGCATAAGTTACAAGTGAAGCACTGAGTTTTGTTTGACTTCTAGGACTCCGTATACTGTGAAGTTTGGCTTGTGCACTAGGCTGCCCAGCCTGTGGAGGGGCCAGCCAGCAGCAGTGCATTTTTATTTTCTCTCACCCTTCCAGAAACTGAGTTTCTGTAAACTAATTCACTGTATGATGCAGTTACTCATCAGTACCTCTGCACTACCTCTGTCATGGCCAAGTTCTTGTTGTTCCAGGGTTTTCTGTTGCCTAGAGGGGTGCAGGAAGTCAGCCAGGCAGTCAGGAAGGCACTTCTGTGTCTGACCTCTTCGACCCCTTCTATGATGAGTAAGGGCCCAAGACATTGTGGCCCAAGAAACCAAGTTTGGCGACAGTTTGGTTCCAGTTGGTACAGTCAGACAAGCTCTGAGGCCAAGCTGTGTATTACTGCCTGGCTACACCACACACCCACAGAGCTAGACAGGTTTCCTTAGGAACTGGCTGAGGCCTCGAGCCCTTCCCACGCACCAGCTGTCAGCTTCTGGGACTGGCAGGTTCCTAGAGATGCAGACAGGACATTGGGTGCTCTGAGGCCATGCAGACATGCATCAGACAACCAAGGGCCGGCAGCACCCCGAGCCAGCCATGACCTTTTCAGGCAGTTTACTCCCAGGAATGATACCTTTCCGGGGCACTGTACAAGGGCTGTGAGACTGGTTGAGACCAGAAGAGGAGGGAGCCTTATCTCCTGACTCCCTGGCCTCACTTTTTAACCTCATCACCTTGCCTCGGCTCTTCCTTCAGTTTGGTTGTGAGCTCACGTGAGTGGTCTGCACTTGGTGGAAAGGGAGACAGAGACCATGAAGACTCAGATGGGGAATACCCACCCTCCTACTTTCCCACGCTGCTGACCCACAGGACAGACCTGGGACCTACATCTGCTTCCCCTGAGGTAAAGCTGTGTGCCCCGAGACAGCCTGACTGTGCCCTCCCCATCTTCCCATCTTAGTGACACTCTATGCCCATTCCAGGTGCCTTCCCCCTCATGAAGTGTTAGAGCTGAAATGGAGCTTATCAGTTCTAGTCCAGTGATTTTCCAAGCCTTTTTAAATCTCAGAATCCTTGGTCAACAAACAAGCCTGAGAAGTACAGACCAGCTCTGGCTGAGGTAGGGGTGGGAGGCGCAGACCCAGCCCCTCCTCCAGCACATATGGGCACCCACTGGGAACTCCACAGGACAGCCTGAAAGTCACAAGTGTAGCACCGCCTCCTAGTCAAGCAGAAACTGTCTCACAGCGTCTCTATAATCACGGGGAGAAGGAGGATTCGTAGCCCATAAAACAGCCAGTTCCAACGCTGGGTGATTGTTTCGGTCAGAATGTTCTAGTTTTATCCCATGCTGGACAAGTTTAATATCCTAAATGTCTCCCACTTATTTGAATATAACCAGGCCCCATAGTTCCCCACCTGTCATGAGCTAAGAACACTCCCTTCCCTTGTTTGAGCATCTGATATGCACCAGATATTTTGAAAACATTATTTCATTTCATCTTCACGACAATCCTGTAAGTATTAGTGACCCATTTTGTGAATAGGGACATTGAGGCACAAAGAGTTTAAGCAGTGGGGCCACGGTCACACAGCCTGTACATGAGGAAGCCAACTTTAACCAGGCCCACATGATGCAACAGCAGGTGTCCCTTTCACTACGCCACCTGCCTTTCTGAAAAGGTAGGGCACAGAACATGATACAGCTGCAGGGGCCAGCCCTCCTCACCACCCCGTCTCCTGCCTCCTAGGACTTCATAGTTGCTGGTAAACAGCCAAGCCAGCAGAGCACGTCTTTCCAGAATCTTGGATCCTAGAGATGACAGATTGCTCTCCCCTTGCAACTGATAGGAACAACTGAGTCCCAGAGGTGCAGGGACTTGCCCACAGTCCCTAAGGTAGATGGAGCCAGAACCAACAGCTCCTCTCCTGACATGGCAAGCCTGGAGCTCTTCACCCAGCATCATGCTGCCTTCAGCTGGTCTCTGGGGAAGAATGGGACTTCCCTGGACAAGGTATCCATCCCCAGGGGACAGTGAGGTGTTGTGATCCCCTCCCCACTCACCATTCGATGAATGTACTTAGTATGTAAGCCATGCTCATCCTCGTCCAGCTGCGACTCAGCGCCTTCCACGTCCTGTTTGTATTTGGGGCTGATTGCTACGATTATCATCACGGTCTTCTGTTAATGAGAGGGAGAAAGGCATGTTTATGGAAGTGTACCAGCAGGACTGTGGGCATTCTCTGACACACGGGGTGGAGGGCCAGGCTCATTCTCCATAGAAAGAGAAGCACTGGCCCCCACTCAGGCAGACTCTTATCTCTGCTTCTCCCTTCTGTCTCCAGCCCAGCCCCACCTTGAACATGCAGAGCAAATGGCTCAGAGAGGGGCTCTCTCAAATAGATGTGCTTTTGCCTACCATTTTCCACAACCATCACTAATAAACCTCTAATGAAAGCCCGAATCACTGAGTGAGTCTGTGTCGTGGCAAAAAGGCACTGCAACACCAACAGTAAGAAGCACCCTCCCTCCCTCCAGCTGGTTCTGAGCTGCCAGTCACTGCACTCGACTGCCCTGTCTTCTGCGTGTACACATTAGCACAGTCAGTAGGAACAGACCCTTCAGCACAAAGCAAACATCAGGCTGCAGACAAAAGGAAAAGTGCAACACCCCAGCCTGCTGAGACTCCCGTCCCCCACTGGCTCCCTCCAAAAGAAGCAGCCGACACGGACACGCTGGCAGCAATCAATTTCGATCTTGTTAAAGCACAACGTGTCCCAGTGGCCGGTATAGATTCTGTCAGTGGAGAACAAATCACGGGGCTGCACGTGGGCACCTCGGGGGTGGTGTGCTGTGCAGCCTGCGAGGCTGCCTAGGAAACCTCTTCAGCCCAATTCTACAAAACACTTGGGGTGGCCTCAGATTAAATTGAATTCTGCTGCTCTCTCCCCACTCTCCGCCTTCATTTCCTTCTTTCCTATTCTCGTCAAAAGATTGTTTCCTCTGATTGTTATCAACCACCTGTGTCTGGTTTGACCGTTATTTCCTGCCTGTGCATGTCCAAGAGGGCGACTCCGTCCTTCCTTTCCAAGTCTTTGCACGGCTTCCAACAAGGGAGGCTTTGTTGGGGCTTTCTCAGCTTCAGACTTAGGTGGGTATGCCAGGGTTTCTTTAATAAAACAACTTCATAAGCTCATTGTCTTTCTCACCAGAAAACAAACTCTGGTTTTTGGAATGTACTTACATCCCTAAGGTAGCGCTCCATCCATTTAATGATATCAATGCCTCGGATTCTATCCTCAAATATGTCAATCTGCAAAAAAAAAGATGTGGGAGTTGGCCCTTAATGAGAGGTTCTCTCAAGATGCAGAGCAGAAGAAAACACAATACTATATACATTTAAAGCTCCAAAACTTAACTAATGCTTTTTGCAAGAAGGAGCACATAGGTCTAAAAAACAAAATATAATTTTCTGAAAATATTCCCTATTTCAACATTAGTAGGCATTTAAGTAGTTAATGTTATGTCCATAATTAGGATATTGTGATACACATCAAAATATATCTATGGCTACACAATAATCAGGTTTTTAAAAATCTGAGGGACACGGTATACCACTAAGTTGGATATAAGCCAGCAATATACATATATTATATATCTGTAATTTAGACATTTGAAAGGCAAACATAATTCTGGAACATTTTAATGGATGTGTGGCATACAAGTAACTGAGATACAATTGTGGTGCTTTACTTGCATTAGTGAGGTCATTATTATGGTATTATGTACAGTTTCAATCTATATGTTTCAAAAGGATTGTATGAAACTTGGAGCAGAGCCAAGGAACAGTCACAAAAACAATTACTGAAACGGTAGGGAAGAGGTTTATGATGAAAGTCAGAAGTAGAACTCTTAGGCCTTGAAAAGACTGATATTTACTATCAGCATTCAAGTTTTTGAAGGGATATTTTAAAAGGAGAAAGATCAGTTATTTTTTATTTTATAAGAAACCAAATAAGAAGGCCCTTCTTGGGCTCAGGCTTATACTGCAGAGTGTGTGTGTGTGTGTGTGTGTGTGTGTGTGTGTGTGTGTGTGTGTGTGTGTGTGTGTACGTGCACGTGTGTGTTTACGAGATGCTCTTGATGGGAAGAGGGATTATATACTGGAATGGGTGACTCAGGGAGAGTGTCCCTGGGGAGGGGTTACGTGATTCAGCTGCACTGCTCCCAGATTACTTGTCCTAAATGTCATTCCAGGCCAGGCACGATGGCTCATGCCTATAATCCCAGCACTTGGGAGGCCGTGGCAGGCAGATCACTTGAAAAGCCATCCATGATCCATCCATGATCCAGCCTCGCCATCCATGATCCAGCCTCGCCTCTCTTTTCCTCACATATCCTGTCTACTTTACTCCCCACATTGGAGTCCCCTGTACCCTAAAGGCACAGCACAAACCCCCCTGCTCTGTGAATCCTTCCCACATGCCAATCTCCTCCTCTTCCTCACTTCACCTAACTCTACCCCATTGTGACCACTAATGATACTGGACAATTAACACGTATGATAACATTCTTTTATTCAGGACATGTTTCATTTATGTCTGCTGTGTCTCTTCAACCTGATGCTAAGCCTCCTACGGAAAGAGACCATGCCCTGTGTATACCGAACTATCACATACATAGAGTACAGAGTTCAGAATATGTGTCTTTACATGAAAAATGGAATGGCTGTTATTTTGGTTTAGATGACTCCTGTTTTCAAATGTGTGATGGCCAACGACTACTCTTGAGAACGCTTTTGTAGCTTTCTGAGACTGTGTCACTAATCCATTGCTATTATATGGGAGAGAAGCAATATAGTGTCAGGGTTGAGAAGAAACGGACAGCTTGGGTTCTGTCTTGGCTTTGCCACTTCCCACCTGCATGACTTTGGAAATGTTACTAAAACTCTCTAAATCTTATCTTCACTTGTAATATGTAGTTAATAAACTGACTTCCTACGGTGGTTGTGAGAACTAAAATGAGTTAACATGGAAAAGGCCTATCATAATGCCAGGCAGGAAATAAGCACTCAGTAAATGGTGATAATTGGCCGGGCGTGGTGGCTCACGCCTGTAATCCCAGCACTTTGGGAGGCTGAGGGGGGCAGATCACTTGAGGTTAGGAGTGTGAGACCAGCCTGGCAAACATGGTGAAAACCCGTCTCTACTAAAAATACAAAAAAAAATTAGCTGAGCTTGGTGGCAGGTGCCTGTAATCCCAGTTACTCAGGAGGCTCAGGCAGGAAAATTGCTTGAGCCTGGGAGGCAGAGGTTGCAGTGAGCCGAGATCGTGCCACTGCACCCTAGCCTGGGCAACAGAGCAAGACCCCGTCTCAAAAAAAATTAAATAAATAAAAAATAGTGATTATTGTTATTATCCAAGCACTCTAAATTATTCCCAGCTACTGTAGTGGACATCCTGGGTGGTGCAATGAGCTGGATATCTTCCATTTGTTTCTCCAAGTCTCTCCCAAAGTCCATAGCTCCTGTTATGATCATTCCTCCACACAGCTACTATTATGGGCTGAATTGTGTTCCCAAAATTCCTATGTTGAAGCCCTATCTCCCTACCCTACCTCAGAATGTGACTGTATTTGGAGACAGGACCTTTAAAGAAGTAATTAGGATAAAAAGAGGTGATATGTATGGGCCCTAATCCAACAGAACTGGTGTCCATAGAAGACGAGATTAGAACACAGACGTGTCCACACAGAGGAGAGACCATGTGAGGACAGAAGGAGAAGACAGCCTCAGGATGAAATGAACCCTGCTGAAACCTTGATCTTGGACTTCCAGACTCCAGAACTGTGAGAAAATAAATTTCTACGCTTAAGCCACCCAATCGGTAGTACTTTATAGGAATCCTAGCAAACTAATATAGCCATCCTCTTCATCTTCCAGTAAGAATTCCTTCTTTGACTCTTTAGACCTAGGGGCAGTAACAACTCCCTGCTTTTGCTAGTGCCAGAATACTGCACTATCCCCAATAAAATTGGACTCTCTAAAACCTACCCAAAGCTTTGTAATAGGCCCCTTATTACACTCTCCTTAAATTACTCATTAAGTGTTTCATTCCACTAAGGGGATCTAGATGTGTCAATAATAACTTAGCTGTCCAGGACCGGGCTCTGTGATTTCTACCACAAGTCTTCATAGAGATGAGGGTCAGGGACAGATTTAAATTCTGCCTATGTGGCCCCTGGTTGTGAAGATAAACAAACAAAACCTAAGCTCTCCTCCAGGGGCAATCAGTATGTGTCTTTGGAAATGACAAAAAGTAAGATCTTTTCTGAAATGCTGGCCTTATGTCTTAGTATTTATTTATATTACAGACCTGGTCTTGTTATATTGCCCAGGCTGGCCTCCAACTCCTGGGCTCAAGTGATCCTCCCACCTCTGCCTCCCAAGTAGCTGGGACTACAGGCACGCACCACCACACCCAGTGTAATTTGATTTTATGTCACAGTTGCCACAGTGCTTTCTTTTTTTCTTTTTTTTGGAGACAGAGTCTTGCTCTGTTGCCCAGGCTGGATTGGAGTGCAGTGGTGTGATGCCGGCTTACTACAACTTCCACCTCCCAGGTTCAAGCAATTCTTGTGCCTCAGCCTCCCAAGTAGCTGGGACTACAGGCGCACACCACCATGCCAACTTTTTTTTCTTTTTTTTTTTTTTTGAGACAGAGCCTTGCTCTGTCACCCAGGCTGGAGTGCAGTGGCGAGATCTCGGCTCACTGCAACCTTCACCTCCAGGGTTCAAGCAATTCTCCTGCCTCAGCCTCCCAAGTAGCTGGGACTACAGAAATGTGCCACCACACTCGGCTAATTTTTTTGTATTTTTTGTAGAGATAGGGTTTCACTATGTTGTCCAGGCTGGTCTTGAACTCCTGACCTCAGGTGATCTGCCCGCCTCAGCCTTACAGAGTGCTGGTATTACAGGTGTGAGCCACTGCGCCTGGCCATAGTTTGTATTTTAGTCGTGATGGGGTTTCCCCATGTTGCCTAGGCTCGTCCCGAACTCCTGAGCTCAGGCAATTTGTCTGCCTTGGCCTCCCAAAGTGCTAGGATTACAGGCATGAGCCACCACGCCTGGCTGCTATAGTGCTTTCTTATACCAGAAATGAGAAAGGGAAATATTAGTCTCTATATAATTATGGAGTTGGATTGTATAAGTTGTATGCATTTTTTAAAAAAGAACTTTCATTTTCATTTTTTAGAAAATTGTCTTGGCCGAGTGCAGTGACTCACACCTGTAATCCCAGCACTTTGGGAGGCCAAGGTTGGCAGATCATGAGGTCAGGAGTTCGAGACCAGCCTGGCCAACATAGTGAAACCCCATCTCTACTAAAAATACACACACAAAAAAATTAGCTGGGCATGGTGGTGGGCACCTGTAATCCTAGCTACTTGAGAGGCTGAACCTAGGAGGCAGAGGTTGCAGTGAGCCAAGATCACACCACTGCACACCAGCCCAGGCAACAGTTCTAGACTCTGTCTCAAAAAAAAAAAAAAAATTATCTTATAGAATAAAGAAAGCTTCAAATAAAAACTCCTGTTAAACAATACTAAATAACTTTTAAAATTGATATTTAGTTACTAAGTATCCCTCTTTACCCATAGACATTTATATTCATAGATATTTCCCTTAATTTTTCACCACTCTCTAGAATTCACTAGAAAAGGCCTAGAAGAGGGCTCTGGAAAGGAAAAGAAGTTATCTCAGTGTTTGAGGAAAGCCAGTCCCCTGAGTAGCATCATGTGGTACTTTATTTATCATAGAGAAAAATTTACATGGCTTTAAGCTGTACTGTGTCAAGGGACTGCAGGGGGACAGGGGCAGTGTGTGTTTCCTGAGATTTCTGGAGCCAAGATCACAGTGGGCTTGCAGGGCTGGGTGAGGTCAGCCTCCCCTGGAACTGGATTAGACCAGCCCCAAACCTGGCCAGTATCACCCATCCAGAAGCATCACTGCGTCAAGGTATGAAAATGGCAGCTGTGCGCAATGGGGGATTCAGGCTGCAGGATTCTACTTCAAACCTCATAACCCAGTGCAGAACAAAAGGTCCTTGTTAAATAAGCAGGTGACCATGGTGAAGCCTGCAGCTTCCTGCATCATGGGAAACTCAGACAAAGTGGGCATGATTGGTGAGAAAGGACAAAGGTACAAAGTGCAGCAAGAGCCCGGCGTTTCCTTCAGGCCAGGGGCCGCTGCATATGTGGTCAGCATTAGCACTGATCTTGCTGTTCAGAGGTACTTGGGGTCACTCAAACAGCATACAGGAAAAAAATGCTGGAGACTTCAGATAGCTTAAAATCTAGAAAATTATTACCTAAATCTATAAGCATTCAATGCATAATCACATAAATCAAATAATATCATTTAAAACACCAACAGCTATTACACTTTTTCTTCTGCTGCTTTTCTCTCCATTGTACTCACTATAACTGTTCAGTTATCTATTTGGACAAAATACTTACTGCAGTTTGGAAGCCATTTACCAACAAAAAGTTCACGAATTTCACCACCTCCATAGCTGTGTCCATCGAATAAGTGATAAAGACTTTCCCTAAGAGAAAATTTTTACATTTATTAGAAACTGATCAAATTATTCTATTGTAAACAAACTTCTAAATTATATGCAATATCTTTTGTCCTTCTAGAATAATAAGAGGAAACCTTGGGCTTGGGGTGCTCTAAGAGCTTATGCCTACGTTGTATGCTGTCCTCAGGGCACAGCTCCTCAGGCCCAAAATGCCAGTGGGTCTGTCCAAGGGAGTGCAGACTGCTCAGCGTGAATGGAAATCAGAGCGACAGAGGAGAGCACTGGCAGGCTCAGACAAGCCTAAGGAAATCCACCACCCAGAATCCGCGAGCCCTTAAGATCAGGCATGACTAGTTTCTTAGAGACACTTGGCACTGTGCCCAAGGAATACTCTCCCAGCAGGCAAAGAAGCTAAAACTTGCTAAGGGACCACCCAGCAGTGTCTTCTTTTGATCTCCTGATGCTCTCTGCTGCCCTGAAATCTCGCTCTTCTGACAATAGCAAGTGGGAGGAGAGTGAGAAACTGGTTCCCCGCTCCCTTCTTCCCCGCAATCCACTCACTTTTGCAGAAAGGCCAGCAAGTTTGGAGTAGACCAAAGCACAGCTCAGATATGTTAGTAAAAAAACACTTCAGCAGCTTGAAGAAGAGACACTGCCTCTGGGCAGTCCAACATCACAGACTCCATCACTCATCCCTGGGTCAGCTTAGAGCAGCAGACAGTACAGTTTGGATAAGCTTTACCCAGTCAGGATGAACCAGTGTTTTCTCAGGCTAAAGTCTTGGGGAAATTGTCTGACTAGCATTTTAATGTGAAAGCTGAATAATTACTTTGTGTTGGCTTTTAGTCTGGAATGGACCACTTAAATCTCAGGAAGCCCTTGGGGCAGAAGATGGAGAAGAAAGGGGGGCTGGAGAGAAAATACGAGTCTGTATCTACACTGAGGTTTTTTGAAACACACCTCCCAAATGGAAGTGTGTATAATGGTCATATTAACTCACTTAAGCAGCCAGATATATAGATGGCACTCAATTTTCTTCTGAACACCTAACATTCACCCAATTGTTACGTATTTGAGGACTTCCTTTATAGATTATGGTAAGATATATATGATCTATAGATTGATATCAGGACTATAATGTATGTGGGGCAGCATCTGTTCTCCAGAAATGCTCAAAATTAAAATGATTAAGATCTTAAGAAAGTGTTCAGAAATAAAATGTTTTGAATGAAAACAGCAATGAATCATTGTCATAGAGAGCTTTCAGAGTTGTCAATGACTAAACAGCACAGATCCCCCAAAAGGAATTAGCAGATGCAAAAGGCTTTGTTTCAGGTTTGGTTCAAAGAGGTTCCCAGATTTGGAAAATGCATATTAGAATTACCTGAGCTTCTCTAGCAAGCACATCATATAATAATTTCACAAGTAGTGGCTGTTTTCTTAAGATTTCTGGAAATTACTGTCCTGACTGACCTTAATATGAGAACATTTTGGTGATATTTCAACATTTCTGGTTCTGGCAGCAAAATGTGGAAAAAGAATCATCACCTTACGCTTAGTTGAATGTTTCTTTAAATAAAAGGCTTAGTTTGCATTTGGTTGTGATGCAGTATGGAGAATGTGAGACCGTTTTTTCCAAACAAGATTGCTCATTCCTACAGGAAATGACCTCATTCTTGATGGCTGCTGCTAACTTATGGTGAGATGCTGGGTCCCTGCCCAATACCACATGGACATCCAATCAATTTACCCAGGGACAAGTCCACTCAAGAGCATCATTTAGAAGAGGGAAAAGGCACTGGGGTTATTTGTTTTTGGAGTATGTGCTTAAGGAAATCTAGAGGTAAGCAGTTTTTGAGTGTTACTAGTGGTGTCAGAATCACTAAAAACATTCATACAAAATGCTGGTTACTTTTTAAGCAAAAAGCAAAAAAGTGCATTTTATTTTACTGTGTACATGAGAAATAGCTGAGGTTATGAGGCCAGGTACAGTGGCTCACGCCTGTAATCCTAGCACTTTGGGAGGCCAAGGCGGGTGGATCACTCGAATCCAGCAGTTTGAGACCAGCCTGGGCAACATGGCAAAACCCCGTCTCTAGTAAAAGTATAAGCAAATTAGCTGGTTGTGGTGGTATGCACCTGTAACCCCAGCTATTTGGGAGGCTGAGGTGGGAGAATCACCTGACCCCAGGAGGTTGAGGCTGCAGTTAGCCATGATCACACCACCGCACTCCCGCCTAGGCAACAGGAGTGAGACCCTGTCTTAAAAAAAAGGAAAATCTTCGAGATTAGGGACGAGTGATCATCCAGCCATCACAAAGTATAAGACCTCACAAGAAGAAGGAGTGGCCGGGTGCGGTGGCTCACATCTGTAATCCCAGCACTGTGGGAGGCCGAGGCAGGTGGATCACGAGGTGAAGAGATCGAGACCATCCTGGCCAACATGGGGAAACCCCGTCTCTACTAAAAATACAAAAAATTAGCTGGGTGTGGTAGTGGGCACCTGTAGTCCCAGCTACTCGGGAGGCTGAGGCAGGAGAATGGGGTGAACCTGGGAGGCGGAGCTTGCAGTGAGCTGAGATCGCACCACTGCACTCCAGCCTGGGCAACAGAGCGAGACTCCGTCTCAAAAAAAAAAAAAAAAAAAAAGAGGAAGGAGAGAACAATGTTGCAAACAACTTACGCAATTCTTCTGGCAAATTGCTTGTTTTTAGAGTTCCTCTGGCTGGAGGGTTGCTAGGGGGTCTAGGCACAGCAGCTGGGGACGGAGGCTGGGGAACCTGTGGTCTCAGCTCTGCAGGGCACTCCAAGGACTCCCCAGGAGCACCAGCTCTATTAGGTGGCTGGTGATGTGGCTGGTCCCTAGAAAGGAATACATTTACAGTCAATTTTCATTCTTTACAAAGGCAAACCTTCAGGGACAGAAAGACTTTTAGAACTATGGGAAGATCCCAGTGGGCTCTCTCTCCTCTGCCTCTATTTCTTAACTGAGACAGAAGGAAGAGGGGAGCTCCATGGAGTTGTAGTCAATAAGCGTTTCAGCTGGCTGCCACATGTGAGGGCCTGTGCTCTGACTCCAAAGAGGGAAGCAGGATTTGATTTCTCTATTCAAGATTTGTTTAATTGGAAAAACAAGTCTCATGCACAGGGCAGACAAGGTCACCAACAAAACAAAGTAGTATGACAGGTGACACAGATGGTTGATGTTATAGGCATTCAGATAAAAAGACATGACTTTTAGCTCATAATAGGTAACATTTAATTATGTATCAAAAGGTAAAGAGGGCCATGTAGATTTAGAAGTATTTGTACTGTTGACATATAAATGGAAATCTGATTTTGAAGACCCTTTAAAGAAGTTGCTACCATATTAGATAGCATCTTTATTATTTTCGTTGCCAGTATTCCCACGAGCATTCTGCTGAGATGAACAATCAGATGACCTCGTGTGAGATTTGGAGGAGAGAAGGAAATGGAGAGCATGCGTCTGCCGCTTCTGTGGTTTCTGTCGGTAAGCACAGTGATGAGGTGCTGAGTTTTCCCCAGAAGGCCTCCCAGTGTCCTATTACCAGCTTCACAAGCGTCGAGGGCAGGGCATGGGCATCTATTGTTCACCAGTGGAGATCTATCTGGCACAGAACCGATCCAACCATTGCAGTGGTCACAGCGGTGTTGGCTTTCTGATTCTCAACCTTCCTGACCGCCAGAGGAGACAGCCTCTTTGGTGGCCCTGTTCTGTGGTATTGTGCTAACCGGTGGTGGGACTAAAACTGTCTCTATAATGTTTTATTTCTTAAAAAAAAATTCTGAAGCAAATGTGACAATATGTTAACATTCTTAAAATCTGGGTAGTGGGAACATGGATGTTGTTATTTGTGGTGTGTTTGAAATTGTGTCATATTATAAATTTTAAAAAAATGTTTTGACTACAAAATCTCTATGTATATGCCCAGTTTTTGTAGATTGTTGCTTACGCTTTTCATATTTTTACCCAAGGAGTAATCAGGAATTCTAAAAGTCTTATGTAACAGGATTTAAAATAAAATTACACAGAATCTCAACTGTACTATATTTTGAAAATATGAATGATTAAGATTATTTTTTATATTTTTATTAATATAGAGAAAATAATTTCTATAAAATATGCTTTCAGCTAATGGGGGATCCCATTCCATATTTTTTTCTTTTTCTTTTTTTTTTTTATTTCTCCAAGAAAAACTCATTCCAGTTCTTTTGCATTAAATTCTCTTATACCAAAAAAATTGTTTCAAAAGTTGCTTAGTTGTTATAGAAGATGATTGCTTATATGATAAAGAAATGTTAAGGCCTTGATAATATTCAAAAGCTTCTGTATAAAAACAATACCATGGAAATTAATGACAGAGTAAACTTTCTGAATTAAAGTTCTCTTTCAAACTATGAGTAAGAGGAGAATTAGCTGGCTTCTTTTTTCTTTTTTTTGAGGCAGGGTCTTGCTCTGTCACCCAGGCTCAATCACAGCTCACTGCAGCCTTGACCTCCTGGGCTCAGGTGATTTTCCCACCTTAGCCTCCTGAGTAGCTGGGACCACAGGCATGAGCCACCACACCTGGCTAATTTTTGTATTATTTTGGTAGAGATGGGATTTCGCCATGTTGCCCAAGCTGGTCACAAACTTCCTGCCTTGGCCTCCCAAAGTGCTGGGATTACAGGCATGAGCCACTATGCCCAACCTCAGTTGGATGGGTTTGTGTGTATGTGTGTGTGTGTTTTGTTTGTTTTTTAGTTTTTGAGACAGAGTCTCACTCTGTCACCCAGGCTGGAGTGCAGTGGCACAATCACGGCTCACTGCAGCCATGACCTCTTGTGCTCAGGCAGTTCTCCTGCCTCAGCCTCCTTAGTAGCTGGAACCACAGGTATGTGCCACCACACCCGGCTAATTTTTGTATTTTTTTGTAGAGATGGGTTTTCGCTATGTTGCCCAGGCTGGTCTCAAATTCCTGGGCTCAAACAATCCACCCACCTCTGCCTCCCAAAGTGCTGGGATTACAGGTGTGAGCCACCAAGCCCAGCCTAGCTCCTCTACCTGAACTTATTTTTCATTATCCTAAAGTGATAAAATAGATCAAGAAGATCAGAACAGGCTTAAATTGATGCTATAAAACCAATTACTCTGTATTATCTTTGCAACTCTTTTGTAAGTCTAAAATTGTTTGAAAATAAAAGTTTATTTTAAAAATTACTATTCTCTTTCCTATTCAACACAAAACTTATTTCATAAAGATGCTTACATTTTGTTTATTTCCCTGGAATTTTAGATATTTCTTCTGTTAGAGTGCCTATCCTGCTATAAAATCACATTTTACCTAATTCCATTGTTTAAACTCCATGTATTTATGGTTTAGAAAAATAAGGGATCTGGCCCAGCACGGTGGCTAACACCCGTAATCCCAGCACTTTGGGAGGCTGATGTGGGTGGATCACTTGAGGCCAGGAGTTTGAAACCAGCCTGGGCAACAAAGTGAGACCCCTTCTCTGCAAAAAATAAAAAAATTAGCTGGGTGTGGTAGCGGGCGTCTGTAGTTCCAGCTACTCTTGGGAGGCTGAGGTTGGAAGATGGCTTGAGTGCAGGAGGCGAAGGTTTCAGTGAGTCGAGATCTCGCCACTGCACTCCACCCTAAGTGACAGAGTCAGATCCTGTCCCAAAAGAAAGAGAGAAAAAAAGAGATCTGTCTTGAAAGAAAATATGAGGGTTTGTGGGCTTCTGAGCAAAAGAGAAAGCAGGCATGTGCCTCTTCACCATTGTTAATAAAGTGGGCTTTTTTTCTTTCCATGAAATGTTCAAACTAATTACCGCTTTCTGTATTTCTGAAAAATCCACTCTAATAGGAACTTCATATTTTACTCTATGCTGTAAAAACAGAATCTAGTTTTACAGTGGTATATAAAAGTTGCTTTTGAGCAAAAGTAAACATTTAATCTACTTTCTTCCAAATATTGTCATAAATGAGGAAGCTCCATTTACATGAGTTTTACCTATATATTTTAGATCCATAAATTAAGAGAAAAGGAAAGTCCAAAGAGAATAAGGGAAAAAAAATGATTAAAGAGGCAGGGCACAGTGGCTCATGCCTGCAATCCCAGCACTTTGGGAGGCCGAGGCGGGCAGATCACAAGGTCATGAGTTCGAGACTAGCCTGGCCTATATGGTGAAACCCCGTGTCTACTAAAAATACAAAAATTAGCTAGACGTGATGGCGCGCAGCTACCCAGGAGGCTAAGGCAGGAGAATAGCTTGAACCCAGGAGGCGGAGGTTGCAGTGAGCCAAGATCATACCACTGCACTCCAGCCTGGACGACAGAGCAAGGCTCCATCTCAAAAAAAAAAAAAAAAAAAAAAAAGATTGAAGAGTTAGACAACTGAAGTCATGAAAATACGGAGTTAAGCATAGGAGAGACCTAATAATGGTACTCAACATGTATGAATGTTTTTATTACAAAAGAAAATAATAGGCCAGGCACAGTGGCTCATGCCTGTAATACCAGCACTTTGGAAGGCCAAGGTGGGTGGATCACTTGAGCCCAGGAGTTCAAGACCAGCTGGGCAACATAGGGAGATCCCTTCACTACAAAATATACAAAAGTTAGCTGGGCATGGTGGCGCATGCTTCTAGTCCCAGCTACTTAGGAGGCTGAGGTGGGAGGATCGCTTGAACCTGTAAGGTAGAGGTTGCAGTGAGTCAAGTTTGCACCACTGCACTCCAGCCTGGGTGACAGAGCAAAACCCTGTCTCAAAAAAAGAAAAGAACAGGTAATTTTAAATTTTGATGGAAAATTAATTGAATTTAACATTTTAAAGTAAGAAATAGGCTTAAACAGGAACAGACACTAGACATATAAAGAGTTGGCTAACAGTGGAAGTCAGTCGTAGTAAAATCAAAAATCTATTTTGTGGACTAAAAATTCAGATGATCTGAAAATAAAAGAAAGGGGTGTGACTTGGAGAACATCTGAAGAGCCTTTCCTTCAAGAGAATTTCGACTAGTCACTAGTGGCTTTCTATGTCTGATAAAGAGATCCTTGTCAACCAGCTTCCGTTTCCTCCTGACCTGAAAAGTCTATATTGGGCATTCCACTATGTGACTTGCTCACTAACGTGGGTTAGCAAACCTATAGAGAATTCTGTTACATCTTCATTGCATTGGCATAATTCCTTTCCATGTTAAAAATGCCTGAAGGTTGGGCCTGTCATACTTACTGGTGCCTTGGAAGCCCCGGAAAGGAGCAGTCTCTCTGTGCGGGCCTCTCTTCGTGGTCCCAGGGGCTGGGATAATTCAGGATAACCTTCTGCACAGGGTGCAGGCCTCTCACACTGGCTCCAGGCAGGGGCTGCCCAGGCAGAGCCGGCTGGATCACTTGCTGGTAGGCTGCTCGAGGGTAGTCATGGCCATCTGTAGGTGAAGACAACAAAGACAACAGGGAACATCAACTCTAGCTCCTTCGTGTGAAAGGAGTCATAAGCTCCATGCTCATTTGTGTCTTGATCCCAGCTGAGGGGTCCAGATATCTGTTACCACCTCTGTGATGTTTGCCGTATTTCTCTACTGTTAATTACTTGAGTGTTTTCACGAAATTCACTTTTTTTTGTCCTAAATAAAAACATCTGCGAAATCACCAGTTTGGTATTCCAGCTGGAGAGCTCAAAAAACTTTTCAAAAAACTCTACACAGGCTCCTCTTTTCGTAAGATACTTAGGAAAATCCAACCATGAAGAACCTCTTTCACACCACCATTCCTACCACAATTTCCTTCATGTCCCGAACCCAAGGCTAGGAAAAATTATCTGTATGATAGATATAGAATCACTGCTCTGTATTTTCCTCCCCCAAGTGGACATACACGTGCATGTGCACACACACGTGCGCGCACACACACACCCCACTCTCCTCTTAAGAAGAGGTAAATGAATGAAAACTTGGCTCATCCTCCTGGGAACTAGCCAACCAACTGGCAATACCCTCCAACTCCCTTGGTCCTCTCCTGCTACAGCCTACGTGCACTTGGAGCCAGGGCTGCTTGAAGAGGGCTGGGCTCAGAGCAAAGCCAGAGCTGGCAGTGACTTATGTGAATGTGCAACCTGGGAGAAAGTGGGTCCCAGCCAGGACCAGGAGCAGGAGGGTCCCCAGGGAAGGGCAGCCTGCTGCTGCCAGAGTTAAGCATAGGAGAGACCTAATGCTTAATCACGCAAAAGAATAGAACTAAAAGCCCAGAGGAGAGATGCAGGGAACCAAGTAAGGGTGAGAGGGAAGGGCTCTGAGGGAATGGCCCAGGCCCAAAGGGGGTAAGGTGTTGGGAAATACGAGAGATGCAAGAGGACTGAAGTGAGCCACATGGTAGCCCTGCAAGATGAGCAATGAGCACCTCCTAGTGATCCAAGCACTGCCCCTCCTACCCACATAAGCAGTAAGACGATCCAGGAGGAGGCGTAACTAGTTAGGACAAGAAGGAAGGTGTTTTGTTTTGTTTTTTAAAAATCCTCATTGATCTTAAAATTATTTTGATTCTTTTAAGATCAACCCTCATTGATCTTAAAATTATTTTGCTGATTATAAATGTAATAATCAAGTTTGCCTGCCATGTAGATAGGATACATATATGGATGTACAGCAAAATAAAACTGGCAAGTAAACAAAAAAGTGACTGATAGGTTGAAACCAAAATGAGAAGCTGAGAATGTGGATAAAAATTGATTCTTAAGGCCAGGCGTGGTGGCTCACACCTGTAATCCCAGCACTTTGGGTGGCCGAGGCAGACAGATCACCTGAGTTCAGGAGTTCGAGACCAGCCTGGCCAACATGGTAAAACCCCATCTCTACTACAAATACAAAAATTAGCTGGGTGTGATGGCGCGCACCTGTAACCCCAGCTACTCAGGAAGCTGAGGCAGGAGAAACCCTTGAACTTGGGAGGCAGAGGCTGCAGTGAGCTGAGATTGTGCCATTGAACTCCAGCCTGGGCAACAGGGCAAGACTCCGTCTCAAAAACAAAAAAAAGAACTGTATTCTTAGCTTGGCAAAGCAGTCAGGAGCCATCTACGTTTTCAAAGGAACATTCAGGGGAATGATGGCCTCAAGTACAGAACAAGAGATAAATAATGTGCACGTTCACTAGTGTGGCCTCCTCCAGGTTCCCAGTGCCTAGACTCAGGAAACTGTTTGGGTGACCTGGCGATGTGCCCAAGCTAGTCTCTCAAGTGTGGTCAGATTCCCTGGACTCAATCTATTATTGTCTCCTTTGACCCATGTCACCACCTGGGTCCTTCCAGTCATGCTTCTTCTGGCAAAAGTGACCATGCCCCTCCATCCCAGACTGTCTCCTGGCAGGACCCCATGACCCTTGCCCTGATATTGCTTAGGCCTGGTCATGACAAGTAGTAGGGGTTTAAAGAGGGGGAGGAGGAGAAACAGATCTGCCTAGATCTATCCCTGCACCTGGATGACAAAGGAGACTGGGACTTGAAGGGACTGTTCTCAGAATGGAAGACAGGCCCACAGAGACTCCTATGGTCTAGGACAAGGTCTACTGCACAGGCTTCACCTTGGCAGCCTTCTCAGGGCAGGGCGGATATATTCCAGGGGGTCCAGATCACCAGTTGCAGTTTCAGGGCAACAGAGCAAGTCACTACTGCTCCTTTCCCTCAGTTTAAAAAATAGCAAAAAATGCCACTGCTATCAGGTCCCCAGGTAGGGGCCAGCCCTGCTTTTCAATGAGCCTTGCATGAGCAGACCCTTTACAAACCCAGCTGTAGCTAGAACCGTCTTGGTGGACTGCACTTACAATCCACCCTGCTAGATCAGGTTCCCGCCCCTGTAGATCTTGCCTCCCACTACACTCTCACTGGCCCACTAAGCTCTGGCTTCATTTTGAATATCCCAAACTTGTCCTCTCCTTTGGGATCCTGAGTTTGCCACCCTCTTTGTCCAGAATGTTTTTGCCCTAGATTTTCACAGACTGACTTCTTGCCATTCAGAGCTCAGCCCAAATATCACCTGTCCAAAGAGTCCTGCCTCTTCACCCAGTTACTTTATCCCATTCCCTATTTTGCTTTCTTCGTAGTTCCTATCATGGGTTTGCATAAGTAAGCATGACTTTTACCTGTCAACTTCTTGCCTGCCTTCCCTACTAGAATATAAGCTCTGTGAAAGCATGGACTGTGTCCTCTTACCACCATGTCTCCAAGGATAGTACTGGCACCCAGGGGATGCTCAATAGATGAATGAATGAAGGCTCAATAGTTACAAAGCCAACTTACAGAAAAAGAGAAGCCATTTAGGACTGCACAATCTATTAATACTTTCTAGGGCACAGGTCTCCTAGACCAGGGGCTCCCAACTCCCAGGCCACAGGCTGGTATCAGTCCATTGCCTGTTAGGAACCAGGCCACACAGTAGGAGGTAAACAGTGGGTGAGTAAGTGAAGCTCTGTCTGTATTTACAACCACTCCCCATCACTTGCATTACCGCCTGAGCTCTGCCTCCTGTCAGATCAGCAGCAGATTCTCACAGGAGTGCAAACCCTATTGTGAACTGCGCACATGAGGGATCTAGGCTGCACGCTCCTTATGAGAATCCAAGGCCTGATGATCTGTCACTGTCTTCCATCACCCCCAGATCTAGCTGCAGGAAAACAAGCTCAGGGCTCCCACTGATTCTACATTATAATGAGTTGTATAATTATTTCATTATATATTACAATGTAACAATAATAGAAATAAAGTGCACAATAAATGTAATGCACTTGAATCATCCCCAAACCATCCCCATCCCCAGTCCATGGAAAAATTGTCTTCCATGAAACTGGTCCCTAGTGCCAAAAAAGTTGGGGACCACTGCCCTAGACTGTCTTAATTCTCTTCTGCTGTCCATTTGTTTTGGGGGTTTTTTGGTTTAATCGGTGTCTCCCTCCAGAAGTAGGAAGGAGAAACACAAGGTAAAAGAGGAGAAACTTTGCCAGTGGCCTTAAAAGCCTTTATGAGGAAAAAGCTGAAAGTATCTTGAGAAGTTTTTAATGTTTGAAGCCATTTTTCTTCCTATATCCATTAATGAATGGCTAATATTGTTTTATTTGCTTTAAAAGGACTACCAAGCTCTAATCATAGGGTTTATTTCTTTTCCAGAAAGCGGATGTTGGTGCTGTTAATCAAAAGCCTTTGAATCAAGGTCATATGATTTCTAACAGATTATTTCCCTCACAACATGTCTTTGTCTCACAGCAACAAATCATATCATTAAAATCACCAAGGCATGTGGGCTAAGTGTTTGATTAGCTGTAACTTTCATTTCAGAAACGGCCACCTGTGGTAAAAAGTTATGCCAGTTTATGTGAGCAGATGAAAATGATACACCTCATCAATTTTTAAAATTAGGGTACTGACAATATAGTCCTCCATGCTGTCCTTTTATTGTTGAAAACAAAGGAAAACTGAGTATCAGTGGATCAGTAAGAAATGAGTGTTCCCTTTTGTAAGTGGAATCTGACCAGCTTTGTCTGGAATTTGACTGGTTGTATGGAAAAGGTTCCTAAATAGGCTGGACACGCCTGTAATCCTAGCACTTTGGGAGGCCTAGGTGGGTGGATCTCTTGAGCCCAGGAGTTTAAGACCAGCCTGAGCAACAAGGTGAAATCCCATCTCTACAAAAAAATACCAAAAAAAAAAAAGAAACAAGAAAAGTTGCTAAATAAAAACTATGTTTATCAAGTAAATGACCATCATTTCACTGCTAAAGTTTTAATCATTTTTTTCCAATTACTATGACGAAGGCTTGCCAATTTACTTGGGTACTATACATGTAAAATAATGGCTAACATTTATTGATCACTTGCTACATGTCAAGTACTGTTCTAAGTTCCATATTGAGAATTATAGAGTTCAATTTTCCATTTTCATAAAGAAGTTTAACTCAGAATAAAAATCCAGATTCCTCACCATGGCCCATCCAGCCTTCATCTTCTAGCACACCATTCTCTCCTTGCTCACTCTGCTAGGCCCCACTGACTTGCTTTTGGTATCTTAATGACATCAAGCTCCTTGCTTCCTTAGCTCCTTGCTTCCTTGACCTTCTCATCCTTTAGGTTTCAGCTCAGATGTCTACTTAAAGAGATTCTCTGGTCAACCTGTCTATTAATGTCTGTTCCAACAACCAGTTACTTCCCTTATAGCACTTATAATTTGTCATTCTGTTTCTGACTTCTACTTCTTATCCATCTCTCCAGTAGACTGTGAATTCCATGAAAACAAGGACGGTGTATAACTATTTGCTGAATAAATTGATAAGTGGATGGACAGGTTCTGTTTCCAAATTTCATTGACTCCCTTCTTTGCTTCCCTCCCAGGCCAAAAAAAAAAAAATGGCTTTTCCAAGGCTTCACATTACAAAGACTCTACTCATGATTAAGGCTCACTCCTTTCCCCAGGAAGTAGAGAACAGATTTCTTTTTATTCATTCAACAAATATTTATTGAACCTCGATGGCCAGGCACTTGGTGAACAAAGATAAATAGGATACAGTTCCCTTGGGATTAGCTCAAAATAAATGGAGAGAGAAAGAGAAAATCTATGTGTCTGTGGGTGTCTGTTTTTAAACACAAACCCACACTAGTTAGTGTGTGAGAAGGGGAGACATATGAGTCGACAGCCACCTACTTGAGAATCCCTGTTCAGAAATAGCTTCCCTGCGGACTTGTCCCCAATGCCTACAGTTCCATCAAGAGAGTTAATTCTGTAGGAGAGGGAAGGTGGATGATGTGATAGACAAATGATTTGCTAGCATGGTAACTCCTCAGTTCAGAGGCAGTGTTAATCACAAAGCAAAAATGAAAATCTTGCACAATCACAAATGGGCGCCCAGGACTGTATGTTATTTGTCAATCCTGTGATCTTCTTGGCCTGAGTACACACGATCTTCATGTTACTGAGCTTTTACCATTTGGAATATGTAAACCAAATCCTAAATGAGGTTTTCCATTTATCAGTCACAACATGCAACATTTTTCTTCCTTATTAAGAATTAAAAGAGTTTATGAGAGAGAAATAAAATCTGATTTTCAAGTTGTCAAAAAAAATCGTGATATAATGCAATCAGTTTAGCCAGGAAACAAAATGGCCAATATAAACTGTTGCAGGAACTCCCACAGCTGTAAGCAGCTGTCGTTCCTGAAAGGCAACTCCTTCTTTATCATTTCTTCCATCTGGTTTATTTTTTGTGCATGCATTCTAGCATACAAATAATCCCTCCCCTTTTTTTTTTTTGGTCCACAGGTACAATTGTACACATGTACCTGTAATTTTATTCTATTCAGTCTCCTTGGTAGAGAAAGCAATAATTTTATAATAAAATGAGGGCTCTCTAGACTTAATTCTCTCTCTTTTCCCAATATATTTGCATCATGAGTTTCATTTGATTGCACAGCCATGAACTCCATGCTGGCGACCTTCAGTGGAAGGATTCGGAGGCAGCAGGAGGCCGACTTCTCCAGGGGGTGGGGTGAGGAGAAAACGTAGACTTATTCCCTTTCTTATTTCCACCTACTTTGAAAACTTTTTTTTTTTACATGAAAGGGGCGACCAATAACCATTTTTGCTTTAACTTGCAAAAAGCTTAGATATGCCATTTGCATGGTGATCATTATTTATTTATATATTCATTAATGGGTAAGGAAGTAATGCTCTTCTAAAGCTGAGTAGAGCCACGTAGCCATGGTTTCCAACTGCACAAGCATCCCTTAGGTGAACAGCTCTTTTGAAGTGGTTTTGTTAGCAATTAAGTGCAGTTATAGCCCTGACATGAAACTAAGCATTTGTACACCTGCCATGAATGCTTAAAATCTGTGCCAGTGAGTGGGATCTGGAAGTAGAGGAGCACCCTGCAGAACTGGGCTACAGGATGCTTTTAAATAATAACAATAATAACTAAAAGCTGTTAGTATTGAGGGCTTACCACCAGCCAGCCACTTTCCTAGTGCCTTTAATACATTATCTCATTTAATCCTCACAGCAACCTTCGTGGGACTCATTGCTGCTGGAGGCCTCATAAATATTCTAGGGCTACAATGCCCTGCAAAAAACCCATCAGCACTGGCAACCCTGACCCTCTTCTCTGTGGTTAGATGGGAGCCAGGGCCAAGGGACATGCAAGGTGAATTGGGGCGAGCTTGCCTTCTATATGTGCTGTTTCCCTTTGTTCTTTTCAGTTTTTACTCATTTCTTAATTATAGAAGTAATACCTGTTTGCTATTTTTATTTTTATGTTTTCTATGTGTTTTTGTTTTTGTTTTTAAGACTGAGTCTCATTCTGTTGACCAGGCTGGAGTGCAGTGGCGCGATCTCAGCTCACTGCAACCTCCACCTTCCGGGTTCAAGTGATTCTCATGCCTCAGCCTCCCCGAGTAGCTGGGATTACAGGTGCCCACCACCATGGCTGGCTAATTTTTGTATTTTTAGTAGACAACATTTCACCATATTGGCCAGGCTGGTCTTGAACTCCTGACCTCAAGTGATCTGCCCTCCTCTGCCTCCCAAGGTGTTGGGATTACAGGTGTGAGCCACTGCACCCGGCCGTTTGCTATTTTTAAAAATCAACAAAAGTATATGAAATTAGAAGGAAAATATACCTGTCTCCTCTTAATTCCCTGCTCCCCTCCCCACCAAGATCACCACTAGATCCTTCTAGACTTAATATGTATATATAAACCTATATAGTTTTTAAAAAATAAACATGGATGGGATCATCACTGCAGCTCTTGCCTTTCAACTTAATCTTTTTGATGTCAGAATGTGTATTCAGTGCAACATGGGCCTAGTAGTCCATAGTATACATAAATCACAAATGACTTATCTGGCCCCTTATTGATAGGCATTGTAATTGTTTTTGTTTTTACTCTAATGCAACAATGCTTTAATAAACATTCTTGTTCTTGTATTTGTATATGCTTGTTTAATGTTTCTATAGGACAGATTCCTATAAGTGAAACTGCTGGGCCAAAGAGGAAGCACATATAAAACTGTGATAGTGAAATTGCCTTCTGGGAGATTGCACCAATTTACACTCCTATCAAGAGTGATTGGGAATATTCATTTCTCTCTAACTCCACTAACACTGGATGTTGTCCAAAGTTTTTATTTTTGCACAACTAATCAAGGAAAAGGTATCTTTAAGAATTTTGCACTTCTTAAATCTAATGATATTGAGCTTGGTTTAATTTTCATATTGGCTATTTGTGTATCTTCTGTGAATTATTCCCCTCTCCTATCCCCATTCTCTCCCCTCTGCCTTTCAACACCTCTTTTCGCCCCAAGGATCCTAGATGTCTCTCCCCAACCCCCTAACAGAAGGAAATAATACAGAGAGCAAGGGGATGGTGAAATGATGAAAGAAAGCAGGTCCTGGGGCAATAGGGACAAAAAGTGTTCCCAGTCAGGAGTGTTTGCCTTTTAAAGGAGCCTGCCCCAATGGGACAACGCTCACCTCCAAAGACTGGATTGCCAATGGCGCTGTTTCAGCTCCAACAACAGGAAAAGTATTTTCCGTGGGAAGTATTTTCCAGAAGGTCCTGGGACCTTCATTATAACATTGAGTCAGTGCTTTTTTTGTCTATCACAATGAGGCTTTCCCTTGTTAGTAGTCAGAGTCAGCTGCTTGGGACTGTATCACAAAGCCTTAAGTATTCACAGTTCTTCGCATTAATCTAAGGAGTTAATCGGAAGTGCAGTTAAAAACATATGTATGCAATGCTTGCCATAGCATTGCTTATTGGATCAGAAAACTGGAAACTATTTTAAATGTCCAACAATAAAGAATAGGTTCATAACAATTTGGTAGATGCGTCTGATGAAATACAATGAAGCAGTTTTAAATGATTCTGGAATAAGTACTCAATGTCACTGAAAACTATTTTAATTTTAGATTAAAAATATATGCAAAGAAAAAAACACTGAAAATTGATATGTCAAAACCCTAATAAGGAATTCTATTTGGGTGGCAGAAATATGAAAACTTTTTCTTTTCTTTTTTGAACTTCTGGGCATATTTTAATTTTGGGAGTGACCAAATATTATAATGATCAGAAAAATTATCTTTTTTTTTTTTTTTTTTGAGATGGAGTCTCACTGTGTCATCGCCCAGGTGCAGTCTCGGCTCACTGTAACCTCTGCCTCCCAGGTTCAGGCAATTCTTGTGCCTCAGTCTCCCGAGTAGCTGGGATTACAGGCGCCCGCCACAACAACTGGCTAATTCTTTTTGTATTTTTAGCAGAGACAGTGTTTCACCATGTTGGCCAGGCTAGTCTCAAACTTCTGATCTCAAGTGATCCACCCACCTTGGCCTCCCAAAGTGCTGGGATTACAAAGTGGGGTGAGCCACCGTGCCTGGTGAAAACTTACCTTTAAATACAGATAACAGAATGTTAAAAAGTAGTTTATGGTATTATTCTCACAAATTACTCCTTTTAAACCTGGCAATCACTGAGAAATACAGCCTTGACCTTGCCAACATTCAGTTCTCAGTGATTCATACTTAAGGGAATCCACCACCACACCCACCCTATGACTGGGCGCTTAGAGCAGGGGTGGCATCCATGCACTCCCACTCTGTTGACTTCCCAGCATTTATACACCACGTCCCAGTTTTAGGCATCAGAGGCTCTTTCTCCCGCTCCAGCCCAAGGCCCCATTCTCCTTACACCCTCCTGCTTCCCCAGCCCCTGCCCTCATTCCTGATCTCACACTCATTCTTACCTATTTCTTCCAAGCATCTTCTAAGTTACATTTCTCTATCTCCTCTTTGTTTTTTTCTTTTTTGAGTTATGAATTACTGTGTTGCTCTCTTCACTTTAGGAAGCTTTATACTTAGTATACATGTACTAATATGTAAATTATGGTTGATTACAGCATTTGTAATTATTTCTATAATTTATTTTAAAGCTGCGCATCAGGCCTTTGGTCAGGCACTTCTTACACTCTGAACTACTTTCTGTCCAGTGTTTATTTGCTAAGAAAAATATCAGGCCTCACAGCCCTGTGTTTCATCTGTAAAGCCCTTTTGTTATTTTCCAGTGGCCTCAGCGGAGATTTAACATCAAGAATGGTAGTAGGAAAAAAAAAATGGTGATAGAACCTTTTATCTCAACCTAAGACTTATCACTTTCAGAGATGCTTCCTGCACTGATACATATTATTATTTCGGAAGTAGTTTATTGAGAGTCTAGTATGTGCCAGACACTGTGCTTAAATCCTGGGGAATTATGAATTGAAAGTACACGTTTGCATTTGCAGATGCATAAAAACTTGCAGTCTAGAAGGAGAGGAGACACGTACATAATTAGATGCCATGCTGGTGTTAGGTGTCCCAACAGGGCCAGAGCAGGAGGGAGACAGAGGCCCTGAAGGAGAACGTGATCTGGGGAGGTTTCCAGAGGGACACTTGAGCTAAGTCTCAAAAAATGTGTATGATGGTGGTTGCATAACTCTGTAAATATACTAAAACTTATTGAATTTTTTATTTAAAATGGGTTAAGGGTAAACCTTGCAGTATGTATATTAGATCTCGATAAAGCAGTTTTTTTAAAAGGTGTATTGAAACTGGGTCAAACACACCAGAAGGGGAAGAACATCCCCAAGAGAGAGAAGAGCCTGGCAAACGCATGGAGATGTGAACCATCGCGACAAGTAGGGGGACTGCCAGTCTTAGAGTGGCTGGAATGTAGGGTAGCTGTGGATGGCTCAAGTGTCCAAAAGGATTTAAGCAGCAAAATCACAGAAACAACTTCATTTTCATGTAATGGCCCGAATCCCAGAGTCTCAATGACATTCTGGGCACCTTCTGGTTTTTTGTTTTGTTTTGCTTTGTTTTTGACTAAAAGCCCTTTCTCTGCCAAGTCTAAGATGGGGAAGAAAGATGACGAGAAGGAAGAACCCATATGCCCAAAGATTAGAACAAAAAATACATTTTCTAGAAATCATTTTGGTCATCTCTCTGCTTCTAGGCAGGTTTGTTAAACTAACCCAGACAGAGGAACCCATTTTGTCCTTAAAGGTCCCTAGAGAAGGAGACTCCAAGTGGGACAGGCTTTAGGCTAAGAAAAAGCATTCTCTGCAGGCCCTTTGCAAATCCAGCCACACATGGAAAGCCCCTAAGAGAAGCAGAATGCCCTCCCTGCATTCTGACCTGTTCATGCCAGCCTAGTGACACGAAGCATTGATGTGAGGCCCTTGTTTCTTCAGTCACCCAGCCCAGAATGCCCAGAGGAGGTAAAGATCACTTACATGGCACCTGGTGATCGGGACTTCCAGGACAATGGTAATGATAGTTCCATGGAGCATGTGGGGAAAGATTGGGAGGCAGCATCTGTGCACATGCTGGATACCTCTGAGGTTCAAACTGAGGGAACTCCCTGGACCTGAGAGGTCTGGGGAGGTCCTGGGGGTAACACACGGAGGTGAGGGGCAGGGGCCTTTCCAGCTGCCTGATGCCCAGGACATCCTGGGGCTGGGAATCATATCCCGTGTCTATGGTTGGCAGATCCAGGCCTGCTCGGTTCCTGTGAGGCTGGGGCCGTTGCACCATCTCCTGGCTACCGCCCAAGGAGTCTGCTGAGGCATTAGGTAAACTTTGGTCTGATTTGTCTGAGTCATGGCCAGTGTCAGGAGAAGCCGCTGAAAGCTGAGATACCAGCCATTGATTACGTTTTTCCATAAATGAAAACTGATGCTCTGCAGGGAGGGCTCCAACCACAGACTCAGACGCAGGCTCGCTGACTGCAGAGCACCCAGAAGGGAAAGCTTTGCCCAGGCCTGGGTGTCTCCTGCAGAAACTGTCTTCACTGTCCTCCAGAACTTGAGTGCGCAGGCAGGTGACCTGCCGGGATACAGGCCGCTGGTGATTTGCAAGTTTCAGGGTTGAGTGAGCTTGAGAAAAGTCTCCGGAGGAATTGTGAAGCATTGTGGGTGCAGACAAGCTGTTGGGTGCCATGTTCCTTATATTTGGAGCAGGTGGTTCTGATTCCTCTTCCGGGGAATATTCTGGGATTGGTTTCAGCAACTGACTTGGGTATGGTTCTGATTCATCAACCTCCACAGGAATGCTTCGGTTCATTCTAGTTTCTGGAACAAGAGAAAACATGCTATAGCCTTAGAAGACAGATAAATTCTTGGAGTCCTCACTTTATGACCTTAAGGGACCTCATTCAAGATGTGGTTTAAATTAACAGTGAGACACCAATGTGCTTGCAAAGCCCTAATCACATAAAATTGTTTACTTATCCTCCAGGCAAAAGCACTAATGCTTATTAAGATATTTTATCTGGAAGGCAATTCAAAGAATGTGATTGGACCATCCTGTGGTAGAAATCATTCACCAGCAAGGGGAAAACACAGATGAAAATCAACTGCCAAGTATTGAGGAAAGAGAAATTATCATAATGTGGGCTGCTTCGTGTGTGCTTGGAATACATGAAGAAATAAATCTTAGTAACTGATATGGAATGATCTCTAAGATATATTGAGTTTTTTTTAAAAGCCAGGCGCAGAGCAGTGTGCATACTATGCTGCTATTTTGTGTAAAAAACGAGAGGAGAATGTGTGTTTCTGTGTGCATATCTGCTTGTATATGTATAAACCGTGTGGAGGATATACAGACATTGCTACACTGGTTGCCTTTGAGGATGGAATTAAGCTGGGGGAGAGGAGTGGGAGGAAGTTTTCACCTTTTAAACTTTTATAATTTTGTTCCATTTGACTATTTCCTAATTTTAAAAAATAAAAGTGTTTTTTTTTAAGCAAAGAAAGCAAGCCCAAGTTTAAAACACATTGAAAAAAGGTCAGAGTGACATTTTCTACCTAATTTTAGGTCATTTGGAGGACTTAATTCCCTCTGGGCACTATGCCTGCAACAAAGGTAGCCATGACCATCTGGTTTGTGATGTAGTTGAACCAGCAAGGCTCGCTAAACTAGACCTTAGCCTGCAGAGCATTTATCCAACGGGCCGGGCAATATTGCTTTTAGCTGTAAGAAGAACTCTTAATTCACCTAACACAATGAGAAAGAAAACCAGTCTCCTCTCATCATTAAACTGATTGAGATGATGCCTTGACTGCAGGGGCAGGAAGAACGCAGTCCAGAGGACTGCACAGGAGCAACTGGGGGTTTGCAGGAGGCTGCAGAGCAGGTGTCGTAAAAGAGCAAGCAAGTGAAAAAGAAGAAATCCCAGAGGGTTATTCTATGCAAGGCTAGTACACAGCATACTTCAAATACCAGAGAGAGAAAAGGGATTATGTCTGGATTTAAAAATTCCTACTTTGGATCCATGTCGCATTTCAACCACATTCACTGAGGGCTCACTGTGCCTAAAGTCAGTTTACATAAATTATGTTCTAAAACAAGTTTCGGAGAGCATGAATTCACTTTCTCTTGCACCTTGTACCCAATCCAATGGGATCAGGACAGCATGCATTTTGAAATGCTCCCCTTTCACACAGATGGGGCCAGCAGTTTTCCACCAAATATACTTAACAGCCTACAGAAAGATACCTCTCCACTCCCTGCCAAATGAATGCTCTTTGACAGTCTTCTCCCACTTGGTATCAAACTTACCCACCTGCTGCACAACGACCCTTGCTCTGTTTTCTGACGCAACAGAAAACTCAACTTCTAACTTCCGGCTGGCCTTCCCTCCTCCCTCCGTCTCTCCCTTTCCCTGTCCTTGTCCTTTTCAGGCTGTGTATGTCCTCTGCTCATTGGCTCTGCAGAAAAGGAGACCTCATCAGCTAAAGTGATCAGACCTTATAAAAATGAACAAGAGCCTACCCAAAAAACCTGTAAATAAATATCGCAACTTTTTATTATTTAAAAAATGTTTGGCCGGGCGCAGTGGCTCGGGCCTGTAATCCCAGCACTTTGGGAGGCTGAGGCGGGTGGATCACCTGAGGTCAGGTATTCGAGACTAGCCTGGCTAACATGGCAAAACCCCCTTTCTACTAGAAGTACAAAAATTAGCTGGGCGTGGTGGCATGTGCCTGTAATCCCAGCTACTCAGGAGGCTGAGGCAGGAGAATCGCTTGAACCTGGGAGGTGGAGGTTGCAGTGAGCTGAGATTGCGCCACTGCATTCCAGCCTCAGCGACAAGAGCGAGACTCCATCTCCAAAAAAAAAAAAAATGCTCACCATTTTTTCCCTTTCTTTCTTGCAATTTTTCCACAGTTATGAAATTGGATGTGCCACACAACATGCTCTTCAGCCGGTCAGAAAACGAAAATATTTTTTCAAGGCCTGGCTGACTGTTGTGTCATCGTCTACATGCACTTGTGGGCACACAGCTGAATGGGAGGCAAAGAGATGCAAAAAGTGAGCTGAGTGGCAGGAGGACTAATTCCTGTCCTCTCTTTATTGCCATGGGATTTGCTTTCAATCCTCACTCTTCAGGTACAACTATTTCCATTCTCACTGGGTTTTCCAGTGTGAGTACCTTAGAAGCGCTTTTCTACCTAAAGAAAAAAAAAGTTGCAAATTCTACTCTTCTAGCTGAGGAGCCATCTGGGGGCTTGGAGGAGGCTTTAAAAAAAGTGATGAGGGCAGTCATCTCACATAAACTGGAAATCTGAGGTCATCCTCTGGTGGGAATTCTTCAGTTAAAACTGCTCTGGGGCTGGGCGTGGTGGCTCACACCTGTAACCCCAGCACTTTGCAGGCTGAGGCAGGAGGATTACTTGACCCCAAGAGTTCAAGACCAGCCTTGGCAATATAATGAGACCCTGTCTCTACAAAAAATTAAACAAATTAGCCAGGTGCGGTGGCGTGAGCCTGTAGTCCCAGCTACTTGGGAGGCTGAGGTGAGAGGTCACTTGAGCCCTGGAGGTGTCCAGCCTGCAGTGAGCCGAGATCGTGCCATGGCACTCCAGCCTGAGTGACAGAGCAAGAACCTGTCTCAAAAAATAAAAATAATTTTTTAAAAAACTGGTCTGGCCAGGCGCGGTGGCTAATGCCTATAGTCCCAACACTTTGGAAGGCCAAGGTGGGTGGATCACCTGAGGTCAGGAGTTCAAGACTAGCCTGGCCAACATGGTGAAACCCTGTCTCTACTAAAAGTACAAAAATTAGCTGGGTATGGTGGCAGGCACCTGTAACCCCGGCTACTTGGGAGACTGAGGCTGAAGAATCGATTAAGCCTGGGAGGCGGAGGTTGCAGTGAGCTGAGATCACAACTGTTGTACCCCAGCCTGGGCAACAGGAGCGAAACTCTGTCTCAAAAGAAAATAAAATAAACTGGTCTGAAAAGGAACACATGGCTTTTGAGTATTTAGTAAATAAACCTGGCATGGCAAGAAACAACTTCTAATAAAACTATGGAATTAATAATCTTTAAAAAACAAAATGGACCCTGGTGTTTCAAACATGTCACTATCAAATACTCAAAACAGCAGATAATTACAGAACTCAACTATGTGTCCAACTCAATGCTGTGTATCCCCCTTCTGACTATACGCCCAACTGAAATAGTTTTATTACTTTTTAAATAACCACAAGTGATACAAACTTCAAGAGGTACCAAAGGGTATGCATGCCGGGCGCCGTGACTCACGCCTGTAATCCCAGCACTTTGGGAGGCCAAGGCGGGCAGATCGCAAAGTCAGGAGTTCGAGACCAGCCTGGCCAACATGGTGAAACCCCGCCTCTACTAAAAATACAAAAATTAGCCGGGCATGATGGCAGGCACCTGTAATCCCAGCTACTCCAGAGGCTGAGGCAGGAGAATTGCTTGAACCCGGGAGGCGGAGGTTGCGGTGAGCCGAGATCGTGCCACTGCACTCCAGCCTGGGTGACACAGCGAGACTCTGTCTCAAAAAAAAAAAAAAAAAGGAGGTATGCAGTGAGAGATAATCACAGTAATTTCTGAAGACACAGAAAACATTCTTCCTACCTTCAAGTTGCTGTGATCCAGCCTAAGAGAGGAAACTAAGTAACATGCAGAAAACCCACGACCGGCGTCCCAGGGCCTTCGTGCTTGTCGCTCCCTCTTCATGGAACACCCTTCCCCCACACAGCTGCATGGCTGGCTTCCTTTCTCCTTCAGGTCTTTCCTTGGCTGTCACCTCAGGGAGGTCTCCCTGGTCGCACTCCCTAAAATGTTTACACTCTCCTCTCATTCCCATCTCCCTTCCCTGCTTTACCTTCTTATCCAGCAGTTATTACTGTCTTATATATTACCCAAATGTATATGATATACACAAATATCTAATAATCTCTTATTTGCTCATTGCCTCTCCCTTCTCCCAGAATATAAACTTCCTAAGGGTGCAATTTTCTCTTTTCTTTTTCTTTGTGATACGGGGGTCTTGCTCTGTCACCCAGGCTGGAGAGCAGTACCTAGATCATGGTTCACTGCAGCCTCAAACTCCTGGGCTCAAGTGATCCTCCCACCTCAGTCTCCCAAGTAGCTAGGACTACAGGCGCACGCCATCATGCCTAATTTTTCTGTTTTTTCTGAGACGGAGTCTTGCTCTGTCACCCAGGTTGGAGTGCAGTGGCACAATCTCGGCTCACTGCAACCTCTGCCTCCCGGGTTCAAGCGATTCTCATGCCTCAGCCTCCCGAGTAGCTGTGATTACAGGTGTGCGCCACTGCGTCTGGCTAATTTTTGTATTTTTAGTAGAGACAGAGTTTCACCACGTTGGCCAGACTGGTCTCAAACTCCTGACCTCAGGTGATCCGCCCGCTTCGGCCTCCCAAAGTGCTGGGATTACAGGTGTGAGCCACTGCGCCAGTCGGTGTGCCTGACTTTTAAAATTTTTTTGTAGAGATGAGGTCTCACTATGCTACCCAAACTGGTATTGAACTCTTTACCTCAAGCAGTCCTCCCACCTCAGCCTCCCAAAGTGCTGGGATTATAAGTGAGCCACCACGCCTGGCCTGGGGGCATGATTTTTGACTGTTCTGTTTACAGCTATATTCTCAACACCTAGAACTGCACCTGGCACATAGTAGGTGCTCAATAAAGATTCACTGAATGAATAAATAGTTGATGCCTATTTCAGAGAGGGGACAGACAGGTCCATGTAGCCGGATCAGTGACAATGAGAATGTTGTCAACAACAATGTTGGGTAGCAAGGAGTATCTGGTGGGCCTGGTCCTCAGAGTTCTTAAAATTATGCCACGTGGGTGACCCTTCCCTCTTCTTTTTTTTTCCTCTCCAGAACATTTATTAAGTGCCCACTATGTGTCAAGCACCCAAGTTAGGTCTGGGCCATGCCCAAAGGTCCTGCCCATGGGCAGGATTGACCACAACCCTTACTTGCAGAATAAAGGTGATGCCATCAGCCAGTGTAATGGGAGCATCTGCTCTTAGATTCCAGGCAGGGAGTTGCTGGTCTTTGTGCCTCTGCAGAGCTCCACCTAGAACTGAAAAGGGTGGGGCACGCCTGCCACTACCACACAGGCCCCCTCCAGCCCCAGACCCCTGTCTGAACTGGCAGAAAGTGGGCAACCCTGCCAACTCTCCTGAGGCAGTCATAGAGAACAATTACAAATGCCACATCAGGGGGCCACAGACAGATTAATGGGTTATGTCAAGGATGGCAGTTTTATCTGTTTTGTCTTTAATGTCCATAGTGTAAAAATACTAAACATTAAAAAGCAATCACTCAGTATCTCACCATTGTATTTTTAAAATACAAAGAAAACCATTCAGCAGAGGGTGAGAGCATGTACCCTGGGTAAGCACGAGTGGGCATGAACTGGGGACAGAGGTGAGTCCTGGGGACATATAACTGGATGGAACAGCTGTGCATGTGAGCCTGGTTCTTGCTTGTTCTGACCCGACCCATTTTTCTGTTTTTCCTTTTTTTTTCCAGGCTTTCTCCATATTTACGTGCTTGTAACTCTGGCATGACCTTTGCTCCAGTCTCTACCAGAGGGCGGTGCCTGGATTGAAGTGGAAAAGCCCTGTTTTCCAGCCATGACCCAGGGAGCAAGCACTGACTCCTCAGGGGAACAGGAGACCTGCCAACTAGGACCCTGGGAGCCCCCATGCTGGCAGTGCCCTGGGTCATCTCAGGCTCATCAGCAAATCCTGGGGGGAGAGCGGGGCTGGAGGGCGAAGAAGCCCAGGAGAGTTCCTGGCTCAGAACCCCTCTCTGAGGCTCCCAATACAGAGCCCAGGCCCCACACCCAGGGCCTCTGAGTATTTTTGTTTATTGTATGTAAAATACTAGTGTATTTTTGTTTAAGTCTCACAGGTAAACAGGTTCTCTCATACTTTGCCAAGGGAAATGTGATCTGTGCAATTTGGCAATAACTATCAGAATTTTAAAAGCTTATGCCCTTTGACCTAGTAATTTCACTTCTAAGAATTTCCCCTGCAGAGATATGTATATCTTGTATGAAATGAAGAGGCTACGAAGACAGGCAACGCCGCAGTGTTTATAATAGCGAAGACCAGACACAACCCACATGTCTAAAGGTTCTGATTTTTAAAACTGTAGTATATCTGTACAATGAGCACTCCACATCCTTTAAGAATGAGGAAGGGCTGTGTGAACTGAAATGGAACTATCTCTAAGATTTATTAAGTTAAAAAAATTCAAGAGTAGCACAGTGTGTAGGGTATGCCATCATTTGTATGATATAAGGTCGTATATCTGCCATCTCAAATGAGGAACAGTGGTTGCCTCTGGGAAGGGAATTGGATGGCTAGGAATGGGGTAGGAAAGAGGTTTGCTTTTCAGAACATTTTATACTATTTAAGTTTTGTAACAAGTGCATCTATTTTGACTTAAAAGATAAAAAATGAAAAGGAAAGGCTCCACTAGTGATTCTGATGCTCACAAAGATTAAGAACCAATGCGAATGAGGAACTCATGACACCGCCCAGGAGACAGTGAACATATCTCTTCAAATATCAAAAACCTTTCAGCAGAGGGTGAGAACATGTGCCTGGGGTAAGCATGGGTGGGCATGAGCTGGGTACAGAGGTGATTCCCAGGGACATACAACTACCTTGCCCTCCTGGGATCAGGTCTTCCTCCCACCTTAGCCTCCCATATTGTTGGGACCACAGGCATGCACCACCACACCTGGTTAATTTTTTTTTTTTTTTTTTTTTTGTAGCGACAGAGTCTCGCCATGTTGCCTAGGCTGGTCTCGAACTCCTGGGCTCAGGCAATCCTTCTGCCTCGTCCTTCCAAAGTGCTGAGATTACAGGCATGAGCCACTGCACCCAGCCTGACAGTAGCTTTTAATCTCTGGACTCTCATCACCGTTTGGACTGTGAGCTGTGGTTCTAGCTCTTGGATCTGATGGGCATCTTCCCTCAAATATGTCAGTTTCTCTCTCCAGGTCCCTTGCTTTGTCTTCCTTTTTGCCTCCTCGGGCCTGATACCTTTCTCTGGGCTTCTCTACTCTGCCCCGAGCTGCCTAGTTTTGCGAATAATGTCACATCCAGATGTCAGCAGCCCTGATGTCCATGTGACAATGCTCCCTTGCTGTCCATGTGACAATGCTCCCTTGGTGTCCCAGTGACAGATTTTCCCATGCTTCACCCTCTCTCTTTTTTAATTTTTTTTTCTGTACACAGCTCTCAGTCAAGCCCCTTGAGCTGCCTCCAACTGTTTGCTCATGTCTGTTCCCAGCAATCTTTTCCTCTTTTAGCACAATCTTCCTTAACTTACTAGTTTTTTGAAACAGAGCCTATTAGTCTTCACAGCGCTACCTTTCTGATCTCAGAGTTCACCAAAAAGCTTTTCCTCCCATCATGCCTGCCTCCCTTTCTTCAGGTCCGTTAGAGTCCACCGTGGCCTGTGTGGGAAGCAAGTCTCTCCCAGGGCACACATGAACAGACTTCATGCCCACATCCACAGTGAACAGTGGCTTCTGCCTTCCAGATGGGCTTACCCTAAATCAACACATATTCCTAGGATGTGGGAACATATGCAATACTTAAATGCACAGGCTCTGGGTTCAGACTCCCTAGGGTTAAATTCTCCCTGTGCCGGCTAGCTGCATGATTAGATTTGTGATCTTGACAAAGTTACCTAACGTCTCTGGGCCTCACTTTTCTCATCTGCAAAATAGGGAAAATAGCAACACTTCTCCATAGGGGTGTGGTGAGGATAAAGAGTAGATGTAAATAAAGTGTTGAATGTAGAGCCTGGCACATATCAAGCTCTTAAAAAGCAATGGCCATTTTGTTATTTTTACCGCAACGACAACTGCAGTTATTATCTGGCTTCAGAGCTCTCTTTTTAAAAACAGTATTCCCTGGTTTTACACCCAGGTGCTAATACTATTCTATGAAGCTAATGTATAGAGACCATATCTTTTTAACAAACGTGTATATATGAGTCATTTCCGGCACATTTGATACACATCATCTCGTTTGGTCCTTAAAACAAGCCTAGGCCATAAGCAGGGTACGTGTTACCACTTTGCCATTCCTGTTTTACAGAGGCTTAGACACATTGAGAAGCTTTTCCATAGTCACTTAACAAGTGATGGGTGAAGCCAAATCAAGCCTTTAGATCTCCAAGCTCTTTCCATTAAACCATATAAATCACGGGTTGGCAAACTTTTTCTGCAAAGGGGACAGATAGTAAATAGTTTAAGCCTTATGGGCCACATGCTGTGTCTGTTTCATATTCTGCTCCTTTTTTATTTTTATTTTTTTTAAGAAAAGACACCCTTTAAACATATAAAAACCATTCTGAGCAACAGGCTGGTGCTAAAAACAGGTCATGGTAACCATTGGCTCTAGGGTTGTAGTTTACTGTTGATATAGATTGTACACTGATAAGCCAAAATACAAACCTAATGAAACTGACATACTTAAGGAACTTTACTCTTTGTTAGCAATCATTGTTAATATTTATTGAATGGTGACTACGTGGGAAATGCTGTTCCAAGTGTGATAGATATATTAACTTACTTAATCCTCACACCCACTCTAATTTCCTAAGTACTATTGTCAGACTCATTTTACAGACAGGAAAAGCAAGGCATAGAGAAGGTAAGTAACTTTTCCGAGGTCACATGGCTATTAAGTAGCAGAGCTGTGATTCAAATATAAGCGGTTTGGCACCAGATCCTGTGCACTTAACCGCTTGCATCTCGGTTGGGAGCACTGACTGGTTCAGCTATTGGGAGGGAAGAAAGGGGATGGGGAAGCCACATAACCCCTAGGAGATTCTGTAATAAATATGCTTCAGAGCCATTCACCTTGAAGCTGAGGAGGCATGGAAGCAGGCCACCTGTGTTCTGTACAGCATCACCAGGCTGGAAATCTGCCATGGCTTTCCTTCACGCCATCACAAGAGGATACAGATGAGGCTGCAGAGGCATCTTGATTTGAGAAAAGCATTTGACTGGATCTCATTAAATTTTAATCATTAACTGAATTCAAAATAAATTGAAAACTGGTTGACAGAGCACCAACAAAGGGTGATGATAAATGGTGATGCATCTAGAGGGGAGCTATCTTCCAGGGGACAACTCTAAGGCAAGGACGGATGGGATTTAATGAAGGTGTTATGTCCCCAGAAGAAGACAAATAGCACAGCAAGGAACAGAGGAAGGACAGGAGTGAGCAGCCTGAGTAATTAATAAACCATATTAACAGCTCCTCCATAATCAGGCCTTGGTGATCACAACTGCTTGGATTTTTTCTTAAGCTTTCTTTGAGTCAGGAATAGGTTTGAAGCGTCCTAGAGACACACAGCATGAATATTTCAGGTGGACATTAAAAAGAAATCTATAAATTTACAGCTGGGAGGATCCTGAGATCTACTTCGGATCAGAAACTTTCAATTACAAGATTCCCAAGGCCTTACTTCATTCCCCAGAGAGTAATCTTTTTAATAAATGTCCAAAAGTCATGGATTTAAAAAAAAATCTTTAAACTCATTAATGTCCTTTGTTTCCTGCCCAAATGCATGCAAACTTTCATAACACTGGTTTGCTGAGTGGAAGGTTGGTTTTGAGTGAACTGTTTGGCTCAGATTCAAACTCCAATGAACAAATACTTCCAAGTTTACTTGCTGAATTTCCCATACAGAGAAGTTCTTCCACTGGGCTTGCCAGAGGATTTGAAACAGTGGTGAGCCCTGGAAGGAAGGGAATATTTACTGGCCCTTGGACATAAACCCAGCACAGTAAGACTCACATCAGGCTGAAGGCAGTGCAGTATGAACCGACCTGATTTGAGGAAGTTTGCTCTGGGACTCCTCTGAGCTACTAAATGAGGAGGAGAAGGACTAATGGGAACACACTGACTCCATCACATTAGAAGTTATAATAAACATTTAGAGAACAACCTCAAACCAGCCCATGTTTTTTTTTTTTTTCTGTCGTTGTCATTGTTTTGGTTTTTGTTTTTTTGTTTCTTCAGATAAGATGGTTTCTCTAAGCACATGTGTGATCCCTAATTCAGCCACAGCCACGGAGTGAAGGAGAGGAAGGGGTAGAAAGGAAAAACCAAGAGAGGAAGAGGAAGGGAGAGAAAGGAAGGAAGGAGAACGGAAGAGAAGTAAGGAAAGTGGGGAAACGCTGAAGGATTTTTTTGTATTTGCCTTTTATTGGTGTAGGAGAGACACTTATTTACTTGTAATTTGTATGTAGTGCTGGGTATGAGAAGGGGCAGTTGGAAGAGAAGGGAAAGAATGAATATAGGTGAAAGGTAAGAGTGTCATAGGGTAAGCTGGGAGGCCAGGAAGAGTTTGGACAGACAGCTCAGAGTAGGAAGAGAGTTCAGAGCGGGGAGGGAGACCTGTTGACTCTGGGAAGGGGAAAGGGAAAAAACACTGGCATCCTGACTGCAGGGAAACAATGAGGCAGCGGAGAGCAAGTATCCCTCATTGCTGAGGGAGCTGCCAAGACCCCAGGCAGCCTCAGTCTGTGGGGTGCGGCCTGTGGGGTGCGAGGAGAGGGGCACAGGCTGGGAGCTCCGGTCAGTCCTGGCCCTCCTAAAGGGCTTGAGTTCAGCTGCCTTATCAGGGAACCAAGCCAAACCAGCACAGACCTAAGGATCACCCCATGGATGGAAGCCCACCCTTCTTCAGCCAGTCTACAACTCCTGGTATCCGGGAAGGTCTGTGCACACACAAGGTGTGCACACACACACACACACACACACACACAAGGCGTGCACACACAGCTACAGAGTGAGCTGAGTAGTCACAGCCAAGCACATGTGTGCTTCTAGGAGGCCTGCTGGGCACGGGAGGCAAAGACCATAAGTGGGAGAAAGGACAGCCTGAGTTTCATGAACTAAAAATATCTTGGTGACAACGCATTGGGAAGAAACAGGAGAGGCCCGGGGGGCAGCTTCTTGATTCCAGTCCTCAGACACTTTCTCATGGAAAAATCCTTCAGACTGCAGGATTGTTTTGATAAGGAAATGTGATCAAACATTAGGGGTCATTTCATTGGATCTGAAAGGAATTTAAAGTTGAATATGCCTCATCTGTGTTCACTCTTTTTTTTCTGCAGCAGTTGCCTGCAATTCATATATGTTTTTAGAAGCTAATTTAAAATTGCCTGCAGAAGAAAAATGATTTGAATTCAGGATATTCCTGAGATTTCCATTCTACAACGTGTAAAACAAAGATTTCATTTAGACAAACTACCCCACCATAATCTTTCTGAATGCCTGTTGAAGAATGCCTGCAGATATGACTGTCTTCTCCTCTTCTTTTTCTTTTCAGAGCATTTGAAAGTCACTAACTCCTTAATCCCAGGAGAAGCAGGCTTTAACATTTCCTGTCTCTACACCTTCCAAAAATGAGTAACCCTGAGTTAAGAACCTTTCTATCCGACATGTTGGTACATTACTCAGACCTCACTTCTGTTTAACCCACCCCATGCAAGGAACAGAGCAGAGTAACTACATTATCCATCTTTTGATGCTCCATCATGGAGTGACTGGTAGCTGCAGCAGCAGATTAAGAATGACTGTGGTGTGTGGCCTTTAAGGATTAGAGCGAGGCTGGCAAGTGCACAACAGTTAGCCTGCTTTCAGATAATGGTGCATCGTTGTTTGAAAATAAAATCAGGAACTCATTGCAGGTGAAATATCTTGAAATTCCTGTCCTTTCATCCCAGGGGAATAGAGAGAAATGCCTAAAAACATGACACGGACTACACCAGGACATCCCACAGAAACCAAAAGTCCTGCACCAGCCCATCCCAGTCAGCTAGGGCCTGTTTGAACTGTATTGATGGCAAGTAATTGCCAAAAAGAAACAATGACAATTTTTTTTTAAGTCACGGTCTGGAAAAAGTTAAGGATTCTGTGTATCCGCCATCTAATAATGTCTCTAATCACAGTCATCACCCTTACATGGTATTAGGATGTGTTTCATAGTTTCCCTTCCCCTCCCATTAAAGGCCCCACACACAGTGACTGGTCCAGCTGAGGAGTGGTTTCCAGGTCCAGCTACAGCAGTAACTCTGGCTTCTGGAGCTGGGCTTGTCTGCCAGTTCTCTGGCCTGCCTTGACTCTGTGGACAATAGCACAGACTATCCTTCCTGGGTAACCCAAATGGGACATGAACTAATTCGAGAAACTCCCTGTTTTCTCCTATTTGGCTAGAGCCAGTAATAAGGCCTCAATTCCAGGCAGCCCTCCCGCAGAGACACGTGTCTCCCAGCCTTTCGCCCTGACTGCTGCTTTACCTCTTGCCTTGAGAGCAGACGAGTGAAACAGAAATCAAAGCAGTTGACATGGAAGGGGGGTGAGCACCTACTAGGCATTTGGTAGCATGCTGGATTCTGGGAGGTAGAAAAATATCAGGAAACAAAGTCCTTTCCTCAAGGGGGTAACCAACTGGTAGTGGGAGGTAAAATTAAAATATGTGAATAATCGGTAAACAAAACAAGTCTTGAAGACCACCCATTACCACTACCCCTCTGGGACTATCCTGGCTTTGTTTTATAAGGGAATTTGACACACTCATGTTAGATCACCACCCCCCATCAATTTACTGATGAAGAAATCCAGGCTTAGTGGAGTCAGAGTGAATTGCCTAAGTCATGGAACCACAAGAAGTGAAGAACTTGAAACCAAGTTTCTTGTCCTTTTAAAAAATTTGGCCTCTTGTTCTCCTGTTCCTTTAAAAAAAAAAAAATCCCCCTATTCTAAGATACCATCTTGAACTTGAAAGTCACAAGAAGCTTGATTAGCTTCTAAGATCAAGTTCTGGCATTTCTCCCCCTTGTTCCCAAAGGCTCCGTCCAGCGCCAGGCTGGGAGGGCTGGAGGGCGGCTGCGGAGAGGGGCCGGGAGGCGGCTCACAGCCAGCACAGAGCTCAGCAGAACTTCCTGGCCCAAAAATGTGCTGTTGATTTTTTTCCCCCCTGCACGAAACAAGGATTGAGAAAACTGCCACTGACGTGTTCTGGGGCTGAAAGCCAATTACTTAATCTTTGCCATCCCTGGCTCTCTCTTTGGAGAAGTGGGGCTTGAATTCTTGAGAGAAACTTGTGGGGACACTAAGTACCCAAACGAATGGTTCCCAGGCAGCTCCGAGCTGTCCCCGTGTGCGAGCCTCCTCTCCTCAAAGGGTTAACCCGGCGGGGCTCGCTGGCCTGAAATACTATACTAGCAACACATCCTTGCAGCACAAACTTCACTGTCATTTTCTCAGCTAAGATGGTCTCTGTGCGAACAAGTTAAAGGAGGGGAGACGAACACAGAGGAAAGTAGAGGCAGAATGTTTCAGTAAAGGAGAAACAGCGTGCTTTGGGAAATAGGTCAGAGGTGAAGAAATAAGACCAGGCAAGTGGCAACTCCGAATAACTTACCTTAGATCCACCACGGACAGACAGACTGGGCCCGGAGGGTAGTCGGCTCTCGGCGGCTTCTCGTCTCCCTCCACCTTCTCCGGGCCCAGGTAAGTAGAAGAACAGGCTCTGAAGCAGGAAGTGGAAGCTGTATGCAAATTTCTACGGAGCCTAGGAAGCCTCTGCTCAAAATCTCCCTGTGGGCAGTGAATCAACGGCTGAGGAGTCACTTTATTTCTTAAAACAGAAACCTCCTTCATTCATGAGAAAGGGCCAGTGACCAATTAGGCGGCATTTTTGTTTTCGCCACCCAGCTAAGAAGCTGCCCAGGAGTGGGCAGAACCTCAGTGTAGTCGCAGTGCCCTCGCCTGGGAGGGTGTCTCCGGGAGGAGATTGAACTCGAATGTTAAGAATTAGTAATCATTAGCAGCTCCAAAGGAGGGGATTGTGGGCAGATAATGGGGAAGAAGAGGGAGTCGAGCTTCTTCCACCTCCTCTAACTGCTTAAAACATCAGCATTGCCGAGCGCGGTGACTCACGCCTGTAATCCCAGCACTTTAGGAGGCCGAGGCGGGAGGATCACGAGGTCAGGAGATCGAGACCATCCTGGCTAACAAGGTGAAACCCCGTCTCTACTAAAAAATACAAAAATTAGCCGGGCGTAGTGGCGGACGCCTGTAGTCCCAGCTACTCGGGAGGCTGAGGCAGGAGAATGGCGTGAACCCGGGAGGTGGAGCTTGCAGTGAGCCGAGATCGCCACTGCACTCCAGACTGGGCGACAGAGCGAAGACTCCGTCTCAAAAAAAAAATTTAAAAAAACCCAAAAAATCAGTATTTGCTGCCCATAACCACTGGGGGGGTGGGGGGGGGCTCACTGACCATGCTCCTGGACACACGTGTACACACAGCATACACATGCCTGTGGCTTGTGCACACACACCACCCTATTGTCAGGCACAAAAAAAGTGGTTAATTTTAAGAACACACACACACACATACATACACATGCACACATGCACACTAACCTCCTCTGGCTGCATTTTCCTGACCTCAAGATTTTTTTTCTCCCCTTTCCTTCCCATTGTTTAATCAGTAGCCTGCAGAATTTATTGCATGAAGGAGCGCTGCAGGCAGGATGATACCCAGCGATGTGAACAGAGAGAGAGAGAGACAACTGCCTTTCGGGGCAGCAGTCAGTAATGGGAGCAGTGTTAGCTGGAGCTTTGGAGTCAGGAGGACCTGGGTACGAACTCAGCCATGTCACTGGCCAGCTGGGCGCCCTGGGCAGACACACCATGCTCCTGGTGCTGGACTTGTCTGCCTGTTGAAGGGGTCCAAGTGTCAGTCCACTCAGCCGGCTATCTCTCTACTCTCATCAAGGGGACAGGCCCCAGAGCATCCCTGTTCAGATTGTACCAGGTTCTGCTCAAGCAGGATACAGGAAGCAGGTTGCTCAACATTCCACAAGCAGAGAAAATGCAGCTTGTTTTTAACACAGTATACACAGGTTGTTTGCATTTGGTTTGCAGAAAATGATGCAGCTATTAAAAATCATCAATATGTATGTATTATCTGAGCCACTAACATGAAAAAGTGGCTCTGAGATATTATTTAACTAAAAGTATTATCTTATTTTTTGCCAATATATGTGACATATACACACACATAGATATGTATATCGATTTTTTTTAAGAGACAGTGTCTCAGTCTATTGCCCAGGCTGGAGTGCAGTGGCGCAATCATAGCTCACTGCAGCCTTGACCTCCTGGGCTCAAACAATCCTCCTGCCTCAGTCTCCCGGGTAGGTGGGACTACAGGTGCACACCGCCACACCTAGCTAATTTTTAAATTTTTTCTAGAGACAGGTCTCCCTGTGTTGCTGAGGCTGGTCTTGAACTCCTGGTCTCAAGGGATCCTCCCACCTTGTGAGCAGCAAGCCACCCAGGTGCCGAGGCAAGAGACCGAGGACACGAGCTGTTCCAGTACAATAAAATATAAAACAAGAATAGTTATACCAGATATAGATCTTAGATATGATTATATATGAATATCATTAATCATTAGTTTGTAGCAATTACTCTTTATTCCAATATTACAATAAACCTTGCTCTATAATCATAACCTAGGAAAAACCAGGCCATACGAGATAAGAGCTGAGGGGACACAGTGAGAAGTGACCAAAAGACAAGAGTGCGAGCCTTCCGTTATGCCCAGACAGAGCCACCAGAAGGGCTCCTTGGCCTAGCGGCGATGCCAGCATCTGGGAAGACGCCTGTTGCCAGGCGGACCGTGGTCTAGTGGTAGCGAAAAGCGTCAAGGAACAACACCCGCTACTTAGCAGACGGGGAAAGGGGTTCCCGGGGGAGTTTAGAAAAGACTGCCCCTCCACCTCTTGTGGAGGGCCTGACAGCAGTCAGCCTTGCCCACAGTTATCCGGAGGCCTAACCGTCTCCCTGTGATGCTGTGCTTCAGTGGTCACGCTCCTAGTCCGCCTTCATGTTCCATCCTGTACAGCTGGCTCTGCCTTCTAGATAGCAGTAGTAAATTAGTGAAAGTACTAAAAGTCTCTGATCTACAAAAATAATGGCATAAACTGTCTTTCTCTTTGTCTCCTCTCTCTCTCTGCCTTGGCTGCCAGGCAGGGAAGGTTCCCCTGTCCAGTGGACACGTGACCCACGTGACCTTACCTATCATTGGAGATGACTCACACTCTTTACCCTGCCCCTTTTGCTTTGTATCCAATAAATAACAGCGCAGCCAGACATTCGGGGCCACTACCGGTCTCCGCGCATTGGTGGTAGTGGTCCCCGGGGCCCAGCTGTCTTTTCTTCTATCTCTTCGTCTTGTGTCTTTATTTCTACACTCTCTCGTCTCCACACACGGAGAGAGACCCACTGACCCTGTGGGGCTGGACCCTACACCACCTCAGCCTCCCAAAATGCTGGGATTGCACGTGTGCCTCACTGCACCCAGCCCAACATATAGATTTGTGTTTGCTCACCACTGGGCCCCAGGGGACCTAGCACACTGCCCTGCCTAGGACATTGTGGGCAATCACTGTGTATCTGTTCAGTGACCAAGTTAGAAATATCTGGAAAGATGTATGCCAAACTGTTTAGTGGTGCTCACTTCAAGGGAATGCGATTGAGGAAAATAAATAAGGATAGAGGGCTTTATGATATATACATATGGACTATTTGATTCTTTTTTTCACAATAACATGTAGGACTTTTTCATTTAAAAGAATGAAGTTTTTTAAAAAAGTTTTATTACCTTGGCTTTGAAGTTTCTGCTTCAAAATTATTATTAGAGTCATCTTTTGGAGGGTAGGAAAAAATAGCATTTTCTGTGGTCCGGTTGGTACCAGGATACTTTGAGAGAGCTACTGGAGTTAGGAAATGGGAACGGAAAAGCAAAGAAGAATGGCAAGGGGAGGAGCTAGCAGGGAGAGCGAGGGGAGCAGGAATGGAAATATTTTTCATTTCTCTTTGTTGTCCTTAAATGGATTGGGAAAGGCCTGAAGATGCTCTGCCGAGTACCACCTCTGAAATACAACCCGCCAGGGAGAACAAAGGGAAACTTTTCTCCAGTTCTCCACCAACTGTTTTCCTGGGTGTGAGACCTAAGAGCCCTGTAGGAAGAACACAAGTGCCGAAGTGCTGCTTTTCATTGCTGTTGGCTGGGCCTTCCTCTTGTCTACAGTTTGTTTGTTTGTTTGTTTGAAACGGAGTCTTGCTTTGTCTCCCAGGCTGGAGTGCAATGGCACGATGTCGGCTGACCGCAACCTCTGCATCCTGGGTTCAAGCAATTCTCTCACCTCAGCCTCCCGAGTAGCTGGGATTACAGGTGCCTGCCACCACACCCAGCTAATTTTCTTGTATTTTAAGTGGAGACGGGGTTTCACCATGTTGACCAGGCTGATCTCAAACTCCTGACCTCAGGTGATCCGCTCGCCTCCTGTCTAAATTTATCATGAGCAGAAAGGCAGGCACTTCAGGGAATGAGTTCATGGTTCCCTCTTAGAAGCCTCTGCTGGGGCTCCGGGCTGAAAAGCAGCCTGAGGATGGCCACTGTTTAGAGAGGGTGTCCTGAACAGGAGAAATCTCCTCTGAACCTGCCTGAGGCAGTTATGGTGAAGTACAGGTGACCCAGGCGAACACACACAGCTTTTGAATTGCTGTCACGGGAGAGCAACTCTTCACTGAGGACCTACCCTACACTCCCTTTGAGCATATCTCATCCTCCAAACAGTCCTGTGAGGTGTGTTTACTGTCATTCCCACTTTAACTTTGAGGACTCTGAGGCTCAGAGATACTGAGTAACTTCTGCAAGGTCACACAGCTCATCTATGGAGGAGTCAAGCCCAGAGCAGTCTCCCTTCCAGGTGGATGTTATTACTGCCCCCTCCCTGCACCCCGCCACAGCCCCCCAACCCCTACCCTCCATTGCCCTGTTGCCATCTGTTCTTCCTACATGCTTGGGTGGAGCACAGGTAACACACTTTCTTTGCACAACTCTTGACAACGCTTAAGAAGGGAAAAAAAGGTGTAGACAATAAAAGGGTGGGGTTGTGACTGTGCCACAGCCTGGTGCTGTGTTTATATGTAAGGATTGCTGTACAGATCATAAATAGAATAGTCAAGATGTGGGTCAGTCTTCTCTCTCTTGTTAGAAATCTAGAAGGGGAGCATGTGTGTTTGCCAGATCCTAGAGTTTGCTCAGTGAATTCGTCAGGGTTCTGCAGAGAGAGAATCAACAGGATTACCTCCGTGATTATGGAGGCTGAGAAGTCCTGTGACAGGCTGTCTGTGAGCCGGACACCCCAGGATGCTGGTAGCATGGCTCAGTCCAAGTCTGAAGGCCTCAGGACCAGGGCAGCTGATGGTGCAACTCTCAGGCCAAGGCCAAAGGCCTGAAAACCCAGGGGCCACTGGTGTAAATGCTGGAGTCCAAAGGCTTGGGAGCCTGGAGTCCTTGTCCAATAACAGCAGAGGAAGAGTATAACTCAGTTCCAGCAGACAGATTGACCCATTCACCTTTTCTCTGATTTTGTTCTCTCTGGACTCCCAGCAGATAGAATAGTGCCCACTCACATTCACTGTGGCTCTTCCCCACCTAGTCCACTCAGACTCACATGCTAATCTCCTCTGGAAACACCCTCACAGGCACACCCAAAATGAATGCTTTATCAGGTTTCCAAACATTCCTTAATCCAGCCAAGTTAATACCTAACCATCACACTCAGTGTCATTGTCTGTTCCGGCTACTGTAACAGAATACCATAGACTGGGTGGCTTAAACAACAAACATTTATTTCTCATAGTTCAGGAGGCTGGAAAGTCCAAGATCAAGGCACTGGAAAATCTGGTGTCTGGTGAAGTTTCACCTCCTGGTTCATAAGTGGCCATCTTCTCATTGTGTCCTCACATGGTAGAAAAGGGGCTGAAGAGTTCTCTGAGGTCCCTTTTATAAGGGCACTAATGTCATTCATGAGGTCTCCACCTCATGACTTAATTACCTCCCCAAAGTCCTACCTCCTAATATCATTATATTGGGGGTTGGGATTTCAATACATGAATTTTGGGTGGATATGTCATTCAGTCTATAATACTTAGTGTATTAATCCATTTTGATGCTGCTGATAAAGACATATCCAAGACCAGGTAATTTATACAGGGAAAAGGGTTTAATGAACTGATAGTTCCGCGTGGCTGGGGAGGCCTCACAATCATGGCAGAAGGCAAGGAGGAGCAAGTCAAATCTTACGTGGATGGCGGCAGGCAAAGAGAGAGCTTGTGCAGGGAAACTCCCCTTTTTAAAACCATCAGATCTCATGAGACTTATTCACTATCATGAGAACAGCACAGGAAAGACCTGCCGCCATGACTCAGTTACCTCCCACCAAGTCCCTTCCACAACACATGAAAATTCAAGATGAGATTTGGGTGGGGACACAGCCAAACCATATCACTTAGTATTTTTTATTTATTTTTTTTATTTTTCATTTTATTTTATTTTATTTTATTTTAGAGACAGAATCTCGCTGTGTCACCCAGGCTGGAGTGCAGTGGCGCAATCTCGGCTCACTGCAAGCTCCGCCTCCCAGGTTCATGCCATTCTCCTGCCTCAGCCTCCCAAGTAGCTGGGACTACAGGCGCCCGCCACCATGCAGGGCCAATTTTTTGTATTTTTAGTAGAGACGGGGTTTCACCATGTTAGCCAGGATGATTTTGATTTCCTGACCTTGTGATCTGCCCGCCTCAGCCTCCCAAAGTGCTGGGATTACAGGCGTGAGCCACCACGCCCAGCCAATCACTTAGTATTTTTTAAAAAGGCATAAGAAGATAAAGAATATCTTATTCCACTCCCTAAGCAAAACTGACCAAACCATTTGGATCTAATTAGAAACTCTCCATTCTATAGCATTAATCTATGGAAAGAAATGAAAAGGGAAAGGATTCATTCCTTGGACAAACCTTGATTTTACATTTTTAAAAGCTATAATTTCAAGTACTAAAAAGGCAGAGTGAAACTATGATGTTTCACGTGGAAGAGAAGACAATTACCATCATGTTCTTCCCTGAGAAGGGCCCTTATCCAAAGGGTCTGGTGTGTTCAAACACCAACTGGCTAACTCTCCCCACAGCCCCTCAGTGCCCCTCAGTGGACAGTCATCGCTAGGGTCCGAATGTCTGTGTCCCCCCAAAATCCATGTTGAAAACCCTATCTGCAATGTGGTGGTATTAAGACATGGGGCCTGTAGGAGGTGATAAGGTCATGAGGGTGGAGCCCTCAGGCATGGGATTAGTGCCCTTTAAAAGAGGCCCAAGGGAGCCTCCTGGCCCCTTCTACACATAGAAGGCACCATCTATAAGGAACAGGCCCTCACCAGACACCAGATCTGCTAGCACCTTGATCTTGGACTTCCCAACCTCCAGAACGGTGAGCAATACATTTCTGTTGTTCATGAATTACTTGGTTTAAGGTATTTTGTTATAGCAACCAGAACAGACTGAGATAGCCACAGAGGAGTTGCTGCTAGGGCAGAGACAGGAAGAGAAGAAATGCTCAGGCTCCCAGTGTCGGGTCCTGCCACACCAGACCCACTCTAGTCCCACAGCCTGCAGTGAGCACCTGCCTTATTCCAGGCATATGCTTGGTGCTAGGCATGTAAATGGAAAGATTCTCAACATGTCTCTTTCAGAAGCAAAAACTGGTGATGCAAGCAGTTCCAAACTGGCCACTAGACAAAGCTATAGAGTCCACCAGTTGCTTCTGTTCCACTGCTTTTGTGGGCTGCTTCCAGTCCAGAGAGGCTGCCCTGCAGGGCCCTGGAAGATACCAGAACTGACCACCACCCTCCTCCTCCACCTCCTGCCAAGCCCCTGGACCCTGCTCTGCTTTCCTAGTGACCCTTCCCTTTGGGTGAGCTCCTCTCTGGAACAGGGTCTTGTTCTGTCATCAGATTCAGTCAGGGGACCTCCTGAATAGAAGTCCTGGTAGCATGGAGTCTCAGAATGGAAGAGTTAGTTCTCAATTTGTTTTTTCTTTCCAAGAGGTTCCTTGACTCCAGTGCAAATTAATTAATTAATTAATCTATTTATTTATTTTGAGACAGTCTCACTCTGTAGCCGAGGCTGGAGTGCAGTGGTGCGATCTTGGCTCACTGCAACCACCACCTCCTGGGTTCAAGAGATTCTCCTGCCTCAGCCTCCCGAGTAGCTGAGATACAGGCACCCGCTACCATGCCTGGCTAATTTTTGTATTTTTAGTAGAGATGGGGTTTTGCCATGGCTGGTCTTGAACTCCTGACCTCAGGTGATTCACCTGCCTTAGCCTCCCAAAGTGCTGGGATTACAGATGTGAGCCACTGTGCCCAGCCCCCAGTACAAATTTATTAACCTCCTTCCCCTACTAAAGGAATACTGGGAACAGCAGGCTTTGTCAACCTACAAAAGGTTCTGTTAAGCAATGGATGCCTGTTCAACTGACACTTGCATACTTACTCAGGGAGCACTCTCAAGTTTTGGGAAAAGTTCAAGATGATCTGTTCCAAGATGACTGACTCTCTGTGGTCACCTGGACCCAAAGGTTTTGGCAGCTTTTCTTGTTAAAAAGTGATTAGGTTCTCTACACTAGGCTCCCCATGACTTCCACCACAATAGTAGTAGCTAAGCTCGAGAGAACACTTGGTGAGCGCCTACAGGGTTCTGAGCACTTTGCATGCACTCACTCGTTTACTGTTGACAACACCTCTGTGAAGCAGGGACTATGAGATCAGCTACCTTTCATGGAGCATCTAATACATGCAAGGTGATTTTCACCGTCTGTATAATGAAGTGGAGAAATTTACTCACCAGAATTCCAGAGCTTCTCTTCAAAAAACAGGTGAATAGAGTCCAGATTCTGCTTCCTATGAAGGCTGAACACAGCAGGGTGGGTCAGATGAGAGGGGGTGTTTGGAAAGGGATAAAGGGACAATGACAATGTAGCATGGGGCCAGCAGAGGAGGGGGAGGAGGCACAGCAGTGTGGCAGTGAGAGACTTTGTGGAACAGGGTGGCAGCGACAGTAGAAAGGACAGGGAGGAGCTTTAACATGCTTTGCTACGTGACCCATTACATTGTGCCCTTCAGGACAATCTATCATAAAGTTTGACATTCTTCTTCAAGTTTTCTCTAGTTGGATTTACCCAGTTTAACTTTTGGATGTGTCCATGGACAGCGTTATTTAGTTCACATTTTAAAATTAGGATGTTTAGTATAAAAAAACCCAGAAAATATCAAGTGTTGGAAAGGAGGTGGAGAAACTGGCACACTTGTGCACTGTTGGTGGGAATGTAAAATGCTCCAGCTGCTATGGAAAACACAGTGACAGTTCCTCAGAAATTAAAACCAGAATTACCATAGGATCCAGCAATTTCACTTCTGAATATATATGTATATATACACCCCAAAGAAACGAAAGCAGAGGCTCAAACAGCTCTCTGTACACCTGTGTTCATAACAGCATTATTTGCAACAACCAAGAGGTAGAAACAATCCAAGTGTTTATCAACAGATGAATGGATACACAAAATGTGTTCCATTCATACAATGGAATATTATTCAGCCTTAAAAGGGAAGGAAGTTCTGACACTACAACATGAGTGAACCTTGACACATTGTGCTGAGTGAAATAAGCCACAAGGGACAAATACTGCACGATCCACTTATGTAAGGGACCTAAAGTAGTCAAATTCACACAGACAGAAAGTAAACGGTGGTTGCCAGGGGCTGGGGAGGAGGGAAGTGGGGAGTTATTGTTCAGCAGGTACGGACTTTCAGTTTGCAAGATGAAAAGAGTTCTGGAGATGGATTGTGATAATGGTTATGCAACAATGGGAATGTGCTTAATCCCACTGAATTGTACAACTTAAAATGGTTAAGATGGTAAATTTTCTGTGTATTTCACCACATTTAAAAAACAACCCCAAGGCAGCTGTGCGAGATAGGTTTTATTACTTTTATTCCCCAGGTGAGGAAATCCAGGCACAGAGAAGTTAGGTGCCTTGCTAGGGCTACACAGCTGGGCGTCAAATCAGGAGCTGACTCCCTAAGAAAGCCACGCCTCTCTCCCGCATCAGGCATCACAGGAGCCACTCAGGGAGCAACGGAGGGCGCTGGCTGTCAGCTGATGCCACAGAGATTAATCTTGGGCGGGCCTAGCCTCTCCTTTCTGCGCGTTTCTCTCTCTAGACTGCACTTCCTCCAACCCTGCATTTTCTAGGGTCCTTATTCCCTTCTCTGCCTTTCCCCATCAAAACATTCTCTCAGAGAAAAACCTGATCACACATTTATACCTAAGTTACACGGTGTGAATTTAAGTCAACGCACTGCCTCTCTGAGGGGTGCTTGCATGTTAAGCCTCATCACCCTCTATGAAATGAAAGGCTTTGTTCCATATTAAAGGAATTTCAGGCATCAAGGAACAAGTGGGGAGAAATTGGTGGCAAGTGGGGCAATGATAACCCAGGAAAGGCATTAAATGGTGAAACTTTGGGCACACAGTTAGAAGGGAGATAGATTTTATGGACATGCTGATCTTTCAGAGCTCCTCAAAGATGTGAGGGGTGGGTTTGTGGGAGATGGGAGGGTGGACAGTTGATGCTCAAATCCTCCCTCTGAGCAAGCGTAGCTGCCTGATTTCCAGACTCCAGACACGTGTTTATCACTAGAACCGTGTGCATCCTAGAAAAGAGAATCCAGGGGTTGATTTCTTCAGCAGATCACTTCTCTGACAGTTCTCAATGCCACCTGTCTGCATTGTGAAATCCCAGTCCCAAGCAGCTGGGTGTGGTAGCTGGAGCTCTCTGTCCATAGAATCTGAACAATGATTCCTTTAGCGTCAAGAATGCATTCCACATACTCACTGGCAGACTGTGCTGTACAGAACCTAAGGCGAATCCTGTGGACATTGATGCCTGTCTTCCAGGTGCTTACAGAGTAAGACTGAATGTTCCCAAGGAGTAGAAAAGACACCATCCCAAAAGCATTCAGGCTAAGCGCCTGCATCTGAATCAGGCTTCCTGGTCTGAGTTCCTCGTTTTATCTCCTGCCAGCTGTGTGGCCACAGGGAAGTTTCTTAATTTCTTTGTATCTCAGTTTCTTAATCTGCGTAATGGGGATAGTAATGTGTCTATTTCATGGGTAACAAAGGCTCCGAATGGACCGCTTCTGGATGCCTCCTTTATGAGAAGAAAACGTCTCCTTCCCACCAAGGGGGTGTATCCTCTCCCCCAGCACACAGCATCGTAAGTGGGGACCAGAGTAGATTTTAGCCCCACCAAGTCTGCTGTGCCTTCCTCAGCCAGGCACAACTGCACAACTGTACACAGCAGCCTGTAGGATAGTCATGAAGATCAGATCAAATGACCTACGTGCTGCGTCCAGCATTTGGCTCAATAAATATCAGCTACTATTATAATTGATATTAAATAAATGCATAACTCAATTACTATACCAAGAATCACTTATCAGTCAATACTGTAGGGGGAAAAAACTCAACAAAATAGTAGAGAATATGAAAATATTCATATGGGCTGGGCGCAGTGGCTCACGCCTGTAATTCCAGCACTTTGGGAGGCCAAGGCGGGCAGATCACCTGAGGTCAGGAGTTCGGGACCAGCCTGGCCAACATGGCAAAACCCTGTCTCTACTACAAATACAAAAATTAGCCAGGTGTGATGGTGGGTGCCTGTAATCCCAGCTACTCAGGAGGCTGAGGTAGGACAATCGCTTGAACCCAGGAGGTGGTTTTTGCCGAGATCACGCCACTGCACTGCAGCCTGGGTGACAGAGGAAGACTCTGTCTCAAAAAAAAAAAAAAAAAAAGAAAGAAAAAGAAAATATTCATATGTAGTAATGAGATGAATTTTTATGCTGACAATTGAATAAGGGAGTATTTTTGTACGATTGAGAGTGTACTACAAATCAGAGACCCCAACCACACATGAGGATCCAGTTGAGAAGAAAACAAAGGCAGCAGCACGTACCTCTGGAGGGCTGCTGCCTGCCCTACTCTGTGCTCTGTTCTGGGACAGACCCAGCACTGCGCCTCTCCCACCACATGAAAGCTCCAGGATAAGTAGAGCCGTTCTCACTCTCAAAGCCTGCTGCCTGGATACGCATACCCTCCTGGCAGGAGAAAAATTATGTATTCTATTAATTTAAAATATTTTTCCTTTCAACTCTGCCTGGTTGGCAGAATGCATATAGAAGTAAGAGTAAATGGGGATAGCAATTCTGTCTATAGAAAATATGTTCTTAGAATTGCATCTTAAAAACAATGAAGCTGGCCGGGTGAGGTGGCTCTCACCTGTAATCTCAGCACTTTGGGAGGCTGAGGCAGGTGGATTGCTTGAGCCCAGGAGTTCAAAACCAGCCTGGCCAACATGGCAAAACCTCATGTCTACAAAAAATTAGCTGAGTGTGGTGGCACACGCCTGTAGTCCCAGCTACTCGAGAGGCTGAGGTGGGAGGAACATCTGAGTCCAGGAGGTTGGGGCTACAGTGAGCCATGATTGCACACTGCACTTCAGCCTGGGTAACAGAGTGAGACCCTGTCTCAAAACAACAACAGGCTGGGTGCGGTGGCTCATGCCTGTAATCCTGACACTTTGGGAAGCCAAGACAGGTGGATCACTCGAGCCCAGAAGTTTGAGACCAGCCTGGCCAACGTGGTGAAACCCCATCTCTACAAAAAATACAAAAATTAGCCAGGCGTGGTGGCGCATGTCTGTAATCCCAACTACTCAGGAGGCTGAGGCATGAGAATCGCTTGAGCCTGGGAGGTAGCGGTTGTAATGAGCCAAGATTGTGCCACTGCACTCCAGCCTGGGTGACAGAGTGAGACTCTGTCTCAAAAAATAACAACAACAACAACAACAACAATAAAGCCAGGAAGTTTACTCGTGTGTGTGTGTGTGTGTGTGTGTGTGTGTGTAAGAGAGGAGAGAGATTGATTTTACTTGTAGATTATGCAACACAAAAACAAAAACAGAAAACTCTCCAAACCCCACAACCCTCTTTTCCACAACAATTCTACCTTTTCTCTTCAGCTGTCCTGCCAGGGTAAGGTTCTTCACCTTCCCCAGAGACTCTCAAGGAACTGGACCAAGTTTGTTGCAGCTCAGCCCAGTTGGGGTTGTGGGTATCTGTAGCAGAGGCTGAGAGTTGAACCTTCATATGTATTCTCTCCTTCTGCCATAGTAATAGCATTTTTAGTTGGGTAAGTGGCTTCCTAGAATGAAGGCTCCATTACCCAGCCTTCCCTGTAGGGTAAGTATGGCCACGTGGCCAAGTTCTGATCAATGAGACATGAGAAGTGATGTGTGCAACCTTCAAATCATGCCCTTCAAGCAAAGGGGCATGCCTTCCTCTCTCCTTCCCCTTTCTCGTTGGCTCGAATGTAGATGTAAAGGTGCCGGTGAGCTGTCGGGGACCACGTGGTTAGGAATAATATTCCATTGCATGTATGGACCACATTTTGTGTATCTATTCATCTGTTGATAAACACTTGTATTTTTCTACCTCTTGGTTGTTGCAAATAATGCTGTTATACCCCAGAAATGATAGAGCAACAGGATAGGAGTCTGGGTCCCTGAAAACCCCAAAACCCACATCCCGGGTACATAATATCACACAAAACTCCTATTTGACTCTGACTTGCTTGTCTTATTGGGATTTTCCCACTAAGACGACATCTCCTCCCCTCCACTACCCACCACTATGGGTAGGAAATAGGTTTTTCTTGAAGATTGTGGGCATTTTTCTTATTAGTAATTTTGGGAAGAGCTTAACTACAGAAAAGATTTGAAGACAAAAACAGGCCTTGGACCAGAATGGGAGAGTGAGCTCTTCCTCTCTTGGGACCTCCTGGATAGGGCTGGGACTCGGGTAGAGGGCATGTCCTCTGTGGGGAGGTAGGCCAGTTAGTGAAGGAAGCCACAGGCTGGGACTCCCTGAAGATGGGCTGTTTCTAATTTGGGAGTGGACAGGCACAGGGGAGCCTGCTTCCGACTGGCATCTGGGGCTGATGAGGAAACTGGAGCCGAGACCCTGACGCCATGGGACACTCTCTCTCTCTCTCTCTGCCACACACACACACACACACACACACACACACACACACGCACAAACAGTGGAAATGTCAGTATCTGGGGAGCTTTCAGGCCCTTTGAGAGGGCTTAATTTCTGGCAATCATCAGTGGGGCTCATGCCCTCACACTTTGAATTTTTTTTTTTTTTGAGGTAGAGTCTCGCTCTGTTGCCCAGGTTGGAGTGCAGTGGCAAGATCTCGGCTCACTGCAACCTCCACCTCCCGGGTTCAAGTGATTCTCCTGCCTCAGCCTCCTGAGTAGCTGGGATTACAGGCACCCACCACCATGCCCAGCTAATACAGTTTGAATATTTTACAAGAAATACTACCTGGCATTTGGATGGGAGGCAAAGCTGTGCTAATAACCCCTGGGAAGTAGGTGGTGTTTGTCTCACTCTCCTTTTCTTTCTTTTTTTTTGTTTTTTGTGGAGACAGAGTCTTGCTCTGTAACCCAGGCTGGAGTGCAGTGGCACGATCTCAGCTCACTGCAACCTCCGCCTCCTGGGTTCAAGTGATTCTCCTGTCTCAGCTTCCTGAGTAGCTGGGATTACAGGCACCTGCCACCACACCAGGCTAATTATTTTGTATTTTTATTAGAGGCGGGATTTCACCATGTTGGTCAGACTGGTCTTGAGCTCCTGACCTCAGATGACCACCCGCCTTAGCCTCCCAAAGCACTGGGATTACAGGCGTGAGCCACGGCGCCTGGGCAGGCTCCTTTTCATTCATCGATTCCCTTCAGCAGTTCCGGGCTCCCTTCCTGTAGGACACCATTCTCCCAAGATACCCTCTTGCAGAGGGGCTGCCTGCTCTGTCCAGCCTCCTCCAGGCCTCTGCCAGCAGGCCCTTTGCCCTCCTTGCCCTTGCCCTTTCCTGCCCCAGATCTGGCCAACTCTCTGCCTTCCAAGTGCACACTGGCTGCACCACACCCTCCCCAGGCTCAGAGGCTGCAGGGTAGGAAACAGAAGCTTATGCAACTTACCCAAGGCCACAAGGCTACAGGTGGGGAGCTGGGATTTTAACCCAGGCAGGCTGACTCCAGGGTGTGGGCTCTTTGCCCTGAATCCTCCAGCCTTCAGGGCTCACCCTTCCTTTAACAAACAGATAAAATGTCTCAAGTCCATCTCCTACATCCTGTGGGAAGTCCAGCAGCCTCCCCTGCCTTTCTAAGGCATCTTGGGAGGTGGGGGTGGTTATATTCTCCTGGTTACTACTATCTGAATTCTTCATCCCTTCAAGTCTTGTTGCCGCCAGCATCTGCTGTCCTCTCTCCCCTTCCCTCACCCAAGGCATGAGCATTCTCCTTCTTCCTTCGTTCCCCCAAGCATACCTCAACCAAGCCAATCCCTGGAAATGTGTTCTTAAGGACTGGGGAGGTTTGGTAATAATAGAGGGTCACTATTCATAGCAGTGATCAGGAAAGGGCTGAAAATTCCAAATGAGGCCTCACTGTCCTGCAGGCCCACCTCTACATCCACAGGGATGGACAGGAGCACAAATGGAGACCTCAACCCTCACCTTCTCCCCCATTCTCTTCCCAAGAACAGCTCCATCCTGCACATGAAGGACGTCACATGTGAACTCTGTACTGCCTGCTTTGGGATCGGGTCATTCCCTGGTCCATGGCGTGGGAGAGGCTCCAGTGGATGTACCTCATTGGCCCCACGCAGTGGTGCTGGCTAGGACAGGCTCTTGGGCACCAACTCTGCGCATCTTCTAACTCCACTTTCAGGCACATCACAATGGTAGCTTGAAATCAGTGATGGTGGGAATATTTACACTATGGAAATTGGCAAACACTGCAAATCAGATTTTTATTTTCCTGGGGAGCTGTTTTGCCAGCACACCACTGTGCCATGGATGCCTCACCCCATGCACACGGGCACAGCCAGAGAAAGGCCAGATCAAAGCTCTCCAAGGCAGTGGTTCTTAGATTTTGCTGCATAATAGAATCGCCTGAGAGATCTAGCAATTGAGAAATCAGTGTTGTAAAGAGTTTCCCAGGGAATCGCAATGCACAGCCAAATTGCAGACCAATGCTCTAAAACATCTCTTCGCAAAATTTAGCATAAAGGCCGGGCGTGGTGGCACACGCCTATAATCCCAGCACTTTGGGAGGCCAAGGCAGATGGATTGCTTGAGGTCAGGAGTTTGAGACCAGCCTGGCCAACATGGTGAAACCCCATCTCTACTAGAATACAAAAATTAGCCAGGCATTGGTGGCAGGTGCCTGTAATCCCAGCTACTCCAAAGGCTGAGGCAGGAGAATCACTTGGATCCTAAAGGCGGAGGTTGCAGTGGGCTGAGATTGCGCTGCTGCACTCCAGCCTGGGGAACAGAGTGAGACTCCATCTCAAACAAAACAAACAAACAAACAAAAAATTTAGCGTACATATAAATTGCCAGGGGGTCTTTTAAATGACAGATTCTAGTTCAGTAAGTCTGGGTGGTGCCTGGGAGTCTGCATTGCTAAGAAGCTCTCAGGTGCTACTGATGCTGCTGGTCTCTGGATCATAATCTGAGTAACAAGGGTCTAAAGCACAGGGCCTAAGGGTGGTACTCCTATTCTGAGGAACTTCAGCTTTGCAGCTCACGGGGAATTTCTGGAGTTACTGTTCATGTTTTTGAGACAGAATCTCGCTTTGTCGTCCAGGCTGGAGTGCAGTGGCGCAATCTCAGCTCACTCCAACCTCCGCCTCCCGGGCTCAAGGGATTCTCCTGCTTCAGCCTCCCAAGTAGCAGGGATTACGGGTGTGTGCCGCCATACCTGGCTGTTTTTGGATTTTAGTAGAGATGGGGTTTCACCATGTTGGCCAGGCTGATCTCGAACTCCTGACCTCAAGTGATCTGCCCACCTCGGCCTCCCAAAGTGTTGGGATTACAGGCGTGAGCCACGGCACCTGGCCAGAGTTATCTTTCTTCTTAAACTCTGGCCTCAGCAATTTTTTTGGAGCAGAGTCTGGCCCCTTTTACCCTATTCTAGGTCATGGCAAACCGGTCTCCTTTGAAGCCTGAAGAAAATTCCCAAATTCTTGTCATCTCATTATGTAGATCCATTCTCCTTCCAGACAATGCCAGGCTGTGGGTATGGTGGAAAGAAGGCTCATCTTTCATAACCAAACAGGTGTTTTCTTAAACAAGCCCCTTTCCTTCTACTCCCCCCGCCCATCCGTCCTACACCTCTAGAATTCAGATGCACCACTACAATAATTTCTTTTTGTGTTGATTGTTTTCCTTTCCTGTTATATTGGTAAAGACTGGGGCTTAGTGTGGAGGGTCCTGATGCAAGTGTGAATGACCGGCAGCTCCAGGGCTACCTGCAGTGGCCCGTGTGGGGTGGGGACAAGGAGGGAGGACCTGCAATGAGGCGCCAGACTGGAGCAGCCTAGTGGTGAATCCCTCAGTCACACAAGCTAAGAGTTACCACCAGACTGTTGGCAAAAGAAGCAGAAGACACCTCAGAACTAAAACAATCGTGAATCTTTCATTGTTATGTAAAAACGTAACTAAAGACTAATAAAATGATACCCAATTCTTCCTACAGAGTATTGGGCTCAGTCACCATCAACAAATCTTTTGGTTTGTATTTATTTATTTTCTATTTTTTAGAGGCAGGGTCTTTCTGTGTTGCCCAGGCTAGCCTTGAACTCTCAGGTTCAAGCAATTCTCCCACCTCGGCCTCCCAAAGTGCTGGGATTATAGGCATGAGCCACCACACCTGGCTAACAAATCTTTTGTTACTCGAAGTCTTGAGTTAAAGAAACCTCCTCTGTGTTGATACAGATGGATACCTGGAGAGAGGTGACCCTACCTGCTCTCAGAATCAAGGTTCTGATGCCCACATGGTCTTACTGAGGCTGGCAGCCCCTTGGCGTGATGCTGTCGCAGTGAGGGGTGGTTATGTCTGAGTAAGGCCATACTCCAAGGCCGGTCTCTGCTCTGCGTGGCTCAGGGCTGGCCTGCCTCAGGAGAGACTCGTTTGGGGATGTTGCTCATAGTGATGGGAAGTTAGATCTAATCTAAGCTGTCCTGGTGTCTCCCAGCTCCCTGAAACTCACAGTCTTCTGTTTCATGGGCCATGTGTTCTGCCAGAACTTGTCTCAGAGGGGGTGAGTTTTGGTTATGGGCCTGTTGGAACATTTACTAAGCAGGGATTTCCTGCCTGGCACATGGTCCTGGGGCTTCACTTCAGCTCAGCCAGTGGCTCCTGTGTGCCTGTGCAAAGGCACGGTACTCTCAGGACAATCTGGAAAGCCCGAGTCCTCCCATTGTCTGGAATTGCCTTTTCCTTTCATAGCCACTCCAAGTCCCACCTCATTTCTGGTAGGATTTTTGAAGTGCCTCACAGCCACGGCACACTCTGACTACTGCTCTCACTGAATATGGGTGCTGCTCACCTCCCCGCCATTTGGAGAGTCCCTCCCCCACCTCCCTGTTGCTCCCATTCTTCCTATTTGCCCAAAGGGCCACTATCACAATTCTGTTCCACATAACATTTTAGGAACAATGGAGGGGAATTACAGTTCAGGGCACATGAAGTAAATATTTAAAATGGACTATGAGGCCGGGCGCAGTGGCTCACACCTGTAATCCCAGCACTTTGGGAGGCTGAGGCAGGCGGATCACCTGAGGTCAGGAGTTCGAGACCAGCCTAGCCAACATGGCGAAAACCCGTCCCTACTAAAAATATAAAATGGACTATGAGACGTTCAAAGTTTCATTGACCATCTTTGCCATGGCGAATATCTCACGGTCATCTTAGGGTCCCTGGATGCCACGGTGCCACCTCTCTCCAGAAATTTCTCTCCCTCCTTTCACAGCTCTTGACCCATGTCTCAGTACCACGCAGAGAAGACAAGATTCTTGCAGCTTTATCAGACAGTGCCACCGAATTCCTTTCCTTGGTAGCAATTATTTCCTTTCTGACCATTGCTGGTGATCTCAACCAATTATGTCCCATCAAGGTAATTCCATAAGCAGCTATCTACCACTGAGATCAATACTATTCCCTAAATGCCAGAATAAGCCATCATTTTATGTTTTTGTAGTGATATTTTTCTTTGTTACATCATACATTTCAGGAATATTAAAAAATTAGGAAACAGTTTGGTGGTTTCTCAGAAAGTTAAACATAGAATTACCATATGATTCAGCAATTCAACCTCTGGGTATATCCCCAAAAGAATTTAAAGCAGGGGCTTGGACAGATATTTGTGCCGTGTATTTATAGCAGCATTGTTTGCAATAGCCAAAATGTGGCAACAACCCAAATATCCATCAGAGGATAGGTGGATAAACAGAATGTGGTCTATACATACAGTGGGCCATCACTCAGCCTTAAAAAGGAAGTTAGTCTTGACACATGCTGCAACAAGGATGAACCTTGCAGACATTATGCTAAGTAAATAAACTAGACACAAAAGGGCTGATATTGTATGATTCCAGTTATATGAAATACCTAGAGTAGTCAAACTCATAGAGACAGTAGAACAGAGGCTACCAGGGGCTGGGAGAGAGAGAAATGGGGAGTTATTTGTTTAATGCATACGCAGTACTGTTCGGGATGAAAATGTTCTGGAGATGGAAGGCAGTGAAGGTTGCACAACAACGTGAATGTACTTAATGCCTGAATTGTACATTTGGAAATGGTTAAAATGGTAAATTTTATGTGTATTTTATCACAATGAAAAAAATCCCACAAATTAGAAGCCTTGGCTCTTTCATCTTCTGTACCTTCAGGCAACACCCTTCCGTGTACATGTCCCTGGAGAGACCTAGAGGGGGACAGGTGAGGGCTGAGGGCAGGGAGAGCTGGTGACTGCAGCACAGCTGTGCTTATAAAGCAGGAGAGGTTGTTTTTAAGATTCTGCTTCTCTTTGGGATTCAGCATCAACACTTGGCTCACAGGTAAGCGCTCCCTCTGAAGATCCCAAATGTTTTGCTGTTTTCAGTTTTCACCTGTCTTTTGATGGAGTTGAAGCCAGTTCCCTCCCTGGGATTAATATTCACAACAAGCAGCAAGCGATTAATTTAACCAGCTGAAATTTATTGTGCCTTCACCTTAACTCAAAGCCTGATTCTGCTGGGTGTTTAGTTTTCACTGTTGATGCATTGCAGATGACAGCCCCTAAGCATCTGAATTGAAAGCACACCATGCTACAGAGGTCCTGCCGCCCGCCTGCCTCTTACTCTGACCCCCTGAAATCTAGAGAGCTCTCTGAGTTCCACAGCATGTCTCACTCAGAAAAACCAATTCTTGACTGCTGGTCTCTAGGAACAGTTGGGATCCAAGAACCAGTTTAAGATTTGGGTTTCATGCCTGACTCATGGAACTGATGACTCATTTCATTTCAGGGGGCTTCAGTCAATGAATGCTGACTGGAACTTACAAGCACATCCAACCCCACTCGCTGCCTGCCACAGAAACAACCAGAGAGGCTGAGTGTCTCTCAGACTGAGCATGAAACACTCTCAGCTGCGTTCAGCCACATTCGGGGTTGCACGTGTGCTACCGGGCATTGTGCGGCTCATCCCACCCCAAACCCTCTCCTACCTCACCTCGCTTCACCCCGCCCTGCTCCCCCGCCCTGCCAAGGGACTGTCTAGTGAGGACTCCAACTGTTGGTGTCTAACAAGGCAGAACAAAGGCCCGCGTGTTCATGGAGTTCCATTTGGAGTGCACAACAATTTCAGAGCACAAATGGAAAAAGAAAAAAAAAGAAGGTTGGAAATCTATAGCTGGCTTTTATCAAACCAGAACTTGTAGCTCTCGGCTGACAATCAGCCAGTAGCTAAAACCCATGAGGGACAGCTCTGACTTGCAGCTTCTGGCTGGCTATTAGCTACCAGCAGCCTTCTGACCCTTTTTCCAGGGAAGTAACAGCTGGCAGCTGACAAAGGCGCTGGCAGAGCGGGTAACTTTCGCTTCTCTGGGAATGGATCTAAGATTGGCAGGAAATAAGGCATTTAAAATATGACAATTATAAGCATTTTCACTTGCCTTTTTTATTACGCTTTTGGATTCTGGCTCTGATTGCTAAAATGTATTATGTGCTAAGGAGTTTTGATGGCATTTTTTGGAGAAGTAGATGTCCCAGCGCTTTCCCTGTCACTAACACCAGCCCAGAAAAAGGTGCATTCTATGAGTGTTTTCTACGTAGCCTTCTTGAAAACAATTCCTAGTAACGATCATGATAGATTAATGGCCGTGAGATTACATGAGCTTAAGTGAAGTGCTGCCGGCTAATTAAAGCACAGCTTTGGCTCATTCGGGGCTGTTGGGCGGGGCCTTCTGTGGTGTTGCAGCAGTTGGGGAGAAAAGTAGACATTGGGATGAAGTGTAGATGGATTAACCAACAGTAGAATGAAGAACAATTTAGCCTCATTTCTCTCTTTTATGTACCACGCAGCCCTCCATTTTTTTTGTCACAAAGGGCAGAGGTAGGGGGGTTACAATAATGGGTCCTAGTAGAAGAGCCAATGATTGTGAGACGTGATAACCACCCTTGCTCAAGAGGGTGGGAGGACACAGTGCGACGACTCCACACTTATGCCCCTTGGGTCCTAGCTGCTTTGTTGCTGTGACTCTTTTTGTAGGACATAGCACTTTGGGGTTGTAGCCATTACACTATCTGCAATATTGCTATTTTAATTTTGGTAATAATAATACAAGCTGCTTATTATAAAGGTTGACTTCTATTGAAAGTTTTAATTAAAATGTAGATGTTCATCAGGGTGCAGGTGTTCATGCCTGTAGTCTCAACACTTTGGGAGGCTGAGGCAGGTGGATCACTTGAGGCCAGGAGTTCGAGACCAGCCTGGCCAATATGGCAAAACCCTGTCTTTACTAAAAATACAAAACTCAGCTGGGTGTGGTGGTGCATGCCTGTAATCTCAGCTACTCGGGAGCTGAGGCAGGAGAATCGCTTGGACCTGGGAGGCAGAGGTTGCAGTGAGCCAAGATCATGGCGCTGCACTCCACCCTGAGTCACAGAGTGAGACTCTGTCTCAAAAAAAAAAAAAAAAATGTAGATGTTCAAGGTAATGTTTGTCCAAAGAGCACCAGATAGGTGGAGGAGAAGAACACCAAGTGGCCAGTAGGACAGAGAAATTTATCCAAAAGTTCAAAAGGAGTGGACTGGCTGAGCACAGTGGCTCACGCCTGTAATCCCTGCACTTTGGGAGGCCGAGGTGGATGGATCACCTGAGGTCAGGAATTCGAGACCAGCCTGGCCAACATGGTGAAACCCCGTCTCTACTAAAGATACAAAAATTAGCCAGGCATGGTGGTGGGCGCCTGTAATCCCAGCTACTTGGGAGGCTGAGGCTGGAGAATCGCTTGAACCCAGGAGGCAGAGGCTGCAGTGAGCCGAGATTGTGCCACTGTACTCCAGCCTGGGTGACAGAGTGAGACTCTGTTTCAGAAAAAGGGACTGGACTAGCTGGAAGAAGAATGTTTCCATTACAGGCTTAAATGGCACAGATATGTGCATTTGACTTAGTAAGCAGGGTATTTTCAGAATACTGGGTTCTGTTTCTTATGTTCTTGCCTAAAAAAAAAAATCAATTTTAATAGGAAAGCTTATTTTTCAAGATGGTGGACTGGGCACATGGGTTTCTGCCACTCCCTCCCAAGGACCCATTAAAATGATAATGAACACATTTTAAAAGGGTATAACCTTATAACATGAAGACAGTCGAGGAACAGGAATCAGTAGACTATGAGAGAAGGAGGATAAGAGAGAGGACAGTTGATTTTCCAAATAAGTCCTCCTGTACCATTTGCTTTTTTAATCATGTAGATATATCACTTTGATATACAAGATTTTTAAGTTGGAAGGGACCTTTGTTGCCTTGTTCCTACTCCAGCTTTTAATTAAGACCACATTTCCACCATTCTAAAGAGATGATCTGCGATCCTATTTTTAACAACACCCAGAGAAAGGCAACACAATCCTCTCCTGAACTGAGCTGTTTCATTGTCTGATAATCCTCATGTTTTTGATTCACATTTTCCTTGCAGCCTGAAGGTGATCATGTACACCCAGGAGTAGCCCAGCTCTGTTCCATGAAATGAAACGTCCAGAGCTGTCCGCTTTATGTTTTATATGGCAACACATTTCTATGTGTGATTAAGAAACAAAACAACAAAGTGGGGAACGTACTAAGCTTATCAAAGTACAATAGTTGCTGCTTCACCAGAAAAACTAGTGCTTTCATTCTATTTCTGGCGCTGTTAGCCTGACCCTAGGGAACCAAAGACATTTTGCACTGAAATAAAGAATAACACTTAACAGCTATAGTCAAGCTCATGACAAAATTGTGAAATAGGCAAAGTTTTTTACTAGGATTTTCCCATCATCTCTGGCTGGGTGTTTCTCCTCTTACTGTCCCCTCGCTCAGCTCCAAGGCAACTATTGCTCTCTAGGTGCCAGGAAAACAAAACAAACTATTTTACACTAAAGTGTCATTGACTCCCTGTGAGTTCTACCCCAAGGACATTTGTGTTCTATATGAGTCTGTATGCAATCAAGAGAGAGAAACTATACAGTAGTTTGAACAGGGAAAGTGTAATATAAAGAATTACTCATTATAACAGGAGACTAAAGTAACAAAGAATTGATTGGTAAGATGTAAAAAGAACTCTAAAGAATATCCGAATGGCAGCTATAAGGAGCAGCCACTACCTTTAGAGCTGAGATAGAGGCCAAGAAAGAGGCCCCCCAGGGCTGAGATCCAGACTTTTTGAAGGCTCAGCTCTGGCATAGGGGATGACAGAGAGAACAGAGAGGTGAAACTTCCTGGAAATCCATCCTCTAGGGTGTCCGGAAAAGCTGATCACAGGAAGATATTGTACCAGATGCATTCTGCAACAAAACCACCCAAGGTGAGTGAAGTGCCCAGGAAGCTGCTGGCCACTGGGTGCCTCTGGTCACCATGCATTATAGGAGCCAGGCATAGGAGAAGCAGCCTGTGCCACAGGAGCCTGCTAAGCTTCAGGTGTCTGCCAAGCAAGCATAAGGGAACCAGGACAGAAACCCCTTCCTCCTGCAGTGTCTCCCCAGACCCCTCTACTGAAGCCGCAAACCACAGTATATATTTAAATGACTAAACATATATACACACAGCTTAACATTGTGCCAGATGCAAGAGAAAAATATCTGAAGGGCACAGCTCCATTTTTGAAGATCATGCAATGAATGGTGAATTTAAAGTCAAGAGGCCACAAACTTATAACCAGCACATACTGTAAAAGAGAAAGAAAAGATCAAGGCAATGTTGAACCCAATGGGATGAATTTCTAATGGTAAAGTTCCAGAATAAGCAGGCTAGTGAAGGTATTTTGGAGATGAAGAGCTTTCTAATGGTCCACAAATCACACTATATAGATGACATAAATGTATATCACAACTGATGGGATTATTAAATGCTGCTTCAAGGCAGGAAAGGGATGCTGTCAGGCCTTGAGCTCTTAGTTCAAGTTCACCTCCATTCCTAGGTGTGTCTAGGACTGACTAGTTGCCACCAATTCCATTTCTGCTTTCAAGCACACGAAGAGAAAATATTCCCCAGACTTCTTGCTGCTAGGTGGGGCATGCAACAAGTTCTGGTCAATTGAATTTGAGCAGAAAGCCATTTCCAGATCTGGCCCCTAAAACATCCCATTAGACCATCAGTTCACTGATGGCCAGATGAAGGTAGGGGATCCAGTAGAAGGCTCCAAAGGAGTTCTCGGGGATGGTGGTGCCCTAAGGTGAAAAAAGCCCAAGTGATAACTTAGAGGAGAGATACTCTGGAGAGCTGCTCAAATCACACTGCACTAGAGTATGACTGAATTGTGTTAAGCCTCTGATATTACTGGAATTTTTATTACTGTAGCTAGTGTTAATTACCCTGACTGATACACTGTGCAAATTAAGAGCCCTAGGACAGTCTCATTCTTAAGCTTAAATAGCAGAGAGATAGTACTCATTATTCCTTTAGTTTGAGCTTGTCAGAATGAGGAAGCTAGATCATACATTCTCTTTGGTTCTATGTATGTTAGGTGTGGGATGTCTGAGTCCCAAAGTAATTTACTGTGGCCCAGTGTGGAGGGCAAATCGTGGCAAACCGGTCACTGCACTGAATAGACAAAGACACTCTGAAAATAAAACATCAGGGCATGTTCTTCTCTCGCTTCTGGGAATTAGTTATTTGTATAAAGAGGCTTGACATGGAGGCACACAATAGAATGTGTGACGGAAGGGACCACTTTCCCTGTTAAAGCCCAGCCCCCACTCTGTCAGGTAGCTCCACCCGGGTCCACACTGTTTGCCCACTGGAAGAGCTTCCAAGGTCTGGGCTCTATTGTTCACTGATGAGCAGAAATAGACTTGGTCACATATAATGCACAAATATTTTTAAAGTGCCTTATTTTTCATATTTAAATTATATTAAATGTATATTTATATTAAATATGTATATTAAATGACTATATACACACACATTTCCCTCCATTTTCCCCTTCAGATAACCTCCGAATATATATGGACTTTTTTGGGGTATGAATGGATGAAAAAGGAAAGATACTGCACATAGGTATCCTTCCAGGTCAAACGAGTGAGATCTACTTCTGCAGCCTCCTCTGATCTCACAGCTGTCAGGCTATAAAGTCAGCCAGAGAACATCTCTGAGACCTCAGCTGGGGAGAAGCTATCCCCTGACCGCTGAGATTCAAGACCCTCTGGAGAACTGCCCTGACCCTCAGGTGGTTTCTTTATGTGACGCCCACAGAGTTAGCACGGATTTCCTGAAGGTCTGCATCCTGTGATCCAACACCTCGTGAGTAAATCATTTTTAACAGCAGCATGGCACAATATAAAGTTTATGGAGGATGGACGTAAATTTGGTTCTGGAAAAAGCATGGTTCCCTGTGGTGACAGGCAGCTGGGCTGGTGTGCTCAAACACCCCCTTTATTGGATCGCAAATGATATCAGCTGGAGGCCTTGCTAGCCCCTAACAGAACACACAAAACAAGGATCTGAGAGAGAGAGAGCCAGTCCCATGCTAGCACCTAGGATCCCAAATCCAAACTTGGAGCTGCTTTTCCTACTATGGAATGTGCTCAGTATAGGAAATCTGTTACACTGAAGGCAGCACCCTCTAACTCCCTTTTTGGAGGTTTTAGTCAATTCCAGAGAAACCAGGGTTAGAAAGAAGGAGGCTGGAGGGGGAAGCGAGAGAGAGAAAGAGAGAGAGAGAATTTTATTCTCCTGTCTATTGACACATGAGTATGTGGTTCTACTTTAGAATTCTGTTTTGGGATGGAGAATCTCCAAAAGAACTCACTAAATCAAACATTTTTAGGGGCTTTTTACACTGAAATCAATATCAGCGCCCCCACTCTCGATGTGCCCCGGGATGTGCCACAGGATCCACACCTCCAGCTTCGTCTTTGACTTAGTGAGATTGCACACATTGATGTATGTGCACGAAAGGGACCCTGAAGTCTACAGGGTTAAGGACTTCTCACACACTGAAGTCCCAAACCACAGGAGCCTTGGCAGGTTTCCTTGTGGCACCTGCCAGGCTGCCCATGTTATAAATCATTACTTCCCAGGAAAGAGTGGATGTTGGCCTTGGAAGCCTGAAGGCGAGGCCGCGTCGGGGTGGTGGTGGGTGGAGTTTGGAGGAAGGAGTGTCATCTTGAGGAAATGTAAATTGATACTCTTGGGTTAGACCTGGAACATCTCTCTCAAAAAGCCAGGGCAGCAGGGGTCCCCAGGGAAGCCAGCACAATAAAGGGAGAGCTGTGGACCCAATGCGGCCTCAGAGAAAGCTGAGGGCCACCTGGGGCAATGACCCCTGCTCTTGTGAAGACCTGGAATACTAATGTTGCTTTGGCTCCTTCAATCTTGAGAACAGAGCGGGCAAAGTCCTTCAAGGAGTGATTTATGGCCAGGAAAGGTTTCTGGAGAAACCGAGCCCTGTTGGTGGAGGCAGCACAGTGCAGAGGTGAGGAGGGTGGGTTCTGGCACTGGGCTGGCTGCACTCAATTTCTGGCTTCTCCACTTATTAGCTGCGTGACCTTAGGCAAGTCACTCAGACACCTTTCCCAGTTCTCCCAACTATGAAATGAGGATAATAGGCCTTAATGTGAGCAACTGGTTAGAACAGAACCTGGCATATGCAGGGGAACTTAGTAGTCTAAGCACTACACAGAGGAGGACAAAAGAGGAGATGAAAGTCCCTCTGCTCCCCTACGCTTGTGGCTACCTGATGCTTCCTAAACAGAGAAATGCTAAGGCCAGGCACGAGGGCCAGGCATATAGACAGAAATGCAGCATTCAGACTTCGCTGGATTCCTCCCTTTCACGCAGGGAAGAACTCTGGGCAGGGAGTCAAAGGACTTGCCTTTTATCTCAGCCCTGTCACAGGGACCACAGACCACACACCCCCAATCTTCCAGCCTTCCATTTATGCATAGACTCCTGCAGCAGTGGAGTGAGGTCTTGAAGTTAATCTAGTTCATATTGATTATGTGGATAATAGCAGTAACAACCACTGTATCAGCATTTATTAAGAGTTTCTTGTGTCAGACACTAGACCTGTGTTATAAGTGCCTTATGAGAATTGGCTCAATGTTACCTTCTGATATGAGTGAGTACTCTTACAGCCATTTTACAGATGGGAAAACTGAGGAAGAGAGAAGTTAAATGCCAAATTTTATACACATTAGCTCATCAAATTAATACACATGAGACAGGTATTTCAATTTACAGATGAAAAACTGAGGCTCAGAGAAGTTAAACATTCTACCAGACCCTTAAAGAGGGAGGAGACTTACATTTAAGTTTGTATACATTTTCTGTTAATATGAGTAGTCTCTATTTTATTTTTTGTTGAGAAATAATTTATAATCAGTATTGTGCACTAGTCTTTTTTTTTTTTTTTTTTTTTGAGATGGAATCTCGCAGTGTCACCCAGGCTGGAGTGCAGTGGCATGATCTTGGCTCACTGCAACCTCTGTCTCCCGACTTCAAGTGATTCTCCTGCCTCAGCCTCTCAAGTAGCTGGGATTATAGGCGCCTGCCACCACGCCCAGCTAATTTTTTGTATTTTTAGTAGAGACAGGGTTCCACTATGTTGGCCAGGCTGGTCTCAAACTCCTGACCTCATGATCCGCCTGCCTTGGCCTCCCAAAGTGCTGGGATTACAGGTATGAGCCACCTCACCCGGCCAGTTGTGCACTAGTCTTAAGTGTATAGCTCAGTGGAATTTTACTTACATATATACCAATGTAACCACTAATCTGATCAAGATTTAGAACATTTTCTCCACTCTGGAAGGTTCCCCTGTGTCCCCTCCCAGTGCCTACCTCTGGACCCTAAGATAATCACTAGCTTGGCTTCTGTCACCATTGTGACATTGTTTGTTTCTGGACTTCATACAAATGGAATCAGACAGAATGTGCTCTTCTATGTCTCCTTCTTTCTGTGTCTCAAATTATAATTCTGAGATTTCATCCATATTATGACTTGTATCAATAGTTTGTTCCTTTTTATTGCTGTGTAATATATTCCACAGTATAAATTTATGCACAATTCATTGACTCATTCTTCTGTTGACGAACATTTGGGTTGTTTCCAGTTTTGGACTGTTATGAATATACTTATTCTGAATATTCATGTACAAGTCTTTTTGTAAGCATATGTACTGTTTTCTCTTGGATGTATACCTGGGAGTGGAGTTGATGGGACATAGGGTAGTAAGTGTATGCTTAACTTTACTGCCAGTTTTCCAAAGTGGTGAGAGAAATTTATACTCTCATTGAAAATGAATGACCTTTTAGTTGCTCCACATCCTTGTCCAAGCAAGGTCATTCGTTTTGCTGAGCCATTCGGTGCCATCCAAATGTGATTTTAATTTGCATTTCCTTGATGAGTAACGTTGTTGAGCATCTTTTTCTATGTTTATTGGCCATGAAGAGATCCTCTTTTGTGAAGGGCCTCTTAAGTCTTTTGCCGAATTTTTTTGTTTGTTGGTTTGAGATGGAGTCTCGCTCTGTTGCCCAGGCTGGAGTGCAGTGGTGCGATCTTGGCTCACTGCAAGCTCCACCTCCCGGGTTCACACCATTCTCCTGCCTCAGCCTCCCGAGTAGCTGGGACTACAGGCGCCCACGACCATGCTTGGCTAATTTTTTTGTATTTTTAGTAGAGACAGGGTTTCACCGTGTTATCCAGGATGGTCTTGATCTCCTGACCTTGTGATCTGCCCGCCTCAGCCTCCCAAAGTGCTGGGATTACAGGCGTGAGCCACTGTGCCCAGCCCATCTTTTGCCGATTTTTAAATGAATTGTCCTTTTCTTATAGATTTATAGTTCTTAATATACTCCGGGTATGAGTATTTTGTAAGAAATATGTATTGCAAATATCTTGCCAAGCCTGTGACTTACCTATTCACTTGCTTAATGATGTTTTTGATTAACATACTTTTTTTTTTGTATTTTTTTAAAAATTATACTTTAAGTTCTCGGGTACATGTGCACAACGGGCAGGTTTGTTACATATGTATACATGTGACATGTTGGTGTGCTGCACCCATTAACTCGTTATTTACATTAGGGATAACTCCTAATGCTATCCCTCCCCCCTCCCCCCACCCCATGACAGGCCCTGATGTGTGATGTTCCCCTTCCTGTGTCCAAGTATTCTCATTGTTCAATTCCTACCTATGAGTGAGAACATGCAGTGTTTGGTTTTCTGTCCTTGCAATAGTTTGTTCAGAATGATGGTTTCCAGCTTCATCCATGTCCCTGCAAAGGACATGAACTCATCCTTTTTTATGGCTGCATAGTATTCCATGGTGTATATGTGCCACATTTTCTTAATCCAGTCTACCACTAATGGACATTTGGGTTGGTTCCAAGTCTTTTCTATTGTGAATAGTGCTGCAATAAACATACGTGTGCATGTGTCTTTATAGCAGCATGATTTATAATCCTTTGGGTATATACCCAGTAATGGGATGGCTGGGTCAAATGGTATTTCTAGCTGTAGATCCTTGAGGAATTGCCACACTGTCTTCCACAATGGTTGAACTAGTTTACAGTCCCACCAACAGTGTAAAAGTGTTCCTATTTCTCCACATCCTCTCTAGCACCTATTGTTTCCTGACTTTTTAATGATTGCCATTCTAACTGGTGTGAGATGGTATCTCATTGTGGTTTTGATTTGCGTTTCTCTGATGACCAGTGATGATGAGCATTTTTTCATGTGTCTGTTGGCTGCATAAAAGTCTTCTTTTGAGAAGTGTCTGTTCATATCCTTTGCCCACTTTTTGATGGGGTTGTTTGATTTTTTCTTGTAAATTTGTTTGACTTTTTGTACAAAAAGATTCTGGATATTAGCCTTTTGTCAGATGGGTAGATTGTAAAAATTTTCTCCCATTCTATAGGTTGCCTGTTCACTCTGATGGTAGTTTCTTTTGCTGTGCAGAAGCTCTTTAGTTTAATTAGATCCCATTTGTCAATTTTGGCTTTTGTTGCCATTGCTTTTGGTGTTTTAGACATGAAGTCCTTGCCCATGCCTATGTCCTGAATGGTATTGCCTAGGTTTTCTTCTAGGGTTTTTATGGTTTTAGGTCTAACATTTAAGTGTTTAATCCATCTTGAATTAATTTTTGTATAAGGTGTAAGGAAGGGATCCAGTTTCAGCTCTCTACATATGGCTAGCCAGTTTTCCCAGCACCATTTATTAAATAGGGAATCCTTTCCCCATTGCTTGTTTTTCTCAGGTTTGTCAAAGATCAGATGGTTGTAGATGTGTGATATTATTTCTGAGGGCTCTGTTCTGTTCCATTGGTCTATATCTCTGTTTTGGTACCAGTACCATGCTGTTTTGGTTACTGTAGTCTTGTAGTATAGCTTGAAGTCAGATAGTGTGATGCCTCCAGCTTTGTTCTTTTGGCTTAGGATTGTCTTGGCAATGTGGGCTCTTTTTTGGTTCCACATGAACTTTAAAGTAGTTTTTTCCAATTCTGTGAAGAAAGTCTTTGGTAGCTTGAAGGGGATGACATTGAATCTATAAATTATCTTGGGCAGTATGGCCCTTTTCACGATATTGATTCTTCCTATCCATGAACATGGAATGTTCTTCCATTTGTTTGTGTCCTCTTTTATTTCATTGAGCAGTGGTTTGTAGTTCTCCTTGAAGAGTTCTTTCACATCCCTTGTAAGTTGGATTCCTAGGTATTTTATTCTCTTTGAAGCAACTGTGAATGGGAGTTCACTCATGATTTGGCTCTCTGTTTGTCTCTTATTGGTGTATAAGAATGCTTGTGATTTTTGCACATTGATTTGGTATCCTGAGACATTGCTGAAGTTGCTTATCAGCTTAAGGAGATTTTGGGCTGAGACGATGGGGTTTTCTAAATATACAATCATGTCATCTGCAAATAGGGACAATTTGACTTCCTCTTTTCCTGATTGAATATCCTTTATTTCTTTCTCCTGCCTGATTGCCCTGGCCAGAACTTCCAACACTATGTTGAATAGGAGTGGTGAGAGAGGGCATCCCTGTCTTGTACCAGTTTTCGAAGGGAATGCTTCCAGTTTTTTCCCATTCAGTATGATATTGGCTGTGGGTTTGTCATAAATAGCTCTTATTATTTTGAGATACGTCCCATCAATACCTAGTTTATTGAGAGTTTTTAGCATGAAGGGCTGTTGAATTTTGTCAAAGGCCTTTTCTGCATCTATTGAGATAATCATGTGGTTTTTGTCTTTGATTCTGTTTATATGATAGATTACATTTATTGATTTGCGTGAGTTGAACCAGCCTTGCATCCCAGGAATGAAGCCAACTTGACCGTGGTGGATAAGCTGTATGATGTGCTACTGGATTCGGTTTGCCAGTATTTTATTGAGGATTTTTGCACAATGTTCCTCAGGGATATTGGTCTAAAATTCTCTATGTAAGTAAAGCACTCCTCAGCAAATGTAAAAGAACAGAAATTATAACAAACTGTCTCTCAGACCACAGTTTAATCAAACTAGAACTCAGGATTAAGAAACTCACTCCAAACCGCTCAACTACATGGAAACTGAACAACCTGCTCCTGAATGACTACTAGGTACATAACAAAATAAAGGCAGAAATAAAGATGTTCTTTGAAACCAACGAGAACAAAGACACAACATACCAGAATCTCTGGGACACATTTAAAGCAGTGTGTAGAGGGAAGTTTACAGTATTAAATGCCCACAAGAGAAAGCAGGAAAGATCTAAAATTGACACCCTAACATCACAATTAAAAGAACTAGAGAAGCAAGAGCAAACACATTCAAAATCTAGCAGAAGGCAAGAAATGACTAAGATCAGAGCAGAACTGAAGGAGGTAGAGACACAAAAAACCCTTCAAAAAAATCAATGAACCCAGGAGCTGGTTTTTTGAAAAGATCAACAAAATTGATAGACTACCGGCAAGACTAATAAAGAAGAAAAGAGAGAAGAATCAAATAGATGCAATAAAAAATGATAAAGGAGATATCACCACCGATCCCACAGAAATACAAACTACCATCAGAGAATACTATAAACACCTCTACGCAAATAAACTAGAAAATCTAGAAGAAATGGATAAATTCCTGGACACATACACCCTCCCAAGACTAAACCAGGAAGAAGTTGAATCCCTGAATAGACCAATAACAGGCTCTGAAATTGAGGCAATAATTAATAGCCTACCAACCAAAAAAAGTCCAGGACCAGATGGATTCACAACCAAATTCTACCAGAGGTACAAAGAGGAGCTGGTACCATTCCTTCTGAAACTATTCCAATCAATAGAAAAAGAGGGAATTCTCCCTAACTCATTTTATGAGGCCAGCACCATCCTGATACCAAAGCCTGGCAGAGACACAACAAAAAAAATGATTAACATACATTCTTATTTTTGAAAAGGTCCAATTTACCATGTTTTACTTTTACGGTGAAATATTTTAAAGAAATCTCTGCCTACTCCAAGGACATGAAGATATTCCACTGTTTTTCACTAGAGGCCTATTGTTTTACCTTTTGCATTTAAGAATATGACTTAAGCTCAAATTAATTTTTGTGTATGTTGTAAAATAAGTGTGAAAAATTTTTTTTCAACATGGTATGTAAATGACTTGACACCATATATTGAAAAGACTGTTTTCCTGTTGGATTGCAGTGGTCCCTTTGTTGCAAATCAAACGACTATATATATATGTGGGTCTATTTCTGGAGTCTTTATTCTGTTCCATTGGTCTATGTGTTTATCCTTGTCTCAATAGTACTTTTTTTTTTTTTAAATGGAGTCTCGCTCTGTTGCCCAGGCTGAAGTGCAGTGGCACAATCTCAACTCACTGCAACCTTGGCCTCCTGGGTTCAAGCAATTCTCTCTGCCTCAGCCTCCCTAGTAGCTGGGATTACAGGCATGCGTCACCACACCGGGCTAATTTTTTGTATTTTTAGTAGAAACAGGGTTTCACCATGTTAGCCAGGCTGGTCTCGAACTCCTGACCTCAGGTGATCCGCCTGCCTAGACCTCTCAAAGTGCTGGGATTACAAGGCATGAGCCACCGCATCTGGCCAATAGTACTTTGTCTTACAGTTTTATCGTGAATCTTCAAATCTGGTAGTATAAGTCCTCCAAATTTGCTATTCTTCAAAATGGTTTTGGCTAAGTTTTTTTAATTTCCTTATAAAAATGTAAGAATCTCGTCAATTTTTACAAAAACTTCTGCTAAGATTTTGACTCTTTAGGTCAATTTAGAGAGGGCTGACATCTTAATAGTAGAAAGTATTACAATCCATGAAGATGGAATATCTCTTCTCAATTACATAGTTTGATAACAATAATTTGGGTAAAACTTTAGTTATTTTCAAATGGTTAAGATAGAATTCCATATGATCCAGTAGTTCTACTCCAAACACCAAAGAGAATTGAAGACATATGTCTACACTGAAACTTGTACATGAATATTCATAGCAGCATTATTCATAATAGACAAAATGTGGAAATAAATGTCCATCAACTGATGAATGGATAAATACAATATGGCATATCCATACAATGGAATATTATTAAGCAATAAAAAAGAAGTACTGATACAACATGGATAAACTTTGAAAAACACTATGCTAAGTGAAAGAAGCCAGTCACAAGTGACTACATATTGTATGATTTCATTTAAATAAAATGTCCAGAATAGGCAAATCCATAGAAACAAAATAGAGTAGTGGTTGCCTAGGACTAGGGAGAGGGGAGGAGATTGGGGCAGTAATGATAAGGGGTGTGGGGCTTCTTTTAGGGTAATGAAAATGTTTTAAAATTGATTGTGGTGATGGTTGTGCAACTCTGTGAATATACCAAAAGCCATTAAATTGTACAATTTAAGGCCAGGCACGGTGGCTCATGCCTGTAATCCCAGCACTTTGGGAGGTCGAGGTGGGTGGATCATGAGGTCAGGAGATCGAGACCATCCTGGCTAACACAGTGAAACCCTGTCTCTACTAAAAATACAAAAAATTAGCTAGGTGTGGTGGCAGGTGCCTGTAGTCCCAGCTACTCGGGAGGCTGAGGCAGGAGAATGGTGTGAACCCAGCAGGTGGAGGTTGCAGTGAGGCGAGATCGTGCCACCGCACTCCAGCCTGGGTGACAGATCGAGACTCCGTCTCAAAAAAAAATAAAATAAAATAAATTGTACAATTTAAATAAGTGAATTGTACTTGAATTCTATCTCAATAAAGCTGTTTAAAATAGTTTTAAAGTAATGTTGTCTGTAATCTATTTTTATGGAATGAATCGTGTATCTTCCCCCTGCCCCACACAAATTCATATACTGAAGCTCTAACCTCCAATACCTCAGAATGTGATTGTTATTTGGAGATAAGGCCTTTAAAGAGGTACTGTCATTAAGTTAAAACGAGGCCTTTAGGGTGAGCCTTAATCCAATCTGATAGTGTCTGCTGTTATAAGAAGAGGAGATTAGGATAGACAGACAGTGGGGATGTGTGTGATCAGAGGAAAGGCCACCTGAGGGAGGACACAGGGAGAAGGTGGCCATATTTAAGCCAGGAGGACAGGCCTTAGAAGAAACCAGACCTGCTGACACCTTGATCTTGGACTTGTAGCCTCCAGAACTGTGAGAAATTTCTGTTGTTTAAGCCACCCAGTCTGTGGTACTTTGTTATGGCAGTCCTAGCAAACTAATACATTTGTGTTGATTTTTATATTCTTCAGTGCCACATTTAGTCTAAAACTCTAAAAGCATAGCAACTTCCCACGTCTACAGAGAAGTCAGACCAGGCTGTTTTCAGCACGTGAAGAGCTGTCTTTTTTTTTTTTTTTTTTTTTTTTTTTGAGATGGAGTTTTGCTCTTGTTGCCCAGGCTGGAGTGCAATGGTGTGATTTCGGCTCACCGCAACCTCCACCTCCCAGGTTCAAGTGATTCTCCTGTCTCAGCCTCCCAAGTAGCTGGGATTACAGGTGCACGCCACCACACCTGGCTAATTTTTGTATTTTTAGTAGAGGCGGGGTTTCATCATATTGGTCAGGCTGGTCTCAAACTCCTGATGTCAGGTGATCTGCCTGCCTCGGCCTCCCAAAGTGCTGGGATTACAGACGTGAGCCACCGTACCCGGCCTAGTCATCTTTTTTGAAAACATTTTGATGGTAAGCAGCACTTTGGAATTCCTGAGGTTGTTTTTCTTTTTCTTTAAAAAATTCTAGACAAATGAGATTTTCTAAATTTGGTGGGGGTGGGGGTGATGTTAAGGATAATTACTGAAAAAATCAAAAATTTAAATAGTATTGTCAATAATTCTCAAGATAAAAATTCTCAAGCTAAATCTCATAAAGTAATTATAAAAAATCTTTGATTCTGTTTAATTAAAAAACATGTTTCTATGTATATTAATGCTTTATAGTTCAATAAAAAGTTCAAAAATAAAATGAAAATAGATAAAAATTACTGGAAGACACCATGAATCTAATTTTAGGTTGTACTTTTAAAAATTTAAATCTTTTAAGGAACTATGGTAATTGCTGTATTTTTTTTCTTTTGGAATAAAACAGTGAGAAATAAGTGAATCTCTTTAAATTCCAATTATGAATGAACACAAAGGAAGGTGTGAATGGCATATTAACAAGAGCATGTGAGGGAGTCATGACTTGGTTTTCTAACTTAGGGTAATGTGTGTTTCACAGGAAAACTGAAGAGCTGTGCTGCTGCAAAGCAGTTTTGAAATCTACTTAATAAACTCCATATTATAAATAGACATTTGATTTCTGGCGTGGCGCAGTGACCCACGCCTGTAATCCCAGCACTTTGGGAAGCTGTGGGCGAGTGGATTACTTGAGGTCAGGAGTTTGAGACCAGCCTGGCCAACATGGTGAAACCCCATCTCTACTAAAAATACAAAAATTAGCCGGGCATGGCCGGGCACGGTGGCTCACGCCTGTAATCCCAGCACTTTGGGAGGCCGAGGCGGGCGGATCACGAGGTCAGGAGATCAAGACCATCCTAGCTAACACAGTGAAACCCCGTCTCTACTGAAAATAGAAAAAAATAGCCAGGCGTGGTGGCGGGCGCCTGTAGTCCCAGCTACTCGGGAGGCTGAGGCAGGAGAATGGCGTGAACGTGGGAGGCGGAGCTTGCAGTGAGCCGAGATCGCGCCACTGCACTCCAGCCTGGGCGACAGAGCAAGAATCCGTTTCAAAAAAAAAAAAAAATTAGCCGGGCATGGTGGTGCGTGCCTGTAATCCCAGCTACTCAGGAGGCTGAGGCAGGAGAATCACTTGTACTTGGGAGGTGGAGGCTGCAGTGAGCCGAGATCACACCGCCGCACTCCAGCTTGGGTGACAGAGTGGGAAGCTGTGCCAAAAAAAAAAAAAAAAAAGAAAAGACATTTGACTTCTATTGGTTTCCTCTAAACCAAATATGAAAGTTGACTCCTAAAATTCATTTTTGGTGAGGATCATCTCAACACAACAATGAGGAAGAGTAACTCTGTATTTGGTAATTTCCCCAGTGTCACAGAAGCAGGGGTTCAAACCAACTCTTCTTTCTGGCACCAAAGCCTGTGCCCTTCACCACTACGGTAGATGAGATTGAAAGACTTGGTCGTGACTCTTCACTCCCCTTTGTCATAACATTGCAGAGCCCACCCTTCAAGTACAGGGAATATGTCCTGACCTATTGATGTGTGCTTGGCCACATTATTAGAATGGCCAATGGAATTTGAGACATCGCGATGCACTCTGAGGTCTTGAAAGTTTGAAAGGCTTAACTTAGCTCTGAGGGCTTCTGTGATAGCCATAAGACACGAATTTCCCAGGAAGCCACTGCCCCCTTCAGCCTGGGCCCAGAATAAACACTGTGAAACAGACCTGAACTTGACCTGAAGCCTGCAGCCAAGTTCTGCCGTGGGCAAATTGGAACTCTGAGCCTGGAGTCCAGTCAAGTACAGCAGGGTCCTGGTCTACCTGCAGACCCATGAGAAAAAAAAAAAAAAATCCAACTTGTCATTTTAAGCCGTTAAGTTTTGGAATAATTTCTGTAAGCCTAGCATTATTGTAGCAATAGTCAAATGATAAACCACTACTTGACATATTCAAAATATGGTCCTTGGACACTGGTATCAAAATCATCTGGAACTTATTAAAAATGAAGATTATAGGAAGATGATTACTCACTTACACTAAGGAGTTTAATGGAACAAGTCAGCAGGAGATACTAAATTTAATAATATATTAAAATTAATATGGAAGCAATTCCACTTCTAGATATTTCTCCAAGGGAAAGCCTTACAGATGTCCATAAAAAGGGCAAGGATGTAACGTTGTTTGTAACACTGAAAATCTGGAAATAACCTAAATATCCATCAACAGAAGAATGGTTAAATGATGCCATTTCCACCTTATGGCATACTAATAAATATTATTTGTTAAAAAGAAGCGAGAAAAATTCTCTGAGTCATACTGTTTGATGAAAAGTCAAGATGCAGAACAATATGTGCAGTAAGATTTCATTTATGTAAAGGAAAGGCATGTCTATGTAAATGTATTTAAAAAAAGATACAAACCAAGATACAAACCAAGTTGATAAGTGATTACCTTTGGTAAGGTATGATGTTGAGAAGTGTGTGTGGGGGGTCACTGCTTTATCTGTAGTGTTTATTGTTTTTACACTGACTAGGTTGTACACATATATTACTGTGCCATTAAGAAGAAAAATATTATGTATTTAATGTAGCTGAACTGGTGGCTCATGTCTGTAATCCCAGCACTTTGGGAGGCCAAGGTGGGAAGATTGCTTGATGAACCTGGGCTACATAGTGAGACCCTGTCTCTACAAAAAATTCAAAAATTAAAATTAGCCGGGCATGGTTGTGTGCACCTGTAGTCTTGGCTACTCGGGAGGCTGAGGTGGGAGGATCACTTGAGCCCAGGTGATTGAGGCTGCAGTGAGCTGTGATTGCACCACTGCACTCCAACTGAGGTGACAGAGCGAGACCCTGTCTCTAAAAAATTTTTAAAAAAAATTTAAATCTGGATTTTTAGGTTTCACCCCAAATCAGAAGAGTCTAGGAATCTGCATTTAACTAAATTTTCAGCCCCTGCCCTCTCAGTTGCTTGAGTCAGCAGCAAGCTCAGGAGGAAGCAGCCAGCCAGGGGAAGAGCTGGAAATGTGATGTGGCCTGGGCAAAAGGCACACTGCAGGATTTCCCCTGTGTGGGGGAGGCAGTGGAGAATTCTGCCTGAGGGTTTTCGGTTTTAAGAAAACCAAACGAGGCCAGGCACGGTGGCTCACGCCTGTAATCCCAGCACTTTGGGAGGCTGGGGCAGGCAGATCATGAGGTCAGGGGATGGAGGCCATCCTGGCTAACATGGTGAAACCCCGTCACTACTAAAAATACAAAAAGTTAGCTGGGCATGGTGGCAGATGTCTGTAGTCCCAGCTACTTGGGAGGCTGAGGCAGGAGAATCGCTTGAATCCAGGAGGCGGAGGTTGCAGTAAGCTGAGATCGCACCACTGCACTTCAGGCTGGGTGACAGAGCAAGACTCCATTCAGCGGCTGGAGAAAGTCCCTGTTAATGGCTAGGTTGCCCTCTACAGGGCATCGCCATCCCACCCTGGTCCCATCCCACCCCTGGGGGAGTTTATCTGAATCTTGGAAGGGTAAGACGAGGTACTTGAGATAGTTGCATTTATCAAAAGAGGGCATGAGAATCAAGGTGGGGCATCCTAAAGTGTGGCCAGCCCAGGGAGAGGGCACTGGACACCATTCCACGTGGAGACATTCTGACAAGGATGAGGTAGGGGACAGGAATAAAGCTAGTGGGAGTTTTCAGTATATTTTCTGAACAGCTTCATCTACAAAACCAGGGGCTTGCCCTGAAAAACAGTCCCTCATACCCTGTAAGTCTGTGATCTTCTGGGACTCTCTGCTGGAGGTCAGGCTCATCAAACCCAACAGGGTGGCACCTCCTTGAAGTGCTGGTGTGAAGGCCCAGGCCCTGCAGCCTCAAATCAAGTAGGGGAAGAGCTGAGAGCTGGGCAGACTCACCTGGTGTGACAGGAGTCAGGTCCCCAGATCCCCAGTCCAGTTTCATGGCTGTTCCCAGCTCACAAGTCCCTGTTGTATCAGCGACTTGCTTTCTCAGCAGTTGAGTCATGCCAAGTCCGCCTGACCTGCCTGGTTGGCTTCTCCAACAGCTGAAGGCCCCATGCTGAGGCTGCCCTGCTGCCCTGCCTGGAGAGGAGGATCTGCACCCGTGCCCTGGAGTGTCTGCTCACCAGCCCCCTTCTGTGTCCCTCCTTGCCAGCAGGGGCAGACTGTGAGATGGTTGACAGGGATGCCCAGAACAGAGTTGAGGGCAGGAGCCTTCCATGGCTGGGCCACTGGGGCTGTGGCAAGAGGGACTCAAAAGGAACCCTAAGTATGCCATGCAATTGTTCTGCTGCCAGAAGTTTCCAGCAGGAGGCAAATGAGAGGAGAAAAGGGCATACGGGACTGAATGCTCTATTCCCCCAAATTCATAGTTGGAATCCTAACACCCCGTGTGACGGTATTAGGAGGTGGGGCCTTTGGGAGGTGATTAGGTCATGAGAGCAGAGCCCTTGCGAATGGGAGCAGTGCCCCTATAAAAGAGACCCCAGAGAGCTCCCTCTTCCCTTCTACCAGGTGAGGACACAGAAAGAAGGCACCATCTCTGAACCAGGAAGCAGGCCCACACCAGACACCAAACCTGCTGGTGCCTTGATCTTGGACCGCCCAGCCTCCAGAGCTGTAAGAAATAAATTTCTAGCTGGGTATGATGGCTCACACCTATAATCCCAGCTAATTGTGAGGCTGAGGCAGGGGGATCACTTTAGGTCGGACCTTGAGACGAGCCTGGGCAACAGAGTGAGACCCCAACTCTCAAAAGGCAAAAACAGGCCAGGCATGGTGGCTCACACCTGTAATCCCAGCACTTTGGGAGGCCGAGGTGGGTGGATCATCTGAGGTTAGGAGTTCAAGACCAGCCTGGCCAATATGGTGAAACCCCATCTCTACTAAAAATACAAAAAATTAGCTGGATGTGGTGGCACATACCTGTAATCCCGGCTACTTGGGAGGCTGAGGCAGGAGAATTGCTTGAACCTGGGAGACGGAGGTTGCAGTGAGCCAAGATTGCTCCACTGCACTCTAGCCTGGGCAAAAAAGTGAGAATTCCGTCTCAAAAAAAAAAAAAAAAAAAAAAAAGATAAAAACAACAAAAAATTCTGTTGTTTATAAGCCACCCAGTCTATGGTATTTTTGTTATAGCAGCTGAATGGACTAAGACATGTTCAATGACAAATTCATGACCTTCTGCCTGAGAAAGCCTTATTCAGTAAGTCTGGGAGGGGCTGAGAAACCTGCATTTTTCTTTTTTTTTTCATGTCAGATAGGTAATGTGCAGACATGGTAACAAGGTTCAAGGGTGACACATCTCACACATATGCATAAACATCCAATTGTCATGTTTAAGAACTAAAGGATCAAAACCTGCATTTTAAAAGATTCTCTTAGGCCGGGTGTGATGGCTCCCAGTACTTTGGGAGGCCGAGACGAGACGGGCGGATCACCTGAGGTCAGAAGTTAGAGACCAGCCTGGCCAACATGGCGAAACCCCATCTCTACTAAAAATACAAAAATTAGCTGAACATGGTGGCATTTGCCTATAATCCCAGCTACTCGGGAGGCTGAAGCAGGAGAATCGCTTGAACACGGGAGGCGGAAGTTGCAGTGAGCCCAGATTGCGCCACTGCACTCCAGCCTGGGCGACAGAGCAAGACTCTACCTCAAAAAAAAAAAAAAAAAATTAATGAAAGATTCCCTTAGGTCATGCACAGGCAGATTTGAGAATGGTGATTTTAGGTTAACCTGGTTGAGGTTTGTTCAGAAAGCTTGAGAAGGGTCAGAGGTCAGTGTGATAAAGCAGACTTTGCTTCAGCTGTTAGGAGTTTCCCTCCCTGGGATAAGGGGCAAGGGCTTGATCCACCTTGTGACCCAGAACCTCAAAACCAGCCCCTTTGTACAGAGGGACAGTCAGATGTTGAGCCAGGCTGGAAGTGTAGCTTGAACAGCATCCCCAGGGCTGAGCCCCAGGCACAAGGCCCAGGAGGAGCTGCCAGGCCCACATCTGCGGTCAAGATTCTCACTGGGAAATTCTTACATGTTTGCAAAACGCAGCTAATGTTTCACACACCGTCTGCATGAGCAGCTGCTTTCTGTTCTTGACGTGGGCCATAGGATCTCGAACCGGAGTGGACGTGTGTCCACATGTAATATAGACACACCCTCTCCTGATAAGTCTGAAGCAGGGTATGTCTGTAACTTCAGCTAAGGTAGGGCTCTGATGGTTCCCTGATCAACCGTGGAAGTCTAAATCAGGCCTTCCATGTGTACTAGCCAGTTTCAGCAATAGGCGTGGGTGCTTTAATTTTAGACAAGAGCAATCCTAACGCTTACAGCAGAGCCTTCCCACCAGGCTAAAAGTTCCAGAAAGTTTTATATTACAGCACCAAATCCAGTGTTATGGTTCCAATCAATTCAGGAAATAAAAAGTCTACAATTTATTTGGGTCTCTAAGACTCAGAACTCCTGGCCAAAAATGTGCCCTTTGATCTTCATCCCTTTAATCTGAAGTATTCTCTAAATGCATTTCCATTTTAACGAACAATGCCTTCTACTGGCACAATTCTCTTTATTGAAGAAACTCAGCTTGTGTTTCAGGATTCCAATCCTTGGATTAAATTCATTGTCATATATCAGTCCTAATGTGTGCCAGGTTCCTACCCTCAGTGAGCTTAGTGGCAAGGAGCAAAACTCAAGGATGTATGCTAACAACTGCAGCCAGCAGTGCTGTGCAGTGACTGCCTTCAAAAGACCAGAGCCAGGAGCAGGGCGTTCTCAGAGGGTGGCCATCACTAGACATTTGAGTTGAGTCTCAAAGAGTGGATAAGCTTTTAAGAAGAGGAGGGAGGGAAAAAGAACAGTCCAGGAAGGAGGAAAGAAAGGAGCAGTGCAGAGCATGCTTGCAGAGTTGTGGGTAACTCAGTGTAGCCAGGAGATAAGGCAGGGGTGATGGTGGAGGTGATGGGACAGATGAGCCTGGCCAGACAGTGGAGCCAGACTGTAGTGGACCAAACTCCCTTGGATTTGCTCAAGTAAAGAGCTGATGTACACAATGCTTCAGAGGAATCTCACAGAAATGATGTGGGGTAGCGCTATTGGACCTCCAGATGCTAGAGCGTGGACAGTAGCTATTCCCAGTCACTCTCTCTGGTGGCCCATGGTTTCTTGCCACTGCTTCTCTCTGCACGCTGTGTCATCTGATCACCCATAGGGCAACTCTAGCCCTGACTTAAGCCAACCTGCAGGCCAAGCATCTGTCACCACGGTCTCTTGATTCTTGGATCCAACTGGACAGAGACAATTTGATTAGCCAGTGGCCAATGGACTGTTTGTCCCTTGGTCAGGTGTCTACCCCTCAAATATCAGCTGTTCTGGTCGGGGGCAGGGTGGGGGTGTTATACAGTGAAAACACAACCTACTGTGCTCACCCTTCAATAGAGGGGATAGTGTGTGTGGAAGTTGAAAGAAAGAGGCGTGGCTGGGCAGGTCCTCCAAACAGGTCTCCTTCCATGACAGTGGGGGTCAGTGGGAACTACCACATTTTTTGAGGAGGAAAATAACATAATTAAAGCTGTAATTCTGGAAGATTACTTTCTACCATGTGAAGGATAAGACTGAAGGGGAAGGAGAAGTTGCCAACACGTATCAAACATATACCACGTACCATATACCTGGCACATGTATCTGTGTACCTAGCCCCTATGATGCTAGATACTGTTTGCATATTACTTTTTCTAGTTTTCACAAGAGCCCATTTTATTTATGAGAAAACTGTAATCTCAGTGCCTTGGGAGGTTCAGGTGGGAGGATTACTTGAGTCCAGAAGTTTGAGACCTGCCTGGACCAAAGAAAACACACACACACACACACACACACACACACACACACACACAAAATTAGCTGGGTGTGGTGGTGCATGCCTGTAGTCCTAGCCCCTAGAGAGGCTGAGGTGGAAGGATGGCTTGAGCCCAGGAGTTTGAGGTTACAGTGATGAGCTATGATTGTACCACTTTATTCCATCCTGGGTGACAGAGCAACCCTGTCTCTTTAAAAAATTAATAAATAGCCCAGGTGTGGTGGCTCAAGCCTGTAATCCCAGCACTTTGGGAGGCCGAGGTGGGTGGATCGCCTGAGGTCAGGAGTTCGAGACCAGCCTGGCCAACATAGTGAAACCCCGTCTTTACTAAAAATACAAAAAATTAGCCAGGCGTGGTGGCTGGCACCTGTAATCCCAGCTACTCGGGAGGCTGAGGCAGGGTAATCACTTGAACCAGGCAGGCAGAGGTTGCAGTGAGCCGAGATCACACACCATTGCACTCCAGCCTGGGCAACAAGAGTGAAACTCCATCTCAAAAAAAAAAAAAATTAATAAATAAAAAATAAAAGAAGCCAGAAGGGAAAGTGAAGTAACTTGCCCAAAGTCACACAGCTAGTTAGTCAATGGTAGAATTGTGATTTGAACTTAAAAGCTGTCCAGACTTGAAATTCACACCAAGCCTGAAACCTACCGGGATAGCCCCGTGTGCCTCTCTGCAGGTGCCTCATGTGCTGTGAGTTCGGACTGAGCTTGTCATCTTCTGCCTGTTTTCTATTCCTTTTCCATATCACCATCCTCCCAGTCACCTAAGCCCAAATCTCTCTAAATCTCAGTCTCCTTGTCTGTAGAACAGAGATAATAATAATGTATCCCAAAGGTTGTTCTGAGAATTAACTTAGAGGATTCTCATGAAGTGCTTAGCACCATGCATGGTGCTGTGGTGTTGCCAGCTGTCCCCAACCTTTTTGGCACCAGCACCAGTTTCATGGAAGACAATTTTTCCATAGCCTGGTGGTGGGCATGGGGGTGGGGGGAGGGTTTCGGGATGAAACCATTCCACCTCAGATCATCAGGCATTAGCTTCTCATAAGGAGCCTGCAACCTAGATCCCTTTCATGCAGTTCACAATAGGATTCAGACTCCTTTGAGAATCTAAATGCCACTGCTGATCTGACAGGAGGTGGAGCTCAGGCAGTAATGCTCACCCACCTGCCGCTCATCTCCTGCTGGGCGGCCCGGTTCCTAACAGGACACGGATTGGTACCACTCCATGACCCAAGGGTTGGGGACCCCTGGTGTCCGCAGAATTGACAGAAAGAGCAACTTATTGGCTGTGGGGAACCAAAGGAGTATGACTTGGCGTTTTATTTATCTAATACAGGAGCTGGCAAACTTTTCCTAAAAAAGGCCAGATAGTAAGTATTTTCGGCATTGTAGGTCATATAGTCTCTGTTGCAACTACTCAACTTTACCATTGTTGGGCAAAACCAGCCATGGACAAGACATAAATGAATGAGTGTGCTGTGTTTCAAGAAAACGTTATATACAAAAACAAGCAGGGGCCGACTGGACCCAAGGGTTGTCTTTTGCTGCCTCATGGTCTTTGCCCTGCCTCATCTCATGAGGGCGAGGCCATGTCTGCTTAGTTCATCGATTTTTCTCCAGGGTCTAGTGCAGTGCCTGGCCCATAGTAGACATTCCATAAATATTTATTAAAGGAATGATTAAATGAGAGAAAGCAAACAAGCAAGAACAAAAGAAAGACTGAGAAGAGACAAAACTTTGGGATCACCTGGATATCTGTTACAGGGTTCTGTGTAGGAAATAGAAACCATGCTAGAGTTTTTAAGCAAAAAAGAATATAACATGAAGAATTGCAAACTTGTTGGAAAGGCTGGAAGAGAGGGCTCTAGGCTGGGCCTCCGAGGATGGCTCCCAGAATGTGGTAAAATCAATCTGTCAGGGGTGCTATCACCTCTGCCACAATCAGGAAGGAGGACTCAGGAAGCTGCCACTGGGACTGTTGACTGCAAGAACATCATGGCTGCAAGACAAGGCCAGAAAGTGGTCAGCAAGCCAGGAACAGCGTGAATTACTGCCACCACCGCATTTGCCAGGCAGAGGAACCTAGCCACTGCCACGTCCACAAGATTCTTGATGCCCATGAAGCTGGAGAGTGGCTATCAGTAGCTCCATGATCTTGCTTTGCAGCAGAAAGTAGCCAAAAGCTGCAAGACATTGGCCTCTGCCTTCCAAGCTTTGTGCAAATAAGTCTAATTGGTGTAGCTTAACTCACAATCATGATCCTAATGAAAAGAGACTCTGGGCAGTGTAGTTTTTAGCTTCCTAGACTCTGCAGCACCAGGAGGCACCCTAGAAAGATGTGGGAATGGATTCATGCAACATTTAGCATAGAGTATACATTCTATTGATTGATTGCTACAAAGTAAACTATCCCAAGGTTTAATGGCTTAAAGCCACAGTCATTTGTTTTGTTCAGAAATTTGAAATTTGGGCAGAGCTGGGTGGGTCCAGCTTGTCTCTACTTAATGATGAGTCAGCTGGGGTAGTTCAACATGGGTACCACCGTGTAAGCAAGTCCACGCACACATGGGAGCCCAAGTGGAGAGGAACAAAAGCGCCTATCAGTAGCCCCAGCTGAGCTCCTGAGGTCAACAGCTGGCATCAACGTAGCAGTGTGTTGATGCAGAGCCATTGTGAAATGCAAGAGCCCTTGTGATAGCAGCTCCTCCGGCCACACCCGAGCTGCGCTAGCTGATGCCGTGTGGAACAGGGGTGAGCTGGCCTCGATGAGTCCTGCTCAGATTGCAGACTCGTGATCAAAATAAATGACTGTTTCTATTTCTGCCACTAAGTTTTGGAGTGGTTTGTTATGTAGTGAGAGATCACCAGTACGTGCAGGTTGTGCTGCATGGGAAGGAGGGAGGAGAACAGATGGGGCAATCAACAAGAAATGAAGCCGCCAAAGCCAGAGATGGGTAATGGCTGACCTGAATGTAAGCTAGGTCTACCTCCCCCTGCACCCCAACATTCAGCCTTACCAGCTTTCTAACTTGGATGCTTCCCGAAAATCAACCAAGTATGGTTTGGGTTGTATCTGCCCAGGTAGCAGGTCAAAGCTTGGGCTGAATGCTGGAAGAGCCCTATAATCTTATAGGTACTGCTGCGTGGGGACTCTGTCTCTCCTAGAAACTGCCCCTCAGCAATTTCTGATCATGGTGGAAGATTTAGATTTTGAAGTGGCAAACTGTCATGAAAAGGCAAAACTGACCTATGGTGGTTGTGATTTTTACACAGGGTTCCAGGAGAGTTCAGGTGATTTCAAACAACAGGGTTGTCACATATAGTTGTGCCAGTTGCATACTGCACAATTCTAAGGGGCACCATTCACATTCTAGTCATTATCCTTTTGCATATTTATTACAACAATTTCCTGGCAGATGGCAGCAAAGTGTCTTGAGGCAGGGTAGCTTTTTCGATTTGCATAAAGGCGATTTATAGCAAGTGGCAGGACGCATAGGTACAAAACTAGTATCTAATAATCTTCAGCCAGTAGCAGCGGTTGGGGATAGAGATGGAAAGAGTGGGGACGAGTATTAGGATTAGGGAAGGTCCTTTTGCTTAACCAGAATGGGCACCCAACAGATAAGAAGTATTGAGATTTGTGGGGTTCAAAGTTCAGCGTTTTGGGACCAGCAAGTTTGTAGAAGAGACAGGAATTAGTCCAACAAAGGAAACAGGTTTGCCCTGAAAGGTAGAACTCTAAGGGCTGAATTTATTTAAAAAAAAAAAAATTTTTTTTTTCAGAGACAGGGTCTTGTTTTATTGCCCAGGCTGGAGTGCAGTGGCACAATCACAGCTCAATGTAGCCTTGACCTCCAGGGTTCAAGTGATCCCCTCTCACCTCAGCCTCCTGAGTAGCTGGAACTATAGGTGTGTGCCACCGTGCCCTATTAAATTTTTAATTTTAATTTTTTTAGAGACGACATCTGGCTATGTTGCCCAGGCTGTTCTCGAACTCCTGACCTCAAGCAATCCTCCCGCCTCATCCTTCCGAATAGCTGAGATTACAGGCATGAGACACTGTGTAAGGGCTGAATTTAATAAGTAGATAATGATCTTTTGTGGAGAGATGGGGATGAAGAGAATTAATGAATATATAAGTAAAAATTTCATGATTCTAATGAGATTGGGGAGCAAGGGGTGAGGAGGAGGGAAAAGGAGGAGAGGAAGAGATATAAACATCAGCTGACATGGGTGTGCCCTGTTGAAGTGAAGGGTATCTGGTATACCTACAAATTCCTGCCCACCTTCAACCATTCTAGGTCTGAAAATCTACATTAGTCATGAACAAATATCATAATTCACAGCAATAGTGCAGCTTCTGACTGTTAAGGTGGATTACATGATATCTTTTCATTCTGACTGATTGTAGATTGCAAAACCTTTACAGTTGGAACAATATTCTCCATTTTGCATTTGATTCTGAAACAGAATCCCAGCCAAGCACAGCTTTTTGTTTTATCTGTGTATCTTCCAAGGTCTCCTTTGCCTGCATGCATGTTGCTTTTGTTCTCAGCTTGTTGTTTTAACTATAGCTTTGCTACATTTCCATTTTTTTCCCCACTATTCAAAACAAGTACTTATTTGAATTAGAGCAGAAAAATACTGAATAGAATGAAACATGGCTTTCCCCCCTCTCATGGTGAGGTCATGGTTTAGTGGTAGCAATGACAATGATTAATGCTTTGCACTTCCATTTAGAGAACTTCAGGAAAGGGTAAACAAATATTTTCCAAAATTTGCAGGTGAGAGGAGGAAGGTGAAGTGACTTACGAAAGATTGTGCTGATTACAGTCTGATTTCTCTTCCCCTTCCCAATTATCTTACAAATTATGCTTTGGTGAATAGTCCTAGAGCTGCTCATCTTTTAAATCAAACTAAAGTCCACTGAAGTAGGAAAATTATGCATTTTGCATAAATGATGTGGGCAAATTATTATTCAATTTTTAACAGGGTTTTCCTATCGCTTTCCCCTGCACAATGTAATATGGTTAATTTACCAGAAAGCATTGTTATTCATTCCCTAATTTTCTAAGCAACTGCTGCCATTTGCTTACCATTTCCTCCCTCTCTGGGAATTGACAGACCTTCCGGCTCCATTTGGGGTGGTTTGGGTTCCTGAGCAATCTCTAGAGGCTTGGCTTCCCTCCTGGTGTCTTCCAATGTTTACCCATTGGGAGGAGTCTAAAAAAAAAGAAAAGATTCACATACCTGGATTTAGTTTATGAGTGGCTTAAATGAATCCTTTTGTAAACACACACACACACACACACACACACACACACAGATGAAATCTCTTGCTATTTAGTGATATTTCCCCACAGTACTACGTCTATGCTTTTCATTAAAAACACTATCTGAATAATACCCATTTCATTCTCTCTTGCTTCCAATTAGCTACTCATTGATTATTACATAGTAAGCACTTGATAATTAACTAAAGGAAAACTACCCAGAACAAAACAACCAGAACACCATGCAACTGCTAGTATATACCTTCCATGATGAATGTACATATCGCATGATGATTCAAGCGAAACAGCCTGGCTGGTAAGTGGAAGAATGACAATGGATTTGTAAATAGGAGAAAGCCTCCCACCAGCTGTTATTAAGAGAAGTAGTGAAGAGTTATTATTATTCCAAGCTTCTTTCTGGCAATTCTTTTATTCTCATACTTTATGAGAATGTGAATATGAATATATTTCAGACCATATCCTAATCGAGACACTGGAGCCAACAACCTGCTAAAACCTTCCTCCGTCCTTGAATGCTATTATCTACCACCCCCTCTATTTAGTGGCCACCAATCAGAATAAATGGTGTACCTATATACTGTTAATGGGGTGGCGGGAGAGGAGAGAGAGAGACAGAAAGAGAGGAGAGAAACAGAGAGACAGTGATTGAGATGCTTGTGTGTGTGTACTTTTGGTTTTTCTTCATTGAGACCCATTTGTTGATGTTTTCCATATTGAAAGCATGAGGTAACCCCTAATGGGGGCTAGAAATCAGAAGGAAACAAATCCAAAGGCAAGGAGCACCAGGCTCCGCTAAACACTATGTAACCTACTTCCATTTGTCTTTAAGAGAGTTCAGGCAGCACCTCTTCCAGGAAGCCTCCGCTGTACCCCCCCCCCCCATTCTGAGCTAGATGTTACTACTTTGCTAACAACTGTGCTTCCATCTGAGAGCTTATTGCAACGATTTTTATGGGTCTTTATCCTTACTAGACTGTAGATATTAATTGTCTGTCTTTGAATTTCTGGGGCTAGGCCCAGGGCCTAGCCCATAATAAGTATACAACGAAAGTTTGGAGGAGTGAATGGTAAGTCTTTACACCCATCTACAGTCATATCCACCTGCATCCTGTTGCCTTGAACAGCCCTGGAAAGGACTCCTCTCATGCCAGCTTTGGTTTCTTCCTCCAAATGTGTGCAATGTCTTCATCCTTCCTACTCCCCTGGCTGCCATCTTGGTTAAGCAGGCCAACCTGACCAGACCTCTACTTCCAGGTGGCTCTGATGACTTTCCTCTTCCTTCTCATCCTCAAACGCCCTCATCTTCTGTCTCATTCTCAGTCACTGGGCACTTTGCTGGGTGAAAAGAGGAAATTAGATGAGAGAATCCACATTAATGGGGGCTAACGTTACCTTTTCCATGTACAATATTATGGACAACATCTTCACGCTGTGCTTCTCACACAGGGCACAGGGGCTCCCTGCGTTATGCAAGGGTGTGTCAGGGACACTACAAGCCACAGGCTGGGTAACATGGCACAACTTGATGACTTGGGAAAATAATTTTTATCTGAAGACAAAGATGGATATCTTAGGGAGTAGAATATCAACTTTTCATAAAATGACAAAGCTAAAACGAGCCTTTGAAGGCACTTTACCTAAGGCTACAGCCTGGGCAGCATAGTAAGACCTTGTCTCTCCAAAAAAAAAAAAAAAAAAAAAAAATGTAGCCGAATGTGGTAGCATGCACCTGTAGTCCTAGCTACTTGGGAGCCTGGGGTGGGAGGATGCCTTGAGCCCAAAATGTCGACGCTGCAGTAAGCCATGATCACACCATTGCACTTTAGCCTGGATAACAGAGTGAGACCCTGTCGCCTCCCCGCATCCCCAAAAAACAAAGACTGTGGCCAGGGGTGGTGGCACATGTTTATAGTCCCAGCTACTTGGGAGACTGAAGTGGGAGGATTGCTTGAGCCCAGGAATTTGAATCCAGCCTGGGCAACATAGTGAGACCCCATCTCAAAACCAAACGGAATCAAAATAAGAGTATGTATCACTTGGTGCCATTTACTTCATGCTGTCTCTCAGGTTCCAAGAGGTACAAGTTTATCCTCACTGGCATTGTGACAGTTCTGGGGAAAGAGTTGGGAAGTATCAAGGGTGTTCACTTCAGGCTATAGATTGGGACTTCAATCATATCTGGAACACTGGTGGCCACACATTCATAATGCTCAGGGCTAGCACTGTGGGAAGCATGCAGTCAGTCCCATGTGCTTAGCAGGTTCTTAGGTAGATGTGTCATTCGAAGGTAAACCACTGGCCCCACTGGACAGTGGGCCTCATCCACCTAACAGTCCATCCATCAGTCCAGCCAGCATCTGCCAGAAGCTCATCACTGTTCTAGGTGCAGGGAGAATAATGGTGAACCAATCAGGAAGTTTCTGTTCTCGGGCTCATAGTCTGGCAGGGCAAACACATTAGAGGAGAGCAGTATTAAACACATTGGTGGCATTAAACAGGTTATTAGAGAGTAGTAAGCCGTATGGAGAGGAGCACAGTGTTCTGGCTGTTGAGGAAGCCGTCGTTTGTCACTGGTTACGTTTTGTTAGAATGGTCCCTGCAACACTGGAAAACCATTTATTTTTATTTTCAGTGCTCAGAATTAACTTTTAAAATAAAGGTATATTTGTCCCTCCATAGGATTCTGAATAGTTTGCATGTTGGGAAAGAATGAGGTATGATTTAGGAGTTTATTATGTATGAGAATTTTCTGGGAACATAGGTGTACATAAATTATGAATGTCTATTTGATATTTCAAATACAGTAAAGGTACTATTTTTCATTATTTTCTTCTCTGTAGTTATAAACTATTTTTGAGATAAAAAATATATTTAAAATTTGGCAATTGCTTTAGTAATCTATATCCCCCTGTATCATTTTTAGAATAAAAATGTGTTTAAGCTTCCTTCCCCTGCCCCCAAACCAAAACCAGTCTCCTCCCTCCCTTCTAACAAATATTTTTGATAGCATAATTGAATTCCAACAGTATTGTATAATATATAGTGGTAAGAAGGTCAACAAAAGTCATTTAAACCTATTAAAATACCTTTCAGGAACAAACTGACCAAAGATCATTTTATTCCAATGCAACTTATTAGGAAATGCCTATCATGTGACATTCTTTGTCCTGAGTCATGACTAATGAACAGATGACATCCCTTTTGCTGTGGGCTTTAGTACAATTCTCTTCTGCCTGTTGTTGAAAACCATACTCTTTCAAGATTCATGAAAGAACCATTCCAATTAATATAGTAAACATTCTTAAGACTCCCGGGGAAATTGCAGATAACATTTTGCCACACTAATGCTACTATAAAATCCTCTGGTGCCAACACTTAGCCACAGGAGGATTCCTATCTTTCTCAAAGCAGGTAAACACCTTCTGGTGCTTGTAAGGAAATCTTCAACAGTGTGGCTGTGTTTGAGGGATTATATACACTCTTAACTTTTCTCACGGAAATGCCTGGTTCCCCATACATCTTTCTGTGTCACGACTACGGCAGAGCCAAATGCATCATTTGTCTTTATCTACCCTGATGTTCTAAAGCATGGGACCCTCTGTCTCCTAGGCTTTCTAATCCTCCCAGCCCGTGAACTGATCATCAGAGGAGATCAGGAGCTACAGAGAATGGAGTGAACAGAAATCCTTTAGTCGCAGTTTACAATGTCTGAACTTTGCAAATGGTCTTCTCCGATAGGTTTATTTGATTTTTTTTTTTTTTTTTTTTTTTTTTTTGAGAGAGAGTCTCGCTCTGTCGCCAGACTGGAGTGCAGTGGCGCGATCTTGGCTCATTGCAACTTCTGCCTCCTGGATTCAAGTGATTCTCCTGCCTCAGCCTCCCAAGTAGCTGGGATTACAGGCGCATGCCACTACGCCCGGATAATTTTTGTATTTTTAGTAGAGGCAGGGTTTCACTATGTTGGCCGGGATGGTCTTGATCTCTTGACCTCGTGATCCACCCGCCTTGGCCTCCCAAAGTCCTGGGATTATAGGCGTGAGCCACCGCATCTGGCCCGTTGTTTGAAAGAAGTAAAAAGAGGTTGGCCCAGTGGCTCACGTCTGTAATCCCAACACTGAGAGGCCAAGGCAGGAGGATTGCTTGAACTCAGGAGTTCGAGACCAGCTTGCGGCAACATGGCAAGGCCCTATCTCTACAAAAAATAATCATGATAAAAATTAGCTAGTGTGGCTGGGAGGATCGCTTGAGGCCAGGAGGTTGAGGCTGCAGTGAACTGTGTTTGCACTACTACACTCCAGCCTGGGTGACAGAGCAAGACCCTGTCTTAAAAAAAAAGTAAAAAGTAATAGTTTATTAGGAAGGCTCCCTTTCCAGCAGAGGAGGGCTAGATGCCAGCTTTCCTAAGGCAACAAAGCAAATACTTATTCACTGCCAGGTTACTGAAGACAAAAAATTACTCACCATCACCCTGACATTAAGGCGATACTTTTCTTTCTTAACAGGAGAAGTTTCTGGTCAGCAAATTCCGTTTCCTCACCCTAAGCTTGTACAACTTATGAGGAAGAGAGGCTTCTTGGGAGGTGTGGGGACTCTCTGGAATGGTCTACCTCAGGAATATCTCTTGAAAGCACATTTGCCTCTTGGAAGAAAAAACCTGGAAGTCTTTGACTTCTTTGTATTTACAGATGTTCTCTTACTTTCACTCTGCAACCTCACTCTACAGCACGCTGTTTCCTAAGAGTGCCCTTGAGGTGACCCAAGTCCTTAGCTTTCTTTCATATAAGACAGTCCACCATGAACTCAACTGATAAATTAAAGGCTATACTTTGAAGAGACTTTTTTTTAAAAATAATTTCTATTTAAAACAGGTTCTTTTTTTTCCAGATTGTTTTGAATGAATCAGAACATAAAAATCCTCCAGAAATATTTGCAAATTATCCAACTTAGTGGGGTGTGAGGATTAAAAGCAAAGTTATCTTGAAAAAGATATAGAATATGTTAATCAACTACCTAATAATGTGATAATAATATATGTATAAGATCTTTAAAATTTTATCAGCTGGGCACTGTGGCTTATGCCTGTAATCCTAGCACTTTGGGAGGCCAAGGCGGGCGGATCATGAGGTCAGGAGTTTGAGACCAGCCTGATCAACATGGTGAAACCCTCTCTCTACTAAAAATACAAATATTAGCCAGGCATGATGGCGCACACCTGTAATCCCAGCTACTCAGGAGGCCGAGGCAGGAGAATCCCTTGAACCCGGGAGGCAGAGGTTGCAGTGAGCCGAGATGGCACCACTGCACTCCAGCCTCGGTGACAGAGACTCTGTCTCAAAAATAAATAAATAAATAAATAAATTTTATCAGTTTAGCAAGTCTATTAATGCTAAAAACAATACCATAAAGTTTTGATTAATCAGAGAACCTGTTTCATCTTTTTTTTTTTAATGTTGGAAGCCCTCCCTAAATGTAAAGGTTATTTCAACAAAGAAAACCATCCTCTTTGTATGACCCCGCATGGCATCAGTGATCTTAGAATTACAGGATCTTAGAGCTGTAGAGATCTAAGGAGTGAATCTCATGTAACCCCTTCAGTTCTACAGACAGGCCCTGAAAATGACAGATGCCAGGAGGTGGCTCAGGGTCCTGAAGCTGAATGATCACAGAGCCAGGCGTGGACAGGTAGCCTGCGTCCACCCACTGCCCTTCCTACCACACCAGGTTGTCGCTCCGTTAGCTCCTTCATTACAGAAGTAGGGGGACATTTGGAAATAAATATACTGACTCCAGGACAAGAAAGATTCTTCTTGTGATTGTCTATTTCTCCTACAAGCAGGACACAGTAAATTCCGGTTAGAAAAAATGTCTGATAAATTCAGATGGTAAGGTATGCCTACTTTTGCTTTAATGATCCTCTGAAATAGCTGGTCAAGAGCCTACCCTTTCTAGAGGGAAAAGAACTCTCCAGATGTTCTGAATGTTTCTGTCATTTGCAAGTCATCGCACAAAGGCTAAATTCACCAGGTGATTCCATACCATCTGGTGTGGGACAGATGTGCCACAGAACTACGAGTACCTTCCATGATTTAAACAAATAAACAAAAAAAAAATTCAAATGTAAAATGCTCTCTTTTTAATTACTAAATTAAGAAAGTTAAACAATTTAAAAATGTAAACTCACAAATAAATCATAACAAAAAAGGAATTAAGACTTCAGAGTTGCTAGTCAGTATTAAAAACTCAATAGAAATAGGATTTTTGATTTGTTGTTGTTAAACATATGTAATTTAAGGTTGGTACAAACAGCAACTAAAAATGTAATACTTTTTTGTTTTTGTGCATCCCCATGAAATGTAAAGTAGTGCATAGTTATTCCACTGGAGAACTCCTGGACATATAGAAAGTCATTCGTTAGCAGTACAGGACATTTAAAACACTTATTTTACAATGGGAAATGTACAACCCCCACCCTCATTTCCCCCAGAAATTTTAGTTGCATGAGAAAGTTTAGCGGGTTGCCATGACTACAATGCTATGGGTTTTAGATCACTTAAATGTGGTTACAGGTTTATTAAATTAAAAATGTCTGAAACATTTCAGCATTCATATTTTTATACAAGAAGTTTGTGTGGTATCCATCTTCCAGTTCTCTTGGTAGTATCAGCCATTTGCTTGCTTATTTTTAAGTTTTGAGAACAAATCGCAGTAAGTTGAAGCAAATAGTGCTAACAGAACTTGTAAATTCAGCTTGGGGGGTGGTTCCTGAAAAGAGTCAAAGTAACAACCACCTACAGGTACAGTCATGAACCAGGAAAGTGCAATCCAAATGAAAAAATTCATGCTTTGCAAAAGCCAAAAATGAGGCCACTGGTGTTTTCAGAATAACACCGGTGCTTTGATGCTGACTTGCAGTAAAATCCTCCCTCTGGGTCCCGCAGCTTGGTGGCTCAGGCCGGCCACAGTCTCCACATTAGCACCCACATTGTATATGTACAGGGACATATATATTATATATATTCATATTTATAAAAAAGAAAACAAAAACAAACACCTGTCCTGATTGGTTTTTGTTAAAACATGAAAAAAAATTTTATTGTTTTAGACAAAGAGGCCACTTTTGGAAAATAATACTTTTTTTTTTTTAGTTGAATCAGGTGAAGACAGAGTTAAAATCACATAGGATTTGCATTTTTAAAAAAGGAAAGCACTAGGATTGTTGGCACTGGAGTAACTATTTACACTGAACAGAGGTTTGGCCTTTTACATAACATCGATACAATGCATTTTCCAAAGTCTGAGAAATAACAAGGTTCTGTCTCGAATGCTTCACAGAGGAGGTTCGGATTTGGGGACAAGTGTCATTAATGAGGGCCATGGAAGTTCGTCAGCTTCAGAGTCACATGCAATCTGATCCTGGGCGGTTCCGCTGCTGGGGAGCAGCTGGCTACGGAATTGAAAGCTAATGGGGAGGGGTGGGGCAGCCTCTGGGACAAGGCCTCTCTCCGCAGACCCGGGCCTTACAGGTTTTCACCAGGTTGGTACTGGGGCTCTGTCGCGGTAAAGTAGTCTTCCAGGAAGCTCTGCAAGTACTCAAAAGTGGGGCGTTCTTCAGGGTCCTTTTTCCAGCAGTGGATCATGAGCTCATGCAGAGAGATGGGGCAGTCCTGCGGGCAGGGCATCCTGTAGCCTCGCTCCACCTGCTCCAGCACCTCCCGGTTGTTCATGCCTGCAAAGACAAGCGCAGTGAGAGTGGGCACCCCGGGGATCCAGGCCCTGACCGCCGCACTTGCAGATCCCCTTTCTTCTTCTTTGCGTCTGCATGTGGCTAAAACATGCGGAGTACTCCCATCCCCCCAGGAGTCAAACCCTGCCATGCTACTCAGGAGTAAAGAAGGAGTGCAGAACTGAGACATGAAAAATTCAGAATGACTCTCAAAACATGATAAGTGAAGGAAGCCAGACACAACAGGCAACATACGGTATGATTTCATTCATGCGAAATTCTAGAAAAGGCGCAACTACATCTATAGAAAGCAGATCAGTGGCTGCCTGGGGGAGGGGAGGAATCCCTGCCAAGGGGCCAGAGGGAACTCCAAGTGGGATGGGAATGTTCTGTCAGGGTCAACGGGTCAACAAACTTTTCCTGTAAAAGGCCAGACAGTAAATATTTTTGGCTTTGCGGGTCACATATGATCCCTGTCTTCTTCTTTTTAACAACCCTTTAAAAACGTACAAAACAAACACAGGTTGGGAGCCAGACCTGCCAACCCCTGTTCTATATTATGTATGGGGTGGTGTGACTGTTTATGTTTGTCAAAACTCAATAAACTGCATCCTTAAAATTGTTGAATTTTATTGTGTGTAGATTATACTTCAATTAAACTGACAACAATATATGAATAAAGCAGACAAAAAAATCCACACAGAATGAAAGCATGCTGCCCCTTGTTTATAGCATTTATAAACTCCATTTATGAACTTCATAAATTCGTTTTCTTCATGCCTGGGCAAACTCTTAGTTCCCCACTGTTGGAGATCTGCCATCATGCCAGCGTGGCTGGGCACTGTCTGGCCCTGCAACCCCACAGTGCCCTGAGGTTTGGTGAATTTGATGGGGAGATAGACCATGTCCGGGGCCTATCTCTACTGATGACTTCAGCCAGGCCATCCATCATTTGAGGTTTTTCTGACTCTTGGGAAGCTGTTGAAACACTGGGCTGCATAGCACTAACAGAAGACAGATCGCTAACTCCTCAGAGAGTGCGGCCTCCTGCACACTGGCTGCCTTAACACTACAGGAACTACCATGCTTAGGGGGTGGCCAGTGTCCTGACCTCCTCCCAACTACTGCCAGCCACTATTCTCTAGTTTTGCTTCCCTTTTTCATTGTATCACCTTCTGCCAGCTCCCCGTCAAGCTGTGCTGTGCTTTGGTTGCTTCCTGGCCGGTGAGGCTGTCATCTGGAATCCTCCCCAGTATCTGACCCGGTTAATTTGCAGGAGCAAGAACCCGATGTCAAGCCATATAGAAACCAAGATTTCTTCCCCTATTTCCCAGGGCTACAGCCAGCAGGAGCACACACCATATGCATGGAGCTTCCTTTACTTCTAGGGGAGGTGGCGACCCGTTAGCTAGAAACTTGTCAGCACAGCCAGAGGCGCTGGGCCAGAGCACAGCCTGTCCCCCTGCAGAGGGAACACTCGGACTTCGGGGTCTGTTGCCAGTCCTCTTGGTTGTGTTGTTACTTGTGGAGCTGAGTGTATCCTGGCTCCTCCTGGCTGTCAACCACAGCCTGTCAGTCACATGTCTCTCCAGACCTTTTCAGGATGCTTTCTTATTCTCTGCCATTATCATTTCTTGAGGTAATAAAAATTCACATATTGTTTCTGCTGTACTGAAGTAGGCCTTCAATGCAATTATTGTAAAATAACCTCACTCACGTGTCAGGGCGACCCCTTATTTTAGGGAGAGAGGTTTGGTGAAGGAGTCAGGGTCCCTGCCTCTGTGCCATGCATGCCTTTACCAGCGACTTCCTCAGTTGCATGGGAGGAGTGAGAGGCAGCGCTGTGGCTAATTAGCCTACATCCTCCTCCAATGGCTGAAAATGGGGGATGGGGGCGGGGAGCTGGAAGCAAGGGAGGAACTGGAGCATGCTCGGGAATGAAAGGCAGCCTCCTCCGGCTCTAGATAAACGCGGACAGAGGCCAGCATTTCCTTCTCCACAATTCCACCATCCAACGAGCTCTGAACACCATCAAGTTTTTGTAACTCACTTGACTACAGAACTGATCTGAACTGACCTCATCTGGCCACAAAACCTGAACTGATTACGAGGCTATTTACTGTTTTTATTTCTTCATACATATTGCCCAGAAAGATTAGGAAGAGTGTGTAATCACGTAGCAGAACTGGCACTCTCCAAAGCATTTGCCTTGCCGCATCTTTTAGTACTGTCCTTGGTTTCATATTTCAGCAATGACAGAGCTTGGACCAGCAGAAATCTCCCTTGTCTCTGTCCCTTCCAGGAGTCCACAGGAACTGAGGGGAAACAGGCAGAAGGGCCTGACAGATCCTTCTGGGTGCGGTTACAGCCCCTGAAACGCCTCCTAATGCTTGACTCTGGCTCTGAGTGCCTCCCTCCAAAATGGCAGCACAGAGTTTAATTAATCACTCTCCTATTGCTCCACAGAGCGCATGTCAGTACATGTTTCATTTCATTAAAAAACAAACTACTCAAATGGAAAGATTTCACTTAAAAAAAAAGTTTTCATCCAATGTCTGCCAATGGAAAGTTTAATTGGCCACTGGGTCATTTTTCCAGTGCTCGGTCCAAGCCTCAGACACAGCACACTTGGTGATGTGAACCTCAACATGTAGCGTCTCCCGAGGCAGTCTTTCCTGGGCATTTGGAGCCAGGGGACAGGGCATAAGCTGGCCCATGCAGGGTCCTGGCAGACCCACATGGTCAGGCTCCTTCTCGCTCTCCCCTTTCCTGTCTGCACCCCTCCGCTCTTCCCCACTCCTCTTCTTCTCCTGCTTTCTTCTGCCCAGACCTCTCAAAGCAAGGGGAGTATATGAAAACAATTCCACGCACTGGGCCAAGTGGAAACATACCAATGAGGGCTTTGCCAGGAAAGTGGGATATTTTGACAATGCACTTGGCTGACAATGACAATTGGAATGGGACTAGCTCTTTTCCAACCATCCATAAACCAGGACCTGCAACGGGCTGACCTGCAGACCTGGCAACTTCACAATGTACCTCTGCAACAATAACGGTGGCAATCAAGATATGCCCACTCAGCAAGGCTTGGGCTAGTTTTTATTTTATAAACAATAGCTAAATTGAATGGATTGTGTTAATTCAGGGTGAGTATCCCTTCTCTGAAATGCTTATGATCAGGAGTGTTTTAAATTTCAGATTTTTTAGGATTTTGAAATATTTGCATTATAGGGCTGCTCAACCAGTAAGTTGAGCATTCCCTTTGCGTGTTATGTCAGTGCTCAAGAAGCTCCAGATTTTGGTGCATTTTGAATTTCATATTTTTGGATTAGGGATACTTAACCTGTATTTAAAATACAGTATTCTCAGCTATATGAATTTTGAAAATCATGGTTTTTTTAAATAATTTTTTTTAAATGGCTTTTACTCTGCACACTAACAAAAAGATAGGTCTACTTCATTTTTTTCTTCTTAGATGGTTTCATATTTTTGTTAGAAAGAAAACTGTCATTTCCTCTTTTTAGCCACTTTTCCCCAAGACATTGGCTTTACCTAATACCTGAGAGGTGAAGGATAGTGAATAGGAAGGGAATAAACACGAGTTTGGGCACCAGGGCAGTTGGGAGAGTGTCTTGAGAGACATGGGTACACTAGAGAGAGGAATCCTTTTATTTTTTATTTATTTATTTTTTTTTGAGATGAAGCGTGGCTCTGTCATCTGGGGTGGAGTGCAGTGGTGTGATCTCGGCTCACTGCAGCCTCCACCTCCCAGGTTCAAGCAATTCTCCTGTCTCAGCCTCCTGAGTAGCTGGGACTACAGGTGCATGCCACTACACCTGGCTAATTTTTTATATTTTTAGTAGAGACAGGGTTTCACTATGTTGGCCAGGCTGGTCTTGAATTCTTGGCTTCAAGTGATCTGCCCACCTCGGCCTCCCAAAGTGCTGGGATTACAGGTGTGAGCCACCATGCCCAGCCAGAAGAATCTTTTTATTACACTTCCAACTGAGGAGGTGGACAAGAGTGCTGGAAATGTTTTTCCTTTTTCTCCTTTTTTTTTTTTTTTTTTTTTTTTGAGACAGAGTCTCGCTCTGTTGCCCAGGCTGGAGTGCAGTGGCACAATCTCGGCTCACTGCAACCTCCACCTCCCTGGTTCAAGCAATTCTCATGCCTCAGCCTCCTGAGTAGCTGGGATCCTTTTTCTCCTTTCTTAACAGAAAGAAGAGACAGAAACTTTATAAAACATGGTGTCTGAGCACATTTTAGGGAAACAATGTCATAAACAGTTTGGCCTTCCAGGTTTCCTAGTGGGAGCTGCAAGGGAGAGCATTTTTCAACAGGAGGGGAGATCCTGGCTGGCCAGTGGTGTCTGACTGTGGGAAGAGCCACGTTCGAGCAGTATGAATGTTCCCTGGTTCCCACAGAGAGGCGGCTTGGGGCTGGGGAGCCAGCAAGCACAGAGGCCACTGCCCAATTTTGTTCCAACCCTCTCCTCCTCTGCTGTTCTGCCCTTCTAGCCTCACGGGAGCCACCAGCCCCTTCTGCTGTCTCTCTAGAATTGCTCAGGAAAACAGGCCATTGTGGTGGGTCACTTTCATAGGGTACAACTGAACAGTACTCAATCCATAAAACACCTCCAGCACTTCGGGAAGCTGAGGCAGGCAGACCGCTTGAGCTCAGGAGTTCGAGACCAGCGTGGGCAACATGTTAAAACCCTGTCTGTACAAAAAGTACAAAAATTACCTGGGCATGGTGGCATGTACCTGTGGTCCCAGCTGTTCAGGAGGCTGAGGTGGAAAGATTGCTTGAGCCCAGGAGGTTGAGGCTGTAGTGAGCTGAAATGGTGCCACTGCACTCCAGCCTGGGTGACAGAGCGAGACCTTACTAGTCCGCTGTGTGGGGGTCTGCCTTCGAGTCCCTCTTTCCCAGAGCCTCCATGGAACATCTCCTTGTCAACTCAGATTTTAGGCTTTCAAACATGGTCCCCGACATAGCATCATTTCCAGTCAGTCTGCCCCAAACACTGCAACTGAGATTCTCCAGCCAAGAAGACTGTGCTCACTTCCTGCCATTATGATTATATTATCCTTTCTAAATCATGTTGCTGGCTTCCTCCAGCAAACTCAGAGGTCAAGTTTCCAACTCTCACTTTCAAACTCTGACTCTGTAGGGTTGCCAACAGTGTCTATTCTTGTGTGTGTGTTTTCTTTTCCCTTTTCTTTTAAACTTCCCTATTCCACTTCTTTGAGCTGTACATGAACTCAGTAGTCTTCCCTTTTTCCTTTTAGATTCTTTGAAAAAAAATTTTTTAAGGGACAAGGTCTTGCTCTGTCACCCAGCCTGGAGTGCAGTGGCATGATCATGGCTCACTGCAGCCTTGAACTCCTGGGCTCAAGCGATCCTCCTCACACTTCAGTCTCCCAAGCAGCTAGGACTATAGGTATGCACCACCATGCCTGGCTGATTTTTATTTTTATTTATTTTTTTTTTGTAGAGATAGCATCTTGCTATGTTGCCCAGGCTGATCTTGAACTTCTGGCCTCAAGCGATCCTCCCTGCTTCAGCCTCCCAAAGCACTGGAATTACAGCTGTGAGCCACTATACCTGGTCTTCTTTTAGATTCTATAGGGAAGGAATAAAAATCACTTTCATTGGCAGAGCACCGAAATAGATGTCACTTCTTGACTTCTAACTTTGCATCTTTTAGCAAGTGACTTGACTTCCCTTGAACTTGGCTTCTCCATTTGTTAACAAAATACCTCAACATTCATTGTGCTTTCAGCTATCTGAAAAAATGTCTTTTATGAAAGAAGAGTGTTTGTGTTTTATAGCTTTCCATTTGTGCAGCTTCCCAATATGGATCTCAGATGGGCCATATCTGTACAATCAGGGATTTTAAGTGTTACCCGTCCATGTTTGCATCTGGATTTGACTATGGGTTGCAAAACCTGGGTTTTTGTGCCATGTGAATAATTAAGCACTTTAACAATGGGAATGATGTTTAGATTATCAGATACCCAAATTCCTTTTGCTAACTGAGCTTTCCGTTCAAAGGGAATCACACAACGTTGTGCATAAGGCCTTGGGTCTGAGGCTCCCCTTGCTTCTGTGCATAAAAGGCCCGGTGTTTACATGTCTGTTGAGCAGTGCTGTGCTGGCGCTGGGAAGGAGGAGGGGTGTTAATGGTGCTTGCTCAGCATGAGCCTGCGCCATCGCATGTGCTTGTATTAACAGATTCTCATGTGTCCTTGCTATCGTACTGGTTAATAACCGTGACACTGAGTTAGGTTTTAGTATAGGATCATTGTGAAAATTCTGGGCAGGGAGATGCTGATGGAAGAGTGTGGATGAGAATAAAGAACTTATCTTGAGAAGGTACAATAATGACTTGCTTTGTTTCTCTTTCCTCATCTTGCCAGATAACCTCAGGACAGCTGTTTTTATTCAGCCCATTGTATTAATAAACACAGAAAGACAGCTACTCATGTAACTGAATACACAGGTATTTCTGTATTTGAAGTTGATAATACAGTATCATAGAGAACTCCTTTGTCCCAGAAAAAAAAAAAAAAAGGAGTGAAAAAGAGAGGCAGGGTGCCCATGAGGAAGGCCCCGGAACTGCACCCCTGAGAACAAGGAGCACGTGAGGCTGGAACACAGGACTGGGGGCCGAAAGTCCCTCTTTGGCCACCCTCTTCACACGCATTCTCCCCTGGTCTCCCTCCTCCTCTCACTAGACATGCTGGCCAAGAGAAATCTTGTAGAAGGAGGTGACAGCATGACCTCTGGGCATTCCAGGCAGGGTTCCCTCTCTGAGGGGACATCATGAGCTGCAGGAAAAACCCCAGGGACTGTGGACGAGCCAGGGAGAGACACGCACCCTCGGCTAAGATGAGAGCTTTCATTCGGCTTCCCAGTCTCCTCCTGGTTGGAGAGTCCTAACCCTTTCTTCTCCCATGAAAAACCTGCTCCTGTTGTTATGTTGAACACAAAGGAAAATGTATCTACGGTTCAGGGCTCTAAGGCAGAGGGAGGACCAGAGTGGCATTTGGAATCCTTTAAGGAAAAAGCCACCAGTTTCATTAATTTCCCTTATTTCTTCAGGTCATTATCAAGCGACTAGATGTATTCAAGAAAGTCACCTGTTGAATGATTTGAAAGTGCTTCCAATGAATGAATAAGTGTGGTTTGCTTAAGAAAGTGTTCCTGGCCTGGTGCAGTGGCTCACACCTGTAATCCCAGCACTTTGGGAGGCCAAGGAGAGTGGATCACCTGAGGTCAGGAGTTTGAGACCAGCCTGGCCAACATGGCGAAACCCTGGCTCTACTAAAAATGCAAAAATTAGCCGGGCGTGGTGGCGGGTGCCTGTAATCCCAGCTTCTTGGGAGGCTGAGGCAGGAGAATCGCTTGAACCCAGGAGGCAGAGGTTGCAGTGAACCGAGATCATGCCACTGCATTCCCGTCTGGCTGACAGAGCAAGATTCCATCCATCTCAAAAAAAAAAAAAAAAAAAAAAGAAAGTGTTCCTGTTCTACCAGGTCCTGCCAAATCCACAAAACAGGTGTTCGGTTAAGAGCCAGGGCACAGAATAGCCAGGACACTCTGCCTAGAATAGTGTTGGAACATGATGTTTGAAATGATCACAGGGTCAATTTTCCAGAAGAACTTTGAGGACAGAGGCTACCTTGTGGCTAGGAAAATATATATCCATGTGTGAAGATGATGGAATGCAGTTAAAAGGCTTTGCAGGCTATGGGCTAAATTTAAAAACCTTGTTTCAAAAACCTCATAGGTGAGTTCTTTTTTTTCTGTTTCATTCACTCATTTATTTGCTTATACTTACTGACAGTCTACTATGGGGTGGACCCTGTGCTGGACCTCGGGAATCCATCAAAGGGACTCCCTTCTCTGAAGCTGCTGAGAAATACACACAAACGGGGGGCCCAACAGAAATATGCTAGGTGTCATGGAGGCAAGCAGAAGGAGCACCCCATTTGGTCTGGACATGGGGAAGGCTTTCCAAAGCAGATGATGTTCAGTTGGGCTTTGAAGGGTTCTGAGGCAGACAGGGGAGCCACAAAGAGAGACCTGCATGTTCAAGAGACATCTCTTGATGTGTCTTGGTAACGTGTGAAGGATGGAAGACAGCAAGAGAGAAATCATGTCACTCTCCTGCTCAAATCCCCTCACTTCCCACCTCACTAAGACTAAAAGCAAAAGTTTCAACCATGAGCTAGAAAGGCCTTATCTGATTTGCCCCTGGGGCCTCTGGGACCTCCTGCTCCCTCTGCTCCAGCCATGCTGGCCTCCTTTGATTCTGGAGGGTCTCTGCACTCTCCCTTCCCCTGATGGAAGGCTGTGCTCCCAGATACCCACCTGGCTGGATTCTTGCTTCCTTTAGGTCTTCTACTCACCAGTGAGGTGCTCCTTTGCCACTCTCCCCTCTCTCCCCTTCCCTGTTTTATTTTTCTCCCTAGCTGTTACCAGCAGCAAACATTCAATATATTTTGCTTATTTATCTTTGTTTATTGTTTGTCTCCTCAAAGAAGAATGGAAGTCTATGAGGGCAGCAGCATTTGTCTATTGCTTCACTGCTGTATTCTTGGTGCTTGCAACAGTACCTGGCATATAGTAGGTGCACAATAAATATTTGTGGAATGACTACAGAAAAAGAGTTATGAAGAACTATGTAGAATTACGTTTTCTAGGATTTATCTGAAAGGCAAAGGGAAGCCGTGGACGTTTTTAACTAGCAGGGTGAGATAACCAGGTCTGTGTTTTCTAGAATACTAACTCTGTTGGCAACAATGATAGAATGGTGGGTGGGTGGGTGGTGGGGAGGCGGGGAGAAACTGGAAGCAGAGGGGAAAAGAAGGATTTGAGAAAGGTATTAAGGTGAAATGACAGGTAAAAATGCATAACTGATTTTATGCATCAACCCCAGAAAACTGCTTTTACTTAAGTCTTTTTATTTCTCACATACAACAATCCATCAGTATGAAATCAGTTCTAATCTTGAAGTAAAGAAAGCTTCTGAACTCTTGCTTGCAGAAAAGCAAGCTAGACTGCAATGCAGAGAATGCGTTCAGCTCAGGCTGCTAGCGGGGAACTGATGGAGCTCTTCTTTGGAACTGCATCCATACTTGTTACACATCTCGAAAGCAACCTTCCTCATCTGGTAAGGTGATGTAACTTTTCTCTACCACCCCCGTTAATCTCAGCATCATATTTCAGTATTTTTTCCTTCGGCTTCCAGGTTATCATTCAGTTTGAGATTGTCGTCTTCCCTTCTTTTGTCCACTCCTCTCACACAACTTGCCAATGTTCTAACATCTCCGCCTCCCTTTGCCCTTTATTTGGTCACACCTCACATACTCCACTCTAAGTTCCTTCTGGGATTGTCACTTCTGGACCTTCTTTCACGCTGGGCAAAGATGCCTGGAAAGCTTTTATAAAACCAATTTATATGTCACCCCCTCCTCCCGCACCTCCATCTTCACCTACCAGGCAAAGGAGCTTTCTTATGTGTCAAGGAAACAGCAGGCTATTCTCAGGTATGGAAGACTCAGAAAAATGTACCACCATCTACTGTTCTCCAAAAAAGAATTACTTCAAAATATACTCTAGCCAACTGAGACATGAGACATGACTACATCAAAATGCAGAATGGAAATCATGACGGACCGGGACTGGGAGTCTGTCCTGAGGTACCAGCAACAGGCACAAAGACGCAACGTGGGAAGCTGAGAAGGACCCCTCAGCGCACACTGACTGACTTGCCACACCAACAAATAGCAAGAATGCAGAGAGGAAGGTCCTTCTTTGCCTTCACAGTGACATCTGAAGGAAGCTTCGTGAAACCTCTTGTTCCTTAGGAATTATTATCCTTCGTTAGGGTAATAATCCTATAATTGGAATCCCTCTGTAAAAGCTTCTCCCTCAAGAAGAGTTTTCTGTTGGATTCACAAACCCAATTAAATAGGATTATAGCTATGTTAAAAAGCAAAACCCAGGAAGAACCCATGGCTAGGAACAGGCCTGGGAACAATTTTTTGTGGCTTTCTTTGAATGAGGACCAGCTCACGACACCCCCAATGAGGACACGGTTCCCTGGTTGCCACTGCCAACCAGCAAGGCCCCAACGCAGGCTCTCGGCCACCCTTCCAGTCACATCTCCAGGTGTGCCCCTGCACATGGCATCTTCTCAGATTCATCCTGTGGTCCCTGGAACTGTCCTCCCAGGCCTATGTGCCTTCCCACGTGCCAGACCTTGGGATGCTCTTCCCGCCTTCTGGGCTTGAGGAAACCTACTTGGCTTCCAAGGTCTGGCTTACTTGCCTTCCCTACACAGCCCCCTCTCCAGCACTCCTCCACAGCTAGAGGCAGTTATCACAGCCCACTGCAGACCAGCACTTGCTCACAGCTCTCTCTGCAGGAGCCGCTGGAGTTAGTTCTCACTTCAAACTCCTCTGCCATCCTCACAGGACTCAGCTTGAAGAGTCCCTCTCAGGACCTGCTGTGTGTGGATACCTGGATCAGGTGTCCCTGACCCCATTATCAGAATGAAGATCTAGGCCCCATAGTAGGTAAAGCCAAGTAGTCCATCCTTTCAGGATGACTCCCTCTGATAATAAACAAGGAATAAAGAAGGCTGGTTTCTTCCTGGATTTGATGCACATTTTATCTATCTGACTGTAATATCCATGAACATAGGGACTAAATTTATTTACTTGCCCACTGTGCTAACAATGCCTAGCCTGAGGCAGGTACTAATCAAGGCTTGTTTAGAGTATGAGGGTCTTATTTGCACTATCTCCCCGATAGAGGAAAATGCCTGGCACAGTTCACAGTGACTGAAGCTACGCTGAATGAATGAATCCTGGTCTAAGTGGTAAAATGAGGGCATTTTCTTTATGCTAAAACCAAACCTGACAAAAGACTCCCTCAGAAACACGCACCTGCCTTCCTTCTCCAAGGCCCCCACCTCCACCCCTTTGTCTTGGTTTCTGTGTGAGACCCTGAGAAACAAAAAGCTGCTTTGTATTACTGGAAGGGAAGGCTTCACAGAAACGCAAAACAACATTAACCTTTTCTCCCCAGTTGCATTTAACACACAGGGTGACTATAAACCTGGGAGGGATCAGGAAGAAATCAGTTCAAAATTCAGACAATAAATAAAGAAGAGATGCCTTCACATCCTCGCCCTCCTGAGACCCGCACATTTCCCCCCTTGAGAAGCAATTCAGAAACACCCACGCTGTGCTCCATCCCCCAGGGCGGCCCTTTCTTCTGTGCTGGTTGGCGATTCCCGGAGTGTCTGCCCGTGTGTGCATGCCGGGAGCAGCAGTCACCGCAGCATCAATAAAACTGACTTACACCCGCATCTCTAAACGCCCAGTGCCGGCACTTCAGAGACTGGGAATTTGTCAATTTTGCCTCCATGTCAACTTGGCTCTCCTAGGAGTCTCAAGGCTACACCAACCCAGAACGAGATTATCTTGATGTGCCCCTCTCTGTGTTCTCTGAAGATGACCAGAAACAATCATAAAAAAGGAACAAAGGGATTACAAATTAATCTGCCTTCGCTAGCTCCTCTGACTGCAAAGCTATGATTACAAACCCAGGATTTGCAAGAGACCTAAATTCCTCATTAATCGTCACTATCGTTTCTATCATTGTTTTTTTTTTTTTTTTTTTCTTTAAGCTCCTTTCTTACGCAGGGAATGAGGGGGAGCTATGTTCTTTCTTCACTCAGCAGTAACTGAAAAATATGTCCTTAACATTTCAAAAAAGCAGATCGTCCCTGTGCTATAACCACTAAAGCGTGGAGGTGAAATGGCATGGGTGTCCTTTATGTCACCATCTGTCGACGTTAATCAATTTAAGCATGGATAAGCCAAACTCGTGGTTTCTTTGGAGAGCATAAATCTGATAATACAGAAACATTCCAGAGTCTAAGAATTTCCAATTTCTTTACATTATACTTGCTTTGGTATAGCATGTTTTGACTGTTCAGCAACAGGCAGTGAGTGGCTCTAAATTGCATTTCACATGTGCCTCTGCTCTCTTTGGCCATCTGGAGCTGGGTCCTGTGGAGAGAACAGGTCCTGGCACCTTCCTGCCAGGCTCACTCCATGGGTCAGTGCTACAGTGTAATCAAAAAGCAGTGGGGCTTTTCTCCTTCTCTTTCCCAGACATGTCTGCAAACTCCATTTGGGCAGAGGCACTGCCAGTGACATTTCTGCTCTGGGAACCACAGACACATACTCCTACTGAGAGAGGAGAGATTCTATGAACTGGAGGGGGACTGAAGCATTTAGACCAGCTGCTACTTACATTAATCCTGGCACACAGTTCATGGTGGCTGCTTGTCTACATACATGGTGGCTCCCAGTTCTGCTTTTCTCTCGCTGAATACCTGGCCATGTTCTTCAAACTCAAGCTCAGCAGAAAGCTGAGGATGGGGCTTAGAAAGCAAAGTGGATGAAGTTTTCCCAAATGGTGTCAAAAAAGCCTCCAATCTCAGGCCCATGTCTGTGAGGCCCTGCTCTTACCTGGGTATGGCACTCTTCCTTTGGTGACCAGCTCTGTGAGTAAGATTCCAAAAGACCACACGTCAGACTTGATTGTGAACCTCCCGTACAGGGCTGCCTCGGGGGCCGTCCACTTGATGGGGAACTTTGCACCTGCAGAATGAACACTTGGTTATTCATCAGGCAGAGGGCACTGCAATGGGCATGGGGTGTGGGAGGGAAAGGCACTTGGCAAGCTACTTTCCTGAGAGCAGGTTTAGAGGGGAAGACAGAAAGGAGGTGAAGCAGGAATGGGCTGGGATTGGGAAGATGTAGGGTCTGGTCTTGACTGTGTGACCGTAAGTAATCCAGCTCAAAGCACCTTAGTACCTCAATAAAGGGGGGAAGAAGCCCTGGTTTCTTATGATTTAGGAAAATTATATATATATTTAACTTTGAAATAATGCTATGTTTTAATAAACATACATAGGATTTAGTCATAATGCTGCTCTCATGAGTCCTCGGGTATATAAGATAGTGTGGTCTCACTGGGTACACAAAACCTGATTAAACCACTGAGCTGCTCCCAGGGTGGGGACAACTGGATACTGCCCATGTGTTCTGCTGAAATGTGTTAGATTTCCCAAAGGCCTCCCACACCCACAGCAGGGAAAGGAATCTGCCTCCAGCTCCTTCTCTCTCCACATTTGCTGTTTTTCCTCCATTCTTTCTCCCTGTAGTAGCCATCTTTACTCCTGGGATAGTTTTTTCTTCCATACTGTAAGATCACTTTCTTACCACTTTTTCTTCTACCACCCAGCAAGAGTACTATTTAATGTTTGTTTTTTAAAGAGCAGTTCTGCCTCCATGACTGTCTTATGAGTCTCTGACTTTTCAAGACCAAGGTGCAAATTCATGTCAAAGTCAGTGGAGTCCTTTTTTTCAAAAATTTATTTGATCATTGAAAGAATCCTGTCTCTAAACCAAAAGGAAGGGTGTGGTCCACCTTGCTTTCTACAAGCTTGATGTGTGTGCAGGGAATTAAAAGGGATTCAGGCCGGGTGTGGTGGCTCACACCTGTAATCCCAGCACCTTACAAGGCAGAGGCGGGCGGTCATTTGAGGTCAGGAGTTCAAGACCAGCCTGGCCAACAGGGTGAAACCTCGTCTCTACTAAAAATACAAAAATTAGCCAGGCATGGTGGCACGAGCCTGTAGTCCCAGCTACTTGGGAGGCTGAGGCGGGAGAATCACTTGAACCCAGGAGGCAGAGGTTGCAGTGAGCCGAGATCGTGCCATTATACTCCAGCCTAGGTGACAGAGCAAGAGTCCGTCTCAGAAAAAAATGAAATAAAATAAAAATAAATAAATAAATAAATAAATAAAATAAAATAAAATAAAAGGGATTCAGCAGCTTGTGCTCTCAAACATTCAGCTCAGCAATTATAAAGCAGTTCCAGGTATTTTACTGAACAAACTAAAAGAAAAACACAAGGAATTTTTATTACTTATGGAAACACAGTTACATGCTTAAAGCATGTTCATTCTGCTTAAGGAGCTCCTGAAAATCATACAAAGGCTGACAAAATCAGAACATTTCATAGAATCTTCTATAAAAAGTCACTATGTACAAAAGTGGCGAATGATTAAAATATTTAAATTGGCACAGTTTTAATAGCCAGAGGTATGATAAATTACAGCAATTAGATTTTTGTCTTAAATACAGCATATGATAACATCTTTAGTAAATCTACCCTGGCATTTTCAGGCAATATAATTTTCCTCTCCATCTCTCATGTGTCTGTGTGAAATGAAATGAAAGAAAAAAATCCTACTATTTCATTATGAGGCATCTCACATTAACACTGGAGCAGAAAAGTTATTCTATAGTTTTCCTTTTATGCATGGAGTTATTTTTAATTAGTTATGTTTCTCAGGCATAATTATTTATATCTTTCCTTACGTGCTAGATGATTCCACATAAGACCTGGTATTCTCTGAATAGTCAGTTGTTTTGTTTTTAAGGTTTCTTTCAAAGCATTCTTCTCACACTTCCTATCCTTTAGCATTCTGTTCACGCAGCTTTGGACTCTGAGCCACTGGGATTAATGTGATAGATTTTCTTCAATGTTGAGAGCAGACTTTGCTCTGGACCAAACCTCAGCTGGAGTTCTCTTACTTCAGAGAATTAAAGGTATACTACATTCATTCCTATTTAAACCATCTCTTGAGCCAAATGGCTTGGAAATCTCTGACCATCTCTGAAGTAAATGGAACATTTTTCTCTGCTGTGCAGACAAATCCTGTAAATAAAATGACAACCAAAGGAGTTGTTTTTCCCCTTCTTTGAATCACTCAACATTGGTGAAGGTGTGTGTGTTGCTGAAAGTGACTATTTAAAATTTGGATACTGTCATGTTAGATTTTCCAAGGGATTTCATAATTTCAGATTAAAAAAAACCAACGGCAATATCAGCCAGTTGCATTAGTCAGCTTTATTATTTTCTCATTTTATAATCTACAATAAGGATTATAATATATAAACCTTCAAAAAATGTTAAAACAAAGGCTGCATTAATGTAAGGAATCTTTGAAAGGAAGTCATTTGTAGATATGTGGTCTGAGTTACTACTAGTCGGAACTTACTTAAATTTGTTTTGTATTAATTTTCTTTCTAAGGCAAGCAATATATTTACACCAAACAATGTATTTATAATGTATTTGGAGGAATAAAACATAATGTCTTTGTCCAACTTCTCCTGCTTCTTCTCTGTCTTAAAACAGCAGCTGCTTTCAACAAAAGAAGCTTCTTTATAGATAACTCATTTTCCTTTTCAAGGAAGACAAAAGGTTAAATCAAAGCAGCAATAAGGTATTAATGATTAACTGAGGTTTCTACTGAAAAGAGCTAATCCCTGCTTCCTCTTGGACACATCTCATTACTTCTGTTTCCCCTTATCTTGGCTTCCCACCTCCTGAGGGTACAAAGCTATTGGCCCTAAAATGCAGCTCTAAATGTGGTGGAGTTAACTGGGGATTTTTGGCAGGTGTCTTTAAAACTAGCCTTGCAGGTTGCACAGTGTAAAATCCCAGTCTATGAAAACAGCATCCCTAAGGTTGTGTAGTACATAACCTATACAATCCCACAGATGTCCCTGCTGCAGGGCTGCTGCAGTGAGCTCTGTAAGTTAGGAGACTTCAGACACCTTGAAGGAAGGATCTCCTGGGTGTAAACGTTGCCTTTCCCTTGAAAGTAAAGTTCTGACAGGCAAAAAGTCAGAATCAAAGTGGTCTTCTAAGTAGTATGGACTTACAGAACAACGGAGAAAACATCAGGAGAACCGCAATGCAGTTAACTTGGAATTGTTATGTAACTAGCTGATTCACACTTTGAAATTCTTCTGCTTGGGAGCAGGATTTAGATATGAAAACAGTTTTCTCCTCCTTGCATTTTATTTAGAGGAAACAGAGCAAACTATGCAGGTAATGATCATCTATGTCACTGATATCTTGAGCTTCACTGTAACACTTACTGTACTTGTTCCATGTTTACATGAATTCAAAAAAAGAAGTGACCACTCTGTCATTTCTTACTGAATTAGCTTAACAGTTTAGGATTCTTTAGGATAAGCCAATACACGAAGGCCATAATATGTGTGTGTGTGTGTGTGTGTGTGTGTGTGTGTGTGTGTGTGGTGTGTGTACTTGGAAGCATCTTTTCCACTGAATGTTTTCCAGGTACTATTTGCAAATTTTACCAAACTCCCAAGGTAAACTCATTGCCGAAACCTCGACTTGTCATTGTGAAAACTTGACAACCTGGTGTTGTCACTGGTACCCATGTCCTAGAACTTCCATGTAAGAGGATCTTTGTGCCTTAGTCATTTAACTCCCAGGAACATATATAAGACCAGTTAGCCTTAGGCTGAATTATTCCTGTAATGAATAAATGTGTCGATGTTTTAAATAATTTCTGATATACAGCTCAATCCTGTTTCTCTGAATTCTGTTGAGATATGAAATAAGTGGTCACAAACTCTGTGTAATATCAGGGATCTTATTCAATCCCATGGCTCCAATGACTATCTTGACCCCAATGATGCCTGCATTTATATCACCAGATGGGACCTCTCTCTCGAGTCCCTGACTTGCATAACCAATTTCCCTCTCAATTGTCTCTCCATGAAATTGGTTATACAAGTCAGTGCCCCTCAAATGCAACATCCAAAATTTATCTTCCCCACAATTTGGCTTCTCAATCCTTGGTGACTTTGTAAACCACCCAGTTGGTGACAACAGAATCCTGAGAATCATCCTCACCTGGACACTCTATTTTTCATCACTGTGCACTCAGATCCCAGCACAGGGCCTGCCTATTGAAGGAGGTCAATACATCTTTACTGAATGATCTCTGTGCTCTCCTGCTTTGTCCCTGCCCGTGTCAGGTCCATTACATCCTGACCATTTCATGATCTTGAATTCACTACCCTTCCTCTAGTCCTCGCTTGCTCAGCATGTCCCCCCCTGGGTTTCTATAGTAGCCTTCTAATAGAATCTACATGCATAATCTGGTCCCTACCTACTTCCCCAGCTGCTTCTTATCATCCCAGACTTGTTCTCCTCTGCTTCCCTCCTCTCTCCTCTGCAACCTCTCCATTGCCCTTCTTTGACTGCTTTGCAAATGCCAAGCTCCTACCTGCTTCACGGACAGGCTATTTCCTTTATCAAAAGCCCTTAACCCATGGCTAATTCTTACTTCTCTTTTGCTCCTAGCCAAAGTGTTACTTGCACAGGGAACCTTTGCCTGATCACTAAAGACTGCGGTAGGTTTCCTACTTCTATGCTGCCAGAGCACCTCCCTCTTTGTAGTTGTCACTACTTTTTTTCAGTAAATATTGCCTAACGAAGCTGTTATTATTAAAGGGCAATGAATGCATGAATTGTCTGAAGGCTGTCTCTGCCCCAGATAAATACTGTGCTTGAGTGCTGGAGCATGTCTTCCCAGATGGCCACATCTCCAGTACTGAGTACAGTGTCTGCTGCAGAGAAAGCACTTGATAAACAGGTGCTGAATGAATGAATGAGTAGCTGGTCAGCCCTCCCAGCCCTTCCCTTTTTGGCTGAATAACCACAGTTCCTTACAGAGCGTATTATCAGTTCCCTGCCCTCTGGTGAGTCTTCTACTTGTCCTTGGTGACAGCACCAGTGTCACTGTCTGGATGTCCTTTTAAGAGTCTAAGAATTGCCAATTGAAATAGAAAAGCAACAGCCACACACTAATGAAACTTAAAACACCTGGAGAACCCTGCATTTTCACTGCCAAAGGAAGTGTGTTCAGATCCCCTTTGGGTCGGAGTGAATGTATCTGAGTGGGGGAGCCCCATACTTTGTTCTCTGAGGACAAGGGGGCCCAGTTCACTGGGGCTGCAGCTGGGGATGGGGGTGGTTAGTTACAACAGCAGAAAGACGAGGTGGCAAGGGGCCTTGGGAGAGTTCACAGTGAAACAAAGTGGAAAATCCTTAATAGACTGGATTAAGAATAAATTCTTAATAGACTGGGATGAATGCAAGTGACTAGACATCAACCATTTTGACCTCACCAAGCCCTGGTCTTCCTCATTTAAAATAAAGTTAATAATCATCCATGCTTCAAGCAAGAGAAAGGAGAGGGCTGTGGATTTATTCAGTTATCAAAGTTTGTCCACAGAAATAACAACACAAACACCCACCACTGCTGGGCTGGCTTGTTCTTTCTTCCTACCACAAGTATTTCTGGAGTATTCCCCAGTGCCTGGCACTGCACTCGGTGCCAGGAGGACGAAAGGGAACACAGTCTCTGGCAGTCATGGAGCTGGAAGCTTAGTTTGAGGGAGATAAAATAAATGAATGGCTATTATATATGTCAACTACAATAAAGTGCTATGAAGAATAATAAGATGGGGTACAAGGACAGATTTTGTGGGACTCTGTAACCTGTACTAGGATTTTGGATTCCATCCTAAGCGCAACAGAAAGTCACTGGGCTGTGAGCAGAAGTGCGATGACTTCCCACGTCGTTCTTTCCCCTTGTCTTTTAAAACATGGAAGATAACACATCATTACCTTGAGAATGACTTATGATGAGACAGAATGGGAAAAGTGTTTTGACTTTTCAAAACTCTTCAAAAGCATCGTGACATTTCAAGGCCCATGGGTGTCTATCAGCAATTAGCAATTGGGTAGATGATGCTTCCATTGTCACTTCTGTCATGTTTACTTAACGAGTGGCTCTGGGTACATTTGTACTATTTTAGCACACTTCTCACATGTGAATAATACCAATAATTTCGGTAACAAAGCAGTAAAACTTAGCATATTCCAACCCGCAAAGCTCAAACATTTCTATGAGAAATGCATGAATTATTTTTCTGAGTTTATTCTTCCCCATGTCCTTCCTTTCTTTCCAAGCATTTTGTGTGTCTCCCCTGTGGGCTCTTCTTCTTGCTTGGGCTTACTCAAGCAAGTTTCCTGCCTCTCCTGAGTAGCTAGGATGCTAGATGTGCACCACCATGCCTGGCTAATGTTTAATTTAATTTAATTTTTTTTTTTTTTTGAGACAGTCTCACTCTGTTGCCCAGGCTGGAGTGCAGTGGTGCAATCTTGACTTACTGCAACCTCCACCTCATGGGTACAAGCAATTCTCCTGTCTCAGCCTCCTGAGTAGCTGGGACTATTGGTGCACGCCACCATGCCTGGCTAATTTTTGTATTTTTAGTAGAGGCGGTGTTTCACCATATTGGTCAGGCTGCTCTTGAACTCCTGACCTCAGGTGATCCACCCACCTCGGCCTCCCAAAGTGCTGCAATTACAGGCATGAGCCACTGCACCTAGTTTAATTTTATGTTTTGTAGAGATGGGATCTTGCTATGTTGCCCAGGCTAGTCTCGAATTCCTGGGCTCAAGTGGTCCTCCTGCCTTGGTCTCCCAAAGTGCTGGGACTACAGATGTGAGCCACCGTGCCTGACCTAACTTGGTTCTTGCTACCCCAAACACAGTTAATCTAGTTCAGTTTGCTTTACTATAACCTGTGTCCTGCACTTAGCATGCTCACACTTGTTTCTTTTACATTGGCTTTGGAAATGCTCTCTTTCTCTTCACCTGCTTAGCTACAGCCTCCTCAGCTCCAGTCCCACCTCCTTCATGAAGCCATCTGTGATTACTCCAGCCTTCACTAATCTCTCCAATGCACCTAGCGCCAGTGCTAGAAACAACAGTTTAATGCTTGATAATAGCAGCTACCACAATAGCTAAACATACACTGAGCGCTTGCTAAGAGTCAGGCATGCAAAGCACTGGGCACATGAGGTGGATGCCAGCAATAGTCTTGTTCTACAGATGAGAAAACGGAACACCGAGAGGAAAGCAATGTGCCAAACAAAGGACAAGTGTAGATGACAGAACTGGGATTTGAACCGAAGGTGCCAGAGCCTGACTGCATAAACACTATACACTGTTCCACTGTGTCCATGTCTCCTCTGTGTCCTTTTACTAGTTCTTTCATAAGTTATTTAAAAAATCTCCTTAAATAGAATGCAAATCCTTTGAGGTTGGAGACACATATTTCTTCATAGCAACTTGCCTAAGGCTGGTTAAACAGCAATAAATGCTCTAACTAGCTAAAGGGTCCAGCCAGGCAGTAAGTTATCTGACACCCTGACGGTCAAAGTAATTCTCTTCCTTTACACAGACTTAATCAAACTAAACGCAAAGAGTGTCAATACAGTGGTGTAATAAACTAATAATTTTCTTCACTCTTAAAAGTTATAGGAATAAAATCTTCCTTTCATACGACAGCACAGCCTGACTGATGCTCTCGGTTTTTCAGTGCCAACAGGATGACTGCCCAAAGTCATCATGTCAGGATGGCCCATCCCAAGCCCCAGGCCACATTCCAGTTAATGAAGTCCCTCTATCCCTAGTGGCCAGGTAATCTGTTTTTCACTTCTGCCTCAAATAGAAATAGCTTACTTGACTCAGTTACTTCCTGTTCTTTATGTGTTTTCATACATTAAGATGATGGCATGGGCATTTCAAATGCTCCAATGAAGACTGCAGATACTTTTGCTGCCAAATCACCTCCTGCAGTAAGAGTACATAAGCCGGCCAGGAAACGAGGAGTGGATGCTCTTCAGTGACAATGCAAAGTGGTCCGATTGTGGGCTGAGCTGGGATTGAGTGGTCACTTGTGGAAGGACCACTATGATCATTTAGGAAAGGAGCTTCCGAGTCAGGTATCCCTGTGCTTGCACACTGGATTTGCTGGTTGATCATTTAAAACATCCCTAAGTCTCAGTTTCCTTGTCTGTAAACTGGGGATGATAACCTCCTAAGGTTGTGGTGGGAAGAACAGTTGATGTAAAAGGCTCAGCACAGCGTCTGGTACCTGGTAATAGCTGAATAAATACCAGCTGTTATTTTATTCAGATAGTAAAGGCCTAAAGTCCCTGAGTTGCACTGGCAAATGCCATCAGCAATGCCAAAGCTCTCCAAACATCAGAAGAGGAAAAGAAGATGAAAAAACCCTCCTAATCAAAACACTCATCAACCAATCACTGAGAATCTTCTGAGGGTCCATGATGTCCCCAGCACCCTGTGAGGCGCTCCTGGGAAAACCAAGCACAGGTTGCCTCCGCCCTTGGGGTTTCTAGGCAGCCAGGGAGACAGACTTCACGGGCAAACCCAACAGAGAACTAAATGGTGGCACTGCCTTTAGGAAGAAGAGGGCTCAGCAGAGACAGGAAAAGAGAACATAAGCAGGAGATGAGGGCTTCAGGGAGAGGCAGCCGCATTGGAATGATGCAGCATGACCCATGGCTCTCCTTGCGGTGGGGAGGGTCACGGCAGGGGCCAGGACAGGCCTGGGTGGGCCCAGCTCACATCTCCGGAGAGCTGAACTGCCAAGTCTCTCTCTTTTTTATTTTTCTTGGTGACCAGGCCAATTCCATAGTCTCAGAGAATATCCCCTCTGGCTAAAAAACTAGGCCAAGGTGGAGAAGGTGAAGTCAGTATTGAATAAAAGAAGCCAAATCCTTCCTACAGAGAATCTGAGCTGTGCCCTAATAGCATTTTCAAGGAGGAAACCCATTAACTTCAACAATAGACACTGTTTTTCTGAACCAAAGAGCCACCCAGAGCCCTTTTTAATTATAAAGCCACTAACTCTGCAAATTATTATATCCAATATTTAATAGTATGCAATAATTCAACTTGAAAGTTACTCTGGGTAATAAAACAAAAAAAAAAAATCACAAACAATGCCAATAACAGAAATTTGGTTTACAGGAGGGGGAGGTGACAAGGCGGTACCAGGACAGGATATCCTGTGAAAGAAGCAAAATCAAAGCTGACCTGACCTGGAACTTTGTGGTTATTTAAACAAAACAATGATTTCAAACCCAATGAAACTTGGCAAAGCAAAACTCAGAATTTTCACACTAGGCCAAAGGAATGACTTTCAGATTTCCCAAATGCTTCTGAAGTAATACAACTGGGTGTTTTCCAGTTATCCCCGGTGACGCACTCTGTTGAAACTTCTACTTCAAGTTCATAAAGTTTTAGCATCATGTTTTTTTGAAAAGTATATGTTACAATGGGTTAAGATTATATTCCATCTGAAATTTCATAATGTTGAGCAAGAAGTTTGAGAAGGAGGGAGGTTGGGAGGAAGGAGGAATGCTGTCCCACCGGGGATGTGAGTGGAGAAGGGACAAGTTAGGCCAAGGAGGACAAGAACCAAGGAGTGGAAGGTGGGCCCGAACATATTGCAAAGATAAGGTTGATTAAGTAGGCACAGATCCAAAGTCTGGTTGAGTGGAATCCATGGAAGGAATATTCAGGCTGAGAGGGGTGAGGAAAGTTCCAAGAGAGCCCAGAGTTCAAGACTGGACAGAGAAGAGACAGAAGGTCCATCAGTGGGTATTAAAAATTGAACCCAGGACAACTAGAGGACACAGGGGAGTAGGCTCAGCTACCAGGGAGAATGCAGGGGCAAGGCTGGACTCTAGGTATTAATCCTGGGGTTTTGCAGTCGGGGAAGGATAGGCAGGATAAATTGTGGAAGGGCATTCGATCCAGACATGGAGGCTACCAGAAGGTAAACTGTGACATTCCTTCCAAATATCCCTAGAGGAGCCAGGAAGTGAAGGGAGGAAACTCTGGGCTGCTTGCCTTTCTCCATCACCCTCCTTGCAACGGTGACCAATGACAAACCCAGGGTAACTTATGGGGGCAACACAAAAGTAGAGGATAACATTAATGGGCATCTCCTGAAACTGTGGGTATTTAGTCCTTTTAAGAAGGAAATCTGAGAACCATCGAAGGGACTTTCCTTGGAGTACAGACTGTGTTATGGAGGCTTATTTAAGTGGTTATCTTGGGTGGGACTGAAGAAAAAAGGAGCCCTGCTTGCTGTTCTAGAATACTGAGGCTCTGAATAATTCCAATTATCCTTCCAGTTTCCGAAGAGCCAGAAAGGAAGTAATATCAGAATAAAAATTCTGTAACTTGATTACCTCTGTAAAGAGAAAACAAAACAAAACAAAACAAACAGAATAAAAATTCTGATTCACAGCTTCAACAGCATAAACGCTATGTTTGCGGACTTTCAATCCAGAACAAAAGACAAGAGCTTTGTAACCAACTGCACACTGCTGCCCAGGGTGGTGAGAGGAACTCACCTGAGTGATCAACGGATGTGTGGGATGTAGCTCAACACAGAAATGATGCCAAGAATCCAGCCACCCCCAGAAGGGGCAGAGGGCCCGTGTCAGTCTGACTTCATGCCACATGACGAGCTGGGCTGCATGGGCAGCACTGGGTTTGGGGATACTGTGTGGGAACAGTTGGAGGTCACGGGGTTTGACTGGGAGCTCAGAACATATCAAAGGATAATAGGATATACAGAAGACAAACATCACTTTGGGGTGGCTTTTTCAAACCGCTCCCCTTTTCAATCTGGTACAGTGTCTGTGCCAATGGGGGAGCCACCCTGGGGATGGCAGAGCAATGCCACTGAGCCCCCTCCTTTGGCTGTAAGAAATGAGGCTTCAGAACTTGGGGCAGTTTACAAATGTACTGCGTGTCCATGATTACCCAGATGATGCAAATGCAGGAGTTCCTTTTGCCAGCAAAGCAAGACAAGGAAGCCAACTGACATTTTTGATGTTTGATGGCAGTCTACAGTTCCTATTTACACACTTTAAAATCACAGAGGGTGACCATCTGCTTCCTTCTTGATGATTACCAAGAAACGTGGGCTGCACAGACTGAGGACTTGCTCTTGACCATTCATAAACAACCATCAAAAGGCTCTGCCCAAAACAGCACAAAGGAGAAAGAGATGCTCACACAGAATACAAAATGGGACTGACCAGCACAGATAAAGGGGAAAGGTGTGCAAAGAAGCTGGGCTTGAGGTGACCACTGCTTACCTCCAATCCATTTGTATCCTCTGGGCAGAGTCAGAGCTGCCCGAGGGTGGGAATGAAAGAAATTGGTCCCATCTCCGACCTGAAACAGTTTTAATCTTTAAAGAGAGACTGTAGTAGGAAAGGGTGATTTAGAGTCCCTTTTCTTTTAATTTTCATCTTTGGCTTTCAACACACCCTTTCCGGGAGGAAAATGGATGCGCTCTACAATTCATCTCCATTTCCCTGCCAATTTGACCTGCTCCCCCTAACTATTAATCTGGGCCCCGAAGCTCCACGGTGGCTCAGCAGATAAACAAAGCCGTCCCTCCCAGAAACGAGGTGGAAGCTCAGAGCTTGAAGCGACAGAATACAAATGAAGGAGCTTTTCTGCTTAGTGACTGAAGTGTACCAAACTCGGATCCGGGAAGCTTGATTACAAGCAGCACGGTTCAGGCATGCGACTCAGCTCAGCGGGAAAGCCGTGTCTGACCTCGGAGGGCAGGGCATTCTGTCGGGCAAGTCCCCTGGGGTCTCTCCCTAGACAGCCCTCAGGATGATAGACTCTCAATGTGGGCTGGGGAGGTGGGGGTTGGCATGGTCATTTTATGGCGGCACCACTGAGTTGGGAACACACTAGTCGGTGCTTAAGACAATGGCTTGCATTTTAAAGGGTTTGCTTTTCATGAAAGGATGGTTTGCTTCTCTAGCATGGGAAGAATTAGATTAAATTCAGTAATTAAAAAGGTTTTTTTTTTCTTCCTTTTCTCTCTCCTGATATTTGCTGTTCAGGTCACAGCACACTGTGCGGGAATGGCAATGCTGTTGTTGACAGAGAACAAGAAATTCATGTGCTGACGGGGGCAGAGGGAGGGCATCTCACGGCGAGATCAGCCTTGATCTGCCACCGGATTACAGGGGCCTCAGAAGCGGCTGATTAATAATTCTGCAGGAGCCCTTGAGCTGGAAAGCTGGCGCTCTGAGTCTAATAATCCCCAGTCGTTGTAATACAAAGGAAGGACAGGAATTGAATTCACAGTTCTGGATTGTGAAATTCAAAATTCGAAAGAAACAGGGATCCACTTCTTCCTGAGTGTGTTTGTCAACCTAGCTGCCTGCTTGTTTGTGTTAAATGGCTACTGTGCTTTTTGAATCTAAAATCTGATTATATTTAATTAGTACAGGCATCTGGGATTTCTAATACACAAAGAGTTATTAAAGTAACAAATCTTTCTAAAATATGTTTTCTATGAAAGAATGTGTTAATTTATGCGGTAACAATTTTTTAACATGAAATAATTAACATGAAAACTGCAACAGTTAGTAATTCTTCGTAGTCTAATTTATACTTGAATTTTCCTCCAGACAATAATCTATTCAATTTAAACCCTCAATACTGGGAGCATTTGAACAGACACATTTTTCTTCTTCTATTTAATACATAAGCCTAAACTTACAGCAGTCTTATACAAAGACCCGAATGTTCCTATTTTTATTTACAGTCCAAAGATCCAAAGATTATGTTTCCTTGACATTTGTTTCATTAATTTTGAACTTAAAAAACAAACCAACCAAAACCATAGAGCAACCCCAGTTCCTGTCCTTCATGAGGATTCAAATCAGGAGAAAGGATGATAGAGGCAGAGCCTCCATGTGGAAGGAGCCCTGATGGGAGCGATCAGGAAAACCCAAAGTGGGGTGGGTGGGTGTGTGTGTGTGTGTGTGTGTGTGTATGTGTGTGTCAGAGAGAGAGAGAGAGAGAAACACAGCTATTGGCATCCATTGGATCAATATTATAATAATATTACTATTACTACTACTGCCAACTACCACTATCAGCTCAGTGTTGGCTTTGTGCCAACTGCTTTATGGTTATTCACAGGGAAGCCATACAATTCTATGATATAGATAACTATTATTATCCCTATTTTAAGAGGAAGAAATAAAAGCTCAGACAGGTTAAGCAACTTGTTCAAGGTCTCACAGTGAATTGGCAGCAATGCTAGGATTTATACCAAGACACTTTGATCTCATGGGTCATGCTCTTAACCAGTCCAGGCCCTGCCCTCTTTGGGAGGGGACTGAGGTGTATGTGGGAAGAAGAAAAGAGGTCAAGCTATCCAAAAAAAACCCAAAAAACAAAAAACAAACCAAAATAAAACAGAACAAAAAAACTCCAAAGTGTTGTGGGGAGGAGCTGGAAGAAGTGAATAATACCAACAACTTCTACTAATTGTCTTCTTGAATTCTTACAACCACCTTAAAGGTAACCAACACCAATCCTATTTTATGATGAGAAAGGTGAGGCTCAGAGGGGCCAGAACTTATGCTCTAGGAATACGGCGTCAGGATGTGAACACAGGCTTATCTAGCTCCAAAGCTCTTGTGCTTCCCATCACTCCAAAGACAATCTTGGAGTGTGCAAGGAATATCAATGCAATAAACAACCCTTTCTGGAGGTTCCTGCAGCCACAACAGCATTTGATTCCCAGAGAGAGCCATGCACATTGATGAGAGACAGCAGGAGAGCATGTCTCACAAGAGTGTGGGGGGGTTGGTGACCTTGGTTATTTCCATTGCTGTAAACAAATATTTATTAAATACTACTATGTGCTCTGTGTCTACAAGGGCCCGCTGCTAGTCTTTAAACTAAATCACTTCTATAGAGAAGCAGTAAGACCGACTCCACAGATACTCGGGAGAACTGCTCCAGCCGTGCCCACGCAGCGTGTGTGTGCTCATGCAGCGTGTGTGTGCTCATGTGTGCTCATGTTGATGTGTGTATGCACATGCCTCAGTGAAAATGCTGAGAAGGCCCATCTGATATTCAGACTTCACAAGATTAAAAACAAGAGAGGCAGCGCAGAGGCAGGGATAGTTCTCAACAGAGAATGCAAATATGAGAAAATAGGCAAGCTGGCCGGAGATGAGGACAGTGGATGTGTGACTCCCCGCTGTGTCCGGGGTGAGGGGGCCCTTGGAGCATGCAGGTATATCAAAGTGGTGACTGCCCAGATCCACTGACTGGCCTAGGCTATAAAATAGGGAGACAGTATTTTTTTTCTTGAAAGATTGATTTTTTCCCTATTTATTACTAATAGTGATTCTCTTTAAAAACTTTTTAGACTGTTTTCAAGGAAAATGTATGTCAAATACAAAAAGTTGAGGTGATAAGGATGATTTTTACATTTCACAACTCTCAAAGAACTTTTATAGATAGCCCATGTAAGTTTCACACTAATGATGTGAGGTGATCATTTTTATTATCACCATTTTACAGATGATAAAAATGAGGCTCAAAGAGCTTAAGTAACTGGCCTGCGGACACCAAGCTTGTAAGTGACAGAGCTGATTCAAAGCCAGGGATCCTAATGTCCAACCCCTGGTTCCTCAGTCTCACTAGGCTGCCTCACTAGCAGCTTAGAGGCAAGTACAGTACTGGCAAATGACACACTAAGTGTGTATTCACCTTTTTAAAAATATGTCCACAAAATCTGTTAGGCAGTAACTGCAATTGCTAACCTAGGTTTGCCCTGTAATTACCAATTCCACTGGAGAACACAGCCCAGAGAGATGAGGGCATGTGTGTATCACCACAGCAGCCGTATTTATAATGGCCCCAATTTGGAAATAACCCCAAATGTTCAGGAACAGTAGAATGGAGGCTCTGTGATATATTTGTACAGTGGAATACTACTCAGCCATGAAAAGAACTACTGTTCCATGCAGCAATATGGAAGAATCTCACAGACATAATGGGAAAGAAGCCAGACACAAGAGTAATACTATAGGATTCATGTCTGTGATGTTCATTTACAGGCAAAACTTACCAATCTATGGTGAAAAGGGGAAAAAAGGCTATTTGTGGGGGTGGTTACTGACTGGGAGTGGGAATAAGGGGTCTTCTGGAGTGCTGGAGGTATTCTGTATCTTTATCTTCGGGGTGGATTCAGGGGCATATATGTACATAAAAATTCATCGGGCTGCACACTTCAGATTTGTTCGTTTTACTGTATGTGTGTTATAGCTCATAAAGAACAAAAAGGTATCCACAAAAGGAAGTTATGCTTACACACAGCCATGTCTGTCTGAACTTGTTAGGTTTAAATCAACATTAGTCGGCACTGAAAGCTCATGAAGAAAAAACTAGAGTCTGCAGAGGATTTTCCCACTGCTTCTCTCCTGCTTGTGCAATCTCTGAAGGAAGTGAGGGCTGGAGGGGCTGTGAATTTCCAGAAGCAAGGCTTGTGACATTGCCTATGTCGGGGGTCACAGGAGACAGGTGTGGTATGGACAAGAAGATGGACAGCAGATCCTTGTGGTGCCTGTGGTGAGTTCTGGAATGATTCTGGGAAGAAGGTGCAGTGGTGGGGTAGGGAGGTGGCTGTGACCAGAACTCAGGGGAGGGCTGGAAGGCTGAGGGCCCAGCTGTGGCAGTGAGACCCAGTGAGGGCACCCCGACTCATCTTTCTGGGCTTGGAGGACCAAGACCACCACCTCAAGCTCAACAGATCCAAACCCAAATGCATCCTCTTTCTCTGAAAGTAAGATCTTCCCAAGTACTCATTTCTGTTATTGGTAATGCCATTCTCACAATCACCTGCATCTGACTACTTGGGAATTATCTTTGATTCTTCTCTCCCTTTCCTGAATAGTGTTTGAGACTTTCCATGTATCTACAATCCATTCACTCATTTGTTTATTCCCCAAGAACTTAGTATTGTACCAGATATACCAACAGTAACAAGCAACATTTATCACTATGTGCTGGGTACCCTGTTAAACACTTTACATGCATTGTTTCACTTAATCTTTGCAAAAATGCATACAGCAGACAAAATGTCTTTCCATTTTACAGATAAGTAAACTGAGGTAGGCAAAAGTTAAATAACTTGCCTAAGACCCCAGAACATCAGGTGGTAGCGCTGGATTTCAAAACCAGTTCCATCTGACTTCAACAATCCCCCACGTCTTCCTCCTCATGCTTGCTGACTGTCGTGCAGTCTTAGGCTTCTTGATATCAGTAGCTCCTAGTAAAGTCCTTTCATAGATAAGGCACTCAAATAACTGATGTTGGCATTATTTAGAGACTCTGATTGGGCAGAATTTAGCAAAGTGTTTGTAACTAAAGACGAACTATCTGCTGTAATTGAGTGAGATGTCCAGGGAATAGAGAATAAGCAATCGCCCCAAATTTCTAGTTGCTTCTAGAGTGCTGTCAGTGGAAGACCACCTCACAGGCTCAGGGCCTGGCCTTGACCACCTCCCTGACATGGGCTGCTGCTCAGTCCTGGGTAGCTGGGATGGTGCGAAGTAAGGAGCACAGGAAGGACTGTGGAACCCAGCTCCACACTCCAATTCTGCTTGTGCCCTATGCAATGCCACCTCATCTGCCCAAGGGGTGACAGATATTTCCGTGCACGCTGAGATGGGAAACTCACAACTGTTTTGAAAACAATTGTCATTCATGGTCCTAAAATATCTGTGTTTGGTGCATGTTTCCGAATGCCGCCTGCATTCCCATAATCAAGATGCAGCATGGCTGTGGCCTGTGGGTAACATAAAACCCGACTTGCAAATATTATTAGGCATGCGGACCAGCTGTCTGGAGGAGCTGATTAATTCCCAGCAGAAACTTCAGCACACAGCACACATGCCATCTGCAGAGTACACCAGCAGACACACACCAGGCCCTTTCTGCCTCGTAAAGCAGCCAGGGCAGGGCAGGCCCTCGGGAGGAATTTTATAAACAGCTGGGTTGTCCCAGTGCTGGAAAAGGAAGGTCTCTCCAACTCCCTCATACAGACACACTAGAAGGTGCTCCTTAAAAACAGTCCCATAAAATAAAGGGGAAAAGGGATGTATGACTAATCCTCTCTATCTTTATTTTCTGTTCTTTTGATCACTGACTTGATGAGATGTGGTCAGCATAGCTTAGAATGGTAGATGCAACAGGGTCAGCCATTTCTGGATTCAAATCCTGGCTCTGCTATTTTCCTAGCTGTGTGACTTTGTACAAGTTACTTAACCCCTCTGAGTCTATTCCTATTGTTTCCCTGCTTGGTCCTCACGTTTCCTCTCAGGCCTGGCACTTGGAAGGTGTTTTATAAATGGCTCTGCCACTCCCTACCCCTCTGCTGCAGGACAGCATGTCTTTTATTCTCCTGGGACATCCTGGGACCTGCCTTGCCAAGCTTCATTTCCCCCCCCCCCAGTTCAGCTCTCCAGTTCACTTACTTCTTACTTCTCTCTTTCTAGTGTTTGGCATGGATTTGAAGGTGTTTGGGAAAGGGAGGAAAGAAGAAAAATGTTTGAAGAAGGAAGGACGGGACCCTCGATTTGGAAATTAAGTAAGGAAACGCAGTACAAAGGCTAAAAGAACAAGGTTGGCCTTTTGAAAGGGGCTCTGACGGCACCTGGGGACATGATGGTGCAGCTGGGCAGCCGGCAGAAGGGCAATCAGGACAGCTAATGCAGAGGAACGGCTGGGGGCCAGGCTGAGGGCAGCAGCCTGGGACCCGCTCAGGGCAGCAGCCTGATGGGAGGGGAACCAGCGAGGGTGCCAATCACCTAGGGCCACAGCCTGAGGAGCCTCACTCCAGTGAATAAGGCGTGGACTAAACCCCCAGGCCCTATTAACAGCACCCCTGCCAGCATCCTCTGGCTCCTGGCCTGGCAACCTTTTCATTTACCCATGGTTCATGAGCGTTAACCACAAACCCTGTAGAGTTCAAAGTCCAGGAAAAGGGGAAAAACTCGACTCACACACAGAAGGGTGAGCACACGGCTCTATTCTAGCCCTTTCCTTAATCAAATATTCATGTCTCACAACCTTTGCCCACTCTCCTTCTGAGTCTGAGGAGCTGGGATCTGACAGACTTGCCTCAGGATAAAGTCCCTCATTCAGGGCAAGTCTCAGATCCACTGGCACTCAGGTCCTCTCGGCTCACCTTGCCTCAAATTCACATGCACATTCCTCTCTGGACGGCCAGTGCCAATCAAAGCTGCAGTGCGCCTTTGATTAGAGATACAGCATGCCATCTGGCCCAGCACCGGGGGTGTATGTGTGTGTGTAACGCACGGGTATGCTTGCTGTGTGGGCATTTGGCTCCAGGACAAGAACTGCCACGTGTTGGGGAAATTCAAATAGCTGAGCTGTCTGACCGACATGTAATTCAGCATTTGGACAGTATCGGTAGCAGCCAGGGTCTTAGTTTAACATTTTTCCTCATCACTTGAGGCTGCTAAGAATGCTTCCATTCTCAGATCAAATGAAGGGAGAGGATAATTGGCATGAAATGAAAGAATCAAGAGGAGGAGGAACAGGGGCAAGAGAAGGAGAAGGAAAAAGAGAAAGAAAAGGACTCCAGAGCTGGCCATTATGAAATGCAGTAGAAAGCATCACCCTGTAATACATTCCAGTCACTGCTCCGCTTTGCTTGGGATGACTAGGCTTTGGTTAGAAACACCAACAATGAAAGTTCCCCCTTGCCCCAGCTATAAACATTATATTCTACATGAGGAGCCTATACTCGATTGCAAACCACATACTTAATCACACACTTTTACCTGGTGACCACTTTGTCAGTATCTGGGAAGAAGGAAAATATTCCTAAAAACTCCTTTCTAGTATCTGGTGCTCTAATAGCACCTGAAAAGCTGCCCCACTGGAATGGCTGCTGAGTTGGGATATATTTTACTTAAAGGCTAATTTCTATAAATTTTTGCAGAGGGTGGGATGGCGGGGATGATGAAAGGAGGTAGAGATTTTCGAGTAACTATGCTGTTACCATCTGTAGTGTAAGTCCACTCTCCACTCTCCCTCTCCCTGCTCTGGACCCATAAGGATTCATCGCTGAGCTCCTGTGACCTCTACTTCTGGTTGGGTCTGGCAGAAGACCCAGAAGTGGGCTAGAGTGGGGTTGGGTGTGAATCCCCAGATCCATCCCTGACGTCTCTCTTTACTGAGGAGGCCCTCTCTGTGCAGTGGCCCATTCTGACTTCTTGTGCCCACTTCTCTGCCCCCTTACCTTTGAGGCCTTAGTTCTGTTGCTGTTACAAGCTCTGAGACACTGCACCATGCCCTGTTGGCTTTCTGAAACCCTGCCTGTGCCTTTGTAAAAAACACAGGCATGTGAGAATGTGAGAATAAATGTGGTCTCTTTCTCCAAAAACAGAGTATTCTAGGCCTGGACGCTGTGAGGAGACCAGCATGAGCCAAGAGGACCACAGCAGCAAATACCAATACCCACCCACCCACCAAAAACCAATATCTCATCCCTCCACTGGGCCCACAACAGTCTCCCACCTGCAGAGCTGTCAAATTCCTGCCAGATCAAGGTGTCCAAACCAAGCTGAAGAATGACATTTCAAGTATTTTCTGAAGGAAGGGAAGGGAAGGAGGAAGGAAGGGCTGTGCAGTAAGTGACTGTTCTCACAGCTGTGATCACGAGCCATTGTCATTCAAGTGCCCACCTTGTCTTGCTGTGTACTCATTGTCTTCTATCAATCGGGCCAATCCGAAGTCAGCAATCTTGCATATGAGTCCATTCCCCACTAGAATGTTTGCTGATCGCAGATCTCTATGGATATAATTCATGCGCTCGATGTAAGCCATTCCTGCAGCCACCTGTGGAAACCCAGGGAACAGGACATGTTACACCACGACCCAATGTACTTAGACACGTCATTAAATCTATGGCACATCAAGTTACCCTGCAGGGCCTACCTGTGCTGCCATGTCCACAAGATTTGGTAATTTCAGAGCTCTTCCTTCTCCATCTTTTAAGAAATCCAGTAAACTTCCTATGAACAAAACATAAAATCATTTCAATTTACTTTGAAAGATAATTCCCAACAGAGAGCTGTATTTGGTTTTCTTATTAAAAGTAATAAGGTAGTCAAATGGAATAATGCCATCCACATGGGGGGACAAAAAGGTTTATATAAAAAAGCAGGGTAGAAAAAAGTATAGGCATGGAGAAGTAACAGTTACCTTTTAAAAACAAACAGCATTAATTCCATTTCTAGGAATAACAACATATATTTGATAAAACTAGAAGAAATGGGACTCAATCTCCCTGTATGTCATAAAGAGGAACCTATGAAGAACTGCACCTCTTCAATCCCATTCCCCAATCACCCCTGCACAAAGAATTGATGTGGGGAAAATACAGCCCAGCTGAGTGGTCCAAAACTGTGGTCCTGGGACCAGCAGCTACAATAACACAAGGGAACTTGTTAGATATGCAAATTCTCAGGTCCCATCCCAGATCGAGTAAATCAGAAACTTTGAAGGTTGGGTCCAGAAACTTGGGTTTTAAGAAGGCCTACAGGTGATTCTAATAATACAAGGTAAAGTTTGAGACTCACTAGCTTAGCTTATTTACAGATTTTGAATCAAGAAAAGACAATCTGAAGAATATGGGTGGGGCAGATGGTTCCCCTTAATTAGATCACAGCCAGCCAAGCCTTAAATCAGACATCTGAAATGAAACATTGGAAGCTTCAGAGCCACTATTATAACACAGCCTAAGAAGGCTTAGAACTAACACCAAAGCAGGGATAATCATTTGCAGAAGCTGGAGGCTTATGATGGTCATCAGTGATATTTTATGCTTTAATCACAAAGTTATTTACAAAATAACCCTGGATACAAAGGACAAACCGTTTGCCAGAAAAAAAAATTCCCATTAAATTTTAAAAGAAAGTACATGGAAAAGAAAAATTACACTGGTATCCTCTGATAAACAATGTATTGCCTTTTAAGGCTGTTTCTTGTTTGGTTCATCTATTTTTCCAAAACAAAATGATCTCTGGCCTTATCCCTAACAATGCTGGTTTGATTAGGAAGACAGAGGGGTTGTAGGGGAGAGAATGTGAGAATAAATGTGGTCTCTGAAAGCATGTAATTTCATCGCCTGACGTTTAAGAAGAGAGCTGGAAATAAAAAAGATGTTGAAATGATGGAGACTAAACTTAGCTTAGAGACCAGTGTCTGATATTAATTGTTTAGCCCTGCAAAAAGGAAATGTAACAAAAGCTACTACATTCAAAATAACAGCAAACTATCATAACCCTCCGTACCACCCTGATATTAAAAATGAATGTTTTAATTATGGAGAGGAGCTTGAATTTCTGACACACATAACATGTAAAAAGTATTTGGCATTTCATAAGGATTTGGGGTGGGGTAAACGCAAGGTTAGTCTGTTTTAAAAAATGTTTTCATTAACGAGCACATAACTGGTGGTTCCTAATGGGAATACTTGACCCAGGCAGAAACTAGAAAAGTAGCAAGTAGGAAACTTCCATTTCTCTCCCCTAAACAACCCCTTAAGGCACTGTGAGCTGGAGACAGGAGAGGTGTTGCCCAACCTTTGTTCATATACTCGGTGACGATGTAGATGGGCTCCTCAGACACCACTGCATAGAGCTGGACCAGCTTGTCGTGCTTCAGCTTCTTCATGATCTGCGCTTCCTCAAGGAATGATTCGGGGGACATTGTGCCTGGTTTAAGAGTCTTTATGGCTACTTTTGTGTTTCCATTCCAGGTACCTACAAACATCCCAGAATATGAAGTCAAACCAAAGATCTTCTTTTGATGGAAAAAGGTTTTGACCACCAGCTATTTGCATAAGATTAGATTTTAAATTTAAAACACTTAATACAGTTTTTGTTGAACAAAGACATTCAATTGCAAGGACTCTGTCAAGTATTTTAACAGAAAAAATGAGTTTATTTGTGGTTATGGCTAAGATGGCTATATTAAGATTTATAACTCATTAAAATTTTTTTAAATTTTGATATATTACCACTCTCTCTTTTTTTGGCTCAGTCATATGATTACACATTTATACCAAAAGCTCTGCACCATACAGTGATGAAAGTCCAGGGGTTGGAACAGGCCTGGCCATCTAATAGCTGTCCCTTAGGGAGTACAGTGTGCATGGAAGAAATTAGATTATTTAAGTTTATGGGGTGTGCCATTTAAAAATATGGCACCACATGAGGATGTCTGGAAATTACCTCTAGACTTTCAATGTCTGCAATGGACAAGTTACTTGACTGAGTCCTTGCACAGGTGTGCCAAGCATGCTGATAAGCACTGGCAAGGAGCTCACAGTCTGCTTGCCAATACTTCAACAAGGTAAGGCAAATTTCCTCAGCTTTACTGATGGCTAGCCACAAGAACAATGGCTTCTGTCAGGTAGGTAGACAGGGGAAATTAAACAGCAGCTGAGAGGGAACAGAAATATTTAAATTTAGCATGTTAAAAAAAAATCTAGCAAATCTGAAGGCAAGGCCTGGATTATGATTGTCCTCAGTTACCTCATCTGTAAAATATAGGAATGGAACTGGATTATCTTTTGGGTCTCTTTCAGCCCCAGCATTCAAAAAACAAAACCATACCTAGGTTCTTTGTGTATTCCATTATTAGACCTATGATGCTTAAGAATAACTTTATAAAGGGGAAGAAATCTGCTAATTTAGATTATTTTCTATTTGAAAAAGAAGACTGGTTTAAATTAAGATTTTTATATTTAATATAACTGACTTTGGAATTTAAGGATTCTGTAAATTGGAGTTCTTATTATCCTGTTAAAGACATGGTTCATACAATTACAACATGCAACCTACAAAATATAAATTATGAAAAAACAAGTGGCTTAAAGAAAAGTTCATTTAAACTTCATAAAATATCTGCCCACTAAGCATTCATGGGAAATTTGACAATTTATAAGTGATCTTTGCTATTTAAGAGTCAGCACCCAAAATTCTAAATACATTAAGATCTTCCTCTGTAATACAAACTTCGTCAATTACACAGACATCCATCCCAATTCTGATGGGCATGTTGTCTTGTGTTTATTGGAAAACAAAATGTGAACAGTATATGTAATGATTTAAAGTTGATATTTGTAAAATTTGAAAATAAATTTTCTAATAGGGTCCAATTCTCTGTGATTGTGTGAGTAATTTGACTAAAATCCTCTATTATTAGAGGGTGAATGAGGAAGAAGGAGGTCATATATTTTACGATACTTGAGATTAAGTCCAGAGAGAGATGGACACAATAATGTGGATTTATTAAACTAGCTAACTCATACATATATATGTGTATGTCTGTCTACTACCTATTTATCCACCTAACATACCTACATACATCTTTGTAGTACTTATCATTTGCTGGGCTATGTTTTAAGTGCTTTAACTGTATTAACTCTTTTTTTTTCTTTTCTTGAGACGGAGTTTCGCTTTTGTTGCCCAGGCTGGAGTGCAATGGTGCAATGGTGCGATCTCCGCTCACCGCAACCTCCACCTCCCAGGTTCAAGTGATTCTCCTGCCTCAGCCTCCTGAGTAGCTGGGATTACAGGCATGCACCACCATGCCCGGCTAATTTTGTATTTTTAGTAGAGGCAGGGTTTCTCCATGCTGGTCAGGCTGGTCTCAAACTCCTGACCTCAGGTGATCTGCCTGCCTTGGCCTCCCAAAGTGCTGGGATTACAGGTGTGAGCCACTGTGCCCGGCCACCTGTATTAACTCTTTTAATGCAGACCACACCTAAAGATCTATACCCACACGTAGCAAAGGGTACTGATCGATATTGTTTTTAATGAGTTCTGAGGAAGGAAGATAGAGGATTCCATAAGTATTAATATTGTTTTACTGAAACATGTTTTTGAGTGGGGCCTAAACCCATGAATTGTTTCTAAGCAAAGCTGTAACTGACCCAAAAGGGCTATAAAAGAAATTACAAAGGCCCAGTGCAGCCAGCCTTATCAATGACAATCAAATAAAGAGAAGTATGTATCTCTACTGAATATCTACTATCTGCAAGGGACTTTAAACATATTAACCCATGTAATCCTAAAAATAATCCTTTAAATAAGTATCATTCCAGCCGGGCGTGGTGGCTCACGCCTGTAATCCCAGCACTTTGGGAGGATGAAGCTGGCAGACCACCAGGTCAGGAGATCGAGACCATTCTGGCCAACATGGTGAAACTCCGTCTCTACTAAAAATACAAAAATTAGCTGGGCGTGGTGGCAGGCACCTGTAATCCCAGCTACTCGGGAGGCTGAGGCAGGAGAATCACTCGAACCTGGGAGGTGGAGGTTGCAGTGAGCCAATATCGCGCCATTGCACTCCAGCCTAGTGATAGAGCAAGACTCCGTCTCAACAACAACAAAAAGGTATCATTCCAATTTTACAGATGAAAAAACTGAGGCTTAAAGGAGTTAAATATGCCCCTTGTTCGTGGTTAATTAGCTAGTAAGGATTCAAACCCAGGCCCATTGAGCAAAACGTCCATGGTCTTTCTTATGGCTGCCCATATACAGTATCTTACCTTCCCATTTCTTAGGAAGAGGAAACACCAGATTCATAGTGTACTGGTTTCCTGTTCTGCGGGTGCCTTAATTAACCACATGAAGTAGGACAGATGAGCACAGCAAGGTATCAGCATATTCTGAAAATCTGGATGGCCTGTGCCCGTCTAGTTATCCAGGTTAAGTGTCTTTGTCCCAACGGCTGTGTGTGCATTTTTGTTCAAAACCATCCTTTTAATCGGCTTTGAGATGCAGCCAAAACAAAATGTGCCCTCTGCCTTACCAAGCCACACTTCAGCGAAACACCCCTGACCCAGCTTCTTCTCCAGACACAACGAACGACGTGCAACTTCCCAAGCATCTTTAGCCAATCCAGAAGTTTGTGGGGTACAACTCGATGCAATCACAGTTAAGTTAAAACACAAACCATCAGCTTTCTCTACAGGAAAGGGAATTAATAAAGAAAACACAGTCCTTATAATCCATAATTATGCATGCACTAGGAAAGATGGAAGGTGACTTGCCCGTTAGGATGACACTCAACAAATATTTGCTTTTGGAAATGAAGAGCAAGATATTTTATGGCAGCTGGAACATTCCTTGGACCATTTGCTGGTTTATGAATTGAGAGTCATGTAATAGTACAACTTGAGCCATTTGCCAATTTTGCCCACTTACTATCTTTTTTTTTTTTTTTTTTTTTTTTTAGGAATTCCAGAATGTTAAAACCAAAACTGAAATTATTATTCCCCACTATTAGTAATTCAAACTTTCTTCCCGGTCACGCAGTCTTTATTTTCACCTTCCATCTTTGGTGTTTGGGATCTTCCAAACGGGGAAGCTAATAAGAGAGTAATTGAGTCTCAGCATACCCATCCATACTTCCCCAAACTGCCCATTTCCCAGTCTCTTGATCAACTGCAGGGATTCTCGAGGGATTTCCCAGACATCTTTGGTTTTGACAGACAGATCGGTAAGCCTTGGCATCCCTTTGTGACAGGGAACTACTAGGCGGCAGCAGAGACCTGCAGCTCTCTCTGATGGAGCAGGGCAGGGGCAGGAGAGGGAGAGAAGAGCAGAACACATGTAATGACAACACTCATAAGTGTAAACCCACACTAGCGGCGCACAGTGCTCCTCAAACAGTGCTACTACACCAGCAGACGACCACACACATCGTGGAACACTAGCAGCACACAGCGCTCCTTAAACAGCGCTACACCAGCAGACGACCACACACACGGTGGAAGATCAGACGCCACACACGGAAACATTTTCATTGGAGGTAGAAGAGAGGACGTTTTAAATTTAGACTACTCCATGAGCCCAGGTACGATACAGTCTATACATAGACATACACGCAGACTGCTTTGGTTTCTGTACTCACTGAGGAAGAAAAACGTTTTCAGCTCAACGTGCTAATAACATGTTTTTGGGAATGCTGAAAATATCCTTACTAATTTCAAACAGTGGTTTTGGATTAAAGAATGTCAATATGACTGTTCTTCCCCACCTTTAGTATCTAGATTACCCAGGGGATTAGGGATCTCTCTATATGACTATACTTAAAATTATAACTTTAGTGGAGGATCCTTCTATAGGACATTAAACTGTTATAAACTAGTAAGGTTGAAGATTATAACTGGTGGGGAAAAAAAGAAGTAACTTTTTTTAGTGATTTCTTCGCTTTCTAACTGATTCCATTCCACCATGTCAGATACTCCTGGGCTGCTTCTTGGATATTTTCCATTAAAAAAAAAAAAACAACTTTTTAACAGTCTTCGACGTATAATTTAGGTGTCTGGTTTGAAAGGAGAAAGAATGGAAACTAAAATTCACAGAAATTCAAGATGTGAAAGAATGTATTCTTTATAAAAAAAAGAAGAAAGGAAAAAGTAGTTAACACTCGGAGGTTTTTATTCTTTCTTTGTCTTCTTTCCTTCTTTCTTTCTCTTCTTTTTTAAAAAGAATATAACCTTTTAGAATCTGGCAGTGCTAAGGGGAACTTAAATGCCAAGTAAAAATCAGTCAGGCGAAAAAAGGTAACAAAGAATAAGAAATCAGGGAGTGACAAAAGCTGACAGAGCCTGCCTTGTGAGGTGGACAGACCTCCCGCTCCCTCCTGGCAGCCCCCGGACCCAGGGAAAGCAGATGTGCTGCTGGGCTGTAACTTGCTTTTTACTCCTTTCTTTTTGATGGAATCAGGCTCTGAGATGTTTAGGTAGGAAATTATTTATGTGTCAGCATTTCAAAGGCATTTTATTGTGTGAGAGAGAAAGAGGGAAGAGGGAAAGCCAATATAAAAACAAGTCTAACGTGAGATGGATTTTTTTTCCCCGAGATTAAAAAAAGTGTCTATTGTTCATATCCCCTCTTTCCTTCCAGCTTTACAATGTTATTAAGGTGCCCTTTCGAACACAGTATTTTCAAATGATCCAAACCCTGGGGATCCTGCTGATGTTTGGCTGTAATGAAATATATTTCAGCATTTGAAAAATCCTTACAACATGCAGGCATTTTGAGTATATCACTTAAGCTCAGGGAGATATTTTGTTCCATTTCTCCCAAATGTTTCATTAGAATCCACATAAACCGAGTTAGCCAATGCCATAATCAACTAGTACTGCAAGTGCTGTTAATATTTTCTATTGTTCATTAGTGCAAGGGATCAACAGACATTTCTTATTGTCATTTTCGAAAGATTGCTTTTTCATGCCAAAAATTATACATACATATTTCAATGATTGTGCACAGAGCAATAGTAGAGGTAAATCATATACTATTTTTGAGTCTTGCCTTTGTCCTGGAGAACAATAGAAAATGGAGAAATGGGTCACACAAAAAAATATCTCTAGGCTTAATAGGATATAGACATGTGTCTATACATGTGCACCTATATCTATAGGCACATGTGAACATGTATTATATAGTGGCATATAATACTTGCTAATCTAGGAAAGAAAGCAATCATTTTAACAATTGCACATAAAACCAGTCTTTGATAAAATGTATAAACTGCATATCTAATAATTATATGTTTTCAGAAAGAACAAAATAATGGTGATATCTGGGTGTTAGGACAGAAACTGATGTACATTATAAAAGTTTAATTTAACACAATAGACATAATAGATCTAAGAGCTGTGGGTTGTGTAAGTCTAAGCCTAGTTAGGAAACAGCAGTATTGGTGGGGAACATGATAAATGGCTTGCATGAGAATGAAATGTACGTGCAGCTATTCCTGCAACAGTGCTGAGGGTAAAGTGATAGTGGAAACACAATATTCCTTGTAGGAGTCCCCATGTAAGCGCCCTCCGAGAGACTGCTTTCTCACATGCAACGCGGGGAATGGGAAAAGACAACTTGAAGATGAAAAAACAAACAACTTTTAAAATTTAACCTATTGCTTTCTACTTGGGAAACAAAAATATTATAGAATCTTCGGACAAACATGTGGAACTAATAATAACAACAGTAGAACAATAGCAATAGAACCTATACAGCCAAGCCCTACCATTAAGGGCTGGCAAAGAAAACATACTCTATAAGTGATTTTGTACATATTAGTTTTACCCCTTTCCACTTTCCTGCTCTGGGCCTATCCACTCCCTCCAGCATCCAAATGGTTAGTAGGTAGTTAGAATTAAGGTTACCTGAGTAATGTTGTACAAGCTGCTGAAGTGTTTCAAACTGGGCCCGGGTGGTAATGTAGTATCCACCATTGTCAAGTTTGCGAATTTTATAATGTTTGACATGGTCTCCTTTCATATCATCCCAATCACGGATAGAAAGTGAATAGGCACCTGGTAAACGTGGAAAGCATTAGCAGCTCCAATCATTTAGAGTATCAGCTTGCTTTTTAGGCCTCATTTTCTTGACTCTGATTAATAATTACCAAGGATGCACACACACATGTACACACACACAGCATCTCCACTCAGTAACAGGAAGAAGATGCTTCTTGATGTTCTGCAAATGTCAGAATATATTAGCAATAAAATGATTCTGCCCTTGAGACTGAAAGCTTCCTGGACATTTTTCTTAAACACACTGTTCGGTACCCCTTGTTGCATAATACAGCGTAGACTCAATTCCAACACTCCTTTCCCCCAAGGGTAAAGAAGGACCACGATGAATGGCTGAGCTTGCTTCCCTTGTCTTCTCTACCCAGGGGCATACTGGGAGGTAGCAGCAGCATGTGCAAAAGAAATCTAAGGCTTGTTTCTCTAGAAGTGAGCTTCAAGCTTCTGCTTTACAACACTTTTTACAGGAATGGATAATCTGGCAAATTAAGCTAGAGGCCACTACTCTTTTCTTCCTTGACCTGTCTCCTCTTGTGGGTTGTAAGGAGTTGTTAAATAATGAAAAGTCCAACAGTTGGAGGAAGAGAAGTGAAGTCCTCAGTTATTTAAAAAACAAAAGGAAAGCAAAAACAACCTGTATGACTGGCACCTGAGGAACTAAGATTTCAGAAAATCAAAATTCTAAAGGACTTCTGAAAATTCTACGATCTTGTGTGCCTGGAGCAGTGTAGCTGCATCCAGCCCGTTTCAGGAGGAAGGTCTTGATTTGGGGCCTCTGTAGTTCTTTTGGTGCTGTCTGCAGTTTTAGAGCCTGGAGGGAAGACTGAAAACAGGACTCCACTCACAAGGCAGGGAGGGTATGTGCCATTTTAAAATCCTTGTACATTAGAGATAAGCCTTTCATCCCCTCTGACTAATCCACAGATTTGAATGACAAGCCAACTTCTTCAACTCGTTATCTTACCTTTGGTGGTTTCACTCTCGCGGATAAGAAAGGTACCTCTTGGGTTTCCAAAGGACAATAGCTGTCGCTCAGCATCTTTTCGGCCAAGTTTTCCAAAGTACCACCTTTAAATTAGATCAAGGAAAGAAAATATTTTGAAATAGTCATTTACAAAATGCAACAGCATAGGCTTTTTTTTTGCCCATGAATTCCCCTCTCCTCCAATTTAGTCCTTAACCTTTCCCTGGATGTATTTTTTTTCTAGCTTAATTCAGTTCCTTTTCAATCTATCCTGGATTCTATCCCTAATTCATCTCTTTCACTCTTTAAAAAAAATCAGATTTGAGTTGTGGGTTGTTTTCCTCCCCTCTAGACATGACCAGAACTGGTTTGTGTTAAAACTGCCACCTGTATGCAAAAAACCAGAAATCTAAGACCTTGATTTGAAATGGTTACTGCAGGAGACCCTTTCCACACTTATCTAAAAGACTCTAGTCTGGGCATGGTGGCTCATACCTGTAATCCCAGCACTTTGGGAGGCCGAGGTGGGCAGATCACCTGAGGTCAGGAGTTTGAGATCAGCCTGGCCAACATGGTGAAACCCCAGCTCTACTAAAAATACAAAAATTAGCTTGGTGTGGTGGTGGGCACCTGTAATCCCAGGTACTCGGGAGGCTGAGGCAGGAGAATCACTTGAACCTGGGAGGCCCAGGCTGCAGTGAGCTGAGATTGTGCCATAGTATTCCAGCCTGGGTGACAGAGCAAAGCCGTGTCTCAAAACAAAACAAAACAAAAAAAACAAACGCCAGGCATGGTGGCTCATGCCTGTAATCCTAGCACTTTGGGAGGCCAAGGTGGGTGGATCATGAAGTCAGGAGATGGAGACAATGCTGGCTATCATGGTGAAACCCCATCTCCACTAAAAATACAAAAAATTAGCTGGGTGTGGTGGCATGCACCTGTAATCCCAGCTACTCAGGAGGCTGAGGCAGGAGAATTGCTTGAATCTGGAAGGTGGAGGTTGCAGTGAGCCAGGATTGCGCCACTGCACTCCAGCCTGGGCAACAGAGCGAGACTCTGTCTCATAACAAAAAATAAACAAAAAAACAAAACTCTTGAATCTCTTGATATCTAAGCATTATTGTAACTGCTGGGAAATAACAAAACACAGTCTTAATGTATATGAAGATAATCAAGCATTAAAAAAAGTCAGATTAGATAGATATGATATGAATAAAGGAATAGTATTTTCAATAACTTCCTCCCTATAAGAATTCTGAGAAAAACGCCCATGAGTACTTACTTGTATTTTGTTTTCCTCCCCTAGGTGTGTGAGGACTTGGATAAGTAAAGGCATTTATTTACCAAGCACCTGGATTGTGATCTGTGTTCATCATCTTCTTCTTCTTTTTTTTTTTTTTTTCTTGAGACAGGGTCTCACTCTGTCACCCAGGCTGGAGTGCAGTGGCATAATCATAGCTCACTGCAGCCTTGACCTCTCCAGGCTCAAGCAATCTTCCTACCTCAGCCTCCTGGGACTAAAGGTGCACATCACCACACCTGCTAACTAAAAAAATTTTTTTTGTAGAGGCTAAGAGTGGTGGCTCATGATTGTAATTCCAGCACTTTGGGAGGCTGAGGCAGGCAGATCACCTGAGGTCTGGAGTTCGAGGCCACCCTGGCCAACATGGTGAAATCCCAACTCTACTGAAAATACAAAAATTAGCTGGGCATGGTGGCATGTGCCTGTAATCTCAGCTATTCGGGAGGCTGGGGCACGAGAATTGCTTGAACCAGGGATGTGGAGGTTGCAGTGAGCTGAGACAGGGCCACTGCACTCTAGCCTGGGGACAGAGTGAGACTGTCTCCCTATGTTGCCCAGCATGGTCTCAAACTCCTGGGCTCAAGTGATCCTCTCGCCCTGGCCTCCCAAGTGCTGGGATTACAGGAGGGAGCCATCACGGTGGACCCTGTACATCTTTTCTTTGGCACAACTGTAAGAACTGGTTACTGTACACCTTTGAGATCTGTGCCCAGTCAAAAAGCATGCCCTTAAAATGACTTGGTGTTGCAGATATTTCAATATATTATCCCTGAAGAAACTAATGATACTCTGTGCCACTTTAGGAGGCATCACATTAAGTCACCTCAAGACTTTTGTTATTTGCCTTATATCCTCCCCCTGCACTTTCAAGCCTTAACCAAGCCTGGCAATTAGTTACTATTTCAGCACTAGGTGCTGAATGAGCAGCAGGTGCCCCCAAAACCCAAGGGAGAATGCTGGAGCATTCAATTGGAATCTGTGTGTGGGAACCATTTTTAGAATATTTAACTGTGAAAGAATCCAGATTCTAAAATGAAATTTCAATTCATTATGCTTGAATATAGGTATCATGAGTTCACTGTCAAATTCTTTTGTGAATTAAGTTTCACTGAAGAAAAGAGACATTGCGTATTAGCTCCTCAGTGACTTTTAGAAACACCAAAATGTGCAACAATTCTTAATCTAGCATTAGGTGGCGTAAAGACTAGTACGTCAATTATTTGTGAGAAATGGCTTTCTGGGTTTGTACCAATAACCCAATTAGAATGCCGTGTAAAACAGTGGTGAAAAAGGAATTGTTAGAACAATGGATTGCACCAAAACAATAGTATTTTAAGATAATGATAGTTAATTGCATATGTAAAACCGAAGGCATTATTTTAAAAAATAATATTCTTTAAAAACAAAATATTTAAAAAGTTGACCATTATAAAAATAACTTAAATATATAGCTGACAAATTCCCAGTTAAATCAGGGTAATGCTACATTTTGGTGGTACTTTTTATTCTGAAAGAACACAAAGATGTTTGCAAATCTGCCCTAAAATACAAATTAAATACAAATACCTTGATTCACTGATGACGAAACACAGTCACTAGGAGAAAGAAACAACTAAGAACCACTGAGTATTTGAGAGTGGGAAACAAAACAGATCCTCTTAGAGGAAATACAAAGGAATTAAAGAATAGAACAATCCAACTGGGGATTTGGCTAGGGTGTGGAGTCTAATCCCTCTTGCACTACTTAAACAAATCCATGGTGAAATTAAATAGCAGAGCCAAAGGTTGGGCTTGGTGACTGACTTTTCTCAACTTCCTTTTTAGAGAGGCAAGACCCAAGGTGTCAGGAGGAGGCCAAGTTCCTGCATTTGGGAAATCATGGCTCCATCTCTCCTTCCCTCAGGGCTGGCAAACAGCCACTGGCAGTTCTTCCCCTTGGGAGTGCCTGTTAATCCTCATGGGTCAGAAGAAGGGAGAAAGGTTATCCCTTTTAGATCCCTTCAGCCTACTGAACACCTTCCTAAACTGCTACCAGTTGAATAGTTGGGCCAAATAACTGCTCGTCACTGTTTACTACCAAAGAAGCCAACTGAGGTTCCAAATCACTGTAGTATTTCCCAAGTTGGGGGGACACACTGTATGTGAGTCACTTTTACCGGGCATAGAAGGTGTCTTTTCAGCACTCTTTTAATATTTCTGATCACACTTAGGAGAAAAATCTTAGTTTAATCTGTGGCAATTACTTGCTACTCTCCCCTCTCTTCCCAACAGAGGGAGTGGACTGCGGGCTTAGAAACTTGGGTTGGCAATAATATATGCTCTAGCTAGCATTTCATATTTTTATGGCTACTTTTAATCTATGACAAGTTTTACTGGCTTTTCATTTAGGGTATTGATAGAAAGTTTTCTTTCAAAATAAGTGAGCAGGCTTCAAGAGAAACATTAAGTTAATAATAGTGCAAGTATTACACAGGGTAAAAACCGGGGCAGAAAGCCTGAAAAACTCAGCCTTAATCACTGCTGTGAATTTCTTCTCCCTCCTGCCCAATGCTGATGGCATTTTATTGCGGCAATCAACTTTTAAAATCAAGTAGTTAAGTGAAAACAAAATGAAACATACTCTTCTGCCTGGATAGAGTCAACTGGAGCCACATAATTGCTGGGAATGTAACCTGTCTCTCCAGTTGTCAAGGAGCGGGCTTCCCACCAATCTCCTTCCCTGTAAATAAAAAAGAAAAGTAAATATGTTGACCATTTCAACAGCTTGCAGTTAGAGACTCACTGTGGTCTGAAGTGTATAACTGTCACCTAATCATCCTGCCACCCGATTTCTCCAACCTATTCCTTTACTCTGAACTCCAACATAGTCCCCCTGTGAAGGTCAGAAGGTTCCAGTTCGAGTCAGCCATGAGATGAACCCACAGTTGTCTCTTGCCTTATTTGTGAATTAAGAATGTGGAATCCTGGCCATGAGAAGTCTCTCTTGGTAGGGGGCATTTTGCTTGGTTAGTGTCCTTAACTTGGATGGATGGAAAAGGAATCCAGCCTCAGCCTAATTAAGCAGAACATGTTAGCTGCAGATCATCTGGGAAGGGAAGCTTTTTAGGAGGTCTGAGGTCAATATGAGCTGCACAGTACTGCTTCCCTATTGTAAGCACCCCTCTCTTTCAAGTTCAAATCATGACATTAGAAATGTTAACATCTTAACATTGGGAGGTTAGGAGGTCTGATGAGGGATGAAGGCATGCTCTAAACACGTGCCTGGCTTGCTCTCAAAAAGATGGGGAGACACCTCTCTGCAGGTAGAATGATGCTACAGTAGGATCACCTTCCCCAGGCATTTTCAGTCTGAAGTGATTCCATCAAATGTCCAGAGCACTGGCCTGAGGCTCATGGGCAAGGGGTGAGGATGGGAATGGCTGCGTGTGCTCGCACAGGTGAAGCACAGAAACTCGGCAAGGGAGTGAGATTTTTAGTCACGCCACTTTGTACTGCCTTAGGCTCCATGCCACAGCACAGCAGTGTGGTATCAATCTGGGGAGCTCTCAGAGGAGGTGAAAGGGGATCTTGTAGCTACTCTCATCTTAAAGCCAGTGAGTACATTAAGCAGTTCAAATTCATCTGCTTAGATTCAAACAGGGCTACCTGTGATGAAGAGCAGGAATGGAGTGTGTACCTCTTCCCATTAACATCGGGGAGGCCATGGATGTGGCGCTGCGGCTCTGACATCCACTGAGTATCTGCAGAACCTTCCACCAGCCTGCAGTCAACGACATGATTGCCCTCAAGCAAATCAGACCTCCCAGCAAATCTGATCTCCTGGGGCTCAGGACCTTCTTTTCCTCCTTTTTTGGTCCTTGGAGGCAGCAAGCAAAACTTCAGGCATTTTAAAAAAAAATCGTTCTTTTGGCTGAGTTCTGTGTCAAAGCTTTCAGCCAGGGGAAAAAAAAAATGTGTTAGCTTCTGGCCATGGTAAAGATGCTCCCCAGACAGATTTAATCAGGTAGAGAATAATCAGCCTCCACATTAAACTCAAGCATTACTCCAGAGGCCGCTCTCTAAAGCTGGACTCTCTGAGCAAGGTGAGCAGTGAGCAACGCCTCCAGATAGGATTTAATAGAGCAACAGAACAAAGGTGACCAGCCAGCATGTGCTGGGGGTGCTGCTGTGGGAAAATGTTTGGTGGCATAAGTAACAGAATAGCCCACAAAAAAAACCAAGGTGCCAGCAAAGGTTTTTAAAACCTTATGCTTTAATTTAGTTTCCTAATCTCTCCTTTTTACCCTATTACAAATCCAGCAAAAGTACAGTACTCATATTCAGAAAGTTCTTTATTCATAAAATTTAGTTCATGTCTAGATTTATTCATAATCTTAAATTTAGTTCATGTCTAGATCTTTGTTAGGAAATATTTATACATACTGAAGAATATAGGTACAGTATATATGAACCCCGTGAACCCACTGCCCAACTTAAGAGCTAGATCGTTACCAACTGGGTGGGATCTGCACTGTGCTGCTCCCCTATTGTAAGCACCCCTCTCTTTGAGGTTCAAATCATGACATTAAAAATGTTAACAGTTTGTACTGGTCTCATTTCTATGCCTTCCAAAAGGAATACATACAGTTGTAAGGATATCATCTAAGAACATATGTGGAAGTTTATTTTTTTCTTTAAACACTGTATGTGTTTAAGGAAAATGGCTTTGGAGACATAATCTTCACTTTAATATAGTGACAAGGTTTACTGCTCTGAAGTTCCACTAGATGGAGACATTTCATCATTAAAAATAACAATACCCAGCTCCTCCCCCTCCACCCTCTCCCGCCCAGCCTGGGAAATGCTCCAAAATGGCGAGGAAAAAATTAAGTGCTTGTAGCAGAGGCTTATTGTTTTTTAATGCAAGATAACCTTCATCAAGTTAGTTCTAATTGAATTAAATTAAGAAAAAAATGGCTAGCATCAATTTTAGGGTATCTGAGACTGTCAATAGGGGCGGGAAGCCAATACATTTTGCTGCAGGTTGGGACAAGCCCAGCCTTATTCAGGTGATCTGGCATTAATGAAGTCATTTCCAATTCAAATCTAGCATTAACTATCTCATTTTGGTCTAGGTACCTAAATAGTGTAGCACAGATCAGAATGCAATTATCAGCTCATTCTGAAGTCATGAATCAGGAATTCATGATTTTCTCACTTGACCCTATTAATCTCACAAGGGTTTTCAGCTACTCATGAGAAAGATAAAATCCTTGATTTCTCTTTTTCTAGGCTTTCTAGGGTCATCTTCTTCATCAAAGGAGACATAAAGTGACAAAGATTCAATGTTTATTATGTAGTAAACCTCACATGTTGAGCCTAGAGAGGCTGGTACAGACTCAAAATATTCATTGAGAGCCGTTGAGCGAGTGAATTAAGTCATCTTTTTGATACACTAGAAGCACCAATTCACCTATAAATAGATATACTCTATATTCATGTTGATTTAGGAAAATAGGATCTCTACTATGTTATCTTTTATTTCTTGAGTTACTGTGGGTAATTAGCATTGTTAAAGCTGTATTTCTTTAAACGGTTCTTATAGTTCAGATTTTTCAGTTTGCACTTGGTGAGATATTCTTTGTTATCTTGCTCTAATTCAAATATATGATTTAAAGCCTGGCGCTGGTTTAGAATGGCTTTTAAGGTTTTATAACAGCTGTCTCTGTTCCTCTGATTTAAAGACTTGCTAAAAGATTCTGTGCCCCCACCACACCCCACACCAAGAAAAGTGTCTACCCCCAAACCCCAAAGTTGCTCGTAGGCTTGTGGGCCCCGGAGCTGGGAGCCCTAGAGCCTTGGAGCCAGGGAGTAGTTATTTGCCAACAGAAGTCAGCCTTGATCTGCTCAGTAGTGTAGCATTTTATGTCGGTAACAATTTTATCAAATGCTTGGGTGGGGCTCTAAACCAGGATTTCTTTTTATCACAATAGGAAAAAAAAAACAACAAACCTACCCTCAGCTGTGACCAATACTCCACTCTGTGTAAAACATGTATTACATTTTAAAGAGTCACTGTTCGTAGATGGTAAACGACTAGTCTTGAAATGTGAAAACAAGGAATAAAATGGATGAACTTAAATACTTTGCAAAAGGGGTTCAAATTTAATAATGTCCTAATACATGACACTGAGCACTTACAACGGGTCAATGAAGCACCTTTGCCCCTTGCTGGGTAGCAGGAACACCGCCTCTGGGTACATACATACATGCACATCCCACGGTGTATGTTGTACTTTAACAAAGCCAGCCCTGTGGCCTCCAGCGCCACCAGGGCTCCACCAGGGAAGGGAGTGGGAGGACACACACTAGGAGGTGTGGCAGCTGCCCTGGCAGAACAGAGCCCCATTCCTCCCTCTCCTCTGAGGACCAGAGCCAGAGGCGGGAGAGGATGGGGGAGGGGAGGAGCCGTGTGCCATCTGCTTCTGTATTATTGCTTTGTTTTTCCTTCACGATTTTCTCTTCCCTGTTATTACCCTTGACTTCAGGATATTGTCTTGTTACACAAACCTTATTTTTCTTTTCTATAACCTTGAGAAAGGGAATTTTAAAATTCCACTGATATGGAATTCCATTGGCAGAAAGGAAGAACATTAAGAGGAAGAGAACCTTTGTAATATTTTCCTCTACAAGAACAGGGTTGGAGGCTCAAAGGACTCCGTAAACATCAAAGGCCGTGCATGGAAGTCACAAAATAGAGATTGAGACGGATTGGATCCTCCTTAAGTGTTTCTCTAAAATTTCAATTTGGTGACACTGCAGATCGTTTCCAGATTAACAAAGGAAGAAGCCATGGGACTGACACTGGCAGGGACTGACTTTCCAACGCCCTCCAGCGTAATGCACAGACGCACGTGCAGTGTGGACAAAGCCTCCTGAGAGCTGGGTCTGCACTCTTACTATTCCTTGGTTCTTGCAGTTGAAAGTTTACAAATAGTCTTGAAATTTCTAATCAACCTTGGCATGTAGGGGAGGCTAAGGGGCGGAGGATTTCAGAATTCAAAGTTAATGGACTCCAACAAGCAGCAAAATAACAGCAAGGAGGTATACCCAGAGAGATCAAAGCCCAATCCCCTCCTCCCCAGCCCCAGTCAACTCTCCAAAGCTTCCTGTCACTTGAAGGTTCCCATCCCCTTTGATAAAGTATCTGGGCCTTTCCCAGATCAAACCTGACACTGTTCTCAGGATGCCTCCCTGCACCTCGCCCTGGGCTCTGCCACCTGCCAGCTCTGTGCTCTGGGGCAGTTTCCTAATCTGGGCCTCTGGCTCCTCAGATATCAAACGATGACGTCGATGCATACCTCAGACAGTAGTGGAAGAATGCATGAGAATGTTTGTAACTTAGCTCATGGCTGGTACATCAGGAGCCTTCAATGAATGGTAGCTGTTTATTATTTTTTAAAAACTTCCTGTGGCTACAGGAGGAGGACTCCTGGGGGGCAGGTAACACTCTTCTTGACCTGGCTGGTGGCCACACAGGCATGTTCAGCTTGTGAAAATTCAGCAAACTGTATACTTTTTGAAAATTGTGGTAAAATATAGGCAACATAAAATTTATCATTTTAATCATTTTTAAGTGTACAGTTGAGCGGCAGTAAGTACGTTCACACTGTTGTGCAACATCACTGTGTACACTTTTGATACGTGCACTTTTCTGCATGTGTTCCAACAAAAAGTTAAAAAAACACCACCCCACACCTTTGTTAATGATGACAATCCTAATATATGTTTGAAAACCCTGTGGCTATGTAGACTGTGCCTTCTGATGTCTCGAAGAGAGTCGTTGGCCCTTTATGGCAGTATTCAGTTCTTGCTGTTGAAAGGCGGCATATTCTCACTGCATGGTTCTGTGAGCCAGGGGGCATTCAAGAAAAGGGTGGGCTTTCCAAGGAGGCAGTTTTCAGGCCTGAAGGAGGTCCCTGTGGCAATCAGCACTCCTCTTTCCTGGGATGTGCAGTGTGACCAGGGCTGCCTCTTACTCCCTCTGGCATATCCTTCTGGGAAAGCTGAGGAGCCTGGCTCCAAGTCCTTCTGCCAACATGGAATCTGATTTGCTCAGAGAGCAGAGGAGAAGCAACCAGACTTGGTGGCATAGAAGAACTTCCTGGTGTGCCCCTCAGCCCCTGGGTGGCATTCTTTCCCAACCACCGGGAGCACTCATAGGGACGCTGGAGATGCCTGGCTTGCTGATGTGGAACCCCACCCCCCCACACTTTCTTCAGAACCTAGATTTTTTTCTGAAGGGCCTCATCCACATACACTGCCTCAATCTAATAGAGGCAGTATTTATAAACCCTAAGAAAATCTGACCCGTGTTTACTCTTCTTATGGAGGTACTGAATGTAGGATTTGAAAAGTGAGTGATCCTCACTCTTGAAATCTCCCCACTGCTTGTTTAACTGTTGTTCCTCCTGGCCAACATTAAACAACCATGCAGCATATTCATTCAAGAGTGGGTAAAATCACTTCTTCTAGCTCCAAAAGATTCCAGTCACTCCCAAATTTTTGTTATAGGGAAACGCCTCCACAGGCTTCACCAAAGAAATGTTTAGCAGTTTATAAAATAAAGAACTTGTTGCAAGCCTCAAGTGAGGGCTTAGCTAGTGTAACATCTGAAATGTGAAGAAAATCTCAAGGCAGAGAGCACGAAACGTGGGTAGCCAAGGCTTGTGCCAATCACTTGAAACTGTAGGTTTGTAGAAACACTCAGGGCTGTGGAGAGCGATGCTGGTGATTTTACAACCTTTAAACCTAAACCAAAACCAATAAACATGGACTGTGCTAGTATTTTTGGTACTCTCCAAAAATCTCCTTGGACACACAGTGCCATAAAATACTGCACTGTGTCACTGACTCTTCTTTTTCTCAAAGTATATTGTTGTAAACCAGTGAATTTAGCAAATGTTCTTTTAGCATTTCAGACATCTGAAGAGATGCAGACCAGAAATGCAAGACCCCTTCCCAACCTGAAAGGTATACATGCTTCTCCTCCCTCTCCAAACTTACGAGCTGTTCAATATTTGAAATTTTTCTCCTTTGTGAAAACTCAGGTCATCTTCTGTCCGTGCTTCATAGTCATAAAGGGCCACAAAGAGTGTCACTCCTGCCGAAACGAAATTCACAAGAAGGGAGATTATTACACAAGGGGAAATTAATTCCAAGAAATTAAATCTTCACTAAAATCTCATTCTCACAATCTACATCTAGCCAGCACTAATAACATGATGAAGTGTTGTAATTAACGTGTCAAAACCACAGTCACAGGGCTGTGTTTATGCCTTGGTCTTTGTAGGGGAAGCCTTACTGTATCTGAAAGAAACCTAGACCTGAAGGGCTTCTTTCTGTAATAGCTTTTAATGAGGGCTGAGGAGCAGGGAAATATTAAAATTGCATCCCAAACAAAAGGGCAGCGTCAGCGTCAGGGTTCAGGTTTGCAGGGCTCTGCAGCAGTTACTGACATCCTTTGCTGGTCGTATCTTCTCCTCCACTTGGAGCCTATGTTAGTTTCTGGGTAAAATGCACCACCCTTTCTCCTGGTAAAACAGTAACATAGAACGTAATAGGAAATGCCTCCTGCAGCTTGGGGAAATTTAGAGAAGACCGTTTCTGTAATATTCACCCCAATTAGAGGATGTACTGCCCTTGGCATCTGCAGTTCATTTTGCAGTTTTGTGCTGCTCGCCCCACTGCTGAAAATGGAACCCTCTCCCTTGTCCTCCCCCTACCTTGAACTCACCTCTCCTCACACTGTCTTGTAGCACTCACTCTTCCTCACACCCACCCTATGTCCTCTCATCTGGCTCTCTAGAGAGGCCCTTCCTGGTTTACAGAAGTTTGCTAGCAGCAGCAGAGAATATCCAGTGTCATTTGGCCTAGGATTTCCTCCATATAATTAGGCATAATTCTTTTTTTTTTTTCAAATAGAGACGGGGGTCTCACTATGTTGCCCAGGCTGGTCTCGAATTCCTGGGTGCAAGTGATCCCCCTGGCTTGGCCTCCCAAAGTGCTGGGATTATAGGTGTGACCTACTGTGCCCAACCCAACAGGCATAATTCTAGCATAGTCCCCAGTGACTCCTGCCTCCTAGTATTCAGTCTCGTGCAAGCCCCTCCCCTTGAGTGTGGGCTGGATCTAACGACTTGCTTCTACTCAACAGAATGTGCAGTCCCTTAAGTGACTAGGCTTCAAAAGATGGTGACTTCCGTCTTTCTAGCAGACTCTCTCTATTGCCACTTCAGCTTGTGTACTTTGATGAAGCAAGGCGCCATGCTGGTGAGGCCCATGTGACCAAGAACTGAGGGTGGCCTCTGGCCAACAGCCAGCGAGGCACCGAATCCTGCCAGCACTACATGAGTTTGGAAGCAGATCATTCTCAGCTAAACTGTGAGATGACTATAGCCCAGCCAACGTACCTTGATTACAGCCTGTGAGAGATTCTGAAGGACCGAACTGACCATTCGCAGATTCCTGACCCACAGAAACTGTAAATTTAGGTTTTATAATTTTAATTGATGTATGGACACACATAAACAAAAAAGCATGAAGGAAGATTTGGATCCAAGCGGTGCCACACTTTATGTCATCACTACAAGTGTTCAAGTGTAAAGAAAACCAGTTTTGAAACTATGAAATTCCTGATTCATAAATACACAGTTATTTCTATTTTAGTACATATAAGATAATACACTGTTATTAAAGCTCTTTTATTAAGGCAATTGCATATGTCTTAAAAGCAATGGTAAATTAAGTTGCCTTCCAAAACTGTGTACTTGTCTGGTCAGCTGTGTATGATCAGTTATCTACCTCAGAGTCTATTTTCTTTTGTGCTGGGACAGGTTGCTGGCCCTCCCTGTTTCCACAGCCCAAATCCTCCTAGCTCAGAAGCTAGGGCTAAGCAGTTATTTCTTTTGAGTATTTTTTAGTTCTTACATTTTATGCTTGTATTTGATGATAAATGTCAGTGACATTTCATAGTTTCCAAAGTCCTGGCTGCTCTGAGAAGTGTAGATTCTAGTGAAAATTACATAGTCATAAGATAAATTTGTTTTTGTTTTATTTTTTAAAAGTCACGGTATCACTGGTTCTATGCTCCCTGGAATATTACTGCTTTGTGAAAGCCCAGGCTGAACGCAGCACCCTCTGTGTACCTAGTACAGTTATAAACCTGGGTCTCCCACTAGTTGATACTTCTGCATTAGTTAAGGCAGAAATTTGATAGTTTGGTTAGAGGGGAGGGGAAATCTGTTGCCAGAAATGTCTAACTAAGTGCCATACTCGTCTGGGTAAGATTTGGGAAACATAACCTCTGTATATTAAAAAAAAAATTAGTTAAACATCATATAGTAGATAGCCATTAAATTATAAAAAAAATTATGAAGAAAGATCTTTTGTACCCGATTGAAAAAAAGAGATATAGAGATATCTATATGATCAAGAGAGTTAATTTTTTTTTTTTTTTTTTGAGATGGAGTTTCACTCTTGTCGCCCAGGCTGGAGTGCAGTGGCATAATCTCAGCTCACTGCAACCTCCGCCTCCCGGGTTCAAGTGATTCTCCTGCCTCAGCCTCCCGAGTAGCTGAGATTACAGGTGCCTGCCACCATGCCCAGCTAATTTTTTGTATTTTTAGTAGAGACGGGGTTTCACCATGTTGGGCAGGCTGGTCTTGAACTCCTGACATCGTGATCTGCCTGCCTCAGCCTCCCAAAGTGCTGGGATTACAGGTGTAAGCCACTGCGCCTGGCCGAGATTTAATTTTTTATTTTTGTTTTACTAGTGCCACAGACTTGCCAGTGGTAACTTATTTACCCCATTCAAGATAACTCTGTAGTTTTCTTTCCTAGGACTTGTTGTTAAACGTCAAAAGACATTTTTGAGCTGTATGTTTGATCAGACTGTTAGCTTTTCTGTTTTATTTCTTTTAAGAACCTCTGAATAAAAAACATCTGAAATTGAAAAAAAAAAGAAATTAAATGTGTTTTGTTTTAAGCTGCTAAGTTTTGTGGCAATTTGTTATACAGCAGTTGATAACTAATAGTAGTTCCCTGCAGTCTGCCTTTTCATTCTGGTCTCTCTGCACTTCAGAGTGCCTGCTATGACCTACAGAAATGACAGGGAGCCCACTTTTTTTTTTTTCTTTTGAGATGGAGATTCACTCTTGTTGCCCAAGCTGGAGTGCAATGGCGTGATCTCGGCTCACTGCAGCCTCCGCCTCCCGGGTTTAAGCACTTCTCCTGCCTCAGCCTCCCGAGTAGCTGGGATTACAGGCGCCCACCACCACGCCTGGCTAATTTTTTGTATTTTTTAGTAGAGACGGGGTTTCGCCATGTTGGCCAGGATGGTCTCAAACTCCTGCGCTCAAGTGATCCACCCACCTCAGCCTTCCAAAGTGCTGGGATTACAGGCATGAGCTACTGCACCCGGCCAGAGTCCACCTTTTTTACCAAGCTGCCAATTTGCTGTGTAGGTAGTTCCAAGGGAAGAAATGTGTCATGGCACTATTCAAGGACCACAGAGAAGAGTGGGGCTTGTCTTTCTGCCCCATCCCAAGTGGGACTTTCCTCAGGAGAGTTAGCATTCAGAGGTCTGACCATGCAAAGCTAGGCTCATTTGGCAACTTTCCTTCTTTCCTTAGATTTCTTTGAAAGGTAAGAAAAGAGATTGGCTTAAAACAAAAATGTGGGTGCCCGTAAGGTCATGCCTATTCTTATTTAACACTCCATGACCAGATTCCCTTCTTTAAAAACAATTTAAAAATGAAGCCAAGCCAGCCCCACTGTGTGGAAGGCAAGGCACATGAAGACCAGCACCCCACTCTCTCCTTGCATCAGCTGACAAGTTCTCACTGAGGGCTTTTATGTTCCATGTTCCAGGAGCTGAGGGGAGAATCAAAGGAGGTTACAGAGAAACACAGACGTTGTTCTTGGCCTTACAGGACTGAAGGCAGTATTGGGAGAAAGGACATGCATATATATTAAAACCAAATAACTCAAGGCAGAAAAATCTGCCAACATTTGGGAGTACTGTGTTTTAACTTTCAAATTTTATAAGGGATCAGGTAGCCTCTTAAACAAAGACTCCTCCTGACTACGGTGGAGACCCACATGCTCAACACAAGTGGCCCTCTCTAGTGACTTTAATGAATGATACCTGCAGACCCAGGGGTCCATATCCAGCACTCGTGAATGAATGAACAAGGACAATGGCTGTGTCAGTAGAATTAACAGTCTGGGCTGGCAAAGCCCTTATGCTTCTCACGGTAGGCACAAGGATGGGGGTTGTGTTTGCCTCTTTTTTTCTCCTGCATCATCAGAAGACAGATGGCCTTAGACTGCCTGTCTGTGTCTCTTCAGGCACCTTTGGGAAGGTGGGAAGGATGGGTAAAGGTACTTAGCACGTATTCAACCCATGCAAGGCCTGGGTTAAAAGGAAAGCTAGAGTCACCACAGCATGAGGGTGAACATAAATACTTCTTCTACTGGGCAGAGTGTGCTATGCTAGCAGAAGAGAAGTAGATAATGTCCAAAGGCTCAGGGTCAGGCTCCTTGATACAACTACACTGATGTGTGATGTGTGTTGGGTGCAGAGGGAAAAAAAACTTGCTAATGCCTTAGTAGTGCCTCCTCCCTAGGTGAAAAGGTACCTGCTGCCAGATGGGCTGAGAGATACTGGATTCTTTCAAACTTTTATATAAGACATCTGCTGCCAGATGAACTGAGAGATGCTGCATTCTTTCAAACTTTTGCAATAAACAAAATAATTCTGGAACAAATAATGTGAAATATCTAGTTACCATGGTTCACATACTCAGAGAAAATTTGGATGACTAGGGATGCATGACATAACTTACAAATATTTCGGAAAACATATGTCTGAGAACGTACGCCAGATATTTTACAAAGTATTAGCTAAGTCAGCAAATACACATGGCAGCAGAATATAGCCTTGTGGTATGAAAGACAAGGAAACTTCCAAAAAAAAAAAAAAAAGAAAGGCAGGCTGAGGATTAGGAAGAAGTGAGTGGGAAGAGGGAGTACATTAATATCTAGAGAACTCAAAATACACACACCCAGACCCAGTCCTGGAGCCTCTAATTCAAAAGACTGGGACATGGCTCAGGCATCCGTGTTTTGAAAAGGCTGCCCTAGTTCTTCTGTGCCAACCAGCCAGGTGAGGCTGAGAGTCATTGACCTACAGTGCCTCAGTAGAATGTTGTAGCTCACTAACCCATATAGAATCCTCAGAAAGCAGCAACTTGGGGCACCTTGCAACCCTGTAGCCAAGCATTTTGTTTGTACATCAAACTCTGGCTTTTCTTACAACCCCTCATCTAGTAGAGGAGACAGATTAGAAACTTACATGTGAAACCCCTAGTCAAAGGGAAGTGATGGGAACCCAGATGTTCAATTGCCAAAAGATTTAAGGGTGGCTGCCCCCTCTCTGCACTCTGTGACTTTGGGGGCTTACCTGTTCCTCCTCTCGTACGCAAGGTCCCCGTATGAGACGAAGAGTTCACACCTCCAAAGACGGTGAGTCCTTGGCCCCCGGCTGCGTGGAAGTTGTTGTAGTTGGGGATGGAGGTCACACCGAAGCTGGGGTAGTGCTGAGGGGTGGGGTCTGTGCCATAGCGGTACCCAGAGCTCTGGTTCAGGCTGCCGTCCCTCTCCTCCGTCAGTTTTGTTGCTTCTTTATCCTTACATTGCACACAGCCCATTATCTAAATTCCTGCCAAAGACAAAAAAGGGGGCACGTAAGCTGGGATGCTCCCTAGTTGCTGGGTTGCTCTACAGTAAACGAGGAGTAATTGACAAGGCTCACTGTTGGCTATTTCAGGCCTATTAGGGGGCATGAGGAAAGGCAGTGGCTGGGGAGATGGTTAGGAGGAAGTTCAGTTCCTTGACCCCACAATCGCATTTGTTCCCCATATGTTCTGGATGACAGCATCATCACGGAGCACAATGTTCACCATGCAGCAACTTTCCTCGAATAAGGCCTGTATCTCGTAAAATTCTGTAACAGCATACACCTGCCTACAGACGGTCCAATCATATTTACCAATTCTGCCTTTAGCCATCTAAAAAAAATAATACATGCTCTGTAGAATGAGTCTATGCAACATTAGAATAAAAACTTCCATCAGGGCACAGGAAATTTAAGGAAGAGGGCACAGGAGTGTTGGATAAGCCAGAATACAACCTTCAATCAAGTCACTAGACTGCTTCACTCATGGGTACCACATCTTCAGGCACAAAACTGGTCAATTTTAAGCACTAAGATGATGCTAAGTATCAAAACTAAGAACTAGTTACTGGATGAAAAATAAAATCGGCAGAACCTAAGAGGTCAGAGTATATTTGCAGGATGTCATGATAGTCTACAGTAATGAAATCACTTAAAGCTGCTAATTAACTTTTCAAATTTCCATTAGCTTTTGACATCCTTCAAAAACATTAAAAAAAAATCATTCCCATGTTACAGAGTTAGTGGCGGATTAAAAACTCGAGTTGTTGCCACCCCACCCTCCTCAAACCCTCTTCTCCCAGGCTCCTCATCTAAGTAAATGGGACCACCAGTGTCCCAGTTGCTCCAGTCAGCATCCTGAGAAGCATCCTCATTTCCTCCTCCTTGTTTACTTCCCACTCTTCCTGTCTCGGCTCTCCTATTCAAACACGCCCAACTTCTCAGATCCTCAAAGACTCCATTCCCCCACCCGCTTCGGGCCTTGGAACATAACCTTGAACACTTTTTCCCCTTCCTCTTTGATATGTGACGTATCCATGTCCTAGTTAATAAGGCACCGCTTCCTCTGCAAGGCGTTCTCCGACTGCCCTGCCCTTCCAGGCTGGGTTGTGCTTTCTGAAGTGCTCCCATGGCATCCTCATCTCCCTCCTTCTGGCACCCTTGGCGCCATATTAAAACAGGGCCTGTTTATTTGTCTCATTGCCCAATGGACTGCAAGTTCCAGGAAAGCGGGACCCTGTCTGTTTTCATCACAGCTACATTGCCAGTGCCTGGAACAATAAATAGCAACCAGATGAGTGAAGATTCTGTAGCCTATTATGTTTCTCTTTTACCCTCTCTGTATTAAAGCCGATCCCTCCTGTGACTTTGAGATGGAGTCTCACTCTGTTGCCCAGGCTGGAGTGCAGTGGAGCGATCTTGGCTCACTACAACCTCTGCCTCAGCCTCACAAGTAGCTGGGATTACAGGTGCCTGCCACCACACCCAGCTAATTTTTTGTATTTTTAGTAGAGATGGGGTTTCACCATGTTGGTCAGGCTGGTCTTGAACTCCTGACCTCAGGTGATCCGCCCGCCTCGGCCTCCCAAAGTACTGGCATTACAGGCGTGAACCACCGTGACAGGCCCCTCCTGTGACTTTTATCAGCAGTGTACCTTGCATTTTAAAATCTACTGGTATGTGTGTGAGAAGTGAAGAAGATTCAGAAATACAAGTTGGTTAAATGGTCCCCCTTTGGACTTGCAATACCCCAACAAGCCAACAGGGGTCAGGTAGAACAGGCCAGTGGAGGTCCCTGCCAAAACCGCAAACTAGCCCATTTGGGACCAAAGAATCACATAAGAAACACATGCCATCATGTGTAATAACATTTATTCACTGGGGAGGGCACAGCTGGCACAGGATGGGAAGGGCTTGAGGCAGCAAAGGAGAAGGCATGCTTTTCTATACTATCTTGCAAACCAATGCAGGAGGTGCCATATCAGAAGAGTGCTCCCTGGGCACTCTTCTGAGCACTGCTTTTCTGCTGGACTGGGTGATGGGAGCAGTATCAGACTGTTCTAAAGCTCTCTCATATTACACATTTCAATAAATACTTATTGAATTGAATGTCAGTTCTTGAGAATGAAAATGTTTGGAAAAGAGACGCCTACTGCTTGAGCTGAGCTCACCAAATCTGGAACACATTTACTCCTAAATCATTTGAGATTAACTTACAGTATACCGTGCCCAACATGCTTTGTAACTTATGGTAAATGGATATGATTTTAACAAGTTTCCAATAGGAAATGCAAGCTATTTCCAAGGCATGATGTACTAAAGGAATTTCATCATTTGTTGTTGATGTTGCTTCATCAGACTGATAACTTGCTCATATAATATTAACTCTTTCGTGGTGGAAAGTTGCTCCACATTTCTGCAAAGACCAGACAGAAAACACTTCTTGTCCCAGATGTTTTTTCTTTTTTTCCATGAATTTCACTGATCTACTGTAATTAGAGAATGTGAGACCTGAATCACAGACTCATATCACTTACAGCAGTGGTTCTCAGCTGGGGGTAACTTTACCACTCCCCTGCAAGAGACATATTGGGCAATGTCTGGAGACATTTTGGGTTGTCACACTCAGAGGGGAGGGATACTCCTGATACCTACTGGGTAGAGGCCAAGAATGCTGCTAAAACTTCCTGCAATGCACAGGACAGCCTCCTACAAACAAGAGTTACCTGGCCCCAAATGTTAATAGTGTCAAGGTCAAGAAATCCTGATTTACACGAAGGAAAGAATTTATATCTACATCTTTGAAGCAGTTTAACAGCTGTTTCCCTTACATGGATGTGATTAACATGCAACCCATCATGCTTTCTTCAGGCGAACAGGCATGTTAGGTAGAAGCAGGCAGTTTTAAAGAGTGACATGAAGTGCTCTGATTTTCTCTAGAAGCTTGTGCACTGTGATAGAGAAACAGAACCTGGAAGTAATGAGAACACTCATTGCAAACCACTCTTCCAACTCCAGCAAAACAAAATAAGCCCCATATAAGAACCCTGAAGAAAACAGGATCCTACATTTAACCAAACTAAGAAAAAATAATCTTTCAAAATCCACTTTAAAAAAGAAATATACTATAATAAGCAACTAGCAGCTTATCTATAATTTTATGAAGTAATAGAGAAGAAAAATCATCAGCTCCTTGAAGGCAGGAATTTTTGTTTTTTTTTAACTGCTGCATCTTGCGTGGCCAGAACAGTGCCTGGCACACAGTAGTCACTCAATAAATATTAGTTAAATAAATAAATTAAAAATAATCAAAATCATTTTGGAGAAAACAATCCTCTTTTATAGAAGAGACAGCACCATCACCACTTCACGCATTTGACATTCTGAGTTAAGTAATGTTTCTATACAGATCTTGCTTACTCTTTTCTCTTCAATGACACATAGGAAGAAGTGAAAATAAATCAGTAAATGCAGTTTCAAGTCATTAAAAGTTAATCACAATGAAAATATTTATGTAGGAACTTGTGGTCTTCTTTCTCCCCCGTGGGGCAGTCAGACTAACTGCTTCGTGACAGAAGAGTCAGAAGACGCTACATGAGCTGTATTCAGTGTGCCCAGGCTCCTTGCTACAAGGCAAACTTTTGATCATTCATGCTAAAATAAAAGTATCCTTTATTATGCAGAGTTATGTGCTGTGGCTTTAATGTCCAATGCTGTAAGTGCATCGTGACATAGAATGTACTAATTCACTTGCTATAGATCTCTGGGGCACCGGGAAACACTGAATGATGCCATCGTGAATGTGGAGCCCTGGAGTTACTCTGATCAGGAAAATACCACATGCCATGAACTCATGGCTATAGTCTTCTGCAAGTTATCATGCCTAGAAAAACTGGTGAAGGGCATTTTCACCAATTGGATCCTGTGCCTGTGATCAAGGTGTCTGGATTACAGCTGTGAAGCCTCTATTCTCCAATCCTTTTGCAAAGGGAGGGGCCCTTTTTCTACTAAGCAAATAAAACTTGATCTATTTAAAATTTCCCTAGTCCTGTGGTTCTTTACAGATGTGCCAATAGTGTTAAGCAACCTGGGAAGAATTGCCGGACACAGGATTCAAGGAACGCCGCACCCTGCTCCCATAAGCAGGGCAGACATTATCAACAGATCACAGCCCTTTCTGCTGCCATGCTATGGGAGATATGCTTCTCCACATAGCCCTGTAGTGATTGACGGAAACTGACCTAAAGGATAGATTCAATCCTTTACTACCACAGGCACAGGGTGCTTCGATCCAAGATGAGTCTGGTTGAACATACACTCCCTCCTCCTGATGTAGACAGACCACAGTCCAGTCTACAAGATGCACATTAAACACAGACACATTCATATTTCGTCATGTGCCAATCAATAAAGCAATGCCAGTAAGCCCAAGTTATAAGCTTGCAGGACGTGTGATAAGATTTCAGGTGTGTGCAGGAGCTAGGTACCAAAATGGGAAAAAGGCCACTGGCAGTCTTCTGCACAAGCAAATTACTTTCTCTTGAGACACATACACTTGCAGGCAGAGGAGGAATGGCAGGAAGAGGAAGTGAAACCGACAACAAATAACTTTAATTTCAGGGGTGTATGCTCTTTTGTCTCAGAAGCCAACCTAGGTGGGTGTGAAGAAGTGACAGCCCTTAGGCATAATCCCTGCTTCTGACAGCCTCCAGCAGACTTTGGAGAGTGACAGGTAAAGCCACATTTGGCCCGTACTTAGAGGTGGCATGTTTCCTGGTATCATAATGGAAGTATAAGAACAAGGAAGGGAACTGAACTAAGAACCTAGAAACCAAATGCAAGCAACTGAGATGGGGGCAGTTGAAAAAAGAATTTAAAGCTGAACTGCAGATCAACTGCATGGTTTCACACTTTTCTCGGAAAAAAGCAAAAACTGGAAGCTTATCAAGCAAACACACTTTTTCAGTCAGCAGGAATAGCATTAGGAAAAGGATAAGATGTGGCAGAGACACATCTGAAATTATTTGACTTCAGGATAGAAGATTCATGGCAGAGGGCTCTTGATCCTCGCAAAATTAGAAACACCCATAAGAATCTACTTGGGGACTTTTGCTACATTCTCAGTGGAGAGAGTTAATCCATTGAAAGCCTAGGAAAGCCTTCTTTAGTTTTCCCCTGTCATTACTGGGAGCAGAAGGACATTCAGAGACAGTTGAGTACCACATCAGCAGCAATGAGGTTGGGCCACAGAAACTGTCACCCAAATTTCCTAATTTCCCAGCACCTTTCAATCCTTTACAATGGGGCTTTTCTCCTCTGTAGCATACTGCATCAGATGATCCTGACACCCCATGAGAGAGTGCAGGCAGTGCTGCCTTCTGGGGACAGACGGGACAGAAGGGCCAGGGAGGACTGGGGAGGCTGGACAGAAAGCAGGGCTATGCTGGCCACTCTTGGGATCACAAGCATTTCCCAAGGTACTGAAGCAGAGAAAAAGTCACTGCTGGGTTGGCCCTCTGGAGATGTTAATACTTGAGGGATGAAACACTTTCAGCACTGATGCTGGGTTCAGCCAATGGCCCCAGCCCAGCTATGAAAAAAAGCATGCAGGACTCTGCCAATGTGGGAAAGTCCTCTCTTTGCTGCCAACTGGAGGGAGTGAAAATATGTGCCTTGCTAAATGACATTGTGGTAGGGAGAATTCTGAGCTGTCCCCCAGGACTCCTACTCCCGGTGTATGTGCCCTGCAAATCCCTAGGATTTATGAATGATGGGGTAGTCACTCCATCATCGGGTTGTTATTTGGCACAGCCGACTTTGAGAGATCATCCTGGGTGGACCTGACCTAATCAGGTGAACCCGTGAACGGTATGCCAGTTCCTGGAAAAGTAGATTAAAAGTGAGAGAGGCCTTCATTGTGGGGGAGATTCTCCACAGCTGCCTTTAAAGATGAAGGGGCTATGTGGCCAGACACATGGGTGGTCAGAGCTGAGAACAGCTCGGTCAAGAACCTGAATGAACCTGGAAATGGATTCCTCCCTAGTCAAGCCTTCAAACAACAACATAATCAGCTAACATTTGATTTCGGCTTTGCTGAGCAGAGAATCCCCTCCGTGCCTGGATTTGTGACTGACAGAAATGTGAGCTAACAGATGGATGTTGTTTTAAGCTACTAAGTTTGTAGTACTTTGTTAGGCAGCAGCAGAAAACTAATACATGTTTTGGTGGGATGGGCACCATGGGGATGATGGCTCCAATTTCAGCAGTCATGACCAATATCCAATCAGTGTTCCCTGTAGCCTAGGTGCAGGCTGGACTCTGCAAAATGCTGTCCCATTAAAATCTAGTAACAACTCTAAAACACAGGTATTACTATTTCCCCACACTTTACAAGGGAGGAAAAGAGGGGTTGGGGAATTTGTCCACAGCTATGTCAGTCATAGAGATGGGATTTGAAACCAGATAGCCTGATTCCATGGCCAACACACAGAGTCTCTATACTAGAGCTATTTCCTGACCATGGAATCCTGGCCAGTCCATGCAAGGGTGTGGGTGTGAGGGCTGGAGGTGTTGAGGGAAAAATCCTATAGGGAAGAATTGGTTCCACAGAGCTCAATATCTCACACATTATGATATGGTTTGGTTGTGTCCCCAGCCAAATCTCACCTCAAATTGTAATCCCTATAATCTCCATGTGTCAAGGGCAGGACCAGGTGGAGGTAATCGAATTATGGGGGCAGTTCCCTCATGCTGTTCTCGTGATAGTGAGTGAGTTCTCATGAGATCTGATGGTTGGTTTTATAAGCATCTGGCATTTCCACTGCTTGCACTTACTCCGTCCTGCCGCCCTGTGAAGAAGGTGCCTGCTTCTCCTTTGCCTTCTGCCATAATTGTAAGCTTCCTGAGGCCTTCCCAGCAATGCGGAACTGCAAGTCAATTAAACCTCTTTCCTTTATAAATTACCCGGTCTCAGGTATTTCTTCACAGCAGTGTGAGAATGGACTAGTATACATTACTAACGGAGGCACTGATTTCAGGGACTAGGTCTCACCTCCATCCCCAATGCACATTCCATTCCCCCAAGACAGTGGATTCTGTAGAGATGCTGGACCATACTAGGTGCAGTGAGTCACCATCTTCCTTCGTGCGGTTTGGCATATTAATGACTATTTGGGCCGATGACACTGAAGCAGCCCTTAATTTCCTCATCTTTCCTAGTCATGGCAAGGGTATTCATAAGTACCATGAAGGAGTTGGCACTGGTTTCCTTGGTATAAAAATCAGCTTTCCTATTGCACTTAAAATATGATTTGCTTTACAGGCAAAACTTTCTGGAACATATTTACTGCATAAACTGAGATACACATATAATGCCTCCACCAAGCACAAAATAACAGCTTTCTACTCTTGGTGAAGCCTGTGAGGGAGAGCCCCTCGCCAAATGCAAGTATTAAAATATTACAGTCTCTGAGGTGAGAAGATAGATGTAAAAGTGGGAATATACACAATGCAGACACTAGCCACATGCAATCATGGGAGAACAGAGCCTACTTAAAAATCAAACCCAAGCTTTGCTTCAGAAATAAGTGGAGTTGAACCCATTCGATCATTTACGCATGACTTTGCAAAGGTTCTCTGGAGGGGGAAGAGGATCAACCTTCTCTCATACCGCACAGCAAGGGAACCAAAGTAATATAAATCACTCTTAAAAATGTCATGTTACTTTAAGAATAAGCCATACTGCTGGCACCTAGAATATTTTTGTGGGTCCCCATCTCTGGCTTTTCTTGTTCAAATGGCCCCCAGGCTAAGAGGCAGCTGCTCACATCCCTGCAACAAACATGTTCTTTCCTTTCTGCATAGCCTTCCATTTCTCGAGCCCGAAGACTCAAAAGCGCTCAATAAAAGAGAAATGGAAGCATCAGACCCCAGTGGTGAGATTTAAGACTGCAGTCAACTGAATGCTGGAACCAGTCCCAAACCTAAATGGCCAAATGAGGCTTTAACACCAAACCATGGAAAGGCTCCAAGAAAAGAGTAAGAACATTTTCTTCTTAAATTCATTTTGCTCTGGATCTCAGGGTTAAGACAAGAGTGAAATGGTGATGAAAACAAGGATGATATGTTTTAACCCCATCTATGCCAAAGGTTTCAGAAAGAATTAGAGCACAGGTTGTAAAGTTTTTTCAGGCTCCACCCCCTGCCCGCAAGCCTTTTTGGACCATAGAAAAGCCCCTTGTAGTTAATATTTTTAAAATTTCATTTAAAGTGAGATATAATTCATATACCATAAAATTCACCCTCTTGAAGCACACAGTCCAATGGTTTTTAGTACATTTACAAAGGAGACCATTTCCATTATCTAATTCCAGAACATTTTCATTGCTCCAGAAAGAAACCCATGCCCATTAAGCAATCGCTACCCACTCCCTTCTCTCCCCAGCCCCTGGCAACCACGAATCTAATTTCTGTCTCTATGGATTTGCCTATTCTTGACATTTCATATCAACAGAGTCACATCATATGTGGTCTTTTGTGATTGGCTTCCTTTGCTTGGTATAATGTTCTCCAGGTTCATTCATGTAACATGTATTAGTACTTCATTCCTTTTTATGGCTAAAAGATATTCTACTGTATGGATATACCAGATGTTGTTTATCTATTCATCAACTGATGGACATTTGGGTTTTTACGTTTTGGCTCTTATGAATAATACTGCAACAAACATTCATGCTCAAGTTTTTCTGTGGAGATATGTTTTCAACTCTCTTAGATTAATATTTCAATATATAAGAAATTTATACAGATAAGAGAAACTCTAAGTTTAGGAAACAGAAACATATATTGGCAACAAAAAAAGGAAAAACAATTTGTGAAACATATGGGAGAATATTGCCTTTGGTAGTAATCAGAGAAATACAATTTAGATTAGTGAGATACTATGTATCACTTCTAAATTCACACATTAAAAAAATAAGTATACTCAATAGTGATGAAGTTTCCTTGAAATGAATATGACTCTCTTACATTGCTGATAGAAGACCAGAAATCAGTGTAAAACCATTTGGTAAACCAATTTGGCAATATAAAAAATTCTTAAAAATGGGCATACTCGGCCAGGTGTGGTGGTTCACACCTGTAATTCCAGCACTTTGGGAGGCTGAAGTGGGTGGATCACTTGAGGCCAGGAGTTCAAGACCAGCCTAGCCAACATAGTGAAACCCCAACTCTACTAAAAATACAAAAATTAGATGGGTGTGGTGGCAGGCACCTGTAAACCTAGCTACTCGAGTGGCTGAGGCATGAGAATCGCTTGAACCAGGAAAGCAGAGGTTTGCAGTGAGCTGAGATGGCGCCACTGCACTCCAGCCTGGGTGACAGAGTGAGACTGCCTCAAAAAAAAAAAAAAAGGGGGTCGGGGGTGGCATGTCCTTTAACCTGTAAATGTGTGCTAAAGACACGCCTTTTAAAAAAATGACATGAAGAGGTTCTATGAAGTATTATTTATCATTTGAAAAATTAGAAAACTTGTTAGTTGTTTAGCATGAGGGCAATGGCTAAAGTAAATTGTAAGGTATGCCCATAAAGACAAGTTAAGCAGAAATTAAAACTTACATTTACTGAAATTATCAGCAATATGGAAAGATGTTCATGTTATATTAGGAAGGATCACATGATTGCAACTATATAACAAATGCCTAGAAAACTCTTTGGAAGGAAACATGCTGAGATTATGGTGGTGTGCAGATGATAACACTATGGGCAACTGTTCTTTCTTTGCTCTCTGTGTCTTTTTTCTCAGATTTGTCTATACCAAGAATGTACTTTTTTTATAATGAGAATAAATCACCTTTATTTTTCTATAAGAAAGTTCCCTTTAATATTATCAGTTACTGATTGAATTTGTATGTAAGTTGAAACAACTACACATTGATGAAGTATACTTTGTCAACTGAAAAATTAAGAGGGAGAGACTGACTGATTCCAAAGCCTGTTGAGAGGCAACTCCTTCTAGAAGGTGTGAAGGGTGAAAGGTACCAATGGACAGTGAGCCTGCTGAGCGTGTGCTCTTAACTAATCTGTGCTGGAAAGTAAGCAGTGAGGCGCAGTGCTGGGAGTGGGCGGTGAGTGCACAGCAATGAACAGCCATAGATATCTAATTAAGGGCACGAAAAAGGCAAAGCCACATGCAGAGGATCCTGTAGGGGACAAGTGTGGAATCTGGGATAACCGAACCAAAAGCAGGGTGGCTGGATTAGTGGGGTTTTGAGACCCTTTGGGCCACACATCCTAGGTACTTGGGGACACCCACTAAATTCAGAATGACGGTACTCACTCAAGTCTACCTTGGCACCTAACCAAGGCAATCTGATTCCTGAGGTGTCTGTAGGAGCTCTCTGTGAGTGAGGTCATGAAGACCACGCATGGGCTTGGCTCTAGGAAGGTGGAGAGGATGAAACAAAGCACTTTTGTTCTTTGGATGCCAATTGGTGGGAGAGGGAAGGGGGCCTGCCCTCGCTCTTGTTGCCTTCACCCTTTCCTGTTGGGACACTGAGCTGGGCATTTTAATGCTTTGACTTTGAGCCACTGCCCCTAGAACCTGGGGCAATCCAAGCAGGGCACAGAACAGTAGGCAACACTGGTTCATGTGACCTGAAAATTTTCAGAAACACTAGGCACAGAAGAGATGTTTCTTCCTGATGTTGATATCCAATCAAGTATCTTCCTACCCTCCTTACCCTCATTCTATAAAAACAATCAACCAGAGAAAAAGAGAAAAGAAAAACAAAAACGTGGGCTTCTATTCATGACCAGCAAAGAGAAACAGGAAGGTCAGTGTCACATCTGGGCCACAGTGGCAGAGCCTAGCTTTCTGGGCTGCGCCTGTTTAAGGAACAGTGGTGGCAGAACTGGCCGAGGGCCCAAGGGTCAGGGTGTCACCTGGCAGAGCCACAAGAAAACACATTAGCACAAAGCGGCTGTTTGAATAGGCGTCATCAATGCCCCCTCCCCAAGTACGAGGACCGCTGAGAATGAAAGCCGAGGAGGTTCACTCTCCAAGGCCGAACAAAACCCGCCCTGCCAATCTTCCCAGTCTCTATAGAGGTTCCTCGCCAGATGATTCTGCAAATGTGGCCTCATCCTTTCAAAAACAGTGCATTCTTTTTCTCTTTCTTTAATTCACTAGTTCCAGTCAAGAAGATCCAATTCCTTTAAAGACACAGAAAGGACTTTGAAGAAGGAGATTTGACTTCTTTTGCCTTTGAGCTGATAGCACGGTGCTTGTGGTCTCCATGTCTCCCATTTTCGCTGATCATTTATCTGGTTATGAAGTCACAGCCCAATCTAAATCTACCAGCCTGAGAATTTGGCTGTGAGGCCACTTGCACTGTGTTTTTGGGGCAGAGGCTGGTGTCTTTCCTTTGAAGAATAACATGAAGCCCAGTCCCCCGGCCCCTGGGTCTTTGTGTTGGCACTTTATTCAGGCTGCCAGAAATCAGCAACAACAGCAGGGATAACTTTTGCATCCCCTGCCGTGGTGTAGAATTTCAAAGCTTCTTGCAGCTGTTTTGGTGTGAATGCAGATAAAGTAGCCAGTCAGAAAGCATAGTCTATCTAATTCCACGGCCTCTATGGGGACAGAATGGCTCAGGAGGACGGGAACAAAAGGAGCAGAGAGGCAGACTCCAGCCAGCCTCCTCCTACACTTTATTGCCTGAAGGAAAGGAGGATGGTCTCTGCCTTCCCTGATGTTGGTTTCCTCACCCTGGGTGAGCCCAGGGTGGTTGAATATGTCGTGCGTGTCTCAGTAAAGTTTTCACTAGAGGTCTGCATTTATGAATGCAAATTGAGTGCCAAGAGAGACACAGAGGAAATTAAAGGAGGAACATCAGTAAGAGGAAGAGAATGTGGAACCACCAGAAGGTAGTGATGCTTTCCCCAGCAGCACACAAAAAACAGTATTTGGGATGACAAGCTGTGGCCACTCTGTGTGGGAGGAACATGTGCTACATGGGCTAGACCACTTGTGGATGACCTACTTAACACCTGATGGAAACCCAGTCAGATTTTTCTTAACAAATCCAAAAAAGGTAACACTGGGTTTACATACCAGCATACATTCTGCGAACACTACTGCTTGTAAAAGTTATGGTGAAGCAATTTAATAGTGACTTTTCACTTGGCCTATGAATGAGGTAGAGAATACAATGTTTTTTTATACTGTTGTCCTACAGAGTGATTAAACCTTAAGTTCACTCCTTAAAAATGGCACAGCAGTTAATCTTCCCTTTTTCCTAGGTGCTTGCAGGATTCTGGTATCAGGCAGGGTTGCCCTGGGTCTAAAGGGACACGGCCTTGGCAATCTTGCAGCCCAAATCCACGTCACTGAAAGTAAGCGAGCGGTGGAGGGTGAAGGCGGGTGAAGGCAGGTGAAGGGTGTGCAGGCTGCCTGCTATCCCCTCGCTGTCCCACCAAATCCACCCCACCCTCCTCCATCATAATAGCTTTAGTGAGCCTCTGGCTTTGCAGCTGAAGACTGCATTCTCAGACTCTCTTGCAGCTAGGTGTGGCCAGATCACTTAATTCTAGTCAACTCCTTGTGACTGGGTATAATATATTCAACTCCTGAATCCTTCAAAAGGGAGCTGGTCGTCCTCCACTTTCCTTCCTGCTTCCTGTGGGCTGGGAAGTGGGTGTGGTGCTGGTGAACTGGCTTCAACAGACAGACAATGGCAACCCAACAGGGAACAGCAGGACCACAGGATGGAAGGAACCTGGGCCCCGGACAGCTTCACGGAGCACAGCTGCTCGTCTACCCGAAAGCACCCACCACTGACCCCAACACGAGAGGCATGAATATTGATCTTGTGTGGGCCACTGCTTCTTTGGGAGGAGATGGGGGAGGGCATGCAGTGGGATCTTTGTTATAACAGGGAGTCTGCAGCAACACACGGAGGAAGTGAATCTAATACAGAGGTCAAAGGGTGGCTGTGTGGGCCACGTGTCTCCCCACTCCCGAGAACCAATAAGAACTTCTGATTACCTTTGACACAAACAGTTAAACTTGAATTAAGGCAAGTTAGTAGGATAACAACAACAGTAACAATAACAATGCCTACCACTTTTTGAGAACTTATTTTCTGCTTGACCTTTTACATATGCTATCTCATTTAATCCTCAGAGCAACCTTACAAGTATATTTTACAGTCAAGGAACCTTGGGCCCACAGAATTGGAGTAACTTTCCCAGAGTTACTCAGGCCGTGGGACCTGGACATGAATCTAGATCTAATACGCTTGCATCTTCTACCTACTACACCATGCTGTTTTTTGAGAAGCGTGCTCTGCTCCTAGCCATTTTCTAAGTCCAGCTTAGCATTTGTTCCCAAGTCTCCGGGACATCTTAGTCTGGAATTAAGTCTTCTGTTTTAGAGAAGGTCTGTAAGCAGTGCATTAGCCCAGAACCAGGATGCTGAGTAGCCCTGTGGCACAGAGCGTATCACTCTGAAGTTCTGGAGCCCAGTTTCCTCATCAGTGCATTAGCCCAGAACCAGGTTGCTGAGTAGCCCTGTGGTACAGAGCGTGTCACTCTGAAGTTCTGGAGCCCAGTTTCCTCATCAGTGCATTAGCCTGGAACCAGGCTGCTGAGTAGCCCCGTGGCACAAAGCGTGTCACTCTGAAGTTCTGAAGTCCAGTTCCCTCATCAGTGGAGCAAAGTGGGCTTCCAAGCCAGGCACGGTGGCTCATGCCTGTAATCCCAGCACTTTGGGAGGCTGAGGTGGGCGGAATACTTGAAGCCAGGAATTGGAGACCAGCCTGGGCAACATGGAGAAACCCCATCTCTACAAATATACAAACATTAGCCAGGCATGGTGGTATGTGCCTGTAGTCTCAGTTACTTGGGGGGCTGGGGCGGGAGGATCACTTGAGCCCGGGATATTGAAGTTGCAATGAGCCATGTTCGTGCTACTACACTCCAGCCTGGGTGACAGAGTGAGACCCTGTCTCAAACAAACAAAAAACAAACAAACAAACAAACAAAAAAATGTGAGCTTCAACAAGGAGCCCTCCAGGGTTCACACCAATGCTGAAGGAGCCCAAAGACCTTTTGCACACATTGAGCAGAACCACTGAGTCCACAGACAGACAGGCAGCTCTTGGCCCTCAGCTGAACCTCAGGAATTATGAGGACTCATGGAATGACCTGACCAAGTGCTCAGGTTTGGCTCTAAATGCTCAGATGACCCCTGCTGTGCCAGAGCCTTGAGAAGGTACATTATGAGAGTTTTAATGATGTGAGAAGAGCTAGGCATTGCTGTGTCCTACAGTTTTTATTTAATTTTTTGCCCTATGGTTTAAAGTACTCTTTCTTACTACAGTTTTCAGAAGACCTATGTCCTCCACTTTCCTTTGTTGCTAAAATGAAGAACAACTTATGATCTGGCTCAACCAACTCTGGCATTCATGACATGCTGTGGTCTTGACCCTCCTCCCTCATCACAGGGAGGCTCCACTTCTCTCTGGCTCTACCCTACAGGGTTGCTAGGTACAGCTGTTCTCCTTCTGAGCTGCTGGAGATGAAGTTAGAAGAAAACAATAACAAGAATGAAGAAACGACCCCCCCTACCCCAAACAAAAGTTACTCCGAAATCACCATAGTAACAAATCACCAGTTTTCAACTGTTTCATTTCCTTTGCATTTTTGTTTCTCTGCACATACCCTTTTATTTATATTCAGCCCCAGCTCTAGCCTTTATTCAACAAGCATATTTTGATCCCCTTTATGTGACAGGCACTGTGCTAAGGGCTGCCGGTATAAAGTCAAGTACACATGGCCTCTGTCCTCAGGGAGCTAATATATACTTAAGAGGGAGACAGACAAGTAAATCGAGGGACTCAGGTTGGAGAGGGGACACAGAGGGAGTTCTAATTCATCCAGGTCAGCAATTGAGAAAGTGACTGGATATTAGCCCAGGCAGGGAGGAGATGGGCACTGCAGGCAAGGGAATAGCATATCTGAGGGCACAGAGGTGTGGAACACCATGATACCCTCAAAGAACCGTAAGTGTTCTTACGGCTTATTTGATTTATGGCCATATTTATGGAGCATTCAAATATGTGCCAAGCATATTTCGAGGCTTTGGGTGCTAAGGCTGAAGAAGACAGGCTCCCTGCTCAAAAGGAGCTTATAGTTTAATGGGATTGAAATGTGTAGCTGGGTAAGTGGCTGAGCTTGAGAAGCAGTCAGAAGCCAAATCTTAAACAACTATGAGTCCATTCTACTGAGCCCTCACTATGGTGCCTAAAGCTTTCCTAGGTGCAATATGCAAATGACCTTTGATCCATCAACATCCTGTGCTGGGTATTATCATCATCATCAATGAAGGGAGGTAAAGTTATTTGCCTAAGGCCTCAGTGCTAGGTTTAACTGCATTTTAACCCAGATCTGGCTAAATCTGAGACCTATAAGCAAAAGCATTTGCACATTATACAACTGATACTTATCCAGTATTAAGCAGGAGTGAAACTGGGTCTTGATAGACACATACTGAAGCTGGGGAGAAAAGAGAAGCATGGGGGGGTGCCAGATCAAGAAGGCAAGGGTAGAAAGAGACTGCATGCAAGTGGCTGGACAGGGAGGTATCTAAGTAAGCTATGACTTCCTAAGTGGACCAATGACTCTATCCATTCTAGCTACCTGTCTATTCATAATTCATACCTCACAAATCATCCCCAACTGTGGCAAAGCCGTAGCTTTTGTTACATGTGAGAATAAAGATCTGAAACCATAAATGGCTGCAGAGGTGATCTACTTTGGAACTATATAAGTGACATTATCTGAGAGCCCTGGCACACAAAACACTTCATATCTTTTGGGGCTGGTAGGAGTGAGAAATAGGCTTGCACAGTTGTGTAAGTGGCTGCCTAAACATGATGAGGACAGGTAACACCACAGATAGACATCTGCAATGCAGGTCATCAGAAGAAAGACAGGAATGCCCACTGAAAAGGGCATGTAACAAGTAGAATCCAACAACAGACCGGTGTCACAAGAGGATCCTGAAGGAGTGGCTAGGGTTAGAGGTGCAGATGAATGTGAGGTCACAGGGGATCACCACTGTTCTCCTCCAGCTGTGGAGGGGTTTGCTCTGTCAAGTCAAATACGAATGTCTTTATCATGATGCAGAAGTGGCAGTTACACTTCAGTTTTGCATAAAAAATATAATATTAACACATTCTTTGGGCTAGAAGGCAGCTTATTTTTTCAGCAATGACAGCTCTACTCACATATACAGGCTTAGAACAGTCAGAGGATGTAAACTCTTGCTCATCCACCAGCAAGAGTCATCAATCGGCAGCTCTGGCAGAAGCACTTTGTCCCAGCACTAAGCAGAACTGGCCTGTCCCTGAGAGCTCCGATGGAGCTGCCTTAGAAGATTCCAGGTAATGATGGCCCAAGGGTGGCTTCATGCCCTGCCCCAGTTCTGGCTCAATACAACCCAAACTGACCCAGCAAGTAATGATGGTACACACATGAAATAAGCCCAGGAAACAGCTCTGCCATAATTCTTTGTGACAAAAGCTGACTCGACATGCTGATTTCCAGCCCAAGTGAAACAAAATGGTCCTGTGTACAACCAGCCTACACATTCTGAGTATTCACCGTTCCACCAGGTTTATTCCTTAATCTGGACGCACTAAATGCACTCCCCTCTAAGTCCCTTCATCATTTTCTAGCCATCTTGCTTCTCTCTTAAGACTTGTATTTTCTATATAGGTTCACTGCTAAAATAAAAATACTGCTAACAATTAGTGGATCTGCATAACTCTTATAGAAGAGACTGATTATTTATACCATTTCTACTTTTCCAAACCCACTAAACTGTTCCCTAACTTTGTTTTTCTTAACTATCTCAACTGTTTGAAATCTGTTTCTGTTCTAACATGGTTGCTGGTTAATCATCCATTCTTGTCACTATTTGTTTTGTGCCTCAAACACTCGACTCTTTAAAATAATGGTGTGGACAGAGGAATAAACAAACTTAGTTTCTCCTCTACTCTTACAACATGCTTCTGACACCAGATGTGTGGGTTTTGTTTCCCCACATATCAAGCAAGCAAGCAAGCAATTTTGCAGTGGACACAGCTGGCTGTTCTCCAGTTCAATTCAATTTGGTGCCAATATCTACCTAGAGATAGTGTCAGATCCTACAGGTTGAGGGCTTAGTTTCACAAAACTGCTCCCCACTTAAGACATGAGTCACAGGCCCCAGGTTGTGGTATGTGCTTCTAACCCACCGGCTATAAATCGGGATCTCCACAACCCCCTCCTTGGGTTTGACTCATTTGCTACAGCAGCTCACAGAACCCAGGGAAACAGTTATGTTTACTACTTCATTATAAAGGATGTTTTAAAGGATACAGATGAAGAGATACACAGGGTGAGGTATGAAGGAAAGGGCGTGGAGCGTCCACGGCTTCTGTGCCCTGCCACCCTCCAGGAACCTGCACATGTTCAGCTATCTAGAAGCTCTCCAAACTCTGTCCTCTTGACTTTTTATGGAGGCCTCATTACATAAGCATGATTGATTAAATCACTGGCCACTGGTGATCAACTTAACCTTCAGTCCCCTTTTCTCTCCCCAAAGACTGGGAGATAAGGCTCAAAGTCCCAACCCTCTAATCCTCTCTTTCCCATGACCAGTCCCCATCCTCTAGACGTTTACTACTTTGGAGATTCCAAGGATTTTAGGAGCTGTTTGCCAGAAAACAGTGACCAAATATACACTTCACAATATCACTAATGGCCTCAAATTTTCCTTAATTTTGACTATTTTCCCATAAAAAAACAAATAAACAAATAATTTTTTCTTTGGTACCAGAGCATTTTTACTTTCCTGCTAGGCCAGGTGACAAAACTCTCACTCATTTTCAACCTAAACAACACAACACCCATCATGAACTGTCATCCTCCATTTCTATATTGCAATTCCAACATAAAGTGATGCTACTGGCAGAATTTTCAGTCTGTTAGGAGCAAGTACTGGTGAAAATGTGGAACAAGAGCTCCACACACACCGCTAGCAGGACGTCAACAATTTTACATTACTAGTGAAGATGAAGATGTACCTATCCCATGAGCAGAACTCCACTCCTAGGCATAAACCCCAAAGAACCATGCCTACCTGAAACAGGAAATACATGCACCCTGAGGGTTTAAGGTGAGGCTCAGGAATCTGAGGTATCTGCACTTTTTATAGGTCCACTGGTGATGTTACCTCCTCCCCTGCAGGGGTCTTGGACTGAAGGCTTACAACCTCAACTCACATCTGTTTTTGGAGTCAGGTGCCCCCAAGGCTCATGGCTGCAGCCAGGCAAAGCTGCTCACTGGAGAGGGGTAATGGGGAATTGCACATCCATCGGAGATGCTCCTCCCTGGTCAAAGGTAACTATTCTGAGGATCTGGGAAAATCCAGCACAGTATCAGCATGCTTTTGCTCACCAGCTGCCTGCTCTTCCCTCTTGGTCACCCCTAGCTGTCTGAGCAAGATGTGGCTCAAAACTCACCTCACCTAGTGATGGGCTTGGGTCGGCATTGGCATCATCCTCATTTTCAACACAAAGACCTAAAGTGCCCACCCAGCCCTGGTGCTGCTATGAATGTGATCCTCCCTGGCTGAAAGAGGAAACATCTAGGTGGGGCTTTAGAAGGTAACACTGAGGGGTGAGCCCTGTGAAGGCTGGCCTTTATTAAGCAATACTTTCAGATGAGGATGAGAAAGTAGAATAAAGAACTTCTTCTTGGTGGGGCGGGGAGGGGCTTTCTGCCTTCTGGTGTGAAGCTGCCCTCCCTCCTCCTGCTCTGTTCTCCCTAATGAAAGTTGTATAATGGTGCTCTGTCACCTGCACTTCCATGCATTCCTCCTGCCAAGAATGGCTTCTCTCCCCATCCCTACATGAAGCCGAATGCCTAACTCTGTCCATTGCCATCACTCTCCTATTTTGAACTGAAGTGACCCCAGGGCAAAGTACCAATGACCATGTTGCTATCGTTCTTTTAGGTTTAAAGATACCTACAAGGTGTCAAAAGCTCTACAGATTCCACTGGGCACCTGAAACCTGTCCTGCCCTTCGGCACCAGCAGTGCACGGAGGGTGGAGACAATCTGTTTAAATTGTTCACTGAGGACAGTGCAGGGCTCTGGCAAGATGCACATGCACGGGAGATGTGGAGGCTCTGTTGAGAGGAAATGGAGATGATGATATGAGATAAACACAAATGGAGTCTGGAATGGGGCTCAAGGAGGACATACAGGGAGCCCATCTCCCCACAACTTGGCCACATGCCCACAGCCCTGGCAGGGTTCTGGCTCCTGCCTGGGGATGCTGTGGTCCCACTGGAGCTGCCTGCTGCCTGCCCAGCCGCCTGTCTCATGAGAGGCCCCGCCGCTGGGCAGTTCATTATTTGAGTGGCATGTGGGAGAGAAACAGAAGTGATTTTTCTTATAATGGTTTCAGTTCCACTCCATCAGTTTTGAGGCAGGTTTCCTTCCACTTCTCTCCTCCTCCTGCTCTCTTCCTTTCTCATTCCCTCAGGGTGTCAGAAGTGTACAAAGCCATGATTAAGATGAAGGGTTTCTATTTTGAGTAGGTGGTTAAAAAGATTCTGGTTTCTTCCCTGTAAAATGTGGATTATGCCAACTACTATAAATTACTGATAGAAAGTTACTGATACTTGACAATCTTTTGTTGTTGTTGTTGTTAAGATGGAGTCTCACCCTGTCGCCCAGGCTGGAACCCAAAGGTGCAATCTTAGCTCACGGCAACCTCTGTCTCCTGGGTTCAAATAATTCTCCTGCCTCAGCCTCCCCAGTAGCTGGGATTACAGATGCCTGCCACCACGCCCAGCTAATTTTGGTATTTTTAGTAGAGATGGGGTTTCACCATGTTGGCCAGGCTGGTCTTGAACTCCTGACCTTGTGATCCACCCACTCGGTCTCCCAAAGTGCTGGGAGTATCTCACTTTGGCCCCTATCTAGTAAAAGCTTATCAACTAAAGGTTTTAAATAATTGAAAATGCTCAGTTAAATAAATACAGATGAAACCAACTAATAGACTCGAGAAAAAGTCTTCAAATGAATCCTACTCTTGGTCAAGGACTTCCCCTGTTGGGAATTATCCTGAGAACAAAAATGTGCAGAAAGATTTAACAACACTCATTTCAGTGCTGTTCATGATAATAAAAAAATTGGATACAATCTAGGCACTCAGAGGATTAACAAAGTAGGGTATCATACCAGATTCCTATGCAGCTGTTAAAAATGAGAACACAGCAGGACATTAACAATCCTGAAAGATATTAATGAAATAGTGAAGGGAAATATACAAGTCACAAAACACGAGGTAGAAACATAACTACTTTCCTTGCTTCCAATCTTGCGCTCTATACCCTCTATGACAGTCAGAGTCATCTTTTTTTAAAGTTACTCCCAGGCTTAAAATGGTTTCCTATTGTCTTTGGAATGAATTTAAATGATATGGTCATCCTGCTCTGGCCCTGGCCTATGTGTCTAGCCCCATCTTCTGTGGTTCCCTCTTCACACCTCCTCCCCAGCAACACTGCACACCTTTCTGTTCTTCTTTGAACACACTCTGCTCTGTTTTACTTCAGTGAGTCTGCACAAACTTTCCCCTTTGCCTGAAATGCTCTTCCCCAAAATACTCACACAGCTGGCTCCTTCTCAGGTCTCAGCCCAGATGCCACCTCTCAGAAAGGTTTTTCCTCTTTGGGAGGTGGAGGCAGGTAGATCATTTGAGCCCAGAAGTTTGAGACCAGCCTGAGCTACATGACGAAACCCTACTTTACAAAATACAAAAATTAGCTGGGTGTGGTGGTGCTCACCTGTGGTCCCAGCTACTTGGGAGGCTGAGGTGCTCAAGGAAGAACCCTTGAGGCAGGAAGGCAGAGATTGTAGTGAGCCATGATCGTGTCAGCCTGGGTGACAGAGTGAGACCCTGTCTCAAAAAAAAAAAAAAAGAAAGAAAGGTTTTTCCTGGTATCAGATCTTAATTGCCCATTGCCTGGTCACTCTTTCACATCACTGTTTTATTTGCTTCATGGCATTTAACAATCTCAGAAATGGTCTTTATTTAGGTGTTTTCTTGTTTATTATCTACCTCCACTCATGAGAAAGAAAGCTCAATGGGAGTAGAGGCTTTGCTGGATGGTATACCCATAATGCCCAAAACTGTGCCTGGCACAGAGCAGACACTCAGTGGATGCTAATGGCTATGGTGAGATGTTTATGTATGTACACACAGAGTAATGCATACGTGTGCATCTGCATAAAAGAAGGACAATAAGAGCACAGCATAAAAGAATATCTCAGGATGTTGAGTTTTGGATGGTTTTAAGTTTTTTCATTTTGTTTATATTCATTTTTTATAACAGTGTGTTACTTTTGAAATAAAAAATAATAAACCAGTTTTTTTTCTTTTCCCTTTTAAAGAACATGGTCATTCTAAGAAAATGGTGACAACAGCTGGCTTAAAACTAGAACCACAAGATGCCAGAATTAGAAAAGATCTTAGAGGACATTTGGTCCAATCCCACCTCTCGTTTCAGCAGAATGTGCAAGAAACTAGTCCAGTGTATTTTTCACTACACTAGTGGTTTTCGAACTTTATGAGCATGAGAATTTCCTGAAGGACTTGTGAAAACACAGACCACTGGGCCTCCCCCTGAGAATTTCTGATGCGGTTGGTCTGAAGCAACATCAAGCCTAAGTCCTGCGTTCTGACAAGTCCCAGGGTTATGCTGGCTGTGCTGGTCCTGGGCTACACTCTGAGATCCACTAGGCTATGCCATATTGCCTCTTACGGCTCCCTTAGAAATGTCTTGCTCTTTCTGTAGGAATGATAGTGATTAAAATAATCCCCCATGCTAAGGAAAACCCTAGCTTTCACACCCCCTTCCAGAAGTTCCAACTGAAAAAGAAGGGAAGCAAACAGGGATAAGTAATTTTTGAGAGCCTCCTCTCCTCCAGGCATTGTGCGGGATGGTCTACATTTTACTTGTTTGTTTAATCCTTTTTACTATAGAAAATCTAACCTCAGAGAGGTTAAGGAACTTCCCTAAGAGCAAACCACCAGGCAGTGACAGAATCAGATTTCAAATCCAAGTCTATCTGACTATAAAGTTTATGCTCATTCTCCAACTTTCAGAATGAAAAGCTGGTGGCATTCAGAGTGGCAAATCAACATCTTCCAGTGTAGAAAAAAACACCCTTAAGAAATTGTAATACATCACGTTGTTAATGGCACTAAAAGCATATACACTGATATTAACATCCAATCATTTCTCTGGGTCTGAGGGCCAGGTTTATTCATTAACATGATATTCAGCAACTTCTAACCCCAAAACCCCAGAGTAAAGATGATCCAAGTTGATGCCTGGCTTATTATTGCAAGCCTTCTGTGAAGTAAGTGGGAGAGGGGGAATTTATCATGGATCTCAGCTTCCAACAAAGGGAAGAATTTGCACATGTTCTGTGCAAAAAGGCCCTAATAGGCTTTGCAACTGAACAGAACTGTTCCACTCTTTGAAGAACTAAGTTTAAATTCAAAGGCTAAAAGCCAAACACAAAGATGGGAATATATCATTTACCATCTTATGTCAAAAGTAAACTAGAAACTAGTTATTGCTCCATTCCCATTTACTGAAGAGGACATAAACAAGGGACAGAGAAGTCCGGGTGACAAGGTCCCCATGCCTACAAATACCCGTGCAACCAATGAGTTACAATTTGTCCTACGTTTTGGTCACACACGACCACAAGTTTGAGAAAGTGCTATAAATATTGAGATCACAAAGGGGCTTGATAAGAATCTTTTTTTTTTTTTTTTTGAGAGGGAGTCTCGTTCTGTTGCCCAGGCTGGAGTGCAGTGGCACGATCTCGGCTCGTTGCAACCTCTGCCTCCCGGTTTCAAGCAATTCTCCTGCCTCAGCCTCCCGAGTAGCTGGAACTGCAGGTGCGCGCCACCATGCCTGGCTAATTTTTGTATTTTTAGTAGAGATGGGGTTTGGTTATGTTGGCCAGGCTGGTCTTGAACTCCTGACCTCGTGATCTGCCCACCTTGGTCTCCCAAAGTGCTGGGATTATAGGCGTGAGCCACCGCGCCTGGCCAAGAATCTTTTACATCGTAGTTTTGATCAGAATTCCAAAGAACAAGGTTAACAAAAATGTGGCTTCCTCTATCTGTATCCCTGTATTTCTTACTTTACATCATGATTTTTCTCCACATGTTTTATAACAGATCCCTGAGGCAGCTGTATAAATGGGTTTTACATGAAAATAAAATGAAATACTTTGAGTAATTCTGGCGACCGCATCAGAGAAATGAGGGATTCAACTGAGACAGCTCACGTGATCAGTCCCTTCCTGTGTCCTGTGCCAAGGGCCCTCGGTGCCTCTTCTTTTGGAAGCTCATTTTCTAATTGTGACCAAGGAAACTCCTGTATATTTGGTTAGCAAAGACAGCCAGTGGAGACCCTGAAAGGAAGATAAGTGGGAAAGAAGGAACAGAGCAGAGTAAATGCAAAAAAGGACAAGAGGATCCCAGAGATCGGTACCAGCACTGTGAAAATCTGATTCCAATGGTAACTTTGCTCCAAACACAATTATGAATATGTTTAAGATCTGGAGTGACTGTGGTCTCCTTGGTGCAGCAAATCAGTAAGGTGGACCACATTCACGGCCCCTCATTTGTTAATGTCTGAAAAGATCTGGCTCTCTTACTCCCAATAAAATGCAAAGGATTTCATTTATTATAGAAAAAAAGTGGCCTGAAAGATCTTGCAGAATGAACCCTGGGTCTCCAAGCCGATGAGCTGTCTTTGCAGTCAGCTTCTGACTTAGGCATCTCACATGGGACATGAGATTGGACCGCACAGTATTACGTATGAGCAAATTCTCTTTCTGCTCCCAACTCTTGCCCTTCATGAATAGCTGGAGAAGAGCCATCTTGCCTTCCCCAGAGGAATGATGCAGCTGCAGCTGCAAATGCAGCTTCAGCAGCCGTTATCCTACTGTTAAATGTTTGCTTTTAAATATTACATTGGCCCAGCAAAAATAGCTGTCTCGTCTTAGCACTGGGGACAAAGCTTCATATCTGCGTTAGGGCCCACACCTGTGTCCTAGCAGAGATTTCAGAAAAGGCATTCTCTAATTTCTCTCTGGATGGACAGTGACTTATTCCTTAAGTTTCATAACATATATTTCTGCAGTGGATGGCTGCTCTTGATTCTCACAGATTTCACAGTGGCCTTCAGCCTGCAGTGGTTTATGCAGAAGACAAAAGAATAGCTACTTGGCAGATAATACTCTTCAGGCCTTAGGGAGGGCACTCAGCTGGAAAGATCTGTTTTTGCTGGAGATCGGAAGTGCTTTTCCAGCAATTATTTGATCTTTCCTGGGAACTTGTTCTTTGGAACAATCTCCCAGTCTGGTGGGAACACATGGACTCCTATTCTGGTCCCAGCATTATCACTAACCAGATGTGTAACTTTGGAAAAATCATCAGGCTTTTACTACACGTCAGTTATCTCATTTGCCTGGTGGGAATGATGATCCATCCCCTGCTTAATTAATGAGATTTTTGTAAAGATAAAACAAAGTGGTATATGCAAAGGTATTTAGAAAATTTTCCTAGTGAGGAAAAAACCCCCAAAATACAAATATCACCTAACAATAAATATGCTTTTTATATCATTAGTGGTAAGTTTTCATTTTTTCTCTTAGAATTAGGTAGGAATACCCTTATGCAGAGGAGAGGTAGAAAGTACAACCCCGGCAAAGAATATTGTCATGTTCTCCTTATTGCTTGGAAAAATAAAGCAAGGAAAGTGGGACTGGAATACTTTAACATCCGCCCAGAAAAATCTGCTTTTGCTAGGGCCACACAACATTCTGGTTCTTATTTGTCTCCTCTTTGGTGGTCCCACAAAGAAGGCTACTGCTGCAGTGTTGAATGAATGAGTGAGTGAGTGAATGAATCTATCCATCCATCCACCTACCCACCCATTCACCCATCATTCATGGGCAAATACTATGTATCCAAGCAGTGTGCACAAAATACAGACGCGAATGCCATCTCTTTCACTGAAGGGTGTCCAGCCCATGGGAGAAGGCAGACAAGGAAAGGACCTGTTCTCTCCAATGTAGTAAGCCTGCTTGCCTGAAGAAACACATACAGTGTTCTTGAAGCTTGGGCATGTGACTCATCCCTCCTGCAAAAGCTGGGATGGGTTCTCAGAGGATGGGCATCTGAGTGGGGCCTGTGGGAAGGACTGGTGAAAAAGGGGGTGCGCAAGGGGATGGGCAGGGTGCTTTGCAGGCTGCAGAACAGCTCTTACAAAGGCATGGATTCAGGAGAGAGGAGCATGCCAGGGAGCAGCTTTGTTTGGTGTGACACAAGCCAAGAATGAGCGAATGCAGGTAACTAGAGAGTTAAGCAGGGCCCAAATGTGAAGGAGGGAGCAGGCCACTGTAGTTTCTGAGCAAGAGTTGCACAATGGATTTGTATTTCAGAAACAGTGCTTAACAACAGGCAGCATGTTCTGGAGGGAGAAGGTGAGCAGGTAAGTGAAAGATTTAAAATTTGATGTAAACATCTGCACATTGCAACACAGAACACTTTACAAAACATCCTGGCTTAAGAGCATTCTCTTCCAAATTCTGAATTAACACAGCCCACAATACACTGGGGAGTGAATACACTTATACCTTCCAAAAAAATGCCTTCAGTAATGTTTCCCCTGTGCAACTTATACAACATTGATTTCCCATGTAACTCTGGGATAATCTCCTGGGAAAAGGAAGGCACTGTATGTTTCTCAAATGTGGGTGACCACTGTGTATTGCAGCACCAGGAAGAGTCTGAAAGGAACCCACGTACCTGGTACAAAAAGATGGTGATAGTGATACCTGGTAGCTGTCTTTCAAGAAAATAGTTCATAAGTGAAAGAGAATTTCTAATAATTTGAGGAGGTTTAGCAAGGCGTGTGGATTTTTTAGTTCCCTCTTCTTTTTTTTAAAGTTTAGGCATAATTTATCCACAGTGCAATGTATAAACAGATTTAAGTTTACAGTTCAATGAGTTCTGACAAACGTATATACCTGTATAATCTAAACCCCCATCAAGATCTAGAACATTTTCATCACCCTAGAAAGATGCACTGGGGTCCCTTTGTAGTCAATTCCATCCCAGGCAAACACGGTTGTGATTTCTACCACGACAGATTAGTTTTCTCTGGTCTAGGGTTTCATATAAAGGTAATCATACAGTATGTATTCTTTGTGTCTACTTATTTTATGTGGCAAGTTTTTGACATTTGTCCATGATATTGTATATTCAGTAGTTTATTGCTGCTGAGTGGCATAGTAGTTTTTATTGCTTTATCCATTATAGTAGCTTTTATTGCCTAGTAGTATTCCATGGTATGAATATACCACTACTTAGTAGCTTTTTAACAGTTCTCTCTTTTGCTAAATAAAGTATGCAACTGCCTACTCATGGCAAAGCAAAAAAGAAAAGGCATGGGTGTGTAAGTTCTGGTGAAGTCACCAACTATTCTCTATGCTATCAGGCATTAAGGTTATGAGTGGCTTCATCTTTAGAATCCTCCAACAGCAACAAGGGCTAAAACGTCAGGTAAATTAGGACAAACAGAGAGAGGGTAGAGGGAGGGAGGCAGGGAGAGAAAGGAAGGGGGGAAGGAAGAGAGAGAGAGAATGAGAGACAGAGAGAGAGAGAGAATCCCTTATATTGTCTTAGTGCTATATATTTGGATCACAGGAGCAGATAACACACAGCCCTCAAAAGAGAGACGCTAATTTACTGAGAATTTATGTACTCAATATAAATGGTTAGGTACATAATTTAGATAACTAAAATATTCTTTAAAAAATTAAAATGTGTCCACAGAAACCTACACATGGCCTGGGATTCTACATTGTTTTTCCCTGTAACTGTCAATACTCTCTTGTCCAAGTAGCACTTTAGTAAGTAGATTAAGAGAGTCCAGCAGTGAAAGGAAGTGGCTCAAAAGCATTTTCAGAATTCACCAGTTTCCTATGAGATACTTGCACCCATGAGTGTCAGGTAGCTACTTGGTGTGATTTTTGTTATATTCAACCAAGAGATAATACCTGGAAGCTTCAAGGAAAGCAGATGAGGTCTTGCTGAAAGGGCTTATTAAGCAGAGCCAAGAGGCAAGTCAAGGAAAGAAGGGAGTTAAAGTCTCACAGTGTAAAAACTCCATTTCCTTACTCTGTGGAACTGTTTAAAGCAGCATCACAAAATAAACAAAATAACATCTAAAAAGTGTATTCTGTCTTCTCCTGCGCAGCTGTCACAATTTACTATGAAAACCAGACATGAACGTGTTCTGATGACTTGAAACACATTATTTGGGTCAGCTCCTCCCCCTGACATTATACACTGCCTGTCCTCTGAAGTGAACTAGTCGCTTTGACTCCAGCATTCCCCTATCATTGGAAGTGATGTTGGTTTGCATGGCTATGCTAAAGACACAATGGAAACGAAAAGCTCTCAGCCCTGGGTGGAGCCGGATTCAATTCCAAGAATAATGCAGATAGTGTCCTTAAAAAAAGCTGGCAGGCTTCCTTTCCATTTTTCGCACCAGATATACCTATTTGCTATTTTTCTGAAGCAATTTAATATTTGTTGAGCATCAACGATATGTCAGATCCCATGCTTCATGCTTCATTCTTACGAATCTCCAGGATAGGCACTATTATTGTTCCTGCTTCAAAGATGAGGAAAATAAAACAGCCTCAGCGTCTATACTCATTCATTACTATTCCATGTGTTTCCTTCCCTCAGCCAGTTGGAAGTGGAGGTTGGGAGCTGTGAAATATGAGGCACATAGAAAGCAAGATGAAGACATAGAAAGCAAAATGACTTTCCTCTTTGATCTCCTTCCTTACATATTTTAACATTACATTCTGTAATTAGGTCAAAGCGAGACATACCCGTGTTGTGAGCTACAGCTGAAGTTTAACAATTATTTCTTAGAAGATTGTTAATTAGACTGACTTGGGGAATAGGTTTTGGAATACACATTCATTCTGATAGCAGTTATAGCACAAGACATCTCATAAATAAAAGCCATTTAGAACATTATCCACAGGAAACGGCTGCAGCTGGTAAGGGAACTTTTGACATTAAGGAAATGCAGAACTTCATGGAATTAGATGAAGACAGGAATATTGTATCACAGAATGACGCTATCTTAGCAGGAGCTGGACCATGTTTTCAACAGACACACTCATTTTATAGCAGTTCATGCTTGCTCACCTCTCTGGGTTTTCAGGAGACATGCATGGCGTATCAAGAGCAAAAATTCAAAGAAATGGGAACTAGTACTCAGAGACATTTTTGATCTCAAGGGTTAGGGGCCTGTGGTTTGGTGTAGAGCTTGGACCTGTTCATCCATATAGACCTGTGCTAATAGGGTAAGCAAGCACTAACCACATGTGGCTGGTTCAAGATGAGATGTAATGTAAGTATAAAGCATATAACCAGGTTTCAAAGACAGCATGAAAAAAGAATGTAAAATGTTTAATAAATTTTAAAATATGATTACATGTTGAAATGATAATATTTTACACAGGTCGTCTTAAATTTAAAAATATTAACATTACTTTCATGTGTTTCTTTTTGCTTTTTAAATGTGGCTACTCGGTAATTTAAAATTAATTACCTGTGTTGCCTGCATTTGTAGTTTGTTCTAAGTCTATGGGAAAGGACCGGTATACTCAGTAATTGAAAAGATTAATCCAAATTGAAGATTTGGTGCATTTGATCAAAAGTGGCAAACCAACTGCACTGCAATATGTTTCCTAGGAGGTGAATAAAATGACTGAACAGAAACATGCATTCTACCCTGACCTGCTGGTTACCTAAGGTAAACCACTCACTCTTCCTGGGCCTCAGTCACTATAATGGTTCATCCAGATCATCTCGGACACTTCTTCTAGTGCTGACATTTGGAATCTGTGGCAAATTCCTTAGGGCAGGTAAATCATGAGTGAAGGTGAACTTTAAAAAAACCTTAATATTTGCTCAATATTCATAGCCCCAAATATTGCCTGCTGATCTCTCACATGTGACATGCCTTTAAGTCTCTCTGGAGCAACAGCTAAAATTGAATGGCAATGATAATCATGTTTATGATACACAGACTGAGCTGCCCTACGGAAAAGAGGATGCTTGCTCTATGTACCCCAATGAGTGGGTTTTACTTGACAAGATTATATTAGTAATTGGTAATTACTTTTGCACCAGCCGAATACTTCTAAGATGGAAAAACTTAAATGCACCTTAATAATCCAACAAAAGCTTATTAAAACATGAACACAAAATATTCTAAAATATCCTCCCCTGAGGGAGGGAGAACAGAACCTGGTCCTCTTTTAGTTCAGGTTCTACCCTATTTCTTTTCATGTTCAAAGCATGTAATTATCTGCTAGAAGTTATTCTGCATCTCCCAGGCAAATTATATACTTTTTGCATGATTGTAGAGTTTCTCCTTTTTCTTTTCCTTAAAAGGTAAAAAACTTAAATGTAGATAACACAATTATAATAGGGTAAAACTTTCAGCACAATGCTAGATAAAAACAAATATTTTAAATAAATATATGTTCAAAATATATGTTCAAAATCTGTGTGTGGAAACAAATATGGAATTAAGAAATGACAGGGATAAATGACCTACATGATGGAAAACTCGCTTATGATGGAGACCTCTAGGAAGACTGCATGATTTCTCCTGGAAAAAAAAAAAATCCCATAATTTGCATCCCCACATCTGTAGAATTTCCCTGTTACATCCAGTTTAAGTCTGACATCTTTAACTTCTGATCCAAGAGTGACAGCATGTACAACTGCTACTAACATATATGTCCGTTTTGAAGTAGCTCCTGCCTTTATGTACTTGGCTCCAGATTCCTTCCATTCTGACTTTCTGCAACATAACCGATACAGTTTGCATGTATGTCTCCGTCCAAATCTCATGTCGAATTATAATCCCCAACTTTGGAGGTGAGGCCTGGTGGGAGGTAATTGGGTCATGGGGGTAGTTTCTCATGAATGGTTTAGCACCATCCTCCTTGGTACTGTCCTCATGACAGTGAGTTCTTGTGAGATCTGGTTGTTTAAAAGTGGGTAGCACCTTTCTCCTAGCCCTCTCTCCTGCTCCCACCATGTGAGATGCCTCGCTTCCCCTTTGCCTTCCGCCATGATTGGAAGCTTCCGGAGGCCTCCCTGGAAGCAGAAGCCGCTATGCTTCCTGTACAACCTGCAGAACCACGAGCCAATTATACCTCTTTTCTTTATAAATTACTCAGTCTCAGGTATTTCTTTACAGTAATGTGAGAATGAATTAATACAATGACCATAAATGCCTGTAATAGAGGTAACCAAGTAAATATTTGTTGAGAAAAGAAATTTTAGGGATGCAGGCTCTTCCTCTCTCCTCCTTTCCTCATTTTCTTCCCTCCTTTCCTTTCTTTGTTGGCCAGACCACCTAGATTCATGCCAGTACAATTCATGTCATTTTTTTTTTTTTTTTTTTACTAACATTGAAGGCAAGTTGGGAAATTTTGACTGAATTGCTGAAACAAAGGGCATGCGTTCCCGCCATTCCATACTTCTAAGGAACTTATTTTAAAAAGCAAGAAAGGGGCAGCAAAGTCACAGAACAATGAAAGGACACAATGGCCACCTTCACTTTTGTTGAGACTGGAGAGATGGGAGTCGTAGACATGAATGAGTGCAAGCCTCAGTGGGTCTATTGTGCAAAATAAGTTTTACTTGAAAATGGAAAAAATGACCCTGCATTTCTCTTTGCCATTATCTACAGAGTCACACTGGAAAAAAACACCAAGAGAAGCAAAGCAAAAAGAATAGTTTCTATTGGCCTTTCCTTGGCATTGTATACTTTTATTCCTTTATTCTTTTCTTGCTCAACCTCATTCCCAACTATTTTACTATTTTGGGGGCACTGGGGACAGAACTTCTGGGAAACATAACACGCATTAGTCCATTTGTTTTCTCTGTGAATTCTTTTCAGCATCTTTGTGTAGCAACAGGAAGGATGTGGGCTCCCTTTCAGATTCAAATGAGGCAAATCAGCCCTGGCTCAGGTTGACAACATCATGTTTATGTTACACTGTGGCCTCAGAACGCCAGAACTGCTGTCTCTAGGTAGAATGGCCATTTTGTCCTGGGGCTTAATGTCTATTTTTAACATCAGATCCCTAGCCCATGTCTCACAAAAACAACAAACAATTAACAACAAAAACCCCCCAAAACTGCTGACACAGTATAACTACAGCATACTATTTTATTAAGAGAATTCTGAGTTTTAGAGTTGAAAAGATCAGTGTTTTCAAGGTATTCAGAGATATTTTAAATCATATAGGACAGATGTGCAGAAGTGGCAGTGTCTCCATTCAAATTCTTTCTTTTTTTTTTTGAGACAGCATCTTGCTCGGTCATCTAGGCTGGAGTGCAGTGGCACAATCACAGCTCCCTGCAGCCTCAACCTCCTGGGCTCAAGCTATCCTTCTACCTACGCCTCCCAGTACCTGGGACTACAGTTGTGCACCACCACATGTAAATAATCTTTTTTTTTGGTAGAAACAAGGTCTCACTATGTTGCCCAGGCTGGTGTTGAACTCCTGAGCTCAAGCAACCCTCTTGCCTCGGCCTCTCAAAGTGCTGGGATTACAGGCATGAGCCACCATGCTTAGCTTCAGATATTTCTTAAGCTTTTAGAATGTGGTAGGAAAATCCTACCATGTATTTTTCTCAGATTTATATTCCTAAGCATGTAAATCAAGGAGTAATAAATTTATAATATAAACAAATATAAGACTTTATTTTATAAAACTGGATGTTTATTACTAAGGCTTCTACCAAAAGTTCAAAGCAAAACCATGGAAGAGAATGTGGAGTGGTGCTAGACAAATATGTTAATACTGAATTTGGGAACTGAGTCTATTATTAATTCTATTAGTCCAACTTCGTGATCTTGGCAAGTTATTTATCCTCTCTTAAACCTCAACTCCATCCATTCCTCCATCTATCCATCTACCCATGATCCATCCAACAAATACATCCTCTCTACTAAATGCTCAGCCCTTGGTGAATTAAAAAGATGAATAAGCTATCAGCCCACTGGAGCAGCTTTTGATAAAACAAGTGTACAAATAATTCTATGCAAGACAATTGTCAGTTGGAAGTTGTAGGGTGCTAACAGGAGCTTAGTGGAAAAAGAAGTCACTTCCAATGGAGAGATCAGTCAAGGCTCCATTGAGGAGAGACATTTTGTTGTTTGAGAAAGAAGCAAGATTTCTAAATCTAGAGCAGGGTTGAGACATTCCTGGCCACAGGAAAAGCCAGGGCAAAGATGGGCATCAGGGAGGCATGGAAGACATTTAGGGAAGAGTGACAAGTCCACCAGGTGGAATAGGGTCTGAGTGGGGAGGCAGTGGCTCCTCTGATCAGGCAAGCAGCCAAGAGAGGACTTGGACTGAATTTGGAGCTCAGAGGGGAGGCTCTGAAGAGTTCTAAGCAAGAATGACACTTGGTCTGGCAGCTCCATGCAGAATGGCTCTGCCACAAAAGCACCTGAAAGATGCTAGGAAGAAGTTTTAGCAGTCCAGTTCAGTGTTAATAATCTTGCTTTAGGAGGGTGGTGGTGAGGGTGGGATGGAGGGATAGACAGGGCTGTGAACTGGTGGAATGGAACTGGGCACTTACTTATCTCTAATATTCAAGCTTCCACATTCTAGTATTTGACAGTTTAGTGTAAGTGGGGGAAATTAACTTGAATGCCCCCAAAATAGAGGCAAAAATAGCTTTGGATAAAATTTAGTCCCATTTCTATATATATTGAAATCTCAATATCAATTAGTCTTACAGAAAAAACTGGTCTTGCAGAAGAAGTGTCAAGGCATGATATATGAAAGACAAGCTGTATTTAGGTAAACCTACTAAAGTGTTTTAGCATTTGGTCTGATCCTCCATACAGGATGCTTTCATAGGAGGAATAGTCATGCCACTTTCTATTTTGACAGGGGTCAGAGAAGTGTGGTTCTTTACAGATTTCAGTAATGCATTATCCAAAAAGGCCTCTCATAATACCTTTGGGAATAAGATAGGAAAATGTGGGCTAGATACTAGAACAATGAAGTGAATTATAATATTTAAGTGGGGCTGATTGGTGAGCTCAGGTCCACCTAGAAGGTGGTCTCAGGAGGCCTAAAATGGGGCTCTGAGCTCTTCAAAAACTTGTCAACATCTTAGATGAAGATATTGAAAATTTGTATGGTGAAATATTCAGATGGAACAAACTTTTGAAGGGACAGGAGTGACAATCTCAAGATATAAAAATATCTTGGTAGGCTGGAGTATTAGGCCACAACTGACATGATAAAATTAGTAAGGACAAATGTGAGGGCCTAAACCAAAAAAAAAAAAAAGTTGCCTAAGTACAGGACGGTGGACATGTGGTTTAGCAGCAGCATGTGTAAAAACAATTTGTGGGGAAGTGTTAGCTGAAAGTAATTTCAATTTAAGTCAATTGTTTGACATGGCTGCTTAAAAGTGTGATCTAATGTGGTATTTACTGAAATACAGCATTAGCTCCGGCCTCACTTAAGTTGGGATTCCAGAAACACTGAGAAACACAGGTGCTTTTGATATAAACATGTTGGGTATAGTTGCTTAACAAACCAAGCTCAGCTTAACCAGAGAGAAGTTTTGCTGGTCATCATGGAGGCCCTGCCCTTAGCCAGACTGAGCTAGGGAGGTTAGTAGGAAGAAACAGTGAAGGACTCACCAAACTAGAAGCTACACTTACCCATTCTATCCATTCTAGTAAGACTGAACTTTGATTTTTTTAAATGCAATGATAATAAAATTTTAGGCAGCAAGAGACAGAGCCCGGTCAGAAGGACAATACTGTTCCTCTATTCCTTATCAAATTCAATGCTAGGCAATATGAAGATATTTCTTTTATCGTCTGTCTGAATGTGGAACTCTTCTACTGTCTGAATATTTCTGGGCCCCAAGTTGGGGTTTACTTTCTTGATGGTTGGGAAGAATCATTTGGGTGAGGGGTACTGTGCCCATGACCCACAGCCAACTCCCGGCATGCACAGTAGGGCACCTCTCCCACGGGGAAGGAGGTCTTCGCAAACCTTTTACTACCTTTCTTCAATGTATAAACTGTGATCTCTGGAACTTTCAGACATAACACTTACCTCATGTCGGCAAATGAGAAGCAAGTTTCTCCTTATTCTCTATTAGAAACATAGAAAGCAAGCCAGCATAATTTCTAAACCAAGTTGGATCTTTCTTTAAAAAACAGGAAATTTGTTGCTATGCGTTGTTTTCCTTCCTTGAGCAGTATGCTGTTTATCTTCAGGAAAAGGATCACACAGATCCTGGTGTACATGCTTATGAACAACAGGCAAGGGTTACAGTCGCTCATTCTCATTTGCTTTCCTTGAGGGAGAGAAATCGTATGATGGGTTCAGTTGGTTTTGGCCTTAATATACAGTAGTTTCCTGAGAGGCTTCCTTAATAGGTGCCCACTAAAACATTCCTTAACACAAACACACAAACACACACACAACCTGAGTGTGTGTGTATAATCTGACAGTCTCTCAAAGCATGACCACACAGAATTTAGAACTTGTTAACAGTAATACGATGTTAAAAGGACTCGAAATTCTGTTGAGAAAAACTAATACAAACACTGGAAATTGTTGTGCTTAGACAAGAAAATTTAAGCTGTTTTTTTTTTTTTTTTAAAGAACGGATGGGTTGTATATGGCAGAATTTCTTCTTAGGATTTGTTTCTAATAATGAGAATGTCCCAAAGATGGTAAAGAATATCTTGACAATAGAGATTTCTTGGCAGAATTTGGATGAACAAATACTGGCTGGACTAGATGAGCTTTAAGGCTCCTTCAAGCACAGGAAAATCATAGCTATATGATTTTGATACTTTTTTTGTTTTTCTAAAATAGCCCATAGTGTGGATGCTAACAAGGTAATCTGGAAACAAATGCCTTGAGACAAGGGCTTCTGAGAAACTGGATTCATAGCTGCTTAGAAGCCAAAATAAAAAAAACCAGTATTTTGAGGGAAACTGGATAATGCCAATGGAAAGTTCTTTAATGTTCTTCCTGGAAAATGGTTATAACCATTTATAAAGCAAATCATCAGAATTTTAAGGGCAAAGTGACACATACAGTGAGAGATTTTAATAACACCTCTCTTGAAGAGATTGACAGATTAATAAGGATATAGAAGATGTGAGCAACAGAATGAAGAGATTTAATCTAATGGGCATATTTAGAACTCTGTCCCCACAGCCCCCATCGGAGAATATGCACTAAAGAAATTCACGGAATATTTAAAAAGAATTGACCATGTCCTAGGCCACAAACCAAGTCTCAATGCATTTTGTGGAAATAGTATCATACAAACAACATTCCCAGACCACAACAGATTTTTTAAGTTAGAAATCCGTAACAAAATGATTACTAAAGACTCTCATTCATTTGGGAATTCAAAATGATGCTGCTAATAAAACTCATGAATCAAAGAAGAAATAATTATGGTAATTACAACATTCTTATAACTGAGTGATGATAAAAATACTCCATATTAGAATATATCAGATTTCACTACAGTTTTATTTAGAATAAAATACTTAAATCTTGTCCTAGAAAGAAAAAAGGACTGAGAATTAATGAACAAGTATCCAACTCAGGAAGTCAGAAAGTAAATAAGAGTACATCCAAAGAAAGCAGAAGAAGAAAATAATAAAGGGTAGAAATTAAAATCAGAAAACAAAGATACACTAGAGAAGATGAACAAAGGAAAAGCTATTTATTTGGAAAGACTAATAAGAGCCAAATCTGATCAAGAAAAATACAGAGATGTTACAAATAATAACATTAGGAATGAATGAGAGAACATAACTACAGATTCAGCAAGGATTAAATAACAGCACACTACTATGAAGAAATATGTGCCATTAAGTTTGAAAATTTCAATGAAATGAAGAATATCACAGAAAAATTCAAATTATTATTCTAACAAGACAGAAACCTGAATAGTCTAATAACCTTTAAAAAACTGATTCATTAGTTAAAAAGCTTCTCATCCTTCCACCCAAAAAAATCCAAAAACCAATAAACACTAGGTTCAGATGGTTTTAGAGAAAAAAAAGTAAAAAAAAAATCTGTGTTTTAGATCAAAACCAAAAAAAAATGCAGGAGATAGAAAATGGAAAAGCACTAGGACTATCTCAGAACCAAATCCAAGATGGTAGGAAAAAGGAAAATTATGGACCACTCTCAGATATAAATACAAATGTAAAAATCCTAAATAAAATATCAGCAAACAGAACCCAACAATGCATAAAATATATCACGACTAATGTGGATTTTTGCTAATAATGCAAGGATGATTTAACTTTAAAAAATGGATGACAATAATTCCTGTACTATCCGATTAAAAGAGAAAACCCCAATGATCTTATCAATAGATACAGAAAAGGCACTCAGTAATAATTAACACATTTATAATTTTTTAAAATAGAAACTTTTAGCAAACTAGGATCAGAAGGGGACTTTCATAATCTAATAGAAAGTATTTACCAAAACCCAGCAGTAAGCACCATACTCAATGGTGAAATGCTAACAGCCTTCCCTTTAAAATCAGTAACAAGCTAAGGATCTGTGCTATCCCTACTTCCTATCCCCGCTATCCCTACTTCCTATCCCCTGTGCTATTTCCTGCAGGTCCTAGCCAGAGTGGTAGGAAAAGAAAAAATAAATATATAAAAGATAAAAGATTGAAAAAGAACAAAAACTTGTAATTATTTATAGATGGTATGTCTGTTACACAGAAAAACTAAGAGAATACAGATAAATTATTAGAATTGATAAGAGGTTTCAGCAAACGGCTAAGTATTAGTTTAATATGAAAAATTTTATTTCTATCCACGAGCAACAGTAAGACAAAGTTATTTTAAAAAATTGAGCACTGTGCTTATATTTCTTGACCTTCATCTCCTGCTCTTCAACAGGCACCTCAACCAGATAAGCACAGGATAATAAAAAAATTTAAGACAAACAAGTAACCTAATTATATTGTAAAACTCTGAGAGGCAGGGAGTATAATTTCATGGAAGACCTACAGGATTCCTCTCTATTCTATTCCCATGGAAAAATTTCACTTAAAAAAATGAGGCGTTGTAGATGGGGTTACTTTGAACTGTGGTGAATCACACTTATTCACTGGAAAGACACATAAGCAGGAAGTCCAGGCCTCTGCAAATCAAACTCTGCCTAAAAGGAAAAATATGGCTGATACCTTCTCTTCTACACAGCTTACAATAAAGTCAGCAGGAAGTGGCCCTCCAAAATGGCATCCCACATCAGGAAGGAGATGGATGCTATGAAGGGAGACATTGGTCAAGAGGTAGGCAAAGCTCTTAAGAAAGCTCTTGAATGCTTGGTTCTTCATTTACATGAAGATAATAGGGAGAGTTACTTCTGTTGAAATTTCACTACAACAAAACACAGGATGTCATTTAAATTCTAAGAACTTCTTGATCCAATTGCGTTCCCTGTACTCTTACTGTATATCCAGGTATGTCCATCGGCATGGGGGCCTGGTCAGCTCATGTTTTTAACAGTCTTAGAGAAGGAAACTATGGCACATACGATTTCTTTTTTCCACAGAGGGGTTGACTTATTACCATTTTTAATGAAGTGACAAAAAAAATGAGATAAAAGGGTAGAGAATGTTCTATATTCACGTGGATCTTGCTGGACAACTCACTCAATAAAAACATGGTTATCTGAAAACACTAGATTCTGATGTTGTTTTTAAAAATATGTTAAAAGCCTAACTCACTGGAAACATCAAAATAAGCAAAGATAGTAGACTGATTTTCTGTTTGATTAAATATAGTACATACCTATAATGGAATAGTATATAGCACTAAAATCATATTGCAACATAAATTTAGTGACTAAAAAATATTCACGGTGCACTGCTAAGTTAAAACAAAGTAGGATATAAAACATTAAGTCCAATTTGAAACCATGTTTTAAACATTCCTAAATTTGCACCGGGAAAGGACATTCAACAAAATACTAATGATGTGCGTGACTATCTCTGTGTGATGGGTTAATAGGTGACTTTTGTTTTGTTCTGTATCTTTAAGTACTTTACACTAGGGGTGTATATTAATGTGGACGTTATTTAAAAAAATCCACCATAATGAAAATGCCTAGAATTCACATCATATACATTTTTGGTGGTCACCAAAACATTCACAAACCAAGTATAGTTTCATGGCAGTGAAAATACCCAACAAAAGCCAAGTGTCCTGCTGATTGTTAGACTGGAGGACGACCTTTTCTCCTGAACTCCTGTTCTCCACTGGGCATTTGCCCTGGGGCATGGCTCAGTGCCCCCAGGAGACACTGAAATGGCTCAGTGCCATCCCAACAAGATGTTTCCTTCCTTTGGCTTACTCTCATACCATCAGCGGGGGACAGTGCAGACTGCAGCCCAGCATTTAGGACGGCAGGACAGGAATGAAAATTCTGGGCATGAACAAAGCTCCACTTACCACCTCCAGAACGCCGCTTCTCTGATTAGCAACTTTCTCCGATCTGAAGCGTGGCTTCCCAGCCTTCCACACCAGTGGCCTATATCTTTTCCACCAATCTCCCACTGCCCCTCACACACTCTCCAGCCAGGATGGAATGCACCTCCACATAACTGTCCATGCAGTTCCCACATCTTGTCCACCGGCCAGGCCCATGCGAGTCTTACCCTTCACGTAAGCCTCCCTTCTCAGCTCCTCAGACCTGCGCTGGTCTCCCCCTCTCTCAGCTCCTTGGCTTATACCCAACACTTGATCATTTGCAGGTGAGACAGTCACATTGTTTAACTGTTTCCTGTGCATGGCAGGGTCTGGTAAGGGTTGGGGCCAAGAATCTCTTTGATTCTTCCCATTGCCTTCTTCTGGCTTCTGGCACAGGTCTACAATATAGTAGGTTCTCAAAACCAGAACATAGATCTTTTAAGGTGGAGTGATTTCACTGGCACTTTTCCTGACAATGATTTTGTCAGCAATCTCTTCCTTCTGGTCTGCCTGTCTGCCTCTCTTTTTATGCTTGTCTCATCCTTAAGAGCAAAGAATGGCATTTTTCCTGCTCACTCTTCTCAGCTCATAAACAAATGGCTTCCTCTCTACTCCAGCCCTCGTGCAGTGGTGCTAACCGAACGGAGGCTGTCCACAACGGTGCTGGGTCCTCTCGCCTGCTCACTCCCAGGCACCCAGGCACTCGGTGCCCATTCTCATCAAGGACTGTGGATCTTTTGGTTCCCCCCCTAGGGGTTCTTGCCCTTCAGGACTTTGGTGGGCTATGTTCCACATTCATTTACTCACCCACTCATTCAGCACCTAGTTCCTTAGTGCCTTCTGTGTGCCAGGCACTGTTATGTAAACTCACTGTTGTATGTCTTGTCTCCCCACCTACATTGAAAGCTCCCCGACGGCAACGATTATCTGCTACGATTATTTAATTGTCACCAGAGAATCTAACACTGTGTTCAGAAAGTGAAAAATATTTACCTGACTGAAAGGAGAAGGAGAAAAGGAATAAAGCAGAAAGCTTCAGTTTTCATTCGATTATTCTCTCCGCTGTGGTTTGACTAGAGATGGCGTAAAAAGATAAGGCAAAACTTTGACTCTAGCAGACTGAGTACAGCCTTCATTTTTTTTTTTTTCTGGGCCTCTGTCCAGACCAAATGAGACAGTGACGTATGTGAAAACATTCTTTACGTTGCAGAATATTTTACAAATATGAAGTGTCATCATCATCACGATATGCGTCACCCATACCGTACTGTGAAAAGTTTGATTCCAAACAATAAGCAACCAAATCACCCCATTTTGCAAGCTCCTGCAACCAGCAGCATAATACAGCCAGAAAAAAAAGCTGACAGCCTGACAAAACCCAAATGGAAAATTAAAATGAGCAAGAACAGCCACACACCCAAAGAGAGAGCAAACCCGCACTGCTTGGAGGAGGAAATCCTCTAATTGCCTCCACACTCCTGCTCGCTTCCATCTGCTTGCATTTAAGGAAACCCAACTACTGGGCTCCTCGCAGCTGTAGAGAAAAAGATAGGCATCCTAAGTGCCTGGATGGCTGCAGCAGGCAGGGACCGACAAGAGGACAGAAGATCCACAGGCAAGGCTCAACAGCACATCTAAAAACAAATTTAATGTGTGTTATGCAAAATGGCAAACCAGCTCCCCTGGCTGTGAGGTCACATGAAATAATAACGGAACTCCTTCTCAGGAGAAAGGCAGCAGTGGCGTGTGTGGGCAGGAATGCTGCAGCGCGCTCCTCACACAAAGAAGCCCATGGGCCTCCCCTCAAGCTGGGAGTTGCACGGAGCCCAGGCTGCAATTAGGTTTCTTGTGGGGAAGTGACTGGAGACATAGGCACCCATGTTCCTCACTGTGGGGTAACTAAATCGCCTTTGGCAAAACTTCTTAAGTGCAATTATAGTTTTTAGAAATGCCAACCTTTTGATTCCAGTCTCACTTTGACCATTTCTCCCCTGCTCTTCCTATCTGAATCTCACCAGTCCCATTCTCCAGTCTGCCCTCGGCCTTCTCCCTTTCTGGACTGCTGACCACCTATGCTCAGGACCTTACTGTGCCTCCATAATCAGAGGGATCCCCTAAGGTGCAACCAAATTGTATAATTTAAAAAACTCCACATCTTGGAGAGCAGGCAGTTCATTGTGAGATGATGAAACTGTGGTGCAGAGATGCAAAGACACAAGATGTGTTCACATCACCAGCCAGTGGCAGGGACAGGGCCTGACAGCAGATATCTACAACTCAACATACATAATACAGAAAAAGGACACTAGCACTTGGTGGCACTTGTTACAAGCCAGAGACTAGGCAGGGAGCCTTCACATTCTTTATCTGAGTCCAAACCTGACATTAATCCTGTGAGCTGGACTAAGAAGTTAAGCCACTTTCCCAAAATCTTGCAGCCAGTAATGATGCCGATGAGATTCATTCCCAGGTCTGATTGCAAAGCCTGTTCTTCCTTCTAGCCTGTACTGCCAAAAGATTTCAGGGTGAAGGAAGCTGATGGAGTAGTTAACTCATGAGATGGGTTCCTCTTTGTGGCTGTATACCTGCTCGTGGTCTAGTGAAAGGAGAACAGTTAATGAATGGTATGAATGGCAGTGCACTGGAATTCTGGAAGATGAAGCTGGAAATCAGTAGGAAAGGTTGTTATTGAAAATGCCTTGGTTTCCTGGTGTGACCATAGTTTTATAATTTGTGGGGACCCTGGAAGATTCTAGAGAGGTGGGCTTTGTATCTCCAAGTGGCTCCCTCCTCCACAGCAGTCTAAAACCAGAAGGGCAGAGCCTTCCGGGGCGACAACCACTTGGCTTCAAGCACTGAAGGGTGGAGTGGATGCTGCCATGGCAGGCAAGCTTAGGAGGAAGAACAGTGGCTGCTGGGACCTCCAGGACGCTCTGCAGGGTTGTGAAAGGGGGCTGCTAGCTGCTTGCCCAGGGTCTCCTTGTACTTTTAGCAAAAAAAATGCTCTCGAGAATCCCCTGGACAGGCTATCTGCATCCAATCATCATTCCCAATGCTGAGACTGCTCAGCAATCCCTGGTCAGCTCACCGTCAAAGCAGGACCTGCATTACATCATGGAGGAGTGTGGGTGGCTCGATGTTTTTTATGTGAAGAAATTGGTTATGCCCTTCCGTGAGAAGGAACAGCTTCAACACGTAGGCTGTGTGTATGCAAAATGTTCCTTTGGGTAAATGGTAAAAAGAAATCATCATGGAATCCTATCTAAGTGGCTTGAACTGGAAAAAATAACTTGTTCATTTTATCTGGCTCTGGCTTTCCACGAGCAGCAGCGGTGAGGAAGCTTCCTGAGCTGTTGGCCACAGCTGGGGGCCACCCTGGGAGAGGCTTTGCTTCTGCATCTGGTTTTCTCAGTTCCCTAAGACCTCACCAGTTAATGCTCATTACTTATACCTCTAAGTAATGTCTATTTTATTGTAAACGATAATAAAATTCTAAGCCCCCCAAGTGACTAAGTGGACCCTCCTCTTGACCATGGGGATCCAAAGAAACCTGGAAAACTAGTTCAGGCCATGAAGGGAAGGTGGGGGTCAGATATGCCTTGTTATACCCTCCTCCCTTTGGAGTTCAGGCACAACTGGCTGGCATGAACATTAAAACAGAGACCCTAAGGCTGACAGAACAGACTCTTATAGCAATATGATACTAACTCCAACCTGACACTAGCATAACATCACATGACAGATAACAGGCCCTAAAAGGAAATCAAAGTATTTTACCCTAACATATATTTCCCTGATGTATTTTGAAATGGCCCTGCAAAGCTGTGTCTCTTGTGGGGGAAGTCTGCATGCAGGGGTGTCCAACCTTTTGTCTTCCCTGGGCCACACTGGAAGAACTGCCTTGGGCCACACATAAAATATACTAATGATAGGTGATGAGCTTAAAAAAAAAAAAAGTCCTTGCATAATTTTTGTGATATCTGCCACCTGCCACCACAGGTAACTAAAAAAGTCCTCGCATTCAAATGGCTGGACACGGGTGAGAATCTCCTTCCCTTACTAGGTCTCTTCTGTGACTCTGACTCCTTTGATAAGAGACATTTACATTTATGCTCTCCAAAGCCTTCTTCTTGGAGGTTTCATCCACATGACAAGAATCTTTATCTTTCAGGCCCCCTGACCCCACTTACCTCAACTGATTTCAACTCTTCAGGCAAAGCTTAATTCTTTGAACCGATTGTCAATCTGGAAATATTTAAATCTACCTATGACCTAGAAGTCACCCCCTCCTTCACCTCCTGGACACACACTGCCTTCGAGATGTCCAGCCTTGCTAGCCAAACCAATGTATACCTTACATGTGTGGGTTTCTGTCTTTGTAACTTCTGTTTCTATAAAATGTATAAAATCAAGCTGTAACCCAGCCACCCTGGGTACCTGTTCCTCAGGACCCCCTGAAGCTATGTCATGGGTCATGTTCCTTAACCTTGGCAAAATAAACTTCTAAATTGATTGAAACCTGTCTCAGATACTTTTTGGCTTACACTTTACTATTTTTAAGGTTTACTATTTTTAAGGTCAAAATTCAACCAAGTCTCAAAGCTCTCTCTTTGGAGCGGATATCAACAGGATAGGTATCTGAAAATAGCTTGTTTGTCTTGTCCACTGCTTGAGAGTTAAGACAAAGTTTGCTTTTGTTGGAAACCTTCCAACATTTTATTGTGAACAATTTCAAACATAGTTTTCATAATTTTACACTGAATATCCATATACTTACCACCCAGCTTTAAACATTAATATTATAACATACGTGCTTTATCAAATAGCTATGCATCTATTCATGCTACAAAACTTTTAACTATACATTTTTTCATGCATTTTATTTTTCTGAAGTGTAGCTTAGGGGGAAAAGCATGCTTTTCAAACATGAGTGTGAATGCTTGCTTGAGCACTTACTAGCTGGGAGACTTTGGGCAGGTGTGTAATTTCTTAGAGCTTCAGTTTCCATTGTTATAAAATGTGGGTAACAATGCCTATGGGTGCTGTGCAGATTAAATGCAATAAGGTGTGGGAAGTGCCTTGCACACAGTCAATTCAATATGCAGTAGGAACACATAACCAATTTTCAGCGCTCAGGCTATGCTATCTATGAAACAAAATTGAATTGGTCAAAAATAATGACAACAATTATCCAGCTATAGGTGAAGCAAGAATGGCAGAATGTTGATGATCACTGTTGGAGCTGGGTGAGGTTGCAGGGAGTCCAGTAGGCTACACTGTTTACTTTCTATACATTTGAAATTTTCCATAAAAAAAAATGAATAAAATGTTAAAAAAGAAAATTGGTCACTGGATTTTGTCAAGCAAAAAAAAAAAAAAAAGAAAAGAAAAAAAAAGAAAGAAAGAAAAAAGAAAAAAGCGATTTGAAATATTTAATAAGAAACCTCTGAGGAAGTAATAAGAAGTAGTGATACTGGGGTTACTGGTGCAGGGTTGGGGGCCCCACATCTCACTCTCACGGCTGTGGGGCAGCATGGGGAGGAGGAAGGACAAGCCTTGGGTATTTTGTAAAAGCTCCCCAGGTGATCTGGTTCACTCCTGAGTGAGAACTCCTGTGCCGGCAGAAAAGTGTGAAACCACACTTTCCAGCATATTAATTGTGAGAATAAGTACTTTGCATAATGCAAAGCTTGTGCCTCTAGCTAATTTGCAGGCAGATGACACAGCGTGAGAAGCCTCTGATTTAGTAGAATAAGAACTATTTGTAACCAAACAGCCTCCCTCTGTTAAGTCAGGGGTAGGTTAACCAAGGACCTAATTAGAGTGCATTCTCCCACGTCACTTATCAACTGTCTTAACTCGTAGAGCTAAGGGGTTCCTTTAGTGCTTTCAGAATTGGGAATCTGGAGAAAGGTGGAAGAAAAAAAACCCCATGGACAATGTTAAACAGAAGTAAAAGGAAAGATGCTCTTTTAAAAAACAAAATGTCACCCTCCTGTTCTAGTTCCTGAATTCCTTCCCTTCCCTGCTGTGGCTCATTCTCTCTTGTTCCCCTTTGCTGGCAGCTGGAGGCAGGAGGGTGCTCTGATGGAACCGCTGGGTGAGAAAATATGTGTCTGGAGCCCTCTCGGTGGGGCCGAAGCAGCGTCTTTGTGGGCTGGGATCATGCGGAGGCAGCTAGAGTAGGCAGGCCAAGCTGGGCCACCGCAAGGGAGCAAGGCCATTTGCTATCCTGTGGGTTTCCTGAATGAGGCCAGGAACGAATGCTTGTAACAGAGGAGACCTGCACACAGGGTGTGTGCACACATGAGCACACACACTCTCAGAGGATCAGAAGAATTTTTATACCTATGTGTGATGGACTGAATTGTGTCCCCTCAAATGCATGTGTTGAAGCCCTAACCCCCAATGTAACTGTATTTGGAGAAGGGGGCCTTAAAGGAGGTTGATGAAAAATAAGTTCAAAGAGGTAGGGCCCTGATCCAATAGGGCTGGTCTTCTTATAGGAAGGGGAAGAGACAGCAGGGGAACTTGCAGAGAGAAAAAGGCCATGTGGGGACACCAGAGACAGTGGCCATCTGCAAGACGAGGAGGGAGGCTCACCAGACCCTGGCCCTGCCTGCACCATGAACTTGGACTTTCAGTCTCCAGACTATGAGAAAATATGATTCTGTTGTTGAAGCCACCCAGGCCTTTCCCCTGACATAAATGCCCACCTGGAAGGAACCTTTACCTATTTCTCTGGCGTGTGTTATCTATGAATATGTTCTAAGACTTATTCATAACACTTCAGTTATTTTTAAGCACCTATGATGAAAAAGACACAGTACTGGACACAGAGGTGAATTTTCTAGCCTGATGGACTAGGAAGAAGTGACACTTAAGATGAGCCTTGCTGGATAAGCAGAGACTGACTAGAAATTAAAAAAAAAAAAAAAAGATCCTTGCAGCAGATTAGACTTAGACTCTAAGCGACAGCAGGAAGGCATCCCAAGAGGTTAGAAAATGAGTGTTCAAAGCCCTCCAAGGGCACAGAGATGGTTTGGTTTTGCTACAGGATCACATTTGAAGTGAAAGAGTTAGATGTGTTAAAGAGGTGGGTTGGACAGACAGATCATAAAAGGCCTCAGATGCCAGGTTAAGGTGTTTAGGCCTTTCTTGGGGGAATAACAGGAGCCTTGAGAAGTTCTGAAACAAGAGAATGACAAGATTGATATATGTGTAAAAAGGGAAAAGTGAAGAGACATGACACAGAGTAAGCACTTATGAGTGTCAGGCATCATGTCAGCACCACACTTCTTCTCTTTTAATCCTCAAAACAATACCATTTTGGACATGAGAAAGTTGAGTCACAGCAGGGTGGTCACTTGCCCAAGACCCCACAGCTGGTCAGCAATGGAGCTCAGATGCAAGCACATGCCCAGTAGCAAAGTTAATGCCCTGCCCTTCCTGCCATTTAACCTCAAGCTCACCTCCCACACCATCATCTATTTTCCTCCCAGTCAGAATGGCTATCTTAACAGAGCCTGGAATGTACATTGCTTTTAGGGTTGGAAAGCAGGCAGATTAACCACAAAAAATTTCCAATGCACAGGGCACCTCTAGAAATATCATTCAGCCTTCTAAACAAAGCCATATGTAAACCAGCTCTTGCTGTCTATATTAGTCCATTCTCACACTGCTAATAAAGACATACATGAGACTGGATAATTTGTGAAGGACAGAGGTTAAATTGACTCACAGTTAAGCATGGCTGGGAAGGCCTCAGGAAACTTACAATCATGGCAGAAGGGGAAGCAATCACATCCTTCCTCACGTGATGGCAGGAAGGAGAATTGCCAAGCAAAGAGGGAAAAGCCCCTTATAAAACCATCAAATCTCGTGAGAACTCACTTACTATCACGAAAACAGCAGCACGGGGGTAACTGCCCCTAAGATTCAATTACTTCCCACCGGGTCCCTCCCATGACATGTGGGGATTATGGAAACTACAATTCAAGATGAGATCTGGGTGATGACACAGCCAAATCATATAATGTCTTTTCCTATCACAACACAGTCAAAGGGTCAAGTTGGGAATTCTCCTATTGTGTCCTACAATATCAAAGTAACCAATGATCATAATTTACACATAAAGCTGCAAAAATATATAGGGGATATAGTTGTCCTAGGTAAGCAGCCACCCCAACATCGACTATATTTTTAATGCAATATAAACAGCTGCTCTCAAATAACCTCTGCTCCCCAAATCCAACAAGATCACCCAGTATCCAGGAAAATACAATGCTGTTTTCTGTGTCTACCTTTAAATGACAAAGTAAGTCATGCTATGATCATTTGATCTTTTGACATAGCTGCTCTTCTAAAACTTCAGGTATATTGAAAAACAAGAGTAAAAATCAGGTAAGAAAGAGTTAATTCCCTTAATATATAAAAATCAAAACATACCATGCCAGTAGAATAATTCACATTTTCTTAAATGTGCTCTCCTTCAAGGGCAAAGATTTTTGGTATTTTGGAAGCAATACTTACAAAGATAACTTGGGCACTATTTTTTTATTTTTCTTTTAGATGAAGTCTCGCTCTGTTGCCCAGGCTGGAGTGCAGTGGCGCAATCTCAGCTCACTGCAACCTCTGCCTCCCGGGTTCAAGTGATTCTCCTGTCTCAGCCTCCGAGTAGCTGGGACTACAGGCATGCACCACCACACCCAGCTAATTTTTTGTATTTTTAGTAGAGATGGGGTTTCACCATGTCAGCCAGGATGGTCTCGATCTCCTGACCTTGTGATCCACCCACCTTGGCCTCCCAAAGTGCTGGGATTACAGGCATGGGTCACCCTGCCTGGCCCTTAGGTGCTATCTTGAAAATTACGTGTGTACTCTAAGATACAATTGTGGCTAATGGTTTGTTAGAAGAGAGACAAAACTGCTAAAAGCATCACTTCTATTCTGGCACCTACTGTGTGCCAGCACTGAGACCTGTGCTGGGACTAGATAGATCAGGATAAGCAAACTGAATCACATCAGGGGTTGTTAAAATCCCCTTAAAACTAATGAGGGTGTAAAAACTTTTTTTTGACGTTAGAATCAAATTCTGAGAGCTACTCCTTTGAAAAACAGGCAGCACACTTTTCACTTCCTTGCCTACTCACACCTCAGGAATCACGTGCTGTGGCTTTTCTATAAAATTTTCACAACACAGCCTATCTCTTCTACCTTCAAAAAGCAGGGGGGTGGAAGTGGGAATATGTGCATGTATGTGTGTGTGCACACATGCGTGTATGTGGTTGTTGGGGATTCCTCCCTTTTTGCTCTATAGATATACTTTTCACACTGTGGCATAATTGTTGGATATGGTTCTTATCCATTAAACAAACTCCTTCGAGGTATATGCTGTGTCTGGATGTATCTCTGTTTTCCCAGACTAGGAACAATGCCCAGCACTGTTCCTTACATGTTTACTGAGTGAATGAATGATTGTTTCAACTGTGAGTTTGTCTTCAGACTCCAGAACGTTTGACAGTCAATATACTCCTCATGGTAGGGAAAGTCAAAACTTTCAAAAATTTATATGCATGTGTACAAACAGATTTCAGGACAAGCTTATTGAGGTGTAATTTGTATACAGTAAAATTCTCCCTAAGTATTGATAAGTGGATACAATTGAGTAAGAGCAGGTGGTTCCTACACACTTGCCAGGGCCCTGTTCTCCGGGACTCCGAATGAATGGAGGGACAGTGGGGCCTGGGAACCTGGATTTTTAATATCATCTCAGGTAATTCTGGTAAAAACCCCAGGTCAAGAGTCCCTGAAGCAGATGATGCTCTGCCACTATATTTTATATTTCCTTTCCTTTTCTCATCCCCAGGCCCATCCATCACTCTCAGTCAACTATTAATATTGAGGATGAAACCAAAACATTTCTGCTCAGCACCATACTTGGAAACAAAATCTAGGTACTCAGCCACTTGGCTGGAGTCAACTATAATTTCTGGTTATTTAGCAGAAATACAGCTGCTAAATGACATTTTGAAATGAACATGAGATATCCACTTAAAGAAATGAAAAGGCTTTGAATCAGCATGGGATAAAAGGATTGTGATTTGGGGGCTCTAAGTGTGTATTACTCTAGGGAAATGGTGGGGAAAGAGAAGAAACCAAGCCACTCACAACAACACTGTTCTAATTCCAAATGCAACCCCACACCTGAAGTTTTTTAAATGGTGGATTTTAGGGGATCTGTGAATAGTGAGGTTGACATCAAGTCAAAATCCAAAGGATACAGCACTGAAGGGAATGTAAGAAAATTCATTTGTATTACAAGAGGGCTGGCTTTGCAGTGCCATCCTTCAGTTACTGAAAGATATCAAAAAACATGATCTCCTCTAGCCTTCACTTAACTGAGAATGTTGGAAGATGTGGGGTTCTGGCCTCTAATTAGTAATATGGGACAATCTTTTCCCTATTTGAATTTCAATTCTTACAGCTAAGGGTTTGTATTTTAGTAAAGTCTATCACAACAAACTCCAGGAGTCTGTCGCCATTCTTTTGTCATTTTCTCCCCTGAGATTGTGATTATAATCTAATAATTCAAGTAGTGGGGTCAGTGGTCAGAGACTTGACATTTAGTGGAAATGGAATCTAACCTTTACTGATATTTCATTGTGAGTAATACTCAAAATGGGACTGACATATTGGGAGACTATTTGACTAGTTGGAAAAAAGAAACCTAACCACTGTTAATCAAAACAGAGGTATAACTGGTATAAAAAACAGACACAAGGCCTGCTTGTTCTGCTGTGGTCCTGGGGAGATTACTAGCTAGTAAATATTTTATGAATCCATTGATTAAGATGGGACTTTAAGAAAGAATGAATTAAAAAAAAACACACACACCCTGGCTTTGAAAAATGCCAATGAATTACTTCTAAGAGAAAGAAAATTATGGAAACTCTGCTGTGGAGAAGTTTAAAAGTATGCTTTACACTATCATTTACAGGCAGTGTATGTTGGTCTCACCAGCTGCCAGGGCTGGTAGAAAACTGCTGAGCTAGCAGTTATGACCAAACCAAGCATCTCTCTGTAATTAGAGTTAGCTGGAGAGGGGGAGAATGGCACAAAGAGGACAGGAATATGTGGTTTTAGATGGGGGGAGGGCAAAAAAGCAGATCAAGTTTCTCTTGAGATTTAAATTAAAGAACATAGCTGGGTGTGACCTTGGACTATGTCTTCTGTACTGCTGTGCTGCCCAACACCATAGCCAGTAGCCACACTGGGCACATTTCAAGTGGCTTGTACAAATTGAGATACGCTGTAAATGTAAACTACATATGAAGTTTCAAAGACTTAGTACAAAAATATCTCAATAATTTAACATACTGACTGTATGGTAAATGATAATATTTTGGACATATATTGGGTTAAATAAAATGTAAAGTTTAATTTTACTCATTTCATTCTACTTTCTTCTAAACTGGCTTCTAGATAGCTTTAAATTGTACATGCTGCTTGACTTTGGTTTCTATTGGACAGTGCTGATTCAGACCTTTACTTCTTCACTTGTTAAATGTGGCTGATGGTGGGAAGCTGGGGTGGTTCAGATGGGAAGAAACATTGTGGGTGACAAGGTGACAGGTCAGGGTAAAGCATTATGGTGACTGCTTGTAGACTGAAAACTTTAGCTTAGGGAGTATGAAGAACAATCACAAGAGACCCAAGCTAATCAGGTCTGTCCTAGTTTATTTTGTGTTCTTATATATCTGTGACTGGGTAATTCATAAAGATGAGAGGTTTATTTAGCTCATCATTCTGCAGGCTGGCAAGTTCAAGTAGCATAGTGCTGGCATCTGCTCAGCTTCTCAGGAGGGCCATGTGCTGGGTCAAAACATGGCAGATATGTGTGAAGACGCCAAACCTAGGAGGGGTGTCCTCACTTTGGAAGAACCCTAACCATTCCCTCGAGATCTAATCCAGAATTGGGAGCATGAGAACTCTCTATCGTAAGAATGGCATCCAGCTGCCCATGACCCAAATACCTCCCAACACCGCCACAGTGGGGATCAAATTTCAGCATGAGATTTGGTGGGAACAAACCATAGCAAGGTTTACCTGGGTCCTCCTCAACCTCTCTGTGCTTCAGGCGGTTAAAGTGTAAAATGAGAGGCAGGACCAAATTCTTGCATGATGAAGTAAGTCTAGAGAAGCTCTTTACCTGCACCATTCCCGGTCACTCCAAACTCAAGAATAATTCTGGTAAAAACAAGTAGAATGACCAACAGAGATCTTTAGCCTCTGCCTGGACCCATCTGGAGAGTCACTGCTATTTATCTGTTAGTTCTGCTTCAGTCCCTCTCAGGGACTGAGCTGACAGAGTTCCTGTGACATGTTAACACAGTTAAAGACACAAAGAACAAAGAGTGCAAGATGGGAACAACAGATGTCACACCCTTCTTAAGGAGTCAGAAAAATTCAAAACAGCAAAATCCTACAGATGATATGTAGAAGGAAATGTATTTGTTTTCCTTTAAACTTACATATGAAATACCTACTATTGTAATGTTAACCTACCAATTAAAAAATCCAAGATTTTATAATAACACCTTAACCTATTAAGTAATCCAGTTAAATAACACTTCTATGAAACCCAACTTTCCCCCTCTTCAAAAAATCAAACATCCCCCAAATCAAAACACTATCACTTCCCAAGCATATTAATTTCTGTGTAAAAGAGGATGTTAAAAACAAACATACAAACAAATGACAATGAAATTCCATTTATAAACAAAGCCTTGGCCTACCCAAGGCTGCCTCAGACAGCAGTAATGCTGGTGCTGAAAACTGGCAACTGGGCTGGTGAGTTCCGTGTATCTGAATTAGTCACCGCCATTGAAAAGTCGGAATGGTTAACATAAAGATCCCGGTTTCCAGTCAGGCATGGCTCGTCTGAGGTCCAGCAGTACCTGCCCTTTAGAGGTGCATAGCTTGTGCTTCTCCAGCTGCAGTCTCCTGGCTGACTTTCCTTGTTTAGGGACCTACTCAGTCAGGCAGGCACTTGTGGCCTGAGGCAAGAACTGTAGTAGTGGGGGCAGGGATGGGGGGCATGGCCAGAAGGGATGAGAGGGAACATGGAATTGTTGAAAAATCCTAGCTCTAAACCTGACAGATATGGCTTGATCTTACTCTCCCATAGAGTCTGGGTGACCTTGGGCAAGTCACTTCACTAGTCTAAGCTGTAATGTGGGAAGAAAGTGAAAAATGTTCTACACATGAGGAGCCTGTGTGGTACCTAGCATGTAGTAAATGCTTTGCTAAAGTTATTCCTTCTTAACCCAAGGGCAAGAAAAAAAAATGTTTAGCCTAATCACAGCAAAATCCAGGTGACCATCAAGGAAATGGCTAGAAAACCATCACTGCAAAAATATGAAGGCCCAGGTCATACACTACGAATAATTCAGGAAGAGAAAGGAAAGAGTAAAAAATATCAGACAATATTCCAAAGTAATAACTGAATCAGGTGAGGATTATCCATGGTTACTCAAGCCACTGGATGAAAGGAAGGCTGGAGCAGGATGTTCACAAATGACCCATGTATCAGACTACAGATGATTTATTAACTCAAGGTGCACCTTGACATTGGTTAGGTCTGGTTACCATCTTACCCAAGAGATGAAACCTAGCACTGAGGATGGTGGAACAAGGTGACTTCTTCTGCTCCCTGATGTGATATAATATCAGGTGCATGACATCATTTATAAAGTATTCTTGGCAAAAGATGTTTAACCTCCACTTAATAACAAGCCTCTAGATCTAACCAATTTTAGGAAGAGAAGAGCATGCTAAACAATGCTGTGAAGAAGCAGACAAGCCCAGAGTGTAAGGCACTGTATAGCACAGCGAACTTGAACTTTTCAAAAAGTCATTGTTTAAAGTTATATAATGAATGAAGGAAAAGTTATCAACCAAATTCATCAAGTGTATTTGATCAGTTACAGATTTTGGGGTGGGGGCGGGGAGGTAAGTTATAAAATATTATTTGGGACTGTATTGTTGAAATTTGAATATGAATTGAATATTAGATAATATAAAATTATTATTAAATTTTTAAGATGTGGAAATAGTACTATAGTATGGTTATATAAAAGAATGTCCTTATTCTTAGGGGACGGGTGGTGAAATATTTAGAGGTAAAGTGTCAAGATGTTTGGTACTTTTAAATGGTTCAGCAAAATTTTATATAATATGTATAATTTATATATATAATTAGAAGAGGGAATAAAGCAAATGCTGCAAATGTAGAACAAATGGTGAATTTAGGCAGAGGACATAAAGTGTTTGTTTTACAATTCTCCCAACCAGCAAGTTTGAAATTTGTTTTATAATTCTCCCAACCAGCAAGTTTGAAATTTTCCAAAATAAAAAGTTGGGAAAGAAACTGGGAGAGAAAGAGAGGGAGGGAGGGAAAGAGGGGAGGGGGAGGGAGAGGGAAAGGGAGAGGGAGAGGGAAAGGGAGAGGGAGAGGCAGAGGAGGAGGGGGGGAGGGGGAGGGAGGGAGGGAGGGGGTAGAGTGAGCGGGAGAGGGAGAGGGAAAGGGAGAGAGGGAGAGGGAGAGAGTGGGAAAGGGAAAACGAGAGGGAGAGGGAGAGGGAGAGCGGGGGAGGGAGAGCGGGTGAGAGAGAGGGGGAGAGGGAGAGGGAGAGGGAGACGCAGAGGAGGGAGAGGGAGAGGGGGAGGGGGAGGGAAAGGGAAAGGGAGAGAGGGGGAGGGAGAGAGGGGGAAAGGAGAGGGGGAGGGGGAGGGAGAGGGGAAGAGGGAAAAGGAGAGGGAGAGGGAGAAATACAAAACAGGAAAGGAAAAAAAGATGAGATAATATCACTACTCCTTCTCTCCCTCTTTTAGAATCCCTTCAACATCTATATTCAGGTCAGTTGCCCTGGGTTCCTTTTCATTCAATATGGTTTTATTTTTACCAATTTAATAAATTTCATTGTGTGCTCATCAAACTGATGTAGCCACTGTCTCAGCTCCCTTACTGGCTGACATCAAAACTAAACTTTAAACAAAACTCCAACAGCTCCTGTAAGGGTTCACCAGATAGGTATGACGTTTAAGATAACAAATCAAAAACTTCTGAAATCAACACCCAATTTGCTATCACGATGGTTTTTAAGTCAGGTGGATGCGAGGCTGTGGGCCGAGCATCCTACTGGGCTCTCATCTTTTCCAAAGACAGTACTCTCTCTCACACCTGCACTGGACACTGATAGAGATAGGACAGGTACAATATAACATGCTGGCTAGCCAGGCCACTGGGGTTTTAGAGAGCCTGTTTCCATATGGAGTGGGCCATGCCTGAGTTCTGATGCCTGGGGCAGCAATCGCATGACCTGCAGAATAGCCACTCTGGATTCAACTTTCAGGGACTGAGAGCTCCCAATGAAGTGGAAATTAATTCTGTGATGCCTTTAACACAGAGAGGGCTATAAAGGATCTGGATTCAGATAGTGCGGGTGTGCACCTGGCTCTACTGCATTCTAGTACAACCTCAGAGCAGTGTTTCTCCATAGGGGTGCTATGAACACTGTGTTAGGGACAGCTCTTCACTGGGCAGGACTGTTCAAGGCACTGCAGGACATTTACCATCCCTGCCCCACTTTCTCTTGCATCATGTGCCAATGGCACCTCCCAGTCTTTGTGAGGACAACAACAAACCCCTCCCCATCCCCCCCACACACTCCCAAATGCCTCCTGCCTTAGACATCAGCTAAATTATCTGAGCCTCCAACTGGTGATAACATTGCACTGCCTAGGAAGTGGTTTGGGAAGATCAAATGTGCTGCAGCTTTTTCCCCCCCTACTTATTAAGGGGATGGAGTCCCCTTAATTTTTGAGATGCAGTCTCACTCTGTCACCCAGGCTGGAGTGCAGTGACGTGATCTCGCCTCACTGCAACCTCCACCTCCCAGGTTCAAGTGACTCTCCTGCCTCAGCCTCCTGAGTAGCTGGAATTATAGGCGTGTGCCACCACATCCGGCTAACTTTTGCATTTTTAGTAGAGATGGGGTTTCGCCATGTTGGCCAGGCTGGACTCGAACTCCTGACCTCAAGTGACCCACCTGCCTTAGCCTCCCAAAGTGCTGGGATTACAGGTATGCGCCACTGCACCCAGCTAGCTGTTTACAAACTTAAATGAGCTATGCCTACGATACCCTAATATGCATCTGCACAAGCAGCCTGCCATCAGAGGAAAGGCTGTGGGGTGGGACCAACCACCTGGATCCCAGGTGGGAACTATTACAGTCTTATCTCTCTAGTCATGCACTAGAATATGTGACAGCTACTTGTTCTGAAAATGTTCCCCTTAATAAGTGGGAAATTTTGGTTTATAAGTGTTGCTACAGATAAAAACTACAGCATAGTGTGAATTTTAGAGTGAAAGCAGATGGCAAATACTTGGGTGATTGTAGCAGAGGAGCAGGATGGCCTCCCGCAAAGCAACTTCAAGGAATCTGGTTTAGAATGTTGCCAGAACTAACCTGGAACGAAAATGATACTTTTCTTAGTGAGCAAGTGATACAATGACTGTGGAAATTACTTTAAGAACCAAGGTTACACAGTAACACAGAAGTTGACACCCTACCCTCCTATGCACAGGGCTGATTTTCAAAATGATGTGCTTTAGGGATCTGTTCTTTAAATATGTAAGTGACGCTTATGGAAGGGAATCAGTCTTAAAGGCGGGGCCAGACTGCTGCATACAACCTCAAATGGAACTGTAAGCCCTGAAGAAAAGCTGAGAATGGAGACTGGAACAGGGATTCTCACAATTTCGTGTGCATAAGCACCGCCTGGAGAGGCTGTTAAGAATAAAGTCACACACCCACCACAGGGATTCTGTCTGATTCTACCAGTCTGGGGTAGGCCAGGATCTGTGCGTTTAATGAGCTCTTAGGCCAGTTCTGAGGAAGGGGCCCACAGGCTGCTCAGGGAGTCTCAGGGACACCTCTCCAGAGGGCTCTCTGGTGGGATTCTCCGCCTTTAACTCTCCCCATGGGATATTCTTGCTCTCATGTTATGGCCTTCATGACTCAGAATTTAGGTAAAAGCATTTCTCCAGCCCCTAGGTCTGGTTGGATTTTGGGTTACAAAATTGTCCATTTTCACTCTTCATCTCAGCTTCTCCTCCCCCTGTACACACATTGTGTAAATAAGAAGCTAATTTTATTTTGCAGACCAGACAGCAAGTTCTGACCTCTCCTTGAAGGCCAAAAGTCTCAGGTATTAACAGAGAAGTTAATAGGTAGAGTGGGTGAAAGGCACAGTCTTAAAGAACAAAAGTAAAAGCAGATACCTACCCTGGGTCACAAGCCAACAGCAAAGGCATGGAAATGGCCCCTGAGGATCACCCAGGGGTTGGAGTGGAGCAGGGGCAGTGCTGGCTGGGACACAAGGGGTTGCAAATGGATAGTTTTCCCACAGATACTTACATAAAAATATCTAGTGCCAACACGGTGTTTTTATCACCTCCCTCAACTCTGTTTATTAGTCAGTGTTGCTGAATGCCTCCAAATCCCATTCATCTTAAAAACAGTAGACTGATAAAATCTCTGTTATCTCTGGACTTGGCCATCTGAAATGAGATCTTTTATCTTCCATTTCTCTGGCTTTCCAGAATACATTTTCATAGCATTCTTGCAAAAGAAAAGACTATCAGAAAAAGAAAAATGAAGGGTAGTAAAGTTGAGAGAATATTACACCACAGCTTTTGGTAAGAAAATATTTATGTCCACAAGCACACACCACACCCTTTCTGGGAAGATATTACTGGCCTAGAAGCCGGGTGAGTGCATCCCAAAATATACTTCACAAAAAGCACCATTACCCTCCCAAAATAGGCCCTATAATTAGGTAAAGTCTTTTGCAGTGGGTTGTCCTATATCATAAATTGACATATGTTGCTTTAATCTCCCTGCTTCAGCAAATGTAGCCATATTAGGCTACAAAAGCTCTCAGCGACTCACATGTAAACCAGATTGTGGTGTCACTAGCAAACTGATGCAAATAAACAGCTCTGTGTACCAAAATACTCAATCTCAATCATCTGTAATGAGATCTCTCTCCTCCCTAAGCACATTTTCATCACACCAGAACCGCCTTGATTCAAAAAGAAAGACTAGCCCAGACTGAAATACCGTTTAATCTTAGAGGTCATCAAATGACTAACACATCTGAAGAAGCTGGGGTTAAAATTTAAAATACGAGACAATCTCTTTGTGTAAATGCTGGGATCATGTTGTGTGAGTCTTGTTTTTATCTTTAGTTGACCGTCATTCTGTATAAGCCGTCAGAGGCCCATCTGTCTGTCTGAATTCATTTAGGTCATTTTTCGCTTGGAGTTAGGGGTAATAGAAGGGATAGCCTCTTAGCAGCCTTTCCACTCTGATGATTTTCTGAACGAATTTAAGTTTTTTAGCTGTATATTTACATAAATCAAATGTTAAGATATTTCCATTTTTAAACCTTCAAAATAATAAGTACTTTATAAATATTTACACTTTAAAAATTACTTATAATCTCAGAGTTTCTCAGCTTGGTATTACTGAGATTTCGGGCCCGATTATTCTGCATGTGTGCACGAGTGTGCGTTACTGATCTACGATATATTTCAAGACATTTGGCAGCATCTCTGGCTTCCACCCACTAGATGCCACTAGCACACACCCTCCTCCCTCCCCTAACTGTGACAACCCAAAATGGCTTCAGATATTACCAAATGTCCTCTGGGAGGGCAAAACTAACCCCAGTTGAAAACCACTGCTCTATGTATTTACGTGTTTATATATCATTCCTTGGCATGGCCAGAAAAAAGAAACCTAGGCTTTTCAAGGCACCCACAAGTTTAGTTTGAAGAATTTCAAACTTCCTATGACTTGTAATGAAAAATCGGAATCTGTGACACAGCACTGCCTCTAAAGATCCATCAACAGCACCATGCTGCCTCAGACTGAGGGTGCCAGGACCTGGCTTCATTTCAGACAAGGCCTGTAAGAGGATGAGCTGCGCCTGGGCTCTTTCTTGCACTGCCACCCTCCCTACTTTTAGGAGCTCCTTTCTTAGAAGACTGCACTAAATAAATCCTTTATGATCCATGACCAGACACTTCATACTGATTGTGAAGGAAGAGGATTGGGTGTCTATTAACAGCATCCACAGAAGCAATGCACCCTCTGTGCTCCTCGTGGGCCAGACCTGTGGGGCAGCGTGTCTAATGCTGGCCTAGGTGCACAGGAGAGGTGTGGGGAAGTAGAGGCCTCCTCAAGGAGCTCTGCCAGATGGGGAGGGATATGAAAATAGCATCAGAGGACAAAGAGGCCAGGCCCGGGAGATGGTAAATTCACCCAGAGAAGAAAAGATGAATGAGGAAGGACAGTGTCTTCAAACATTTGGTGGGCTGGAGTGTTAGAAAGTGAGTGGACTTACTTCGAAGGTGACTAAGAGCAATAGGTGATTCAATAAATACTTAACACATTTATGCCTTCTATGTGACAGGCACTATCCAGGCACCAAGACTCCAGGGAGGAACAAGACCAAGTCCCTGTCCCATGGAGCACATATACTGTATTAATAGTTCAATATAAGGACTAGATTGCTTTTCTTTCCTCCCTCCTCCCTCTCTCCTTTGTATTCCTCACTTTCTTTTTTTCTTTTTTCTTTCTTTCTTTTGTTTTTGTTTTTTTTTTAGATGGCGTCTCGCTGTGTCACCCAGGCTGGAGTGAAGTGGCGTAGTCTTGGCTTACTGCAACCTCTGCCTCCTGGGTTCCTATTTTTAGTAGAGATGGGGTTTTATCATGTTGGCCAGGATGGTCTCGATCTCCTGACCCTGTGAGCTGCCCGCCTCAGCCTCCTAAAGTGCTGGGATTGCAGGCGTGAGTCACCGCACCCAGCCTCCTTACTTTCTTTTTAACAAGTTGGGCTAATTGTTCAATTTTTAAATGCTGGGGTTTTTTTTCTTTCCATTTTTAAAATTCAGGTCTAATTAACATTCAAGAGAACTCACCCTTTCTATTATACAGTTCTGTGAGTTTTCACCAAAGCATACAACTGCATAAATACCACCAGCACTAAGATACAGAACAACTATATACCCCCTCCTCACAAGGGTTTCCCTGTAGGCCCTAACTGTCCTTTTAATTGAACCAAGGTACCCTGTGCAACAGCAAGCTCCTCATCTCTGGAAGAATTTGAATTCCCTTGTCAGGGATCAGTAGGAGACATTTTTTTTTTTTTTTTTTTTTTTTTGCTAGCAGGGGATTGGGCCAGACAACCCTTGAAGCCATGTCCCTCTCTTTGATTCTATGAAATGGCAGCACAGTCACCTACAGACATCTGACCTTAAACACTGGCCCATCTGCAATGCCACGGCTGAGTTTCCCAACCACAGGTAAAGGCCCCACCCAAAAGCCAAATTCTTTCAGTCAAAGCTCAAAAATTTCAGCCCAGCAATTGGATCCCTGTGAAGGCTACGTAATAAGCATAGACAAAAACGTAAAATCAAAAGAAAGGTTTGGAAATGAAAGTTTAAATATGGCAACTGAAGTCCAACCAATGGTATCATCTACCCCCACCCTTCTTTCCTCATAAATGTGATTCAAAATGACATTAACTCCAAAAATGAACACAGCTCAAACAAGGTGACCTCACTGGTTGTGAGGATGGCAGGAAGGGAATTATTTAGCCAAGCTTGTCTAAGAATGGGTCACCAGGGTTGGAGAAGGTGGTAAATGTTGCAGGGATTCCCACAGGTTCTTATGAAGTGAATATTGGAGGAGGGGTTGTGGTGAGTAGCTGGGATGCTCTAGCAACATCAAATGGATGTAACCGGCCCATCCCCAGCTGCCTTCCTGCTGGAAAATAAATATGCCTCTTGGTAGCCTGACTTCAATGGGAAATGTCTAGTCTCCAAACAAGGCTGCTCTGTTCCTAAGAATGACTGGCTTTATTGAACACTTACTATGCTCCAGCACTACCTACCTCATTTTATTCTCACAACAACCCTATGATGTAGGTAACATGATAAGCCTCATTTTACAGAAGAAGAAACAGGCTCAGAGAGGTTATCTAACAACCAGTAGGTATAGAACTTACATTTTAACCCGGGTCTCCTGATCCCAAAGACTGTCCTCTTTCCCTGCTAGCAAGGTCTGGGTGGTTGCTGAATTGAACGTTCTTGGTCTCCCAAGACCACTGTTATGCTGGTCTGTGGGCTGGCTCCCAGGCAAGCTGGACTTGTAGCTTCCTTTAATTTTCCATTTCCTAAGCTGCCTGCTTCTCTTTCTTTTAATATATGGGTCACACGGATCTCTCTGCTTTGGAGAATTTATTTTATTCTTTGGGTCTGCAAGTTTATTACTCTTATATTATATGGCTGGCTTAGCACATAAACTGCCAAGGGTATTCTTTAACCGGCATCCGGAAACTTTTCTAAATATACACTTATTACGTTTTAGAAAACCCCATATTGCTTAATACTATCAGCAATAACAAGAAAAAGTATCACACTGTCAGAAAACATCAATTCAATGTCACATTTAATTATAGAACTCCATTCTGCCTGAGTTTAGTGCAGAAGTAAAAGATGGACAGAACAAGGCAACAGCTTCCCTTCGTGAGCACCCTTTTACAGCAAGAGGCATTAGAAGTAAATGCAGCAACACTTACCAAAATGTCCGCCAACGATCACAAACTTTATATACACCACATGTCTTCTACAACAGAGGCAGGACTGGTCCTGAAAAACAATACCACAACAAAAGAAAAACCACATCATTAAACAGAAATAATTGAACACATATTATGTTTCTCTCTGTAAACTGCAACCTCTTCCTCTGCTTCGGGCACCCATCGATGTACTAAATTCCACCTACCAGTTTCCTCTGTTTTTCCCAGGAAGATGAAACCAATTTACAAATTATCTCAGTATTCACTAATAAAAAATTTTAAAACTGGACAATGAAATATACCAGAAACTATGCTTATAAATATCTGAATGTTTAGCCCTTTGAAATATTTGAAGACAAGAGAACAATGGAAAAATATCTGCAGTTGAACTCACAACATATTCCCCCAAACCAATTCCTCTTTTCTTTCTTTCCAGTAATATCCTCCCTTCTTGCCAGCTAGCTGTGAGACCCTGGACAGTTTTCCTAACCTTTCTTTTCTAGGCTTTATTATGTGTAAAATAGGGATTACTGTACTGACCTCATAGGGTTGCTATGAGGATTAAATGATATCAACTAAAGAACATACACGACATAGAAGGGCTTATAACAGCCTCTGGCACACAGTAAACACTCAGTAAGCCTGAGCTGTTATCATCATTCTCCCAGTCCCTCGGGCCTGTAAACTAACACCGCCTTCTTCACCTCCACTGCAAACCTTGGCCCAGTCCAGCCCCGCAAGAATTTCACAGTGGTGCTGGGAACACATTGCTTCTCCCTATTCTCATCGTTACACTCCATCTGGTCAGCATCATGCCTGGCATACACTGGTCTCTTGGCCTCCAGTTTCTTCCCTTCCCATCCAACTCTCATGGCTGCACAAGGAATCCTTTCTAAACACAACCTACACAGCCTGTCTTTCCTCAACGGATGCACCTTCCACCACTTCCTATGACCTGCGAATTTACCTGTCGAGTCATGTTAGCCTGGCACTCAAGCTCACCCCAGCTTTTCGACATTATCCTATCAAATGCTGTAACGCCCAGAGGCCTGTCCGGCCTCTGAGCCTCTAGGCAGGCCATCCCTCCTCTGGTAGGAGGCCTGGCCATTGTCAAGGGCAGGGGCTCTTTACCTTTTGTGCTATGGCAGTCTAAAGACATCTTTCTCAGAATGATGTTTACAAATGCTTGAAACTAATACATGAAATGCACAGGAGTCAAACAGAGTATACTCTTATACAGTTATCAAAATATTTGACAAAATTGTTATGAACATCTTTCAATACTTAAATAATTTCCAACAAGTCTAATATACTGTAATTTTGAAGTACTATTAGGCATAAATGATACTTCAGAATATCTATAACTATGAAAATATTCATAATTTCTATTAAGGACAAATAGCTAATGCTACTTTCATAATATTAGGAAATGTACGATTTCAGATAAGGGTTAGAGACAATGATGAGATCATGTTTTTCCCCATCCAACTTCATCGGCCCCCTGAATTACATGCATGGACCCAGCTTTCAGGCCTAGCTTCATTCTCATTGACTTTTCCACCTTGATTTTCCCAAAGCAGTATTATCTTATGCCTCTTTATTTTTCTCTTTTTAAAAGTACTTTATTTGATATAGGTACTTTAAATAAATGTACTACTTTTAAAGTCAGCCTTTTAAGTTGTCAGGGAAGGTCCTATCTTCTTCCCTATTTTAAAACTCCTTCCACAGTTAATAATGCCTCGCCTTATCACAGCACAGCAGGGAGGCGCTCATCAGGACTGCTGAGTCCATCCACGGGTAATGGTGCAATCTGCTTGTCCTACATGAGCTCAGGTAATCATTAATATTATCTCATTGCTCCTTCGCAGCCTATGAGGTCCTAAACATGTAGATGGGACACCTAAGCATTCTATATTTAGACTATAAATTACTGAAGTTAGGCAACACAATGTTGTCTTGTTTAATACTTCTCTTTTGAGAGTGAGTGATTAGTCCATGCTGTTGACTGACAGATCACCTGGGAACAGACTAGCTGTTCAATCATTCTGTCAATATAGAGGGCGCCTGTGTGACACAAGCATAATGCCTGCCTTCCTGGGGCTTCAAGTCTAGCAGCTTTCCCCAGCTAGCCCAGAGTAGCAGATACTCTCTCAACCTTTCAGGTCCTTTGAATAGACAAGACACAACTTGTGATTTCCTAAGTATGGGCACTTTGGTGATCCATGCTGGTGAGGCCAGGTACAGTTGCTCTGGCCTCTACAAGAGACCACACCAAGCTCCAGCTTCCCATCAGTCTCACAGATGTGAACCGGTGGTTCTGAGGCAGGTGGGACAAATAGACTGAGCAGTGAAATTCCATGTCCCCTCCTGGGTGATGTTGTCTTTGCACATGAGGTCCAGGACAGCAACTACCACAGTGACTATCTTGGGAAGGTCTACTCAGTGCTTGTCCACATACTTCATGCTAAGCACGCTGAGCCTGTGATTGTCCAGCCTCAGCGTGGACACTGGTCCCTCCATCTTATCAGCCTTTTTCCTGAACAGCTGCAGCTCAGGAATCCTGTGTATCTTTTGTCAAGCACAACAAAATAACAGAACAGTTCTTCCTTTTCAAACGAATAGAGCATAATGACTTTCTCCACTGAAAACCACTTATAAGGGCATTGTGACCATTTGCTTTGGCAGAAATTCACCATTGGCAGCATTTTTCATACCCAATATCATGACAAGTGACTCTTAGGACAAGTGGGGGTGTACTCTCCCTCCCCAATAACCATGACTGATGAGATTTCCACTCACAGAACAAAGGCTGGATTTGGCACACTCTTTTTATACTTAAGGCTATTTCAATCCATTTCATTTGAGTTTGTTCTTTTTGAGACACACCAGATATATGGTATTCATTACCAATAAAAATAGCTGAATGATAACAAAACGGGTGGCATGACTGTTTAATCTTTTGTTTCAAGAGCTGCAACGCCTGCATCACCATAAATGAATGAAATTTTCGTGAGTGCTCCCACGTAACAATTCTGCTTTTAATACATATCACAGACTATTGTATGACTCCCGGTATAAAGTTAAAATGCTAATTACACACTGAAAACAAGCATCTCTAATATAGTTCTCATCTGCATGTGGTCATTCCCTCTTTCTTCTTCCCAAAAGAGCCCCCATATTTCTGCACCCACAGTGCTCATGGGCACATGGCAGCACGCCCAGCTGGGAGTGGGGGCGGGACAGTCCAAGGTTTTGCAGTGTGCTGACCTGCAACATTCGCATCAACCAGGAGCTTGTAAGAGCTGTCAGCTGAGGCCTCACCCAAGCCAACTGAATCAGAATTGATTTTGAAAGTTTCCCCAGGTGATCTGTGTGCACACTGAAGTTTGAGAAGCATCGATCCAAGAGATACCCATTCCTACTGCCAGTGATTGGTTTAAGAATAAGCATGTGGCCCAATTTAAGCCAATGAGATGTGAAGAATGTTTTTCTGGGAGCTTCTACTCACTCCTTTGGGAGAAGCTCCCTCCTTCTGAATGTAGTGTGGAATGCGCCACCTAGAACTTCCACAGCTATTTTGTTTCAGTATAAGGATAAAGCTGGTCCAGAGACAGAACAAACACAGGGAAGCAGAGTGTAGGTTACTGCATTAGGTTGGCGTTGAAGTCTGTGGCATCTCTGTATTTCCAAGAAATGTCTTCTTGTTTAGGACTCCTTGACTTGGGTTTTCAATTACCTGCAGCTGGAAAACATCCTGACTAATCAGTCTCCAACAAAGCATTATAAAAAGAACAGAATGCCAAGGCCCTGGGCTCAATCATATGAGGGACAAGGCAGTAGGTCCAGAGATCAAAGCCATAGTTGAGAAACTCGTTTTGCTCAGGGAACTGACCCCATAGTATTTCCAGTCCTGATAACCATGGTACATTTGCACATTTCCAACAGCTTTCTAAATCAGCCAGTCTAAACGATCAACTGGAGGAAATGCTGAACACTTTCCAAATTATTTTAACCAGGATGGTCAACAGTTGCCCTCCCCAGAAGCCACACTGATATGTCATTTCCTGCAAAGACAATGGGAGACTAATTGCTCAGCTTCAGACTCTAACAGGGAAGACAACCTGTGATATGTAATTACTGAAGGGTAAAAAAGGAAAAGCTTGAGGCTCTCCAAATCTGTTTCTGGATCTGCTCCAATTACTTGGGGAAAAGGAAAAAAAATAAAAGAGCCAGCTGGTCTGGGAAAAGATTTGAGGGACTGGCAGTTCACTTGGGAAGCCACCCATACGTATTTTATACGTATCACTGGTACTTATTAAAGACCTTTCTGAGGAAACCAAATAGACCAGCTATTATACAAAATCATACGTGGCTTTGGTCTAATTCTGCTTCACACATAGAAGTGACAGAGTCAAGGAGAAATGGATGTCTAAATGGACATTATCTCTTTGGTGTGTCCTAACTTCTTAGCCACAAGAGCATATTTCTGGGGTTAGGTTTGTTGTATTGACTTGATGAAGAAACGTGCTTTCTATCAAGGAGTGGAAGAACATTGATTGGTTCTCCACAGGATGTTCCCAGGTTCTGTCTCCTCAGAACTCGTTCTCTCTCAATACTGTTTTGCTATCTCTTTCCTGGTACATACAATTCCACTGTCCCAACTGTCATCCCATGGGATAAGTTTCACACTACATCTCTAGATCTATCTCCCATGTTCCCAGCTCCTCTGCCACCCCCTACAGATAGTGCCTTGAGGGCACGAATTTTGTTTTGGTTACTGTTATTTTCCCAGTGCTTAGCACAGTAGCTGGCACTGAATATGAAATGTTTGTTGAATGAATAAATGAAAGGCTTCACTCAGACTCACAGAAGTTCTTGCCATCACCACCTCTCTCTGACTCTGGCCTCTCTTTTCCCCGCTTCCCAACACACACAAACTCTGGTTACAGCACTTCTCATGTCACTCCCAGACTGTCTCAGCTGGGAAGGATTTAGCAGCCCAACCCTATGCTTTACAGGGAGAAAACGGGTCCATCAAGGCCAAGAGACTTGCCCAAGTTCTTATTAGTGGGTGGCAAAGACAGGAATTTTTTTTCTTTTTTTCTTTTTTTTTTATTACTATACTTTAAGTTCTAGGGTACATGTACACAACGTGAAGGTTTGTTACATATGTACACATGTGTCATGTTGGTGTGCCGCACCCATTAACTCGTCATTTACATAGGTATATCTCCTAATGCTATCCCTCCTCCCTCCCCCGACCCCACGACAGGCCCCAGTGTGTGATGTTCCCCTTCCTGTGTCCAGGTGTTCTCATTGTTCAATTCCCACCTGTAAGTAAGAACATGTGGTGTTTGGTTTTCTGTCCTTGCAATAGTTTGCTGAGAATGATGGTTTCCAGCTTCATCCATGTCCCTACAAAGGACATGAACTCATTCTTTTTTTATGGCTGCATAGTATTCCATAGTGTATACGTGCCACATTCTTTTATTTTAAATTATTTTTTTATTATACTTTAAGTTCTAGGGTACATGTGCACAACGTGCAGGTTTGTTACATATGTATACATGCGCCATGTTGGTGTGCTGCACCCATTTACTTGTCATTTACATTAGGTATATCTCCCAATGCTATCCCTCTCTCCTCCCCACAACCCATGACAGGCCCTGGTGTGTGATGTTCCCCTTCCTGTGTCCAAGTTTTTTCATTGTTCAATTCCCACCTATGAGTGAGAACATGCGGTGTTTGGTTTTTTGTCCTTGTGATAGTTTGCTGAGAATGATGGTTTCCAGCTTCATCCATGTCCCTACAAAGGACATGAACTCATCCTTTTTTATGGCTGCATAGTATTCCATGGTGTATATGTGCCACATTTTCTTCATCCAGTCTATCATTGATGGACATTTGGGTTGGTTCCAACTCTTTGCTATTGTGAATAGTGCCGCAATATGTGTGCATGTATCTTTATAGCAGCATGATTTATAATCCTTTGGGTATACACCCAGTATATACCCAGTAATGGGATTGCTGGGTCAAATGGTATTTCTAGTTCTAGATCCTTGAGGAATCGCCACACTGTCTTTCACAATGGTTGAACCAGTTTATAGTCCTACCAACAGTGTAAAAGTGTTCCTATTTCTCCACATCCTCTCCAGCACCTGTTCTTTCCTGACTTTTTAATGATCGCCATTCTAACTGGTGTGAGATGGTATCTCATTGTGGTTTTGATTTGCATTTCTCTGATGGCCAGTGATGATGAGCATTTTTTCATGTGTCTGTTGGCTGCAGAAATGTCTTCTTTTGAGAAGTGTCTGTTCATATCCTTTGCCCACTTGTTGATGGGGTTGTTTGATTTTTTCTTGTAAATTTATTTGAGTTCTTTGTAGATTCTGGATATTAGCCCTTTGTCAGATGAGTAGATTGCAAAAATTTTCTCCCATTCTGTAGGTTGCCTGTTCGCTCTGATGGTAGTTTCTTTTGCTGTGCAGAAGCTCTTTAGTTTAATTAGATCCCATTTGTCAATTTTGGCTTTTGTTGCCATTGCTTTTGGTGTTTTAGACATGAAGTCCTCGCTCATGCCTATGTCCTGAATGGTATTGCCTAGGTTTTCTTCTAGGGTTTTTATGGTTTTAGATCTAACATGTAAGTCTTTAATTCATCTTGAATTAATTTTTCTGTAAGGTGTTAGGAAGGGATCCAGTTTCAGCTTTCTACGTATGGCTAGCCAGTTTTCCCAGCACCATTTATTAAATAGGGAATCCTTTCCCCATTTCTTGTTTCTGTCAGGTTTTTCAAAGATCAGATGGTTGTAGATGTGTCGTATTATTTCTGAGGGCTCTGTTGTGTTCCATTGGTCTATATCTCTGTTTTGGTACCAGTACCATGCTGTTTTGGTTACTTAGCCTTGTAGTATAGTTTGAAGTCAGGTAGCGTGATGCCTCCAGGCAAAGACAGGATTTTAACTCAAGACCCAGCACCCCTGCTACCAGGCAACTGACCAGTTCAAAAATCTTCAACGGTCTTTCAGTACAACCTTGTACAGGGCCTGGTATGCAGTAGGCATTTAATATCTGTTGAGTGACTGACTGAATAAATTAATGGGTCTCACGCATATGCCAATGGGTTTTAGTTTTTCTCAAAGTGGAACACTCCTCAAAAGACAGACAATATCCTTGTATATAAAATGAAGATGAGAGGAGCTACTCTCTCCTCTATAACTGGGGGAGCAGCTGGCACACCAGACTTCTTCCCCTGCAGTGCCTAAGCCAGCTCCCAGGAAACTCAGGGCTTGGTGACACTGCTAGAAAGACCAATGACTTCCACAAACTTTTCAGCTTTGCACTCAAAGCCATCCACCATCATTCCAAACCCACCACATCAGCCGTATCTTTCATTTTTTCCTCCTCCCTCATGCCTTGCCTTCTCAGAGCACTTGCTGTTCTCACTTGTCCCTCCTCGGAGCCTTCACCTGTCCTATTTCCTCTCTTATTGTGCCCTCATCTCCACCTGCAAGAATACAGAACCAACCTGTCCCTCAAGCCAGCTCTCGTATAAATCCCTCCCTGAAGTTCTTGCCCAGTTCCCCCACTAGAATTAGTCTTACTCTCTATATACCTCTACTGTACAACTTTTCACGCTATCTGCTGCAAGGAAAATGGCCAGGTCCTTGAGGGCAAGAATGCAGGCTAAATGTATCTTCGAACCATTGGCACCTTGTCTGACCCAATGCCTTGCACAGAGGAGACAGTTCTAGTCATTCTGTTGCATTCAAAGGGCTTCATCCTTTTTCGTTCACCTCTGTGACCAAATTACATACATTTTGTAGCTGAGATTCCAATTCTTCCTCTAGCATGTATAGACTGATGATACAGCTAACACACACTTGCAGGGCCCACTTGCTAAGGAACTGCTGTGTGAGTCTTTGTTGAGTCTCATTTTCGAAAGCAAAGAATGGGGGTGAGGGGAGACAGGGAGCATGAATTCCACTCCCCTCCAAAGCTCTCTGTGCCCATGGCTATCCTGTGCAACATGAGGTACAAGCTGGGAAGCTTGTGCACAAAAATAACTGTCAATTTAAAATATAGTATAGTCCTACAACCTGCCATGCTACAATATTCTCTGCAAGCCCAAACTTGATTGTCTGAAAAATTAGAGTTCCAAATGGTGAAATAAACCATTAAACAAGGAAGCATACAAACAAAGCCCAATTGCCAGGGAGGAGGATGGGAACTAGAAAATACAGGGTTTCCTAGGAAACTGAGCTTACTTTTGACTGACTGTGGCCTTCCCTTTCACTGGATATAGTGGGTGGGAGGGAGGTGGGAGGGGTGCTCTGAGAAGGCAACACTGACCCATCTGCTTCCCCTGCCTGCAGGGGCTAGAGTCCTTCTGGCTACACTCCAACAGGAGGGCAGACTCAAGCAAGGTTGTGGTTGTTGTTTTATTATTTGCTTGAGTGGGAGTAAACAGCAGAGAGAGAAGAGGAGGAGGAGGAGGAGAGATGAATAGAAAAAGAGATAAGCATGGAAGGTGCTCAGCCAGCAGAAAGGAATTAATGACCACAGAATGAGGGGGCAGGAAGGTCACAAGCTGGCTGCTCCCTTCTCATTGGCTATTGCCAGGTCTAGAGGGGATCAGAGGCTCACTGTTGAGCAAGGCACCAATATAAGCTCATGCTCAGCTGCCCTAGAGGCCAGGTGTAGGGGTCCCAGCATCCATGGCTCTGAAGCTGGACTGGAGAGATAAAGATTTGGGGCTCATTGGCACACATGGGTGGGCAGAGTCATGCAAATGGATGACTGGATGGGTGGGGGTAGGGCTTTAGCTCCCCATCTCCAATCCCCATCAACCCCCAGGCAATAGTAGTAGTAGCAGCAGTAGTACTGATATCATTTCATATTATTATTACTATATTTCAACGTTAAGGCCATGAGTACCCAGTTTATTTGGGGAATAAATAAAAGAAACAAATGCCATTGGAATAATCAGTTGACTATCTGGAGGAAAAAACAACAATTCTGCTTCTATGAGACTCATGAGAATGAAGCATACAGTTATAATAATCATGTCTTTCTTTTCTTACTGGTAATGAGTCCCTGTCAGGTGATCACATCACATGTATCAGGAAAAAAAGAAAATAAAACAAAAACTCTGTTCTGTAGTGTACTTGAATTCTTCCGACTTGCCCTTTTAAATTAAGCTGTTCCTAAGATCTGCAATCCACAGTCTGAACAGAAACACTGCTTTGCTATGATGCAAGCGCAGCTGCTGGACACGTCTAGCTCTCTTCCAACCGGATTACTACTCCCAAGTCCCTCCAAGTAGACATTCTGGAGTGGCTCTGGGGAAGGCCCATGAAATACACACAGTATCACAATGCTGCCAAGATCAAAGTTAATAATGATGTGTGCAGAGCCCCTTGAGTTTAGGTTGGCTACAATATCAGAATCCCAGAACCTTGGGGCTGAACGGAATGTTAAAGAATAACTAGTCTGATAGTTTTTAAGCTATTCTTTAGTATCAGAACTGTGTGTGTGTGTGTGTGTCCATGCCAAATGTGTAACAATTATGCCAAAAGATATCCAGCTAGCACACCACATACCTGGAGAATCCATTATAATGGGAACCATTTTATTTCAAAAAAAAATTCTTTTCTTGTTATTGGTAGTTCTGAACCTTAGATACACACACACACACACACACACACACACACACACACACACACACACACACATTCTGAAGGGCTCAACTCCAAAATATTAGATAAAAGTGCAACAGAACAGCTCTGGTTCAAGAGGGAAAGGACTCAAACTCCTACCTCCATGGCCATCCTCCTGGCCTACCTGGTACTTCTGGGTAACTCTAAAGTCCTAAGAACACTGAAAATCTCAGATCGAGTCTCCCACCCCTAACCAGTATCTGAGTCTTCTCTCACATCTCTTCCAGCCCACGTGCACGTTCTCAATGTTGCAACACTGGAGACCAAGGGCATCTACCAGGGGTTCCCTACCAAGGACCTGTTTTATCCACCTGCGCCTCCCACATTTTGAATTATCTCACTAACATTGCATTTTAAAGTAATAATTGATTTATTTTCCCAGCTCTGATTTGGAGTCAGGGAGATCTTGATCTGAATCTCAGTTCTGCTAAGCTTGGTAAACTTGGAAAAATTCCTCAATAATGTGAAGTAGTAAGCCTGGTAGAAGCCTTCCTTCTCTCTCTTGGCTTTTTATTTCATCAACACAAATCTCCATCAAAAGAATACCTAATACCTAGGAATAAGTCCAACAAAAGATATGTAAGACTTTATGCTGAAAATGACAAAACGTTATTGAGAGAAATTACAGAAGACCTATATAGAGGGTTGGGCCATGTACATGGGCTGGAAGTCCAATATTTTTATATGTCAATTCTCCTCGCAATTGCATCTTAACTGAACCACCAATTTTTTTTGTTTTTAAACTAGGTCTTTTTTTTCTGATGGAAATTGACAAGCAGATTCTAAAGTTTATAAGCAAATGCAAAGGGCCAAAAGCCAAGTTAATCCTGAACAAGAGGAACAGGGCTGGAAGACTTATTCTACCAGATACAAAGATTCACTATAGAGTAATAGTAAAAGTGTGACATTTGTGCAAGGCCAAACAGACCAAGAGAATAAAATAGAATGTCCAAAAATAGAGCTACACAGTCACCTAACTTATGCAAAGGTGACAATGAAGTAATAAATGTATAAAAGTATGCATAAATGTATAAAAATAAAATATAAATGTATAAAAATAAAAGTAATAAATGCTGGGTTCACTGGGTAGTATAGATTGAACCGTGTCCCCCAAAAAGATATGAAGTTCTAACCCCCAAGTACCTCAGCATCTGACTTATTTGGAAATAGGGTTGTTGCAGATATGATTAGTTAAGATGAGTTATAGTGAATTAGTATGGACTCTGAATCCAGTGACTGTCCTTAAAGAAAGAAAAAAATCTACACAGAGACATGTGGGGAAGACGGCCATGTGGCCACAGAGACAGAGGTCAGAGCAATGCAGCTGCCAAGAAAGGAATGCCAAGGATTCCTGGCCACCACCAGAAGCTGGGAATAGGCAAGGAAGGACTCTTCCCTAGAGCCTTCATCAGAGAGACCATGACCCTGCTCACACCTCGATTTTGGACTCCTAGCCTCCAGAATCATGAGAGAATAAATTTCTGCTGTTTTAAGCCACCCATTTTGTGGCACATTGTTATAATAGCCTAGGAAATGAATACAATGGGTATCCGTATGAAAGAAATGAATCTTAACTTCCACCGTATACCATGCAAAAATTAATTCTGGATGAAGAATAGAACTAAATGTGAAAGGCAAAATAATAAAGCTCTTAGAAGAAAACATAGAGAACACCTTCATACCTTGTAATAGGTAAAGATGTTTCTTAAAAGAGAACACAAAAAGTGTTAACCACGAAGGAAAATATAATTTGGACTATACTAAAATTAAAAATGTCTTCATCAAATGACATCAACAGAATCAAAGGGAAGCCACAGAGTGGAGAACATAATTGCAATACATATATACAACAAATAACTCTAAAAATCAATAAGGAAAAGGCAGACAATCCAATAAAGAAATAGACAAATACTCGAGAGGACAAAACAGAAAATCCAAATGGCCAATAAACATATAAAAAGATGCTCTAATTCAGCCATCAAATAAAAGCAAATTAAAACCACAACGCATTACCAATACACCTACAGGACTGGCTAAAATGATAAAGACTAAAACCATGAAGTGCTGGTAAGGATACAGAGCAACTGAAACTCTCATACATTGCTAGTGGGAGTGTCCACTGATAACTGGCAGTTTCCATTGAACACACACATCCTGTGATCCCAGATCCTGCCATCCAGAGCCTATCCTACAGAAATGCTACATATGCTTACCCACTGATATGCACAAGAATGATCCTACCAGTACTATCTCTAACAGCCCCAAACTCGAAATAACTCAAAAGGCCACTTACAAGAGAGGGGCTAAATACATCTTGATATGTTAAACAGTATTACACAGCAATGAAAATGAACAAACTACTACTTATAACAACATGGATGAATCTCCTAAATATAATGTTATTCTATTGACACAAGACAGTGCAAACTGGGGGACATCCAGGCTGTCCCCTAGTCTTGCGGCAGCTTGACCTCTGCCATCTGCTAGGTCCTCTCCTGCTTCTGGTCAATTTTATTTATATAAAGTTCATAATAGATAAAACCAATCTTTCTTGTTAGAAGTCATGCTATCAGTTACCCTTGATGGAAACTGGGGTGTATTGGGACTGGATGGGGACCTGAGGGGACTCCTAGTGTTTAAGTGACATTCTTTTTCCACCTGGCCGCTGGTTACAAAGGAGAGTTCACTTTGTGAACATTCATTATCAGTGCACTTAAGAATTTGTGCACTTTTCTGCATGAATGCTACATTTCAATTAAAAAAAAATCATCTCAGGGCGAACACGATGAAACCAGAAACAAAACAGAGCTCTTATAAGTATCGAAAGCAAAAAAGCACAGCAATTTAATTTAAGCAAGATAATTTGAAAATTTGCTGCACTAAAAGCTTAGAAGTGCCATTTCATTAAATTACGTTTTTTAATTCACTTTAAGATGAATGTCAGGCCAAAGCTATTTTATTACTATATGTTAGGATGGCATGAAGCAAATAGTCTCAAAATAAAATAATACACATCATTTAAATTTTATCTTACTGATTTTTTAAAGTGAAGTTTCGGATATTCAAGCCCATTTTTTTTTTTCCACATTAGTTAAAAACCGTTTCCTGGGGCCTTGGTTTACAGTCTGCGCATCCCCAGATGAGAAAGCCCTTGGGATAAACGGGTTTTCCCTCTGTGGCACAAAGTAGGCACTCAACATTGCTCTTCCAGAGTCAGTCCATAAGATCGGCTCATTCCTGCCAATGGAAGCAACAACAGCTCAGCCTGCCTTTGCACTGTCACTCTGGATAAATGCATAATTTCTGTCAGTCTGAAATAGTGAAAATAACCATTCCCACCTTTGTGAATTTCTGGGGCTCTTTAGATCCCCCTCTGGAATATACATGGTCATGAGGTCCAGAGTCTTCACCCAGGCTGTCCCCCAGTCTTGGGGCAGCTTGACCTCCGGCTTCTGCTAGGTCCTCTCCTGCTTCTGGTCAGTCAATCCATTATCATTAGCCATGTGCTCCACAGAGCTGCTCCACCTACCACTGAAATAAATCCCTTGGAGCATAGAAACCGCGTGGTCACACTCTGGCTTTCTCAGACACTTTTGTTCTCTTGGACCCTCTGGGAGGGGAGGAGATCTACGCAGGCACCGAGATGGACATCCTGAGACTGCAGGCAGCCCCCACAGGAAGTGAGAGGCAGCCACACACACCTCGGCTTGCATTCTGGGTTGCGAAAGAAACCATGTGGGGACTGTGGAGACCTCACTCACCCTCCAGCCTGCCCCTACCTGGGAGAAGATCCCGGGGCAGGGCCCCTGCCACTGAGCTGCTCTCCTCCATCCGCCATGAGGACACCCGGGCCTTTCTTTGGTCACTCTGTTTCCCTGGATATTAGCTTCCCAAAGGAGAGCCCTCCTTAAATTCAAGCTCTGTTGTTTTTGCATAGACTTTTCGGTGTCAACTCTATTCCTAACTTCACCATCTGACAAAAAATTGTGTGGGTCCTTTAAGAAGGTCCCCCATCCCTAATTAGAGTTCTCTGGTAAGAAGATAACATATGCTTTTTAAATAACTTTTGATCATGAATGCCACAGAGATTTTCCTACTGAAAACACAGAGGAATCACAAGGGTCAAATAAGATAATCAGTTCAAAATGTACATGGACAGAGGAAAATCACCTAGGTCAATTCCTCGAGAGTCTGCAGCCAGAAGACTGAGGCTCTACCAGCAAGGGCAGTGGTGGGCAGCGGTCAGCAACCCCCAGCCTGCGGATCAGATCTGGCCTGCTGCCTGCTTTTGTACAGTCCATGAACTGAGAATGGTTTTTACATTTTTAAATGGTCACAAAAAATCAAAAGATTATTTCATCACACATGGAGATTATACAAAATTAAAATCTCAGTGCCCGTAAGTAAAGCTTTATTGGAACACAGCCATACCCACTCGTTTCCATATTGTCTATGGCTGCTTTCACACACAACAGCAGAATTGTCTTGATAGAGACTGTATGGCCCGCAAAGATGAAAATATTTACTATCTGGCCCTTTACAGAAAATGTTTGCCAACCCTGGGCTAAGGTGATGTCTGTGTTTGCAGAAGGATGTCCACTCTGATTCTTACTGTTTTGTGCCTCTGGGCCTGTCTCCACACTAAGTCACAGGCAAGTCCTAATGCTGGTTTCAATTTCACACTAACCGGGTAAGCCAACACAACCCGCTAAAGCACACTCTTTTAACCTGTGGTCCCGAGTCAATTCAATGGGTCACAAAATTTAACTTGGTTGATTCTGCCCAGCATTTTCTTTAATGAAATACAGATAAAAATATCAAGGGAACTGTTATTGACTGAATTGTATCCCTCCAAAATTCATGATTGAAACCCTAAACCCTAGCACACATCAGAATGTGACTATATTTGCAGACAGGCCTTTAAAGAGGTAACAGAGTTAAAATGAGGTCATATGGGCAGACCACAACTCAATATGACTAGTATCCCTATAAGAGGAGGAGATTAGGACACAGATACACACAAAGGAAAGGCCATGTAAGGACAAAGAGAAAAGACAGCCATCTACAAGCCAAAGAGAGAGGCCTCAGGAGAAACCAAACCTGCTGACACTTTGATCTCGGACTTTTAACTTCCAGAGCTGTGAGGGAATGAATTTCTGTTGTTTGAGCCATCCAGTCTATGATACTTTGTTATGGCAGCCATAGCAAATTAGTACAGGAATCACACAGAGCATTATTTTGTGGAGTTTTTGTTTCACTCACACATGTGGACTTGTGATATAAACATGTATTAAATTATTTGTGTCACACCAAAATAAATGGAAGAACACTCTACCAGAGGGAGAAAAATACATGTTTGGTAGCAAAATCAGAAACAGAAGGGTGTTCTAATTGAACCAAGACACAGAAAGAGAAAAGAGTACTGAACATATTAGGCACTTTGCATATATTATCTCATTTTAGTCCTCACAGTAACCCTACGCAATAGGTCTTCACCTGATAAAGAAACTAAAGCATTGAGAAGTAACCTACTGAGGTGGCAGAGCCAGATCTGACTCCAAAGCTTATGTATTATTTCTCATGATGAATCAATTTCTATTTCTATATTCCTGAGAGTAGGTTGAGATTGTAGTTAGGCAATAAATAAGGGAAACGATTTATAAATAATAATAGCTAACATTTACTAAATACTTACTGTGTGCCAGGTTCTGGGCTAGGCTTAACATAAACCTCACTTTATCCTTATTAATAACCCAATGGCTTAGACTCTATCACTATTTTTTTCAGTTGAAGAATCTGAATGTAGAAGAAATCATTTAACTTGGCCAAGATGACAAAGCTGGTAAGTTGAAGACCCAGGATTTGAACCTTCATTAGTCTGACGTTTGAGCTAGAGCTCTTGCCCACCACAAATGTTCTCTTTTAATTGTATTTATTGCCAATCTAAGTACAGCCATGTGCCACATAATGAAATTTCAGTCAGTGACAGACCACATATATGACAATGGTCCCCTAAGATTACAATGCTGATATTTTTTACTGTGCTTTTTCTATGTTTAGATACACAAATATTTACCATTGTGTTATAATTACCTACAGTATTTAGTACAATAACATGCTGTTCAGGTTTGTAACCAGAAGCAGTGGGCTATACCATAGAGACTAGGTGTGTAGTAGGTTATACCATCTAGGTTTGTGTAAGTGTACTCTATGATGTTTACACAATGACAAAATCACCTAATGATGCTTTTCTCAGAATGTATCCCTGTCCTGAAGCAACGCGTGACTGTACATAACTATCTGCTGGTGGTCTCCAATTGAAGAAAAAAAATGCATACTTTTTATCATACATCCAATAAACACTAACTGAGCACATATTATGTGCCAGGCCCTGTTCTGAGAGCTGGGGATCCTGCCATCATGGTGATGCTATGGGTAAGAAACCTTAATGATGTAACCACACCATGCTGATTGAAATCCCCTCGTGGGTAAGGGGAGTGGCAGGTAAGATTCAGGTGGGTTGAAGGCACAGGCCAATGAAATTGCAGAAATTGTAGAAAATGAGATGATGAGTCAGGATTACTAAACAGAAATTTTTAGTAATTTTATTTAATATTTATTGTATCCAGGTTCACCTGTCATGTGGTCATGTCTTATCTGGAGGTTTTTCAATGGCAGGGGCTATATCATACTTTAAAACACCCACCTCAGTGCTTGGCATAGTGCATAGTAGTTTGAATTTACTATTTTTTTAATAATGTTGTTTCCAAGAAAGATGTACAGAAGTTACTCAGGGATTTTCAGATGTAATGACAAGAGTCAGACAATCCTTGGAAAGTCTCAGTAGTGGAGGATAGATCATGCTGCATGTTATCAGGGTCATGAGCAAAGAAATAAATGTTTAACTGAAACAGTTTTAGTTAAATCAAATGGGAAACTAGTACGATGGCTAAGCAATCAGAATGAGTGCCTGGTAACAAAAATGTGAGGACAAAAAATTAGGCTGAGTGAAAGGAAAACAGGATACGGAATATTAAGATTTTTAATGTATTTGTGGCAAATAAATTTTTCCTAAGGTTTTTTTGCTTTTAATTTAGAATTTTTATGTATAGAATTTTTATATTTTCACCAAACCTAGTAATCCTTTCATGAAGAAATAACCAGAGAAGTGAGCAAATATTTTCACTCCAGAATGTTTAGTACAGCATTATTTATAATCTCAAATATGAGAATATTTAACTGCATAGTAATAGGATAGTGAATGGTTAAATAAATTAGTCTGCTCACACAATGGAAAACTTCAGTTATTATTCAATTACATTAGAAAACAATCACAACTTAATATTAAATGAAAGAAGCAACAAGCTCAAAATCAAAGTTTCATATATATATATATATATATATATATATATATATATATATATATATACACACACACACACACATGACACACCCCTCCCAAAAACGACAAAATAAATACATCTTTTTTCTTTTTTTGAGATGGAGTCTCACTCTGTTGGCGAGGCTGGAGTGCAGTGGCACGATCTTGGCTCACTGCAACCTCCGCCTCCCAGGTGCAAGTGATTCTCCTGCCTCAGTCTCCTGAGTAGCTGGGACTACAGGCATGTGCCACCATGTCCAGCTAATTTTTGTATTTTTAGTAGAGACGGCGTTTCATCATGTTGGCCAGGCTGGTCTCAAACTCCTGACCTCAGGTGATCCGCCCGCCTCGGCCTCCCAAAGTGCTGGGATTACAGGTGTTGAGTCACCGTGCCCGACCCTAGTTTAAATACATCTTAACATTGCTATCTCAATATGGTGTGATTAAGAGATATTTTCATTTTCTTCTTTATAGCTTACCAAATTTTCTACAAGTAAAATTTTAAAGTCAGGAAAAAAAAGTTATTTAAATAAGTTTAAATCAAAGAGAAAGTATACACATAGCACCTCTACTGTGCATCTCTAATTTGCTGAAGACCTTAGCCACCAGAGGCCTCAACCACACTGGCACATGTCGCAAATTCTGGTAATGTTATTTTAAATAAATATATTCATATATTCCTAAACTCGCCTGCAAAGAGGTTTCAAAACAGATTCAGCAGTGGCCAAGGGCAGTCCCCAGGATGAGATGACACATTTTAGTGAATTCTTTGACTTTGACAATACATTCATTTAACAAATATTTACTGAGTGCCTGTCATGCTCCTGGCACTCCGTTAGGTACCAGGGGGTCAAACTGGGTCCCCGGGAACAAATGACCCATTGGGCTGACATTTGTCCTACATACCCTGATCCTTGCAAGATGCGGTGGAAGTCTGGGCTGGGTAGTAACTGGGCAGACCTGTTCTCAATTCTCCCACCTCATCTGGGCTCTGACCCTTCCTGGATGTGTGGCTCTGAGAAAGGCTGGCTTCACCTCTCTGGCTCTGGCTGCCTCATTTGTAAAACAAGGATAATCCTGACCCAGTTCGTGGCACTGTGGTGAAGAATAAACAAAAAGCGTTCTGGGCTTGTTTTTATCTATACAGTGCCAGATGGATTCTACATGTTAATAGCTACTGTTGTTTCCTTCCTTTGAAAATTGTATATTTACTCTTTAGGAAACATAAAGGGTCAGAAATAAAGTTCAGTGATTAAAGGGATATTCCATATTTTTCTTCCTCAGAATATCCAGATTAACAATTACAGAAATGAACACCCATGTTTCCAACCACAGCCAAAAGTAAAGTGGAACTGGAAGATCTTGAAACGTTCAGGAACCATTCCAAGGACAAATCTAGGTGAGATGCTACCAGTCATTAGGGAAATAGTTCAATTATGATGAGCACTTCAAAAATCTAATAAGATTCACTTACAGTTTTTCCTCTCTCCCTTTTAGGAAGGGTGATTCTAAAAAAGCAACGTTCAAAAATAAACAAGTTTTTAAAAATTTAACATTTCTAAGAAAAGACTCAAGGGCACAGGAAGGATGCCAACCATATGTCCAAATCAGAAGTAAATGTGCAGATATATCCTGTCTCTCTCCCAAACTGAACTCACTTCCCAAACATTGGGAACATTTGTAAAAATTAGAAGATGAGGTGGAAATAGAGGTGGGGAGAGGGAAAAATACAGAGACATTAAAATGGGATGTGCCTAGTTGAGATGTTTCCCTTTACTGGCTATTGACATGACTTAATAACAAGTGTACCAATACACTGACAGAGAAAGTGCAACTCTAACCCCCTGGTGTTCGCATTTTATGTGAAAGATTAAGGATATTTTCCCAGATACATACTACTAATTTCTGACATCTTCCGTCTCCTTGTGGTCCTTTCATCAAGTAAGGATTGGTAAATGGTATTAATAGGTTCAGACAGCTTCACAATATCTGGACTAAAATCCCCCTACCCCTCAGTTCTCCGTTTCATGATGCTGCCTGTCCAGAGCCACTGAGGCAGGGCAGGGCACAAGTGGTTCAGGTGAATGGACATCTCCACTGCCCCCTGTCTGTGAGGCTGTCACTTGTGCAATTCCCTTCTTACTGCACCCATGCCTTGTCCACCCTTGTTATGTGGGAGTCCCGCACACGCCAGCTCCCCTGTGGAAACGTGCAGGGAAGGCAGCCACGGGTGACATTTCCAGCACTGGTTAAATATGGACAAACCTCGCAGCTTCCCACCCAGGTAGGGCAGTCCTGTACAAATGGTAACCGGCAGGGTTTATTCCGAAGGACACGAGTGTGCCATGATATATTCAGTAGTTGCTGTACTTTTAAAAAGGGAGTTGTAAAAATTATCTTTAAAATGCTTGTTGATGCCCTGTGGGTATGAGTCACTTTGTGAAGCAGGATCAAAATGGATTCTCTATTACGGGTTTCTGCTGGCTCTTTGATTCTAAACAACTTTATTAATGTTAATAGGAGTTATATACACATCAATGAGAGAATAAATTCCCAGGGTTTAGTGGAGCTTCCATTAATGATCTGTAATAAGCAACGTAAAATGCTTTCAAATTTTCTTTCAAGTAATAACACGGTACCCCAGAAGAGCTGAAAATGAGGCACAGGTCTCAGCACAGGGTAGGAAGGATCCGGGGGATGGGAGAAACAAGGCTCTACAGCTTGTGGGAGGCTCTGTGGGACGAGTCCTCACAGCCACTCACGGGAGTGGAGCAGGAGGGATGGACACAACTTGCCGAAGGGATATTGAATATGAGGAAGGGAGGAAAAGAAAACGTACAAAAAGTGAGCTTGATGCAGAAGGAATTTACTATGATCTAAAACGGGAACGACTGCAACCGCGCTTCCTAAATCTGTCACAGGCTCATCCCATTTTTTTCTGAGCTTAAGTTAATACTATTCACTGGCTTACAAAAATACCCACTAAGATGAAAATGGGAATTTAAGTTCCAAGGATGATGCCACAGAATTCCTAATGAACAGGTTATTTTGCAGTGACACAGAGCTCTGCCTCAAATGTCTGGAAGCCCAGCTTTAGATTTAACCCTCTCCTGCCCACATCTCCAGTTCTCTCCTCAACTCTTCTCATGGGAAATCAAATGCCAGATTACTGATATCCCCAGAGGATAGCAACCCATGGGGGCTGCAGCAGACAGACAAGTATAAATGGCAAATGACTAACTTCCATGATTTAAGAAAAGAATAGAGCAAAATTTGAATCTAAAAGTCTAATCACTATTTGCTCGTTCATACTTAGTCACCTTACACTTCCTTACATTTCATCCTGATGCTTCACAGACAGTAGAAGGACCTCTGCCAACAAATTACAAGTCCACAACATTAAGGATTAGATGCACAGTGGGAGAAGAATGGGGATGTGTACATTTAGCCACTGAGAGTCTAGTTTCATACCTGAGAGATCTGGAAACACTGTGTGCACCGCTGGCGATGCTGCAGGTGGCCAAGCAACGCTCAAACCACTGGCAACAACAGGGTAGTATCTTGATCTTCTGGCTCAGTGGTCACTTCCCACACAGCAGATTTTAGAGCACTTCAGGTTTAAGGGGGTACTGAATTTACATATTCCAAGGTAAACCATGGCCATCATCATCAAGGCAGAGCTCCATACACCGTGTACATTTTATTTAGAATTAGGTGGCTTTTCAAAGGAGCTCCCCATTTTTCTTTTATCACCTGCCTAGTTGCCAGGAAGCAGAATAAATGCCAATTCTTACGACATGTAGTTTAATTGAACAAATATATATAGACATTTGTTGGCTAGGGAAATGATTGGTTGGATAATGCTGGAATACCAAAATTCAACAGAACTTCCGTACCAGCCACTTAGACACATCAGTGAATACGTCGTTCACTCTCAATTCTCAGTAAACTGGGGAGTCTCTCCAGTAGTCCAGATCCTACTAGAAAAACATAAGCCACTTATAAAAGTAGCAAGTGTATCTGAGACTGTGACAAATGAAAACAGTGCCTGGGTTGTGCACTGTTTTTGTCTTACTCCTTCCTCTCACTTCCATTGGTATTAGACATACATATATATGGGTGTTCTGTGGACAAACCATATGTGAGCATTCTTTGAGAAAATGGCTTTGCCTCCATCTCAGCTCCCCACAACTCCTGGCTTAAATCTGTTAGGCACCAGGGGAAGATCTCTGTGTAATGAATGACTAAACAAGGTGCAAGACACTGGATAGATGACAATGAAGGGAATAGAGAAGCACCAGACACCATCTCAGCATTCAAAATGTTTGTAGCCTACTTGGCAGATAAGCAATATACATATCCCACATTAACTAACAATGCAATACTGATATGGTTTGGATCTGTGTCCCAGCCCAAATCTCATGTTGAATTATAATCCCAGATGTTGGAGGTGGGGCCTGGTGGGAGGTGACTGGATCATGGGGGCAGATGTCCCACTTGGTGCTGCCCTCATGATAGTGAGTTCTCATGAGATCTGGTCATTTCAAAGCATGTGGCACCTCCCCCTCTCCTCTCCCACTTCCCCCTCTCCTCTTCCTCTTGCTCTGGCCATGTGAAGTCCTGGTTCCCCCATGCCTTCTGCCATGATTGTAAATGTCCTGAGGCCTCCACAGAAGCTGAGCAGATGCCAACATCATGGTTCTTGTACAGCCTGTGGAACTCTGAGCCAATTAAACCTCTTTTCTTTATAAATAACCCAATCAGGTAATCCCTTTTTTTTTTCTTTGAGACAGAGTCTCGCTCTATTGCCCAGGCTGGAGAGCAGTGGTGTGACCTTGGCTCACTGCAACCTCCACCTCCTGGGTTCAAGTGATTCTCCTGCTTCAGCCTCCCGATAGCTGGGACTACAGGTGCCTGCTATCACACCCAGCTAATTTGTATTTTTGGTAGAGACAGGTTTCACCATGTTGGCCAGGCTGGTCTCGAACTCCTGACCTCAAGTGATCCGCCTGCCTCAGCCTCCCAAAGTGCTGGGATTACAGGCATGAGCCACCGTGCCTGGTCCCAATCAGGTAATTTTTCATAGCAGTGTGAGAACACTCTTTCTGGCTGAAAAAAAAAAAAAAATTCATTGGATTTACAATGCAGCATCTTATTCCTTTGTGGGACAGGAACGTAGTAGAGCCACAGTCCACTTAACCACTATTTACCAACATAGATGTAGAGTGGGTTTCTTAAATAAACTGGGAAAAAGTCCTAGATTTCTCAATCATACATGATTTTCTTGGCTAGGAAATCGTATAATCTGGGACCAGAAGATGACCAGAATCTAGTTCTTCTAAGGGAGAAAAATGGAAATCCAGCAGCCTAGCTGTTTACCCACTTTTCTTTATTAAAAAGCCTCCACCTGCTTTGAAGACTGTTCACAAGATCCTCCAACTGCCTCAAAACATCTGCTTCCCACTAACCCTCAAAGGCCATTTGGAGTTCCAAGGCCAAGCTCCTGCTTCATCCCTTGAGCACTGCTTTTGGCTAACTGGTAGTATTAATATTCTGGATATTCCAAATCACTCTGCCCTTCAGGGGCACTCCTCTGAAAGTATTAATTCAATCACTTCAAATATTTGGGCTTCATTATAACCTTTTTTTCTCTCCCAAATCATGCCACTTTTATGGCTTGACTGTGGAAGTAAGGTTTTACCCCACAATCTTTTTTTTTTAAGTCAACCGGTAACATTAATAAATGTCCAAGAGGTTTTCTTATTCCTAAACTACTCTGAATTGAGGACTGCAAATTATAAAACTGATCAGATCCCAGCCAGTTTCATTCATCATATATCCTCAGCTGTTTAGTTTCACATTCTGTTTCATATTCTCCAATCTGTGAAGAGTCAAGTATAAATACTGTTAGTATCATGGAAGGAAGTAATCCACTTCATAGTGTTTTGAACCAGTGACTCCTGGGGCATGGGGGTGTGGGGTAGGTGGGGAAAGACCACAGAGATAAAGGGTTAACACAGAAACTTGAATAACAGTCTTTGCTTATGGCTTTGACTGGCTAACATTTAACACCATTGCTCCTGAGATTAAAATGAAACAACTTGCCAAGGATAATTTCATTCTTGCAGCCAACAGCGCAAATGTAGAGTTTCCTGAAGGAATAATCTGCGGAAATGCACAGCTTCCCAAAGCAGCCATGGTATGTTAATATGGGATATTTTGCTTTCCAAGGAAACACCAAAAAAATATCCATAGTGTTAGGAATGGAGCAAACCACATGAGAAGAGAACAGGAAAAGCTTCTTCTCTCCCAGAAATGACCTCCTCCCCTCAAAATGGTTTCCCACGTGCTAATTGACTGCGGGGATGAGACAGTGTGGATACAGCTACTAGTTTCACTTAAGTCTTCTTATGCTGAAACCCACAGTTTACATCAAAAGCTGCTAAAGTAAACCAAATAAACCAAAATGGAACATTTCATTCCTGTGTATTTAAAGGCAGGAAGAGACATCATCGTTCTGAAAATATACGAGGGCCATGCTTAAGGATTCAGAAAAACAGGCCAAAGTCAGGCTTGAAGAACACCCACATCCCCTGTGATCATAAAACCCTCAGATTTTATGGGGGAACTGGGGGGAACTGGGGAACAGAGACCTCAGCTTTAGAAGCGGCACCCTCTGTTCTGGGCATTCCTTTCTTCCCAGGTGGATGCTGTAGAGGTCCCCAGTAGCTCATAAGCAGACTACTGGGACTGCGGCTTTCCAGCATCCCTGTTCCACACAGGAATAGGATGCTACATCGCAAAACCAATGAATTTTTTAAAAAATCCAGAAGGAGGTAAAACTTTAAGTTTCTCTTTCATTCTATTGAGTAGCTGGATTTTGGAAACAAACACACCATGCCCTAAATTACGTCCAATGCAATAAATGGCACAACCTGAATTTTTGGTCCCTAGTCTTTGTTCACTGGGGTATAACACATAATCAGCCTCTTGGTAACAAGGGGATACTTAGGCAGTACTTACACCAACAGAAAAGAAAACGAGGGCTGTGACTCATAAGCAGTATGTGGTCCTTCCCACCAGTGGGTACTGTGGCGTTGTGTGGAAACTTGGAGGCTTTAATAAGAATCTGCTACGTCAGCACCATGTAATATAATAGAAAGAACTCAGTGAGGACTTCAGAAACCCTGATGCTGCTCTAGGCTTCGCTGGTCATTTCTCCTGTGATTTGAGTCACCACATCACTTCCTTAGTCCTCAGCTTCTTTATCAAAGTACACCAGGTGATTCTTATGTTTCTTCCAGGCCTCTCTGCCTTAAACCTAACCCAGGGGTTAACCTCCAGGAGTCCTTTTCAGCCTGCTTCAGCCTTTCTAACAGGCCTCCCCTTAATCTAGTGCCCTTTCTGCTACCCCGAGATAAACACCACATGACTCGAAGTGTGTTTGCCAGACAACTGTTTAGTCCTACAAGGCGTTTTACATGTATGGCCAAGGAGCAGGAACACTATCTTTGAAGGCTTCTTTTCTACCAGCGAAGAGGCTGGCAACCACAACCCCTCTTAGCCTTGGCATTCCCATCACTAAAGTGGGACAGACATCTTTCTCACGGAGCTGTCAAATATCAGGTTCTAAGCCATTGTGAACACTGCCAGATACAATTCATGATGTCTGGATAAGCGTGAATTTCAGATACACAATTTGGGACATACTTACATTAAAAATTATACATCGTTTATCTGAGATACAAATTTAACTGGGTGTCCTATATTTTGCTGTTTGCCAAATCTGGCAACTCTACACATGTGAGACGCTGCTGTTGTTGGTCTTAGGTACCAGGCTGCCTCACCAAACCAGTCTTTACGCAGAATAAAACAAGGGTCCATGTGGTTCAGGTTCCTTCTGCCCTCCTACACTGGCCCCCTTTCTGCTCCTCCTATCGGCTTCACAGCATTACACATCCCACCTGGCTCCCTTCTTCCTGAGGCACCTGAATTGTCTACTGACCACCCTTCCAAGCACAGCCCCCTCCCCCTTCCCTTGGTTGAACAAGCTGGCTGAATTAACTCATACACATGCATCACTGATCATTTAATGAGTCATCAGCCCCCTCTGAAACCACTGCTTTTTCTTTAAAGGTCATTTACAACCTCAAATTAAAATGACTGAATTACAGGCCGTGTAAAAGTTGAAGTGGAAAAAAAAGTAGGCAGAGGGGTGGGGGAAGCTGGGACCACTTAGGAGCTGGCTCTCACAGTAGTTCCTCCAGCGTGTTTCTGCTTTTCCTAGTCTTTTCCTTTTCTTCTGAGCCCACAACAGCTCTTGAGGCAGTTGAAGACCCTGTAGATAAGGGAAAAAAGGAACGGGGAAGTGGGATGGGTGCAGTAGGAAGCTGGGGTTTACGTGTAGACTGGTCACCACATTCTTCCCACGCAGTTCCTAGGGTGCCCCAGCACTAGCATCTAATTTAGATTGTAGAAAACACAAAGCCTGACTGAACTTTCTCCTTTTTAACCAGCTTGTGTTCGGAGATGAAATACAATTGCACGAGCTTGTAACTCCTGGAACCTGGACGTTGGTCAAATATAACCCCAGGGGCCATAAAGAACCATCTCTCTCTTTCCAGAGCACATCAGTCTAGATGGCTCTGAAGGCTAACCAGAGGAGGAGGGGGTGGGACACACTTGCATCAGTATTACTCAAGCACCCCTGACTGGGTCAGGAGGACACCCCTTCGGCCCAGCTCTGCCCTCCTGGAAGGATCCCTGTCCCTAGGTTATTCGGTCCAAGATGACCCTTCACCTTCATGCCCACAACCCATCAGCTAACAGCATTTCACCAAACCACCAAAAGGAAAAGGCTTGAAACAAAGTAAATCACAAAATGTGGCAAAACAGATAGTGTACTATCCTTCTCAGGCAATTAGCCTCAGCAGAGTGACCCTCATAGGACCTTTGCAGGAGATGGAGCTGCTGAATGTCCCGGCCCACTATTGAAGGTGAGGTAAATTATTACCAACTGGGGACCAAGAAATTCTGTCTTATAATTTTGCAATACCCACTGCAGAGAGCTGCTGGCACCTGGGCATGCTGACTCAGTGGAATGCACCTTCCCATTATCTTCATATCTTCCTAACTATGCCGAGACTAGGGTGGGAAATGTTTTAGATGGTAGGAGTGGGAGTGGGAGGCTGAGAATCCTACATGCCCCAAGAGCTTCACATTCTTATTCAATCCTCCCAACAGCCTAGGAAGGAGAAATGGACCCCTGGGTCCACGCAGGATTTGAATTCATGTCTTCCGGACCCCAGCGCTGATTGTCCTCCACACGCTATTTGTTTCATTCAGAGTGCTGAGCTCTGATTTCACGTTTCCCTTGGAAGAATGGAATGTTGATGCCTTTTCTGGCTGCGCTGTGTGTGACAGGGACAGACTACTCATTTCATGGGCTTATAACAAGGGATCTACTGAGGGATTTATTTTAACAGAGGACTTATTTATAATATTTTTTGTAGGAAAACAGTGTCTTGTATTTAGTTACATTTCATATCTTGAGTTGTACTTTTGTAGCACACAAGAATTTGTTTCTCAGCAGACGATGGTGAGGAACTCCAGGGCAAAATAGACACTGGGCTTTACTCCTGGATAATGGAAAATGGCCTCTTCAGAATCTTGTGCAGTGAGCCAGGGAAGTCTGGTCACTCCTGCTAATGGATCAGTTCACTGTTGTTAACAAGGAGTTAAAAGAGCAATTCTTCCACTCTCTCTCAAATTAGTTTGATTTCTTGACTTTGTATTATACTGTATTTTTAAAGGATAGTTCTTCTTTACAGCCAGCAGGAGTTTCTCTTGATTACTCACTCACTTACCCCCAGGTAAGACTAACACATGGCACAAAAAGCAGGGATCGAGTGCCCTTTATCTAGTCACCTGTTCAGAGGGCTGCCCAGGCTTGGGTGCTATGTTATCAGGTTCTGCATCCAGTCAACTACAAAAGGTTAATCATTGCAAGAGCCTTAGAGGCATCCTAAGTGTCTCCAAATGAATAGGTTGGGAGGTGAGGCCTGGAACCTGCATTTTCATAACTTCCCCAGGGGGTTCTGAAGCACCCCCAGGTTTGGGGACCACACTGGTATAGAACACCCTGCTATTAAAGGTGAGGTCAGGGCCGGATGTGGTGGCTCATGCCTGTAATCCCAGCACTTTGGGAGGCCGAGGTGGGCAAATCACAAGGTCAGGAGTTCAAGACCAGCTTGGTCAACATAGTGAAACCCCATCTCTACTAAAAATACAAAAATTAGCCAGGTGTGGTGGCATGCACCTGTAGTCCCAGCTACTCGAGAGGCTGAGGTAGGAGAATTGCTTGAACCTGGAAGGCGGAGGTTGCAGTGCGCTGAGGCTGCACCATTGTACTCCAGCCTGGGCGATAGAGCAACACTCAGCCTCAAAAAAAACAAAAAACAAAAAACAAAAAAAACCTGAGATCAGAGGTCAGTCCCTCTGGAACCACTCAGCTTTGCTGTGTTACAAAGGCACTGAAGCAGCAAATCTGCAAACACACTCTCTATCAATCAGGGTACCAGCAGGAGACAGGTGGCACCCTCAAATTATCACAAAGGGGTATTTGCCAAGAAGTGAGCAGGGCACAAGGCCTAGTGCAGCCCCCTGGGCTAGTATTGAGGGGGAAACAGGTAGGGTGGCTCTGTTATACCTAAAGGCTGAAGGGGCAAGGTGAGGAAGCAGACACCAGAACCTGGACAGAAACGCTCACGGAAGGGCTGCCTGACAGGGATAGTGACCCCATTTCAGGGCTGTAGCGAATCAGGAGGGACCCCACTGTGGGTAGATATTCTGACCTCCCTCTTCTCCCTCCCTCCAGTCTCTGGACATTCTTCTTGCTAAACTCAACTAGAAACCAAAGGGAAAGGAACTCACTGACGTTGTACATAGAAGTCAATTTTCTGGGGCACAGAGCAGAGTGGAGAGTATTTGGATACAGAGGAGTATGACGAAGACGCCAGGTGCAAAACTTCAAAAGCAAGCATACCAGGGAGTGTCAAACCCTCACCACCATCATCACACAGGACAGCAGCTAAAGGCTGTGCCACACCCACTCATGGAAGCACCTGATGCTATAGGTAACTGCAGAGTTCTACCAGTAACTTTTGAAATGACACAACTTCGTCCAGAGAAGTCGTTCAACAATAAATTCACAAATGTTCTTATCAAATATTTATGGAGCACCTATTCCATGCAAGAAATGATATCTTACTTTAGCCATGTAGTGAAGGTTTCAATGTGTTTTATGTTAAACTCGGTAAGTGTTTATCTGGTTTTATGAAGCCCCCATTGCTTTTTTCCTAAAAGAAACAAAAATAAATACACTACAGAAAAGGAAAATATCTCAGATTTTTAAAATGGAAAGATACTAAGCTTTAACTGCCCATACTCATGGCCTATAGCAAAAGTGGCCTTTTAAAAATAAAATATATGATTTTCCAGTTAGGTTTTACCTCCATCTTGGCAAACAAACATATGATGTGCTTTCAGGTAGTCTAAAATAAATGGGTTGAAGAATAGCTTTATCCCATCTTTCAAGATCCACACAACTAACGTCAGTTCCACTAACCTGAAAAAGTTCTCAGGAGGCATCGCGATTGATTGCCATTCTCTACTCTATGGTTACCTTCAGTGGGTAACCAATGAGAGACATTTACATTTCCCTGTATCCATGTGCACTTTTCATCAGCATAAGTGAAGAATAAGCACGAGTCTCTTGAGTCCTCTGGATTAGTCATGGTGCTTCGTGGCATGGGGAATGATGTGAGCTCCTAGGGATACACCAGGTTATTTCACAAACACATGGCAGATGTTAGGTGGCACTAACATCAAACCACAGAACATGAACCTTATTTATTTTCCAATATTTTTCAGGCACCAAAGTCTCAGCCAGATGTTGCCATGTCAGTGACACCCTCCAACACCTGCCAATCCCCCTCTTCACTGGGGAGGTGTGGCCTTAGGCTCGGAGCCTTCAGGCATGGGCCTCTCTTATTTTCACTTATTGATTTTAATGGTTATCATTTCTATCAAAGAATATCGGTTTTCTACTTGAGATGGTCATATAAATTTCTTTTAAAAATTTAGTAGAAAAAATAAATTCAAGGGAAAATATATATTTTCCCTTAAAAAGGTGGCACATAGATATAGCAAAAATCATTAAGGTAGTATACAAATGACTAAAGTGTGGAAACACTGATGTAATACTAAGTACACCTCATGAATCAGAAAAACTTAGGTTTTAGTTCTAACTGCCCTCAAATAGGGATTAATGACTGATTTCCTTACTTTATAAAAAGCAATCCTTTCAGTGAAGGTAGTAGCTCTCTGGTCAGATGGCTGTAGCTCAAAGAGGGTAATAAAAATTTAGTAAAACTGCTTTGTAATCTGAATCCTGTCTTGTTCATAATATGACAGAGATGCCTATGATAAATGATTAAGGATTAAGGTTTAAAGATTTATATCACTATTAGGATGAAAATATGGGAATATACATCATGAGGGTAAGGTAAAGGTGGTCTCCTTGTCTGTTGGCATCAGGTCTAACAAGGGGGCCTTTGGCTGTCACTGGAATGGGAAGAGAAAAACCTCTGATTCATGGAAGGCCTTCACTGAGAGTATCCCAGGGCCATCCAGGCAGAATTAAATTACAAGTGCAATCAGTCATGGGATGTGAATCCACTTGATGTCGGTCTGGTAAAAATACTGAATATTCTGCGGTATTGAAAGTGCAAACACTTTCAATGGTTACCTCCTGTGTGAACTGTAAATCTCTTAGATGTTTTAGTTCGGCCCTGTTTCATCCCAAGTCACCCAAACCCGCAAACTCTAACCCCTTGAAAAATTTACATTTATGTTCATGTTCCTTTCAAGTTAAGACCTCAGGAAGCACTAAATCAACCAATGTATGCTGTCTTTTTTCTTCTTACAAATACGAGTGTGAAGCCCAGTGCCTGGGTGCACTCACACCCACTTCCACACATGCCTACACACCCCTGCTCCCTGTGCCTCCCCGAAAACCCACCCTGTGGGTGGAGCAGAAATGAATGCTGCCTGGGGCCCTTCCAGGAAGAGGTGTTTGAAACAAAGCATTCTGTCCTTCTGAACTCTTCCTTACACTCGCGCTTTGCTAAATCCCATATGTCAGCAGTCTTCACTTTGGAGTTAGGGTCCTTTTCCTATCCACTGTTGTTTACTTGTTTTAAAAATATTTCTACAATGCATCCGTTGTTCTCCATTCACTATATAATTGTATAATACATTGGCAAGCAACTGCTCCTCAATGAATAAAAGTGTGTTTTACTAAAGAATAATTGGAGCTGCTTGGCACAGGAGCCAACCTTGCCCGGCACCAGCTGATATATGTGGCAAACATGGCTGTCTTCTGCCTGTGCCTTTGCTGAATATACAAGTAGTCAGGAGCTGTTAACTCTAGGAGCTCAGTTTTAGGTACACAAGATACAGAAAGTTTTTAATGCTGTATGATTTCATTTATGAATTTCTTTAGATTTACTAAGTTGCTAGAATTACAGGAAACAAACAGACTTTAATTTTACAGAAGCCATCAAGTTTAGAGGAAACTTTCAAAAGGAAACGTTTTAAAGATGCCATAATGGGTAGTAGCAGGCTGTAGGGCTTGGGGTATGTGTACAGTATAAGGATTGGAGCTGTAAATGTAAGTACTGCAAACACTGGACAATGTGGGTCAAATGGCTTCTGTGTTCCTTATTCTAACTGAATCCAGTTTCACAAATAGACTTGTTTGAAGACAAAGGGCAGAATGTAGTTTTATATTTCATGATCTCTCAAAGCACATCTGCACATTTTTGGGTGACTGCCCCACCCTTATCCCCTTCTCTGGGAATCTGTTCCAACCTTACTTGACCTTACATATGATGAGGGTAGGGGTGACCTTACATATGATGGGGCAGGGGTGAACAACTGATGCAAGGGAGGCTCATCCCTATACTGGCTAGGAACCTACAAGTTGTAGCCTGGTTTAAAAAGATAAGTTAAACTAATTAGATCGTTCTGCCAGGAATTTGGAGTTCGAAAATGAAGAAGGTATTGCTAGTCAGCTGTGGGTTGCTAAACTGTCAGATTATATAGATTAGACGTGGGCACTGCAGCGCCTATTGTGGGCCAAGGACAAGCAGAGGGAGCTGGTCTACAGATCTGGAAGAACGGGACTCTCCAGGCATCACAGGTATAGCCTTGAAACTGCAGCACAAAGGAAGAAACAAATGTACTGGCTCCAAGGGACCACGTCCTAGGACCCTCTGCACCCCAGGACCCAGTTTAAAGTGTAGACAGTGCTCAAAACACTTACATGGAACTGTAGGGAACTGAATTTGGCCCAAGGGTAGCCTTGTAAAGAGCCTTGTACATCCTTGGAGGTAGAAGGAAGTCAGACAGACATAGAGCTAAACTGGCTTAAGTGAAAAACAGAGAGCAACTGCTATCAGCTCTGCATCTAAGTGAATGAGGGCACTCGGAAGAACAGGGCTGTGGCTGGGCAGGAGTGGGGGTGACAAGGCCTCTGGGAGGAGGCAGGGCAGATGGCGATGCTTCAGGGGAGTGTAGCAGAAATGCCCATGGCAAAACCTCGGGACTCTTTCATCTAAATGGATGTGTTAATGGCTCCCAGGGAGTGGGTTTAAGAGGGCTTAGCGCATATGCCTTCGTCTACTCTACTGGCTGTAAATAACCCATGTTCTTGTCTGTACCATCTGCTTGGTGTGCACTTTGTGGAACTGTGTGAAGAAAAAAAGTTTGGGGAGAAATGGCTAGAAATACTTTAGTTGTATACTTAGAAACCAAATATGCTTACACAGCTAAATTATCACTCTTCCTTTATGGAGGTAATTAAATCAGAAATTTTCCTTTTTTTTTTTTTTTTTTTTTTTTTTTAAGGGAGGGAGGTTGGACAGGAGGAGGCTATAAAGCTTCCTGAAGGTCAAAGAGCAGGTCATGGGCACAGAATGAGGCCAGAGACAAGTCTCCTACCACCAGTGTTAATCTTGAGTTAGTCACATTTAACCAGCCTCAACTGCAAATTCTTCGTCTATAAAGGGGTGTGTCACTCACCTTCCTCAGAGTAGTGTTTTGAGAATTGACTAATATCTAAAGCATGAAATTCTTTAGATAAAAGACATCATGAACATACTAAATATTTTTATGGAAAGAGTCATGCCCTCTGTGAAGTGCCAAGTAGATATTATACACGATTGTTGCCCTCATGTACACATTGAAATCGCCTCACTCATCTTTCTAGTTCCTCAAAATTATACAAACAATATAATTACTTAATTCATTAAACAACTATTGAATGAGCATTTACTATGCTATTTACTTCTAATTTTAAACCTACAAGTGCAATTGTGTTGTAAAATCATGGACTTACTGTCTTGCAAGTAATTTCTAAAATACAAAGTTGGATTTGTTTTCAAAGTTAAATAACTGATATTTTCCCTCTGCTAGATTTGCGATTATCTGTAGTTTGGTGATTTTTGAAAGAGTTCAAAGAACTTCCCCATCCAACCCAGTTGAACTTTACCAAGGCCTACCACAGCAGCAATTTAAGAAAGATATACTCACCACCAGAGAACCCAACACCTTCAGGAAGACTCTACAAAACACAGCATGAGTAAATGACTCATGAAATGCAAACTTGAGAGAATAATCATACTGCACTAGCCTCATTTACAAACTATATCTCATCTTGACAATATTCCCAGAAAGAATGTAGGTCAAATCCCAATAAATGAAATCCCAGTGTTTCTCAAATACTTTTTATGGCCTTCAACTTTCACTTTATTGGAATTTGCTTGGAAGAAAGAGGTATTGAGTGCTGTGGTTAAGAGCTAGCATGCAGGACTCTAACAGACTCCACACCATAATGAGAAGTTGCAGACTTAAATCAGCTACTTTACCTCTCTAGGCCTCAGTTTTGCTATCTACAAAATGGAGATAATAATGACCCCTATTTCACAGGATCTCCAAAAAGCAGCAGTGAATACTGAAGGTCTTAGCAGTGCTAGAGGAATGTTAGCTATTAATGGAGATGTTCACTATGTGGTAAGAGGATGTGCGTGGATGCCAGAGTGTCCTCAAAGAGATGTGAGTTGAAACTTGCAAGTGGGTTGAGGACGGGTGGGGAGCCCTTGCTACCTCTAAGTTCCCGTGGCTCTGACGCCCTTGCCAGACAGAAGGCACAGAAGTATCAAGAAACCCGAGGGAGATGGATCTTCCTTCAGATCTGTCCCAGCATGACATGAGCTGAAGTACAAGAGTTCAGGCCGCCCTGGAACCAGCACTAGCAAATCTTAATTTCTCACTGTGTCCCAGCGCCAGAGTGCCTCACTGCTGTCTTGACTTATGTTCACTCTGTAAAGAGAAAGCACATTTGCTCTGGAGGAGTTGAAAAGCTACAGGGAAAAATCCCATGCCAACAATCGACTTCAAACAGTATTCCTATTCAACATTTTAGAAATAGGTCAAAATGATGGGGAGAAAACAAAACCTAACATTTGGGGAAACTTTCAGAATTGGCTCTGGTTTTATGAGTTGTTATAATTCTAAAGACAAAAGTGGGGAGGAAAACAATAAAGCCAAACGATAAAGCCATTTTCATTGATGAGGTCCCATATTCTCACCCAAAACAAAACAAAGCAAAATCTGAAACATAAAAAGATTTTTTTTCACTGCAAGCTTCTGGAATTTCCTAGAAGAATAAAGAAATAATTAAAGTTCTAAATTAAATACAGGTAAAATTTGATCTATGCTAATGAAAAGTTGGAAATAATGAAGAATCTGAAATGGAAAAAAATTCTGCAAAAAATTTTATATACATAGTATAGAATAATATATACTGTTAGAATTAAGAAAATATTATATAAACCTAAATTATGAATTTCACCCAGTGGCAAAGATATTTTCAAGGATCAATGCCAAACACAATACATATTTTAAAAATATCTATTTGGTCTGAGCCTTCAAAACAACTCCATACTTGTTCTATAACAAAAAGTGGGAGATGGCAATAAAATAAAAATAATTAATTTTCCATTAAAATGAATTCACATGGAAGTTCTACTCTATATGGGGCAGAAATGCAAGCAAGGATTTGACTGTTGAACACGTATGCATGAGTGCAGCGAACAGGTATGTTCTCAACTTTTAAAAAAATTGTAAAATGTAATTCCTGGATAATCTCAAATAGGCAAGGCAGGTAAGCTGGTGAATTCACAGTTCTGCATGTGTGTATGTACACAGGTGTGCTTTAAAAAGATTTCCTAATAGACTTCTTTGAAGAGCTGGCTTCCCTCAAAACAAATTTAATATAGGAAAATTTAATTTTGACAGTATTCAATAACAGAACTAGCTCATGAAATCCAGCTCAATCACACTGGATGAGAGCTGGAGAGCTGAGAAAGGTTCAGAGCAGACACCTATTCAGGCAGTTCATATTCGGTCAGCCCAGCAACACCTCCATGTTCTCCAGGAGTAGAAGCAGCAGGAAATGGCTACAGCTGCAGCCTCCTGCAGCCTGTAAACTGTTTAAACATCTTCCCAAATAACAGAGAAAATGGTCATATTATTTCTGATTGCATAACAAGCAGGAGATTTGAACAATGAATTAGGAGGAACTGAAATGTTTGTAGTTTTAATTGTCTAAAATGTCTTTCAATTATACTTAATTTTCATTCCAATAAAAATTTATTACAAATAAATAGCAACACAAACAAAATCCCCCATTAAACCAGCATAAAAAAAATCTAGGTAACTACTCCCTCTCTTTGTTAATAACTAAGTATACACATTTGCTGAGATTCAAAATGCTGTACAGTCTTAGTATGGTTCCATTTTTGTAAAATATATAACTAGAGGAAAAAAATACTAGAATAAAATATTCCAAAGGCCAGAGACATTGGTCATCTTTGAGTAGCGGAACTTCAGTAAAGGAGTTCTATCCTGTTCTCTGAGTACTTCTTTTTTTTTTTTTTTCTTTTTTTTGAGACAGAGTCTCTCTCTGTTGCCCAGGCTGGACTGCAGTGGTGTGATCATCGCTCATTGCAGCCTCAACCTGGGTTTCAAACAATCCTCCCACCTCAGCCTCACAGCTGAGACTACAGGTATGTGCTAATTTTTGTAGTTTTTGTAGAGACGGGGTTTTGCCATGCTGCCCAGCTTGGTCTTGAACTCCTAAGCTCAAGCAATCCACCTGCCTCAGCCTCCCAAAGTGCTGGGATAACAAGTGTGAGCCACCATGCCTGGCATATCTGTCTTGTTCAGCTACTGCTGAATTTCACTTGTGGCCAGAAAATAAACAGTATTTTTTAAAAATTTAAATGCTACATAGCTAGGTGATAAGCTAAATGGAGACCATATATTTTTAGGCATTTACCTTTATGATTTTTTTTAAGTACTCCTTAAATGCCTCTTTGTTCTTTCATGTTTTCAAAAATATGGCATCTATTGAAAACAAAAGGCAATTAATCAAGTCATACAAATTTAAACATATTTAACTCAAAGGGTTATCTTTGAGTTAAATATATCTTTGAATTAAATAAGTCTTCCTTATGACATACTAACAACTAGAGCAAAAGCTCTGATAATAGTTACACGATGCTAAAACCAACTAGATTTAAGTCAGTAGTAATATTTATACAATATCCTTTCAGTGAGGATTCAGTTCCCTGAAATAGACAACCTCTCACTGATTCTAACCTGACCCTGAAGAAGAAAATAAAAAAAGATCTTCCTTTTTAAGAGAAATAAAATTAAGACTCAAAGAAAAGTGTACTCCATAGATCATAAGGAGGTCACAATTTCTTAGTAGTTAAAACTCCCATTCCAAGCACACTAAAAAATCAAAGAAATATAAGTTAAAATTGCAGAGTATCATTTTTCACGTATCAAGTTTGCAAAGATGATGACCAATAAAAACTATTATCATGAGAATATGGAGTAACTGGCATCATCTGACACTTCCAGTAAAGAATGTTTAGGCAATAAATACAGATCAAACTTCAAAATGTGCCAACTCCTTGACCAGACAATTCTCTTAGGAACTTATTCTAAGGAGAAAATAAAGTATTCAAAGACATGTTGCAGTATTGGATGTTCAATGCAGTGTTGCTTCTAACAGAAAAATCAGCAATAACCTAAATATCCACTGAGAGAGGAGTTTGCTGCTGCATCCCCAGAATTTAGCACAGTGTCTGCTACATAGTAAGACTGAAAATAAATATTTGATGAATGAATGTCACCATGAATAAATTAACAGGATATACATGTATAACTGAATTTTATGCAGGCATTAAAATTTTGATGTAAAATTATATTCAACAACATAGAAAGGAGTGATTAAAATAGATTATAGATTATAGATTAGCTTATAGAGTACAATCCCAATTACATGAAATCATATATTTCTACCTGTGTATACAGGTGGGATTTGGATAATTTTCACCTTTTTCTATATATTTTTCTGTATTTTTGTTTTTTTAAAAAAACATAGCAACCACATATTTTCTATTTGGTTGAGGGAAGTCCTATTCTTTAAATTTTTATCCCAACCACTCAAGCTATAGAAGTATTATTAAGTAACAGATAACATTCACAGGGTAAAATTTAAGACAATTTCTTTCCCCTTGATTTCTCAAGTACTATCGTACTAAAAGTCCTCTTTTCTGTAAGTTACTCCTATAATATGGCCAAAACTAAACGAATACATGGTGTATCCGTTTTAAAGCAGGTGCAATAAATGCCCTCGTAGCTATCCCACTGAAAAAAGAATCTCCATGCATGCTATTTCACTGGTTTGACTTTCTCTGTCCACAGCCCTTCTGAACCCAGCCTTGTTAACTTTCTGGCAAACCCTCATGGCCCAAGGATGCTCTCCTGGACTCTGTGTGCATCCAAGTGCATTCATCATCAATGGACTCCATCTGTCGGCTCCTCACACAAAGACCTCAAGTTATTTGGCGAAGATACATTGCTTTCCTTAAATGCTGGATTGAGTTTAAAAGTAGACAGCTTGTGTCAATAACAAATGGTTTCTGGTAATTATTGTTTTCAATCCAGGATAAAATATAAGTATCCCTAATAAACAAATGACAAAGTGTCTCTCTTTGGATTCCAACAAGAGCAGCGTGATTCCTCCACTGGGGCACTGTCTGGTTACAACAGTGCCTGGCTGTGATTCTGGTCAGCCTCTGAAAGCAAGAGTCAGGGCCAACAAATGCTCCATCTATGCACATGTGCCCTGAAGAATCAGCCAACTGTGAGAATGGCAAAGAGCACACAGATGACCTGATGACTGACAGCCTCTTCCTTTGGATGCCATTTATGTGAATTCCAGAAATCTGCTGACAGTTATCTCATGCCATGCCAATGCAAGGGTTCACCACGCTAAGAATAAGCTATATATTTTGGTCTTGCAGTATTTACCCCCAAATAATCCTGCACAGAAATGGCAAGGTGAAAGGCTGAGAGAAACGAAGAGGGACCACTGGGAGAAAACATACACATCTACCACTTCCCTTCATGCAATTCCTGGGTGCAATATCAATCCAGGTGGGCGCTGAGCACAGCAGCAGCACACACCCAACACACAAAGCATTTATAAATACCTCAGGTATGAGGGTGGCTGGCTTGATCTGATCAAGCTGATTATGGACTTAATGTAAATACTCTTTTTAAAAAAAGGCATATATATGAAGACAACCCTATGGGCATGAGCTCTGAGTTATGTTTTCAGTGGTAATGATCACACGTGTTTGATGTTGGTACCACTAATTTGCAAGATGCTTGGCCAGCCTGGTGGACTGTGCTGTTCAACGCCCACAGCCCATCCCAGGGGCCCAGCTCCCTCCATGGTAATGAGTACCTGGTCTGTTGCCTTGCTGCTGCCACTGCTGACTAGCTTTCTCCGATGCTGCTGTCATGTGCTTCTACCCAAAGCTGTCTGCCTTTGAGCCACAGCTATTTCCTGAGGGATGTAAAATTCAACAAACTGCAAATAAACAACACAGAACATGATCTCATGCTGTCATGCTGCTGCTTCTCTAAATTGTAACATCGTAGCAGCTCCTTGATTTACAAGCATCATTTGACCCTCACATTTCTCTTTTGGTTACTTCTCCTCTTGAGTCCATCAGCTTCCTCCATTGCCTAACTATGTGTCTCTTGGACCATCCGGCTATGCTTCACCCCATTCAGACTTGGTGGCTCTCAAGCTCACCAAGCTGCAAAACGTGTTCTTGCAAAGTTCACCAGCAACCTCTAAACTTCACTGTTCTCATCCCCCAGGACCTGACATTTAACACTGTCAGCAGCTCTCCTCACTAGTCTTGGCTAGGTTTGATCATCTTTTCTCACCCAAACTGCCTCTTTCCATTCCCTATTTTGGTTGGGTGCACAGAAACCCAGAGTGAGTTGTCTCCTTCTCTTCTCTCCCCTTAATCCCCTACATCCAGATGCAGCTTGCCATCAGCAATCCTGGAGATTCAGTCTTCAAAAAGCCTTGTGATTTTCATTAAGATTTAGTGCAGATAAAATAAAACAACATTCCCAAAAGGAGTCTGTAAACTACAGTACATCTACAAATACAAGGTATCAGTACGGGCAGAATCATTTTATTCCTTTTCTGTTCCTTGCTGAAGTCATTCAAATTCTTATTCCAACATTTAAATCCTTCCATAATATGAACTCACTTTAAGTCTCCAACTAAATCTTGGATTATTGTTTTACGACAGTCCCTGAAATAGAATATTCTTTCCTCTCTGAACCTGTCTTTAAAACATAGTACTTGAACTGCCTTCCCCGAGACCATGACCCATATTAAATTGAGTTTCAGCCACTCCATTAACCCCTTAGGCAGATTTTTAATTAGTTTTACAGACGCATAGACTGTAAAGGTCTTTGTGTAGTTTCTACTTTCCTGTTTCTTTACTACTTACTTTGTGTTTGTTTACATGTTTTTCAAATTTGTGCAGGCAGGGATCATGGCTTGATATGGACTGTTAGTGACCAACTGACTTCAGCTCATTACTGTTCATAAATTAGTCTCATCTCCCCCACTTTAAAAAAAATACCCAAATAAATTTAAAAAATATTATTCTCAAACACTCACCCTTGGTGTCTCATGCAGAGGGTCTGGCGATAAGACAGTTATTAAGAATATTTAAAAGTTTCATTTCAACTCAAGAATGAGAAACTCATCCATCCCTGACAAAAACAGCTTAAGAATAAATTCCAAATACCCAAGTGTTATTTTCTTCACTCCACAAACCCGGGAACATTACAGGACCATGACACAAGTTTGGATGACATCCTATGGCTATCAGATGATAGATGTTTTCATTGGTTTCTCCTTAAATCAGGGCTGTGAACAGTCCATGATACTGAATGGGAACCCTTAGCAAGACAGCTCAAATTGTATCTGACAAGGCTCACTTCATAAACCTCAACTATTTTCCTAATGAAGAGATGCTGTGTTAAGGCAATTCTCTTTATATAACCATTATGCATTTATATTCCCTTTAAAGATAAATGATATTTTTATGAAGAATGAATTGCATACAAAATACTGTCTTAGTGAGATGCCAAAATACACACCCATTCAAAATATACAAAACAGAAACAACTAGCCAATATTTCTCCTAACCAAAATAAATGGTGTGCAGAATTCTCTTTTGAATAGTATGGTGATCTTAATGACAAAAGCAAAATTAATATATTACTATTAGGAAATAACCTGAGAAATAGATTAACTGTACCTTATAAAAATTATACTAATATGTTTACTACAGCGCTTAGGATATTTACGTTTGAATTTAAATTATGATATAATTTAGTATTCTCTGCATAATATAAATTAGGATGATCTAACTGAATGTGCAAAAATGCCAACATTCATTCATTCACTCACTGAATTTACAGGTACGTATAGACAAGGGAACATGAAAAGACACTATTATTACCAGCTCAGAGTCTTAGGAAAAACAGATGCATAATTATAAAAAAAAATGATATAAGCACTGGAATTATTCAAAATGCTATGCTGGGAAATACCAACATTTAAGTAGCTGGTAGATCATAAAACAGGTAAGGTAGACATCTATTTATGCAGACCAGGGTCAGTAGCAGTAGCTATAAAACGATCCTATTTATGTTAAACAACAACAAACAACTAGGTTACATGGAAAAGGGTCAGGAAAAGACAACTATCCAGGGGTTAACCATGACTAATTAACTCTGAGAAGCAGAGTGGGAAGGAGGATAATTTTTTTTAAAAAAGACTTTACATACCTCTGTACTGTCTGAATTTTAAAAACATAACCTGAAAGTTCATGTAATACTTGATAAAGGGATCATAGTTATCTTCACAGAATTGGAAAAAACTACTTTAAAGTTCATATGGAACCAAAAAAGAGCCCGCATTGCCAAGTCAATCCTAAGCCAAAAGAACAAAGCTGGAGGCATCACACTACCTGACTTCAAACTATACTACAAGGCTACAGTAACCAAAACAGCATGGTACTGGTACCAAAACAGAGATATAGACCAATGGAACACAACAGAGCCCTCAGAAATAATACCACACATCTACAACCATCTGATCTTTGACAAACCTGACAAAAACAAGAAATTGGGAAAGGATTCCCTATTTAATAAATGGTGCTGGGAAAACTGGCTAGCCATATGTAGAGAGCTGAAACTGGATCCTTTCCTTACACCTTATACAAAAATTAATTCAAGATGGATTAAAGACTTACATGTTAGACCTAAAACCATAAAAACCCTAGAAGAAAACCTAGGCAATACCATTCAGGATACAGGCATGGGTAATGACTTCATGTCTAAAACACCAAAAGCCATGGCAACAAAAGCCAAAATTGACAAATGGGATCTAATTAAACTAAAGAGCTTCTGCACAGCAAAAGAAACTACCATCAGAGTGAACGGGCAACCTACAGAATGGGAGAAAATTTTTGCAATCTACTCATCTGAAAAAGGGCTAATATCCAGAATCTACAAAGAACTCAAACAAATTTACAAGAAAAAAAAACCCCATCAACAAGTGGGCGAAGGATATGAACAGACACTTCTCAAAAGAAGACATTTCTGCAGCCAACAGACACATGAAAAAATGATCATCATCACTGGCCATCAGAGAAATGCAAATCAAAACCACAATGAGATACCATCTCACACCAGTCAGAATGGTGATCATTAAAAAATCAGGAAAGAACAGGTGCTGGAGAGAATGTGGAGAAATAGGAACACTTTTACACTGTTGGTGGGACTGTAAACTAGTTTAACCATTGTGGAAGACACTGTGGTGATTCCTCAAGGATCTAGAACTAGAAATACCATTTGACCCAGCCATCCCATTACTGGGTATATACTCAAAGGATTATAAATCATGCTGCTATAAAGACACATGCACATGTATGTTTATTGTGGCACTATTCACAATAGTAAAGAGTTGGAACCAACCCAAATGTCCATCAATGATAGATTGGATGAAGAAAATGTGGCACATATACACCATGGAATACTATGCAGCCATAAAAAAGGATGAGTTCATGTCCTTTGTAGGGACATGGATGAAGCTGGAAACCATCATTCTCAGCAAACTATCACAAGGACAAAAAACCAAACACCGCATGTTCTCACTTATAGGTGGGAATTGAACAATGAGAACACTTGGACACAGGGCAGGGAACATCACACACCTGGGCCTGTTGTGGGGTGGGGGGAGCGGGGAGGGAAAGCATTAGGAGATATACCTAATGTAAATGATGAGTTAATGGGTGCAGCAAACCAACATGGCACATGTATACATATGTAACAAACCTGCACGTTGTGCACATGTACCCTAGAACTTAAAGTATTATATATATATATAAAATTTAAAAAATAAAGACAGAGACAATAATCTAAAAAATAAATAATAAATTTAAAAAATAAAAAAAGAAAGAAATAAACAGTAGAGGTAGAGGCTGCAAAGCAGACTGAGAGAGATGAGTGAGAAGTAGAAGGAAATGCAAGAGAGAGTAGAGTCAGAGAGGCGAGGGGAGGACAATGTTGAGAGGGAATGCATGTCAACCACACCATCATTGACTGTCAAAGAGGCAGAGGAGCATGAGGACCCAAGAAAGGGCTTGTCACACAAGAGAAAGCTCTAATTTCCACATGGCTGCTACAGTGGAACAGCAGCAGTGGAAATACAACTGCAGCAGGGTAAAAACGGGGTGTAAGGGGATGAGCAGTAGGTGCACATCACATGCCACAGGGCGGCTAACACACAAGTGAGGTGAGCTGGGAGCAAGTGAGATTATGTCCCTCTGTGTCTTTCACGTTACCAGATGGGTACAGAAAAATTCTTGTCAATTTTACAAAAATCTACAGTGCATTTGCAGTGACTAACAGTGATTATGAATGGCAACCAACACTTGTGGCCATAGGCTACAGGTGTGGGGACCCACAGGGAACCGAACGGAGGACCCAGAAACCACCTACAGAGGTGGTCACTACACAGCTCCAGCCCCAGCCGTGGCTGCTGAGAGGCCATGTTGGCCTTGTGCTGCTAGATCATCCTATTTTTAAAGAAAAGCCATAAATCTGCATTTAAAAAAATGTGAAATATCCTGACTTCTAAACACCGGCTCAAATTTTTAGAAAACACTGGACTAGACAAAATATGGGGGCCACCTCAAGCGTTACGGCTTTCTGTAAGCTTGGCATTGAGGAGAAAATGTCAGGCAAAAAATTTTATACTTTTTTCCCCCTTTTATAAAGAATGGAAGCTTTTCACATGTTGCTGAGGGCCAAGATCTAAGGGATAAAAATCATCCCCTCTTACTTTTAAAATATCCAATATTTGAACTAAAAAGGACTCTCTCTGCTTTCCTTTAAGATTCTACACACTCGCAGGCTCTGCTAATAAACATTTAATCCAAGCTCTTGTATCATGCTAACATAACAGATCTCAGCTAACTATTACAAGTGTTAAAATATGTGTCTGGGTGGGAAGCCCAAATTAACTGGTCATTTTGAAAAGGAAGCCATGAGGAAGGACAAAACATTCTCACAGAATATATATAAACACTCACATTGACTTTCAGTTTATCAAATTTCCTGAGGAAAGAAGTTCCCATTTGTAGCTGACGTATATTGTAACAACACACCCAACCATTTCATTAGAATGCTATTTTTAATCAGTTCGGCATACATTATGCCTCAGGAACTGAAAGCAAGGAGTACATAAAGTCATCAGCTGTGGATATAGAATACTCAGAAGTCAAATAACATTTCAAACTGGGCAAATAGCTTAAAAAGCATAGCAACTCTACAAAGGAAAAGTTTCAACTGCTCTTCTGTGAGCACATGGTCTTTAAAAAATCCCCACTGCAAACTTTGGAAAGTTGAAAAACATCTTTTGCAAGATGTGAAGAATGCATTTGGTAATGACTCACTTGTGATAACATCACTGGGTGGGCCACTGCCACAGAATCTATCCTAAGCTCATTTCACTCTGCTCTGGTCTCTTCATAGTCTATTAAGGGGCAACGTGGATGATGGTAAATATTAGTGCCTCTACTTTGAAATGATTTTCCTCCCAAGGTAACTAATACATTCTCAGGCATGTGGAAAAAGAACTCATGCAAAAGCTCCCTGTATACTAGACTTAACTTTCTCCTGAAATTTAGGAGAAAGCCTTGACACCATCATGGATGAGAGAAATCTACACTGCATCTTGTTAACATCAGATGATGTTGTTGCCCATGACTCTGTACCTTTGTCTATCTATAGTACATTTTTCTCTCTTGCATTCTTCGTTTTCAGGTCACATATAGTTCTCCTCTAACTTATCTTTCTGTGCTCACTCTGTCTCATCTATTTTGCTTTACTCTCCCCCAGTCATTACTCTGAATTTCACTTTTTATTTGCTTAGGTTTGGGTTTAGCTATTTTTCTTCTCAGGTCTCTTATGCCTTCTTTCATTTTCAGACCCTGTCCCCTCCACTACTCACTATTCAAATGAACACTAGCTTTCAGCCAAAGTGTTACCAGGTAGCCACAAAATGAGGTCTTGCACACTTTTACTCCTAAGGTTATCTGAATCAAGTTCACAAATTCATAAACTGAACCAATGCATTTGTCAAAAAGAATCTTTATTTTATTCTGGTGATTAAGGAATTGTTTAAAGTTTTCATTACTTCTGAAAACTCCTCTGAGCTCCCATCTCTGAGCATTGCAGGCATTGCCTCAGATGGTCAGGCCTAACATGAGCACTCCACTGGTTGTAAAACCTGCTAGAAGACTGACAGAGTCAGAAAGCCATTGCCTCTGATGCGTAGGAATGGTGGTCCACAGGCCTTGCTGGGATCTTTTTGGACTGCGGGCAGGGAGGCCTGGACAGCTCTCCATGGTCCCGAACAAGACAAACATTCCAGTGCACAAGCCCTTTGTGGGAGGCACCCTCTTTTCCATGTAGCTACTGTACTTTCAAGATCTTAGCTGAAAACCAATTTAATTGCCTTAATATAAACACCAGACAGCGAGTTTTATTAATTTGGCAACTGAAATAACATAGAGCTTCTGGGATTTATACTCTATAGAGGGTAGCAACATAGGAGACAGAGCACAGTTTTGATAACTATACAGACCTGGGCTCAAATCCTAGCATTTTCTCTATCACAGGATACCAGGCAAGTTACTAAGCTTCTCTGACTGTGGTTTTCTCATCAGTAAAATGAAGATCTCAATACCTACCACACAGGATTTCTGTGAGCATTAAATTATATAAGGTAAGATAGAAGAATGCCTAGTGCAGTGCAGACACACATGGTCGTGTGAGGGAATGGAAGTTAGTAACACATATTCCCAGGCTTACTCTTCCCAGCTGCTCATGTGCACTCTGGCTTTGCCTTCCTGGTTCTTCCCTTTGCCCTGACCTGTTTGGGGGAGTTCTGTGATGCAGAATCAGGAGGAAAGGTGGGAGAGCAGGTGGGCCACAGTTAGGAAAGGCTTGGGGGCTCATTTGTAAGGGCTGTAACGTGTGAGGAAAGCTGGAGGGAAAAAGAGGGACTTAAAGAAATATTGCTGTAATTCTATATCCCTCTATGGTATTGAGAAAGACAAGTCAAGATGTGCTATTCTGAAATTACTGTCACTAGATTGTATTTCTTTGACTCATATCATTCTGACACTGGATTGGGTGGGTCTGGATACATTAAGAGTTAGGGCGAGTATTCTATAATTTCATTACTATTTAAGTATACAACCATGGGAGTAGAAGCAGTAGACAAGCAAGAGAAAAGGCGAAGGGAAAACAACTGAGCTGCCAATCTCATTGAAAAAGGAATACAGGGAGGAGTGAAGACGCCAGAGGACTGTCAGGTTCCATTACCCATCCCTGATTCACTGGGATTTCTGTGAGTTGCTAGCATTTCGGTGTTTCAGTTTTTTCCCTTGTGAAATGGCAGGGTGGGAGAGCTACAGCATTATGGCACACTAGTTGGCCTTTTCAGAGCTGGTGTGGAGGTATGTTAGCATCTGGGCCTCCCAACTCTGGCTTTTACTGTTCCTTAAGAAGTACGCGTGTGTGCACTTCTATATATGTGTATATGTGTATGTATGTGTATTTATGCACACACATGAATTCTGGAGCTACCCCTGCACATACCATTAAATCATTTAAAAAGAAAGCCTTCAAAAGGGTAATCTGTTTATCCCTTCTACATTCAAACAAGAATATGCCTGAATCCAAAAACATGACTAATTTCGCTTCCTAAAAAATCTCCAAAGGAGAGATTTATAGCCCCCACTCCCTTAATGACATACTTGATCTTCTAGTAACTCATAATGGAAAAGTTCCTCTTTGTTACATTTTTAAAATTGCACTCTTGCTTGCATTTCCAATTCTCCTTACCACATTATTTTAGTTTTGCATAGGACATATCCCCTTCTAACAATGACAGAATTTACTCATGTATTAATATTTACTGCTTACTGTCTCATCTCTTTTCTCCCAGCTAAAATAAGTGACCTTGTTCACCGATTTAGGCCATGTACCGAAAACAGTGCCTAGCTCATACCAGGGACCCAATAAACATTTGTAATTAGAAGCTGACTTTTTGTTCTGTTTCTTTGATAAAATCACAAACCTACAGAGCTGGAAGGGACCTTAGAAAGGGACCTTTAGAGATGAGAAAATTGAGGCGCTGTGAGGGGAAGCTGCTTGTCTGAAATTTTGCACAGAATTTCCTGAGCCCTTATCAGAGCTCTTTCCAGCTCATCTCAGTGCTTCCACGCAGAACTGTGGTCCTGGAGACAGGGCAAGAGTCGGCCAACGAGAGAGGCTGAATCTCACCTCATTTAGAGCAAGAGAGTCAGAGAGAAGAAGCTGTAACATTTATTTACAGAAAAGTAAAGTCTCATAATAATAATAGTCTATGGATCAGTAGCAGCTTTCATCTAAGGATCTCAGAGAGCTTATGAAATTCTCATCCCACAATGTGAGGTATCATTATCTGTTCTCAGTCAAGTAAATTAAGAAGCTGAGTGTTCTATGGTCTTATTGCAGGCTGGTTCAAAGACTCTTTGGGGCTCTATGTCCTCTCCATAGTTTTTCTCATCCTTAACACCAAGCTGCAACAGCTACAGGAACCTCCCAGTTTACTTTCTTCTAGATGTCCCTAAAACCATTCCGGCTCATGCCCATCTTTAAGCCAGTGTGTAGAGGAACAACACTGGGGATTTGAGGTGTTCAATCATGTAATGCCCCCTTTTGGGTCACCAGCGGCTCAGGCTTCCTGAGCTGGTCCTGGAGAAAAGCTGACCACAGTGACACTGGGGGTATACGACAGCTTTTTGGGGGTAAAAAGAATTATTTTTCTTTCCTCAGTTTACTGCCCATGCCCCCACATACCCTTTCCATCAACTTGGTTGAAAGTTTTACCCACCCACACAATTACAGTGTTCACAATTATTCCTCAGCTATTTAAGAACCACATTAAAGACCAATTAGATTGAGTCAACACAACAAGCCCTGCTGAGGAGCCCATTTAGATTTTGACTAAGGGTACTCTTTCTTCTTGGGGGAGATGGGGGAAACGGTGGATTCTGAAATCTGACACTTCTCATCATAAAGCTTTCCCCAGGCCCCTAACTGCACAGAGGCAGGCAGGCTTGCCCTCCTTACTCTCTTGGCCAGTAAAGATGCTGTCCAACCAGTGCAGTCCAAAACAACCTCAGCACCACAATGGCCGCTTCACTCCGTGTCAAGTTGACAGTGTTGTTCTAGAGTAGCGGAGGAACCCTGGTTACAGTTGACTGTGTACCCTGAGAACTTCCTCCTCTTCTGCAGCTCCTGGGACTGCACTGCTGACCTTGTCCTTGGGCTGGAAACTTAATGGCCAAATTCCCCAGCCAGCATCCTGAGGTTTCTGGCCCCTTGGAGCAAGCAGAAATTGCTTACTGAGCTCAGGATTCCCCAAAGTGTTTTCTGAAAAACCCATGCTCTGTGGGATACCCAAAGGTGTGATGTGGAAAAAGAACTTTGTGATCAAACAAGTTTATGAACTGAGTATAAAAATATGTTAAACAACAGTAGTTCCTTAAAAAATTAAAAATAAAATTACCATAGGATCCAGCAATTCTACTTCTGGGTATCTAGTTGAAAAATTGAAAACGGGGTCTCCAAAAGATATTTGTACGTCCATGTTCATAGCAACACTATTCACAATAGCCAAAAGGCAGAAGCAACCCAAGTGTCCACTGATGGATGAATGCAAACAAAATATGGTCTATACATACAATGGAATATTATTCAGCCTTAAAAAGGAAGGAAATTTTGACACACGCTACAACATAGATTAACCTGGAGGACATTATGCTAAATGAAATCAGCCAGTTGTAGGACACATTCTATATGATCCACTTACATGAGGTACCTAGAGGAGTCGAATTTATACAGACAAAAAGTAGAACGGTGGTTGCCAGGGGCTAGGGGAATGGCAGAATCCGGAGTTGTTGTTTAAGAGGTATGGATTTTAAGTTTTCCAAGATGTAGTCATGACTGGTTGCACAGCAATGTGAATACACTTAACACAACTGAATTGTACACTTTAAAATGGTTAATATGGTAAATTTTAGTGGCATGTGTTTTACCACAATTAAAAAAACAACACATTAAACAGTCTTTGCAGTAGGACTTCTCAGAGCCTTTAAATGTTAATGTGCACAGGGAATCCCCAAGAGGGGGATATAACAAGCAGCTCTTCCCAGCTTATCTGGCCACAGAATCCATTTTCCACACATCTCCTGGGACCAATGTGCTTCAGAACATGCTTTACGAAATGAGCTACTAAATGGAAAACTGTTAGAAAACATGAAATCCTATTTTTTACATTTACATAGAGGCAGGCGAGATTCCAGAGCCTGAAGTCAGATTTTCAAAACAGTCTTAACTCACCATCATCCTCTCATAGAGGAGAATCAGATTCTATCCTCAACTGTGTCACTCATCAGCAGGGTGGTCTTGAACAAGTAGTACTCTCCCCGGGCCTCTGATTTCTCACCTGATGTGTGGGAAAAATACCTGCTCAACCTATCTCACCGGTCTGTAGTAAAATCTAATTAGAAACATTTGTAAAAGAACCTGAAAAGTACCAAGGGCTATTCAAAACGTAGGATAATTAGTAAGTATGTACTAATGCTTATTAAGGTGCAGCAGACAAGGAAGAGAGCCCAGGTCTCTCACATCAGGAGCTCAGATTGTTAAGCACAGAACAGACACCAATAAGCACAGAAATGAAAGAAAGGAAAAGAACCATAGACTGAGCACTTCCAGTAGAGCAAAAACAGGGAGACTGGGAGAATGGAAGTCAGAAAACATAGGTTGAGAAGCTGATTTTACTGCTGTCTGACCTTAGACAAGTTATTTAGCTTCCCTGACTTGCGGCTTGTTCAGCTGTCGGATGATGTAGTTGGAAGAGATAACCTCAAAGGTCACTTCCAGCTCCATTAAGTCTATGAAATACTGCAATAGACATGCCACGGATACATGCATGATTCCTTCATCAGATGCTTAAGGGCCTACCCTGTGCCTGGCTTGGTGCTAGGATGTGGAGAAGAACAGATCACTGTCTCCATGCTCCTTGTTGAATAAAGCAGGAGCCTCTGGCCTCCAGACCAGCTGGCCTCAGAAGATGAGGCTGCTCACATGGGGATGTCAGGGACTCATTTCCTTTGTAGTATTCTCCTGGTCCTCCACCCCCATAATTTTTTTAAAAAGTGTTTCTAAAGTATCTTTATTGAACTACTGACTCAATGGAGCCAGACAGATGGTATGGAAAAGTTGCTAGGTGAAGAGAAGTGCAAGCCTCCACAGAAATAAGGCTGCCAAGTCGTGGGGACCCATCTTCCTGCAGAGCCCAGTGACTTAATACACAGAAAATGTGAGATGCCCAACGATGGCTTGTTGACAGACTAATGATCTTACAGGGGCAGAGTGTCAGCAGTACAGGAAGATGGGATAACAGTGGTTTGAGACAGATATGCAAGGAACCTGGAAAAATAGTTTCTGGCAGAAATGGGAGTAGGAGAGCCAGCTCCCACAGTGAATAAATTGGCAATTTAAAATTTGCTGTGTCCAGTGATAGAGAACCACTGAAGGTGGCCAAGGAGGTGAGAGCAAGGTAAAGTGTGTGCCTGCGTGTGGCAGACCACATACAAGGGAAGACTGAGTTAGAAAGTGTGGTAGCACAGTGCTGGGAGAGAGTCCAGGGGCAAGATGACTGGGAGAGTTTAAAGGACAGATGTTTTAAGGCTTGCACTGTGGTGGTGTGGACAAATAACAGAAGGGACAAAAGTGGTAGCTCTGCTGAAAGAACACAGAATAAAAAGTTATCAATATACTAGATGCATGGAGTTAAGAAAGCATGCTTGTTCCAAGGGAACTGTCTATAAATTCTCTGGGAGATAGGGCAGAGGGAGAAGTTTATGACAACCTATAATATTAGTAACTGAGGATATAAGGGGATGAGCTGGAAATCAATGGTAGTGAAAAAGGGATCTCTGTTTCTGTCACATTTAGACTGATTGGTAAAATGAAGATATTGAGTAAAAATGTCCTATGCAGAGAAGGTATATATAAAGATGGATTTGTAGACATTGTAGACACTGTAGACATGGGCATGGGAGAGACTAGGCAAGGGGGTGGAAGTGCAAAACAGAAGGGGGGCTATTTGTGTAATCCACACATATCTTTGGGTCCTTGAATAGGCACGCAGGGGTCTCAATCAAGACCTCCTGAAATATCATTCTGTATCAGTGTGCGTATACATGTACAGGTTTCTGTGGGGGAAGATTTCTAGCTTTCATCTGATCCTCAAAAGGCCCCCAAATAGTGATTTTGTTGGCATTAAAATCCTCAACACTTGATGGAAAGTTTCTCTCCTATCTGCTTGATAGATGTGCCATGTTAGAGCACTTTAAGAATAATGCACTAAATCTGTATTCATTAACAAATTTAAGAACCAAAGAATAACTGTTACTATTCTATCATCTTGTTAAAATTAAGGTACAAAATTTGGTATAATAATCCAAAGACTCCGACTGACATTGGCAAACATACTTAACTCAAATATTTTACATGTAAAATGTTAAAAGCATATTTTAAAACCTTGCAAGTATAGGTTCCTCACAAAAAGTTTAATATGTATAGGATTTCTTTAGCACAAGGGTACCTGGCTCTGCAATATTCACAAATCTGTAATATTCAAGGACCTTGCCAAAAACAGTTGTTGAAGCTACTTCTAACAGTCGTGACCCTCCCTCTCAAAAGGATGTTATCAAGTAGACTGTGCAGTAATGACTATAAATATGTGACATGCTTATGTTACTATAAATAAATGTTGCACTTTCTCACAACCCATTTAATTACTGTTCACCTAAAGCTACGCAATTAACAAAACTGTCTGAATTCTGAAAATGAGGAAAGCCCTCCTGTCTCTCTTAGGTAGTTTTACAATCCTAACAATAGACTTAATGAAGCCTTTTAAAAGAAGGATGATTACATTAAAATGATTGGGGCATGTAGAAATTCATTACATACATCCTCCTGGTGTCTGATAGATTAAATGCCTCATCACACCCTAGAGAGAGGGAGGAAGAAAGAATAAAGAATAATACAACTGTCTGAGTGAATATCTTATACCTGAGATTGAATCTGGCCCCCATCCGTCACTCAGGACTACACGCTACACCCAAAGTTTGAGGAAAACATGCTTGGTAAATTATCAGGTAAATTATGAAGTGCTGCTTGTTGAATATCAATTGACATTATAATCCATACATTAATGATGGTAAACAACAATTATGCAAGTTGATATAACTTTTTCCCTTGGAAAACTGATAAGGGATACAAAACCAAAGTATAGTCCCTGGGGAGTTTTCTGGGACTGTTAGCATCCATTACACAAGTGCTTCCAGGGATAGCGCCGAAGGACTGGATTGTGTTAAATTCATTCCTAGATATTTCATATTTTTCTGTTACTACTGCAAACAGAATTGTTTCCTTCACTTGATTTTCCAGCTATTAGCTGCTAATATACAGAAATGCAATTGATTTGTCTATTGACCTTCTATCCTGTGACTTTATTAAATTTACTTTTTAGTACCTTCTAGTATTTGCTTTATACGTTCCTTAGGATTCCTCTACATAAACTGTCATATTGCCTGTGAATAGAGACAGCTTTACTTCTTCCTATCCAATCTTCACATTCCGCATGTGATTTGGTATACTGCTTTTTTTTCTATTTAACAACCTTAAACATTTGTCCAACTTATTTAGCAATTTTGATCATCATTTTAATTAATATATAATATTCAATTTAATAGATGTATCACAGTTTACATAATTAAATCTCAAATGGGGAACATTGAGGTTTTTTCCATTTTTTTTGGCCAAAAACAACATTTCCAAATTATTTCCAGAATACCATGCTGCCTTCTCAAATATGTACTGTCACCATCAAAGTTTCAAATAGACAATACTAGTCAATATATAATTAAAAACTCTGACAGAAATATTTTGAAAATGCCACCATCACTAATCTTTCTGGCCTGGGATCAAGTAAATCTGATGAATGCTATTAATGAAGGGTGACCCAGAAATAACAAGTTAAAAAAAGCTGCACTTCTGAGACTCCAGAGAACATGTGCTTTTAATGGTTTAATGCTCTACTTTCAGTTTCATAGGAATGCTAACAAAATAAGTTAGGCTTACTAAAATCTAGATATGAAAGAATGGAAATGTTTAAAAACAAAACAAATCCCACCAGTTTTACATATCAGAGTGGTTAGAACTTACAAATGAAGCCAATATGCTCACCAGGGACTATTCCTATTTCACACTTAATCTGCTATTTAAAATATGGACCCATTTTTCTCAGGTCAAGTGAATGAGCAACCACAGGAAAGCTCTGTGTTCTCATCAAAGAAACCTACAAAGTAAAAGAGACAGTAACATCAAATCCAGTGTAAGTTTACTGAATTTATAAGACACAAAGCATGGCTGTCAGAAAAATCACTTGTGTTTTGGGGAAAGTAATCTCCAAAATATCTGTGTGCCTCTGCGTAGATATCTGTTTTAAAAGCTTTATTAGGATCCATGCCACCATCAGTTTGATGTAGAAACGGCACATTTACATGCTTGGCAGCATTTACTACTCAGAGCCCTGGAGATTATTGCTGATCAGGGAAAACTGAGTGAAAACAGAGAGAAACGGGTGTTTCCATACCCGTAGATACCAAGATGGAATCTACTCCCTGATGACAATGTGACCCACAGTCCACACAAGCTAACCTTTCATGCTTTCCATAATGGCTGTTTAAAATCTACATCCTTCTCTTCATTTCCCCAGCTCTCCACATTTCCTTTCTTTCCTTTGTACTTGCCCTTGCCTTAAAAGTTAATGTTTTTTCGTGCGAATGTCAAGTGGTACAACCACTTTGGAAAACAATTTGCTATTATTCAGCAAAGTGGATGGTGCACACACTCTAAGACCCAGAAATTCTTCCCTTAGGCACCCATTCTAGAAAAACTGCAGCAGGATGCACATTCAAGAATGTTCATAGCACACTATTTAAATAGCAAAACTGGAAATGTCCCAACTGTTCTTGAGAGAAGGGATAAAGTGGTCTTCCACTCATACAATGAGTGGACCAGACAGCAGTGAAGATAAATAAATTTGATGCATGATGCTTCATGCATCAGTAGGAATGAATCTTAAAAATGTTGAATGAATCTTAACAAATGTTGATGGAAATAAGCAAATGGTAGAAGAAGACCATTTATATATAGTCCCAAGGTAAATAAAAGTTAGCAATAAATTGTTTAGGGAAACAAACTTACAGAGAAAAGCAAGGAAATGATAAACATGAAATTTAGAATACTGGTTCCATTGAAGGAGAAGGGTGTGGAGAGTGAACTCACAGGGGCTTCCAAGCTGCAGGATGAGTAAGAGGATTGTTTATTTCTCTCTCACACACACACAATGTAGATGTGTGAGTGAGTGTGGATACACATACACACACCTATTCCTTTGTATGCCTCATATTAAAAAAAATTCTTATGTTACCCTGAGCCCTGGGCCCACCTTCCTCAGTGCCTCCTTCCCAGTACTCTGACCCTCTGTAGGGCCTTGGGCTTGGACTCGTCTTAGTTGGAGCACTTGCTCCTTCTGCCTCCCAGCTCCAATCAAACAGAAGACTCAACATTGATGACCTCTGTTCTCTACAAGGACTCACCTGCGTTTATCCAGGCTACTGCTGATGGGAAGGTGAAACCCAGCAGGGATGTACAGAAGGTGGTGCCAACCTTGCTGCAAGGGAACGTGCAAGGAGTGCCCATTTCTAATCTGTCTGCCCAGAGTGCAGACACCTTTTGCTGAGTTGTACTCAGGAGCTGCAGGCGGCAGTGCTGGCCTAGGTCTCCCACCCACAAGCCAACCCCAGGGTTGCCTCCTGTTCACAAAAGTTTATCAGTTGTATTACTGCTGCCCCAATTACTACTGAGTGGTACCTCACTACTACTGACTTCCCCAAACCACCCCTTCTTCCTTCCTCATTCCTATAGAATAATCCCAGACCTACCCATCTCTCAGACACCCAGACTCTCAACTTGGCATAATTCTCCACCTTCCCCTATCCCCATTTTAAGAGTAAACTCAGAGTTTATTTTTCTGCTTCACCCACAGTTAGGAGTTCCTGGTCTTGGTACCATGGCCTGAATTTAGACAAAATAGGAATTTTTATTGGATTTATTCTATTTCAGGAATGTTTATTCTAAAAGCTTTTCTTATTTCCTACTCAAAAATTAAAATTGGTAAGTTAATTCAAAGGCAAGTGAATTCAGCTGTTTTTTCATTTCAATTTTTCTCAACTATTTAGTAGATTACCTATAACAACCAGAGAAACTGTAACTACTGTCCTAAAGATCTGAATCTAGGTAATTTGGTTTTTCTTAAAAAATGTTTCACACCATCTGCATTGTAACATGAAAACAAAATAGCAAATCTCCATTTTCACTTTAATGACCCTATTTTCATTTGATCACTGAAATACTAAAGTGATACTAAAGTGAAGGATTGTTAGGAATAATGCTCAAAATCCTAAGGAAATTGAACACTCGAACAAAGAATTCTTAGCAAAGCAATTTTACTTCTGCGCAGAGGGGTGCCTCCTTGGCCAGTCGCCATGAGAACACACCTGAACAAAGGGTCATGAGAGCCTTTATTCCTGAAGCAAGTCCTGCCCCTGTACCCTTTCCCCATTGGCCAGGGTCGGTTCATACAATCTAAACTAATCCCAGTTGGCTAAACATTTGATTTTTTTTTAGATAAGGTGGGCACGTAAAAGAAAGTGGAGGGGAAGGGGAAGGGGTGTCTGTAATGAGCTAGAAAGTTAGTCCTCTTTCCAAATAAGGAAAGGAATGTGAGCTGGTACTGATAACGCCTGGTACTGTGGCGTGCCTGGGCATCTAACAAAGGCAAAAAGGAAAAAAGGAGAAAAAGGAGAAAAGTGTGTGGGGGGAGGGGTTCTATGAATTAAAGAACAAAAGATTGATCAGATTATTGGAAGAGAAACCTCATCATATCCCACAGGATGAATGTGAAAAACAAAAACAAGAAAAGTAAGGACAGGTTTCTGCAGGTGGTGGCATACTGTAAAGCAAACTTTGGCTCCACGAGGAGCAAGACACTGGTACAGTTAAAGGGCCAGGCTGAATGGATACCCTCCATGCAGGATTCTGAGTTCAGCAAGAAACAGAGAAACTGAAAGACAACTCTGAAATGCCAGGTGAGTGAAGGTGATTCCAAAGTGAAAGGTGACAAGAACTGGTCTCAGGGACCTGGTTGTGAGGAAAGAGAAAACACAGTAGGCCTTCAGAGAAAGGCATCTGAGGTGGCCAATTCCTCCAATGTGGGTGAAGAACGCTCTCAATGATCATAGGAGATGGCGATATGACGGAAAATATGAAAACCTGTCATTCACTATCTCGAATCTCAGCTGAGATATGGAGTGATACTCATGGGTTAAACATCCAGTGAATGATGGTTGCCTAATATTTACATGCAAATAGGCCTCAGATATTAACTGATTTGGGCTTTAGCCCCCAAAAGAAAAATTTTTAAATTATATTTCCAACAACAACAACAACAACAACAAAACAAATGCTAGGCTGTGCGCGGTGGTTCATGTCTGTAATCTCAGATCTTTCGAAGGTCAAGGTGGGAGGATGAATTGAGCCCAGGAGTTCAAGACCAGCCTGGGCAACATAGGGAGACACTGTTTCTACAAAAATAATAAAAAATATTAGCCAGGCGCTGTAGCAGGCACCTGTAGTCCCAGCTGCTAGGGAGGCTGAGGTGGGAGGATCGCCCAGGAGGTTGAGGCTGCAGTGAACCGTGACTGTGTCACTGCACTCCAGCCTGGTTGACAAAGTGAGATTGTGTCTCAAAAAAGAAACAAAGAAAAACAACAAATGCTTTTTTCTGAACGGACACATTTTGCTCTGTTGGTTCTGAAATGAGCCAAGAACATTATATAGTATTTGTTGTTGTTATTAAACAGTATCATCTAGAAAACACAAAAGCCTAATTATATTTTCTTGGCCACTGTAAAAATGGAATACTGTAAAGATATATGATTGGCTAGTTAGCCAATATTTATTAATACCAAATATAAGAAAACAGAATAAATATTATGATAACTGTCAAAAGTTTTTTGTCCTACCAGTTCATGGGCCATATATAAAAAAAACACTCCTGACACTTTACCAGTGAGGCCTTCCCACACCTAGCACCTCACTGCGGTCACCATAACGACTTCTAAACTTTACGAGTGGGTTTTATAAGTTACTTTATTTTCAATACCTAAGGGCTGTTTAAACTTTTTCTCATTATCAAATTTACTTTTTTGCGGTAAGCGGCACTTTGATGTACATCAAACTCTCTTGTAAAAGAAAAAAATGTTTTTTCCCTCATCTGGTAACAGTAGAATGGGGAAAGTGGCAGGTACTTCAGTTTTGCTTTTTTTTTAAATTACATTTCCCCTACTCCTACTCTTTAGAATATTCTAAAGATGGACAAAATCCTCCCCCGACACAAAGGTTTTGTCTTCAATTACCGTAGCATTATCTATGTTGACACACAGCAACAGAAAAAACAATACGGACAGGTGCCTTCCCTCTTGCCATTCTTCTACCCTGTGTATGAATCCACTCGACGTCAAAGTTGGGAGTTAGTCCATCCATGGCCAGTACTGACCAAAGAAAGGGGGTACAACAAGTAGAAGTTGGTAAATGATGATGATTTTCTCCCCTCACTGGCATCTCTTCATCTAACTCCTGTTGGGGATTTCACGGCACTTTGTGCCTCCACTTCAGACACTCTTCACAGTTGCACCTTACTCTTGATGACTGTCAGCTTCTCCCGTGGCCTAGCTCTTTGGTGAGACGGTCAGGACTTCCTCAAGCCCCCAAGGCTCACATACTTTCCACCACACGACGCTGCCTCATGTTCCACCCTGAAACCATCTCACTTTCTCATGGCAGCCTTATCTGGAGGGACTATGCAAATGCACAAATTGCTGTTTTATCCCTTCTGTTATCATCACTGATCCACGCAGCATCTCACTTTCTTTCACTTTACACTCTGACTGTATTCAGTAGTGACACATTTCACAACTTAATGAACGCCCCTAGATCTTCCGAAAAGCCATCATGCTCACCCAACAGTGGGAGCTGCTCTCCACAGACCACACATACCCACAAAGGAGGATCAGTCTTTAGTAGAGGTGAACACTTAACCCTCATTACCCTAGTAAGATTAGTACTCCTCATCTGAATGCAAGATTCCAGTCCCTCCTTTAAAAAAATCACCCATGGGCTAATATTTGGGTATGTTACAGGAAGTGGGACTCAAGATTTAAACCTACTAACATCAATGAGGACATCCAGGGACCTCTCCACTCACAGTAGTGACTGACTAAGCACCCTACCAACTTTCCCTTCCCATGGTACTGCTCCATCTCAGGGCAGTTTCACAAGACTATTATGACAGATCACAAATGCAGAATACCTTGATGTCAGCAAAGCACCTGATAGTCACTCAAAAACATATCCAAGCAAGATGGGAAACCCTGGTCCAAGTGATAATTCACTTTAGTGGCCTCAGTGACTGAATGGCCATACCCAAAGACACTAACATCACAGAAGAACAACACTGACCTGGAGAGAGGTCCTTGGAACAGGGCTTTGCACATTTGTCCCTGGTCAATGTTTTCATCAAGATGTGCTTATAGCAGTCACAAATAATTCACAGTTGAAAGGAGATAGTTAATTAATTGGACGACAGAATAGAGATTTTAAAAGACTTAAATAGGTTAGAATGACAGCCACAACTGACCAAAAGAACACCATCTTCCTCTCCAAATTAACAGATAAAATCTTGCTTTCAATTGTAAATAATCTATGGTATGTGTGGATAGGATGGTGTTATCACTTGCCTCACGTTCAGTTGTTTACTGAATGGAAACAACTCATCCTGTTTACAAGTTCTGCCAGTGATCCTGTCTCCAGACTCTGGGTGGGTATGGCTTTCAGCCACAGACATTCAGAATCATATCAATTTTACGATTCTGACTTCAGACCGGGGCTTCCTTTTACTCTGGGCTCAAGTATCTGTCTTGGGGCCTACCTCATTTCAGTAGTTGACTCTATAACTCATTCTTTTGGACTCAGCTCTTTGCATTAGCTTCTGAACTGAAGTCCCTGCACATCTGCATGCCTCTCATCTGGCTCTACGACATGCCCAGCCATACATTTCTGCTGCCAAACTTCTGTCCATCTAGACAGCCACCTATAGAAGAGTTTCCTCTGTACTATGTCTTACCAGATTATCCAAACTGCCTTCTGTTTACTCTGCTGCTGGTACCATTCCCATGAGCATGCCCCAGCTCATGGATCTGTTTGTTCTCTAGATCCCTATCTGGTCTATATTCTGGATCCCAAGCTATACCATCCAGCTACTGACAGAAATCCAGATCTCCTATGTAGCATGGGGAAAGGAGATGAGTTTAAAGCAATTCATACTTAAGAAGTCCTAAGGATTTTTATCACACATAAGCTCAATGCAAGCTGAAGATATGATAAAGTGACTCGATGAGAGATGTAATATTGGTCTGCATCAGTATAGCCTATACTGATGCAGAAAATGTGCACCTAAGGAGACCTGATAGTAACCTCTTACTCTACACTGGTCAAACCATCTTGTAAGTACCGTGTTCATGTCCAAGAGCCATGTTTTCAAAAAGACAGTGATATAAAGGCAATGTATCCAGGAGGAAGTGACCAGAATGACGGGATTCCTGACACCAGCTAATGCAAGAAAGTTATAAGAACTAGGGCTCTTGGACTAGGAAAAAAGGATTTTTCAGGGGTTGGGTTTTCAGGTACTGAAGGGCTCTCAAATGGAAGATGACCTAGAGGCTTGTATCACCAGAGACAGCTTGGGGGTCTGCAGGAACAAAGCGGAAGGTGTGGGCTAGTGTAATAAGTGCTTGTCCCATCTCTGCTCCAGACTCGGGTGACCCTACATCTCTAGCCCCAGTTTCCCCCAAAGACTGAGAGGGTATGATTTCCAAGGCCTCTTCCCAGCTTTCAGAGCCCATAATTCCTCTTCTTTACATAAACCTCAATCTGAGAAAGAAGACAGGCGTGGCCTTGCCCGCTCTGGGGACTGGAGAAGAGACTAGTTCTTAGATCTTCCAAGTGGCCCCTTCTAAGAAAATTAAACTGACTGAAGTAATGAGTGAAACAAGGGGTTGCAAGCTTTATGTTTCGATAAATGAAAATTACAGAAATTCCCAAATTGAGGTATGTTAGGCAGAAAATGCCCCCCAAAAGGTATTCACTTCCTAATCCCTTTACCTTATATGGCAAAGATGTGATAAAGTTAAGGATTTGAGAGGAAGAGCTTATTCTGGATTATGCAGCAGGCTCTAAAAGCCATCCCAGGTATCCTTATAAGAGGGCTGCAGAGGAAGACACACAGATGAGAAGGCAATGTGAGGGCAGAGGCAGAGACTGGAGTGATGTGGCCACAAGTCAAGAACACTTGCAGCCACTAGAAGCTGGAAAGACAGGAAACAGATTCTCTCCATCTCTGAAGGTATCGTGGCCCTGCTGACACCTTGCTATTGGACTTCTGACCTCTTAAAACTGTGGGGGAATAAATCTCTGTTGTTTTTAGCCATCAAGTTTGTGGTAATTTGTGACGGCAGGCACAGCAAGCTAACAAAGAAGGTTTTCTGCTCAAATAAAATTTTGTTGTGGGCTAAAAGTGGGCAGTAATAACCTTTTAAAGGAAAAGCTTAAATTTTTATGTATTTTTATGGCCTATACAACACCACTCTTAGAAAACTGCAGCTCTGCTCTTAAAAGTATTTAGGGGCACTGACAAAAGCATCTTTTCAGCCATTCTTCACATATATTTTATTAATAATCTTTCCTTCACATGCAATTTCAGCAGATAATAAGTCTATGCAAGGCAGACAACCAAATGATTCCAACTTCTACACAGCAGGCCTGGCTGCAGTGAAACAAATTATGCAGTATCTCATGGCTACAGGAGAAAGCCTCGGTGTAAAAACAAATGGTACAAAGTATGTAGGTGAGAGCTCGTCTTGTCTCTCCATTGTAACGTGGGCAGCATTTCTCCCCACTCTCTCCTGGCAACATCCAGCTTTTGTCATAGGGAATGATGAATGCTACTCAGATGAAGAATATACGAAATGATCCCCAAGTCTGGGAACCAGCAGTGGAAAGAAAATGAGTGTCTCATGGGCTTCCCCCACTCCCACTGCCTGCAGATGCCACCCCTGGAAGTCATTTTCACGCTTTCACAGGGCGACCACCTTGCAGGGCCAGGTCAGGTTAAAGAGGTGATTCTCTTTTCAAGGTTTCCAATTGTTCCTTGATAAAAACATCATTACTACTTTTAAAACCACAAATAAGGGAGAAAGACCTTTTAAATTCAGTGAAGAGAAAATGAAAGATGTGTAAAAAAATACCAGTTAAATTACATGAGGCTGATAATGATGGCTTCAGGACAAGAGAGCATCCACAGTGGAGGAGAAAGAGAAGGGTGCTTCAAGTCTGAGATATAGTTTTGGATCTTGCTGCTTCCTAGATGTTAGTCCTTGGGCAATTCATTCCCCTTTGGCTGAGCTTTATTTTCCTCACATACAACGTGGGGCAACCGAATAAGATAACATGTGGCCTAAAACAGTGGTTGGCCTACCAGTGTTCGTTAATGTGTAAAGAATGAATGAACTGTTCTATATCCAGGACTAAACAAGGAACCCTCAATTTTTCAACTCTTTCCTTGAATCACGCTGAAAATATTGTTATCTGCAGTTGTTCTAGATCAGTTATCAATATCCTCCTAAATTTAGAATGTCTAGGAAGAGGGATTTTTTTTTTTTTTTGGAAATTCAAATTGGCAGAGGGTAGGTATATTTTTCTTCTTAGACAGCACCGCTTAGTTTTACAATCCAGGGATTTACATAAAAGAAAGCTGGTCAGTTATTACGCATGATACATAACAACTATTTTTGGGCCAAGACTAACAATGATTGCCTTTGAGTCTAAAACAGAATTCTAAGCATGTCCCTTCCTCCTAAACACACACACACACACACACACACCCATGCATGCATTCTTGCTCTTTCTCTCCCTGCCCGCAAGTCAAAGCCACTTCCTTTTCCTGGTCCCCAGTCGCCAGAAAAGTGGGTTGTGTGAAACGTGACCCTTACTCAGTTATACACTGAGGCTGGGTCACTCCGTTGCCTGATCACCAGCAGAATGGGTCAATCTGTGTGTGAGGTTGAGAAAGGTAAATGAAGAATGTAGGCCACTTTGGCCTCCTATAGTTTCTGAGGCTGGCAGCCTGTAGTACATGTATCAGGGAGGGCCTGAGGAACAATTCCCGTCTGCACATAGGAACTGCCCTGTCCAGTGTCCATGGGTTCAGAGGCACCAGAAGCACCTGAGTCCTGCCCCTGCAACCCGCCCATGCCCACTCAGGAAGCAATGGCTCCCACAAATGGCAGGGAGTTGTGCTTATGCTATTCTTCCCTTCCTCTTCTTCACTCTCTCCCTCACCTCCCTTAAGCAACCAGTACACGCATTTGCGCGGTACACCCCAAAGCCAATGTCCCCCTATTCACACTGGAGACACATCCTCATGTCACCCCAGCAACCAGCACTGTGAGGCCTTTGGATACCCCATGTAAACACTGCTGGCCTCTGACCCCGGAAATCTTATTCTTCCCACAAAAGAAAAAACTTGTATGAATTAATTTTCCCACCTCTTAACCAGCTGCATAGAAATCATGCGGACATGGCTTTAAAGCTGGATTCCTGATGCGGCCTCAAATTTCTAACCCTCGATTACTTAGAATTAGATTTTCCCCCCACAAGACAATTATCCCCACACTAAGAATCTAGGAGGTTTTTTATCATTTCTCTTGGGACTTATTAAAACCAAAGAAACACTGAAAAATGGAGCAACTTCCATGTACATTCTACATTAACAGACCAACACATTTCAAAGAACTCACTCACTCAGAGGAAAAGTAAACAATTCTAAGGCAGGAGGTAATTTTTCTTTTTACTTTTCTTTTTGAATGACAATTTTTGTTTCGGAAGGCCTCTGTGTCTATCAAATAGGCAGTAGTGTTTGTGGCCATATTTGTGGCCTGAACGCAGCTGTCTAAACCCTGCAAACAGTTGGAATGACACTGCAGGAATTCTCGGTCTCACTGAAACTGCAGAAATGGCAGGGGCCTCTCTCATGGCAGGCACTGAAATACCTTTAATCACACCAGACAAAGGCCATCCAGGATGCACGGAAACCAAACCTCTCTCCTCAGCCCTTTGAGAGTAGTTGAAGTGGATATTATTTTAATCAAATCCTTTTAAATCACTAAATAGGATGACTCCATTTAATTAGCTTTTTACACAAAAAGCACATTTTTGTTCTGATACAACTTGATTACATATTTTTCAATTTTTAAATGGGTATGGGTTTCACTTTTTAAAAATACACTTTATACACTTAAAGCAATGATATCTGGAACTGTAACCCTCAAGAATTCTAAAAGATTCTGTGGAAAAGAAAATATTTGCTTTAATGTTTCCCTTGTGCACTACTGCGTCCCCCTCTTTTATCTTTGAACTCTCTTTGCTTGCCCAGATTAGTTCAATTTTAAGAATGATCTGTTCATTTGTCTGCTTGAAACTTTGTACTTTTGGGGAGCAAGTCAAGGAATGATGGTCTTATCGCCACATAATGCTATTAACAAGCATGGTTTCCACTCATTCATGCCTGCTCAATTTTTTAAGAGGGCCTACTATGAGTTAGGCACTAGGCTTGGCACAGATAAGGATTCTGAGCTGATAAAGCCTGCAGTTCCACAGTGAACACTGCTGTCAGACAGTCACTGCACAGATAACTATGCAACCACAATGACAGCTTTGAAGCGGCCGTGGCGATAGGGCAACCCCATCCAGCCTGGGCCTTTAGGGGAGTGTCAAGGAAGAGCTCTCTAAAAAGTAACAAATGCCGCTTTCTTAGAACTTACGAAACTTAAAAAAAAATAAGGCACACAAACATATTGTCTCAAATATTATATAAACTCCAAAGTAAGGTGGGGTATGGGAAGGGGAAAGCTCTGAGCCCAGACAGATCTGAGTAGAATCCTTACTATAACTACAGCACCTTGAGCCTCTCATAGCTCCCTCACAGGACTGCTGTCACAGTGAAGTGTAACATAGATGATATAAAGCACTCTGCATAGCAGAAGTTCAATAAACCATAGATATTAATTAATACAGAATTTATGCTAACTTGTCTTTGAGCTTTAGCATGTCAAAATAAAGCTAATTTTCCACTTCTGTCTTTACAAAAACGTTCAACTAAAAGAGGAAACTTAAAAATCCACATGAAGAACAAACACTGTAACTTTGGCAATTTTTCTCCACTGGAGTTGGCCAACAGGTATCATTTACTTATACAACAGATGCACATCCTATATTAGATTCTTCTGGATAGGTAAACACAGACAAAAAGAAAAGTTGATAGATCCGTGTTCAACAGTGTTCTACCAGCAACAGAAAAAGGTTCTGAAAGTGGAACTTCTAGAATAGAGCTTTTAAAACAGCAAACTCCCCTAAGGCAATGATTGTTTTTCAGGTCATCAACTACTTGACTGAGGAGAGGGTGCAGGCAGAGCCTTTCAGAGGTGCCTCAGACTCACTCCATCCAAGCAGCATTTCTACCCGTTTAGCTTCTCTTAATCTGGATTCCCTGTGCACTTACAGACATCCACACCACGGGTCAGTCACCCGTGTTCACTCTTTTGTTAGACACTCATTGCTCCTTCAGTCCCAATCCATAACTGGTCTTACCTGGCATTCTTTAGACTGGTGGCCAACAGCCCTTTTTCCATTTTAATTCAAGACCCAAGTCAGAAAACAAAAACAAAAACAAAATGTATTTGGTTTGTGTTTTTCAATTTAAAAGCGAGTAATTTTACTTGGTCCTGTGAAAGGGACCACTTTACTGATAAGAAAAATGAAACTTGGGGAGGAGAAATGATTTTTCTAAGGTCTAACAGGAAGTTAACAGCAGAAGTGAAGCAAAATTGAACACATTCCATTCAGTGCCCCCCACACCCCACTAACTGAGCCCTGCTGTTTGCCCGGCATGGGGCCAGGACTGGGAACCCAGATGAATGGACTTCCCCCTCCTGTGGCTGCAGGATTCACTGCCTGAGTTGGACAGGGGAGGGCAAGTCCTGCAGTCTGGGGCAAATGCCAGGCATTTCTTTGGGCTCCAAGGCACAATACTGCCCTGAGGGGGCTCCTGGCACCCATAGGCTCTTGCCTGCTGTGGACCTGGCCTAGTCCAGAAGGGTCACAGTATACTGACCTCCCATAGGCGACAGTCTTTGCCAATCCCTGGCTTCCACAGCCAAAACCTGAGTGCATGCGGATTCTAAAAAGGCTCCTTCTGCCTTGTCCTAACTAGAGCTGTGTTATTTCCCCAAGTTGCCCTGGTTTGTATGAGCTGAAAAGCCCGTGACTAGCAGTAGATCACAGGCCATCCTGCAGAAGCTAGGTGCCTGCATGGGGTCAAAGGTCAGGAGTTACTCACAATTGTTCTGGAACAATGTTTCAGATAGTATACTTCCCTAACTTAGAGACAAACGAGCTGCATTCAGAATGGCTCTAGTTCAGAAAGAAAAGCCTCTCTTGCACTCAAATCAAGATGAGAAATAACCCCAAGTCATTCTCAGATGATGAAGGGGCAGCCCCCAAGTGGCCAGGGAATTGAGGAACATAACTCAGAACAGCTGAAAAGTTACACCCAAGGCAATGTGGTTGGGCAGAGTAGTGGGGGCCGAAAAGGACGCCTGGGTGGCTAGCGAGAGCTGCGACGTCCAGCCTTTCAGTGGGGGAACTCAAGGCACCTGGGGAGGCAGAGAGACGTACAGGCAGAGAAGGCTCAGCAAACATTCAGAGAAAGAATGCATTCACAGCTCCTCACACCCACTCCATCATGGAGTTTTTCTGGATAGCTCAGCCCTCAGTCAGAGCTTCCAAGCCCCTTCTGCACAGCTCTCAGATTGTACCATCATTACCTGAGTACTTGTCAGTCACATTCACTTTTGTCTCAAGAGAGTCCAGCATGATGTCTAACACCCAGTAGGAACCAAAAAAATGTTACATTAATGAAAGAATGACCTGCTACACAGTGGCTGCAATTCAAAGATACGGCTCAGGCAGAGGTGAGCAGCAGCCATCTGAGAGTGGAGGAAAAACAACAATGAATGGACTGAAAACGACCTCCTTGACCAGCCTGAGGATAGGCGCTCCCCATTCCTCCCCAGCCTGAAGGCTCCTCAGCCATGGGACAGCTGTTCCATTCTATTTCTGGGGTGGGAGCCATAACTTATAGTCAAAACATATGTTCCCATAAATTACCAGAATTGAGTGTTACAACTAAGGGAAGGGAGAAAATAGTGGGTCCACCAAAGGAGGTAAGGTTTTCTTTCTATTTCACAAACCAGTTCCTTCTCCAACTCGACCTCTCTCTTAGAAATCTATGGACTCAGAATTACAATCCCAAATTAAAAGTGGACTTCATCCTAGGTTCCAACAGGAAGCCCTTTATAATTCACAAGGCACTTGCTCTCAGTGCAAAACTTGCCAACTTACTTTTTCCACGTTTAGATCAGCATCCTGCTTCTTCAAAAAAACTGTAGAAGAAGAAAAAAAAAAGTGAGACATCAAAAGAGAACCAAGTACTCTCTGCCTACAAACCACCCACAAAGCACCACCATAGAATTTCCATTTGTTGCAGACAATCAATTTGCCCACAAATTTTTTATCATTCACACAATTGTTGCTAAGTCACAGTTGCCACAAACACCTGTCTGAAACTGCAAAGACCTGGCCTTGTACCACCAAAGGAAGCCAGCATGAGATTTTAACTTTCTGGAATCAGGAAAGATAAGGATAGAGGCCTTGTGTGTACACACACACATACACACACACACACAAACACAAACACAAACACACTTCCCTTTTTCAGAGTCTCTACAAGTCATCAATGGTTGGGGCACAATTAAAACTGAGTCTTCCAAGGTCTTACTCAATTTACCTCTTGGATTAAAACACCCCCAGCACCCAGCCCATACCTTCCCCACTTCCTATCTGACTGTGGGTGGGCCCCGCTGTCAAAAAAAGCATTTTGGGGATGGCCCCTGGTTCCCAGCAGCTGGGGTTCCCCTCTGCAGGAGGTTTGCCAACCCAGCAGCCTGCATCATCTTGTCCATGGAACTCCAGCCCCGGGACTACCTTAGAACCTTGTGCCAAGCCCCTGGCGAGGCTGAGTGCTGGTTCTGATGACACCCATGCATGCTTCACATTAATCTTTAAAGTGCCAGGAGCAGGATGGCAGCTTTCCAGTTTGCTCACACGCTGTGCCTACAACTGGCCAATATTATGGTACTTCATTTATTATCTGCAATTTTAGCTGTTTGAATAAAGCTGCAGTTTTAATAAAGTGTCTAAAGAGAACAATAAAAATAGTTGAATGGAATTATGTTTACAACAATATGTTAGGGCAGAGAGCTTTGAGTTAAGAAATATGAAAAAAGGCAGGAACAATTTTTCCTATCTTGTAGAGACTCTTAAGCTTTTCAATGTGACTCTTAGTATCTTTCTTCCTGATCCACGATTTAAAACACCCCCATGATAAGTTATTATTCCCATCAAAACCATCCCCCACCACACACACACACAAGAATTTTTGCACTGTTTGGAAAGATGTATAATTAACAGTAACATCTTTGTTTTGTTTAATCAAAGATGACTCGGAATGAAGGAAAGAAAAAATGACCATGAGGAAGAGAATTTGAAACTCATATATTGTTCTCTGCAGATGGGCATTCAAATCATGAACTCACTGGAGATGAGCAAGAGAACCACCATGGAGGTGAGAGAGAATGTGCTAATAAGCATGCCATTGCAGCTCATGCCTTAGCAACCCATATCATCTCACCTCTTCCTGGGTTCTGAGACATGCTGTCCTGTCCTACGGAGAAACCGCCAGGCAATAGATGCCTTTTCTTTTGGCTAACCCACTAGGGATCTAGACACTGCTAAGCTGTAAAAAATGAGAATTATTTGTCCAGAAATTTTAACTTGCTTCCCTATAATCAGAAGAGAATAAATCAATACTATGAGAACTCTTCACAAAAGGGAACATGTATAGAGTGGAACTTTGCCTTCTATTCTTGAACACTTCTGCAGAGGCTCAGAAAAGTTGTTGCTCTGATTCACAGGTCACAATAAGGAGATTTCTATTTACAAGGTGGAAGACTTTTTCATCAGCCTTAGAAAGAGCACTTGGAGAATCATTACCATTTCCAAAGTAGGGAAGAAACTTTAATACCCTTCTTTCAAGCATACTGTGTAATTCCAACAACATAGGATGCCCAATTCACAAGATTCTGAAAGAATGAGCCTTCACGCTACAGCACTTTAGCAACCAGTACCAATAGGAAAACGGAAAACCCATTTGAAGCTGCTGACTCACTACTGCATAAGGAGTGTTATCCATCCATACATATATACGGCATCATCCAATTTCTTTTTCAGGCTTACGAAACAGATGGAGTTAACTAACAAAAACAATATATACACCCATCATTCTGCAGCCATAAACCAAAAGGAGGACACCACAGCTTTAACTCTGAGGACTCTAAGCAAGATACTGAAATATTTTTAGAGAGCGGCTCCACTGTTTCCAAGATGATAAGGATGGACGCAAAATAGAATTGCTATCTAGAATAAAGAGTGGCATTTGCTTTTAAAACCACGTATATCTTTCTTAAGGCTGTCTTTCTGAAAAGTTGAGAAAAAGTAAATGTTTATTCACAAATGTTTAAGTGAAATAGAGATACTTTTTATTTCAAAGATTCATATTTTCTTAAAAATCATTTTTTAAAAATTGACCAATTATCTTCCTAATTTATCTTTATTCTAAATCTGATTTTTTGAAGATGCAAGTTTTAGGTTTCCAAGACTAAGGGAAGATAGGCTTCTCCCACGCCCACCCCCGTGTGTGTGTGCATGTGCGTACAGATATATTATATTGATATGCATATGTAGTTACACAGACATTTTAAACAGTTGTCTATGCATTCAATTGTGGGCTTTGGGCATTAGGGCATTTTCCATGCTTTTATTCTTCTTGCTGAAGCAGTGCTGATGTTTCGTTTGAGAAACATAACTGAAGTGACCCAGATAGCCCAGTGGAAAAGGCTGATCCATTAATGTTGCAAATGTGTGGTCAACTGCAGGAATGGAAGCCAAAGGACAAGACCCTGACCAAAAATGAACTACTTCCAACTGCCTAGATCAGACCAATCCTCCAACATTGGGTGAACACACAGACAATAAATAAAACTGAGCAATCCTCAACTCTGAGCTCTCTCTTGATACAGCCATCCCTCCAGCTCCCCGTCACCCCCCTGCACTGTTTCCGAATGCCCACAGACATCTCCCTATGAACCTCACGACAGGGCAGTGCAGGCAAAGCAACCAGTACACAGTCAAAGGAGCATGGGCTGCACGCTTAGAGGCCTGACAGTGCTGCACAACAGAGGAGTGGCTAGGAGGATGGTGGCAGGCTGGAGGGAGAAAGGTGGGAAGTAAGGCAGAGGCCAGACTGTGAGAGACGGTGTACAGTAGCTAAGAAGGCAGCCAGAAGTAGCACTGTACCACTGTGTTTTCAACCTGCCTCTATCCCAGGAAAGGGCCGAAAAAGAAAGGCAGCCCCCAATAATTCCTGGTGCTGGGCTATGCCTTGTCATTCCAATCTCACCAACCCTGCTGGGTAGCAACTTTCTCCTAATCAGCCTGCAGGGTCCAGATTAAAATCACTTTTTCACTCTTGTTTTCCTTTGCCCACACCCCCATGCAGGACTAGATTTCCTCTTCTCTGTGTTCCCACGGCACTTTGTGCAGAGCCTGTTTCGTTGTTTCCCCGCTAGACTGTCAGCTTCTTGGTGACTGGGACTACACCAAGCATGGTACCTGCAAGATACAGGGGCGTGTGCCATCTCTGGTGATGGCTGGAGGAAGGGTGAAGAGGGGAGGTGACAGAGAGAATTAAATCAATGGAGATCCAAACTGGAGATTCTGCTATTATGTTTACTACTACCCAGCAATTCTTGCTATTGAAAGAGATTCAATACATTAGGGTCATAACCATGTATCATACAGGATGAAGGACATTTAAGAGCCATGATGAATCCAAGATTTAAATAATGGTTCAGGATTTTGTCTGATTATCTTAAAAATGGAAGATTGAGAGAAAAACAAGGTATAATTTTCCCTTGCCATGGTGTCTTCTCTATTTCAAATTCAACTCTTTTTACTACTTGCAAAAGATTTAAAATATTCACTGACCTGCCAAAAAACATCTGTACATTGCTAGACACATCTTCACAGATTCACATCGGAATGGCTTCTTTCTGCACCAATGATCATAGCTCTATTCAACCACAACTAAAGTGAGAACCTCAGAACCGTACGTGGAGTGATGTCAGTGGTGACTGAGGATAAAATAGCCGTTTGATGCAACTTCCATATCGAGCGTGTCCACAGGGACAAGTGCTCCTTCACTTATTCTTAACTTAGGATCAAAGGCACAAAAATGACCAGGCAGGGACAGACTCTGCCATAATTCCAAAGAAGGCTGAGACATATACACAGCACACACAGAAGCTCCTCAATGCTCTCTGGCAACGGGGCAGCCCCTGGCTCTCTGCCTGCAGCCCAGGAACAGGCCCACTCTCACAGGGCTCCCTGAGGCCTGTGCAGCTGCAGACAGACATGCAGTGTGTGGGACCATCCACGCTCAGGGTCTCCACAGTCTCCTGTGTGCCCAACAGCTGGGTTAGGCGCCTGAGACAGGACCCAGCTCAGACAAGGCCCTCTGTTGTGGAGCATTCCTCATTGCCACGTTTCCCCAGGAAAAATGTATTTTCCTCCAACCATTCATTCTGGCCCCAAACTAGCTCATTCTCCTGTGTCTTGCTCCACACACAAACCTTCTCCCAAGGTTAGAGATGGCAGCAACTGCAACTTCTTCTCCTGTCTTATTCAGTCCTAATCAAGGTACAGTGATATGTGCACGTTCAAAATGAGGGGCACGTGATGAACATGGTACTAGACATTGGTACTACCCCAGGGGCATCTAGGGGAAGACTCTAGTCTAGTAGAGGACAGCAGAGGTGGCTGGGGAAGGCCCTGGTGTCCCCCACATTGGGAGGATGGCACAGGTATCAGCCAGTGCTATGTGTACTTTGTATTACTATTTTGTTCTTGTTTATCTTACGTAAATATTTATTTTAGCTCATTAAAAAGGTAATACACGCTCATTGAAGATTTGGAAAATATGAAACCCCTGTTATGATACTGAAGCTTTTCCTTTTGGGCCAGTTTTTGTATGAACATACAAATTTCCACATTCTACCCCAGCACCTCCGCCTTGCACATCACAATTGAGAGCACACAACTTCTGACAGAGGCAACCAAAAGGGGAAGGGACCCTATAAGAACAGTGTACCTAGAAGCACTAACTGCACGGTCTGTTTCAGTTAGTATCATGATGACCACCTGATGATGCCCTTCATCCCTGACCTGTGAATTACTCTCTACAATACAGAATTGTGGTCCACAGGCAGGGAGGAAGAGGCTGGCTTGGAAACCAAGTTCCATCCCTAGCTCTGCTATTTATCTGCTCTGCGATTGGGTGGGAGAGGGTGTGGCAAGGGTCACATATTTAAAAACCCCAGGGGCCAGGTAAGCAACATAAATGAATAAAGCAGGTAAGATGAAGCTGGGTGAGCTGAAGAGCCCTGCTCCCTCCAAAGAAGACAGCCACAACACTGCTTGGGCAGGCTGCTATCATTAGAGAAGGCAGGTTCAGTTTTGCCAAATCTTCCCTTTTTTTTTTTTTCAAGAGAAGCTGGAAATCTCAGCTTTTATGTAATACTGTCCTATTTAAAAGTGTTAGTTTACATTTTTGAAACGCACCATGTGGCCCAACAAAACATAAATGACGGTATGTATGATCCAGCCCATAGAGTGGTTTGCTATCTTTAGAAGTAATAAAAAGGTACATGCCTCCGTTTCTCCTTCTGTTAAATAGGAAATTGACTATCTGCTCACCACTGGGGATTTATTTAAGAGCACAGAGGGGGTTCCATTATCATATAACAAAATAATCCAAATGTATTCAGATATACAAAGCAGGGTAACACGTTCCCTTATATTTCTTAACCATGGTTGACATAAATGGGGCTTGATGTGGTGTGGAATTATTCGAAATGTACACTCATGCAGTTAGCTTCTAAATAAACAAAAGAAGAGAGCTGCAGTAGACTTAGAGGATGAGGGTGTGACCAGCTGGTGATACTGTATCAAATGGTGGAATGAAAGCCAGACTGGAATGGCTCTGATTTTTAACAAACACCGTGTGGAGACAGGTAGTATTGACAACCCTCTCAAGAAGAACTGAAATAAAGGGTGGTAGAGAAGTGGGGTGTTGGCCAAAGGAGAATGGGGATTAAGAAGAGTACATCCTTTAAGATAGATAAACTTACAAATGTTTATATGTTATGGAAATTATCTCATTTTAAGGCAAGCAAACAAAAAGCCCAAGTACCAACTGAAGGAACTGTGTCAGAAAAATACGAGACTGTGTTGGGTGCAGTAAAAATTTTATTAGTAAGAGTTAAAAAAAAAATCCAAAATCTAGTTATATAGGTTTTCCTAAACAAGAAGCCAGGAAAAAAAAAGTCCTTACTACAACACACACTGCCCTACATTTTACACTGTGCCATTTCTGTATTTGTCCTTTTTAGCCTACTTCTATCACAGTCTCTCTTTGCTAAAATACATTAGTTGCCATGGAAACGATGTCATAGTGTGTAAAACCATTTACTGTCCTTGGAAAGGCATTCATGATAAAATTGAACAGTAGCACGTTCCACAAAGAGAAGCAACAGAACCAGTTGTGCAAGAACACAACAAGGTTTCACAACTGTGACTTCAGAGTATTCCTCTACCACCAACATCATAGGTCTCTGAGAATTGCCTGAGCTTTTGCATGTCAGTTTTCCCCAAATCACCCAGAGCAGCACCTTTCCAAATGTACTTAAAAAGTCTTCATCTAATGTTGATGAAGACAATAGATTCCCTAGAATTCATACTTCCAAGAGGTGGGGAGGGGCTGGAAGACCACGGAATCAGAATGGTTTTATGCATTGTAAGACTTCCACTAATGGAGAGGATCCAGTCCTGTCATACATTCTGCTGACCAACTTTGTTATCAGAGATACAAATCATATTTGGAACATAGAGATTTGGACTTGAATTTGCTTACTGGCATGGATTACCAAGACACTCCTTTTTTTTTTTTTCATCAATTCAAAGTAAACCAAATCATCACATCAAGAAAATACATTGTGCAACTCTCATGTCCCCTTCTGACAAAGAAGGCACATAGCCAGGTGTATGTTCCCTGGAAGCTTAAAATCTAGTTGGGGACAATCAGGCAAGAGCACAAACGGCCTCTTGCTTGGGCTGTGGCAAAGAGCTGGATTTTATCCTAATTGCGACAGGATGACATCAGGAGAGCAACATGATCTCATAGAGATTCTTTTAAATATATGAATTTTTAACTTTAGAGACAGGGTCTCACTGTGTCACCCAGGCTGGAGAGCAGTGGTAAGATCATAGTTCACTGCAGCTTTGACCTCTTAGGCTGAAGCGATCCTCCTACCTCAGCCTCCTGGGTAGCTAGGACTACAGAAGTGCTTCATCATGACAGGCTAATTTTCAAATTTTTTGTACAGATGGAGTTTCACTGTGTTGCCCAGGCTGGTCACGAATTTCTGCCTTGAAGTGATCCTCCTGCTTTGTCATATAGATTTTTAAAAGCTCATTCAGCCATTGTGGGAAGTGGGGTTGGAAAGATCAAGACTAGAGAAGGGCAGAGTCCAGACAAAGGAGGGTGGAAAGCAGATGGAGAAATGTGATTTTCTACCCAGGTTGACAGTGTCCTTCCCTTTGTCTGCAAAAGTGCTGGTTTATGCCTGTTGTCGCAGCAGACAGTCAGGTTAAGCACTTGTTCAGATGTTTCACTTCATAAACCAAGTGTTATTACTGGTTATATTAAAATACACCAGGATGGGTTTTGTAACCTCCAGTTTGCACTTGCAGCTTCTCCCATACCTTGTCTACCGGTGTGTGAGACGACTATACAGTGAAGGGAACGTTCATGTTAACATGTGATTAAAGCTGAAAGATGACCAATGACAATCCATTTCTTTTCCTGTCCCTTTCCAATCGTGGTGTAAGCAACACCTCCCTTTCAAGGACAACACGCAGTATGCTCACCATAAAACAAAGAGTACTTGGACATGAGCAGCTAAGGGCAGCTAACTCCTTCCGGTCTTGATTGGCAGTAGGAAAAGTATTCCAGGCCACTGCCTCACCAGACACTAGATGTGCTGACCATTGCACTGTGACCTGTGTTGCAGCCTGAGATGCACGGAACAGCAGTCAGAAGGGTTAATGGAAAACACAGAAAGTTATAGGTTAGGCATACATGAAATATTCGCAGGAAACAGATCTGCTACAGATCTTTTAAAGAATTGTCTGAATGCTCTCATTTCAGTGTTTTTGTCATTTATTGAATCGTTATACTATTTTATTTTGCAATATACCTTTTGGCAGTGATGAGCTAAAAAGAAAAAGAAAATGCAAGTTTAATAAAAAATTAAGTACCAAATTTCTGCTTTTCAAGAAAGCAGATGATGAACATAAATTCACACAAAATGCTTGTTGATACTTACTATCCATCATGGGAGCCTTAGTGATATCACTGACTACATAAACCACAAGTCACAAATCTGCTAAAGAGGCAACAGCAACTACTTCAAATGTTAATAATGATGCAAGACTATGTTAAGGAAGATGATTTAACATACGCAGCTGCAGAAGGTTTACTAACATAGCACTCTAGGAGACATTTCTTTTGGATGAAATGTCTGTTGTTCCAAATTGATTTTGCTTATTTTTGAACTCAGGTTTTTTTGTGCATATATGAAAAGTGAAACGATGACTTTAATGTATTAGCTTCATTAGCAGAAGAAAAAAACTTCACCAAGAGTTAAATTATTCCAGTTTTATGTTAGTATTACCAGGTGTTTTAAACAGAAAATCAATTAATTCAAATAATATTTTTTTTCATTTATCTCATGGGATCAAAATAAAGCTTGTGGAAGTTTATTTTGTCACAGGTAAAACGTCTCATATTATTGTAAATGCTACTGTAAATTGTAAAAAGCTCAACATAGGAGATGAAATGATTTGATTTTGCAGGAATAATACAAATTTTGTGATGCTAAAAATAAGGTTCTTAACTAAATCAAGAAACCTATGGTGCAGAATGTTACTTAGAATGTGTTATGTCACATGCATAATTCATAACTGCATTCAAACAAGTGGCTATATCCTATCGAATGTAAAAACTGTAGAGGTAGAAATTAACTAATAGTTATATATACCCAATTAGAAATATCCCAAACTTTTTGTGACAAAGCCAATACTAAATACAAAAAACACTTCAACATAGCAGTATATTCCTTCTCTTTTGTCCCCGTCATCATCAACTGGGTTTTGTTAATGCTTGAGAAATGACTCTCTCTGTCAACCTGGGCGTGCCATAACGGTATCATAGACAAGTCCTTTAAAAAGTTTGGGTGTATTCTGTTCCAAACTAGTTGGAAGTCTTTGATCAAAGCAGTGAATGAAGCACCAAAACAGTTCAGCTTTTGAAGCCTGTAGCCAACTGCAGTTATTGAAAATAAGGCTTGTAAACAGAAGATGCTCAAATTTATCCCAACAAAAGCAAAGGAGGAACTGAACACATTGCATGATGAGAACTCAGTGTTCAAGATTTAATTCTGAAATTCTGTTCTGATGTTTTGTAATATCTTGACTTGTGGCAATCTTTTGATGGAATGCCTAGTTTTAACTGGATACATTTATATTCCGTACCAGAATGGAGTGAAACTGAGAAGGTCTGCAATTTTGTGCCATCTAAATTTGACAAAACATTTGAAAGGACCACAGAGAAACTTAATTTCATAAGTTTTGTCTTATAAAAATATTTGTTGAAGAATTCTGAATGAGAGAAAAAGATCTGTGAACATATTTGGGTGAAAACAGTTACACATTTCAACATTTTAAAAACTTGTCTAAGAAGAGCTTCCACTGAGCAGAATTTGTTCAGAGCTCACCAGGGACTTTGCATCTAAGAGCTATTTTCTGAATGAGAAATATTGTGATGTACACATAGAAGCCAATCAAAGATATTAATTTCAAATACTAACTATAAACACAACTTTGAAGAGATTGGAGGCAACTTTATTAAGAAAATTAAAAACAATTCATTCTTCATATGGAGTATCACTGGCATAGGTTAGTTAGAGACATTGCTAAAAAGTTGACTAATGGGAGTGAAAAATAATTACTTATGTTATTATTTTATAAAACTCAGATAATATAAGATTTTTTAAATTTAATCTATATGGACATATGTTTTTAAGTTTTAAAAATTTTATTTCTGAAAAGATTCTGAAGAGAACTATTTTATAGGTCTAACATATTTTTAAAATGTCAGTTAATAAATCAATACTTTTTAAATTCTATCCATTTAATTATTTGCTGACTCTTTTCAATTTAAATTATGTGGTTCTCCATCTCTAACTCTCTTGGCTCCCCCCCGACACACAAGGTAAAAATATGAGATGCATTTATGTTTTGAGAAAATTTGCTAAGAGTGTCACAATAATTTTCTGGTGAGAAAATACATAAGCAGTATCCAAACAGGCAACTCCGCACCTCACCCCAGAACACCCCCAATAAAGGCACACTTTTAAAGCAAGCCTGATGATTTCCCTTCCAAAATTACTAGGTATTTCAGAAACAGCAGGTTTTAAAATACATCATCTTAAATGCAGCATCATCCTCATATGAATGTCAAAGAGAGATGAAATGCAATTAAAAAGAGCTAACTGTTTTTTTCTCCCCCTCTCTCATTTGAGTGTTCTGGTAACTACTTACAAATTATACTTGGAAATGAATCCTTTCATAAACTGATACTTTATTTAGCACATGAGAACTGAATAAAAATGAAGAGCATTTCCCCTTGTATTTAGAGACATTTCTACTATTCACCCTGTTACCTTTACAATATGAAACTGAAGGATCACACACAGTAAAAATTCTCCTCTAATCTCCAGCATCACAGTAAATTCATTAGAGAAAGGCTTGAAATTCTAATACTTTCCACTGACCTGAGGCCCGAAGGCAACTGAGGTCCTTCTCAGGGAAAAACTGCCACTAGCTAAACAAGGGGAAGCCAGAAACCCCACACTATCTTGAAACATCAGGTGGAAAACTCTGCCGCTTAAGGACATAATCTCACACTTCTTGCCCCAAATGAACCTAGGACAGGTATACTAAGCCACGATTTATCAAAGGAAAAATGGTATACTATAAGAGTATAGGTAAATTTGTCACAAATAAAAAAGTTTAAGCAGTTAAAATATAGCCCAAATGCAGAGTGGCAGGTTTGAAATATACACTTACTACCTAACAATATAAAAAGATGTTACTTTATTTGTGCATGATTGAATTCAACTTGATTATGATCATTGCATTTCTACTTATGGCAGAAAAAAAAACAATCTTACTCATTACAGGTAACCTAGTGGCTTCAGAGTTAAAACTTTAGTTGCTTCAGGGCAATCAGTCAAATTAAATTCACTTCAAGCTGCCGGGCTGTGTCCCTTTCGTTCTCCTTCTTCTCCCCAGGGAGATTACAGACCATCACAGTGATGGGGAGAGGATTGAGTCTAGGTGCTGGCCTCTGGCCTCTGTGGGATGTCTTGTTCCTTTGTCATTGGGTGCTGGCCTGGTTTGGCTGATGTAGCTGGTCAATACCTCACTGGGGCTCAGTAGTATCTGTGGCCACGATCCCAGCCAGCCTCCAGCAGGGAGATTGGCACACTTCCCTTCTGTGCCCTCTCTATTCTGACCCTAGATATCTCAGTACCTTTACATCCACCCAAGGGCATAAGCAGGACTGTCGGGATTTCCCCACGCCATGTACAGGTTTTGGGGAACTGGGAAGGAACACCACCTCAGGGCCCGTTTCTACCTAAACACACCCCACTGCAGGGCAAACTACAAGGTGGTTTCCTTCCAGAGTCCCAGAGAGGAGGCAGGGCACCAGTGCTCTCTGCTTACAGGGGGTCGCTCACCTACCTGGGCCTTCTATCATCTCAATAACCCCGTAAGCAGAAGCCCAGGACAACTGGGTGCTAGATCTCAGTGACCCATCCATTTCTTAACCCTGGAATCCTCTGAATCTCTGCAAGCTCCTCCTTCCAACCCAGGAAGCAATTTTCTCCTTCTTGGGCTAACGGAAGTGATCCTGTAGCCTCCCTCCTCCGTGGCTTAATGTACAATATATGCCAGGCCTTCTGAGATTTGGCTGCTTGGAAACCACAAACCATTTTTCTTCTAACAAAGCCTGTCTCTTTTAAATGAAGGCTTGGGCTAACTCTGTTCTCTGAAACAGGCTTTAAGGGCCTGTTTTGGAAGTCAAAAGCTGAACAATGTCTTCTTTGTCGTTGACCATGTTCTGTCCTCCCCTTGAAGTGATGGAATCCCTAGCTTCAATGGGGGAGACTCCCAGGGCAACAGCAATTAGGAGGAAGGGAAAGTAAATTGAATACCAGTTCAAAATATTATTCCCACTAAACTAGCTGCTCATAATGCAAGGTCTCAGAGGTCCCAGAACACTTACCTAGGATTTAAAAAAAAAAAAAAAAAAGTGCAACACATTGACAGGCCATTCTCCTAGAAGATACCATTTATATCATTATATATTTATATTTGAACCAAGGGCAAGGGGAGCCTATGGCTTTCCGTTTCTTGAGTTCTTCCTACCCAATATCCTCAATCTCTGTTCTACCATTGAGTGGAGGTCCAAAACCACCCCTGCATCAGCATCATTTTGGAACTCTCCACTTCCCTGGATTTCCTCAACTGAGGGCCCCCTTACCTTTGTCACTCCTCTTCCGTACCTGCTGTGCCCACTCATCACATCCCTGAGGCCTCAGACCCTTCCTTACCTATCACCTCCAATCCAAGCTCACGCCCCTTCCAGCCTGAATACTAGTTTCAGCTGATTCATATGATGTTTTCTCTAGTCTCTTAGAGCAACCTATTATTCAAACCAATGCCCAACTCTAAGTCACCGCAAGGCCAGATTTTTCATTCCAAAGTGACAAGTATTACCAGGCAGAGTCACAAAATTGGGCTAAAGGGAACTATAAACATACGTGCAAATTCCAATGGGGCCTCACTCCATATTTTTTATCCATCTATTTACACACTGTGCTACAGTTTAGTGGCTGGCTGAATTTTTTCTAGATTCTCCAAGCCCACTCTCCCTTCTTCAAATCTCTCAACATGAGATGACAGTTCAGCCTCCAGTTCATAGAAAAGTTCCAGGACACTCCATTCCTTTGAACTTCTTTCTTCTTACATGCAAATTTCACTGTATCTTTATTTATCTTGCAGTAATAGTTAAAATCAAACAGGTAAAGTACATAGCACCACGATACCTGCCATTTAGCAGGCATGCGATCTTGTTTTGTTCTTGTCTGTTCTCTTTCCCTCTGAGTGACTGCTACTTTCTATTACTTTGAGGGTTATAGTGGGTTCAATGGTGCCAACCCCCCAACCACAAAAAACAAAAACAAAAAACACACCATGCCCATCTGGAATCTGTGAATATGGCCTATTTGGAAAAAGGGGTCTTTGTAGATGTAATTAAGTTAAGAATATCAAGATAAGAATATCCCATATTAGGGCTGGCCCTAAATTCAGCGACAAGTTTCCTTGTAAGAGAGGAGAAGGCCATGCAATGACATGCAGAGGAAAATACCCTGTGAAGATGGAGGCAGAGATTGTAGTGACATGCCTACAAAGCCAAGGAAAGCCAAGGTTTGCCGGCAGCCACAGAGAAGCCTGGGACAGAATCTCCTTCAGGGACTCCATAAGAAATAAACCCTGCTGAGAGCCTGGTTTCTGATTTTGGGCCTCCAGGACTATGACAGAAAATGTTCTCTTGTGTTAAGCCGAGTTTGTGGGAATTTGTTATGGCAGTCCCGGGAAACCAGTAAAAGGTCTAACTTAATTAAGATCTCATCTCCACCAACTCTTCACCAATCTTCCATCCATCGTTCCTTCTCGCTCCTGCCTAACCAACACCTCCCTCTTCAGTGGATCATTCCTGCATGTTCTAGCTCAACCATGGGCTAGACTGAAAACCCCATGGGTGTTTTGGTGGGCAGCACAGAGCAGGAATCTTCCAGCAGCAGCAGTTCTGGATCTCAAGTGTGTGGAAGGAAGCCCTGTTCTGGGGATGGGGGCCAGGGTGATTCATTCCCTGGAAACAGAACCTCTGTCACAGCTAGAGATGTGAGGATCAGGGAAAGCAGTAGGGCTTGCCTTGGGCACCCCAGATTAGGGACTCTTCCCCACATGGCATGTTGGACTGGGGTACAATCAAATAATGTTTAGGGTTGCAGTTTTTTAAGTGCCAATCCCTCTTGGATCATACTTAACAAATAAATTAACCAGAACCTGTCCCTTTCCCAGGAGCTGCTGGCACCCATAGAGGCATCTGGTTCTGTTCATTCTACCACAGTCCTTCCAGATTCTTCCCAGACACTCCTCATCCTCACTAGTCTTCACTGAGTAATTCTCAACCTCCAAGAGAACAACCTCTAACACTTGGCAGTCTGAAATCAAGAATCTGTTGAATAATGACTATGGGAATTACATGGTCAACCACACTTACATGAAAAGAAGTGTGAGGTATGGCACATTATCTATGCTTTGGCCCTAACGGAGAGGCAAGATTAGAAGTAGGGCTATTGCATTTTCACCCAAGGAGGCAGAACATAAGGGGGAATCTAAAACATGCAACCAAAATCTGGATTCTAAACCATGACTCCAAGGATCCATCAGTGCAGAGGACCCAATGTATCACCTGCATGAAGAAAAGTTACTTAAGACGCATCTCATTCTAGAAGTACTGAAAACATATGTAAAACCTCCCAACTTGGAAGCTTAGAATCAGAACCAATGAGCATTTAATAAATGCACAGTGTAGTATCACGCAGCACAAGGCAAATTAAACAAGGTTCACTCTCAGCCTTCTAGAAACTTGCTACTGAAAATGGACAATATTGACGCTGATGTGTACAAAAGAGGGTAGACATGAGCAGAATGAATAAATACATGAAGTGGTAACATTATATGCCAGCAAAGGGGATAGTACATTTTGTCAAAGTGCCATGTGATCTCCCACATTTAAGGTGGTAGTTGTGGTAGCGGGGAGGTGGCAGAAAAAGCACTTAAATAATAGACGGCGTATGGTTAAGCAAGGAAAAAAAATCCACCACTGCTTCTCGAAGATCACAATAGCATTTCAAACAACAGTAAAGCACCAGGTACCTCCCCTCCCCCTTTCAGCTGCAGCAGTTGGCCTACATCCACAGAAAGTGTTCTTATTGCTCTCTATCCCAGATACATTAAACCTGGCATCCAGGAGAGGACTAGGCAGGGGAAGCCATTAACGAGGAATCACAGCGAGCTCTCACAGGCAGCTGAGAAGGCTCTTCATGAATGCAGACCAACACTGCCTGTTGTGCTGTTTTGAGTTTCGTTATAGAAATGACTCCAGGGGTCCCTCCCCATGACCATGGAAAACATTTTATAAAGCTTGTTTTCAATCATTCTTTTGAAGGATATACAAACAAAGGCTATAGCTGAGCTGTAGAGTTAAATCATTACTTCGTAGAGCCTTAGTCTGGGACAGAACCCTCTTCCTATGCTAAGGAGATTCTACTACAAAGTAAACAAAATCAATGCATGGAGAGGAAGGCACTTCCACAGCCAAAATTGGGCTATACATGGCAGAGGCACTCAGTTAAATGTTGCTTTGTGAGGTCCAGGTGTGGGTAGGTACATAATACTTTCAGGCCCAACAATACTGGCAGTCCATTTGGCTATTGTTCTCTCGCCCATCATTTATTACTGTATTCCTCCAATTTCCTCTAGATTTTGAAGAATTCTGCATTTTCTCTCTGCTCTTGGATGTCATTTCCTTTCTTTTTTAGTGAAAATCTTATGGATGAAAACCTGATGGCAGAGGGCAAAGGAGTAACTATTTCCCCAATCACCCTAAATTTTTAACAAAAAGCTCAAGATTACAAACAAAAAATCTTCAAACACATATCATTCTCAAAATGAAATGGTGGTTTCTAAAGCAGTCTAGGACAGTTAATGAACCCAAACTGTGTTGTGGGTCAGTAGGGAGTAAATCTTGTGCCACCAGAAAATACAGAAGCTCAATGTCCAAAAAGAAGCCAGCCTCATAGCGCAGATGCCCAGAAAGCCAGCTGCATGTTCCAGTGCCTTACCCCGGGCCTGTCTAAATGAACATTGCTGAGTATCCACACTGTGAATGACAGTGTGCTACGTGCCTTAGGTGGACAGTCAAAAAGGGGAGCGGCATATGTGGGGCCAAGTATGTCTAGGAGAACTGGATTCTAGTCTAAGCTAAAGTAGTAACCGGATGTACCAACTTGGGCAAGTTGTAAAAACCTTCCAAACCCTGAATTTCTCATATTGAATTTAACTAACAATGTCAGGCATCACTTATTAGGAGGCAATTGAGAGATACAAGTGTTCAATGCAAGAGAATAAAGAGATTGGGGGAAGCTTTTGAGAGTTGGGATTCCAGCTGGGCCTAGACAGGTGAGTAGAATTCTAAGGAAAGGGAAGGACGGGGGATTCCGGGAAAGGAAAACAAAGGCCGGAGCCATATTGCCAATTAACGAGATGGTAATGGGCTTCTGGCTAACCAAGCATTAGCATCTGCTAAATGAGGTGAGCCAGGATGACTAAGGAAGAACGTAGATACTACAGAAGGCACTGAAGGCCAGGCTAAGGAACCTGGTCATTCTGCCTCCATTCACTGGGCTGTTTAGTAAAGGGACAGGATCCAAGAACCAGTATCTACATTAGCCGGCACATCCACAGTGACATGGATCAATACCTCCTCACTCAATCTAGGAAATATGAGAGTGAAGCCAAACTAGACAATAAAAGGTGATACCCTTCAAACTCAGACAGCAACTAGAGAAACCATTAACAGAAATCAGCGCTTCTTAAAATATCCTTATGTGCATGTATGTGCCTAGGTACAGGCAATACATCACACAATCTCTAGAATAACAAAAAAATAAAATTAAAACAAAAATCAAATTTCACAAGTGACAACATTTGAAATTGTTATTGCTTCTAAATAGACATGACATTTGTGTGGAAATGAAGTTGTTGGTGTTTATTTGCCTTTTCAGTAGAATTTAAATTGGGCAGGATTTCACAGAAATACAGATTCAGTAACTTTCTGGGGATTAAAAGAAGAAAGGATTGGGAAAAGTGCCCTGGGCTTTGTTGTGGGAAAGGAGATCTGGCTCATTTTTAATTTTCCATTAAAGCCCTACTTTTCAATATAAAGCAGATGGAATCCTTATACAACTCCATGAAAAGCCTACTATTTTTGGATACCTCAAAGATGGAAGCTCTGAAGAAAATGAAAGTGTTTGACTTCATCAGATAAAATCCCACCAGCATATTCAAAAGGCACAGGTACTTAGAAACCTTTAAATTACAAGTTAAGAGGTCTTTCTGTGCGGATTTATGATCCCGGGCCCCTCTCAAGCTTCGGCACTCTCTGACTCTTGCTGACTGATGGTTTCTACCACTTCTCCGCCTGCTCCCACTACTCTAGTTGGGACTCCCTATGTTTGCTTCCTTCCTTGTCTTCCAGAGCTGCCTGCTGACTCTTCCCTTCTCACTGTTGTTCCCAGATACAGAAAAGATGAGAAGCGTTCAGCCCTGCCTGGCCCATACCCACTGAATCCAAATGAGGCCTGGGGATATGCATTCTATGAGATCTTCAGCATATTTGTGCTCTTTTCTTATTATGCGATAAGACCTGGTTCAATATATTCTGTTTGTCACTCTGCTGGGGTGGACAGGAGAACAAAAGGGCTGATGTTTACTGTGCAGAGTCTGTGAGATACTAGGCTGGGAGCTGCTGGGCACCACCTCCACCCTCACAGTTTACAATCTCATTAAAGAGATGGCGCAAATTTAGTGTGAAGAACATAGATGTTGGAGCCAGACTGCTGTGTTCAGATCCCAGCTCTGTCACTTACTCTGTGACGCTGACTAAATCACTTAGCCTCTGTGACTCAGTTTTTCCATCTTTTAAATGGGATAATAATGGTAGTACCTCCTAGAATTGTGCTGGGTGTTATGTTGACAAATCAATCATAAAATAGAGTCCCTGACTTCCAAAGAGCTCACAAGTCGGTGGGAAAGGCCAGTGCCTGCCCCACTGTCCTACCCAGCTGGTTCCCTCAGCCTTACGAATCAGGCTATGATGAGGATGATGATGAGGTGGTAATCAGGTGCTCTGGGAGCCCAGAGGTAAGAGAGATGGGAGGGCTTCTCAAGAGGCAGTAGGTTTTGAGGGGAGTCATCAGAAAGGGTGAGACTTCCACGGTGGGTAAAGGTGCCTCTGCATCCTGCAACACAGGACACAGAAGTAACTGCAAAGCAAAGGCAAGGAGGCAGGGAATGAGGAACCACAGCTCTGGAGCAAAAGCAGGAAAGAGTTTAGCAGTCACACAGACCTGGCTTCACTAGTTATTAGCTGTGTGACCATGAGCCATTTGCCTCTCTGAGCTTCAGTCTCCCCATTTGACTAATGGGTATAATAATACATGCCTCCTAGAGTTGCTATGATTAAGTACATGACTGTATGTAAGCACCTAACACATGCCTCCGAGTTCAATAAAATGGCAGGTGCTATTATTTCTATGGTGTATTCAGGGAGGAGTAGGTAGCTGTGGTATGCTCTCTACTTTTTTGCAGTATCACAGAAAGGAGAATACAAGGCCAGAAACAAGTAGTCCTCTAAAAAAGCTTTCTGAGTGCAAATAAGCAATGAGCTAGGACTTTCCCATGGTACTTTTTTCTCCCCCAAACTCTTACAGTTAATAGGTACTCAATACATATTTGCCTAAACCAACCAAGTGCTGCTCGAGGTCATGGGTTTACAAGGGCAGAGTATGTGATGATCTCTGCTTCCTAAGTATACCCAAGAAGGAGACCCAAGTCAGGCTTCACTTCCAGACGGAGGTGCACAGCAGGCTGTTCTGGAAGCAGGCTGAGACAAATGGGAAAGCGCTCTCAACCAAATATTACAACAACTCGGAGTCTTACAAACATTGTTAAAGTTTCATGAGTCAGTAAGCATTATCTTTTCCTCCCACGTTTTTATTAGACCATAAATCCAATTCAATTTATATTCTTCCAGGATTACTGCGTTCTAATCAAGTCCACAGTGTCACTTATTCCTAAGTTGTCTATATTGCATGTCACCCAAGTCCATTTGGATAATACCATTCAGGCTTCTCATGTGTTTTAGTAGCTAAAAATTAGATTTGCTCAACTAGAAACACTAAAAAAATTATTATAGTCCTCTAAATAACACAAATCACTCTTTTTTCATAGGAGCCAAATGTGTGAAAGTCATAACCCATAGTTTTTTCTTACTTTATAGTTCATTCTACCTTTAGAAAAGTCACAATGACATTCTGAAGTCAAACTCGAGGGATTTCCATTGTAAATAGGTTAAAATTCTGGTTATCTGACTAAAAGAAACCCTTTTACAGGGTTAACGTCAGAATGCTTTCATGTTTTCCGTTCTCAAGAATGAAGGTGCTGCATTTCTTACTAAAAATGCTGTTTTCAATCATACCATGTAAGTAAATTTCCCAACTTTTCTAACAATTTTTGATTCAGAACCGACAATCACCCAAATCTCTTTCTAAAATATTCAAAGTTTCCTTACATACACACAATATATTGTCATCATCCCTTCCCTAAAGCATGTATGTCATATGTGTATATATACACATACACACATACATATGGATTAACAACAGCAGCAAACACATAGCTTTTCCTATGTGTAGGACACTGTTCTGAATATTTGACATGTATTAACTCACTGAATCCTCACAGCAACCCTCTGAGGCAGGAACTACTATCTCCATTTAAAGATGAAGAAAAGGAGTCACAGAGAGACCAGGTAACTTGGCCCAGCCCACACAGCTGGAAAGGGTCAAACCCGGACCCTACCCCAACCTCATGCTTTTGTTTTGTTTTCTTTTGTTTTGAGACAGAGCCTCACTCTCTCGCCCAGGATGGAATGCAGTGGCACAATCTCAGCTCACTGCAACCTCTGCCTCCCAGGCTCAAGCGATTCGCCTGCCTCAGGCTCCCAAGTAGCTGGGATTACAGGCCTGTGCCACCACACCGGGCTAATTTTTGTATTTTTAGTAGAGACAAGGTTTCGCCGTGTTGGCCAGGCTGGTCTTGAACTCCTGACCTCAGGTGATCCACCTGCCTTGGCTTCCCAAAGTGCTGGGATTACAGGCGTGAGCCCCCGTGCCCGGCCCCAACCCCATGCTCTTAACCACACCACACACCTGGGCTGAGAGGTGTGAAACCTGGTGACTTTGCCATCTTGGACAAGTTGCTTAACCTCTTCATTTAACTTCATTTTTCCTCACGAGTAAAATGAACATGTTGACTACATGATCTCTAAGATTCCATGGCCTGTGCCCATGAAAAACCGCAAGAGTCCTTCATGGTTGTATGTTCTACAGGCTTTGATATGTGTTTTTACCCTGGCTGGGGAGCAACAGATTTCTAGACTTCTCCCCCTCTAGTTCTCCTGATGCTGCTTTGGGCAGGTTCAGATATCTTCAGTGCTAAATCCAACTGCATTTTTTGTTCTTTATGTTGCTCAACTCTGAAGCTGGTCTAGTACTCCGCAGGCTCCTCTCCCATTCTGGGCCTGACTCCTCCTCTGTTCCTGGGCTTGCTCTCTGCCCTTTCTGCTCTTTCTACTCCACACATTCTCCCTGGGTGACCTCACCCACATCCATGGCTTCAATTTTTGTAATTTGTTTGCTAACGAATTTATATTCAAGACCTAGTCCTGGCTGGGAGCAGTGGCTCATGCCTATTATCTCAGCACTTTGGGAAGCTGAGGTAGGTAGATCCCCTGCAATCAGAAGTTCGAGACCAGCCTGGCCAACGTGGCGAAACCCCAATAATTAGCCGGGTGTGGCGTTGGGTGCCTGTAATCCCAGCTACTCGGGAGGCTGAGGCAGGAGAATCGCTTGAACCTGGGAGGTGGAGGTTGCAGTGAGCTGAGATCACGCCATTGCACTCTAGCCTGGGCAACAAGAGCGAAACTCCGTCTCGGGAAAAAAAAAAAAAAAAAAAAAAAAGACCTAGTCCTCTTCCCTCACTCCAGACCTCTCTATTTACCTGCCTATGAGCTACTACACCTGGAAGTCTAAAGTGTTTAAGATAAAGTCATCGCTTAGATACCTGCCCCCTGCTTTCCTTATTGGACTGCTTGTCTCTACCTAATTTCCCAGAGAAATTCTTTTCTACCTACCCCTACACCCTGTCTACTGCTCTCTAATTCTTTTTTGCTCCATCTGCACCTCCTTTCCTTCCATTTAGACCCTCATCTACTACTCATTTAAGTTTCCATAACTACCTTCCCTGCATTAGTTCTGCCTGCCCTCGGTCAAAGGCCCATACTGTGGCCAGATCTTTATAAAAATACAATCACATCAAAGCCACATCTCCACTTACAACTCTTAAATGGCACTCAGGATAAAGTACGTACAAGAATCTTTCTCAGTTTCTCCTTCAGCTCTGTCATTTCCCTTTGTCCATCTCTGTACCACTCCAAACAGCCCTGAACTAACTGCAGTTCCCCAAAAGGTCTGTGCATTCGCCCTCTGGGCTGTTCTTTCTGGGACAGGGAGCTTCCCACAACACTCACCTAGCCATCTCTACTCATCTTGCCTTCAGACCCCTCCTCTTCCAGCCTTCTCTGCTTGGCTATCCCACTTGCCCACCTCTTTTCCAGGTTCATGCTCCATTCTGCACACTCTCTGCCATCCTACATGGACCCCTAAAATCCCAGCATTTCTAACATTGGTCAGAGACTCCTTTATAGCTCTGCAAAACTAGCAAGTAAGTTCCTTCGGGACAGGATCACATCTCTTTTGCCTTGAACCATCGAATTAATTGTCTGGCAAATAGAATACGCAATGAATGAATGCTGTTAAATGAGTAAGTATGTAGACAATTCATAAACTTATACAGACCTAATTGTGTACCACAGAAAGACCCAGCTTTAAATAATCACACAGAGTAAAATTATTTCCAGTATCGACATGCCTTGCTTTACCATTGTTTAATTTAATTTTGTATTTCCCAGGTAAGTAGTAGATAAGTGTCTGAATGGAAGGAGGGTAGGGATGAATATTGTATTTCTATTTGGCTATAAAATTATATTTCTCATCAACCAAAAGTCTTAGTTTCTAAAGCATTTCAGTCACCCTCCCTTATGGCACATAACGTATTTTAATATCATCATTATATGTAGTATTTTGAATATTACCTAGTGGCTAAGGGCAAAGGCTTTGGAACCAAACTAATTGGACCTGAATCCTGACTCTACCACTTAGTAGCTGTATGATCTTGAATTAGTTACTTAACAAGCTACTAAAGTTTGCTTCAATTTCCCATCTGTAAAACGGAGATTATAAGTGAAACCACTTCATATTATTATTGTTAAGATCGGAGCTTAAACAGTGCTTGGCATATAGTAAATGCTCAACAAATGTTAACAATTATTAATTATTTTTATCTCTTCTAGTAGACCGTGAACTTCTGAAAAGCAAGGACAGCAGAAGTATTCATTTCCAGGACCTCATCTCCCCAGTGCCTTGCACAAAGTAACATACTAGGCTAATGTCTGCAGAACAGATGAATATAATGAAGTATTCATGGCAAAAAAAAGTGCATTAACAATTATGATGGCTGGTATGAATGGAATTGCTCCAACAATTTGGAAGCCTGTGGAGAACAGGGACTACCCAGAACACTAGAACCCTGCTCATGGAGATTTGGAAGCTCACTTAACCTCCGTGGAATATGCAAGACTCACAGACAAAGAGGGCAGCTGAGTGACAGAGGAGACCCATGTGGGCCTGAAGAGCTGGCTGGCTGAGCCTCCTGCCCTTCCGTTAAGAAGCTGCAAGGCCTTGGGGCAAGGAGTTTCACCTCTCAGGCTAATTAATTTCCTCTTCCAATTAAGAGGGAGTGGGACTGTGATTTCTGTTTTTCTTTTTGAGATAGGGTCTCACTCTGGAGCCCAGGCTAGAGTACAGTGGTATGACCTCAGCTCACTGCAGTCTCTACCTCCCAGGCTCAAGTGATCCTCCCACCTCAGCCTCTTGAGTAGCTGGGACCACAGATGCATGCTACCATGCCTGGATAGTTTTTAAAAGATTTTTCGTGGAGACGAGGTCTCACTATGTTGCCCAGGCTGATAACAAACTCTTGGGCTAAAGTGATCCACCCACCTCAGCCTCCCAAAGTGCTGGGATTACAGGCGTGAGCTGCAACATCCAGAAGGAGTGTGATTTCTAAGGACTCTCCTAGCAACTTTGGGAGTCTACAGAATGACCAGATGAAAAATGAAGCCAAGAAAGGTGCTTTTGGAGTAAAAGAACCACATCAAAGTCAACACAGGAAGCATCAGATGATTGTATCACATGGGATTATTGAGTAGGAATTGGCAACATTTGAAACATAAAATTTGAAACATGACAAAAAGTAAGATTTTTGAAACATGCTTAGGATGAAAAGATCTAAACTTATAAAATCAAAAGAAAAGCAATGACGGGTGTCCGCTCTAGGTTTCTATTTAATTCCCATTAGCCTATAAGTTTCTTGAGGGCAGTGAATGTGCCTTGATAAGTGGCAGTGTTTGACAAAGCTGTTCAATAAAAATACATTTATTCTGTATCTTTTTTCTGAGCACATGGCTAAACTACATTTCCCAGGCTCCCTTGCAATTAAATGTGGCCATATAACTAGCCCTCAAGTAAAGAATGTGAGAGGAAGTGATGGTGGCACTTCCAGGCTAAGGTATTTTAAAAGTGGGTGTGCCCCGTCTACTCTCTGTTGCCCCTTCTGTAAACTGAAACAGGTTACGATGATAAGCTATGGGATGGTGGAGCTACAAGATAGGGGTGTGGGACCCAGAGTCACTGCATGGAGGAAAGCCACCTACCGACCAGAAACATGAATTTTTGACTATTAAATGAGCAAGAATAAACGTCTATTGCTTTTGAGCCATTATATATTTGCAGGCCTATTTGTTACACCTGCTAACATTAGCCTAATTGATACAGGTGTTGAGCACATACCAAAGACCTAACTCACATTTGTTTAATGTTAAATGAAACAGAATACCCGCTAAGATAAAACTTGGTAGGAAACAAGATAAGTAAGATAAGGTTCCTTTTATCAATGTGCTGACCAATTAATGGTGGAAATAGACTCATGCGAAACATAATGCCTGCTGCCAAAGTTTGAAACCAAAACATGATGATTTGTTTGGAAAGGAGAAGATGGAAACGGCTTCACAGAGGAGATGACATTTGAGCTGGGCCCCAAAGGTTAAAAAGGACTTCGAGCAAGTCAGATGGGGTTGGAGATTCCAGACCCAGGAGAAAGCAGAGTGTGCATTTGCTCACATTCAACCTTATCATTAAGTCTCTTAAACTTGGTCAACAGAGTGTGAGTTTATGTGCTCTGGCTTTCCTTCCTGGGTCTGGCATCAAACAAACGACCCTTTGTTTTTACAGTACACTCATTAACCCTATTGCTTTTTTTATCGTAAAAAGTTCCACGATGAATGTTCTTAAAAAGTGTGTAAGTAAATATTTAATGAATCATAACTCTTTTCTAATAAAATTACTGAAGACTAAACCTACAGTTCTGTTACTTATAAAAATAGTCGAGGAGCCATACTTTTAGGAAAGAACAGGTTCAACTTAAGTTTTGACAATATCGATTAAGCATGTAATAGTCACTGGCTTACAAAACGGAACATTAAGCCCCCAGATTTACATTAACATTTCTTCCTTAAAGGGAACATCAAATGGTTTAGACTTCAGTCAAGATTCTCTACAGCCCCAGTTCATAGCCAAGTGGCCTCAAAGCCTCAGATAGTTAAACCACTTCCTCCAAAAGTCTGTGAGTCCCTTCATCTGAATACAGGGTACCCATGGAGCAGGGACTGGGGAAGAAGACAGTACATAGGGTGGAAAGTATTGCAGTTGCTTGGGTGGTGAGAAAGGAAGTAGGCGTCCCAAGACTACCTTGAAGCAGGCAAGAGGCAGTCTGCAGTGGTCTTCCAAATGCTAACTCTAGACCGTTTTATCCACGTCCCCAGGTATTTACTTCAATAAAAGGGTAAAACAACATCACTGGGCAGACAGGATTTCATTTCAAAAGACTTCAGTACAGTGCCCTCTTAGACTTGAGAGAAGAAGCCATTCAGGCTGCCTCCCTCTTATCAAATAACAATTTAATTCTGATTCAGAAACAAAATTCTTGTGACCCCCACACCAATCTACTCTACCCCAGCTCTTAGTACTTGTTCCCAAAAGGACAGGGGAAAGAACGAGGGGATGGGGAGGCTACCTTAAAAGTAAAGCAACTCTTAAGACTGCTGGGATAACTGTTCCCTTAAATCTAAGAAACACTGCAGCTGCCAGTCAACACTACCGGTCTCTGAACACAGCAAAATGCCGACACCTGCCACCCGGCATCCGGGGGTTCTTTTATTTTTTGGTAAATGTGGCAGGAAAGACTCAGAGAGATCAACTGCTTCATGGGAAAGAAAGGGAAGCCCCAGGGAAGAGAGACAAGAAGCATCGTGCCTATCCTAGGGTACTTTGTGTGTCTCCTCTCTATGCACTGAAAGGGCTCTTTGTGTCACACTCACACTCACACACCCGGCGAGTCTGTGTGATTTATTGGGGGAAGGAGGGGCAAGAAGGGTGATTTTATTATCCCTCTTCCCAGTGAGTCCCAGCACATCTCTGCTGGGCCCAAGCTCGGTGGCCTCCTTCTGGCCCAGTCCCCTCCGCCTGTGGCCGCAGAGATAACAGAGGGGAGGAGCCCAAACAAAAACAGCCATGGATCTAGGGAAGTAGAGAGGAAATCCAGCGAGGGAGCCGGAAAGGAAGGAGAAAAGAGCTGGAGGGAGCAGAGGGGTGGGGGACAGAGGAAGAGGAGGGAAGGCTCCAGCACAGGGGAAAGGGGAAGGGTGGGTGGGTGGTGGCACAGGAAGAGTGAAGGGGAGGATGGGGGAAGTGCAAGGGAGGTGCCAGAAATAGGCAGGAGGATGGGTTGGAGAAGGCGACCGCCGCCGAGGGAGGAGGCCGAGAGGTGGAGGAGTGGGGCAGGGGTTGGGTGGGGAGGGAAGCAGCACGGGGCATCAATTATTAAGTGATTACATCATCCCTGACATTAAAACAACACACACAGCCCCAGTCCCCGCGGGGGGCCCCAAAAGGAGGGCGGGGGCGGAGTCTGGGCCAGCCTCGCCCCCAAGCCAATTCCCATTTTCACCCGGCGCCCGCTTGCGGGCGAGGAAATGGGGTCCCCATCCCCGCGCTGCCTCGGGGCCGCACCCCGCAGGGGTGTCCTCCGGTGCAACCGCGGGAAGACCCCAAGCACCGACTCCCCGGCAGCCCCGCGGAGCGCCCTGGCGGCCAAGGGACCGCAGCACCGGGCCCTGCGGCGGGGGCGGCGTGCGCGGGGGCGCCGGCGGCCGGGCTTCTCCGCAGCATCCCCGAGGCCTCCCGCGACGCATCCCCGCCGCCTGCTTACCTGCGCGGCGCTGAGGCTCCGGAGCCCACTCACATGGTCCTCTCCCCGCCCTCCTCCGGCGCGGCCGAGGCGGCTCCGGGGGGTCCCCGGCGGGCCCGGGAGCCGGTGGGCCTTCCGAGAGCACCGAGGGGGCGGCGCCGGGGTGTCCCCGGCCCGGCGGCCGAATCCCTCCCTGGCGCGGGCGGCGGCCGCCGGGCGGTGCGGCGCGGGCGGCGGCTTTGTGTGCGCCCGGGCGGTCCTCGGTGCGCTGGGAGAAGCGCGGCGCGCCCGGGCGGGAGAGGACGCGCCGCTCGCACAACAACCTCGCCTCTACTCTCGCCGCCGGGCGGCGGGCGGGTCTCGAAGGCCTTCGGCTCGCGGCGACCCCTCCTCCTCGCCCGCGGCAGCCCCCTCCTCGCCGGCTCCGCTCCTGACAGATGGCGCAACTGCAACGACGCGCCGCCGCCACCAGCGCGGCTGCTCGCTGCTACTCTTGCTGATGCTCTGCCCCTCCAGCTCCGGAGGGGAGCGAGGAGGGGGCGGGGCGCGCCTCGAGAGTGACAGGCCCGGCTGCCCTATCAAAGAGCCCCTTGGGAGCTGCGAGCCGCAACCATTGGCGCCTGGGGCGTGGGCGGGACGGCAGTAGGTGGGGCCGCCGAGTGGGTTGAGCGTTACTGTGGCAGCGGGCATCCCAGGGTGCGTGCGGTGCAGGGTGTGCAAGAAAATGCGAGGTTGGAGGAGGAGGTCTGTGTGTTTTTAAGGATTGTGTGGAGTTGTGAGGTGGCGGAGTAGGGCGGGAGAAAGAGCGGAGAGTGTGAACTGCAGTTTCCGCTTTGCGGAAGGTTGCAGCTGCTGCTGCAGATTGGCACCTGCCATTCCCCCAAAACCATGGGAAACTGCCTCGAGACAGGGCTATCTTGCCTTTCTGGTGTCTTTTCATTTGAGGGTGAGAGGATGAAATGGAAAATTGGGCGGTGATAGCAGCGTTTTCTTTGATCAAACTGAAAAGAGTACGGAGCAAAGTAGAATCCTGTCCTGAAACGTGGAAACGCACAACAAATAACAATGAGGAGGAGAAGGAGATTAGGATCATTTTATCAGTCCCCTATTTCTGCGGACACTCATTTATATTTTTTTTCTAGCAAAAGTCTGGAGGAAGTATTACTGAAATAGGGGGAGGGGCCAAGCGGCGACTAAGGAACCTGAAATGACAGAGATTTGTTCGTACATTCCCCGCCCCACCCCCAAAAAACCTCGTTTAATTGTAGTCATTGGTTGTCTTTGGTTTCTCATAACATTCAAACTTCTCATGTTTTTTTCCCCTTCACTGAATCTGAGCTTTTGCTCATATTTCCCTTGATGAAATAATTGCCGGTTTAGTATACAGTTGGGAGTGCATCGGTCTTTATTTCCTATCCAGCTTTTCTATGGCAGGATGTAACTTCATAAAAAGAAACACTTTGGCTTCCTGATTTTCTTTATAGGTAATTCCTGTTTACTGAAAGTTCTGCTTTAAGGCATACTCAGAATCGCTCTCCTTAATGATTTTGGCAAGAACCCTACCTTCCCCCTCAGCAAATCTAATGTTCTAAGAAATTATAAGTGAATCAGCTTCTGCTTCTGTGCTCAAAATCTATAATATTGCCTTTCCGGCCCACTACTTGTTTTTACTGTAGTTTAAAAAAATCTGTCCCTTTTGCTGACTTTTTTCTTTTTGTACACACTACTTTTTAAGAAAAGTTGCTAACATTTATTAAATGATCTGCATCCTATGGAGGAGGAAACTGAGGAAAAGAAAAGTTAAGTAACTAACTCAAGGTGACAGTATACAGAGGTTACTGGATTTTTTTCCTTTTCCTTAAACAAAATGACAAATTAAACCATGTTTAAATTGTGTCTGGAAATTCCATAATCCCAAGAAATGGAACCATAGCTAGGACTAGGATATTTCCATACAAGAGAAAGCCAGCTTCATTTAGCCAAGAATTGCTTATCTCAAGAGCAGAGGCTCTTCGTCCTCAGGGCTAGTCCGCAATGGCTGCTCTGGGTTTATTTGGATTGGGATGCAGAGGCAGTTGGGTAGAGCAATGGTTCTCAAACTTTGACATGTATCAGAAATAACTGAAGGGGCTTGCTTAAACATGAATTGCTGTGTTTAACCACCTGAGGTTCTGATTTAGGGGGTTTGGGATGGTGCCCAAGAATTTGCACATTTAGCAAGTTCCCAGGTGATGTTGATACAGCCAATCTGGAGACAGCACCTTGAGGACCATAGTTCTAGAATTGGGCTGTCCGAGGAGGTAGCCACTAGCCACATGACTGTTAAGTACTTGAAATGTACTTCAGTATTGGAAATTTGGCTACTGCAAATTAGGATGTGCTGTAAATGTAAAAGATGTATTAGATATTTCAGATCAAGCATGAAAAATGGAATGTAAAGTATCCCATTTTAATATTGATTACATGTTAAAATGATAGTCTAAATGTACTGTGCTAAATAAAACATTATTAGAGTTAATTAAATTGTTTCTTTTATTTTTTAAATGCGTCTACTAGAAAATTTTAAATAACCTATGTGGCTCAAGTTATATCTCTATCGGGCAGCACTGGTCTGGAGTTGTTTCTGATTCCAGCTCCACAGTTCACTGTTGGGAGCGCTTTGATGAAGCAAGTCGCTTATCCTTTTTGAACCTTAGTGTCCTCATACGTAAAATGGGAAAAATAGTAAAACTGTTCTCAAACTATTCCGGACAGACTAAGTGTCATATGCTCTCAAGAAAAAAACACTCTTAGGCTATATATCTCCTTGAAATCTCATGTTTAGTTCAATCTATCTTACGCTAAATCTGGAAATCTGGAGTAGGTGGGATAAGTCCTCTCTCTCTCTCTCTCTCTCTCTCTCCCTCTCTCCTCCTCTCTCTCTGTTTCTTCACGAGAAGTCACTTCTTAGTGTCTGCAACTGTAATAGCTTCTTGATCTAATTAGTGGACAAAGAGACAATGTGATTAAAATGACAGATTAACCTGCTCCCATCAAGACTTCATCCTGTTTTTTGTAATTCTTTGCTTACCTACTTTTTTATCTGTTGCCCGTCTTAAATGTAGCTTTAAATGGATTTGGACTCCTCAGGAGGATTTGCTAATGGTCTGAACAAGTGAATAGAGCACTGCAAAAGATTTGTATACTATTCCCGTTTTGATCTTTTCTGCCAATCTCTACCAAGAACTTGATTAAAGATCTGAGACGCTGTCCCTGGCCTACCCAAGGTAAGTAATATTGTCTTCCACAACCACCAGTTTTGTTTTCTTATGAGTAGCTTCTATTATACAAATTAGAATGTAGTCATTGTTCTAGAACTTCTCTTTGATTTTATTGATATTGTTTATATATTTTGTATTTTTCTACTTGTTTTACCTTAAAGTTTCCTCTTTCTATTCTGGCTTTCTTGAACTTGTCTCATCTGAATCTTATATCTTGCTTTTAAAGTAACTTTTTTTTCTTATTTTTATTAGCTAAAACATTTTCTTGTCTTATTATTTTATTTTAGTTTTAATCTTCTCTTAAATGTCAACTCAACAACAACACATATGGCAAGGGTAAAAACCCTCAATGTAGAGTTTTTACAAATCAACAAGAAAATAAAGATGAACGTTCGAACTGAAAAATATGTGCAACAGAAACAAAACCCAAAATGGCCAGTAAATGTGATAGGAGGTTCAACAGGAAAATGGATATCCATACCCTACTAGTGGAATTTTTAATTGGTACAACATTGCTGGAAGGCAGTTTAATAGCATTTGTGAAAAGCCTTTTAAAAAAATGTATACATTTGACTTAGCAATTTTACTTCTGGGAAAGAATGGAACAAATTTGCAAATACACAAACACAAGCGCACATATCATGGGAATAATTGGAACATTGTTTATAATAGTGAAACACTGAGAAAAGTTCATTGATAAGGGATTTGGTGTGTAAATTATGTTATATCTATAATAGAATACTATATAGCCATAAAATTATAACATTGCCATTTATTTATTTATTTGTGTGGAAAGATGTTCACAACAAATTAAAATTAAGAAGAGCTAATAAATTAGTATTGTGTTTGTATGTGTACATATGTATGTTTATATATATGTATTAATACACATATATTTCCATTATTTTTAAACTTATTTATATGTGTAAATTTTCATAGAAAGCAATACATACACAAAAATTTTAATGATCATTTCCTCCAAGTAATCATATTTTAGGTCATTGTTATTTTATTTTTTATCTTTTTCTTAATTTCCTCAACTTTTTACATTGGGCATTTATTATGTTATTAGAAAAAACAATAAAAACTTATTTTAAACTTGTACCTTTTTTTGCTACTTTAATTCTCGTTTTTCTTCCTCTGCCTCCTGTCTGCTGTTTTTCCTCCCTTTTGAAGGCATATTGCCCCAGGGTAGTGTTCAGGAATCAAGACCAGGACCAGAGGGAGGCCTTCTGCTTCCATCCACCCACAGACACCCTTCTTGTTTCTGGTGGGTCTTCTGGGACTTGCAGGAATGATTCTTATAAAACTTCACTTTGAGGCTAGGCATGATAGCTCGTGCCTGTAATCCCCGTGCTTTGGGAGGCTGAGGCCAGAGGACTGCTTGAGCCCAGGAGTTTGAGACCAACCTGGACAGCACAGCAAGACCCCATCTCTACAAAAAAAATAAATGCCAGGTGTGGTGGTGTACACCTGCCGTCTCATCTACTTGGGAGGCTGAGATGGGAAGATTGCTTGAGCCTGGGAGGTCAAAGCTGCAGTGAGCTCTAATTGCACTGCTGTAACAGAGTGAGACCCTGTCTCAAAACAAAACAAAATGAAAAAAACAAGCAAAAAAACCCCTTCACTCTTAGAGTGGGACACCACTGCTAAAGTGGCCCCAGGGCTAACCTGTCTGTACTTGGCATACCTGGTTCACTGTTTACCTCTTTCTTCTGATGCCTCATATCAAGTCCATACATAAAGAGTTACATATTTTTATATACACAATCTTTAGAACACAGCCAATGGATTTAGGGCATTTTGGGTCCACAGCTTGCCATGAGCCAGCAGGAGATGGTCCTGGAAAAATCTCATGTGGGAAGGACATTCCATACAACACCCCAGCCTGAACTCAGAAAGGAGCGTAGGTGATGTTAAACCTGCCTCTGGAAGGAAGATACCTGTGGCTCTTCTGAAGTTGAGATTCTGGCCCTACTTTTCTACCATTGTCTCTCTTGTTAAATTGTGTCCATACTGGACAGCTGGTCCTCCTGACAGGCCACAGCAGAGCCCTCTTGGCATTTGGCTTTCCAGTTCCCTTTTCTCTTAAAAAGATGGAGGGTGGACTGACTAGATAGGAGTTATTATGAACATGGTTTTAGAACCCAGGTGCACTGAACCTCTTTTGGATGCTCTCAACATGTCAGGGTCAGTACTGGGCAAGCCAGGCATGCTGGGGAGGAAGAGAGGCCTATATCCTAAACAGACCACAGGGAGGGTGAATGGGATGGCACTGACTGAAAATGCGCTTCTTTAATTCTTTGCCCGACTCCCCAAAGGTGGCTTGGATTATTAGCTTGTGAAGTTCAAGTGCCTGAGAATGGGTCTTAGTCAACCTTGGGGTTCTAGATGGAAACCCTTCTAATTTCATAGAGTTATCTCCCAACACACCTCCTGCAGGGACCCCATAGGAGCCTAACAAAGGAGGCTGTTCTGTCATAAGATGGCCTGTCCCTTTCTTCTGCATACTAACCAGCCATACCTTTCACTCTGGCCCTTTCTTGACTCCTCACTGTCTGCTATTTCCAAGCTCTACTCAGTGCAGTGATGGTATTTAAGACTCCTCCAGGGTGGTGGAGCCAATAGAACACCCCACACTAGTACAGAAAACTGGATCAGAAACCTTTGGACTCCCCTGTTTGCAGGAACAGGTTGATTAGGCCTGATCTTCTTTAGGTGAGCTGACCCTGACTTGACACTCCACGGGAGACCCTCAAGAGTGACACTGTGAGGCTAGCAGATGCTTTTCATTTTGTTTTTATCTGATAGAGCTCCTAGAGTGTGCCCTCAATGATTCAGTTATTTTCCTGGTCATAGCTTCTTGTAGTCCTAAAGAAAAAGAGATAATGCCTCAGCTTTCTAATTAGTTTAGTGATCTACATCTGTGTGAAATGTGGACTTTATGACATTTATCTTGCTACTTTCAAGAATTCAAATATTCTGTCTGTCAAGTTGTCAAGGGAAAAAATGAACTGAAGGAGGAGGAAATTATTGTATCAGTCAAGGTTCTTGGTTGCAAGCATCGAAAACCTACTATGTCTGACTGGGCACCGTGGCTCACACCTGTAATCCCAGCACTTTTGGAGGATGAGGCAGGGGGATTGCTTGAGCCCGGGAGTTCGAGACCAGCCTGAGCAATATCATGAACCTCCATCTCTATAAAAAATACATAATTAGCCAGACAAGATGGCGTGAGCCTGTAGTCCCAGCTACATGGGAGGCTGAGGTGGGAGGATCACCTAAGCCTGGGAGGTTGAGGCTGCAGTGACCTGCAGTCCAGCCTAGGCGACATGATAAGACCCTGTTTCAAAAACAAAACAAAATGACAACAACAACAAAACACAAAAACCAACACAAAGAAAACCCTACTATGTCTAATTTAAGCAGAATAGGAATTTTTTTAGGAAGCTATTGGTTGGCTCATAGAATCAATTGGAAGACTTAAGAACCAGGCTCAAAAAGAAAAAAAAAAAAAAAGAGGGAACCAGGTATCACTACCCAGGGGCAGAATTGAGAGCTGGTTAGGACACCTCTGCTGGTGTCCTCATTCTACCAGAGACTTTTGCCACTGCCAAGGGGCAACACCACCGGATGTAGATTCCAAGCCGTCTCTTTATCCTTGTGTCACTTGCTGAAGATTCAGATTCCTAGGTGGCAGCATCCAATATGCTGGCCATACCCCAGCTGCCAGCCAGGGTAGGAGGGAGTTGGGGGGCAGGAGGCGGAGGAAGGGAAGGGAGATTTGTATATTTTCAGCTTCTGTGGGAAATGGTCAGATAATTTTGCTCCACCCAACTCAGATAATAGGACTCTCCCCCCTCAAAAAAAGGGCGACGAGATGCTGGGCCAGAATTTAAAAATGACAAATGCCCACTGCAATTGGTCACCCAGATCTCTGTGAACCTCAGTGATCCATGATTGAGTGTCCCTATTCATTTAACAGGAATTTCTTCCTTTCCAGTCTGTCCCCTAGGCCCACCCTTACATTCCCTTAGCAAGGTACACAATATTTGTTGAACATAATGTTTAACATGAATGATCTTTCAACTTTCAGTTATTCTACATTTCCCAAGGGAGAGTTAATTGTCTCTGAGAGTGAATGCCAGGATTTATGACACATCTTGTAGGGATGTGAAGCTTCTCAGGAATGGGAAGATTGATGGGTTTTCTTATGCTTTCTCCTACCCTGATAATCTGCATATGAGGTTCTGTCAGTCTTCCTTTCTTCCTGTTTATTATCCTTCTTTATGTAGGAAACACTCTTGTGTGGGTACCAGCTCACAGTGATTCCTCTCTTCTGGGAATAGCTCCCAGTGCCCAGGAGTGTCCGGGATGCCATGTCTATATCAAGTGACCCTGTAGTACCCCATCCTAGCTGATATGGTTTGGCTGTGTCCCCTCCCAGATCACATTTGCATTATAGTTTGCATAATCCCCACATGTTGTGGGAGGGACCTGGTGAGAGGTGATTGAATCATGGGAGCAGTTACCTTCATGCTATTCTTGTAATAGTGAGTAAGTTCTCATGAGCTCTGATAGTTTTATAAGGGGGTTCCCCCTTTGCTTGATTCTCATTCTTCTCTCTCCTGCCTTCTTGTGAAGAAGGACGTGTTTGCTTCTCCTTCTGCCATGATTGTAAGTTTCCTGAGGCCTCCCCAGCACTGTGGAACTGTGAGTCAATTAAACCTCTTTCTTTTATAAATTACCAAGACTTCGGTATGTCTTTATTAGCAGTGTGAGAATGGACTAATACACTAGCTATAGCCAAATGACCAGGGATAGACACTTATCCCTGAATGAGCCAAGTATTATTTACCAAGAATTTGAAAACTGGATAAGAGAGATACAGAGCTGGGTATATTAGCCAGCTAAACAAATTAGTAAACTAAAACCAACTTCTGTAACAAACAATCCCCAAATCTCAGTGGTTTTACATAATAAAGATTTACTTCTCTCTAAAGTCACAGTCCATTTGGGTTTTGATGGACAGTTATTCTTAAAGTGATTCAGGGACCTAGGTTCCTTTAACCAGGATTTCACTGGATCCTATTTATATGACTGGGAAACAAGGAAGGAGAGGGAATTGCATGGCAGATTTTAGGGGTCAGGTCTAAACATGACATACATCATTTTTGCTCACTTTCTGTTGGCCAGAACTAATCACACAGCCACACCTGTAGGCATGGGAGCTGGGAAATGTAATCTAGTGGTGTTCCCAGGAAGAAAAGGAAATGGCTTTGGTCAGTATCTAGTCTGTGTGCCACATTGAGAGATGGTAAAATTGAGCAGCACTCTGGGGAAACAATACATAGATATGCATTTTACATAGATACAAAATATGTCTTACATAGATATACAGTACAAAAATTTGAGATAATATTAAAACTTGGAAGTAATATCAGCTATCCTTCTCTAAATTTCATTTTGGCTGTTGCTTTACTGATTTGGCTAGCATTACGTTTTTGTTTGTATTATAACGTAGCAGTCCTCATCAAGCCAGACACTAGGACGGCAAGAGATATTTTTGCCAGGTACATGTCAAAAAGCACTAATTCTAAGTTAGCATCTATCTGTTGATAGTATATGAAGGGCAAAACTTCTTTCTTGAGGAATCTTAGATGCAATTTTTGTTGCTTATAAATGTTAAAGTTTCATCCTCATGGATATACTTTGAAAATCCCTTAGTCCACCATACTCTTCACCCACTCCCTATTGTCTCCAGATTTGTGGAAACAGATTCTGGGTCAGCTATACTAAAGTGGAAGATGAGAGGAAATAAACACTTTCTACTAAGTCTACAAAAGAATTGAATCTATTTTAAGCCACTATCTATTGCAAGTTTCTCAATTTATTTAACTAGTTACCTATTGATGGACGTATAAGATGCTTCCAATGTTTTGTGATTACAAATATGCTGAAATTCTTGTCCTTACACGTACATCATTTTATACATTTATAAACATATCTGTCTACCTTGGACATGAGAACACATGTATTGGCTAGATATTAGGATATTGTAGTGAGTTCAAAATGAACTCACACAGATATAGTTTATAATATATAATCTATGTTTATGTATGTATTTATCTCTATATAAATATATGTATATTTTTACATAGATGTATCTTGTATATATATATGTGAAAATACCTGGGACTGGCTGTCTGAACCAAAAAGAGCAGAAATAGTTACTTGGGATGTGTGAATTTGGCAAGTACAGGTATAGAAACTCAAATCTCTGTTACATATTGGAGGTTTAATTTTTCTAGCTTGCAAATCAAGGTCAACCACCCAATGGCAGCCAGAAGAGATCTCAAATAGACATAAATTATTCATGAGCTTACAGAAGTTAAACTCATTTTACCCCAAGAGAATCAAATTTACTAAGAATGGTCTGTTAAAAAATCAGAAAATATCCTGTAATCCCAGCACTTTGGGAGGCCGAGGCGGGCGGATCACGAGGTCAGGAGATCGAGACCATCCTGGCTAACACGGTGAAACCCCGTCTCTACTAAAAATACAAAAAATTAGCCGGGCGTGGTAGCGGGCGCCTGTAGTCCCAGCTACTCGGGAGGCTGAGGCAGGAGAATGGCGTGAACCCGGGAGGCGGAGCTTGCAGTGAGCCGAGATCGCGCCACTGCACTCCAGCCTGGGCGACAGAGCGAGACTCAGTCTCAAAAAAAAAAAAAAAAAAAAAAAAAAAAACAAAAAAAAACAAAAAAATCAGAAAATATTTCATACAGACGCAAAACTGAAATTTATTTCATCCTGCATTTCATTTATCATTTATTTCAATGAATTGGCTTTGGATAAGCCATAGGCATTCCCCAAATTCTTTCTGTCTGTCTTTCAATAAAAAGAGGAACATTCAATTTCTATTCAAAACTGAAATTAGACAAAGACACTCTTTTCACCACTAATACTTAACATTGTTCTGAAAATTCTAGTAAATGTAGTAAGACAAAAAGAAGAAACCATAAATATAAATGACAAAGTGGTGACAAAATTCTATCAATTCCTGTTAATGTAATTATCTACCTGGAAAGACCACGAGAATCAATTGAAACACTATTAAAACTAATAAATGAATTCACTATGGAGCCAGTTGCCAAAGATCTTGAGGATGGGTTCCAAAAACAGTGAGTTAGGTGAAAGTTGTGCATAGTCAAAATCACCTTTGAAAATTATCCAAATTGCCCCTGAAGTGCTGTATACATGAGGGGTTTTGTATACAACTCTGGATGCAATTTCTGTATAGATATATAAAATATATAGTAATTTGCAGCATGTACGAGTATATATGTAAAACAACTTAACAATACTAATTTTTGCACACCAAAAACTTGTGTTTGAATATATTTTTATTTATATATATGGGAAATGCCACAGACAAAAAAATGAATAATTTTCCTATATATCTAGTGAGAAATTATAATTTTTAAAAGTTTTTTGGTTACAATGGCAACCAAAAATAAGTAGTGGTCACATCTTGGTTTGGGCTCTCCTAGTGGTAAACCCTGAGACAAAGATGAGTGTTAGAGTTGCTTGTTGAAAAGTGAACCCAGGAAACCCAGTCTGGGAATGAGGGTAGGAAGAGAAGGAAGTCCACAGATGGTGAATTATGAAGCCAGTACTCCTGGGGGCAAATAGAGTGTCACCTCACTGAGTCCCCTCCGGGAGACACTGTGAGTATACATCACAGTCATTCCAGCAGAAGGCAGAGGAAGCCGGGTGTTCACTCACTGTGTTAGTGAGTGTTCTACACAGAAACAGGACGCACATATGTATATGATTTGCTATAAGAAATTGGGTCATGAGATTATGGAGGCTGAGAAATCCCATGATCTACTATCTGCAAGCTGGAGACCCAGGAAAGCTGGTGATGTAGTTCTGAAAGCAAGAGCGCTAATGGTATAAGTCCCAGTCAAGGGCAGGAGAAGACTGATGTCCCAGCTCAGCAGTCAGGAAGAGAGAGTGAATACCCTTTTCCTCCACCATTTTGTTCTATTCAGGCCCTCAAGGGATGGGATAATGCCCTTCTACATTAGAGAGGGCAATCTGCTTTACTCAGTCAACTAATTCAAATGCTAATTTGACCTGCAGGCACCCTCACAGACACACCTAGAAATAATGTTTAATCTGGGCACCCCATGTCCACGTCAGGCTGACACATGAAATTAGCAATTGTACCCACATAATTCCCCACTGTTATTGGTTAGAGGCTATTTCTAGGGACACAAACTCCAGATTTCCAGCTTACCCTGCTAACATCCCAATGGCCAGAAAAGATCCCTCATAGAGCGCAGGCATGCACTGGAAGCGGCCCTGGCAAGTGGGAGGGTATTTGGTAAGTCAGTCACTGGCAGAGTCTACCATGTTAACACAAAAAGAATAGGATCTACATGTAAAAACCACACATTTTTACTGAGAATCATAAAAAAGATTTAAATGGAGAGGTGGACCAAGTTCCTGGGAGGAAATACTTAATAATGTTAAGATTTCAATTTTCCCAAATTAAACTATAAATCAAATTCAATTCCAATTAGAATTCTACTGGGTCTTTTTTTTTCTTTTAAGTTTATCTGGAAGGAAAAAAATGAATAAGAACAGATAAAAAATTTTTGAAAACTTGGATGTAGTCAATGTCACCCTTGAGAATTCTTTAAATAATGAGAGGGTATTGCTCTTACCAGATAATAAAATAGAGTAGTACTGGTGCAAGACTAGTAAAGACAAGCACAGAAATCCTAAAAATTGCAAGAACACACCCAAATGTTTATAAGTGTGTAATATATATTACATATGACATTTCACATAAGCCATAAATGAAAGGAATATTGAATAAATATTGTTGGGATAAGTTAAATCTTACATCATGTCATATAGTAGAACAAATTCCATATAAATTTAAGATTGAAATGTAAATAAAATAAAAATATTAAGTACCAAACAGAATAAAATGAAGGTTAATATTTATGGACTCTCAAAATGGGAAAGTCCTGCCTCAGCTTGACACCCAAGATAGAATCTGAGAGGAAAGAAATGGTAGAATTGAGTACATAAAATTGAAAACATCTAGGCCCGAATAAAACGGAATAAAAGACAAAAGGGAAAGGATTAATATACTTAATATATACAGTGCTTGAAATTATTGAAAATCAACAAGAAAATATTAAAACACCAATAAAAATTTAACTGGGCAAAATAGCCATTCACCCATTATTTAACTAATATTTCTTGAGAGCCTGTTATATGGGAGGCATTGTTCTAGGCAATGAGTATATGCTGGTGAAAAAAATGACATCATGTCTGCTCTCCCAGATCTTAGAGTCTAATAGGTGAGACATAGCTCATAAGAAACAAATATATCTGTAATTACAAACTGTCATAAGTACTATGAGGGGATCAAATAAGGCAGAGTAACGGAGAATACTGAAGGGAAGTACTTTGATAGAGTGGTCAGGAAAGGCCTAAGTCCTTTAGGATGAGAAGGAGCTTGCTAGGTAAGACGGTGGGAGGAAGTGAAAAAAACATTCCAGTAAGAGGAATCAGCACGTGCAAAGGCCCTGGGGTGGCAAATGCTTAGTGATACAAGAAACAGAAAGGAGGCCTGGGTGGAAAGGGAGAGGGCAAGCAGAGTGGTAAGGAATGAGCTTGAAAAGATGGATAAGGGTCAAGTTATGCAGAGCTTTCTAGATCATGATAACTAGTTTGAAACTTTATAAATTATGGGAATCCAATAAAGGGCTTTAAGCAGGAAAATAACCTTATCAAATTTTACACTAAAAAAAAATGTTTTGTGAATGCTACATGGACAATAGATTGGAGGGATGTAAGTATAAACAGGGTGGCCAGATGGGAAATTGTGGTGGGGTTTAGACTAGCCTAGGTAATGTTGACTGTGACTGAGGTTTATAGAGTAGAGGGAGAGGAGCAGATGGGTCAAGATATATTTTGAATGTAAAACCCCAAACCATAAAAACCCTAGAAGACAACCTAGGCAATACCATTCTGGACACAGGAATGGGCATTCAAGATGAAGATGCTAAAAGCAATTGCAACAAAAGCACAATTTGACAAATGGGATCTATTTAAAGTAAAGAGCTGCTGACAGCAAAAGAAACTATCAACAGAGTAAAAAGACAACCTACAGAATGGAAGAAAATTTTGCAGTCTATGTGTCAGACAAGAGTCTAATATCTAGCATCTATAAGGAACTTAAACAAATTTACTAGAACAAAATCAAACAACCCATTAGAAAGTGGGCAAAGGACATGAACAGATACTTTTCAAAAGAAGACCATACATGCAGCCAACAAGCAAATGAAAAAAAACTCAACATCACTGATGATTAGAGAAAAGCAATTTAAATTGCAATGAGATACCATCTCACAACAGTCAGAATGGCTATTACTAAAAAGTCAAAAAATAACAGGTGCTGTTGAGGTTGTAGAGAAAAAGGAATGTTCATATACTGTTGGTGGGAGTGTAAATTAGTTCAACCAGTGTGGAAGACAGTGTGATGATTCTTCAAAGATATAAAACAAAACTACCATTTGACCCAGCAATCCCATTACTAGGGATGTACCCAAAGGAATATAAATCATTCTATCATAAAGACATGCATGTGTATGTTCACTTTAGCACTATTCACAATAGCAAATACATGGAATCAATCTAAATGCCCATCAGTGGTAGACTGGATAAAGAAAATGTGGTACATATATACCATGGAATACCATACAGCCATAAAAAAGAACGAGATCATGTTGTTTGCATGAACATGGATGGAACTGGAGGCTATTATCCTTAGCAAACTAATGCGGGAACAGAAAACCAAATACTGCATGTTCCCACTTACAAGGGAGAGGTAAATGATGAGAACATGTGGACACATAGAGGGAAGCAACACACACTGGGGCCTACCAGAGGGTGAAGGGTCAGTAGAAGGAGAGGATCAGGAAAAATAACTAACGGGTACTAGGCTTAATACCTGGAGGATGAAATAATCTGTACAACAAACCCCCGTGACACAAGTTTACCTATGTAACAAACCTGCACATGTACCCCTGAACTTAAAATAAAAGTTTAAAAAAAGATATATTTTGGAAAGAGAAACAATAGGACTTGTTTACGAGTGGGAAAGGAAGGTGAGGGAGCAACCAAGAATAACCCTCAGGTTTCTGACCTAAGTAGCTCTGAAAATGGTGATGACATTTTCTGTGACAGGGAAGTCTGGGAGAAAAGCAAGGAGAGCTTATGTTTGTGTTAGAACATGTTAAAGTTGAGATTCCTGAGACATATTCAAGCAGAGATGTTATTATCAGTTGAATGTATGAATCTGGAGCCTGGTAGTGGGGGAGGGAGTTTGGGTTGGAGTTATAAATGAGGTAATTAATATCTGTGGTAATTAAAGTCATGGGAAACGAATGAGCTCACTTAGAAAGAGGACCTAGGACTGGGCCATGAGAGGTCAGGTAGAGGAGAAGACTGAGAAGGAACAGATAGAGAGGCAGAAAGAAAACCAGTCAGATGTGGTATCTGAGGAGGCGTGAGGAGAGTGTTTTCAAGTGGAAATGGTAAATGTTGTCAAATATTAGCCAAAGATCTAGGAAAATGAGATCAGAAAAATGAACCCGGGATTTCGTGAAGTAGAAGTCATTGGTGATTAGTTGGGGAGTGGGCTAAGACATCAAGGAACAGTGAGGAAGTGGACACAGAGAGTATATGACCTTTTTAGGAGGTTTAGTTCTGAAGGGGGTGCTGCAATACGCATGGCTCAAGACCAAAACACAAAAGTCCACAAACAAATGAAAAAGCATTTCACCACATGGAAAAGCAAATTCAAGTAGAAAAAGGAAATCTTTTTTAAAACAATTTCTATCAAATTGGCAAAATACTGGATATTTTCAAAGTGGGGGAGGGATGCGCTCTCCTCCAAACTACTATAAAGAGATGGTAAATTTATATAACATTTTTGGACTTAGCTTTGTATTAACCATTTTGACCAGCAATTTCATTCCTAAGAACACATCTGAGGAAACAATCATGGATCTGTGCAAAAATGGCTGTATTTTTTGGTCTCCGTATCATGTATGATAGTGAAATATTGGAAAACAACTGTGATAGCCAACAATAACAGACTGGCTAAGTTATAAAACAAACTCAGAGACAAATTACTGAGGACACTGCTGTGGTCCAATCAATCTATAGATTTCAATATTTCTGGGAAAGTATTGCCAGAATGTAAGACAAACCAGGCAATACTACTATAGAAAATATTTGATTGAAAAAAATTACTAAAAAGTTCTGACTTTGTGCAGGATTTGGCTACCTGAAAGGCCAAGAGTACATGAAATTACTTCAGAAATAAGGTTTTACAGATTACTTTAACAAGCACTCCATCATATTTACTACAACTAGCAGAGTAACCAGGTTCAATCTTGGGATTCTTGGTAGGATTCTCGTTAACAAGAAGCCATACATGAATTTGATTATTAATTCATTGGGGATTTCTCCTCTCCTTATCTTCTATCTTACAGTGCCCAATATCTTAATTTTTTCCAGCCTCATAGTCTTGGAGTTCTGCCTATATTTCTGGTAAATCTTTTAAGACTCAGCATTGCTCCAGGATTTATTCTTTTGAAATCTGTTAAGAGGGTTTCCTCTTCGCTAACCCCATGGTGCGTGTTCTTTCTTTCTTTGTGTTCCCATAGCTATTTTCACTGTGTCTTTCAAGTAGCACAATGCGGTGATGAGGAGAGGGAAACTGGCTGAGAATTTTGAAGATTGGAAAATTGGGTCGATGCCAAAAAGTAGGAGTCTATGTATCCCTTTTGCTCATTTACTTGCTCAGGTCACTGAGGACTGGAAAGGCTGAAACTGAAACAGTAGGAGGGTTATCTTTTGTCAACAGAAGCAAGCAAAGGCGCAGATTTGCACATTTAAAGCGGTATTGTAGCTATGTAATGTGATGAAAGAGAGCTCTCTCCGACAGTGGATCCGTGAAAATTGATACGTGGGGAAACAGCAGATCATTGCCAGAATTTTTAAAAAGATTCTTCTTCTTATTTAAAGTCAAACTCTGATTCCTCCTCATTTACTTTCTAGTTCATGATGTTTTCTACCTCAAGTCTATCCTCTCTTGTCTTCAGAAAAGAGGATTTCAGCTTTCTATTTAACTGGATACTCATTAAGGCTCAGCCAGCAGCAGCAGGATGCCTGCCCCATCCAAGGAGGAGGGGCTCCAGCTGGGAAAAGGACAGAGCTTCTAGAGAGAAGCCCGGAGGCGGTCAGAGATGGACCTCAGCAGGGGCTGCACTTTTCAAAGCTGCTTTTCCTCTTTGGAGGAGAAAGAGGAGGATCAGAGGGTTGAAGTTCCCTCTTAGCACTTCTAACACCTACTTTGGACTTTATCACTACCAAATCAAGACTATAATGTGCAGTTGGTATGCCCATTTTAGTTAATTCAATTGGAAAAGAAAAAAAAAAAAAGACCTGCTAAAGACCTACTTACTCGAAAGATTTAGAAACAAAAGCCCAGGACTGTGGCAGCACAGGGACCAAGTGATCATAACTGCCATCGTCTTCCTTTCAAATGAAATGTAATCATATTTTTGCTCACACATGCTTAGGGAATTTCTGGCAAGATACCCAATTAACTACTGTCAATGATTATGTCTGGGGAGGGGTCCTAGGGCAATGACAGGCTGGAGGGAATTTTATCTTTTGCTTAATACCCTCTGTTCTGTTAGAGCTTTTAATAAAATCTGTATATAATTTTTATTTTTAAAAACTATCAATTCAGCTTTTAAGCTATTGAGTGTTCTAATTTTTAAAATGAACTACTTTGCCACTTAACATAAAGCGACGTAAACAGAAAGGAGTAAAGGAAATTTTTTTCTAGAGTTTCCTCTCCCCTATTCCAAGACTCAAATGCGAGCTATGTTCATTCAGATAGAAAGATGGACAATATGATGGTGGCTGCTTAGAAGCAGGAGAATTTGAATTTGAACACAGTGCTACAAACCTGAATGCATTTTATTGAATTTCTTCTTCTTCTAGGCAGTCATCTCACAGGACTACATGAATGGTTTTGGTGAGATTTCTTCTGTCTCAATTTCTGCATGTAAATTGAAAACTATAAAGCACATGGGTTAGAATGAACAAAGGCTTGGAATAGATGCATCCCCTTCCATTTGGAGCCCTGAATAAAAGTCATGGCTTAGAAGAAGGAATGGCAGAGAAGAGGGAGAGAAGGAGAGAAGATAAACAGAATTAATGGGCATAGTCTCATTTTACAATTAAATAAAGACACTTTAATGGATATATGGATATTTCTTATAGATGACAGAGCAACACCACAAGTATTTCTTGATTTCTACAGTTCAAGTGCTGCTTAGAAGGAATCTATTTCTTTTGTAAAATTATATAATAATTTATGGGCCCATGAGGAGTATCCCATTTAAAGGACTCTAATTAGGAATATTTTTGTAAAACTCATTCCATTAATTATCTCCTTTCTTTTATATCCCTTCAGCCTTTTGCATTCCATTAGTTCTTCCTTCTCATCAGACTTATTTATGACATTTTCATCCTAAGACAAAGAAAGAAAGAAAACTCTATCATGTCTCCTCTAGTTACTGCCCTCTCTCCTTCCCTTCACAGCTAAGTCCCTTCAAAAGGATGGTCTCCCCTAGGTCACCAACCTATGTTAGAAATATTTGGGAATATGGAAAAGAAATAAGAAGACAAGTGTAGAGGCAGGAAGGCCCTTATCATTTTTTGCCCAAATGATTTTCCTGCCTCTACACCTCTCCTCTTACTTCTTTTCCATATTCCCAAATATTTCTAAAATGCAAATGTGATTATGTCACTTGTTCATTTACAAATCTCTATTCCCTGTTGCTTGTGGGACAACATCCAAATTCCTCAGCATGACACACTAAGAAATATACTAGGTACTCATAGCAGATTGTGCTGTGTCCTTCACAAACACCCATACCAGCCATGTTGTTTGTACTGTGTGTTTATAAATATAATGGGTTCTCAGAGCATGTTGGCTGTTCTCAAGCCTTTGTACCTTTGCATAAGCTCTTCCCTTTTCCTGGAATGATCTTCCTCCTTTCAACTGCCTAATATCTGCATTTTCTTTAAGACCTAGCTCACTGTCATGTTGACCAGGAAGCTTTTGCTGAACTACCAGTGTGGGTGAGGTATTCTCTTGTGATGTATCCTCTCACGTACCACTCATTGAATAAGTTATGCTCCTGTATACTACAGGCACTCCATAAGTGTTTATTGAATGAATTAACTCATGAATGGTGACTATAATCTCTTCATTTATTTTAGGGTCATTTTTTTTTTATTTTAACATTTATTTATTTATGCATTTACTTATTTATTTATGTATATATTTTTAAGACAGAATCTCACTCTGTCACCCAGGCTGGAGCGTAGTGGCGCCATCTCGGCTCACTGCATCCTCTGCCTCCTGGGTTCCAGCGATTCTACTGCCTCAGCCTCCCAGGTAGCTGGGATTACAGGCACATGCCACTACACCTGGCTAATTTTTTTTTTTTTTTTTTTTTTAGTAGAGATGGGGTTTCACTATGTTGGCCAGGCTGGTCTTGAACTCCTGACCTCAGGTGATCCACCCACCTAGGCCTCCCAAAGTGCTAAGATTACAGGCGTGAGCCCCTGCACCCAGCCTTAACTTTTATTTTAGGTTCAAGGGTATATGTGCAGGTTTGTTATATGGGTAAATTGCGTGTCATAAAGTTTGGTGTACAGATTATTTTTTCACCCAGATAATAAGCATAGTACCCACTAAATAGGTTTTCAATCCTCACCCTCCTCCTATCTGAATCATAGATTTAGAATCATAGACCCAAAAAGGGATTTTATTGAATGCTAGTCTTCAAAGGAAGAAAACAAAACTAGTAAGTAGATCTCATGAGTCCTATTTCTTTTCTCCTTTTCATGCTTTCTGAAGTCTGTATTTTCATATTTCTCATTTGATTAGTAAGGTATCTTCGTTATAAAGTTTTAACTAGAAAGTGACCAAAGTTATACAAAATATTAACCTGCTGACTCTTGGAGAGATGCACAGCATCCTTCCTGCTTGTCTAGGCTCAGTTCATTAGCACTTACCTATAAATGCACAACATACTCTGCCAGTATTTAGCATGCACCTATATTTGGTGACGTTGTCATTTAAAAACTATTGCTCCTTAAGAGACAGCAGGTAATAACTGTTTTTAAAAAAAGAATTTTTGTTCTTTCTTTGTTCTTTTTAGTCTCTTTCTTCTAATTATCACCATCATCGTCTGGAGAACTGAACCAATGAGTAAAGAGGATGCTGACACATTGGAGACCAGCCAGAAACGGGTTAAAGGTCATGTGTTTAAGAAGCAACGAAAATAATTTGACATACACAGCCTAGAGGAAAGGCAGAAAAACAAGGATATTTTGATTTATAAATAACTAAGAGATACTAAAAAGAAAGGGAGGAATTATATTGGATATGGTCAAAAAGATGGAGATGTGAGAAGAATGAAATAAGAAAAAAACCACAGTGTGTAGAGATTATTAAGCAATCTTGACAAGAAAAATAAGAAATTAAGTGATAAATATTGAATGTTAAGTGTCAGGCATATTTTAACAGTGTTACATGAGTTACTAACCCATTTAATTCTCCTAACAGCCCAGTGATAAAAGAATTCTGTTATCTCAAAGGAGAGAACAGCCTTGCTGAATGATCTCACAGTGCACCAAGGCACTCTATGAACTATTTGCAGTAAGATAGTAATTAGCATTTATTAAATGTTTACATTTTTGTTTTCTTTTTTTTTTTTTGAGACAGAGTCTTGCCTGGTCGCCCAGGCTGGAGTGCAATGGTGCAATCTCGGCTCACTGCAACCTCTGCCTCCCGGGTTCAAGTGATTCCCCAGCTCAGCCTCCCGAGTAGCTGGGATTACAGGCGCCCTCCACCGCACCTGGCTAATTTTTGTATTTTTAGTAGAGATGGGGTTTCACCATGTTGGCCAGGCTGGTCTCAAACTCCTGACCTCGTGATCCACCTGCCTTGGCCTCCCAAAGTGCTGGGATTACAGGCATGGGCCACCGTGCCCAGCCCTAAATGTTTACACTTTTCAAAAGGACTTCCACACATGAGTTCATTAATCCTCACAATGGTCCTGTTGTTATTCCTAGTTTTGGATGAGGTTAGGACTTTTCCATAGTCACTTAATTGTTAAATGGTACAACTGGGTTGTAAACCAGGTCAGCTCCTTCCACTATAGCATGCACACCACTAGGAAGATAAATCTTAACTATAAGTGGATAACCCACAGAAACATAGGCCTGAACCCTTTCAGTTAATCTTTTTTTTCACAAAGACATGTATTTATTAACAGCTTTATTGAGATATAATTCACATAACAATTTCCTATTTAAAGTGTATACCTCAGTGATTTTTAGTATATTTGGAACTGTATGTTCATCATCACAATATAATTTTGGAACAATTTCATCACCCCTTACCCAAAGAAAACCCATATCCATTAGCTGTCATTTCATATTCATCCCCACTCTGGTCCCTAGCAAGCACTCCATTACTTTATGTTCCTTACTCTGGACATTTCACATCAAGAGAATCATATAAAATGTGGCCTTTTGTGTCTGGCATCTTTCCACTTACCATGTTTTCAAGGTTCATTCATGTTATACCGGTATTTCATTCCTTTTTACGGCTGAAAAATATTTCACTGTAATTGTTATACCACATCTTTAGTATTCATTCATCAGTGGATAAACATTTGGATTGTTTCTACTTTTGGACTTTTATGAAGAAGGTGCTATGAACATTCATGTACAGGTTTTTGTGTGAAAGACATACATTTTAAAATAAATAATCATTTTCAGAAGTGTCCTAATGGCATTTCATAGAGGACTGGTTCCATGGAAAGTTCTGTAAAACAACAAACAATTTCTATGGTCAAATAAGTTTTGTTAACACTTCAAAACATGCTTCCTTGCTCTGTCAGAGCCACTGTAGACATTAGAGGCACAAAGAACACCTGCTCTAAGGAAACTTGTTTAACTTTCCTGCCCAGGATTCCTCCAACTTCTATCATGCTGGAACCTTCTTTCACAGAACACTAATGTTCTGAGGAGCGAGTGTACTATGAAGCACATTTGGGGAAATGCTGCCCCAAATATTTAGCAAAGAGAGCCTTTCAGGAAGTGAAGCAGATGATTGGAATTCATTCTGAGATCTCCTTTCCCTTAATCTGACCCAGGATCTTTGCATGTGACGTGTACATTATAATAACAGGCTAACATTATGGCCCTATTTTTATTTGGGGTTAGGAAAAATAGGCTAACATTTTCTCTTAAAATATGGCTTTTGTGGTTAAGAAAAATAGTCACCAGGTTGATCTGGCAGCATTGTCACCTGTCTCAGCAGAGCTTAATATCAATCAGCAATCAGTGGATACTAGGAATTAAGGTTCCTTGTTGGTGTGGTTCATGCCTTCATCATCTCTGTGATTTCCCAGCACCTAGCAGAGGATCTGGCACATAGTAGTCACCCAAATAGTTAATGGTCAGGTGGGTGTCCATTATAGAATGCATTCAGGACCATCATTTTATAGATAAAAGCTTGAGCATTGGAAGGACTAACTGAATTGCCTAAGTTAACAACTGCTTCTAGCTGCAGCACCAGGACCAGACTCAGATCCTCTGACTTATAATTCTGTATCATTTCCGGTGTGTACAACTTAAGGTTAGAATTTTATTTTTTTCATCTAAATTTCAAGTGAAATAAAAAAAAATGTTTACACTTTTTATAAAGTGAACTGGGCTTGAGCTGTGCTAAAGGGAATTATGCCAAGAAATCAAGGGCTGAGGTTTTCTTTCCTTGGAATGGTGAAATCTGGAAAAGAAAGTAAGCACTGGTCCCAGTTGGAGTCTGAAACTACCAGGGTATAAGCCATGAAGAGTTTAAGAGAAATACTAAGACAAAGTGATGAGAGCTAAACTGCAAACATCATGTGGAGTTTTGTTGTGCTGCCATGCATTTTCAGCACTGCTTATTTACGTACCCAGTTTTTGGAATGGAAAAACTATCATTAAAAAAATGTATCTAAACACAGTCCATGCTAAAAAGCTTCGAAAAGATGAGCAGCTTGCTTATCCTTTGTGATTTTACCGGGTCACTCAACCTTCCCTATGGTACATGAATCTAGTGTGCAACAGTGGAGAAAAATATTCTTTTACGCATTGTGAGAACTTATATTCAAGGTGAATTAGATAATACCCAAAGAGTAAAATGTCTCCTAAATTACTTACTGATATGCATAAGACTAAAGAGTTACTTAGAGTAGTAACTTCTTTGTTTATAGGAAGATGCTGTCACATTGGGAATTAAATGTAAACTCAAGAATCCCTTTTGTTTCTCAGAAAGATTTATCTTAATCTCCTTTGCCATTTTATTTTATTTATGTTTTGAGACAGGGTCTCACTCTGTCACCCAGGCTGGAGTGCAATGATGTGATCTTGGCTCACTGCAGCCCCAACTTTCCGGGCTCAGGTGATCCTCCCACCTCAGCCTCCTGAGTAGGTGGGACTACAGGTGTGCACCGCCACACCCAGCTACTTTTTTTTTTTTTTTTTGTAGACACAGGGTTTCACTAGGCTAGTCTCGAAGTCCTGGGTTCAAGTAATCTGCCCACTTCAGCCTGCCGAAGTGCTGGGATTATACAGGCTTGAGCCACTGTGCTTGGCCTCCTTTACCATTTTAGATTTAATTCAGATATTCCTAGATATGAAGAATTTCAAGTCACTTGATTTCATAAAGCATTCATTGAATCATTTTGTTTATTTTCACTAGAGGTTTTGAAGCTGCCAAAGAGTTCATCTGGGTCCTTTCCTGGGCCCCCAAATTTGTCCTCTTGGCCTGTTTTCTTGAGTTAGAATATAAACTCTGAATGCCATGCTAGCCCAGTGCACTTCCCCTAATATTGAATTTGATAGTAGCACACTGTACTTTCATAATATTGCATTTGGTTAATAATAATAGCAATTCTCTCTAACACTAGCACAGTGGTGACCTTGGTGTTCAATATAAATACTACTTGCTGAATATAACTGAATACCTAAAATAGAAGTTCCTTTTCTGGAAACAGGAATCAAGTGTGAAAAGTGACCTTTCTACCATTTGGAGGGAGATGGAGGCTCTGTAGATTATAAACCAGAGGTCAATGCCTTTCCTGGTGTAGAGAACCACTACTCTCCCTATCCCCTACCCATGAACCCCAACCCTGGCCCACCCATCAGCAAGGGAAAAGGACTTGGTCTTCACCAGTAGACTTAGCTGGACTTGGCCTTGGAAACAGGGCTACTTAAACTCCTTCATCTGACCTCCTGCACTACTTTTCCTGAGCATTTTCTCAGCAGTGAGGGACCAGTTCCTACTCCCTACCTTTTTTTTTTTTTTTTTTTTTTTTTTTTTTTGCTTTTTGTTGCTAGATAACCCTCTTTATTATTTTGATACTCAATGATATAGATTTAGGTGAAAAAGTTGCTTGAACACATGATATAGCCCCCTTTTCGGGACAAATCTTTCATGTGAAAATGAGGCTTGAGGAAATATTTCGCAGTGGAAGACCACTGGGTTTGGAGCAGAGCAGTTTTGCTTTTGGCCTATCAGCTGACTCCCTTATGCAAGTCATTTAACTTCTGGGGGACTCAACTTTTCCATAAGGTCAAGGGAGATTAACTCCACCAGCCCCAAACTAACTCATAGACTTGTGACTTAGGAGAATAACAAAAACGAATAGACTTGAAGACCTTTAAAAACATTGAAAAGAATTACACACTGTAGCAGATATTATTGGTTGCCATGTCAAAATCTTTTGGCCATACTCTTAGTTTTAACAAAGATATGTACAGAAAATAATAGTTTTCCTGCAGAAAGGAATAGCACTTCAAAGACTCAATTAAGTACATTGACAATTAAAAGGGGAAGGTCATGGACTTGGGAAAGACACAAATCTGTGTTTGAGTCCAATCTGTATAACATTGGGCAGATTATTTAACTTCAGTCTCCTCAAATGTAAAATGGGGAAATGTATCCTGGTTTAAAATCACTCTTGTGAGTATTAGATAAAGTATATATAGCACCTGTGAAGTTAGCTGGAGTTACCCAGGGCCCTTGGACTCCAGAGTAGGACTTGGAACCAAGTAAATGTTCATTCCTTTTCCACATTACAGATTGTTATGAAGAGTCAATGCTCTCTTTTACTTTTTTGAGGCAGAGTTTCGCTCTTGTTGCCCAGGCTGGAGTGCAATGGCATGATCTCTGCTCACTGCAACCTCTGCCTCCTGGGTTCAAGCGACTCTCCTGCCTCAGCCTCCCGAGTGGCTGGGCTTACAGGCATGCACCACCTCGCCTGGCTAATTGTGTATTTTTAGTAGAGATGGGGTTTCTCCATTGTTGGTCAGGCTGGTCTCAAACTCCTGACCTCAGGTGATCCGCCCATCTCAGCCTCCCAAAGTGCTGGGATTACAGGCGTGAGCCACCGTGCCCAGCCAATACTCTCTTTTAAATAAAATACTGGCTCTGCCTGCAGGAATCCTTATTGCCCCCTATCTAGTTGAGGTAGGCTAGCCTGGGGTCTGACTGAGAATATAACACATTTTGTCTTTCCCATATCTGATATCTAAATTGTTTGGTTCTCACTTTACCACAAGAATAAATTTTGTCGTATAGGTTCTTGTTAAAGATTCAAAGATGAATAAACTCCTCCAGCACATACTAAGAGCTCAGCAGATTAATACTTGAGAGAACTTTACAGATGTATTCACTCTAAATTATAATAAAGTTATAATTCTATTTTTCATTTCTAATTAAATCAGAAATGAATGAATCCAAGCATCAGAGATGAAAATGTATCTGTTCAGTCCCGTCTTTTTATGGATGAAGAAACCTAAATGACTTGCTTGTACAGAGCCCAGGCCTCTGATTCCCAGTGACATGCTGTGAGCTTTATACCTGCTGAGACTTTCAGTCCTTGGGCCATTTACTTAGCTCCTTCTTAAAACCTCTTCAAGTTTGGTTTCAAGAAAAGAGTTGGTCCCTCCTGGAAAAGGGTGTGCTTTTTTTAAAGTCAAACCTAAAAACCCAACAACCCACCCACAGTGTCCTCTGGAGAACCCAAAGCCTGCATCAGGGCCCAGTTACAGAGAACAGCTCTTCCCAGATGCCTGGAAGCAGCTAATGCTTCCAGGCCCTTTGGTGGTCTCTGTTTTGATTTCCTAATCGGGTGCTTTAGCTTAATCTGATAAGCTACCTCAAATCCTTTTGAAAGTAAGCAGGTTGTAAATCCTAAATAAATAAAACTACTGTGGCCACTGCAAGCCCAGGTTTGGGCTTCTGTCAAGGAGAATGATCTTCAACCTCCCCTTCCCTCCACCTCCCACGTGGGCCCAGAGTGCCTGCCTCCCTGGAACCCTTTTAAAGCTCCGGCTGCATCCTGGTGACAGCTGTGAATGCGCTAGGGAGAAACAGTGTTCCAACATTTGGCTTTCCCTAAAGGCAGAACAGGTGGTGGACAGGTAGTGTGTTAATTAGAAATAAACTTTATTATCAATTTAATTAGCCATCCCAACTTCTGTCCTCTTATGCATAAGAAGTTGGATGAAAAGTTTGCTTGAAGTAGTATAGATGATCTCCTAACCATATTCCTGAAACCGAAGGTCCACCCACCTAACCATTTAAACCAGAAACTTTGTTATTCTGCACTTTTCCTCCCTTTTCATGCCCTCAGACAATCACTTGACCAGTCCTGTGACTTCTACCATCTAAACCAGTGGTTTTTAAGCCCAGATGCACATTAAAATCTGCAAGCCTTTAAAAGCACTGATGCCTGGGTCTCACCTCCAGGTATTCTGATTCAGTGGTCTCAATGCGGGACCTGGGCATTAGTATGTTTTAAAAAACTCCCCAGGGGGTTATAGCCTGCATCTAGGGTTGATAAGTTTGTCTAAGCCTAGCTTTAGTTCATCCTATCCTTTCTACAAACACTGCCATTTCGGGGGGTGCATAGCTTCATGCCTTTCTTGAACCACTGAAATAGCCTCATAACTGACTTCCCTGCCTCCTGTCTTCTCTGAGCCACCTGTCACTGCTATGGTTTACCTCATTATAACACTGTTGTGCTGGACCCTTTTTGACTTCAGTAGGGATGACACCATGTTCAAGAGGCTGAAGAAGAAACCCAGAGCCAGCAAAGGAGACACAGGGTTCATTGAGGGAAGTTACTTACAGGGCAGTCTGGTGGCAGTGGGGAGGACAGGAGAACCACAACTGCTTGTAAAAAACATACAGTTTATAGTGTGTTTTCACTTAGCACCATTCCCCTAGCAACCTCCATCTGGCAACCTTCATTTAACCCAAGACAAAAGGCCTCAATCCTCTGTCTGGCCCGCATTCCATGGGATGGGCCAAGGGTTCAACTATTCCTCATAGATAAGAAATGAATCTCCGGGTTGGCTATTTCTGGATTCTTTAGCTTGGAACTCTGATGCACATTCTTCTTCTTCTTTTTCTTTTTTCGAGAAAGTGTCTTGTTCTGTCACCCAAGCTGGAGTGCAGTGACATGACCTCCTGGACTCAATCAATCCTCCTATCTCAGCCTCCTAAGTAGCTGGGACTACAGGTGCTTGCCACCATACCTGGCTAGTTTTTGTTATTTTTATTTTTATTTTTTGTAGAGATGGGGTTTTGCCATGTTTCCCAGGCTCTTCTTGAACTCCTGGGCTCAAGTGATCCTCCCACCTATGCCTCCCAAAGTGCTGGGATTACAGACATTAGCCATTGCTCCTGGCCCACAGGTTCTTCTTAAGTTATTGCCATGTCAGCCATTCAAACACCAATTTGACTTTTTGGGGGGCCTCATGTCCCCAAGTTCCCTTTTCAGTCATGTGCAAATCCTTTCTTATCTGCATGATGGTGATTACTGACATTTATTAAGGAATTGCTGAATGCCAAGTACGTGCCAACCATACATATTTTATTTGATCCTCACAACAACCCAATGAGGTAGGTTCTCATTTTACAGAAAGGAGGTCAAGGTTTCCAGAGGTTAGCAAATTTCTAAGTCTTAGAAAAGTATGTGACAGAGGCAGGATTTAAATGCAGGCCTAACTTAACCATGAAAGTGTTCTGCCTCTTGTTGAATTTAAAGATAGAAGAATAGACATAGAAGTTTATAGCCTCTCCTTTCAGAGAGCCTGCTAAAATATTTGAAAAGATAAAAGAGGCTTAAGCTTGCAAGTACAAAGAGAATAGGAGAGAAGACATTAATTGATGAAATATTTCAATCATATTTCAAAAGACAGGAAAGGAATGTAGGAAAGGTGTCTGATATAACCAGATTGAGGATATCATATCTTAAAGGACAAGCAAGAAGTTGGTACTAACAAGGAGACAATAAGTTAGTCCTGTAGACTCCTGGAGAAGCTCCGAAACTGAGGAATCCAGTACAGCAGAGAGTGTGGGAATAAACTGAAGAATATGTTAACATGGGAAACAGTCTGTGTACCTCACTTACGGCTCAGGCATAGAACCCTAGCAGCTGTGTAATCACCCCCCCAGGCAGGAGGCTGATTATTCTTTGGAGAATGGGAGGCAAGAGCCTCAGGATTTGGAGACAATATGCACGGCCTGGCCCAGAATTAGTCATAGGGCTGCAAGCGAGAGAATTAATTGCAAATCTGCCTATGGCATGGCCGTACTCCTCAGTGCTTTTCCCTCTCTTTGCTCCTAGGATGCAGGTTGCCTTTTAGACAGGACAGGAGGATTCCTTGCTGGAGAAACTGAGCCGTTCCTAGGAAAAGAGATACAAAGTATGTTAGCATTTTGCAGTCCTCCAACAGGATGATGATTTCCTAACCAGTCAAAGTGAAGTCAACGTGGAATGGACTACGTGAAGGAAGCCTGCATTCGTGTTCTATTGCCACTGTGACAAATTATCACAAACTAAGTGGCTTAAAACAAGATAAATGTATCAGTTCTCAGTTCCATAGATCAGAAGTCCAACACAGATATCACTGGGTGAACATCAAGGCCTTAGCAAGGCTGTGATCCTTTCTGGAGACTGTAAGGGGGAATTCATTTCTTTGCCTTTTTCCAGCTCTCCTTGGCTCATGGTCCCCTTCCTCCATCTTCAAAGCCAGCAATGTCAGCAAAGTCCTACTCCTGCGGATCCCTCCCTGGTCCTTTCTACCTCCCATTTTCCCTTCTAAGGACCCTTATGATCACTTTGAGTCCATCTGGATAGTCCAGGTTACTCTCCCCATCTTAAAGTCAACTGATTAACAACCTGAATTCCTTCGGGAATCTTAATTCCCCTTTGCCGTAAAACAACATATTCGCAGATTCTGTATATTAAGGGCAAGGATATCTCTGAGGGCCATTATTCTGCTCACCACACTCTCCCCACGTGAAAGAGAAAGAGCAAAAACAACGAAGTCTGAGAAACTGCCACAGTTGAGAGGGGCCTAAGGAGACGTGATGATTGAATGTCCTGTAGGATCCTGGATGGAACAGAAAAAATCATTAGATAAAAAGTTAGGAAATGTGGGTAAAGGATGGGCTTGGATTAAAACTATATCAATATTGGTTCATTCATTATAGTAAATGTGCTATTAAGATATTAATATTATTAATTTAATTTATAAGGAAAACTGGGTGTGGCATATACAGAAAATCTCTGTACTATCTTTACATGTTTTTGCAAATCTAAAACTATTCTAAAATAAAAAAAAATATTTTTTAAAAAAGGAAAAATAGTGGTTGCCCCTTGGAGTAGACTAGGAATGAAAGTGTGGGATAGAGGCGTCTTCTTATAATTTTCTCTTCTTGAAAATTACATTTTAAAACCACGTGAATGCATTATTTTGATGAAAATATTAAAATATAAAAAAAAGTTCCCCTCTTTGCTCATGCTTTTTCCTCCTTCTGTGATGACCTTCTCCTCATCTTTGTCCAGTAAATCTTGCTCAGATCTTTAAGACTCAAGACAAATGCCAGACTCTGAAATTTGTACCAATTACCCCAAGGAAAATTAATTATGCCCCCACTTTGTGTTACCCTTGCATTTGCATATGTAATTATGCAGCATATCACACCGCATCATTATTATTGGTTTAGTGTCTGTCTTCTCTACCAGGATGTGAGCTCCTGGAGGGCAAAAACTATCTTATCCATCTTTATGTCCTCAGTGATAATAGAGTAGCTGGCTCATAAGATACTAAAGAAATAGATACTGAGTTAATGACTGGGAAAAATGAATCAATAAATGAATAAATTAACAGGAGGAGCAATCTACTGAAGAACCATTGGTTTATCCTCAGCATTTTTTAGTTCCAAGAAAGAAGAGGGGATTGTACTACAAAGGTTATCAAGTCCTAGTCTGAATATGAGAATCAGATCAAGAAAATTACCATCTTGGCACACACTGGGAAGATAAGCTGGTGCCAAAACACTGGGCTTGTCAGCAAAAGTAATGTGTGTATGAGTTTAATATGAACTAAATAGAAAATATTCATAAAATACCTTTAAGAAAGCAAGATCATGTACTTCTACAACTGCAATGAAAATATGCCATTTTTGTCCATTAAAATAATAGAATAAATTACCTGTAACAAAGTGGGATCAATGATACAAACTATATATTTAAAATATCTTTTTTTTATTATACTTTAAGTTTTAGGGTACATGTGCACATTGTGCAGGTTAGTTACATATGTATACATGTGCCATGCTGGTGCGCTGCACCCACTAACTCGTCATCTAGCATTAGGTATATCTCCCAGTGCTATCCCTCCCCCCTCCCCCCACCTCACCACAGTCCCCAGAGTGTGATATTCCCCTTCCTGTGTCCATGTGATCTCATTGTTCAATTCCCACCTATGAGTGAGAATATGCGGTGCTTGGTTTTTTGTTCTTGCGATAGTTTACTGAGAATGATGATTTCCAATTTCATCCATGTCCCTACAAAGGACATGAACTCATCCTTTTTTATGGCTGCATAGTATTCCATGGTGTATATGTGCCACATTTTCTTAATCCAGTCTATCGTTGTTGGACATTTGGGTTGGTTCCAAGTCTTTGCTATTGTGAATAATGCCTCAATAAACATACGTGTGCATGTGTCTTTATAGCAGCATGATTTATAGTCCTTTGGGTATATACCCAGTAGTGGGATGGCTGGGTCAAATGGTATTTCTAGTTCTAGATCCCTGAGGAATCGCCACACTGACTTCCACAATGGTTGAACTAGTTTACACTCCCACCAACAGTGTAAAAGTGTTCCTATTTCTCCACATCCTCTCCAGCACCTGTTGTTTCCTGACTTTTTAATGATTGCCATTCTAACTGGTGTGAGATGGTATCTCATTGCGGTTTTGATTTGCATTTCTCTGATGGCCAGTGATGATGAGCATTTTTTCATGTGTTTTTTGGCTGCATAAATGTCTTCTTTTGAGAAGTGTCTGTTCATGTCCTTCGCCCACTTTTTGATGGGGTTGTTTTTTTCTTGTAAATTTGTTTGAGTTCATTGTAGATTCTGGATATTAGCCCTTTGTCAGATGAGTAGGTTGTGAAAATTTTCTCCCATTTTGTAGGTTGCCTGTTCACTCTGATGGTGGTTTCTTTTGCTGTGCAGAAGCTCTTTAGTTTAATTAGATCCCATTTGTCAATTTTGTCTTTTGTTGCCATTGCTTTTGGTGTTTTGGACATGAAGTCCTTGCCCATGCCTATGTCCTGAATGGTAATGCCTAGATTTTCTTCTAGGGTTTTTATGGTTTTAGGTCTAACATTTAAGTCTTTAATCCATCTTGAATTGATTTTTGTATAAGGTGTAAGGAAGGGATCCAGTTTCAGCTTTCTACATATGGCTAGCCAGTTTTCCCAGCACCATTTATTAAATAGGGAATCCTTTCCCCATTGCTTGTTTTTCTCAGGTTTGTCAAAGATCAGATAGTTGTAGATATGTGGCGTTATTTCTGAGGGCTCTGTTCTGTTCCATTGATCTATATCTCTGTTTTGGTACCAGTACCATGCTGTTTTGGTTACTGTAGCCTTGTAGTATAGTTTGAAGTCAGGTAGTGTGATGCCTCCAGCTTTGTTCTTTTGGCTTAGGATTGCCTTGGTGATGCGGGCTCTTTTTTGGTTCCATATGAACTTTAAAGTAGTTTTTTCCAATTCTGTGAAGAAAGTCATTGGTAGCTTTATGGGGATGGCATTGAATCTGTAAATTACCTTGGGCAGTATGGCCATTTTCACGATATTGATTCTTCCTACCCATGAGCATGGAATGTTCTTCCATTTGTTTGTATCCTCTTTTATTTCCTTGAGCAGTGGTTTGTAGTTCTCCTTGAAGAGGTCCTTCACATCCCTTGTAAGTTGGATTCCTAGGTATTTTATTCTCTTTGAAGCAATTGTGAATGGGAGTTCACTCATGATTTGGCTCTCTGTTTGTCTGTTGGTGTTGTATAAGAATGCTTGTGATTTTTGTACATTGATTTTGTATCCTGAGACTTTGCTGAAGTTGCTTATCAGCTTAAGGAGATTTGGGGCTGAGACAAGGGGTTTTCTAGATATACAATCATGTCGTCTGCAAACAGGGACAATTTGACTTCCTCTTTTCCTAATTGAATACCCTTTATTTCCTTCTCCTGCCTAATTGCCCTGGCCAGAACTTCCAACACTATGTTGAATAGGAGTGGTGAGAGAGGGCATCCCTGTCTTGTGCCAGTTTTCAAAGGGAATGCTTCCAGTTTTTGCCCATTTAGTATGATATTGGCTGTGGGTTTGTCATAGATAGCTCTTATTATTTTGAAATACGTCCCATCAATACCTAATTTATTGAGAGTTTTTAGCATGAACGGTTGTTGAATTTTGTCAAAGGCCTTTTCTGCATCTATTGAGATAATCATGTGGTTTTTGTCTTTGGCTCTGTTTATATGCTGGATTACATTTATTGATTTGCGTATATTGAACCAGCCTTGCATCCCAGGGATGAAGCCCACTTGATCATGGTGGATAAGCTTTTTGATGTGCTGCTGGATTCGTTTTGCCAGTATTTTATTGAGGATTTTTGCATCAATGTTCATCAAAGATATTGGTCTAAAATTCTCTTTTTTGGTTGTGTCTCTGCCCGGCTTTGGTATCAGAATGATGCTGGCCTCATAAAATGAGTTAGGGAGGATTCCCTCTTTTTCTATTGATTGGAATAGTTTCAGAAGGAATGGTACCAGTTCCTCCTTGTACCTCTGGTAGAATTCGGCTGTGAATCCATCTGGTCCTGGACTCTTTTTGGTTGGTAAACTATTGATTATTGCCACAATTTCAGCTCCTGTTATTGGTCCATTCAGAGATTCAACTTCTTCCTGGTTTAGTCTTGGGAGAGTGTATGTGTGGAGGAATTTATCCATTTCTTCTAGATTTTCTAGTTTATTTGCATAGAGGTGTTTGTAGTATTCTCTGATGGTAGTTTGTATTTCTGTGGGATCAGTGGTGATATCCCCTTTATCATTTTTTATTGTGTCTATTTGATTCTTCTCTCTTTTTTTCTTTATTAGTCTTGCTAGCGGTCTATCAATTTTGTTGATCCTTTCAAAAAACCAGCTCCTGGATTCAATAATTTTTTGAAGGGTTTTTTGTGTCTCTATTTCCTTCAGTTCTGCTCTGATTTTAGTTATTTCTTGCCTTCTGCTAACTTTTGAATGTGTTTGCTCTTGCTTTTCTAGTTCTTTTAATTGTGATGTTAGGGTGTCAATTTTGGATCTTTCCTGCTTTCTCTTGTGGGCATTTAGTGCTATAAATTTCCCTCTACACACTGCTTTGAATGCATCCCAGAGATTCTGGTATGTTGTGTCTTTGTTCTCATTGGTTTCAAAGAACATCTTTATTTCTGCCTTCATTTCGTTATGTATGCAGTAGTCATTCAGGAGCAGGTTGTTCAGTTTCCATGTAGTTGAGCGGTTTTGAGTGAGATTCTTAATTCTGAGTTCTAGTTTGATTGCACTGTGGTCTGAGAGATAGTTTGTTATAATTTCTGTTCTTTTGCATTTGCTGAGCAGAGCTTTACTTCCAAGTATGTGGTCAATTTTGGAATAGGTGTGGTGTGGTGCTGAAAAAAATGTATATTCTGTTGATTTTGGGTGGAGAGTTCTGTAGATGTCTATTAGGTCCGCTTGGTGCAGAGCTGAGTTCAATTCCTGGGTATCCTTGTTGACTTTCTGTCTCGTTGATCTGTCTAATGTTGACAGTGGTGTGTTAAAGCCTCCCATTATTAATGTGTGGGAGTCTAAGTGTCTTTGTAGGTCACTCAGGACTTGCTTTATGAATCTGGGTGCTCCTGTATTGGGTGCATATATATTTAGGATAGTTAGCTCTTCTTGTTGAATTGATCCCTTTACCATTATGTAATGGCCTTCTTTGTCTCTTTTGATCTTTGTTGGTTTAAAGTCTGTTTTATCAGAGACTAGGATTGCAACCCCTGCCTTTTTTTGTTTTCCATTTGCTTGGTAGATCTTCCTCCATCCTTTTATTTTGAGCCTATGTGTGTCTCTGCACGTGAGATGGGTTTCCTGAATACAGCACACTGATGGGTCTTGACTCTTTATCCAATTTGCCAGTCTGTGTCTTTTAATTGGAGCATTTAGTCCATTTACATTTAAAGTTAATATGGTTATGTGTGAATTTGATCCTGTCATTATGATGTTAGCTGGTTATTTTGCTCGTTAGTTGATGCAGTTTCTTCCTAGTCTCGATGGTCTTTACATTTTGGCATGATTTTGCAGCGGCTGGTACCGGTTGTTCCTTTCCATGTTTAGCGCTTCCTTCAGGAGCTCTTTTAGGGCAGGCCTGGTGGTGACAAAATCTCTCAGCATTTGCTTGTCTGTAAAGTATTTTATTTCTCCTTCACTTATGAAGCTTAGTTTGGCTGGATATGAAATTCTGGGTTGAAAATTCTTTTCTTTAAGAATGTTGAATATTGGCCCCCACTCTCTTCTGGCTTGTAGGGTTTCTGCCGAGAGATCTGCTGTTAGTCTGATGGGCTTCCCTTTGAGGGTAACCCGACCTTTCTCTCTGGCTGCCCTTAACATTTTTTCCTTCATTTCAACTTTGGTGAATCTGACAATTATGTGTCTTGGAGTTGCTCTTCTTGAGGAGTATCTTTGTGGCATTCTCTGTATTTCCTGAATCTGAACGTTGGCCTGCCTTGCTAGATTGGGGAAGTTCTCCTGGATAATATCCTGCAGAGTGTTTTCCAACTTGGTTCCATTCTCCCTATCACTTTCAGGTACACCAATCAGACGTAGATTTGGTCTTTTCACATAGTCCCATATTTCTTGGAGCCTTTGCTCATTTCTTTTTTTTTTTTTTCTCTAAAATTCCCTTCTTGCTTCATTTCATTCATTTCATCTTCCATCGCTGATATCCTTTCTTCCAGTTGATCGCATCGGCTCCTGAGGCTTCTGCATTCTTCATGTAGTTCTCGAGCCTTGGTTTTCAGCTCCATCAGCTCCTTTAAGCACTTCTCTTTATTGGTTATTCTAGTTATACATTCTTCTAAATTTTTTTCAAAGTTTTCAACTTCTTTGCCTTTGGTTTGAATGTCCTCCCGTAGCTCAGAGTAATTTGATCGTCTGAAGCCTTCTTCTCTCAGCTCGTCAAAGTCATTCTCCATCCAGCTTTGTTCCGTTGCTGGTGAGGAACTGCTTTCCTTTGGAGGAGGAGAAGCGCTCTGCGTTTTAGAGTTTCCCGTTTTTCTGTTCTGTTTTTTCCCCATCTTCATGGTTTTATCTACTTTTGGTCTTTGATGATGGTGATGTACAGATGAGTTTTTCGTGTGGATGTCCTTTCTGTTTGTTAGTTTTCCTTCTAACGGACAGGACCCTCAGCTGCAGGTCTGTTGGAATACCCTGCCGTGTGAGGTGTCAGTGTGCCCCTGCTGGGGGGTGCCTCCCAGTTAGGCTGCTCGGGGGTCAGGGGTCAGGGACCCACTTGAGGAGGCAGTCTGCCCGTTCTCAGATCTCCAGCTGCGTGCTGGGAGAACCACTGCTCTCTTCAAAGCTGTCGGACAGGGACATTTAAGTCTGCAGAGGTTACTGCTGTCCTTTTGTTTGTCTGTGCCCTGCCCCCAGAGGTGGAGCCTACAGAGGCAGGCAGGCCTCCTTGAGCTGTGGTGGGCTCCACCCAGTTCGAGCTTCCCCGCTGCTTTGTTTACCTAAGCAAGCCTGGGCAATGGCGGGTGCCCCTCCCCCAGCCTCGCTGCTGCCTTGCAGTTTGATCTCAGACTGCTGTGCTAGCAATCAGCGAGACTCCGTGGGCGTAGGACCCTCCGAGCCAGGTGCGGGATATAATCTCGTGGTGCGCCGTTTTTTTAAACCGGTCCAAAAAGCGCAATATTCGGGTGGGAGTGACCCAATTTTCCAGGTGAGTCCGTCACCCCTTTCTTTGACTCGGAAAGGGAACTCCCTGACCCCTTGCACTTCCCAAGTGAGGCAATGCCTCGCCCTGCTTCGGCTCGCGCACGGTGCGCGCACCCACTGACCTGCGCCCACTGTCTGGCACTCCCTAGTGAGATGAACCCAGTACCTCAGATGGAAATGCAGAAATCACCTGTCTTCTGCGTCGCTTACGCTGGGAGCTGTAGACCAGAGCTGTTCCTATTCGGCCATCTTGGCTCCTCCACTCCCCTGCTCTCTAAAATATCTTTATAGTTAAATGCAATGTAATATAGAATACAGCAGACACAACAGAAAATAGCATTGTTTAAACAGCATTTTAAATCCTGCTTTGTCCAATCATATTTCTATAATGTCTGTCTTTTAACTTGGCTTCACCATGGTCTCTAAACTCATCCAGGAGGTGGCCCCTGCTTGCACCTCTGCCCTTCTGCCCTCCTGCACCTCTGCCCTTCTGCCCTCCTGCCTTTCAGTTCCTGCAGGCCCCAACTCTCCACTAGCTGGAGGGTCTTGGCTTGCTCCCTCTTCCTGGCATACCCTTCTCTGCTCTTTGTGTGTCTACCATCTTTTGCATCTCAGCTCAAATGTCCCCGTCTCCGGGAGGGCCTCCCTGATGATGTTATCTTAAATAGCACCACCTCCAAATTACTCTTTCTGACGTCACCTTGCCTATATCCTTTATTGCATAAGTTGGTAATTATCATGCTTATTTACTTGCTTTTTCAGATTTTAGCTTTTATATGTTTGTTTGTGTTGTGTCTGTCTCCATGTTAGAAAACAGTGCCACCTCTTCTCCAGGTAACTAGAGAGTCCCAGAGTTCAAGTGTAAAGACTGAGGGCATCATGACCTTCTGCAGGGGGCCTGTAAATGGATCAGAGAAGGGGTATTAGGTTGGTGCAAAAGTAATTGTGGTTTTGGCTGTTACTTTTAATGGCAAAAAACTACAGTTATTTTTGCACCAACCTAATACAAAGGAGGAGAAGTTGTTGGGCTCAATAGTCTCTCTTCTGTTCACTGAGTGGCTCAGGCCTGAGATAAGCAGTATCTAAGGACCCAATAATTAGGGATTCACAATGTTTTTTCAGCCTTCCCCCAATCCATAAATCCGTAACATGTATCCCAATGTGTGATTTTCAGACATTCAAATGAAAATGCTTTTTTAGGAATGCATCCCATGGAAAACTAGGAGTCCACCTATATGGTCTGAAAAATGCCTGCCAGTAGGCCCTTAGAATGGCCTGGGCACAGTATCTTGCTTCCTTTACTTGTCTTTTGTCTTGAGTACACACTGTGCTGCCCCTGCATTCCAAGTCCTGCCATTTCTGTGGGCAGCAGAGAGAACCTAGGAACCTGCTTCTTCTAATAGGAAACATACCTCCCAGACCTTGGCCCCAGCAGACAATGTACTCCCAGTTGAGCAGAAATGTGCATCATTATGTCTTCTAACAAATGTTGCTTTTTAAACTTTTCTCTTTCATTTGAGCACCCCTAAGGAGGGAGCAGGGGGAAGAAAAGCAACAGAAAGGAAGATCATTCATAATAAAAATGATAAGATACACATTTGGGGTTCAGAAGATAAGAGGAACTGGTGTAAATTTACAACAGCAGTTTCTAATTGTAGTCAGATTGCAAAATAGGAATGGATATATGACTCAAAGGGATTAAAAACATAAATAGTAAATAAACATCAATGATGTTCTGCTTAAAAAACATTTAAATATATTCAGACTCAAGTGATTTAGTTCATATCACCATATCCCCAGTAAATTAGAAACCATTAAATGTTGTAGAAATTTATATTTGGCAGAGCTGAGGACAAAATAGCATCATTAAATGATGTAGATACCTTGATGATTAGAGAATTTCCTGGAGAGAATATAGTTCACATAGGAGCCACCAGATTGGCCATGGTCCTTGCTCTGATAGTCGCATGTTTGACAATTTATTCTAAAGAAGTTCTTAGAAGAAAGAAATGCTTATTTGCACTAGGACGTTTATAGCTATTCTATTTGTGTGACAAAACAACAACAAACACAAAACCAACTGGAAGTCATGAAAATGTCCTATAATTGGTAACATAGGTATAATTGCTACATTGATTCAATATTTTGGCATGAAAAATGGTAGGTATATTGACGATATGGACATATGAGAGAGCAGAGAGCATATTTTAAATAACACGAAGTGAAAAAATATAACAGCATTGCACAGCGATTATAATGCTGTGCATATATCTTGAAGAACATAATCATGTAAAAAGTGATTATCAGAAGAGGTTACAAAAGCTTGTACTGGATATTTATGGAGATGGGATCCTTTAGTTTTTTTTTTTTTTTAAATAGAATTGTCTCCCTGTTTGCGTCTCTTTCATTGTAACACTGGATAAATATATTATAATTTAAAACTTTAGCAAATAGAATTTTTAAATAAACTCCATATTGAAGAGCGTGGTGATTTTCCCACTCTCCATAGTCAGAAAGGGTAAGAGTTCTGATGTGCCTTTCTCTGCTGGGCGAGTGTAGTGTAGGAGAGACACTATTCCAATCTATTGCCAATCCTATATGTAGTGAGGCAGCTGCGGAGAGAGAAAGCTGTACCCTGAGATCTTTTCTGCCTTAGTAACCAAACTCTGATTTTTAGCTGAGCGCAGACTCACATGCAGTAAAGACTGTGTTTTCTGACCTGCTTTCCATTCCTGTTCAATTAGGTGACAGAGTTCTGGTTATTAGCGTGTAGCAGATACGTTGTGAGTAGCTTCCAGGAAGTGTCCTTAAAGTGAGAGGGTGGGTGTTCTCTCTTTCTACTTCCAGTTCTCAGATGTGATGGCTGGAGCTCCAACAGCTGTGCTGGCTCATGAGCTAAATGCTAAATGCTGAGGAGAGTAGAGCAACAAGACAAAAATCTGCTCCCTGAGATACCGCGGGACACCGCTTCAGTCCTAGCTGCAGAACTCTAGAAATTTTGCTTAAGTGAATAAAAACCTGTGCGTCCAAAGTACTGTTACTCCCAGCCAAACTGAATCTGAAATAATATAGCCGCCTTTTTCAGCGTACTTATAAGTCTGTATACTTTGTTTCCTAATTTTAAAGAGGAAGAGCATCTTAGAGTTTCCTCTCTAAGTTTTCTCACTGCTTTAACATTTTAAATAATTTAAAGTGGATATCTCCCACTATGGACCAGTGAATGATTAGACCCTTTTGCCCCAAGATTTATCCAGGGTCTTAAAAAATTATTTTTAAAAGTTACTTACTTTTGTTGTTGTTGTTGTTAGAGTCTCACTCTGTCACCCAGGCTGGAGTGCAGTGGCTCCATCTTGGCTCACTGCAACCTCTGACTTCCTGGTTCAAGCAATTCTCCTGCCTCAGCCTCCCAAGTAGCTGAGATTACAGGCACCTGCCACGATGTCCAGCTAATTTTTTTTTTGTATTTTTAGTAGAGATGGGGTTTCATCATGTTGGCCAGGCTGGTTTACAACTCCTGACCTCAAGTGATCTGCCTGCCTTGGCCTCCCAAAGTGCTAGGATTACAGGTGTGAGCCACCCCGCCTGGCCGAAAAGTTACTTACTTCTTGATCCCAAAGTAATAAAAGCTCCTTACCCAAAAAAGATAGAAAATATAGATAGGCAAAAGGAAGAAAATAACTTAGAATACACTTCCCTACATACTCACTGTTAATATTTTTTACTGTTTTTTACATGTATGTTGTACCTACATTTGGTAACCTGCTTTTTCCACCCACTAAATTGTGCATACACTTCCAGATCATTGAATATTCTTCTAAATATCATTTTAAAAGAATGCATTTATTCCATTTCATAGCTAATGTGCCATACTTACCCAATCCCATAGTTTTGGACATTTAAGAAGTTTTTATGTTTTTGTTCTTATAAATAGCACTGTTATGGATTGCTCTTTAGCCTAATATTTGCACATATCATATTTACCCAATAATAAACTTTATAGGTTAAAAGGTAGGCAAAATTATATTGTCACATTATCCTTCAGAAACTTGTACCAATTTATCTCTCTTCCACTCCTCCTTCACTGATAATATAAGAGTATCACATGCCTTGTAACTTTACCAACACTGGATATATCTATCTATTTATTACAGTCTTCAGCTATGTTCCTTAATTTAAAAAATTGTGGTAAAATGTATATAATAAAAGTTATCATATTGACCATTGTCAAGTGTACAATTAGGTGGCTTTAAGCACCTTCACATTGTTATGCAATCATCACCATTATTCATTTCTAGAACTTTTTCATCATCACAAACTGAAACTCTGTACCCATGAGACAAGAGCTCCCTATTTTCCCCCATCGACAGCCCCCGGCACCCACCATTCTATTTTCTGGTCTCTGAATTTGACTACACTAGGTACCTCATAGAAATGGAATCACACAGTATTTTTTTGTGTGTGTGACTGGTTTATTTCACTTAGCATAGTGTTTTCAAGGTTCATCCATGTTGTATCATGTGTCATAATTTCCTTCCTTTTAAAGGCGCTATGTATATATGTATATATATACATACACATTTTATGTATATACCACATTTTTATCCATTCATCTATCAATGGTTACTTGGGTTGGTTCCACCTTTTGGCTACTGTGACTAATGTTCCTATGAACATGGGTGTACAAATACCTCTTCTAGTCCCTGCTGTCAATTTTTTGGGGGGGTATATACCCATAAGTGAAATGCTGAATCTTATGGTAATTCTATGCTTAACTTTTTGAGGAATGGTGCCATACTGTTTTCCATATTGGCTTCACCATTTTACACCCCCACAAATAGTTCACAGAGGTTCCAATTTCTTTACATCCTAGCCACTGCTTATTTTCTGTTTTTTTTGTCTTTTGTTTCCGATGGTAGCCATCCTCATGGACAATATTTAATTGTGGTTTTGATTTGCATTTCCCTAATGATTAGTGATTTTAGCATTTAAAAAAATGTGCTTATAAAAAATATAATATATATTATATATATTTATATATAATATATATTTCTTATAAGCACATTTTTATATAGTTTTATATATAATATAATTATATATAATAATAAGCACATTATATATAATATATAAACATATTTATATATAATATATTATATATAATATATATTTAATATAATATATTATATATAATATATATTTATATATTATATATAACGTATTTATATATAACATATTATATATAACGTATTTATATATAACATATTATATATAACGTATTTATATATAACATATTATATATAATATATAACATATTTATATATAACATATTTATATATAATATATAACATATTTATATATTATATGTAAAATATATATTTTTATAAGCACATTTTTATTATATATAATATATATTTTATATATAATATATATTTTTAAAAATGTGCTCATAAAAATATATATATTTATCTCTATATATGTGTATATACACATATATTTCTATATATGCTTATATATATATATATATATATATATATATATACACATATATACACTTCTAGTTCCTGCCTAATCAAATCAGAGTGTGGTCCTTAGACCAGCAGCATCAGCATCACCTGGAAGCTTGCTAGAAATGCAAATCCTCGGGCCTCACCCCTAGACCTGCTGAATCAGAATTTGCATTTAAGATGCCTGGTAGGTAATTTGTATGCACGCTAAAGTTTGAGAAATACTGCTTTAGAGGTTAATGAAATAGCATTTTTTTCTTTCCTTTTAAGCTTTTCCTCTATTTCCCAGCCACAAGTAATTAAATACTATAAAACACTACAAAAGATCTTTCAGAATAGAAATAAGCAGAATGTGAAGAAATAGCATGCTAGAAGGGAAAGCAGGCTTAGGCAGCAGCTAGTTCAGTTTCCAAACTCCAGTCTTTGTAGCAGCTCCATGGTTTTACATGTAGTGGGGTATCCTTTGTACAATGTTTTACCTAATAATTTTATTTATATGGAATCACTTTTATAAAAAACTGAAATACCTTTTCTCTTTCTTTCTTTCTTTCTCTTTTTTCTTCTTTTTTCTTTTTTCTTTCTCTCTTTCTTTCTTGCTCTTTCTTTCTTTCTCTCTCTCTCTTTTTTTCTCCCACTGCCCCTCTCTTTCTTTCTTTGAGACAAGGCCTTGCTCTGTTGCCCAGGATGGAGTACAGTGGCATGACGATAGCTCACCAAAGCCTGGAACTCTTGGGCTCAAGTGGTCCTCCCACCTCAGCTTCCCAGGTAGCTGGGACTATAGGTGTGTGCCACCATGCCCAGCTAATTTTCTAAAAAATGTCTTTGTAGAGATAGGGTTTCCCTAAGTTGTCCAGGCTGGTCTCAAATTCCTGGCCTAAAGCAATCCTCCCACCTTAGCCTTCCAAAGTATTGGGATTACAGGTGTGAGCCCAGCCTTAAAAATTTTTATTTAAATTAAAGTTTATATCACTTCTACAAATGAAAACCTGTATTACTTGCCAAAAATAGAGGATAACTGTAAAAATAAGTCAATGAAAACAAAGGAATGTTATTAAGATATAAAAATTAACAATGAATTATAAGATATAATGAATCTAGTTATAAAAATATATTTCTACGTAGTTTCTCAGTGAAAGCATTGAAGTCATTTATGATCAACCGTTAACTTGTTGCTAAATTGGAGAGTAAGAGGTTTCATTGAGGTTGTACATCAATGAAAACATTCTTAAAACTTATTTAAAAGCTAACAAGTATCGTGGGCTTACCATGTACCAGGTACAGATCTAAGAGCTTTAACATATATTTAATCCCCATAAAGACTTCATGAGGTATTTACTGGCATACTCCATATTTTACAGATGAGGAAACTGAGACTTAAAGAGGTTCAGCAACTTGTCGGAGGTTACAGAGCTAGTCACAGGCAGAGCAGGGCTTTGAAGCCAGGCATGTCCAGGGTCTAGCACCTGCAGCTGCTTAACCAGCACTGAGAAATCCAAGTCACGTGTGTATTTAGTCGAACAAGGCAAAGATAAACTGTCTACCTTTTCTAAGCATAGTTATGTCCATGGATACAGCCTTTTTGCACTAATTGATTGTCAACTTTTGAAGAGGATAGTTTGACATATTACTGATAGAATACAATGATGTGCCTAGGAATTCAGGGAATAAGAATCTGAGTTATAGATGAACAGCACCTGCTTTAACCTTACTTCTGAGCAATTATGGTTGAGGATCAGGCTCCTGGATCCTGTACTCATTATGCACAACCCTATAATTCAAGTGCTTTTATGATTTGCATTACCAGTGCCTGAGAGAGGAACATCCAGACAATAATATATATGAAATCACAGGTTTCATGTGATATATATATATATATATATATATATATATATATATATATATGGTTCTCTAGAGGGACAGAACTAATGGAATAGATGTGTATATAAAGGTATAAAGGGGAGTTTATTAAGAAGTATTGACTCACGTGATCACGAGGTGAGGTCCCACAATAGGCTGTCTACAAGCTGAGAAGCAAAGAAAGTCCGAGTCCCAAAGCTGAAGAACTTGGAGTTCAATGTTCAAGGGCAGGAAGCATCCAGCATGGGAGAAAGATGTAGGCCAGAGGACTAAATGGGTCTAATCTTTCTACGTTCTTCTGCCTACTTTTATTCTGGCCTCGCTGGCAGCTGATTAGATTGTACCCACCCAGATTGAGGGTGGGTCTGCCTTTCTCAATCCACTGACTCAAATGTTAATCTCCTTTGACAACACTCTCACAGACACACCCAAGAACAATACTTTGCATCCTTCAATCCAATCAAGTTGACAGTCAATACTAACCATCATAAGTCTACCCCTTGTCAACTTGAACCCATACACATCTCCTGAAATCATACACAATCTTCAAAGAAAGACAATAATAAGGTCATAATTATGCCCAACGTAATACAACTATCCTTCGTACAACCGGAAACTCACCAATTCCCCAACCCAAATACTATTACATAAAGTTAGCAATACTTAAATGCTGACATGAAGTCAATAAATCTTATGTCACATGATAAAGGAAAAAGGAAATAAAATAAAGATATTTTCATAGTACAAGTGTATACATGCACAAAGATGTTCTTAACAAAAAGAGGGAGGAAATACTCATGACAATTAACATTCCTCATTTCTGCACCTGGTCATGTGGTCATAGCTGGTATTGATGACTACCTTCTACTATCCCTTCTGTATTCCCTTTGTTTTCAGCAAGAACCTCAGCAGGTCATGGTTTTTTTCCTAGTGGAGTGATCCAAACCTTCATTCCTGAAGGGTCTGGGCCATTTGCAGTCCTGTCTGGATTGGGCTATTGTAGTTTCCCATTAACCTTAATCACAGGGCATGGTAATACCAAGAGACACCCTAAAGGATTGTCTATATTCCACGCATACTCTTCCTTACCTCCATTGTGGAGTAGTAGTAGACTGACTTCATCTTGATATTCTGGGTCAATCACCCCAAGCAACACTGTAACTCCGTTCTTAGCCTGTTGACTTAAAGGTAGGAGGAGCCCAAAGTGTGCAAGTGACAATCTTAACTTCCAGTTTAATGGAATTGTGTTGTGTCTCCTGGTGGCAGCGTTCCTCCCTCTGGGACTAAGATCTCAGAATGTAATGTCATGGGAACAGGAAGCAAAAATTTTGCTAGTGGGTCACTAAGGGTGATGGTTAGTGGTGCCACTTCCACTTTCCACCCCTTGATTCCTGGACCTGTGAATCCTGGCTGTGGGAGAAGCAGTACCATATATTGGATGCTGATTCAGAGCATACATGGCCTTCTGGAGAACTTTGCCCCAGCCCTGCAAAGTATTGTCACCTAGTTAGCATTGTAATTGTGACTTCAAAAGGCCATTCCACTGTTCTGTCAATCCAGCTGCTTCAGAATGATGGGGGACATGGTAAGACCAGTAAATTCCAAGAACGTGAGTTCACTGCCACACTTCTTTTGCTGTAAAATGAGTGTCTTGGTCAGAGGCAATGCTATGTGGAATATCATGACCGTGGATAAGGCATTCCATGAGTCCACAGATGGTAGTCTTGGCGATATTTTCTAATCCATACATTTACATACATAATTACTAAAATTTAAAAATCTTTGTCCTTGTACCCCCTAAAATTCATGCTTTTGGAATTATCAAGTTCAATCCCACATTTTAAAGACAAGAAAACCGATATTTATGACCACCCAGAAGCTGTGGGACTGGAACACTGGTCTTTGTTCCTACACCACTGCCCTCTCCTCATATTGAGGAATTCTTGTGTCCTTTAATACTAACCCAGCTGGCCATACCTCATAATGAATCACAGTATGATTTATTGGTAAAGTGGTTGGCATCTTTACTATAGGTAATTTACATGGTGGAGATGAATTGCAATCCTCAAATTTACATGTGCAAGACCTATGGAATTTTGTTAATCAAATGAAATTTCCACCCTTGGTTTGTTGTTGTTGTTATTGGCCTGCCTTTCTCTCTCTCTCTTTTCCTTCCTTCCTTCCTTCCTCTTTCTTTTTTCCTTCCTTCCTTCCTTTCTTTCTTTCTTTCTTTCTTTCTTTCTTTCTTTCTTTCTTTCTTTCTTTCTTTCTTTCTTTCTTTCTCTTTCTTTCTTTCTTTCTTTCTTTCTTTCTTTCTTTCTTTTTCCTTCTTTCTCTCTCTCTTTCTTTTTTTTGACAGGGTCTCACTCTGTTGCCCAGGTTGGAGTGCAATGGCACAATCATGGCTCACTGCAACCTCTGCCTCTCAGGTTCAAGCGATTTTTGTGCCTCAGCCACCCGAGTAGCTGGGATTACAGGCATGCACCACCGTGCTTGGCTAATTTTTGTATTTTTAGTAGAGACTGGCTTTTGTCATATTGTTATCCTGTTGGCAGCGTTCCTCCCTCTGGGACTAAGATCTCTAGCCCAGCAGAATGTAATGTCACCAGAGATGGCTAGGCTGGTCTCGAACTCCTGACTTCAAGTGATCCACCTGCCTTGGCATCCCAAAGTGCTGGGATTACAGGCATGAGCCACCATGCTCAGCCTAAAATTTCTACCCTTAAGCTTGCATCCCACCAGCTTGGCAGGAAATCTAACTGTAGTCATACTTAGAGCTTCCCCCGTCCTCAACCCCAGATGTGTGAGTCCAGGAGTCCCAGGCAGAAAAGGCTGTTAGTCACAGCCCACAGTGGTTACAGCCTCTGCCAGCCCATTGGTTCTTTCTCTCCTGTGCTCTGCCGCTTCTGGGCTGTCCGGGGATCTGGGACTCTGGTCGAGTGGGAAGGCCTCTGCCTGAGCTATAATCACACTCCAGCTCCCAGGAGTCATTCCTTTGGAGAGTTGTCCCTGTTTGGCACAGGCTGCGTGCATCTGCTTGTACATTTTTCATGGGTGTGGGCTCTACAAAAGACAGAATCTTGGACACCAGGGTGCTTCTGCTTTTTGCAAAGCGTTGATTCCCAGGGCAAGAAGTCATAAAACCTGGCTCCCTGCTTAAAATGAGGGAAAGGGAGAATATAGACGCTGTGGTCTAAGTGTCCTTCAATATTCATGTGTTGAAACTTAATCCTCATTGTGGTGGTAGTAAGTGTTGGGGACTTTTGGGAAGTGATTTACTTGGGAGGGCTCTGCCCTTTTTGCACTCTTCTGCTCTTCCACCATGTAAGGACACAGTGTTGGCCCTCTCTGGAGGACACAGCAACGAGGTGCCATCTTTGAAGCAGAGAGCAGACCTTTTCAGACATCGCATCTGCTGAAGCCTTGATCTTGGACTTCCCAGCCACCAGGACTGTGGGAAAATACTTTTCTGTTCATTGTAAGTTACCCTGTCTAAGGTATTTCATCATAGCAGCATAAACAGGCTAAGACAATAGGGAAAAAAGATAGTTTAGTAAGTTGCCCTTGCACTCACAAAATAATTTAACTTTAAAAAATACATAATAATTTAAAATGGTAAACTTTGCAGAAATGGTCCTCAGTGATGTCACAAGTGGCTGTGAGCATGTTCTGTGAACTGTTCTTACACAAAACAAGCCTGCCTTTGACACCTTTCTTCCCCCAAACCAGCTGGTAACACAACCCTCGGTGAAAAAGTATTGCACTTTTTAAGGGGTAAATTCTTCAGGTATAAGATCAGTGTTTCATGCGTAGAACTTGCTTAGCCATGACTGAAATCCTATATTTAGCAATTTCCTTTTTAATTGTTGTGCCCACCTCCTTCCCACTGGGTTTAAGGCTAGTACAGACACTTGGGCACCTTGTGCCTGGCCCCATTGGTGTCCCCTGTGAGGGCTGGTGAGGGCCGATGGGCACCCTGGCCTGGCTGGGTTCTCTTTGCTGATTGATAGCTGGCTGTGTGGAAGATGACCTGAGTTCACAGAAGCTGGCCTAGCCCCTGCTCAGGTGTGAGCCAAGGATGTTGAGGCTGTTTCCTGCTGTGGGGAAGGTGCAGGGGCTGAGCAGAAGCTGGCCCTTAATGTAGAAGAGGCTGCATCCTTCATTCCATGCCCTCCGCTTGCAGTCATTTTCCTTTCTTTGCCCATGTCCAAGTCCCTCTTGGACAGAAAAATGCCTGGGGACACTCTGTTGGATTCCAGTAACTGACAGGCCAGCCAGAACTCAGAGCCTCCCTTCCCTCCAGTGCCCTTGAGGGTCAGGCTGCCATCCTGTATGTCCTTTCTCTGGACAATCGGGCCACCCACTCTGCCCCTGACTTCCAGAGTCATTCCTGGGAATCCACCCACCTCGCAGAGGGGAAGCTACTCTTAGGAAGTCCAAGATGACTTTCTGTCATTTTTCTTCCTGCAAAAGTAGAAAAACCATTACGGATTTGATCTCTGTGGGCACGCTATTAAATGTTTAAAAAGTCAGCCACACAAACAAATGAAAAGATCGTTGTTTATGCGCAGCCCACAGCAATTCATCATGGTCTAGAGGAGCGGGCCTGGATTCGGGGTCAGGGGAGCTGGGTTCACCAGTCTGCCCTGTTGCCTGCTGCGTGAGAGGTCTTGGTTAGGAAAGTCACTGAACCTCAGTCTTTTCATTTGTTAAGTGGTGCATGGTGGGGAGGGGAGGATAGGAGAATACCTACCTCAGAGATAAGTATTTTATTGAGCTATAAAATTAAATCAACCAAAATCAGTAGCTGTTTGTATATTTTTGACAGTTTAATGTAGCCCCAGAATTTAACCTGTATCATAGAAGGGAGGGGAAAGGGAGCCCCCAGAAAGAATCTGAAAATGTCTAGAATGAGCTTTTCCTCAGGTTCAAACAATACATTCTAACCTATTATGAACCTGCTTGGTGGTTTTAAGTTTTGCAGCGGTAACTTACCCTCTCTCCTTCTTTTCAAGTCTTGCCTCTTATTCCCACCCACCCCTCCCCAGCCATCTGTCCTTTTGTTCATCCTTAGAGTCCAGAGGCGCCATCTGGTTCTCTCCTGGATGGCCTGGGGGTGTCAGATGCCAGGAAAAGACAGAAGGGTCCTGAACTGCAGTGTCTCCTCAGGGGGCAGAATCCACAAAATCATCAGCCTTTCACCACCTGGGTGAACAATGCTGTATGTTTTTCCCTTAGGTTACTGTGTCAAAACAACTGTCTGACCCAGGTGAGAAAGTGGGGAGGAGGAAAGGTGCATCTTGTGGCATGAACATTCAGTCCACAGCTGCAGTCAAGTTGGGGGTGGGGTGGGGTCTGTTACACTTAGGGGAGGAGCATCTCATTAGGCGTATGGGGGCTTGGTTTTAGGATCAACTACTGCAATGATTCCATTGCTTTGGAAAGGGTCACTTTGAAATTTAGTTGTTGAAGTCAGATGTGCAAATAAGTTTAGAAATATCCATCACCAACCAAATAGGAAGACTTCTAAAATCCTTTTACTCTCTTGGTCAATGGTCTCCGAGCCATACTTGATCATTCATTCATTTGTTTATAAGTGCCTGCCACTGTAGGCCCCTGCCCAGGACTGCATCCTTTGGATCAGGCCCTGAATATCCATGAGCCCAGCCAGATGTTGGATTCCTTACGGCTGCTGGTCACCAGCTTATTTGGAAGCCTGGTTAAAAGCACTACGTCTTCAAAGCTTTTCCCCGCTCTGAGATAATTGCCTGCCTATCACCTGATGAAAACCCAAACTTGTTTCATTTTGTGTTAGTAAGAACTAGCTACTGGTAAGCACTTATTTAGTTGTATAACTGCTTTTCAATTTTGCATTTAAATTCTGAGAGTCCCTTAGATTCTATCATTCGGAAACCTGACTCTAAAAATACCAAATTATAAAGAAATTATGGCACAATAAGTATTTTAATCACTTTTTATAGCTTGCAATCAAGTTGACAAATACAAAAATTACTTGAGTATTATATTTAAAAACATCCTGTAATGAGTGCTCTTGTTTTCCATGTTCTTGGAATATGATGAGTTTTGCTCTGCATGCTGCTTAACGATAAAGGAATATGAGAAGAGTGGTATCTTCTAGCCAAACAACCTTTCATTTCTTTATTTAAAAAGCCCTCTTGATGGGTTTGTACCTTCTCAAAGTAACTTTCAGCAGTGTTCTCTTATGAAGCTTACTTTCTTAATCATAATGTAATTCCATAGGAACCTTACAGGTGTCTGTCTTCAGAGCATAGAGCAGTGTCTGGCATATAGGTATCACTCAATTAAAATAGAATGGATAAATGAATGCAACATACATAGAAGCAAGTGGGAATCAAGATAAGCAATTAAGAATTCTCAATATCCAACAATCAACATGACTTATGTGGGATTACAGAGCTGACTGAAAAAGATCCTATCTATTCCTTTGTTATTAAGTCTTTGGCAGAGCTGTAAGGTGATTAAGGAAGCCCTCCCCCATCCATCTCTGTCACAACAAGAAATGCATTGGGGGATAAATGGCCATTTATCTGTGGGATTGTAACCCAAGCCATTACCTTTTCCCTAACTTCCATTAATTTATCTTCTCTACACCTTAATAAAAACAGATTTAGATGTTCAATGAGAATGCTTAAATATTCCAGAGGGCAACTTGTCACCATAATTTCCAAGGTTGTAAAAAAACACTGTATTTTTAGTTTATTAGTTTGCAGTTCAGTGAAATTATCTGCCATTGATGACATCAGACTTTTGGGAGGTCTGTGGCCACAGTTTAATTTGAAAGTTACAGTTAGAATCTGATGAAATCACAGTGGGTGTTGCAAGAGACACCCTTGCAGAAATTTGAAGATTATCCTGAAACTGCTTAGTGTAGTCTTTTAAATAAGTATTCCCATGTGCTGTTCATGAATTATAATTAGCATGGGTGTTTTGTCATACTGTAAGCATTGTCAATGGCTTCTGTAAATATGCCTTTGCTTTATAATTACTTCATGTAACTGAACACCAGCCACAAATATGGTCATCCTTAATCACCTTACAGCTCTGCCAAGGACTTAATAACAAAGGAATAGATAGGATCTTTTTCAGTCAGCTCTGTAATCCCACATAAGTCATGTTGATTGTGGGATATTGAGAATTCTTAATTGCTTATCTCGATTCCTACTTGCTTCTATGTATGTTGCATTCATTTATTCATTCTATTTTTATTAAGTGATACCTATATGCCAGACACTGCTCTATGCTCTGAAACAGGCAGAAGTGTCAGAAAACAGTTTACCCAATGTTTTCCATCCAAATCCAATTAACCAATATTCCCAATTTGGAGCAACTCAAGACGAGCCATATATCATTGAGGTGGAGCTGGCAAGCAATCTTGTGTGTTTGTTACTCTAAAAGTTAACTTCATTTAATTGTGGGAGATAACTCTTGGAAATTTATTTTAAAAGGAAAAAAATGATGTTTCTTTCAGCTGAGGATAAAATAACATGTTGTGAAATGTTTTGCAAAGTCTAAGATGCCACAGAAAGGTATAAAACTTTTTGTTGTTGTTCATCAACATGAAGATGCTCTGATTTTTGCTTTCTTCTGACTTTGATTTGATTTTTTTCAGAGATCAATATAGGGGACACAATTTTGGAAAGTGACATATGGGTGAAAGTGAATCTGCACGAACAGAACCTGATCATGGTGGGACCTTTTACCTTGCCTTCCTTCCTTGGACAATTTTGGTCTCATTCTCATTTACTTTCCTCAGAGAGACTATTTAAAGGGAAACTATAACTACTTGCCTCAAACCATCACTGTGAAATAGACACTGGCAATTCTATAGTGTTTGGTTCCAATAAGACAAAAATAAACACAAATTACATCCATTTAACTTTTATTTTAAATCATCTGCTGGGATTCTGGTCTTCTTCTAGCAACATAATTGTGTATCAGTTAACAATCCAAGTTAGGAAGATTATAGGTATAATTTAAGGCAATAAAATGACTGGGGAACATTTTCTATAATTGTCAATTGAAATGAAATCTTTAGAAACAGCTGAATGACTTTTGGCAAAGTTAAGCCTTGGCCAAACCAGCTGAAGATGATTGGTGATGTATCTAGCTCTCCAGATCATGTGTCACATTCTGGGCTCTGACTGTTGATTGATAATGTGTCAATTATCTATCTGTTTAGCTACTCTAGTTTAGCTTACCTATCTACCTTTCTGATACTCCAAGATATTGGTTGGTATTGTCTGTTTCATTTAGGATACAGGTTTGGCTGCAAGTGACAGAGACCCAAAATCAAATGGCCTTAAATAAAGATAGTTAATTTTTCTTTCATATCAGAGTTCAAGATGGTTTAAGAACTCTGTTTTACTAAGTCATCAGGGACTTTTGCTTCCTCCTCATAGTCCGAGATAACTTACCTCCAGCTCTAGATTCCACCAGCACAGAGGAAGAAAGTGAAGTGAAGGGCCTGCCCTATCACTTCAAAAGCACATCCTGAAAGTTGTACACCTCACTACTGCTCGTATCCCATCAGCTGTAAGTAGATCACATTGTCATACCCAGATGCAAGGGAGCTAAAAAATATTTTCTCTATTTTGGTTGGCTGTGTGCTCAGATAAACAAACAGATTTTCTATTACTGCAGAAAGAGGGGAGAATAGATATTAGGAAGTGACTAGCGGTTTTTGGCTAAATATTGTATTAAACACCCACTCATCCTCAAGATCAATGCTTCAATTCTACATACTAGTGGTTTTCAAAGTGTGGTCTCTGGACTAGAAGCATCAGAATCACCTGAGAACTTGAAAAAAATTCAGATTCTTCCAACCTCCCCACCCTGCTGAATCAGCTCCTGAATCAAAAACTCAAATGGGCCAGGCATGGTGGCTTATGCCTATAATCTAAAACTTTGAGAGGCCGAGGTAGGACGATCACTTGAGCCCAGGAGTTCAAGACCAGACTGGGCAACATAGTGAGTCCCCCATTTCTGCAAAAAATTTTAAAAATTAGCTGGGCATGGCCGTATTTGCCTATAGTGCCAGCTACTTGGGAAGCTGAGGCAGGAGGATTGCTTGAGCCCAGGAGTTTGATGCTGCAATGAGCTATGGTTGCACCACTGCACTCCAGCCTGGCTGACAAAGTGAGACCCTGTCTCTTAAAAACAAGCAAATGAAAAAAGAAACTCTGGAAGTGGAACCCAGCAAGGTGAGTTTTCACAAGCCCTCCAGGTGCTTCTGATGCCTGCTAAAGTTTGAGAACCACTGGTCTAGTAGAGAATGCTTTTCTAAGCAGCTAGATGGGAGGCTGGGCATTAGAGGAGGAAATGAGTCAGGAAGGCCCAGAAGCAGTCAGCTCCTCACCCTTGACTGCTGTGGTCCTTGTAAAGTCACTCCCTTACTAAATTCCTCTTCCAGAGGTTCTCCTGGGTGGCCCAGCAGCCAAGGCCATGTTGTTTGGTGGGAAGATTGTGGGATTATGAGTGGCCTTCCCCAGCAGCATACTTCATCCTTTTGTGACCTATTTTTTTCTGTTATATAAAATGAATTGGAGGGAGGGAGGGAGGGCAAATGACCTTGATGATCTCCTCCAGCCCTGCCACCTGAGAGTTCTGTGCCCTGCTGACTCCCTGGAGTCATGGTTTTGTCCTTCCCCACCAGCAGCAGAGATGCTGTAGTTGGGAGCTTAAAAGAAAAGACCCCAGAGTCAAACAGAGTTTGGGTTTGAACCAAGGCTCACTTGCTAGATGCATGACCTTTGGTAAGTTGCCTAATTTCTCTGGGTCTCAATTTCTTCACCTATAAAGTAAGGATAATAAAGTCATCCTCACTGGACTGTTTGGGGAATTAATGAGGTGCATGTATGTGTGTAAAACACATAGCATAGTGCCTGGCATGAAGTAAATGCTAAGTAAATGCAGCTATTGCCATGTTGCATTTTGTAGTTCATTGGGACACACATCATTTGGACAACTGTTTCTTTCCACATACCTATCTTTATTGACCCTCATATAAAGATAGGCCATGTATTTATTTTCTCTTTTGTGAGGTCTTACAAACCTCAGTCAAGAGAGACAAAGTTGGTACATAATTTTTCTGGAAATCTCAAGCCATCCTGACATAGAAAAAGGCACAACTCCATTCATAATGCTACCTCACTCACACATCTCACTTGAGCCTTCTGCATAAGGGAAAGGCAGCTTTATTCCTATTTTCCAGGTAAGGAAACAAAAGCTTAGGAAGATCAGGTATCGGAAACAGTATTACCCAACAACTCAATGGGGAACCTGGACTCAGACACTCATGTCTGAGTTAGATGTCTCCACAGAAACCAAGGTTTAGCTATCTTGTAAAAAATCTGTTCTTGGCTGGGTGCGGTGGCTCATGCCTGTAATCCCAGCACTTTGGGAGGCCAAAGCGGGCAGATCACCTGAGGTCAGGAGTTCGAGACCACCTTGGCCAACATGGTGAAACCCCGTCTCTATTAAAAATACAAAAAATTAGCTGGGCATGGTGGCAGGCACCTGTAATCCCAGCTACTCAGGAGGCCGAGGCAGGAGAATTGCTTGAATCCAGGAGGCAGAGGTTGCAGTGAGCCGAGATTGAGTCACGGCACTCCAGCCTGGGCGACTGAGTGAAACTCCGTCTCAGGGAAAAAAAAAAAAAATCTGTTCTTTTCTGTTCCTCCCAATAGCCTATAAACTCCTTGCATCTCCCAGTCCTCACATTACCTTTGGATCTCCAGCACCTAGTCTGGCAGCTGGCACAGAGTGATGCTAAACAAATGTTTGCTGAATGACAAATGAAGGAAAGAAATAAAGCCTTTGGATTCTCTGCGTTCTATGCATGACTTCTCTTTTGCAAGTGTTTGGAATCATGGCACCAATTTTATTGATGGAAAAGCTTCCTCTTCTGCCCCTGGGAACAAGGCTCAGCCTGCTCGTCACTGGTCCATTGCTTGCCAGCATGGAATGGTAGATGTGGCAAGGCAGGTATCTAATTCTCCACTGCCTTCCCTCCTCCTCCCTTCTTCTGGGGCTCCCCTGGCCCAGCTGTTCCCTTACGGTCCTAGAGTTATTTTTATAGGTGCTCTGCAGAGCAGATGTCCCTGAATGGGCATCCAGCTTCTCTTACTATAATGCCTTTTACTGAAACAGCTAATTACACTGCTGACATCCCTCGACCCCAAATATGGGGGGAGGGAAAAGATGAATCAATGTAATGGGAGAATTCTGCCTCTCAGACCTCACACTCTCTCTCTCCCCTTCACCCCCATAGATTACCCACTCCCACCCCTCACTGTCAACATTGGTGTCTGTCAGCTGGTGGTTAGACACTTGAACAGACTTTGCCAATTACAGAAGTCACACCTCTTGGTTGGCAGGCGCACGCTATTGTGCCTGGGTTCCCAACAGGGAGCCATATAGCTTTTGGGCAAAGGACGTGCCAGGAAGGAATAAGAGAGTGCCCCTGAGGGCAAACTGGCTTCAGGTGGGAGGCCCCGTCTGAAAGCTACTCTCAGGTAGACACACGATGAGCTGTCGTTTTATGTGGGTTTGATTTGGAGCTATTGTTGCTCCACTCCAAATCATCTTGATTTATTCAGGGGGAGGGTACTCTGAGTGTGTCTTGGCAGCATTAAGACCCTTCTGTTGTTCTTTTGTTCCTTATTACTCCTCCCCTCCTTCTCCCCCCTTTTTGGTGAACTCTGAGTTTTGCTGTTTTATACTGAGAAACCGAGCAGGGGAAGTAACAGTAGCAACTCCTTTGCAGTTCCGAGGGGCTTAGCAAAGCCCTCTCATATCACGATATCATTTGATCTCCAGGACAATTATGAATGAAGTCACAAGAATAGGTGGTGGTGTTTTCATTTTAAGGATAAAGACACTGAATTCCAGGAGGATTAAGGGACTGGTCTTCTACATGGTGGAGAAAAAAAAAATGGATTGAGAATTTGACTATTAATCCCGGCAGTCCACAGGCTGTCTGCATGTCTTGGATTACTCAATTACCTCTTTGTCACTGATTTTCCTATCTGCAATTCCAGGGATCTTGTAGTCTTGTTGGACTTCAAGAGTCTTTACTTCCAAGTTCATTTAGTTTACAGTGACCCAAATGAGATTAGATCACCATGAGACCAAGTCCTACCACAGAAATTGGTCCTTAAATGACCTCATCTTTTCATTTTAATTTTAATGACAAATTACAAACACACATAAAAGATAAGGGAGAAAAGTAAAAGGAACCCCCAGTGCTGTCAATCAGCTTTGACACTGATCATTTCACCTATCTTGTTTCCTCTAAACTTCTTTTAAAAAATCCGCAGTATTTTCTTTTTTAACATTTTATTTTACAACATTTTTAAAATTTGATAAATAAAATTATATACAGTTAATATGTACAGCATACATATTTGAAATACGTGAAATAACTATGTGAAGTTAATGCACATGTTAATTAGCTCAAGCTAATCTTTGGAAAGGTTTCCACCATGCGGAAAGGTTAATTTGAGCTAATTAATATGTGTATTGCCTCACATAGTTATTTTTTGTAGTGACAACACTTAAAATCTACTCTTTTAGCATTCTTCAGGAATACAATATATTGTTATTAACTTAGTCACCATTTTGTACAATAGATCTCTTGAAATTACTCTTCCTATCTAGCTGAAATTTTGTAATCTTTGAACACTATCTCCCCGACCCCCCTCCCCTTGGTGATCACCATTCAAATCTGCAGTATTTTAAAGTAAATCCAAGCTATCACATTACTTCACCAATACAAAGTACAGTATGCATCTTTACACAATAGGGATGTTTATTATTATTATTATTTTTTAAATTATACTTTAAGTTCTGTGCAGCACGTGCAGGTTTGTTACATAGGTACACATGTGCAGAAAGTTCAGGTTTGTTACATAGGTATACACGTGCCATGGTAGTTTGCTGCACCCAACAACTTGTCACCTACATTAGGTATTTCTCCTAATGTTATCCCTCCCCTAGCCCCCCACCCCCCGACAGGCCCCAGTGTGTGATGTTCCCCTCCCTGTGTCTACGTGTTTTCATTGTTCAGCTCCCACTTATGAGTGAGAACATGCGGTGTTTGGTTTTCTGTTCCTGTGTTAGTTTGCTAAGAATGGTGGTTTCCAGCTTCATCCATGTTCCCCACAAGGGACATGAACTCATCCTTTTTTATGGCTGCATAATATTTCAAGGTGTATATGTGCCACGTTTTCTTTATCCAGTATATCATTGATAGGCATTTTGGTTGGTTCCAAGTCTTTGCTATTGTGAATAGTGCTGCAATAAACATACGTGTGCATATGTCTTTATAGTAGAATGATTTATTATCCTTTGGGTATATACCCAGTAATGAGATTGCTGGGTCAAATGGTATTTCTGGTTCTAGATCTTGAGGAATCACCACACTGTCTTCCACAATGGTTGAACTAATTTATATTCCTACCAACAGTGTAAAAGCATTCCTGTTTCTCCACATCCTCTCCAGCATCTGTTTCCTGACTTTTTAATGATGGCCATTCTAACTGGTGTGAGATGGTATCTCATTATGGTTTTGATTTGCATTTCTCTAATGACCAGTGATGATGAGCTTTGTTTCATGTGTTTGTTGTCCACATAAATGTCTTCTTTTGAGAAGTATCTGTTCATATCCTTTGCCCACTTTCTGATGGGGTTTTTTTCTTGTAAATTTGTTTAAGTTCCTTGTAGATTCTGGATATTAGCCCTTTGTCAGATGGATAGATTGCAAAATTTTTCTCCCATTCTGTAGGTTGCCTGTTCACTCTGATGATAGTTACTTTTGCTGTGCAGAAGCTCTTTAGTTTAATTAAATCCCATGTATCAATTTTGGCTTTTGTTGCCATTGCTTTTGGTGTTTTAGACATGAAGTCTTTGCCCATGCCTATGTCCTGAATGGTATTGCCTAGATTTTCTTCTATGGTTTTTATGGTTTTAGGTCTTACATTTAAGTCTTTAATCCATCTTGAGTTAATTGTTGTATATGGTGTAAGGAAAGGGCCCAGTTTCAGTTTTCTACATATGGCTAGCCAGTTTTCCCAACACCATTTATTAAATAGGGAATAATTTCCCCATTGCTTGTTTTTGCCAGGTTTGTCAAAGATCAGATGGTTGTAGATGTGTGGTGTTATTTCTGAGGCCTCTGTTCTGTTCCATTGGTCTATATATCTGTTTAGTACCACTACCATGCTATTTTGGTTACTGTATCATTGTAGCATAGTTTGAAGTCAGGTAGTGTGATGCCTCCAGCTTTGTTCTTTTTGCTTAGGATTATCTTGGCCATACGAGCTCTTTTTGTTTCCATATGAAATTTGAAGTAATTTTTTCTAATTCTATGGAGAAAGTCAATGGTAGCTTAGTGGGGATAGCATTGAATCTATAAATTACTTTGGACAGTATGGCCATTTTCATGATAGTGATTCTTCCTATGCATGAGCATGGAATTTTTTTCCATTTGATTGTGTCCTCTCTTATTTCCTTGAGCAGTGGTTTGTAGTTCTTCTTGAAGAGGTCCTTCACATCCCTTGTAAGTTTTATTCCTAGGTATTTTATTCTCTTTATAGCAATTGTGAATGGGAGTTCACTCATGATTTGGCTCTCTGTTTGTCTCTTATTGGTGTATAGGAATGCTTGTGATTTTTTGCACATTGATTTTGTATGCTGAGACTTTGCTGAAGTTCCTTATCAGCTTAAGGAGATTTGGGGCTGGGACGATGGGGTTTTCTAAATATACAATCATGTCATCTGCAAACAGAGGCAATTTGACTTCCTCTCTTCCTATTTGAATACCTGTTATTTCTTTCTCTTGCCTGATTGCTCTGGCCATAACTTCCAATACTATGTTGAATAGGAGTGGTGAGAGAGGGCATCCTTGTCTTGTGCTGGTTTTCAAAGGGAATGCTTCCAGCTTTTGCCCATTCAGCATGATATTGGCTGTGGGTTTGTCATAAATAGCTCTTATTGAGATACATTCCATCAATACCTAGTTTATTGAGAGTTTTTTGCATGAAGGGGTTTGAATTTTATTGAAGGCCTTTTCTGCATCTATTGAGATATTAATGTGGTTTTTGTCATTGGTTCTGTTTATGTCATGGATGATGTTTATTGATTTGCATATGTTGAAGCAGCATTGCATCCCAGGGATGAAGCCGAACTGATCATGGTGGATAAGCTTTTTGATGTGCTGCTGGAATTGGTTTGCCAGTATTTTATTGAGGATTTTCACATTGATATTCATCAGGGATATTGGCCTGAAATTTTCTTTTTTTGTTGTGTCTCTGCCAGGTTTTGGTATCAGAATGATGCTGGCCTCATAAAATGAGTTAGAGAGGAGTCCCTCTTTTTCTATTGTTTGGAATGGTTTCAGAAGTAATGGCACCAGCTCCTCTTCGTACCTCTAATAGAATTTGGCTGTGAATCCATCTGGTCCTGGGGTTTTTTTGGTTGGTAGGCTATTAATTACTGCCTCAATTTCAGAACTTGTTATTGGTCTATTCAGGGATTCGACTTCTTCCTGGTTTAGTCTTGGAAGCGTGTATGTGTCCAGGAATTTATCCATTTCTTCTATATTTTCTAGCTTATTTGCACAGAGGTGTGTATAGTATTCTCTGATGGTAGTTTGTATTTCTGTGGGATCAGTGGTGATCTCTCATTTATCATTTTTCATTGTGTCTATTTGATTTTCTCTCTTTTCTTCTCTATTAGTCTGGCTAGCGGTCTATTTTGTTAATCTTTTCAAAAAACCAGCTCCTGGATTCACTGATTTTTTTGAGGGGTTTTTTGTGTCTCTATCTCCTTCAGTTCTGCTCTGATCTTAGTTAGTTCTTGTTTTCTGCTAGCTTTTGAATTTGTTTGCTTTTGCTTCTCTAGTTCTTTTAATTGTGATGTTAGGGTGTCGATTTTAGATCTTTCCTGCTTTCTCCTGTGGGCATTTAGTGCTATAAATATTCCTCTAAATACTGCTTTAGCTGTGTCCCAGAGATTCTGGTATGTTGTGTCTTTGTTCTCATTGGTTTCAAAGAACTTATTTATATCTGCCTTAATTTTGTTATTTACCCAGTAGTCATTCAGGAGCAGGTTGTTCAGTTTCTATGTAGTTGTGTGGTTTTGAGCAAGTTTCTTAATCCTGAGTTCTAATTTGAGTGCACTGTTGTCTGAGAGATGGTTTGTTATGATTTTTGTTCTTTTGCATTTACTTAGGAGTGTTTTTACTTCCAATTATGTGGTCAATTTTAGAATAAGAGAAGAATGTATATTCTGTTGATTTGGGGTGGATAGTTCTATAGATGTCTATTAGGTCTGCTTGGTCCAGAGCTGAGTTCAAGTCCTGAATATCTTTGTTAATTTTCCGTCTAGTTGATCTGTCTGATATTAACAGTGGGGTGTTAAAGTCTCTCACTATTATTGTGTGGGAGTCTAAGTCTTTTTGTAGGTCTCTAAGAACTTCCTTTATGAATTTGAGTGCTCCTGTATTTGGTACATATATATTTAGGAGAGTTAGTTCTTCTTGTTGCATTGATCCCTTTAACGTTATGTAATGCCCTTCTTTGTCTTTTTTGATCTTTGTTGATTTAAAGACTGTTTTATCAGAGACTAGGATTGTAACACCTGCTTTTTTTGCTTTCCATTTGCTTGGTAAATATTCCTCCATCCCTTTATTTTGAGCCTATGTGTATCTTCGCACGTGAGATATGTCTCCTGAATAGAGCACACTGATGGGTCTTGACTTTTTATCCAATTTGCCAGTCTCTGTCTTTTAATTGGGGCATTTAGCCTGTTTACATTTAAGGTTAATATTGTTATGTGTGAATTTGATCCTGTCATTATGATGTTAGCTGGTTATTTTGCCTGTTAGCTGACACAGTTTCTTCATAGTGTTGATGGTCTTCACAATTTTATGTTTTTGCAGTAGCTGATACTGGTTTTTCCTTTCCATATTTAGTGCTTCCTTCAGGAGCTCTTGTAAGGCAGGCATTGTGGTGACAAAAATTCTCAGCATTTGCTTGTCTGTAAAGGATTTTATTTCTCCTTCACTTATGAAGCTTAGTTTGGCTCCATATAAAATTTTGGGTTGAAAATTCTTTTCTTTAAGAAAGCTGAATATTGGCCCCCACTCTCTTCTGGCTTGTGGGGTTTCTGCAGACAGATCCGGTGTTAGTCTGATGGGCTTCCCTTTGTGGGTAACCCGACCTTTCTCTCTGGCTGCCCTTAACATTTTTTCCTTCATTTCAATCTTGGTGAATCTGACAATTATGTGTCATGGGGTTGCTCTTCTTGAGGAGTATCTTTGTGGTGTTCTCTGTATTTCCTGAATTTGAAGATTGACCTGTCTTGCTAGGTTGGGGAATTTCTCCTGGATAATATCCTGAAGAGTGTTTTCCAACTGGGTTCCTTTTTCCTGGTCACTTTCAGGTACACCAGTCAAATATAGGTTTGGTCTTTGCACATAGTCCCATATTTCTTGGAGGCTTTGTTCGTTCCTTTTTCTTTAATTTTGTTTTCACTCTTTATTTCGTTAAGTTGATCTTCAGTCTCTTGATATCCTTTCTTCTGCTTGATCGATTCAGGTATTGATACTTGTGTATGCTTCATGAAGTTCTCATGCTGTGTTTTTCAGCTCCAACAGGTCATTTATGTTCTTCTCTATACTGGTTATTCTAGGAAGCAATTCATCTAACCTTTTTTCAAGGTTCTTAGCTTCCTTGCAATGGGTTAGAACATGCTCCTTTAGATCAGAGGAGTTTGTTATTGCCCACCTTCTGAAGCCTACTTCTGTCAATTTGTCAAACTCATTCCCCCTCCAGTTTTGTTCCCTTGCTGGCGAGGAGTTGTGATCCTTTGGAAGAGAAGAGACGTTCTGGTTTTTGGCATTTTCAGCCTTTTTGTGCTGGTTTCTCCCCATCTTCATGGATTTAGCTACTTTTGGACTTTGATGTTGTTGACCTTCAGATGGGGTTTCTGCATGGATATCCTTTTTGTTGATGTTGATGCTATTGCTTTCTGCTTGTTAGTTTTCCTTCTAACACTCAGGCCCCTCTGCTGCAGGTCTGCTGGAGTTTGCTGGAGGTCCGCTCCAGACCCTGTTTGCCTGGGTATCACTAGCGGAGGCTGCAGAACAGCAAAGATTGCTGCTTGTTCCTTCCTCTGGAAGCTTCGTCCCAGAGGGGCACCCACCAGATGCCAACCAGGCCTCTCCTGTAGGAGGTGTCTGTTGACCTCTGCTGGGAGGTGTCTCCCAGTCAGGAGGCACGGGGGTCAGGGACCCACTTGAGGAAGCAGTCTCTCCCTTAGCAGAGCTCGAGCGCTGTACTGGGAGATTCGCTGCTCTCTTCACAGCCAGCAGGCAGGAACATTACTCTGTTAAAGCTGCATCCATAGCCCCCCCTTCCCCCAGGTGCTCTCTCCCAGGGGGATGGGAATTTTATCTATAAGCCCCTGACTGGGGCTGCTGCCTTTCTTTCAGAGATGCCCTGCCCAGAGAGGAGGAATCTAGAGAGGCAGTCTGGCTACAGCAGCTTTGCCAACCTGCAGTGGGCTCCACCCAGTTTGAACTCCCTGGCGGCTTTATTTACACTGTGAGGGGAAAACCGCCTATTGAAGCCTCAGTAATGTTGGACACCCCTCCCCCTACCAAGCTCCAGCATCCCAGGTTGACTTCAGACTGCTGTGCTGGCCAAGAATTTCAAGCCAGTGGATCTTAGCTTGCTGGGCTTGGTGCGGGTGGAATCCGCTGAGCTAGACCACTTGGCTCCCTGGCTTCAGCCCCCTTTCCAGGGGTTCTATCTCGCTGGTGTTCCAGGTGCCACTGGGGTATGAAAAAAAACTACTTCAGCCAGCTTGGTGTCTGCCCAAAGGGCCATCCAGTTTTGTGCTTGAAACCCAGGGCCCTGGTGGTGTAGGCACCTGAGGGAATCTCCTGGTCTGTGGATTGCAAAAACCATGGGAAAAGTGTAGTATCTGGGCCGGAGTGCACTGTTCCTCATGGCACAGTCCCTCACACTGGCTTCCCTTGGCTAGGGGAGGGGGTTCCCTGACCCCTTGCTCTTCGTGGGTGAGGCAACGGCCCACACTGCTTCAGCTCAGCCTCTGTGGGCTGCACCCACTCTCTAACCAGTCCCAATGAGATGAACCAGGTACCTCAGTTGGAAATGCAGAAATCACCCACCTTCTGCATTGATCTTGCTGGGAGCCACGGACCAGAGCTGTTCCTATTCAGCCATCTTGCCAGCCATCAGGGATTTTTTTTTTTTTTGATATGGAGTCTTGCTCTGTCGCCAAGCTAGAGTGCAGTGGCACAATCTTGGCTCACTGCAACCTCCACCTCCTGGGTTCAAGCGATTCTCCTGCCTCAGCCTCCCGGGTAGCTGGGACTACAGGCACACGCAACCACACCCAGCTAATTTTTGTATTTTTTGTAGAGACGGGGTTCCACCATGTTGGCCAGGATGGTCTCAATCTCTTGACCTCATGATCTGCCCGCCTCGGCCTCCCAAAGTGCTGGGATTACAGGTGTGAGCCACTGCACCCAGTGGATGTTTTTAAAAATACACAACCACCATGCCATTATCGCAGCCAACAAAATTAACTACCACTCCTTAGTAGTATCTATTACTCACGCTATATTCAAATTTTCTGATTGTCTTACAGATGTCTTTTTTATAGTTGGTTCACTTGGATTGGGATGTAAACAAGGTCCATACGTCATATTTGGTTATCTCTCTTCTGTCTCTATCATTTCAGTACTCCTTCTTTTCTTCTTCTCATGCTATTGATTTGTGGGAGAAAACAGGTCATTTGTCCTGGAGAATGTACCATATTCTGAAATTAGCTAATTGCTTCTCTGTTGTGTCATTTAACTTGTACCTCTGCCCTCTGCACTTCTTGTAAATGGGGAGGTAGGTCTAGAGGCTTGATCAGATACTAGTTCAATTTTTTAACTCCTAGGTGGTGCTTTGCATATAAAGTCTGGCTGGCCATTTTTAGTGATTCTGAGACTGAGACTGATTAGAGGATTAAGATATTATCAAAGGGATTTCTGTATTATAAATGAACTCATTTTTTATTTGCAGTTTTCTTTAGCCTACATGTTAACGGATCCATCAAAGTTTTAAAAGTGTATCTGTCTTTACCCTATTCTGTTTCATCTTTTTTAGCCTTTTCCTATTTTCCATGGTAGATACTCATTTTCTTCCTCTCTCACTACTAAAGTATTAAAGAAAAATGAGAAGCGATATGCTTTTAAAAAAACCTCAGACATATTTGATTTGCCATAAGGACAATCTGCTACTCATTACAACAGTTATTGAGACTAATGAATTTTGTGTTGCTGTTTTGTAAGATTCTTGGTTGAAATTCTTACAAGTAATTGAAAATGTATACTTGGATAAATTATGTAAATGAAGGGCCTCAGAGAAAATGATCAACAGTGTTCTCAGGAATGCAGCTAAGGATTTTTTTTTTTTTTTTTCCCAGTTAAGGGTTTTTAAACCATCCTTTTGCTTAGCAGGCATGCTTCTGCTTTTATTTTCTTTCCACACCAAGACAGGAACACACCCTAGTGGGTAACAGGCTGGAGGCAGGCAGAGCCAGCTGGGCAGGGGGCCTGTGTCACTGGGAGGCATTGCTGGTCTCACCAGCAGTGGAATTACATACTATGAAGGGCACAAATGAAGTCTGAGTTGTATCCATCACATGTGTGTCATCATTATATCACTTTAGATCAGGGACAGTGAGACACCTCTCAGGACACATGCTGTTATAAAGAAAGCAGTAGGAACCTGTCAGAATTCCTTCTAGTTCTCTGTAGTTATAGTGGGTCTTACACAAATTCACATACATTCACACCACTGTAGCAACATGCTTTTTAAGGGAAGTCCTATTACAGTAATAGATAGTTGAAGATGGCTTTTAAAATATAATACTATTCTTTGTGCCGGCCTGCCAGACGGGTTCCCTAGCTACTTGCCTTTCCTTAATTGCTTCTTCCTTCTTTCCTTTTAAGCCCCGGCTCTACCTTTTACAATTAACGTGTGAGGCATTGAAACTCTTGAGCCTCAGTTGCTTGTGCCTTGCATTGGAGTTAAAATAATACATACCTGGGGTAAGCACTAAGGAGACAGCATATCTTTGAAGGCCTTGTAAACTGGGTGGCACTATACATTTGAATGGTGTTGTACTTGGCTCTTATTCTACCAAAACTTGACTTTAAAACCCTTTGGGGCCAAGTGCAGTGGCTCACACCTGTAATCCCAGCACTTTGGGAGGCCAAGACGGGCGGACTGCTTGGGGCTAAGAGTTCCAGACCAACCTGGGATACACAGCCAGACCTTGTCTCTACTAAAACATGAAAATAAATAAATAACTAGCCGGGCGTAGTGGTGTGCACTTGTAGTCCCAGCTACTAGGGAGGCTGAGGCGGGAGGATCACTTGAGCCCAGGAAGTCAAAGCTGCAGTGAACTGTGTGGTGAGACAGGAAGAAAATGAGTATCTACCATGGAAAATAGGAAAAGTCTAAAAAAGATGAAAGAGAATAGGATAAAGACAGATACATTTTAAAAATTTTAATGGATCGTTCATGTGATGATGTCACTGCACTCCAGTCTGGGTGACAGAGGGAGACTCTGCCTCAAATAAACAAACAAACAAATGAACAAAACCAAAAAACAAACCGTTTGGTAGCTCTCCCTTACTTATGATGTAGTGCAGACTCTTTAAAGGGCTTATAAGGTCTATAGGATCCAGCTTCTCTTTCCTCTCCATCCTTATCTCTCCCCACCCTGGACTCTCAGTCCAAGCCTCCAGTCGTGTGCTGTACTTTCTCATCATCCTGGCTTTGCATATGCTATTTCCTTGGCTTAGATCATTGTACTTCACCTCCTCCTCTGTGCTTGGCTAATGCAACCCCAACCTTCTGTTTCTGTTAGATACTCCGTCGTCTGGGAAGATTTCCGTAATTTCCAAAAACTGTAGGGTACTATCAGAGAGCACTTATCACTCATGTTGTAATTCTATTTACTTGTGTTGTGTGTATTTTTTGAGGGCAGAAATCATTGTGGAGATAATTGTCTTTGTGGCTCAATATCCTAGCTCAGTGTGTAGCACATAGTTGCTGCCCTATTTATTTGCTGCATAGTTGAATAAACACTAAGCTCCAACCCTACTTTCTTTTTGGCAAATTAATGTCTTGTTTCTCCAGCTTATTTTCCAGCTTACCTTAGAATGATCACCTCATCACGCTCAGTCTTGTTTCCTGTAGGGTTCAGTTTAGCATCTTATTCTATATAATCTTATTCTCAAATTTCTGGGTTCATCTTGTTATTATTCTGAGTCCAAATGTAGGTAGACCAGGAATTCAACCCCTATTATGTTAGTTGTCTATTGCTATGTAATAAATTACCCCAAAATTTAGCAGCTTAAAACAACAATGAATGTTATCTCACACTGTTTCTATAGAGCAGGAATCCAGGAGCAGTTTAGCTGGGCTGGGTGGTTCTGGTTCAGGATCTCTCAGGAGGTTGCAGTCAGCATGTTGGCCAGGATTGCAGTCATCTGAAGGCTCGACTGGAGCTGGAAGAATCTGCTCCTAAGACGGTGCACTCACCTGGCTGTTGGCTAGAGGCCTCAGTTCCTTGCTGACAGCTGGCAGGAGGCCTCAGATTTCTACCACATGGAATTCTCCATAGGGTGTTGCAGGCGGCCTCACAACATGCAGCTGGATTCCCCCAGAGTGATCCAGAGAAAGAGTACGAGGGAAGCCACAGTGCCTTTTGTCTTCAAAGTCTCACACCATCAATTTAGCTTCTTTTGTTTGTTTAAAAATGAGTCACTGTTCTAAGTGCTTTGCTTGTATTACCTCATTTGATCCCCAAAAGAATCTGAGAGATCATCTCATATTCAGATGGTGAAACATTTCCCAAAGCTAGATTTATCTAAGGTCTCTCAAAAAAGGCATAGAACCAAAATTCTAATGTGTTTTTGGATTCATTACCCTTTTCACTATGAGTGAATGACATGCCTCAGAGAGTAGGTTATGAACTAGGAGAATTTGAGCACATAGTGTGTGTCTATTTATATGCACATAAATATAAATGTATGACAACTGTAATAGATGAAAATCATAGGCCATATACTTCTTAACATCTGTAAAAACACAGAAAAAAAAGGTAATAGGAAATTTCTTTTCAAGTCTACTTGGGAACTTGCTCAAATCCAATAGAAATTACCTTTATCTTTTCCATTTTATTTAGGCAACTGTGCCATCCACCTTATGTTTAAGTTTGAGGGCTTCTTTGCCCTTCCATTGAAACATTTATTTTATTAAACACATATAGTGTTTAATTTATTTTATTAAAACATCTATTTTATTAAAACATTTATTTTATTAAACACATATAGTACTATTCTGCTTTCATTAAGTTTATTAGCTTCTTATTAAATACTTTAATCCTCATAACAGTCCTAGGAGAAGGCACCAGTTCTTATTTTATTGATGAGGAGCAAAAAAGTTAAGTAACCTGCTAAGATTACATGGCTAGTGAGGGCAGAGTCAGGATTTGAACCCAGGCAGTCTGGCTTCTGTGCCCACTTCTTCACCTCCTCACCATGTCACCTCTCCCATCTGTGCAGGTCAAGAAGTCAAAGTCTGCAGCTCTGCAAGTGTATTGGATTTCTGGATAAAATAAGCCTGACATATTATTGACTTTCTTAGTGGAGAAAACCCTTCTCTCCCTTTACATTGGTGAATTCTTGTACTCTGCAATTAACGTGTGTGCCAGTTCTCAGTAAGCACTCAGCATTGCAGAATGAAGTGTGTTGTTCCAGGCAGAAGGCCCATCAGAGTCCTGGGCTTCCCATGGATGCAGGCTCTCTGATGTAGACGTTCATCCCTTTGCTCAGCCTCTGTCCCAGGCAGCCAGCCAGTGTCTTACACTTCTTCTCAGTAGTAATTATGAGGTAGCATCCTTAGAGGAAGTGGTGGAAGTCACTTTCAATGGTGGTAATGGTCATCTTCCTCTTTCCTTTTCATCTCCTTGCTGCTCCTCATCTATTTGGCATTAAAAATAGTATTTACATTTAAAGAGGAGATATTATGACATTTGTGTCTATCTCTGCTTATTGGCTGCCTCAGCAAGAGGGGGACTGACCTTCCCGAGGTGCATACCAAGGTTAACATTCCTAGAGCTTCAGGCATTTTGGTCATTTAATGGACACTCTTCCCATTCATCAGGTCAACAGGATTCCTGTTAACATTAAACGTACCTCAGGTGGGGGAAAGAATGCTTCTGAGTAGATGACAGAAGGAAATCTCCCCTAATTCTTGTTAGACTAATAAATATTCCTTTTTCATACAGTGTTGAAACTTGGAGATCCTTAGAGATGACCAGAATGAGGCTCTCATGTGAAGGGTAAGGAAACTGGTGTTCAAAGAGGTTGAAGGACTTGGTCAAAGAACATAAACGGTGGTCCTCCAGATTCACTGTCTACCCTCCACTCTGCTCTCAGCCCAGGAAACTGATCCATCAAGGCTGTATCAATAGACACCCTCACTCCCTGGCTTGCCCAAAGGGAGCTCTGGCAGGAGATGAGAACAAAGAGCAGGATGAGGTTAGTTTTTTATTTCCTTGGCTCTCTCCCTGCAATGTTGCCTTGAATTGACTGTATCCCTCCACCAAAGGCACAGTTTCTTCTGAGGGGCCCACTAGACAGACTTTCCTCCTGGGTTCCAGTAACTGCTCCCTCCCCCATCCCTTTGGGTCTAGAGCTGGTGACTGCTTCACTGTTACTCACCCTGGATTTTTGCATGATCCCTTGTGATTCCCCTGTCCTTAGAGAAATCATGTAACTTATTATCCAAGCTGGGGCACCCTTGAGAATAAAGGTAGGGTTATTAATTATTACACCAGGATAATAGGTAGAAACCACCCTGTCCTGTGCAACTGGGACTGATGGTCACCCTACCCACACCCACTCACATCTTTGTAAACAGTCCCCTTGTAAATAAACTCTCCTGGAATTCGTCTGATTTGGGTGTGCCATTGATTCCCTGTTGAACCTTGATGAAAGCACAGCTCTAAAATCTACCTCTTATCGTTTTCAAACCCATTCTTTTTCCATCATTTGATTTAGAAACTAGTAGTCATTTGCATAACTACTAGTATAAAATGAAACAATATTGTTATTGACATGTGGTATTTTCCAAAGTGTGACACAAAACATAATTTTAGGTTATATGCTGATCAATATCTATTATGTTAAGTTATATGTCATTAGGGTGTGTTAGAAAAAAATAGAATGGCACACAACACCCATGATTTCATGTATGGTACATCTTTGCTTAGGACAAAGGCAAAGCAGAAATTAATTTTATTAAGTAAGTTGATTTGAAGAAAGATATTGAGTCTACAGTAAAGTAGATTGTATTGAAATGGTTTTAAAGTACTCACAGTGTCTGGGAAGCACACTACTAGAGTTACTTAACCCTGGGATACTATGCTTAGAGGTCACAGTGGTTCTTCTTTCTAGTGTGCCAGCCTCCCCTGTGATCTCATTATTAGTCTTTTTTTAAAAAAAATATTTTTATTGTAGCAAAATATACATAATATAAAATTTACCTTTTTAACTATTTTCAAGTGTACAATTCAGTAGCATTAGGCACTTTCACATTGTTGTGCAACCATCACCACTATCCATTTCCAGGACTTGATTTCATCACCCCAAATGGAAATAACTAAGCAGTTACTGCCCATCGCCTCCTCCCCTACATCTGGGTAATCACCACTCTACTTTGTCTCTCTATCAATTTGACTCCTGTAAGTACCTCATATTGTACCTCATTTAAGTGTAATCATGCCTTATTTGTACTTTTGTAATTGGTTTATTTCACCTAGCGTAATATGTTCAAGGTTCATCCATGTTCTAGCATGTATCACAATTTTACTCCTCTTTAAGGCTGAATAATATTCCATTGTATGGATATACCACACCTTGTTTATCCATTCTTCTGTTGATGGACATTTGGCTTGTTTCCACCTTTTGGCTATTGTGAACAATGCTGCTATGAATGTGGGTGTACAAATATATGTTCAAGTCCCTGCATCCAATTCTTTTCATATATATCCAGAAGTGGAATTGCTGGATCCCATGGTAATTCCATGTGCAATTTTTTTTGAGGAACCATCATCCTGTTTTCTACAGCAGCTGCATCATTTTACCTTTTATTAGCCTTTGCGAGTTGAGATTGGTTATGTGGTGGCTACTGAAGAGTGTAGCTAGGACTGTGCAAACCCATCACTAAGGGAAGGTAATTGAAAATACAGTCACTGACAGTGGGTCAGAAGCGTCTCTCCTAACAAGGGGTAGTACATTCCAGAGTAAAAAAGACACTTGCATGAGGGTGTATGTGTGTGTGTGTTTTTATTGTTACCCGGGCTTAGGCAATATTTTGAGATATTATATCTGCTTGTGATTTACTTTCTCATTTCCTTATATACAACATGTTACTTTCATCTTCTCCCAAGAGTTCCTTTGAACTACATGTATTTTCTGTATTTTTGTTCTCATTTCATCATTTTCACACACACCCAAATTTCTCAAACATAATTTTCACTTCCGTTTCTTAAGCCAAATGCCTTGCTTGCAAATACTCTGCTGTTTATCCACCAACTTAAACTCCTGAGGGCAGGCAGGGCTTCTGCCTCTTTAGGACTGGGACTGATCTGCCTTGTTCCAGTGCTCAGCACAGCCTGGGCACATACAGTATGGATGTACACAAAAGAATCAGTCTTTGATTTCTTGCATGAATGGCTGACACAAAGTAGGACCACAAAATAGGTCTGTTAAATAAAAGAACAGCTCACCCAATACCTTTAGCTCAATAAATGGAGAGATGATCAGATGCTACTGATAGCTGTGTAATTTTGAGGAAAGTACCCATCTACAGTGTCCTCAACTCTACAGAAAGGTAATATCCAATCCTGTATTTTGCTCTTAGAGATGGTGAGAGAATTTATATAGAATACCTGATATGAATGGAATGCCCTGAGGTTATTGGAAGAGGAAGGATCTATTTTCAGAAAAGACAGAATCTAGTAAGAATACTATGTTGGAGAAAGGAAATATTGCTTTGGCAAATCATGTATTTTACATTAAAGTGACATCATGTACGTAAAAGACTCAGTCTAGTCTCTGGCACAAAACAAGCACTTGGTAAATGATTGCTATAATTTTTAGAGATTATTTTGCAAAATTCCACTCTTATTAGGCAATAAATTCAAGAATTGATTTGTCATCATTTTATTGAAATGGAGTGTGATGGCCTATTTGGAGTGTTATGTACTCATTGTATTATGTCATATTTATACATAACCACATAAAAATAAATAACTCACGTGGATAAATAGGTGTAGGATTTGTGTAGGGCAAGGGGGATGGGGCTTGCTATGGAAGATGCAGCAGTGGGATGTTAAAGAAGACAACGGGTTGAGAAATAACCCATTCAGGAAACTTGACTTATTTGCATTCTGAGGTTTTTTAAATTATAAAAATAAAATTTCTTGTTATAAAAGCACCGTCTGTCTAATACAGAAGAATTAAAAAATACAGATGAATAAAGAAAAAAGGGAAATACTGTGCCCAAAATCCCATGATAGTGGACAGCTGTTGATTTCACCTTTCCCCTGCCCCACTCCCTGGGGCACTGTGGCTCTTCTACTGCATGCGGTCTCGGTCTTGCTGCAACACCAATCACAGTGACCTAGTCTGGGCCAATCCAGACTCTCTCTCTTGGAGATCTGAATCTGAGGGGGTTGAAAGCAGAAGGACAGACACACACACACACACACACAGACACACACACTAGATTGAGTTGACTTTTACCAATGGCATAGCTTAACAGAGATTGTCCTCTTATTTCTATTACCTGGATTCCAGATCCATCTGGTTTCTATCAGACCAAAGCCTGGTTGTTCAGCTTGTCTTTCCTTTCTCTAACTTACTCCAGCTTCTTCCAGTAGTCTTCCCTTCCCGCCAAGTTTGCCAGAGTTGGTTTCTATTGATTTCTAGCTGGTGTGTTCACCTAGAGACGATTACTGTTAACACTTTGGTTTAGATATTTCCACTCTTGCTTCCTATGGATTAGTTAATGTTATTAGCAAAAGGTATTCACACATGATACTAAATTTCATCTCATGTCAGTAAATAGAATTTCATCTCTCTCTTCTTAATGGTTGCATGACGTTCCATCATATGGGCCGTGTCAAAATACAACCAATCTCCTGTGGGACACTTAGGTTGCACTCAGCTCTTCAGTATTAGAAATAGCTAAAACCTTGCATACATTTGTGGTCATTTTAGGATAAATTCTAAGACATGTAATTGTTGAGGTGAAGGGTAGGGACATTTTAGAGGCTTTAGATAAAAGCTGTCAAATCTTTCTGGAGGTCTGTTTTCTATCACGGTGTACTCCATTGACTAATACTATAAAGGCAATGATTACAGTCATGCATTGCTTAATGACAGGGCTATGTTCTGAGAAATGCATCTGAGAAATGCACCATTAGGCGATTTCATCATTGTGTGAGCATCATAGGGTGTACTTACACAAACCTACATGGTATAGCCTAATACACAGCTAGGCTATTTGGTATAGTCTGTTGTTTCTAGGCTATGAACCTGTATAGCATGTTCCTGTACTGAATACTGTAGGCAATTATAACACAATGGTAAGTATTGGTGTATCTAAATATATCTAAACATAAAAAGGTACAATCAAAATATGTCATAAAAGATAAAAAATGATGTACTTGTATAGGGCAGCTCCATTATAATCTTATGAGGCCACCATTGTATATGTGGTTTGTCATTGACTGAAACTTTGTTATATAGTCTGTTACTGACTGTATGTCCATTTTTATCATTGTGCTCTCAGCACAGTGCCTGGTGCACAGTAAGCACTCATGTTTGTTTACTGAATAATTAACATTCATTGTGTACTTTCTATGTGCCGGAAACTGGTATGTGTATTCATCAATGATTGCAATGCTTATTTACAAAGAAGTTAAATAACTCACCTAGACTCCTTATCTAAGCCCATTTGGGTTGCTGTAACAAATTATCATAGACTGGGTGGCTTTAACAACAAACCTTTATTTTTCACGGTTCTGGAGGCTGGGAAGCCTAAGATGAAGGTGTCAGCAGATCTGGTGTCTGGTGAGGAGCCATTTCCTGGCTTGCAGGTGGCCAGCTTCACATTATTTCCTCACGCGGAGGAGGGAGGAATCATCCCTCTTGTGTTTCTTCTTATAGGACACTAATTCCATTCCACCCTCATGACCTCCCAGAAGTCCCACCTCCTGATGCCATCACATTAGGGGTTAGGATTTCAACATATGAATTTGGGGCGGGACACATTCTGTCCATTACAGCCCTGCTAAGAAGTGCCAGAGCAGGGATTGGGTGCTGCCAGTCCAGATCCAGAGTCCACACTCCTGACCAGGAAGCTTTTCCATAACTGACCGAATGCATGACCCTTTACAGATCAGTTTACATGTAACTTCCTCAGGGATGGTTTTCCTGGCTCCTTAACTAGGTTTGATCTTTCTCTTATGTGCTACTTAACACCTGTACTTCTCTTGTACAGCTATTTATTTAATGTCTCCCTTCTCCATTCTAGGACCCATGAAAGTGGGAACTGTGCATATCTTGTTCACAGCTGCATTTCTAGCACCTAGACCAAAGTCTGGCTGTGCTCAAGTACTTACTGCAGAGTTACAGGAACATCAATGCCAACTGCAGTCAGCTTATTTCTCTGATGTTCAGATGGCGTGTTCAGATGGCCTGATGTCCAGATGGCCTTTCAAGAGTGGAGTGCTAATATTAATTTCTATTTGAGGTAATGAACAAAAGACAACCAGAGGGGTCACAAACTCCGGGCACTGAGCAACAATGTGAGCACCTATCCTCAATCTCTGCTGGGATTTAAGAAGCAACGTGCCAGACAATAAGATACAAAAATGTACTATGTCTATGTAATACGAACTTTTTGAACAAATATGTGAATATGTAATACTTCTATGCACAAAAAACAATATCAAATATAAAAAGCACAATTGTTTACTAGAGTTCAAGAGCACAACCGCAATTGTAGTGGAAGATTTTGATATACTTCTCAAAAAGTCTTTGACAGATCACAATAAGATATCATCTCATACCAATTGGGATGGCTACTGTGTAAACATTCAGACAGAAAATATCAACTGTTGGCAAGGATATGAAGAAATTAGAGCCCTTGTGCATGGTTGGTAGGAATGTTAAATGGTACAGCCTCTATGGAAAACATTGTGGTGGTTCCTCAAAAAATTAAAAATAAAATTATTATATGATCCAGCAATTCTACCTCTGGGTATATACTCAAAAGAATTGAAAGCAGGGACTTGAACAGATATTTGTATACTCAACTCATGTTTATAGCAACATTACTCACAGTAGCCAAAAGGTGGAAGCAACTCAAATGTCCACCAATGATGAATGGATACATTAAAATGTGGTTGATAGATACAATGGAATATTATTCAGCCTTAACAAGGAAGGAAATTCTGACACATGCTATGACATGGATCAACCTTGAGGACATTATGCTAAATGAAGGAAGCCAGTCGCAAAAGGACAAAATATTCCATGATTTTACTTACATGAAGTTCAGGCATACCTTGTTTTATTGTGCTTCACTTTATTGCACTTTGCAGATACTGCCTTTTTCTTTTTGAAATAAATTGAAGCTTTGTGGCAACTCTGCATTGAGCAAGTCTGTGCTCACTTTGTGTCTCTGTGTCAGCAGTTTTTAGCAATAAATTATTTTTTAATCAAAGTATGTACTTTTTTTAGACAGTGCTACTGCCCACTTACAGTATAGTGTAAACCTAACTTTTATATGCCCTGGAAAACCAAAAATTTCGTGTGACTCACTTTATTACATATTTGCTTCATTGTGATGGTCTGAAACTGAACCTACAATATCTCTGAGTTATGCTTGTACCTAGAATAGTCAAATTCCTAGAGATAGAGAGCAGAATGAATGGCGGTTGCCAGAGACTGAAGAGAGGGGAAGATGGGGAATTATAATTTAATGATAGAGTTCCAGTTTTGCAAGATGGAAAAAGTTCTGTGATGGATGGGGTCATGGTAGCACAGTTATGTGAATGTACTTGATGCCACTGAACTGTACACTTAAAAATGGTTAAGATGGTAAATTTTATGTTATGTGTATTTTACCACAATTACAATTTCTTAAAAAGGTCTTTGACAGATCAAGTTAGATTTTTTAAAAAGAATTTAGGGGATTTGAATAAAATAATTGATAAACTTGTTAACTAGCCATAATGGAAAACTGTATGAAAAATGGTAGGCCTATACTTTTTTAATGTCTTAAAAAAGTTCAAAAATTTTAAGCATTACAGTGGAGGGAACGGGATGAAAACAAATGACATGTGGAACTGTGTTGTATTTAGAATAAGACAGAGCCTCCCTAGAAGTGACACAAAACACCCTAAAATTACAAAGTCAAAATGCTTAAAAAATTTGATCGTACAATAGACTACAAACTTTTAATAAATTCTCCTAAATGTAAGCTGTTCAGGCTATATTCTTTGACACCATGTAATATCACTAGGAACTAATGACACCCGAGATGATAATTTTTTTGTCTCTTAAATTGTCAAAAACAAAACAAAAAGAATATGCACTTGGTATTGATGAAGGCATTTTCAATACTCCTCTGGCATCCCCCAGGATGAGACCAAGCCTCTGGGCTGGTGGAGCTCCTCTCTGTGTGTCTAACCTAAGTTTAGATGGCACATACATTTTTTTTTTTGGTGGGTGGCCAATGGTTGATACTCAGATAATAACTGGTGAGGTGAGAATAATAAAAAATAGGCAGAGGGAGGTGGGGGAAAGGAGTAAATCATTGAAGAAGAACTTTGAAGACGGGAAGGAAAACAATTTAAAGGAATAAGAGAACACTTCCCAGGCAGGAGGGACAGCTTACATAAGGAAGGGACTAGTGGCGAGAGCTGAAGTGAAGCAGAGAACGTCATTCTTAAAGGTCGCAGAGCTCTGATTCCATTTGTGTTCATCATAGCCATCAGGTGTAGCAGGACATGTAAGCTTGTAAAGTGAATCAAAATTAATTCCATTTTGACTTTGTAATTTTTAGAGTGTTTTGTGTCACTTCTGCAGAGGCTCCGTCTTATTCTAAATAGAACACAGTTCCACGAATCTTTTGTTTTGGTCCTGTTCCCTCCACTGTACCACGAGGTCTCTTTGCTTCTTTATCTCTCTGATTCTCCTGGTAAACTCTGCACATGGTGGGCACTAGATAATGTAGCCCACTGTACATTTTCTCCCCCAAACAGTCTTAACATGGTATAAAATGCAGTGAATGTCTTCTTACTTTGAAAAGTATGAAGTGCTACTATGCAAAAGTGGGATATTCATTTGTCACTATTACCATAAGAAAAAGCGTCTATGAAATCACGCCTAAGGGCTTTTGTCCAAGAGCCTTGTATCATGTCAAGGAGGAGCTTCACTTTTCAAGTCTTTAAAATCAAAGGATAATGGCCTCAAATCCTGGTTTTCTTGGGGGTGGCAAAGAAGATATGAAAACTCCCTAATAAATCCAAAGATTTTCTACTTGGTTCTGGACTGCTTTCTACTAACCCTGCTTGTGTGGGTGCTGTTATAGACCCTCTCCCTTGGGGAGGAGGTAGGGGAGCATATACATCCCCACATCCCCAACTCTCAAGAGAAAAACATACGACTCCCAGAAATGGACTTGCTCACTAACAAAGTCACAGTTCTATTCTGTGATAGTGTCAACGCCGCACATTTTTAACCCAGATGGAAAATACAAAGACCAAATATGCGCCCTTAACTGTGCCTATGCTTCCCTTAGACCTTTTGTCTGGCTTGTCTGCTTAGCTATGTTGAATGGGGTTCTCTTCTCTGGTCACTTCTCTACTTACTTCTTCAAGCAGGATTCCTCTTGTGATCAGTGCCCATCTCCCGATGATCTTTCTTTCTCTCTCAGAACAGCTGCTGATGTTCAGGTGCTGATATCAGGGGCTGACCCCTGATTTATACCCAGCCTGTCCCTGGTCATAGCTGATTGATTGGGGATGGACCCCTGACCCAAACTGGACAATCAGATTTTCTCTCCTGAGACTTTGAAATGTGACAAATACAGACAGGGACTCAAAGCTATTGGAGCCAAGTTACAGTGTCGTAGTTGGAATGTCTAACCCTATCCCCTACCTGTGATATGGTGAGATGATGAGAGATTATTCCCCTGATTGTGTTACACGGCACAGTTGGCCTTAAAATCAGGAGATAATCTGGGTGAGCCTGATCTATCATTTGGGTCCTTGAAAACATCAGAAGTCAGAGAGATTTGGAGCATGGGCAGAATTCGGCACACCATTGCTGACCAGAAGATGGAGGTGCCATGTGAGAGGAAACTGCAGTTGCCTCTAGGAGCTGATGGAGGCCCCCAGCTGGTGAGCAAGCAAGAACCTCATTCCTATAATTGCAAGACAATGGATTCAGCCAGCAACCTGAATGAGCCTGAAATGAATTCTTCCCCAGAGCTTCCAGATAAGAGCCTGGCATGGCTGACACCTTGATTTTGGCCTTGGGAGACACCTGAGCTAAGAACTCCGTTGACCCATGCCAGATTTCTGACCTACAGAACTGTGAGCTAATACGCTTCTGCTGCTTTTAGCCACTGTATTTCTGGTAGTTTTTTATGACAGCAGTATAAAACGAAAACACAGGACAATGGCAATGCATTTGGAGAGGGCAGTGACCTTTTCTAGCTGAGGGCGTCAGGACCCCTTCCCCCACATTCCTTCCTCCCTTCCTCCCTCCCTCCCTCCCTCCCTTCCTTCCTTCTTTCCTTCCTTCCTTCCTTCCTTCCTTCCTTCTTTCCTTCCTTCCTTCTTTCCTTCCTTCCTTCTTTCCTTCCTTCCTTCCTCCCTTCTTTCCTTCCTTCCTTCCTCCTTTCTTTCCTTCCTTCGCATTCTTCATTTGGTTCTGTGAGCTGTGCAAGCATCTTACAATAAAATTCCCTCTTCCTGCTTAAGCCAGCAGATTTTTTTCTGTTGCTTATAACCAAAAGAGCCTTAACATAAGGAACTGTGGACTTGCATGACCTGTGACATCAAGTACCACAGTGTAATTCTGGTACTCGAAAATGTGGCTCTGTGAAGACTTTTGAGAGATTCAGTGAATTTTGGAAGGTCCTAGAACCTTAAATGGAGTAAAGATTATTGAAAAATATCTACTTTCTTGTTGACTACTTAAAATTACATTTGAAGGTACTATTTAGACATGACGGAGGAGAATATCAACTTTGGTCTCCAGATATGCCTACCCACGTAAATCCACACTACATTGTGCATAAATAGAAATACTTTGCAATAGTCCTGTCCATTTGGTTAGGGCACAGCCTCTGAAGCTCCCTGGAAGCCTGAAGATGAGTTTACATTGGGTTAAAGCCAGGTCAAGCCAGAGCATGGTTGGCTGCTTCAGGCATTTGTGGGCCAGAGGCCCCATGAGAGTGTTCCTACCCCCACCTAGCTCCAGCTGGCTGCCCATACAATGGAGCACAGACCCCAGCAGGGACCCTGCCAACCTGGCTACTTGCCAGGCAGAGCGAGGGAGCAAAATGACAGAGATGTCCAGGTGCAGACAGCTGGCTTGGCAGAGGAGGACCGACTGATTGACACAGAGGAAGAGGGAGGCAAGCCATGGGCACCGTCCAGATCCTGGGAATCCGCCTATGCCTAGACTCCCAGGCTGCAGCGAAGAGTCACCCTGCATCCTTCAGGGTCAGTCAGAGGAGACGATGGCATGGCCCGCCAGCTCCCTTTGCACTCTGCTGCCATAGGGTGGGACTGGGATTGAAGCAGATGTAGGGAAGGGAGAATGAGCAGAGGGAAGGTGCCTCCCTTTAACGCTTAAATGTAGCAAAGAAAGTCCCTCTGGGTTAGTGCTTGCTTGGAGATGAGAGCAAGCCTGAGGTCCATACGCCTTCTCTCCAGATGTTTCTGAGTATGCCACAGAGTATTATAATCTTTTTCTCTAAAATAATATTCTTGGTGTGGAAAGCGTAACTCAGTTAGTTAGAGACAATGAAATACAGTCTTTTCTGGGTGGGGTCAGTGGAAAAAGAAAGAGGACAAGGCCAAGGAGGGGGAGAAAGGACTGTGTGTAGCTGCACCTAAGCAGGAAAAAAAAGCCACCGGGTCTTGGCCATTCTCCTGAAGGAGCAATTCTAAAAAGTAGAATGTACTTAGGTTTTGGGAGGGCTCTCCCTGGGGCACAGAAACAGAAAACCCGAGCACTTGTAGGAGGTTGATGCGCTGCCCTGTTACCCACCCAGTGCAGGTAGGAAGTTGCCGGCCGGGCCCGGGAACCTGAGGACCGCCTGCCTGATGTCAAGCTGCCAGCCAAGCCTCCTGCAATAATTAGGTGGACTTGGATAGAACCCAGCAAATTGATCCTACTTGCCTGTCTTTCTACACTTGGGTTTTGATTTTTTTTTTCTTTTCCTCCAGCCAGTTTCTTTGGAGCTTATTGTGTCCGTTTATAGTATTTCTTCACAATGGGAAAGAAGTAATAAATTGGCTGGATTCCTAGCTGAAAGTCAATCTTGGTATTCCATTGATAGGAAAACCTCTTATCTCCCCTCCTCTTTTCCCAAGAGAGTCTATATATTAGGCATTTTGCCATTTTCAGATCTTTCCCCAGGCTTTAAAGCAACTAGATAACCATCTTTTAAGATAAAGGATACATTCTTTGATGGCTAGACCAGAGAATAAAATATTTGGGATTTTTATTTTTTTGCTTCTGTTCATCTACTTAGAGTCTTTCAACATTTACCTCCTCTAACATCAGTTCTTTTAAAAAATAGAGACCCTAATTCCAATCATTTTCTTCACAGTTCCAGAGGAGATTAATGTTTATGGACTATATAGACTAATTTTTTCTTCCACCCCTCTACCAGCTCCACATACACATAAATATTTCCTGCTGTATCTGCTGTAGCCTGAACGTGCTCAGTCTGGCTTTAACCCTAGCATGTTTTGCTCCTTAAGGAAGAAAACAATTTCTTATTCACGGCCGACTTGGGTTGTCTCTTGCTCTCTGGTGCCTTTGATCTTTCAGCAGCCCTTCACTCTGCTGATCACAGCCTCCCCTTAATCATTTAAAAGGCTGAACGGGAGTTCTGACACCTGGTTCAACTCAGTGCTCTTAGATGCTTTCCCTGGGGATGCATCCCTCTGACCCACTGAGTCAAAGCTTTCATCAGCCCCAGGGGCTCTGCCAGGGAGCGGCTCTTCTTTCCTGCTCCAGCTCTGACACATTTGATTGAGAGCAACAACAGCAGGTATTTAGGGGGAGGTCTCTCAGGATCCCAGAAATGGTGATTATGAAATCGTTGTTTTTGGTATAGCATTTTAGAAAGATTTTTAGTTATAAGGGAAATTAGTTTTGAAGTTGTTTTACAGATGGGGCAAGTGAAATGTTGGGAGTGGCTTGTCTCTGCTCTTGCTGAGGGAGGGGGCTAAGGCAGAAGTGTGTGAGGTTCAACATCCACTACTACACAAGGGAAGGGCCCTACCTCTCCCTGGCATCCTCCTCTGCCTGAAAAATGAATCACTCAGGGTGTGCTACTCCTGTCCATGTGTAGGGGAGCCCGTGAGGGTGTGGCACCACATTCCCCATGTTCCCAGGGCAGTGGATAAATGATGGGGAAGAACAGTTTCACCCCCAGCTTCTGCATCATGCCTGGTCCATTGCAGGCACTGAAGACATATTTATTGAATTAATTTGATTTAGAGCCTGACTCTCTCGTTGACTGAGTCCAAGATTCCTCATCTGTGAAAAGAGGCTATTTCTTGCCCTAGCTGCTTCACAGGGTGGCTGTTGAGGATAAATGTGAAAGTGCCTGGATCATAAAACACATCACATGTTTAAGGCGGGTTTCTTGGGCATGGCTCTGTAAGGTCTCCATCCTTGTTGGCCAAATAGTGAACATCATATTTAAAGACAGTTTGTAAACTCTCCCTGAAACTGCTGAATCACACATGTGTAAGTTCACTTCCTCACTCTCTTTTTAGGTTGTCCTTTCATAACTGGTTTCTCTGCCAGAGGATGAGCTTGGATGAGAGTCCAAATCACATACTTCCCGAGAATGTGGGAAGGTCTGCTTTTGTCTTTCTGCATTGCCTTTCCAAATTTCCTGCCCCTTTCAACTTTTTTTTTTTCTGAACCTAGACATATGTTTGGATGGCTGTAACATTATTATTTTTTATTGAGTTAAATGTGTCATGTGCTCAGTCTGGCTTTAACCCTAGCATGTTTTGGAAATTTAGGAAATTTTCTTATGAAATTTATTTCATGAATTAATAGGTGTAATCTGATAAAAGGAGTGCCTGGCACACAGCAAGTGCTTTAAGGGAGTTAGCATCTAGTTAGCTTCAACTGACTATCGGTTGCTATCCTACTTAAATGTCTTCTTTTCAGAAAGGCCTTCTCTGATTACCCTATCTTCAAAGAGTATCCTTCATCCCTCTCTACTCTGCCCTGTTTTATTTTTTCTTAATAGCACATATCATTATGGTGTGTACTTTGTTACCTATTATCTGACTCCCTTATTAGGATCAAGCCTCTTGAGTGCAGGACTTTTGGATCTGTTTTGGCCACTTCTGTGTTCCTAATGCCCAGTACATAGTAGGTCCTCAATAAACATTTATTGCCTGGACACCGTGCAGAAGTTTCCTTCTCAATGGATCAGCATTGTTTCTGGAGCAAGCTTGTACTGACTTGAAAGAACAGATTGGGTGCCTTTCTTCCCGGTTCTGTGTTCAGTGATGTCATGTTGGTAGCCTCAAATCAGCCATGATGAGAGAATGTACTCCATGGAAATTGGCAAATACTATAAATCAATTCCCATTCCCTGCTTCCCTCCAGGCAGTTGTTAAAATAGTACCAGCACACCACCGTTTCTAAAGAATCAAATGGGCTACAGGTTGGTTATGCAGTTCAAAGGGCCGGTGTAGGGGTTAAAGATGGCCAAAAATTCTTTGTCACTCTCCCTGAATGAGAGAAGTCTATTTTGGAATTCTGGCTAGCCCTGGTACTGTTCAACACAATAGAAGTGACAATTCCAGGCCTGTCCTTTGAGAAGACTGGCAACTTTTATTTCTCTCTTCTTGGAACTCACACTTCTGTGAGAAAATCCAAGAAGCTTCAGTGATAAGTCCACATAGAGACAAATGAGGTCACTAGGTGGTAATAGCTGAGTAGCCAACATCAACTTGCCAGCCGTGTGAATGACGCCACCCTGGAGGTAGATCCTCTAGCTTCGGGCAAGCTCCCCAGCAGATGCCTTGTGGATCAGAGATGAGCCATCCTCTCTGTGAGCTCCCTGACTTGAAAATAGTCAGCAAATAAGTAAGAGTTGTGTTTTAAGCCACTGAGTTCTGGGGTGTTTTATATAGCACCAGATGACTGAAACATCTAGGTAATAAGCAACTTTGTGGGTGTCTGCAGATGGCCAGGATTGAGTGAGTTCTGACAGGTTGGACTCCCTTGTAGTCTGAGCCTCATACATTTACTCTGGTAGCGAAGAGATGCTAAGTGTTTGCGTTTCCCATAGTAAACAACAATTTTGATAAGTAGAGTCAAAAAGATTACTATTGAATTGGATATGAGGATGAGAGAAAGAGAGCAGTTTCAGATGATTCCTGGTTTTTTTTTTATCTGAGCAGCTGGGTGAATGATGGTGCCATGAAAGGCAGTGGGGAAGATTAGTGCAGGAGTGGACTGTGGGGGAGCACCAAGCATTTCGCCCTGGTCAGGGTAAGTTTGAGATGCCTGTTAGGTAGCACCAGAGGAGATGTCCGATACACAGCAGGAGATATGTATCCAAACTTAGGAGAGTGTTGGTGATAGAGATATAAAACTGGGAGCCATTAGCTTGTAGGTGATACTTAATGCCACAGATCTCAGGATAGATAGGTAAGAAGGGGATTAGGACTAAGCTTAGGGGGCATCAACATTTAGAGGTTGAGCAGAAGAGAAGCAACAAGTTAAAAAGGAATGACCAGTAAGGTAGAAGAAGAAACATCGTAGTGTAGCTTTCTAGAGACAATGAATACATACTTTAAGAAGGGAGGACCTGGGTGGGTGCAGTGGCTCACACCTGTAATCCCAGCACTTTGGGAGGCCGAGGTGATTGGATCACGAGGTCAGGGGTTAGAGACCAGCCTGGTCAATATGGTGAAACTCTGTCTCTACTAAAAATACAAAAATTAGCCGGTATGGTGGTGTGCACCTGTAATCCCAGCTACTAGGGAGGCTGAGGGAGGAGAATCGCTTGAACCCAGGAGGCGGAGGTTGCAGTGGGCCGAGATCATGCCATTGCACTTCAGCCTGGGTGACAGAGCAAGACTTCGTCTCAAAAAAAAAAAAAAAGGAAAGACCTGATCAACTATGTAGAATCCTCCTGAGAAGTGAAGTAAGATAGAGGACAGAGAAATGACTATTGGGTTTTGCAAGATGGAGGTCATTAATGATCTTGATAAGAGCTCTTTCAGTAGTGTAGTGAGGGCAAAATTTCAATAAAATGCATTCTAGAGAGAATGAGAGAAGTGAGGAAGTGAAGACATGCAGGGACAACTTTCAAGGAGTTTTGCTGTGAGCAGGAGCAGAGAAGTGGAGTGATATGGAGTCATAGCTGGAGAAGGACATAGTAAAGGAGGAAAACATGTAACATATTCGTAGGCTGTTGGGAATGAGAAACTGATGATTCATGAGAGAGGGATAATTTTTGAGGCAAAGGCTCTAAGCAGATAAGAAGTGATGGAAGTGATGGGAAGGAATAGGTTCACAAGTGAGGGTTGGTCTTATATAAGAGTATGAATATTTCATCCTTTTTACATTGTTAAAGATGTAATGTATAGATACAGATGCACGTAGGTTGTTAGATTTAATAGTGGAAAGAGGAGCTGATTCTCATGAAACTGGGTCTATTTTGTCAATGAAATAAAATGCTAGATCAGCATCAGAGAGTGGGGAGAGGAGATGGTGCTGGTGATTTGAGAAAAGGAGAAAATGTGAAAGAGTTGTCTTAAAAAGTAAGAAAGTCAATTTCCTATTATCAATCTAAATGAGCCAAGGGCCTACCTGAAATTTTTTGTCATAAATTAAAGATAGACAATTTGCATGGTCGTATGCTTTTTTCCTCTGCTTCATTCAGCTGGAAGTGGAGTGTTTAACTGGGATTAGGGTTTTGCCAGACAATGGAGGGAGTAAGTCACCAAAGAGTGTGTGTGTGTGTGTGTGTGTGTGTGTGTGTGTCTAGAATTGTGTCCTATGGAATCAAAACTGGATCAAGAAACAGTAAAAACATAACCTTATGGGTAACGACGTGGGTTGAGGCAGGTGTGCAGACAGGGATGAAGATAGTGGGAAAATGATGAGAACGATAAATTGAAAGTCCCAATGGGGTCTAAGAATTGCTGGAAGGTGGGTAGTAGAGTAAGGGAGCTGGAAGGACAGGAGGTGGTAGTCAGAGGGAGGAGGATTTAACCTGAGATTTTAGAGGTGCCGTTCCTGGTGATGATGAGACCGTGGGTATAGCCATGGTAGCGGTTGGCTAAGGTAGGTTGGAAAAGTGGTCTTTGGAAGTGAGGAGATTAAAGAATTGCAAAGCCAGGGTGATGGTAGATTGTCCCTGTAAAGGCTGAAGTTTCCAGGAATGATCACAGAAGTATTGGTAGAAAGGAAGACAGTGAGCCAGGGATGAAAAATCAGTAAATGAAGGGGAGTGATCCCGAAGTCAGTAGTTGAAAGCATTGAGAACGGGATATGGGCGGTATGGTCTGATGGCATGTTTTTCTTTTCAAAATGTGACAGTTTTGATAGAGGAGAGAGGAGACATGGTCTGGAAGCCACAACAGAGATACACCAGCTTGAAGTCCTGTGCAAGAGGTGTGCAGGGAGGAACTCAGACTTCACTTTCAAGAGCTACAAGGGAAGCTAGGGGCTCATTCCTCTACGTCGCAATGCTCCCCTTTTCTAATAAATATTCTGTAACTCTCGAGCCGTGTTCTACTACAAGGATAAAGGGAAAGTAACTTACAATAAGATGGTTTCATGTAGACATATAAAAATGTTTAGTTATGACTGTGGACCCGTGGAGGGGACATTGCAGTGTGACAGGTGCCCGGGCAGACTGTTAGAGGTGTGCTGCCTTCCAGGGTGAGAGTTTCTGAAATGGTGTGCAACTCTTAGGAAGTGCATGAGACAAAGACCAGTTCAATGTACACGGAAGCTTGATGTCTGGACAATTCAGTGTATTTTGAAAGTGTGTGAAAAATACTTTGGGTGTGTATGTAGACTAGGGTTAAATTACAGGTTCAGATAATGGTAAGCAGTTTCTAAATTGTGGGACTGCCCGGCAGGATACAAGGCGATTCTTCATTGTGAGGGACTGTTAGTGCTCATTGCAGCAAATCCTATCACCCTGGTGGAAGCAGCGCACAATCATTTTGATGACTAACGTTTCAGATTTCCAAAATGCCTCCTAAGCACTGAGTGAGCGCGACAAGGGAAGGCTCAGAGATGAAGCTGCAGATACAGGGGGCTTTGCTGATGACACCTTGTGGGTTTCAGAGGGCAGACTGAGAGCTTTGGGAGGAAGAAGATGTGGAGGGGCTCACTGAAATGAGGGTATGTTCAGGGCCCTGGGGATAAGGGCCGAGGTGGCAGGAGGCTGAGCTCCCTGTGGTGCTGGTAGGTCACAAACAGAGGTGTGAGGCGTGACAGGAGCTACCTCCAGAGGTCTCTCTGGGGAAGCTGGGGAATCAGGTCAAATTACAGCTCCCTTCTCAGGATGGGCCCCTGCAGGCAGATAGCCGTGGAGAGGCCAGGCTGTGTTGAGCCTGGGGCAGGGCCCCCTCAAGGGAGTGTTTTTTTCCTGCGTTTCCACAGAGCCTTCATAGAAGTCAGCTTAATGGCTGCATAGTGTTCATGAATTATTAAACCATTACTCTGATGTTGAAAATTTGTTTTTTTTCCTTTTTTTTTTTTTGCTACTTAGTTACAGAGATAGTTTCCAAGTCTGTATCTTTTTGCTCCAGTTTAGATACCTCCTGAAGATAAACCTCTAGGAGTCCAGGGGTCCAAGCATCTTTATAATTTTCTTCATGCTACCATTTGCTATCCAGAAGGATATTTTAAAACTAATTTATAACGCCATCAGAATTTGTGAGCATATTGGTTTCATTGCTAGCTCATCAAAGTTGTCATTTAAGATTTTTCTTCTTAACACTGGTGGTTATAAAATGCAATCTCAAGATTGCTTTTAATGTCAGTTCTTTCATTTTCAGCAAAAAGGATTTTTCCATGTTTGTTTATTCTTTGTATTTCATCACCTCTGTGTACTTCCCTTTTTAGGTCTCAATATTTTTGCTGTAAATTTGAATGAGCTCTTGCGTGCATGTGCGCTCGCATGCACACACACACACACACACACACACACACACGCTGTCTGTCATTACTGATGGAAAAGCCTACCTTCTGCACTCCACCCCTGCCTCATCCCCCACCAGTCTGTTTTCCTTTTTGACACTCTGCTTTTGATGAAAAGCTAGGCATTTATTATTAATAAGTTATGTTCCTAAAACAGTGGCTCTCAACTTTGGCTGAACACCGGAATCACCAGGAGAGCTTTAAAATCTACTGATGTCTGGGTTTCACTTCTGATTTAATTGGCCTGGGCATTGGGGTTTCTAAAAGCTCCCCGGGTAATTCTAATATGCAGCCAAGGTTGAGAGCCACGATCCTAAAATTTGTAAATTGGTTGTTGGGTTAAAATGAAGTGGGAAGTCGTGGCAGTGAGAGGATTAAGGGGTGAGAACGGGACCGCAGCGGGTGATGGTGGAACAAGGTCCTGTTGAGGGTGGGAGTCCAGCCTTCCTGCTAATGTAAATAAGTTTTGAGCATATTTTTTGGTTCTAATGAATGCCTGCGTTTTGTTGTTGCTGTTGTTGTTTGTTTTTTCTGACTTAACCCAGAGCTAGGCTGCCTGCTTCTTCTGATTTCCCAACTATCTCTTCTAACCAAATCCTTTCCTCAAAGACTCCATTGTGGGACAGAGCCCACCCAATCTTGTAGCTCATTTCTATACACTCAACTCTGAAACAGTCACACGGCCTTTTAAAAGAGAATTGGAGTGTAAGAGGCTCTCGGAATTTTCCTCAGCCCTCTCCAATTCCCTTTTCTCTTTTTGACTTACATGTTAGAGACAGCAGTCAGCATATGTGTTCTGAATGTCCCCAGTTCTCACTAGCTTTGGCTAATAATGAGGTTGCAATAATCTTAATGCCCAATTTTGCTGATTTGCTGCTTCCTCTGATTGGTAAGGACTATGACTTTCCTTCTGAGACTTCTTGCAGTTAGTTTTAGGAGGCTCCAGGATGTAAGGATGTGTCTTCCATGTGCTTAGGAGCAAGCCCACTCACATTTTCTACTTTGGCATTCTCACTGACACCAACCCCTTTAAGAGTGGTTCTGCCTCTGCCAGGAGCCCTCTGCTGCCTTCGGTGCTACCTTAGTTTATGTAAGACCATCCCTATAAACATCCACATTTCAGAACAAACCCTGACTGAGGCTCCACAGGGCATTTCATCACAGACTAATACGTGAGCTCTGGGACGAGGAACAGGAAGGGCTTCTAGAGAGGGAGATGAGGAAATGGGACCCAGCTGGGGTCTTGGTCAACAAGGCAGATACTGGGGTGATGGGGCCTCCTTGTGCCCTTCTTACTCCCCAAACTGCACCCTGGGTTGGGATGGAGCAGGGGCAATCGCAGAGAGCAAGCGGAAGACGAATGGGAGGGAAAGTGGTGGAAAAGCAAAGCTATTATCCCCACTGGCCACCTACAAGAGTCTTAGAACACCTTTGGAGGCTAAATTCCTTGAGGGCAGGAACTCTGTCTTGTTGGTGTGTTTCTACAGAGTCTAGTGCGTTTCCAAAGTAGGTGCATAGTAAATAGTTATTGAACAAATCCATTGAGTCATGGGATTGCCCAAGTCCTACTTCACTGCTTATATGTTAGATTTTCTTGCCAGTTGACTTACTACCCAACGCTTCTTTCAGGGTTTTAAAAATAATTGAATTCTGCTCAAAAGCTGTATCAGGGGAGATAAAATCACAGTTCAGCCATCTCAACATTGAACTGATTATTTACTACTTGAATCAATGTGTAATATTCTGTTTGCTGGTCTGTGGAAGAGGGTTAATACTGGCCATTTTCACAATGCTGTGAGAAAAATAAGAATTGTTTAAAAATGAAACCAGAATTAACTGGAGCAACACCTAATTTATTATCCTGAATTAGCCAGACACTATTTGCTCTCTCTCACCTTTTGACTTGGATGACAGACAAATGGCAAGCAAACATTAGATGTGCTATGTATTAGATGTATATTATTTGAACTTTTTGGAACAACAACTTCTAGAGGATACTCTGGATATTTTAAAATGCTTTTCATAAGTTTAAATAAGAAATATTGTTAAGATTCTGAATCATTAAATGGTACTTTGTATATTTAACTAATGTGTACTTAAACATTTAAGAAGATTTTAATAATAAAAATAAAACAAAATGACAATTTTTTGCTTAATCAAAACAATGTAACTATCCAGGATACTTTATTTTCTGCTGTTGCAAGAGGTTTAGATTTTATTGTAAAAAATAAATGTCTGTAAGCCCAGTGTCTAAAGTCCTATCTTCTAGAATTTGCCAGAACACATGCCTATTATTGAGATTATTGGGTGTATTTTAAATAATTTTTTATCATTGATAGTAAACAACTTGGGATATTTATGGAACTGAAACATTTTTAAGCAAGCACTTTTGCATTTTTCAATAGAATGATCAAGTGATGTCTGAGAAGTTACTGCAGTTACTGTTGATTTAGAGTTCTATTTCTTAGAGTACAGTGGGCTAGGTATTTGGATGCTTTTACTAAAAGCAATTATAAAATCTTGATAATACAGTATAGAAAAATATATGTTTCTTAAACATGGAACGGTAAAAAATATTGTAAAGAGTTATCAGGCCAATCTTAGTGAAAGCAAGAAGTCTGAGAGGAAAACTACTTTTGCCCTAAAGGCATTTGCTGAACTGCTGAACCAGCAAAGTTTTAAAATTTTTATTTTGGGGTGTGTGTGGTGGTTGAAGGGATTCAGAGGACAAAAAAAAAAAAAAATAAAGCTCAGGGCTTGACCAGGGTAGAATGTCTAATGGGAGATCCCACCCATCAAACTGGGGTCCCAACGGGCTGGACCCTCAAGGTACAGGTTAATCAGAAATGAACACGTCACTCCTACCTCCACTTCCAGTGGACTGCAAGGAAAGTGGCTTTTGTCCTGAGCAGAACCAGTGTTAGGGGAACTGGCCCTGACACATCTTAGCCACAAAAATCTGTCCACATGCATTTTTTTAAGTACAAATTTTATATTATTTGGGTGGTTAAAAAAAGCCACCCTAAATTTAGATTAAGGTGGTCTGGGATTGGTGGTGGCCTTGGCAAGCTGGGTAGAAGCAGTGGCTGTGTCTCTCTGGATGAACGTAACAGGCCTCAAAGAAGTCCCACAAATAAGTTTCCATTAAAAATGAACAGCTCATAGTAAAAACATAAGTACACAAAGAATTGGTACCATGACGGAATAGAACCAATAGAAAAAACAGACAGGAGAAATAGATCTACAAAGGCTTTAAATAATAGATTATTATTTGAGAAATATAAAACCATCATGCTTACTATGTTTCAAGAAATAAGACAAGCTTGAAAATATTTACATAGAACAAGAAAATTAATTTTTTTATGTGTGAGATTTTGAAGTGTGTTTACTAGTAGACTAGACATTTTAGATTATGTCATATAAAAATAGCGGTTCGTAGACAACCCATCAGTGACAGAACATTGGCTGCCATTTATTTTTTCCCAACTTTTATTTTAGATTCAGGGTGTACATGTGCAGGTTTCTTACCTGGGTATATAGCATGATGCTGAGGTTTGGGGCATGAATGATCCCATTGTCCAGGTACTGAGCATAGTACCCAATTGTTAGTTAATCAACACTTGCCCCTGCATTCCTCTTCCCTTTAGTAGTACCCAGTTTCTATTGTTGTCATCTTTTTTTTTTTTTTTTTTTTTGAGACGGAGTCTCGCTCTGTCGCCCAGGCTGGAGTGCAGTGGCGGGATCTCGGCTCACTGCAAGCTCCGCCTCCCGGGTTCACGCCATTCTCCTGCCTCAGCCTCCCAAGTAGCTGGGACTACAGGCGCCCGCCACTACGCCCGGCTAATTTTTTGTATTTTTAGTAGAGACGGGGTTTCACCGTTTTAGCCGGGATGGTCTCGATCTCCTGACCTCGTGATCCGCCCGCCTCGGCCCCCCAAAGTGCTGGGATTACAGGCGTGAGCCACCGCGCCCGGCCTATTGTTGTCATCTTTATAGCCATGAGTACCCAATGTTTAGCTTCCACTTATAAGTGAGAACGTGTGGTATTTGGTTTTCAGTTCCTGTGTTAATTCTCTTAGGATAATGGCCTCCAGCTGTATCCATGTTACTGTAAAGAACATGATTTCATTCTTCTATGGTTGCATGGTAGTTCATGGTCTTTTTGTGCCATCTTTTCTTTATCCAGTCCACTGTTGATGAGCACCTAGGTTGACTCCCTGTCTTTGCTATTATGAATATGCTGCAATGAACATGCAAGTACATGTGTCTTTTTGTTAGAGCAATTTGTTTTCTTTTGAATATATACTCAGTAATGGGATTGCTGGGTTGAATGGTAGTTCTGTTTTAAGTTCTTTGAGAAATCTCCAAACTGCTTTCTGCAGTGGCTGGACTAATTTACATTCCCACCAATGGTGTACAAGCATTCCTTTTTCTCCACAGCCTTGCCAGCATTTGTTGTTTTTTGATTTTTGAATAATAGCCATTCTGACTGGTATGAGATAGTATCTAGTTGCAGTTTTGAGTTGCATTTCTCTGATGATCAGTGATGTGGACCACTTTTTCAAGTGCTTGTTGGTTGCTTGTGTGTCTTCTTTTGAGAAGTATCTGTTCATGTCATTTGCCCATTTTTTAAGGGAGTTATTTGTTTTTTGCTTGTTCAGTTTAAGTTTCTTATAGATTCTGGATATTAGTTCTTTGTCAGATGCATACTTTGTGAATATTTTCTCTCATTCTGTAGGTGGTCTGTTTACTCTTTTGATAGTTTCTTTTGCTGTGCAGAAGATCTTTAGTTTAATTAGGTCCCAATTGTCAATTTTTGTTTTTTTTGGAATTGCTTTTGAGGACTTAGTCATAAATTCTTTCCCAAGGCTGATATTCAGAATGGTGTTTCCTAGGTTTTTTTCTAGGATTCTTATGGTTTGAGGTCTCACATTTAAATATTTAGTTCATCTTGAGTTAATTTTTGTATGTAGTGAAATGTAGGAGTCCAGTTCATTTTCCTACATATGACTAGCCAGCTATCCCGGCACCATTTATTGAATAGGGAGTCTTTTCCCTATTGCTTATTTTTGTTGATTTTGTTGAAGATCAGATGGCTGTAGGTGTGTGGCTTTATTTGTGGGTTCTCTATTCTGTTCCATTGATCTATGTGTCTGTTTTTGTACCAGTACCATGCTGTTTTTGTTACTGTAGCCTTATAGCATAGTTTGAAGTTGAGTAATGTGATGCCTCCAGCTTTTTTTTTCTTAGGATTGCTTTGAGTATTTGGGCTCTCTTTTGGTTCCACATGAATTTTTTAATAGTTTTTTCTAAAAACAAAAAATTTTAAAAATAGATAAGTAATTTTGAAAAAGAACCAAATAGAACTTCTAGAGAAACAATAATTGAAATTTAAAGCCCATTGTATGGGCTAAAACCAGACAAAGATAAAGAGATAATTAATGAAATGGAAGCTAGGTCAGAATAAACTACCCAGTTTGATTTTTTTTTTTAGTCTTTATATCATCAGACACAACGTTCTAGGTCTTATATGGAAGGGATAAATTATAGTAATAGACTTTCGTGCATTAGAAATTAAATGTGGCATTTACATGTACAGTATCTCCCATATGTGTAATATGGGTAATTCTGGTGAACTTGCAACATTAGATGAAAAATTGAACTTTATGTGAGACTAAATTAGAATAGTGTTCATTTTTAAACTTTTATTGTCTTCCAAAGTACCGCATGTCCAGATTTTACTCATTGTACAAGTCTTCCTTTTTAAAGTGTTTTAGCCACTTTATTACTTTCTTACATTTGGTCTACCTTGAATTATAGCTACATATATTATATACTTGTTTCGTATTAGACTAAGTTCAGGGACTCTACTGGGTACACTGCCTGGCCTAGCAGCTACTTTAAAACATATCTAGGACAAGAAAGAAAGGAAGGTAGGAAGGAAGGAAGAAAAAGCAAGCAAGAATGAAAGAGGGCCAGGTGTGGTGGCTCACTCCTGTAATCCCAGCACTTTGGGATGCTGAAGCAGAAGGATTGTTTGAGCCCAAGTGTTCGAGACTAGCCTTGGCAACATAGCAAGACTCCATATTTACAAAAACAAAACTAAACAAAACAAAAGAATTTAAAATTAGCCAGGCATGGTGGTGCACACCTGTAGTCCCAGCCACCCAGGAGGCTGAGGTGGGAGGATTTCTTCAGCTTGGGAGGTTGACATGGCAATGAGCCATGATTGTGCCACTGCAGTCCAGCTTGGGAGACAAAGCAAGAACTTAGATCTGGAAAAGAGAGAGAGTCAGGAGGCGGAGGAGGAGGAGGAGGGGAGAGAGAGAGAGAGAAGAAAGAAGAGAAGGAGAAAGTAGAGAGGAAAGACAGAAGGAGAGATGAAGGGAGGAAGGAGACTTTCTAACTAAATATAGAGTAACTATAAATGGATTTCTTTAAAGAAGATGTTTTTGTAAGAGGATAAGGAGAATATAAAATAAATGCAGGATTATAAATGAGCAATTCGGGAACTGCCTCTCAGGAGATGTAGATTTAGAACTGGCAAAGCAGGTAACGTACACTGAAAGGGGAAAATATACTGGCATTAGAAAGGCAAGAATGACTTGGTAATTTTTAAAAAGAAGAACTTTTAATATGGAACAAATTATAATGAATAATGGCAGGAATCAATTATAACATACTAAATTTAAAAAAGAATCCGTGAGTCTTTACTGACTAAAAAAGTTTATAAACAGTGGGGAGGGGAGGTAAAAAGCTTTGTAAAAGATGCCAACTAGTGAACATGGAACAATTATAGAAACAGAAGATTACCACTTTAAATCCGACATAGCAATGGATTCAGGTGAAAATCATCAATGGGTAACAAAATACAGAGGTGAAAGATTGTGGGGGAACAGAATACTTACACAGTCTCAAAGTGTCCCCCACAGATTTCATATTAATTACAGAGAGAATAAGATATCTTTGCAGTGGAGAAATTTAGGGGACACCCCCTAAACACACGGTCAAACTTAACATCACCAATTATGGCACAAACAAGCATCATGTGTCCCAGGTGGGATGTAATAGGAAGGACACACACCCTCTGTGTATTAATTTCAATCATATGAAGTTGCTGATATTTGACTGACTTTGGTTTACAAAAATGACGGTTTCATATGATGCAACCTAATAATATTTCTATTGTTTAGCATGAATTTAATCATGAATAAACAACCAGAGAAATCCAAATTGAGGGCATTCTGCAAAATAAACAACTGGCCTGGACTTTTAAAACAATGTCGATGCCATAATTAAAAAAAAAAAAGGCAAAAAGAGGAGAGGCTCTTCTAGACTAAAGGAAGGTAGAGAGACACAACAATCAAATACAATGATGCTCCTTGTTAAGATCCTAGATTGGGGGAATTTAGCTGTAACAGACATTGTTGAGATACATTTGAATGTAGACTGTATATTAGATAATAGTATTATATCAGTTGTGAAATTTTATGAATATGAGAATTATACTGTGGTTATGAAAGAAGGTGTCTTTGTTCTAAGGAGATATATGCTGAAGTATTTGGGGTGAAGGGTTATAATATCTGCAAATAACTCTGTAAAGTTTCAAAGATTCAGCAACAAAAAATGAATGTGTATATGTATGTATGTGTATGTATCACACACACAGAGAGAAGGCATAAATGTGGCAAAATATGAACAAACAGCCAATCTAGATGAAGGGAATATAGATATTCATGGTACTTTTCTTGCAATCTTTCTGTAGGTTTGAAAATTTTCAAAATAAAACATTGGAGGGAGGAAGAAAGAATTGTCATTATTTTCATTTAGGGTATGAATGCTGGGCTTTGGGGTGCTTTCCTACATGGAATCTTTTGACTCTATGACCACATGTATAGTGACTGGGATAATTTTTTTTAAAAAGACCCAGTTGAAATAGAGATGATGCTCCCTACCCATAGAAAAATGATGAGATTTTACTTTACTGCTAATGGAACCACCAAGCAACGGGCTTAGTGTTGGTGCATTTGTGAATAGAGTCCTGCTTTGCCCAGTGCAGCTGTCCACTGGCCCCTGAAAGTCCCTAAGTCCATCTTCATCTGTGCACTAGTATAAAGCTCTCTCAGGGACTTAGAGATTTAAAAAAATACTGAGTTTTACCGGGATCTTAGAGCTATTGGGAAACTAAGATTTAATAAAACAATTGCAAAATTGGAGATAAGAAAAAATTATCTTTGCTAAAAATAGAGACAAATAGTTCAATCTCCAATTTTTGAAATAGAAGAGTTGGGTTTTGACTGGAGGGTTGAGGGCTTAGGGCAGGCACTGGGTTCTTCCCTTCGCTTTGTCTGTCTACCTCAGTGTTGTGGACCCAGAGGTAGAAAGGAAAGGTTGAAAAAGCCTTCTCTCTTTCTCTCCTTAGAACTTTATCTTTATCTGGGCACCTCCTTGTTATTTTAGCTCTAGTTTGCCACTTCTCATGCCAGGCTTCCTGCTAAGACTGTCTTTGTTTTTTCCCTGGCCTTCAGTCAAGTTTTCAGCTCTTTGCAAGACCCTCTTCCCGTCTGCTCTCCCATCCTTCACTCTTTTCCTTCTGTCTTGTCAGCTTTCCCTTTGTCCTTTTGGCTTTCCTCCTTGCTCTTCCTGCCAGCCAGTCTGTACTGTTTCCCCCTGCCCCATTCCTGCTCTCATTTTCAATAAGATTACATTTATTTGGGAGATGGAAATAGATGGATGAAAGGGAAAGTCATCTTTTACTGCATGCGTATATGTGCACACACACACACACACAAAGATGATGGTAAGGTAAGGTATTGCTAATATAAGGAAAGATCTTTCCATTGGAGTTTTGATTTCTCTAAAAAGTTTTTAAAGGCTTATTTAAAAAGAACCAGATTAACCTTAAACTACAGGTTGTAGATCTGGGTTGAAAACCAGCTTCATCACTCCCAGTGTGAATTTGGGCAAATCATTTCCATTTTTTTTTTAATCTGAGAAATGGATATATTGAGAGTGCTTTCCTCAAAGCTTTGCTATCAGGATTAAGTGAGATAATGCACTTAAAGTACCTGGCAGATAACCCCACAAAGGTGGGCTCTCTATGAGAGCTTGCGATTATCATTAGCCCCTTCAGGCCTTCACTGGACCAGCACAGTCAGACACAGATGAATCTCTTCCTCCTTAAGACTCCTGCAGCACAGTTATTTGCCCCATTTTTTAGGCTGCCCTTTCTTGTCTTTCTGCCTACTTGCCTCTTCTCTCCCTCTCACACTTCTCATTCTCTCTTCTTTCTTTTGATATCTTCTTCCCTTCCTACCTTTCTTGTTTACTTTTTCCATCTTCCACCCTCCTACAAAGACTAAAAAAAATCCAACATAAAAAGTTAAAATTTATATAAAGTTGAAGGGAAAATGGGTGAAGGGAAAATGAGGGTAGAGATATCATAAAGCTGGGGTTAAGAGGAGAGGCATAAATGCATACCATGGTTAGGCATAATTGCTAGTTGGGGGCTACCACTTTACTGAGTTTCCTAGCAGCCAAAGGAAAGATGGAAACAAATAATTAAGAGTAGTGAGGTCCATGAGATGGAGGAAATACGTAAAAACTGTGGTTCCTTCCCTGAGCACTTCTGTGGATTCTCATAAAGGGGACCCTAAGTGGTGTAAGCAAGTGATGTCTACCATAATAATGCATCTCCTTTCATCATGGATATAGTAATAAACCAGAGAACTGTTTCCTATGATGCTTTTCAATATAGGCTGATGATGTACAGCTGAAGTTCAATCCTGTAAAAGCATTTTTACAAGGAGTTAAATTGTGTACTATGTGTATGCAATCCTCTGAGATCTGGCATGCCGCAAGGATAGAGTTTAGAATACATACAGGAATAAATAGATCTGTGTCCTTCAGGCAATTCTCTATAGATACTATCTCTAGCAATCAGGCTTTTGAAAAGTATAAGAAAGTAGAGTTCAAGGCAAACCGCTGAGTATGGATACCGTCTGTCATTGATGAAGGGCAGAGAAATGTTATTGGATAATCAGTCAGGTAGACAGTAAGACTAAGACCATTTTAATGAAAATTAAAAGCCATGCAAACACACCTGCCTGAACAGAACCATGCCATTTCTGCATGAGAAGAGCTGAGACATATCTATGGGCAAGATCAAAATAGTCCTCAATTCTGACACTGAATAGTTCTTTACAGAACATTATTAGATGACAAGAAAAGCTTGATTCCATTTTGGGGAAAAGGAGCACAAACGTGTACCCAGTAATAAGATACACCAAAATGTTGATAGCAGAAATCTCTGGGAAATGGGATTTCAGTTGACGTTTCTCTTTCTATGTTTACAATGAGCAGATGTTGCTTTGGATATAAGAAAAAAATAAGGTTATTTTCAGAAAAAAATAGTTACTCTAGGCTGCTTCGATCCATGGATGAATGGGTAAATTCAGCCACAAATTTCCACAGCAGTGGTTCTCAGCCCTAGCTGCAGTTTAGAATGCCTTGGGGAGTTTTTAAAAGATACTGATGCTTTGGCCCCACACCAAACCAATTAAATTCAAATCTCTGAGGCTAGGACCCAGGCACTGGCATTTAAAAAAAAATCTCCTAGGTGGTTATAGCATGCAGCTGGGTTGAGAACTGCCTCTCTGTACAGTAGAACACAACTAGAATAATCCCTGGCCCATGTTCCAGCAGGCACACTCTTCTCAATGGCCTGGATAGCTCTCCATGATCTGGCCTCTGCTTTCCTGTCCAACATCAGCTCATTCTACAGGCTTGCTTATTCAGCTCCCAGAACAGTGCCTGGCACGTAGTAGGATAAATTCATATCCTACAAACGGTGATCCAGGATCACAGTTTGCTGACTGTGGTCACAGAAATAATGAACATCTTTGTTTAAGCAACATAGTTTTCTATGAATCTTTTTTTACCAATTGTATTGTCATTAATTGGTTTGGATGTCTCAATAGACTCTTTGGTTGTGATTGAGAATAGTAAGTCTGATAATTTAGTCTTTTTTCAATAGTTCATCCTAGTCATTCTATTTGTAATCAATGGATATGAGGACCATTTATCTGTTAGGTCAGTTTTTTAACACAGGATAAGACTGTATGCTCCATGAAGACAGGGTTTGTCTTTCTCACCATGGCATCTCCATGGCCTAGGAAGGTGCCTGGTTCAGAGTAGGCACCTAATAGATACTTGTTAAATACATATTCAAGACATGAATAATAATAAAAGCATAATATGAATGTAAAGAATTGTATTTAGTTTTTTATTTCTCATTTGATGGGTGTAGTGTGTTTGAAGAGAAGGAGGCATGCACACATTCATGCAAAAGTAGTATCAAATTTAGATAGTTGTTGGACAAAGAGAAAATTCATACATTCAGACTGAGATGAGGTTTTGAATCCATTTTTTGGTATGTGAAAATATTATAATAGGTAGCTAGTCAGATACGAGTAGGGCCGGAAAGGGCGGCCCCCGATACACGCACACACACACACACGCACACACACACACACACACACACCAGGAGTGTCAGGCGACCATCCAGTGATGGTCAGGCAGCTGTTAACTGTCTCTCTAAAATAATAATTGGTTCCTGATATAATTCATCTCAATGTATTTTTTACATTTTACTGCCTGACTCCTTTTTTTAAGATAAATTTACTTTACACAATTTTTGTTTCTTTTAACTTTTATTTTAGGCTTGGGGGTACATGTGAAGGTTTGTTACATAGGTAAACACACGTCACAGGGGTTTGTTGTACTTACTATTTCATCACCCAGCTATTAAGCCTAGTACCCAATAGTTCTCTTTTTTGCTTCTCTCCTTCATGCAGACTCCAGTGTCTGTTATTTCCTTCTTTGTGTTGTAAGTTCTTATATTTAGCTTCCACTTACAACATGTGGTATTTGGTTTTCTGTTCCTATGTTAGACTCTTTTCATTAGGATCTAATAATCCAAAGACAGGGATTTTTTTTTTTCGGTCTATTATGGTCTCTGTTTATTCCCAGAACCTTGAACAGTGCCTGACACATGGTAGGTGCTGAATTTATATTTGTTGTATAAATAAACACATCAAAAAAACATTTTATTTGCTTCTACCCTGATGAGTTAACCTCACAGTGGTTACCCTTGTATTTTTAGTTTTCCATTCACATGTATCAACTCTACCTCTGGTAGATTATCAGCTCTGGAGAGGAGTCATCTATTTCTTTGTCTCCTAAAAGTGGCTATCTACGTGATCCAAAATATGCAGCAGAATTTGCATATATGTGCATGTTAATTGAGTGTTTGTGAAAATTGAGACTTGGATGCTGAAGAGAACAGGTAGGTTTCTCACCCCCTTGAAAATATTCCATTAAAAGCCTTCCCAAATAAACTCATGTTCTGCTCTTGGGACAAAATAAAAATACTTGGTTACCTATGAATCTAGTACTATTGTTTCAGTCTCTCTTCAGATTTAAAGAGTGAGGTTCATCGTCTGAGCAGTTTAATTACAAACAACCTCTCTTAATTCCTGTATTGCTGGAGCTCAGAGCACACTCAGATCAAGGGAGACGACGTGCCACTTTGTACAGGGCTCAGCCTTGTTACTGTTTATCTGAGTAAAGAGCCCTCTTAACCTCGAGGCCAAGCACATTAGATGTTTTGTTTCAATTGAGTTCTCTGCAATGGTCCAGATTTCTCTTCATTTCAGAAATCCTCAGCACCGATATTGGGAAACTCTTGGCGTTTGTTTCCCCATCAATGAATGGGCCTAACACAAAGGAGAGTAAGATTCTTGGCCGTGAAGGACCTGGGGTCTGGAATAGATGTGCTCCATCTGCCAAAGCATTTTCCCCATATGGCTGAGATTTTTTTCCTACTAAAAAAAAGAAAAAAAGAAAAAAAATGACAACAACAACAAAAAACACTTACTCAGCAAACTGCACAGCAAGTCATTTGTGCCAATAAAATGACAGTCATCTTCAAGGCCACAGGCTAAAAATATGAATTATCAGGTAGAAATTGGCTCTAGGATAAATATATTTTTCTTCATTCCCTACTCCTTCCCACAATCAATCTCTCTCCCTCTCACTCTCTTTCCCATCCACACATGTGTGTGCATACTCATGTGCACACTTGCACACTCATAAAAACTGGAGTTTCCAAAATTTCCCAGTTGGTTGAGAAGCAGAACCCAAAGTTGGGTGAGGAAAAATGACTCATTCCCCTAGGTTTGGTTTTTACTGCCAGAAAGCAGATTTTCAGGAAGGAAAATCATATGTCCCAAGCCATCACCAAAGTAAAATCAATCAAATCCCCAGTGTCTGCCTCAGAATCTCCATGAGTCTGTGGTCTAGAGTCAGGCAGTGACTAGTGGTTGTGTGAGCTCCAGAATACTTTGCTTCGTCTTGTGGGATGTTATTTTCTAACAGCTATTGACAATTTTCATTTCCGCGTGGCAGGGTCCATGTGGTCAAAAGAACTTGACCTAAGCCTTATAAAATCACCAATGTGATGTTTTTATTTGGAAGCATGTTTTGCTGAGGCCATCAGAGTGGAACTGAGAGTTTAGTGGGCTGTGGTTCAAGGAACCACACTTACATGATGGTTTACAAGCAACTCAGCCTTCTCTGAAGGACGGCCTGATTTAGCCATAAGCGAAGAGTCTGGGCTCTGGAAGTTCAGTCTGAACAAAGACTGAGATAGGAATGCCTAGGGCATTTTTTGGGTCTCCATCTCCTCACCTGTGAAGTCATATGGACAATAATTAGTAAACAGGAGCACTGAAAGGATTGGCATTTTTGAAATGTTAAATGTTGTTTTCTTCAGCTCCAGCAACAACTGTTTCTTGTGACTTTCTGTGGGACTCTGAGGAATGTTGGGATGATAATCACAGGAACCAATGGCTGCCTCTGGAAAGCCCATAATTCTGCACATTCATGGAGCTTCACTCTGATTCCAAATCCAGAAAGACCACCATGTCACTTATGGAGACACTTGAAATCCTTTCCACATCTTCACTCATCACGCCTGGGGTGAGAACTAGGAATACGTGAATAAACCAATAACACGTTACTGAAGTCAGTTTCGAGTTTTGCCTGCTATGAACTTAGAAACAACTCCATTTCTCTCAGCACTAGATGGCCTGTTCAGAGTGTATGTGTGTGTGTGTGTGTGTCCTCATGTGTGCAGAGACAGAAAGAGACAGAGGGAGAGAACGCAATATTTAGTTTTGAAGATATTACACTTATAATTATGCTTTCAGAAGCCTGTTTCTGGGAGTACCACAGAACAATGCAGTTAGGTTACCCAAGGAATAAAATCATTAAATAGGGCCGTCCTCTGGTTTTTCCTCCAAACCACTGTCTGTGTGTTGTTCAGGGGAAAGAATCTCAGCTTATTCACAAGTGGCACTATCTTTCCACAGGATGTTCATTGTTTTGAAACTAGAAGAAAACCTCAACAGCTCTGAAGTATATAATTATGCTTTCTTATTACCCAACAAGAATGTTCTCGGGAGTGTTGTTGCGATGACTCGCTTGCGAGTGATCTGACGGAAGGAAGGGCGGCTGAGGAGGAGAGGAGGAGGGAGCAGAGCTTGCCTTCCATGCCACTTACTTTGTTGTCTGACAGCTCTCACAGATTTGTGGCTTGTCCTCAAGTAGACAGCCTAGGGAGATTTTTGGTCGAGGGTTCCCAGTCTCCTCCATGTCCCCCCACCCCCGCCCCACTGTTATCAGTGTAATAAGTGATTTCAGAGTATTAGGGGAGATTCCACTGCCACTGAATCATGTACAGACTCACGGCCAGATGATGACATCAGAAACATATGTGTTAGTCTGAAGGCAGGACTTTGCCTAGGAAATGAGAACAAGATCTCCAGCCGGAGAATTAAGGACCCAGAGGCTTAGAAACCACCCCAAGAGGAGAGCTTCTTTATCTTTCCCCTCCAGGCGGAAAGTCACCTAAAATTTTCTCCTTAGATGTTCACTGTGCTGTTTTTAAATATTTCTAGGAAAGCTCTTTTAGAAAGCTAGGATTTAAGTACTTCACAAACAAGGCAAAGTTTGCATGTAAGGGATAAACTCTGCATGCTCTAACTCATAATTACCATGATTTTATAAACCTGGCATTTCCTAACCAAGCTTTATTTTCATTTGGAGCAGTATCTGTAAGTGAATTCTTCATTAATCATGTTTGCCCACCCATATACCCACCTGTATTTTTAAAAGGTGTATTATTCCCAGATATGTGTTTATATAGACACATCACAATATTATTCCAAGTGCTTTTTATCAGGCCATGGGACACATTTCAAATCACTCTCTAAGTTGACATCATACTTGAGCCTTATGCAGACTGTGTGGTTTCCATAGTAACAAAATCACTTAATGGTGTGAGAAACATGTGGAAGATTATAGAAAAAAAGGAGAAAATCTGAATGGAACAAAAGGCAGGAGCTAAAGTCAAAATTTCTTGGAATGTAAGAAAATTTTTATTGTCGTTTTATTTATCTGAAAACATGAGTACAAACTCTCTTGATGCTACTGGGTATAAATTGTGTCAGTAAAGGATGACCTTTAAGCGTCCAAGGTCACCTTACCCCAAGCTATAGTCTTACAGATGCCTGCACTTCTCATTGTGTGTGTGTGTGGGTGTGTGTGTGTGTGTGTGTGTGTGTGTGTTTGAGCATATGTGTATTTCTGTATAGCTATATAAGTATATACACGTATATGCATTTGGAAGATCCGTGGTCTCTTTTTAAAAACTGGTTTCACCATCTTAGATCCGAAACAGGTAGTAAGGTACTTTCTGAAAGACTTACCTTATTTTCTCTTTGTGTACACACAAACACCAAGACAAGCTAAATTCTTATTTGGGTAAATAGTAATGGTGTACTTGGAAACACCTCTCATTCATTCAGTAATTTATTCATTGGAGACATTTATTGAACATCTCTTGTGATAGACAGAGTCCTTGTACCAGACAGAGAGCTGTAAGCAGACAATTATGATAACTGTGAAGTGTTATGTGGGTAATCTATGAAAAGTTTAGCATGTAATCTTCCTGGTCTCTTTCTTCTTCTTCTTTTTTTTTTTTGAGATGGAGTTTCGCTCTTGTTGCCTAAGCTGCAGTGTAATGGCTCGATCTTGGCTCACCACAACCTCCACCTCCCAGGTTCAAGCGATTCTCCTGCCTCAGCCTCCCAAGTAGCTGGGACTATAGGCGCGTACCACCATGCCTGGCTAATTTTTTGTATTTAGTAGAGGCGGGGTTTCACCGTGTTAGCCCGGATGGTCTTGATCTCCTGACCTTGTGATCCGCCCACCTCGGCCTCCCAAAGTGCCAGGATTATAGGCGTGAGCCACCGCTCCTGGCCCCTGGTCTCTTATTAGGTCCTCCCTGTGACAAAGAGCTCACATTTTCCATGTTTCCAGTCCATGGGAAGCTCAACTGGCAGCTTAGGTCCCTTGCCTAAGGGATTGCAAGCACTTTTGTAAAAGGGTTGGGTTGTCGGGTCTTTCACTTATTAGGTTCCATGAATGAGGAGATGTATGTTCCTAGCCCTGTTTCTCCTACTATTCTAATTAGATGAACTGAGTAGACAAAAATAAATACAACATAATCCCAGCACTTTGGCCTCAGAGTGATGAGGAGGGCAGGATTAGCTGGGGATTTTAAGACAGTGTCTATGTTGGTGATGCCTGATTAAGCAAAACACCAACTTTCCTGGACGATGCATTTCTCCCTTTGGTTTTGTTAGAAACTGGAACCAAAAGGAAGCCCTTTGCGCCAACTCTTCTCAGTGGTAGGAGTTGAGACCATTAGTATTAGAGCTGGAGAAAATGTCGAAACACCTCCTCTAAGGCTGGCAGCCTGAGTAAATTCTGAAACCCTCCCTCAGTTCTCAACAAACAACTTGATGGTTTTTGAGGTCTTCTAAGAAGATGACTCTTCCTGGGAAGGCGAGCCCTCAATGGCCACTAGAGAGGGATTAGTGATGATGCTGCAGCCTTCGAGGTAGGTGTGCCCAAGAATACATCAAAGGCATTAGAACCGACTCTGGAACCAAGTCCTGGTAATTAACATCTCTGGCATCTTTCTCTTTGAGAAGGACTTTTGTCCCATGGCAACATAATAGCACTAATAAATGTGATCTGAATGCATGGCTGAAAATGCACATGATGGTTAGAGGTATAAGAGTGCCTGTAGTAAGTCCCCTCTGTCCCTTCTATTGGGGGAAATCCTCTCTTCTTACGCATTCAAGTCTATCCCTGAGCCTGTAGGACCTGGCTCTCCCAATTATTCCTTCTCTCTTATATTTTCAATTACTTTATTTTCTCTGGCTTTTTCCTTTTATGAACAAATATGTACAAATTTCCCTGAACCTTAAAAAACAAAACACACAAAAAAATAAAATCTTGCCATCAGCCCTTTGTTCTTGACCGCTTACAGTCGAATTTTTGTATCATCATTCAGCTGAAATTCCTGCTGACAGGGCAGTCACCTCCCAACTGCCAGATTCAGAGTCCTGTTTTCTGTCCTCCTCCTTGTATCTTCTGCAGCATTTGAGGCTCTGAACACCCACTCCTTTCTGATAAGCCCTCCTACACTGGCTTCTATATCACTACTCCCTCTTAAATTTCCCTTGTAAACTCCATCTCCTGCCTGTTGTATTTCTTTGCAATTTTCTTCACAGTTTCTCCTTCTTGGCTCACTTTTAGAAGTCAGTGTTTTCCAGGTCCTGTCTTACTCTTGGTATTCTTCTCCTCTCTCTAACTGTGTATATTTTCCCATGTGAACTATTATCCCAAATGCAATTGTCATTTTTCTACAGGTAAAATGTGATCAAGTGTTGGTAATTTCATATGTTTCAACCTATCATAATTTCCATACCTCTGTTTCCAGCTCTGATCTGTCTCCTAAGCTTAGATCAATATTTCCAATGACCAACTGGATATTTCTGATTGGATGGCTTCCAGTCAAAATGAATACATCCTAGACAAAATCCTTATATCTCAAAACTTCTCTACCTTAAATATTCTTACTCTCAGTTCATAGTGTCACTATCTCCTCAGTTCCTTGGGTTAAAAAACTCAGTCATTCTTGAATTCTTCTTTTTTCCACTGTAGCCAAACAGTCAAAAACTCAGAGGATTCTAGCCCATGAATATCCCCTCAGTGTTGTCGTAGGTCAGGCCATCACCGCTGCTAGCCTGGGTGGTACAATGGCTCCATCCGTGGAATCCCTGCTTTGACTTGCACTCCTCTCCAGCACATCCCTTTACACTGTCCTAGGGTCTGAATGTTTGTGTCTCACAACATTCATATGTTGAAAACCTTATCCCCAATGCCATGGTATTAGGAGGTAGGGCCTTCAGGATGTGATCAGATCATGAGGATAGAGCCCTCATGAATGGAATTAGGGCCCTTTATTATAAGAGGCCCCAGGGAGAGCTGTCTTCCTCCTTCTACCATGTGAGGACACAGCTAGAAGTTGCTTTCTATGAACCAGGAAGTGGACCCCTACCAGGCACTGAATCTGTCAGCACCTTGATCTTAAACTTTTGATTCTTCAGAACTATGGGAAATAAATTTATGTTTATATGTGACCTGCTTTATGGTATTCTGTGATAGCAGCCTGAATAAACGAAGACACGCTGAAATAAATGAAGACACCAGAAACATCTTTCCAAAAAGCAAACCTGACCACGGGAGTGTAGGACTTATCTCAATCTATGACCTATAGCTACAGCTTAGCTCATGTCACTCTGGTACTCAAACCTTCACCACAGTCATTCTGATGGAATGGCTTATTCTGAAACACCAGATCCTTTCACGACCTTGTGCTTTCTTCTGTCTGAAGTGTTTTCCACATTCACGAAGCCTCTGAGAACCAGCTGAAAAGCCACTTCTTCTATGAAGGCTTTCCCAAATCTGCCTGCCAAACTGATCTTTCTCTGACTCCCATATATTTTGCCCATATTTTTGTTCTATCACTTTATGAATCAGCTGGTAGTTTATCCATTTATGCACTGGACTTCTCTAGTAGATTAGAAGCTCAGATCATATCTCTTGTGACCAACACCTGATGCTCAAAAAGTGTTTTTTCAGTAATTGAATGAGATTATTGAAAGGAATCTGGACCAAGATGAAAATTCTAGATTGAGAGGGATCATGGAGTTTTCAGATCTGGGTTTATGTTTTTGTGTATAAGCTCATATTGCTGCCATGGAAATATATTCACTCTGCTTTCCATAGTTGTAAAATGAGAAAATAAATAATTTACTAAATTCATGGCATTTGATTGATAAAATACCAAGTACAAGTTGGATCTCTAAGGCAAAGTTGTACTTGAGAATGTCCACATTGTCATGACATGGTATATTTCATTTTCAGTGGAATTGCACCATGTAAGAAATGTACGATGTTATGCAGTATTATTCTATAATACATTCAGAGTGGATCAATTTCTTCTTTTATTGAGGTAACTTGAGTAAGGCCCCTCTTGGAACTTGAAAGGAAGCTGTAGACCAGAGAAGGTAGAAAAAAATTGAGCCTTCCATTTAGTGTTTTTGGTAAATAAGCAAGACACCCTCCTGAAACAGGGTTCCAGTCTAATCCTGATGTCTAGGAAGGATGGGTGCCCAAGACTGTTGTTGGATCATTTGTCCTCAGTATGCCAGCTGTTAGCAATACCCCCTGAAGCCCTAGAGTAGAACAGAGAAAGAAAGTTGAAACCACGTTCAACCCAGATTCAGTGGAAAACATTGAACATGTGGTCATCTTCTCTTGGTTGAATCGAGTTGAATATTGGGGCTGGTGTGAGCATGATGGACACAGCCTACATTGCCTAGCCCATGCCTGGCACACGGTCTACTACTCCTGACTTGTGCTCAAAGCAGTACTACATTATTTGTATTTCCCTGCATGTAATGCACTCTTCCCTGCCTCTTTGCTTTTGTTTACATTGTTCTCTCTGCCTAGAATGTCCCCTGTCCATTTTGATGAATGAATCCCTAATGAGGATCAGTTCAGGCATCACTTCCTTGAAGCCTATTTCTGACCATTCCCTTTTCTTCCCAGCATGGGTTTAATACTATTCATCAGTGCTACCATGTACAGTTGTGCAGCATTTTCACTGCATAAAGTCACCCTGCTGAGGGAGTGAATTTCTGCATGCCAGCTCAAGCTGTAGCATCTAGCATATGCCTTGGGGCTGGGATTGTTTTCTGTTTCGCACAAAGGCAAACCCACATGCCCTGTGCACATTCCTATCACTGCTATGACCACTACAATGAACATCTGTTTATTTGTTGCCCCCTCTAGATCCCTGGAATGCCAGCTCTTGTTGGGTTCTAACAACTATGGAGAGCTAGTTGCTATTCTAGGAACTTCAGATGCCTTAAGTCATTTATTTTTCTCAATTATCTTCTGAGGTTAGCCAAATTTACAGAGGAATAAACTGAAGCACCAACGGAAGAATAATGCTTCTAAAGTCTCACAGAAGGCAAGCGTGATGCCAGGATTCAGCCTCAGGACATCAGGCTCTGTGGCCCTCGCTAGCCACTGTACCACACTGCCACTAGATGAATGAAAACTTCTTGGGCCTCCACTTCCTTGTGTTTCTCCTCCTTCAGGGGAAAATGCTGTCTTTGTTTGTAACTTTCAGCGGAGACACTCCCAGGTGTCAATGTGTATCTCATCCACATGGTGCAATCTGCCATGTTCTGAGAGCTGGTCTCCATGGAGTTGGTTCCCAGCTTCCTTTTCTAGAGAGTGCCAGAGAGATTCCATATACAGAAGGTAAGCTGGAGGGCCAGGCCTTCTAGGCAAAGGTTTTGGATCTGGGGATTTGCAGAAGAAGGCAAGGCATATATGGAGTAGGGAAGAAAGGAAAAGGAGGGGAGTGATAGCAAGCAGCGTGCCCAGAAGAAAAGGGTGAAGGCTCACATTCAGTCACTTGTCACCGTTAAATATGAAAGGGCTGTCTTGAAGAGGTTGGCTGGATAGGGTTAGGAGGAGAACAGCCACGTGGGTGTCTGTGAGAAAGGAAATCTAGACTTACCACACTAGTGGCGGTACCTTCCCCTAACATCTCGGTTGATGAGAATGACGATGGAGAGTGTGTGAGGAGGAGGGACATGGTTCCTCTCTCTTCTCCATCCTGTCCCTGAGGAAGTTCTGCTCAGAGCAAGGGCTGCCAGCAAGAGAGAGTAAAGTTGGGGTGGAGGTGCTTACAGAGGGTGATATAGTATTGAGGTAATAGTGGAAGAATGGAGGCTCTGCGGAGAGCATGGGCCAACGTGCCTTGAGGATGGAGGAGGCATCAGGAAGGCTCAGGGATGCAGCCTGGACTTTGCCATCTAACATTCACAAGAGAAAACTCCCAAATCAGTCCCAGATTCTTCACACTGTCTCAGGTCCTCAGATTTTCTCTAACGCATGTGTTCAGCCATTCCTCTATCCGTTCTCCACATTTCCTGGGTCGCAACAGCCTTGTTGGCTGTGGAATGAGAATGAGATGTGAGAGAAGGTCCAGCTGGCCTTGGGTTGAACTAAGCAGCTTCAAATAAAGAATGCCTCTGTAGTGGGTGTGAGGCCAGGCCACTGGCCCGAGCATTTGGTGGTCAGGAATTCAGACTCTTCCTCTCACACTGACTCAGCCTGTGCCTTTGGGTGACTCGGTTTCTCAGGACTTTACACGGGGATAATGATACTCCCTACTTTGTGAGGGAGTATTAATTAAAGTTAGCAAACTGCGTGACAATGCTGGGATGAAAGGGGTTAAAAACAAAGTGTAATTGTGAGGCACAGTAAGTTGTGTCACTTACCATATGTGTTGTGATTAGAATCGATATAGACAGATAAAATTCATCTTAGAACATAGGCTCTGTGGAGAATGGGTCTCATTTTAGAATGGTGTTGGAAGCCACCTTGGTCCCCGAACTAAAGTCAAGAGAAAAATGTGGATTTGCATGGGATGCGTGTTCGTGGGCTGACACTTCTCCCTATAGTCTTGTAAACAGTGAAGAAAGCTGATTTTCAAATGTCACATGTTCCAAGTTTTCCTTCAGAGACTTCATACCTTTGCTATTCAATCCTCACTCCTCACTGACAGAGATCTTGATGACAGGAAACACGTCCCCGGTGAGCACAGCTTGATGGCAGGTAAGGGATAAGGGGTGCCTTGGAGAACCAAACCTGAACACTTTTCCCCTCTCCATAAGTGGCCCTTCCTGAGAGACTAAAAAATGTGAGCTTCCTTATTCCAGTGGTCAAAGGCTGGCCGCCAGCATTTCTTCCTGGCCCCGGACACTGTTCCATGACCCTGGAGCTCCTCGGGACAAGAAGTCACACATGATGTGGCTGAGACAGAGCCGTGATTTCAGAGTGCTGCTCTCCTCTCTTTGTTTCACCAGTGCTGGCTGAGATCCTAGAGCAGTTTCTGCTGAATTGATCAAAATGATGTCGTGTGTGAGGCTAATTTTTGGAAATGGAAATCAGTGTCTCTTGGAGAAACTAAAATGCCTGATAGGCCCCAGGGGAAGGCTGCAACCATCACATCACTGTGTGCTGGAGACTTCTGCAGGGGTTATGTGTGATGACGTGCTTGCCTCTATGTCTTGAGGTATAAAGAAATTAAATAGTTAAGAAAAAAATGTCAGACTGAGAAACCCTGAAGAGCTTTAGATTCTCTCAGGTCTATCAAGTTAGGCAACAACTGGGCCATCAGATCAGGGAATTCATGCATTCATTCAAGAGCTGTATTGATTTATTGAGCAATTTCTGTGTGCCAAGCGTGTTCTGAGTGTTGATGCAGCAGTGGACACACCAGACAAAAATTCCTGTCCTTGTGGATAGCGTTCTATTGGAGAGACATCCAAAGCAGAGGAAAACACTTATAGCATCACTACTTGAATGATTAATTCTGTTTCCAGCTGTCCTGCAGCTGTCTGGGATTTGGACCTTGGTCTAATCCCAATCTTACTGCATCCCTTTCTCTATAAATTAGGAGCAGTGACATTGTCTAAAATGAGGACTAGTTGTTGCCATTGACTTTAGCTTAGAAGTAGGGGTGATAGTCATAATATTAGCAACTGGTATAATACAAGTGCTGACCAATCATAATGGGCACCTGTAGTTCCTGCTAGCATTAAACCTTTAGATTCGAGGGTCTTGAGAGAAGGATTGAGGTAGCTGAGATGGCGAAAGATTCAGAGTGGGGGTACTTGGGGGCACTGGCTATTTACGAAATGGTACAGAAGTATTTCAATACTTTAAACATAGCCTGGTTAAATCCAGACAATACCAGATGAATAGCAATCCACTGTTGTTTTTTGTTTTCTTTTTTTTTTTTTTTTTTGGTGGAGTCTCACTCTGTCACCCAGGCTGGAGTGCAATGGCATGATCTCGGCTCACTGTGACCTCTGCCTCCCGGGTTCAAGCAATTCTGCTGCCTCAGACTTCTGAGTATCTGGGATTACAGGCACGTGCCACCATGCCTGGCTGATATTTGTATTTTTAGTAGATACGGGGTTTCACCGTGTTGGTCAGGCTGGTCTCGAACTCCTGACCTCATGATCTGCCCTCCTCAGCCTCCCAAAGTGCTGAGATTACAGGCATGAGCCACCGTGCCTGGCCTTGTAATCCATTCTTGAAAGAATCTAGAGAAAAGGACATACCCATATGATGTCTTGGTCAATATGCTCACTGATAAAAGATCCAGCAACCAGCAGAGGACCTAGTACCAATTTAATATTTTGAACCAGGATTAGAATTCACAGATACTGAGTCTCCACAACCTTATAAAGTGACTTTGAAAACAAGATGGCCTTTAAAATTGTCATAAATGGCTGCCAGGTGGAGCAGGGCTGTGAGGGGCACCCAGCCTCTGTAAAAATAAATAGTCTTTATTGAAAAGAATGCAACAGCCCTGGAATATGCTTTGATGTGGCAATGGGTTTTTTTGGATCTCTTCTTGCCTGATCATTACTTGGTTTACACAGGACTTGGCCAGGGAGGAAGACACACCCCTTTGACAGGTAGACAGGAAGCACTATTGGCAGGGAGCAGCTGCGAAGCAATCCTAGTTGCCATCATTGGGGTGCTGGCATAGTACTGGTCCTGCAGGTTTCTAACTTGTCATCCTAGCTGGTAATGTCTCCTGGTTTTTATGGAAGGCTTAATTGGAGAGTGTCTGATGCCTGAAGGACTTTCCTGGTTGACAACCTTGAAAATGGTGAAAGAAAGAAATTGAAACCAGGTAAGCTCTTCCTTGTGCATTCTTCCCTCCCTCACAGGTGGAGCCTGGCAAAAAAAAAAAAAAAAAAATACCTGTTCAATGAGATGCACAGTAAATGCAAGGATGGCTGCAATGAATAGAGGCTGCCCAGAGAATGAATAGAGGCTGCAATGAATAGAGGCTGCCCAGAGAGTTACCTACCCACTTAACAGTCTCATCAAATTTGCTAACAAATTTGCCTGGTGAAAGAAAGATGTCGATGTCAATCGCTCATGCCCCTTTCAAAGGGAAATGTCCCCTGTGGCCCCAGTTGGTTGCTCACTTTTGTATTACATAACCAGTGGTGGCCAGAAGACCTCAGGGAAGGTAGTAGTTCACAGACTTGCCAGAGTCCTGTGACAGGGCACCCACAGAGCTGGGCCAATCTAGCTTTGCCTTTTGTGTATGTGTCCCTGGACTATTGAGAGTCAAGGAGGGGGATATGTGGGTGCTGTAGCTGACAGTCGTTGGGTGGAATCAGAGTAGGGGTGCTTGAAGCATTCATGGCTGTGTTGGTCAGATGGTGGGGAGATTGTAGGGAAAAACACAGGTGCCATTGTGGAGTAACTGCTTCATTGCTTCATTCATTCATTCAGCCACTATTCATGAACACCTACTATGTGTCAGGCACACTGCTGCCTACAGGGGATACAGCAGTGAACAAAGTAGACAAAAATCCCAGGCCTCATGGAGCTGGCATTTTAGTGGGGGAGACAAAATAACAAAGAAAAGTAAGAAATATATATCAGGTAGTGATAAATCCTTGGGGCAAATTAGAAGTAATATAGAAAAAAATGGAGGGAGAATAAATGAAACAAGAGTGGTAAAACTTAGACAACTGATTGGTGATGGATAGATAGGGGCTCATTTTACTATTTTTGAGTATACTTACCATTTCTTATAATAAAAAATTTAAACAAGAATGCAGGTAAGTTGGATAAGAGATGTTACGGTAGTGTGGGCTTACAATTTTAGATCTCACTGAGTGGGAAGGCCTCACTGAGCTGACCTGTGAAAAAAGACCTACATGAAGTGATAAGCAGATATCTGGGACAAGCATTCCAGGCACAGGGAACAGCATGTGCAAAACCCTGGAGACAAGAGTATTCCTGGAGTGTGAAAGGACTACAAGGTGAGCAGCATGGCCAAGGCAGGGTGGCTGAGGAGGAGGCAGTAGATGGGGCAGGGCAGGGGGAGGAGGATCACACAGGGCCTGTGAGTCATGGGGGGGATTTTGCCTTTTACTCTGGGTGAGATGCGGGGCCACCAGAGCATTCTGAACAGAGGAATGACACGACCTAACATGGGTTTTGGCAGTTCTTGGAGCTTTGGGAGTGAAGGTCCGCTAATCCCTACGTATGGGGTCCACTGAGCATCCCTGAAGGCAGGTGCTTTTAAGACCTAGTTCTGTTATAGCTTCTGTTCTTAGATGAAGCAAAGGAGCCCATTTATTTTTTTGTTCCTCCATGTAACCCCACAAAAAATCACGTTTGTTCAAGATAGCTTCAGTGAGACTCTATCAAATTGAAACAAACTGCAGGAACAGACACTTTTTCTCAGTGCATGGCTGCCACTCTTGGAGAGCAGGAAAGATGTGCAGTAGGAGCACCTGAGCGGCTCTTCACCACAGCTCAGGAAGGGAGGGGAGGACTCTGAGGCTCAGGAGGAGAGGGGAGGACTCCATGGCTCAGGAAAAGTGGGAAGAATACCACAAAGTCTGTGCAAGGTGAGATCTCTCTCTGATTCATAGGTCTTCCACTGGTCTAAGGCTCTTTAAGAAACTTTAAGACAAAAAAGTACACTTGAACCAAAAGCAAATTTAGGTGTATATACATATTTATTTATTTTTAAATCTCATGAGAAATAATAAAACACAAAGACATTCCCTGTGCTCCTCAAGTAGTAAAATCTGAACCATTACCTGGAAGTTAAAGGGCATAAATAACTGAGTGGAGGTGGCTGTAAGGAGAAGCACTTTAATGAGTATTCCCTGCTGTATTTGATTGTTCAACTAGGCTTCTTCCATGAGGATCTTATTTTCCCTGGCATTTATCACGTCAGTAAGGTAGAGGAGCTCCTATCTGAAAATAGCACCTAGCGCTAAGTCTGTCTAAGGCCTCCCGTCCCTTCAGTCCCTGAAGCTAGCTTCTCTCCTCACTCCCATCTAAACCTGAAAAAGTCAACCCTCTCATTAGGCCTTGCCCACAAATACCTCCATCAAAGCTAGGACTCACACAGGAAAATGTGCTGCAGGAGCCCATGTGACTTCCTCACATAAGAATGTGACAAAACCAGTTTCCAGAGAGCTCTCATGCTCTGACTAATGAATGAGCAAGTATGAGCCGGATAGCTTCTTCTCACATTATTTTGCCTGTGGAATCCTTTTGTACTCAAGATGCCTGAGCCAAATGCTACATTTATTTTCCATGTAAAGGTTTTACTGGGAAAGGAAAATTTTTTAAAGATTTTTTAAAAATCCATTGTGTTCTTTTGCCGTGTGGTAGGAAGAAACATCGCAGCCTTAGGGCTAATTAGCGTTTATGTAGTGTTCATATAGATTGCTCTATATTCCCCTCATATTTACAGTCTGTCATCATTTTACATCTATAAACTACCTTTCCTCCATTAAATTTAATAATCTTGTTTTACAGAAAATGGCAGAGCAGGTGGAGAAGGTGGTCAAATGCCTTAGCATGGATCATATGGTTGTGGTGAAAGAGTTAGAATGCACACTACTCAGTGTTGATGTACACAGAGAAGCAATGCTCCCGGGCTGGGGCCCACCCCAAACCAGCACAATTAAACCCGTTTACAGTTGTTATCCAAGCAACCTGACATGGTTTCTGTACTTGGATCAACATTGAGTCCTTCTCCAGAACGTGATAGAAACATAAGGCAGAAGAAGGCTTTAGCCTACTCATGGAGGGCATTTTCTATTTCTTTTCTTTGATTCAACTTGAACACCTGACTGAGGGAGGCAAAATTCCAAGATCGGCCCTGGCAGTTAGGGCTCCTCTGTTGCAAAGGCTCTTGTGTAGCAAGGACATTAGTTCTTCTAGGCCATGAGGGTACTATTTAGAAGGGCCCTGGGAGGGAGATTATTCCCCTGATTTTGCAGCAAACCCATCTTTAGGAAAAAATGACCTAGGTATTGAGGTAATTCTGGTTCCAATGTAACTTTGCTCCTATCTTTCTTTCCGTCTTAAGTAGGCAAATCAGAATAATTTCAGTGTATTGCTATGAGCAGGGAAACAATGAAAACTATAAGCCTATTCACAGCTGCCCAAACCTATCCTGAGAAGCAAACTGGTTCTCAAAATACGATCAGCTAATGACACATTCTATACATACCTGCCACTTTATTAATGTGCTGAAAGCCAAATTGATTTGTTCTGGTTCTTCATCAAGGTTACCCAAAGCCTGAACCTGGTGTTTTTCACTGGGTGTGATTCTTCAGTTCAAAACAATGATGGACATTTTTCTTCCTTAGGGGACTGTTATGATCATTTTACTTCTTATGTTAGCTGTTGTAACAAATAGACCAGTTTTTCATGGTTAACGTAATAGAACTTTATTTCTTCCTCAGTTTTTACTTGGCAAGTGGCATTTCCCTGGGTGATCCTGAGACACAGACTTCTTCTGTCTTACCTGCCATCCCTTGGATCTTACGTTATCTGCATCAAGTGGGCAGAATGGAAAGAGAATAGGAAGTTCCGATCTAGAAGGCACATTTCTGCACATATTCCAATTGTGAGAACAAGCCACATGGCCACACTTAGAAGCAAACAAAGCTGGGAAACATGGTCTCTGGCTGGGCAGCCAGTTATCAGCAGTAACTCTCTTCAGATGCTCTTCAACCTACAATGTGGCTCTGTCCCAATAAACCCATTGTAAGTTAAAAATATCATAAATTGAAACGCATTTTCTACACCTAACCTACCAAACAACATAGCTTAGGCTAGCCTACCTCAAACATGCTCAGAATACTTATATTAGCCTTCAGTTGGGCAAAATCATCAAACACAAAGCCTATTTTATGATGAAGTGTTGAATATCTCATGTAATTTATTGAATGCCATACCGCAAGTGAAAAACAGAATGGCTGTATGGGCACTTGAAGTATGGTGTCTACTGAATCTGTATTGCTTTTGCATTATTGTAAAGTTGTAAAATTGTAGGTTGAACCATTGTAAGCTGAGGACCCTCTGTATTAGGAAAGGGGGAGTAAAACTGTTGGTAAATATCTAGCCATCTCTGTCCCATTTCCTTTGGTAATGAAAGTAATGAAAGTTGATTATTTTCTGTGGTCCTTTAAACCCTAGTGCCACTTTAGAAGGTGCCCAAATTTCACCTTCTGCTCCTTACACAAAATCTTCAAGTGTCTGGAAAAGCCATAGAGCAAGGGACTATGCTGCATGCCTATTGCGTATGGGTTCAGGCATGTCAGGGCCTGTCCAAAGGCTGGAAGGAAATCTGTTTGCATGAGATCTTAATGAGCTTCAAGGAGAGACAGTGGGTGGCTGAGCTGGGAATGAAGACAGGAACCCTTTGCTTTCCATGTGATACAGGAGATAGAAAGAAAATATTTAGGCAGATAGTGAGGGCAAAAGATTCCTTAGCAGAACTTCCCTTCTAACAAAAAGCAGCCCCAGAAATAATTTTTTTTTCTAACAAAGAGCAGCCTGAAAGATTGAGCTGCAAGCATAAACAACGAAGCTGGGAGCTTGCACAGGGGAACGCTGGCAACTGCGCCAATAGAAAAGGGCTACCTGGGGGCCAGGCATGTCCACCATGGAAGCTCCATCTTCCCTTTTTTGTTAGCATGTGTACTGTGGGCAACATGGTGCAGCTCAGGCTGAAAACCCACCTGCATAATAAAAGACTGGGGTGGAGATGGCCAGAGATTCGCACCCTACGCAAATGGCATACCTGGTCCTAACCAGTTTTTCGCATTCTATGTAGATCAGACACCGCCTCCCCACCAGCTCATCTATAAAACTCCCTGCATTTCACTGCAGATAGGCAATTCATTTTTCTGGGACCCCTCGCTGTAGCAAAGAGCTATTCTCTTTCATTCACCTATTAAACTTCTGCTCTTAACCTCACTCTTTGTGTGTCTGCGTCCTTGGTCTCCTTGGCTGTGAGACAACAAACCTTGGATGTCACCCTAGACAACAAGGCCACTTCACATGCAGAGACTTGGATGGGGAAGGACCCACTATGAGGGAAGAAGAAGGGCTGAAACTTTTAGGTCTGTAGATTCTGCAGAAAGCATGGGCTGGCTGTATGGGATCAGAATGTTGGGATGTAATTAAGGACAGCATTATTGGGTGTTCTTACTATTGAGAATCAAACCTTCTACACAGGCTTCTGTCTACACATGACTTTATTCTACTGCTTTCATCAAAGTAACTTTATTATTCCAGGCAACTCTCGCCAGAGAGAAAAAAGTTACAGATAACTTCATTGACTTTAGCAGGACTACCTGAAAGACCTATCTACTCTTTAAGATAAAACATCAAATGACATTTTACACCCTAAGACTCTTGAAACCTCTTGCCTCAAAATTCTGCCTTGTTTTTTTTTCCAGCAATCCTAAATTATAATATCATGATCCTTGCTCAAACCTAACCATACGCCCGCATTGAAAGACCTACCTAAAACCAGATCTTACAATCTTAATAAACATGCCTTCTCAGCCCTCTCCTTTCAAGTTGCTTCCAAGACTCTGAGGAGCAGTATTTTTCTTTACTCCCGTAGGCAATAAACTTAGCTTTGACTTATCAACAGGTTGCTTTGGTGATAGTTTGCACAGCCAGCATTCCACAATATCTCCTAGTTTGGAGGACATGTGCTATGTTCCAATGGTAAGGGAAACTAAAAAGATAAAAATTTTACTCAAATGAAAAAGTGGTTCCATTGGCAGCTCCAAGCCACTGACTGGGCCCAACTGTCTCACACTTTGGAATAATAAAGTCCTTTAAGCACTAGTGGAAGAAGGACTCCACTTCTAGACTGTGATCCATAGAAACACAACAAAGTAACTAGTGGAGCGGCAGGACAGCCAGGAGGCAGAGGTCCTTGCAGGAAGACTCTTCAAGGTAGAGAGTGGCAGAGGCAGGAGGAAAGTGTTGGCTGCCCAGAGTACACCCAGGACATGTCAGGAACTCTTGCACAGGCAGCAGTGATGATTTCATGAATGGTGCGCTTAGCTTACTTACTAGTTACTTTTCTCTATACTGTATTCCCCAAACCCAGGGATGCATGGTTATACATAAAAGATTGGCATCAGAAAGGCCCATGGTCATAAAAAATGAGTCCTTCAGTTATCAGCCCAGATAACCAAGCAGCCACTAGAAAGAGAAAGTATGGCAAGTGGGTTAATACCAAGCAGGAGAATGCCTGTGAATGCATGCTTGAATGGAAATGAATGAGAGAGGATAAGAACCTATGGGCTCTGGGCTATGGGGAAATGAAGGCATAAAGGGACTAAAGAACACGTGATACTTAAAGTAGAAAGGAGTTGAGATCCCAGAACAGGCTAGGGTTAAGAGGCTGCCTTCTCCATAAACTGAGATCCTAGGACCCCTTCAGGACCCCTCCTACAACAGATTTTGGGCTAACATCTAATTCTCTGCTGGGTTAGGCAAGAGGAAAGGAAACACAGAGGATTTGTAATCTCAGCAGGGTAAAGATTTGTATGAAATGCCCCTGTGAAAACCTTCACTTCCCTTGAGAAAAGTATCAGGCCATAGGTCAGTCACACTGTAAATGAAATGAGCTAGTCAGCTTACTTGCCTTCTGACATTTATATGAGGAGGGAGAAATTCGAGTTTGTGTAAGGGTAGGAGGCTTTGAGAGGTATGGGGTATTGGGGGAAGAGGGAGAAGTTATGCAGAGCTTGACACACTTCAGAAGAAATCAGGTGTGACAGGATGTTGTAATGGGGCCCTGAAACCAGAGGAAATAGTATGACATTCAATGTGTGTATGTGCCGGGTGTTCACAGGTGAGAAGGGGACCAAACAATATGAGGACCTACTCATAAATTTGTTTCCTAGACCAGAAATCCTGCATTTTGGGACTAGTGTTGGCTCAATATTCTAGAGGTTTTAATCTGTATGATGAAAATATTTGGTTAGCACTGGCCTGTATGTCTGAAGAATACATATTTCATTTTAAAGGTGGTTAGAAAAGAAATATTCTGAACAAAACAGACACCTCAAAGATCTGAGCTTTATATATAAGGGCAGCATCACCTTTTTCTGTTAGGCGGGACAGATCATCTGGTTGGGGATTCTAGAGTCTTACCACTCTCAAACCCAACTGCTGAGAAACCCACACTGAAAACTGAGAAGTCAGGCTTATGTCTTGAGACTAAACCCTAGTGACGTCCAGCTGAGCTTTCAGTTAACTGTTTTGAGATATGGTGAGAATAGCAAACTCTCCTTTCTCCTAGTTCTCTGCTGTCAAATGGAGAAAAACAAAAACAAGGGTCAGAGAGCTATTTTTATTGAAGATCTCAAGAAGGACCAAGTCATTCATCAAGTGGAGCGGATGTGGTCAGGAAAAAGGACTGGCCAGAGAAAATCCATCTGCAGAGCCTCATCCTTATTGGTCATTTTTCCCCAAAAGACATCCCAGGATTCCTGTATCCTCTGAATGTGACCCATCGCCACCTTCATCATCAGCCTCATCATCATCAATGTTTACTTATTTTAACCAATAGATACACAATATAAAATTCTTGGATGAAGAATAGCATTTTTTGAACTCACCTTTAATACAGAGAAGTATGGAGAGGTTAAACAAATAAAAGGATAGGCTACAATCTCAATTTTGATAAATCAATTTTTAAAAACCTGTCAATGGTTATAAAATGCAAATATACAAATAGGTATATTTGCATAATTTGTTTATTTGCCGTCTGATTGATGGACACATCCTACTTATTTATTTTTTGGTATTACACATTTTATTGCTATGAATATCCTCAAATGAACAACTTGGTGAACTTTTAGACATATACCCATAAGTTAAAGTCCTAGCACTGGGTTGGTTGAGTTAAAGGCTGCATGCATAAAAATCATGGTAGGTCATAGTTACCCTTTATTGAATAACTAATTTGGGCCAAGAAAAGTTTTATATGTTATTTTTAATCCTCACAACAATCTTTCAAGGTCATTGATAGTATTAGTGATTACAGGTGAGGGTGAACTGAACTTCAGGGAGGAGGAGGCTGTTTTGACGAATGCCTATTAACCTCTGTAGGGAAGGCATTAGGTTCAAGAGGCTGAAGAAGAGACCCAGAGCCAGAAAACGAGACTTGGGGTTTTATTAGGGGATCACATGCAGGGGAGAGAGTCAATGACAGTGGGCTGGACAAGATATCTGTATGGTCTGGTGGCAGCAGGATGGGTAGGAGAACCAAAGCTGCTTGCAAACATCATGCAGTTTATACAGCATTTTCACTAACACCCTCCCCTTAATGACCTCCACCTCGCAATGTCCATTAAGGCTCCGGGCCTCAATCCTCTGTATGGCCCGTGTCCCACGGGATGGGCTGGGAGCTCAGATGTTACTCATAGACAAGGAATAAATCTCTGGATTGGCCACTCCTGGATTCCATAGCTGGGAGCACACATTCAGATGCATCTGTCATACAAGGTCATTCAGACTACAGGGACCTCCCCCGACCCTAGGTAACAGAGCTGAAGAGTGGCTGAACTAGAATTCAGTCCCGAGTCTTTCCAACTTGGAACTGACACAGTCATCTGAAGGCTACAAATAACGTTGAAGAGAAGATCATAAAGCTGGAGAATCCTGGCCATCTCTTAGTCCACACCTCACCCTTTCAGACGTGGCAGGGAGACCCTGAGAAGCTTAGTGTCTTGCCAAAGGCTATAGAGGTAAGATGGGACCGGGACCCTGCCTCCCAGGACAGCGACCTTTACAGTACACTAGTGGTTTTGTATGTCTGGGGCCACAGAAGCCCTTTTTCCAAAAAAGCTTGTGTACAACGGCTAAGCTCAGGTTGCTCTGCTTGAATCATGGGAGGAAGCCCCAGAGCCTGCTTCTGTCTTGTTTTCTACTTTTCTCTCTCCCAAGGCATTTCTGGGGAGCACGGTTTGAAAAACATCCTTTTTAATACTGTCTTTGAATGATTTTTTTGGTATGAAAATAAATTTTTAAAGTGAAATAAAAAAAAAAAAGAAAAACACTTGTCTATAGCACAGCTATCTCTGTGTGTGGGGTCCATCATTCTTTCTAGTTGCTTTGAGCAAACACAAAACCTCTAACTTCTTTTTTTAAAATGGAAGACTTGGGGGCCACCCTTTGTGCTGTGGTTTCTTTGGCCTTATCCCATTGTCCAGGGGAGGCATTGGTGATGGAGCTTGTTCATTTTTCTTGTGCTCATTGGATATGCGATCACAGAAGATGTATCTAGGACTCTGGAAGTCATAGAAACTCACTATTATTAGTCTGAGAAAAAAAATGGGGAAAGTATAGGGAAGAAAAAAATAATCCAAACATTGTTGGCTGGGTGTGGTGGCTCATGCCTGTGATCCTAGCACTTTGGAAGGCAGGAGGATCATTTGAAGCCAGGAGTTTGAGACCAGCATGGGCAATATAGTGAGACTCTGTCTCTACAAAAAGTTAAAACGAAATTGGCTGGGTGTGTTGGTGTGCACCTGTAGTCCCAGCTTCTCAGCAGACTGAGGTAGGAAGATCCCTTGAGGCCAGGAGTTTGAGGCTGGAGTGAGCTATGGTCACACCACTGCACTCCAGCCTAGGCGAGAGAGTGAGACCTTGTCTCTAAAACAACAGCATGAGCAACAATAACAACAACAACAATGAAGTTCATCTCCAATTTCTTATCCTGTCCTTCTCCAGCTGCCTCCCACCTGGGGTAGCCTCAGTGGAGAAGCACAGCTGCTAAACTAACAAGCGCAGTAAAGCTTCCTGGGCCGGATGCGCCATGAGAAGATGGGTAAAAACATTAGGAGCCATGCACCCATAAAGGAAACCAAACAGGAAATTTGATGTGAATCATCAGAAAGCACCCTGTATGGAGAGAAGGCTGTGGGGCTTAGTCAAAGACAAAGCACATGTTGTGTTGTTTAGGGATAGTGGATGGGAGAAATCATATTAGCTGAATCTATAATAAGATAGAAACATAGAGTGTCCAGATTCTTGTAAAGCAGATGGTAAATGAATTCTGCTCCTGGAGAAGGACAGTTTAAGGAATTGGAGATGAATTTCAGCTTTAGGTACTATAAGAAAAGGCCATATTGATTCACAAGACAGTGAAGCCAGGTGTTCTGTTTCCAAGGGGCTGTGAAAGCCTTTGGCAGACTGTGTAGCTTCGGTTCATTTTCTGTCCATTTATCCACTTATTTCTGTGGCACCTGCCACGTGGGGGCTGAGAGGCAGTTAGCATTATTACACCTGCTGGCAGGCAAGAATAATTGGAGTTGCACAAAGATAAGCAGGGTTCTGTTCAGTTAAGAGCATCGTCTGAAGTGAGTGAGGCTGTCTGCACACTGGGGTGCTTTGTGGGGGTCCTAAGAGTGGTCTCTCTGAGACAGATGGTCTCGTAGTCCCAAGTCACTACTCTAATTGGTTTCTCCCGCGTATGTAGGAGGTAACAGGGGAAGGTGGGAGCAGGTCATTAAGAACCTGTCACACTGACTGCAAAGTTAGAGAGGCTGAACACTGAGGAGAGACTGGGGCTTGTTTTCTCCCAAAGGACACTTTGGAGGCAACACTCACTGCCTCTTGCTCACACCAGCTACCACTCTGATCCTCAGAAATCACAACTTTTTGCAAGCCCATTGATACAAGCTTGTGATGCCAATACAGGTTGTCAAGGTGGTTTTGAAGATGTTCAAGTCATATCCCATGAGGACATTAACACGAGGTTTCAGTCTTAAGCAGAAGTTAGAGGAGAGAAAGATCTAAGTGTGGTGAAAAGAGTATTGGACATTGGAGAGGTGGTGTTAAGGGTCCCTCTTGATACTGGGCATAGGAGTTATCTTTTTATCTCTTTCCTTTCCTGTAATATAAAGGCTCTGGTCCAGAAGATCTCCGAGGCCATTCCCATCAATACTGGTGGCAGGAAACTGTCTCCTCACTGCTCCCTTACACCCATTCTCTCCCCTCTTAAGCCACCTTATGTAGAGATAAATCTAACATTAGTTGAGTGTCTACTATTGCACTATTCAATATAATTTACAGATACAAACTCATTTAATCCTCATACAATCCTATGAGATAGATACTACTATTTCTATCTTGGGGATGAAGGAGTTGAGGCACAGAGAAATTATGTAACTAGCTTAGGGTCACACAGCAAGGAAGTGGCTGAGTCAGGACAGAAGCATTCTGTTTAAAAGTGTTATGGCTATTCAAAATGGTCAAAGGACTTGAATGGGTATTTTCTCCAAAGAAAATATGCAAATAGCCAACAAGCACATGAAAAGATGTTCAATATCTCTAGTCATTAGGGAAATGCAAATCAAACCCACAATGAGATGCCATATCATATCCATTAAAATGCTATTATCACACACACACAAAAGGAGAATAACAAGTGTGGTCAAGGACGTGGAGAAATTGGGACGTTTGTGCTTTGCTGATGGGAACGTAAAATGATGTGGCTACTGTGGAAGACAGTTGGGTAGTTCCTCAACAAGTGAAACACAGAATTACCCTATCGATCCAGCAATTCCACTCCTAGGCATATACCCCAAAGAACTGAAATCGGGAACTCAAATACTTGCACACCAGTATGTACAGCAGCATTATTCACACTATGCAAAACGTGGAAACAACCTAAATGGCCACTGACAGATGAATGGATAAACAAAATGTAGTATATACAGACAATGGGCTATCACTCAGCCTTAAGAAGGAATGAAGTTCTGACATGCCACAACATGAATGAACCTTGAAAACATGATGCTAAGTGAAATAAATCAGACACCGAAGGACAAATATTGTATGACTCCGCTTTTATGAGGTACGTAGAATAGTCAAACTCACAGAGACAGAAAGCAGACTGGTGGTTGCCAAGAAGTGAGAAGAGGGGAAAATGGGGAATTAGTGCTTAACGGCTACAGAGTTCCAGTCTGGGATAATAAAAAAGTTCTGAAGATGGGTGGTGGTGATGGTTGCACAACATTGTGAATCTACTTAATGCCACTGAATTGTACACTTAAAAATGATGAAAATAGTAAATTTTATAATATATATATGTGTGTGTGTATATATATATATATATGTCTTAGTTTGGGCTGCTATAACAAAATACCTTAGAATGGGCATTTTATAAATGATAGAAATTTATTGCTCTCAGAACAGCCTCAGTTCTAGGGGCTGGGAAGTCCAGGATCAAGGCACCTACAGATCTGGTGTCTGATGAGGGCCTATTCCTCATAAACAATGCCTTTTATGTGTCCTCACATGGCAGAAGGACAACAAGCTCCCTCTGGCTTCTTTTATATGGGCACTAATCCCATTCATGAAGGCTCTGCCCTCATGACTGAGTCACCTCCCCAAATTAATGCCATCACATTGGAGGATCAGGTTTCAACATATGAATCTGGGGGAAGCACAAACATTCAGAACATAGCAGTATATTTTACCACAATATTAAAAAGGTGGGCTGGGCACAGTGGGTCACGCCGGTAATCCCAGCACTTTGGGAGGCTGGGGCAGGTGGATCACCTGAGGTCGGCAATTCAAGACCAGCCTGGGCAACATGGTGAAACACCCCTCTATTAAAAATACAAAAGTTAGGCCAGGCACGGTGGTGGGTGCCTGTAATCCCAGCTACTTGGGAGGCTGAGGTTGTACCTCCCAGGTTGAATCTGGGAGGCAAAGTTTGCACCTGGGAGGCAAAGGTTGCAGTGAGCTGAGATCGCACCACTGCCCTCCACCCTGGGCAAGAGAGAGAGACTCCTTCTAAATAAATAAATAAATAAATATGTACAGTCAGATTCCTTCCCTCTAAACTACACCTATGCCATGTCCCTCCTGCTATAACACTGTTAGAGGTTCCTTTCCTCTCATCCTACTCAGTGACAGCACCTCCGCCTGGGACCCAAGTGTAGGCTGCCTCTCGTAATAAGTTCTCGGCTGCTTTCATGTAATAAGCCTCCTCACAGAAGCCACGGTCGTGGCTGCATCCTGGCCCCTGCTAGGCTGTTGCAGCCTCTGCTCTCTTCCCATGTCGGGGGTTGTCAAAGCCACACTCTTTACCAATAAACCTTTTTTAGTTGACACCAGTGCTCTGGACCCTATCTTTTGGGAATTTTTCTAAGCCTTGCCGTCAGTGCCACAATCTTAATGTTGAATGAGACACTGCTTTGCACCGGTGTCTGCGTGTATGATGTCACTGCATCACCACTGCAATTCTACTTTGGGTCTAGAGTCAAGGGCAGAAGTGGAAATGCAGCAAACAATAAATACTTCGTGACTTGCCTCAAAATGATAATACCGCCGACTTTTATTTCAGCTCTGGCTTCCAGCTCGCCTTTGGGATTGGTCTGTGCTGAAAGCAATTTCCAAAGTTAGGACCAAAGAAGGAGCAGATGAATATAATTAGGAGAGGAAGAATAGGAGTCAGCCAAGCAGAGATCTGGTTCATTAATAATGGCCTTCGATTAGAATACTGCTTTTTGGGTGGCGTCTTTAGGATTCTCAGCATCAAGAGAGGCTGTAATTGCTTACAATGTTATCGGCCCTGTTGTCTTGTCATTTTATTTCTTAGCTGTTTTATATTCTGGGCGTAGAACCAGCTGGGAAGGATACAAGCCCAGTGGTGTCAGTGATAGCGGCTAACTGCAGGTATGGTCCATATTTAAGCCTGGGCTTTTATTCAAGTCCTTCATATTGTACACTCCTCAAACTGCTTAATGGAAGTGGGGGAAGAAGTGATATGGTTGGGGGGTCAGACAGGGAGGGGAAGGGAAGTGTTGAAACGTCATAAATTATGCAGTACTTAAAAAAATTCAAATTAATTTGAAGCACCTTTAATTATCTGCTTTATCCTCGTTTTATACTTTTGTCTGTGAAATAAAAAGCAACGTCCTCGCAGGCCGATGCGCTGTACCTGAACCGGGTGTGGCCAAACTGATCTTCCTGCCACCAAAGCCTGCAGGCTGTTCCCACTGCAGTGAAGACGTGCGGCGGTGAGCCTGCCTCTCCTGCCTGCGTTGGGAGGTGAGGTTCGGATGTGATCAACAGCGACCTCTAGCGTGAGCCTGAGACTTTGCATTTGGTTAAGCGTACAGAAGGAAAATAGCAGACATGGGAATTCTGATCAAATTTCCAACGAACAAAGGCGAGGTAACAAAAAACATTTCTCATTGTTTCCCCTGGTAGAGAAGCCCAGGACTGACAGCTGAGGATTTCACTTCATTGGTACCACTTACTCCCATCAGTGCTGGAGATGCTATTCCAAACATTGCCTTATTTCTTTTCCCTCAAACGGATCATTGGGATTGGTTTTAAAAAGCCCTTTCACTTGCCTTTAGGATTTCAACCAGAGAGTTCCCATAGGAAAGCATCAACTCTTTTACTGCAGGGTGTGTGTGTGTGTGTGTGTGTGTGGTTGAAATAGCGGACAGGAGAGTAGGAGAGAAGAGCAATGTCTCCGGGCGCTGTGAGGAGGTCAGGGGTTCCCGCTCACCCTTCTTCACTGACAGCCGCTCCCTAGAGGTGGCCAGCTCTCCATTTCTACCTGAGGCTGTCGACTATTGAAGATTTCCTTCCCCTGACCTTGGTGCGTTCACAGAGCAGCAATCAGCTCCAGGGGGTTCTTGCCCTCGCCCCTGCTTTCTGCTTCCGTCTTCTGCCCCTCCCACTCTTCTGAAGCCAGGTTCTGAGTCTCCAGGGTGATGTGCAGGCCAAGTGTGTGCACAGGCTGATGGCGCTCATTCCCAGCGAAGAATGGGGCCAGAGGATGACTTCCAAACTCTGTCAGGAGCCAGGAGCAGATTCTTTAGAGAAAGGCTAACATCGCAGTTCATGGCCCATGACTTTGCTGTTGGGGATGGGAATTTGTGGGATGTGTTTTGCAAGGGGTTTGGGGGGTTAGGGAATGAGGGAATATATTTTCCTGTAACTTCAACCAATTGAAGGCAGATAGATTTGCAGTACATATTTGCTGTAATAACTGGGTTTGGCCTGCCGTTGCCTTTTAACCAAGCTTCAACATAGAAATGCTCCATGTTTTGCTGTTGTGTTTTAAGCTATGAGCACATAATGGTGCTTGGGGCTTTCTCAATTTCACCTGTGCTTCCTCCTCCCAGTAGTATTAGATCAAGGACCCAAGCATTTGCTTAAAGGGCCTTAACTCTCAGGGCCTAATCCACGTGCCCTATCAATACACAAACTTACAGAGACATTTTCAGAGTTATGAAAATGTACACATCAGAAGCAAGAAGTATATTACATGTGAATACCCTTTATACAATTTCTATTAGACTTGTCCTAGTTTCTTTTAGCAACAACCATTGTCCCCACAAAGATTCTCTTCTTGACCAAACTAGCAGACTCCCCTGAGCCCTCTTCTCTACTGGGGCTCGACCTTGATCTATAAACACTTGAACAAACACTAACAAAGTATCAAAAAACTCAAAGCTGCACCCCTCAGATGACCCTAGCCCCCATAAAGCACCTGCCTGAGAGAACTCAAGGCTACTAAAAGAATTTACTGTTTGTTCCTGCCAACACCTAAAGACAGGGTCCCAGTCACCCAATCTCTGTAGTAGGGTAGGAATCTAATTTCAATAAGTGCCAATTAGCAAATCCAGGTGGGTTTCACGTGGATCAACACCTCCTTCTCACTTTTTGTAATTTTTCACTTCTCTGACTCTACTGAGCCTCTACTCCCTCAATCCCATTTTGAAATATCCAGCCACATCTGCAAATCAAGGATGAGTTCAGTTCACACTGGACTCTTTTCTCTATTGCAATTGTTATTAATGTTTAAAATAGGCCCTTTCCACTTTAGTGTCCAGTTTTGTCTCCCTTTGATAGTCCATTTAAAAATGGTCCACAATGGTTGAACACATATTGAGCACCGTTTACTACAATCAGTGCTGAAGAAGCAGAGAAGAATCAGACAGTGTCCAAAGTAGTCCTCAAGGATCCAGCCATAAACTCACCATTAAAAAAAAAAACCCGTAAATACCAACGTGGTTCCCATATAGGGCCCCTGAGCATAGAAAATCACAAAGACCTAATCCCTCATCCATGTGTGAAAGCCAATAAGTTACAGAGAGCACTGCAGGAGCCGCCCTTAGAGTTGACCATCAAAAGCCAGAGATTCACACTATATCCAGCCATGGAAACCATAGGAAGCTAACATGCTGTCCCTTGCCTGGAACACATGTTCTCCAGATATTTGCATGGCCTGCTCCGTCGTGTCCAGCATTCTTCTTCAATGTCAACTCCATGGTGAGGACTTTCCTGGCCATTCTATTTCCAGTACATCCAAAAGAACCAGGCACCTAGTAGGTGCTCAGTAAACATCAGTTCAGTGAGTGTCTATATTTAACATTGTTGACATCTCTTTCTGGAAATGCTGTCCTCTTCACAATCTTAGTTCTTTTCTCTAGCTCTTATGTTGTGGTTTCTTTGTTTTCCATACTCTTATTTTTCAAGGCTCAGGTTCTTAACACATACTTTTCTCTTTCTCCACTTTATTCATTGGGGATCATATGGATTCTCAGAGCTGTATGTCTCACATCTATGCTCCCTGCTAGTCTCATATTTCTAGCTGCCTGGTGGCCGTTTCCTTTGAGATGCCTTACTGTCACCTAAACTCCCAAATTGCTTTACCCATCGGAGTCACTATCCCTACCAGTGTCATGATTTCCCTTCTGCTCAGCTAAACTTCAAAACTTTCAAGTTCTTTTTATTCCTCTATTTATGTTTTTTTCCCCAGTAAACACCAAGTCCTACGGGTTCTTCCTTCAGAATGTATTAATTAAGGAAATATGTATTTATTGCAAAACACAATGCTAAATACCTAGGGAAGGTGTGGTATAAAGTTTCCTATTTTTCCCTCAGGGAGTTTGTAATCTAGGCTGAGAAGAAAACCATGTTCAGGAATTATAATTTAAGGCAGAAAATAATTAGTCTAAAGTTAGGGTTTATGAGAATGTAAAAGAGGGAAAAATACTTTCACTTGGATTAGAGAAGACTTCAGGGAACAGGGAATATTTGAGATGGGCCTTGAAAATCAGGTGGTATTTGGACAAGCAGATCCCAGGGGAGGAAGGCCTTTCGGATAGGGGGAATGGCATGAACAGAACACCCCAGAAGCAAGACAACCAGGCCTGGTGAGGGGAAGAGTCAGAGCTGAGTTCAGATGGGTCCTAGAGTGCATGAGGGAGAAGAATGGGAAGCAAGGTGGAAGAGAGAGGTCAGGGACTTTTAGTTTCATGTTGAAGGCACTGGGAAGAGATTTAAAAATATTGATCAGATAAATAATGCATCAGAGCTGTGTTTCAGGAATGTTAATCTAGTCATAGCCTCTAAATGGGTTGCAGAGGGGAAATAAAAAGAGGATCATCAGCTAGGCTACAGAACATTGCAGCCTAAATGTGGGCAGCAGAAGTAGCAGTGGAAATGCAGGCACAGGGAGGTGGAGGAGATATTGGTGAGGGAGAATGAACAGAGCTTAGCATCTGGTTGAACATGGAGAGTGAAGAAGAAGAAATGGTAACAAACAAATGCTGAGACGCTGGACCCAAGTATCTGATCTCCAAGTCAGAAATAGGGAGGAGGAGATAATCAGATTTGGGAAGAAAAGGGATGTGTTTAATTTCAGTCCCAGTGAGTTAGAGGTGCTGGTGGGATATCCAGGTGGAAAGTTCACAGCTCCAGTAAGGAGTTAACATACATGCCTGGAAATCATGACCACAGGCAGACCTGTACGAAACAATTTTCTCCCCAACCAAGGTGAGAGTTAAGGGCAACAGATCAATGATGATTGCCAGGATGTTTCTAATAAGGGAAGAGAAGACATTCCTTGTGAAACGCCTACACTGATGTGGCAGATGAGGGAGATCCAGAGAAGGAGTGTCAAGAGGGAAGGAAGGAGAGAGTGTCGGAGAAGACATGGACAGCAGTTCAGGAAGGAGTTCTTGGCACTGCCAAATGCTGCAGAGGCATGAGAAAGTGTGCGGTAGAGATAAAATTGTTGGATTTATGTTAGCACTATGCCATGGGAAGTATAAAGAATGCATAAGATGTCCATTTCCCCCAAAGAACTTACAACTCATGGGAGAACCAAGATTAACTGTGCCTGAAACAAAAACAACTTGTTAAAAATTATAAACATGGGGTTTAGATGTTTTGTGTAGACACCCAGGAGCTCAGCAGAAAGAAAGGCCAGTGAAAGTTGGAGGAGTCAGGGACCATTTCATGGAAAAAGTGAGTGTTGAGCTGGCATAGCGGGGATATGGGGATTTGCACAGGCATTGCACAGTTCAGAAGGCACCAGGCAAGAAAGGCCATGTAATATAGTTTGGCTGTGTCCCCACCCAAATCCCATCTTGAATTCCCATGTGTTGCGGGAGGGACCCAGTGGAAGGTAATTGAATCATGGGGGCAGGGCTTTCCTCTGCTGTTCTTGTGATAGTGAATAAGTCTCATGAGATCTGATGATTTTATAAGTGGGAGTTCCCCTGCACATGCTCTCTCTTTGCCTGCTGCCATCCATGTAAGATGTAACTTGCTCCTCCTTCCCTTCCACCATGATTGTGAGGCTTCCCCAGCCATGTGGAACTGTAAGTCCAATAAACCCGTTTTCCTGTAATAATTACCCAGTCTTGGGTATGTCATTATCAGCAGCATGACAATGAACTAATGTAGACAAAGGCACAAGGGTGGGAATCAGTACAGTCTGGCTCTGAGACAGTGAGGTGACCAGACTGGCCAGGGCAGGGAGCATCTGGAGAGGTTGGAAAGCAAGGTTTTGGAGAGGCAGACCGAGAATGGACTATGGAGAGTCCCAACAAACACTGGGTGGATTGTGTAGGCTTGATGTGGTAGAAAGAAATCCTAGAATTTAGAGATCTAGAGATCTTGGAGGTTGACTGAAGTTCAAGTACCTTACCCAAGCACCCAGGGCAAGTTAGTGACAGATCCAGATAAGCAGATTTCTTGACGTCTTATAGTAGTCCATTCTCACACTGCTATAAAGAACTTCCTGAGACTGGGTAATTTATGAAGAAAAGAGGTTTAATTGACTCACAGTTCCACAGGCTGTACAGGAAGCATGGGTAGGAGGTCTCAGGAAACTTACAATCATGGCAGAAGGCAAAGGGGAAGCCAGCATGTCTTCCATGGCAGAGGTGGAGAGGTGCCACACACTTTTAAGCAATCAGATCTCATGAGAACTCACTCACTATCATGGGAACAGCAAGGGGGAAATCTGCCCCCATGGTCTAATCACCTCGCACCAGTCCCCTCCTCCAATTTGACATGAGATTTGGGCCAGGACATGAATCCAAACCATATCACTCCTCAATCTAAACTTGCATGAAACTGGTGTCATAAGAGATTGTTCTGTTGGTGGAGTGTAGGAGCATGGAGAAGAAGCTGGAGAGAGGAGGATCCCAGGGTTCTGAAATGAGGGCCTCTCCTAGGAAGTAAAATTGACCGTAGGGTGAAGCAAGGGCATGTCAGCTCAACACCCACTTTTTCCATGAAATGGTCCCTGACTCCTCCAGCTTTCACTGGACTTTCTTTCTGCTGAGCTCCTGGGTGTCTACACAAAACATCTAAACCCTATGTTTATAATTTTTAACAAGTTGTTGTTGTTTCAGGCACAGTTAATCTTGGTTCTCCCATGAGTTGTAAGCTCTTTAGGGGAAATGGACATCTTATGCATTCTTTATACTTCCCATGCCATAGTGTTCAGCACATCATTGTAACAAATACACGTAGTTTAGTTGTTATGTGTGTGCCAGTCAGGGTTCTTCTGAGACACACATACACACGTGCGCGTGCACACACACAAGTGCGCGCGCACACACACACACTTATTTTAATGAATTTGCTAATGTGATTATGGGGATGTGGCAAGTGCTAAATCTGTGGGGCAGGTGGTAAGCTGGAAACTCAAGTGGGAGTTGATGTGTCAGTATTAGGGCAGAATTTCTTCTTTGGGAAACCTCAGTTTTTGCTTTTTAGGCCTTCAAATGATTGGATGAGACCCACCTACATTATTAAAGGCCATTTCATTTACTTCCAAGTCAACTGACTGTAGATGTTAACCACATCTACAAAATACCTTCCCAGCAACACCTAGATTAATGTTTGATTAAATAACTGGGTACTATGGTCTACCCAAGCTGACACATAAAACTGACCATCTCATTGCACTTACTGATGGAGTCATAGTGAGAAATTCAACAGATGGAGTTTTCAGAGTAAAAGCAGAGAAGGGTCACTGAGAGGCCTGGATAAGAAGCAGTGAATTTCCAGGGTGCGTGGAAAACTGATGCCATGTGGTGCTCCTGGGTGAGGTCCTTGGCAAGAAGTTTATGAATCAGCAGGAACTTGCAGGTTCTGGAAATTTTAGGGTTAAAAGGATGAGAGGAGGAGATCACTGGTAGAAGGTACTGGAAATGTTTTTATATAAAGAAAAGGAAAGAGAGAGGGAGAGAAGAGAGGGAAGAGAAAGGAGAGAGAGAAAGAGAAGGGAAGAAGGTAGAGGGAGTGGGGAGAAAAACAGGGAGGGAGGTGAGAGAGAGAGAGAGAGAGAGAGAGCACAGGAGGAGGAGGAGAGAGATCTCTAGAGTTTAAAATCCCAAGTCATTGTTTGTGGTGTATGGTTAAATGAAACTGAGGTGAATTTAAATGGCTTCAAAGTTAGGCATTTTGTGCTCTTTTCAGGCAATAAACAGAAACTAACAATAGACTCCAGAAATGTGAAAATAAAGTCAATAGGAACCTAAGTGAGACAAAGCAGATGCTTCTAGCGAGGAGAGAGAGTTCTTGACAGATTTTCAGATGATAAAAACTGAATTTTTTTCTGGAAATTGGTTTATTTCAAATATATTTGTAGAGATAAAACATTGAGGGAGTAAAAACACACACAAACAAATAGAAAAGCCAAACAAAACTGCTTACAGCAGAAACCCAGATATTTGCTGCAAAACAATTAGTATTAACATTGCTGAAGTGTTCCCTGAAATAGATGAGCTTCACCATTAGCCTTCTGTGAATTCAAGCAAGGAGGCATCATTACACAAATTACATGCCTGGAAAGGGGCTTTTGCACTGGGATAAACTTGTGAGAAGAACATTTAAAGCAAAAGCAATTTTGCCAGTCTGTAATTTGCTCTATTCCCCGTGCAGCATTGAAGATATTTATGTTTGAGCAAAATTCTCACTCCCAATCTGATTTCTTCTTTTTCTCAATCCAGCCATGAAGTCATGAAGTCCCCTGTTTGGGACAATATGATTTGCTGCCATAGAAACAATTATGATGTCATAAATTTATCTTGCCCCATGAGATCAAAGAGGAAAAGCAATAATACTAATATTTTGCAGTTCAATAGTGCCATTCATCTAGCAGTCACTAACTAGTAATTATCATCGATTTGCAGATGAGGAAAGCTGAAGCAGCAAGCTCCCATGCCTTGGTCTAGAGCTCTTGAATTTTAGGCCATGGCAAGAATGTCCAGATATTTCTAATTCCCACCCAGAGCAGCAGCTAAGGAGCCAAACTCTTGGTCTCCATGACTCTCATTTTGGATGAGGATGGAGAGTCGGCTCCTCTCCCAGCGCCTGCACTTCACCAACTGTTCCTAATTACAAGAGTATTTGATGGAACCTAGTTTGATAAAATAAACAAACAAAAAGCCCTTGGCAATTGTCATAGGGTGAAAACATTTATAGAGGAATAGAAAAGACGTTCTGGATAGTGCATTAAACCTTAAGCACTCTTGTCCAGCTCCAGCCTTGGCCTGACACCACCCTCCTCCAGTCCCACTTCCATGCTCATTCTCCTGGCTTCCAGCCATGAGTGAACGGACCTAGAAACTAACAATGCTTAATCCCCAGGCCCCTTCACTTGTACAGTCCCCTTCCAAGGACCTGGGAGGGGCCCTAGCAATGTGTTTGTTCACTTGGACAGACTTTTAAAGAAAAATGTGCACTCTAACTTCCTCTTGTGTTGGGTGGTGTTGGAGCAGCAGAAGCCTTTTGGGATCCTGGTAGGGGGAAGTGAGTTACAGATACATTTGGATGAGGTGGCTTGCAGTCCTTCTGTTTATAGTCAGATTACTGCTAGCCCTTTCTGAGTGGGAGTGCTTTTAAGAATATTTGCATTGTCTACTCTACTGACCCTTATGTGTGAGGAGAGAGTTGAATGTGTCTTTGGTATCCATCACTGGAACAAGGCGTTTCTGGCCTTCTTTGTTAGAAGAATGTGCAAAATGCAATAATTTATTATTTATTTTGGAAGGGATGCTGTAGCATTCCTTGGACCACTGAACACCTAAAATTTTTACTGATGTGATGGGTTCCTGAATCTTTATCAGGCTTATAGATATTCATAGATTATTATCTCCTATTCTTCAAGAGTTGCATGTGGCTTACACCTAGGCCTGCAATGTACTAGCCACTACCTTGTTTATCCAATTGAATTAGCGTAAAGTCATCCATGTATTGGACCAGTATGACATTCTGTCCAAAGATGTCCAGACAGTCCAGTTTTTTTTTGGACCATATTATGACAGAGGATGGGAGAGTTAACATATCCCTCAGTGAAGAGGGTAAATATACAGTGTTGGGCATTTCTGATCCTCTTTTCTGATAGAAATGGAAGACAATGCCTTCACCAGATCAGTGGCTGCATTCCATGTATCCAAGGCCAGGTTAATCTGCTTTAGCAAAGATACCACATCTGGCACAGCAGCTGCATTTGGATTTGAGCTTGCTTGGGTAGCAGTCATCCACTGCTATCCTTCAGGATCTGTCTTGTTTTTGAAGGGGTCAGATTGGTGAATTGAAATAAGGTGGGGTTCACCAACCCTATAGACTTTAGGTTTTTAAGGGTAGCACTAATTTCTGCCATTTCCCCAGGAAGCTACATTGCTTTTGAATAACTATTTTGAATAGGATGTGTGTGGGGGTGCCTTTTCAGAGGCCTCCACTTGACTTTACCCACAATCCAAGCAATCAATGTAGGCGTATGTATATCCAGTTATACATTTGAGGACTGTGAGCATGACTATAGGATTGGTCTATGGATCCAGTGGGCCCACTGTGAGCCAGACTTAGGGCAGCTCACCTCCATTTATTACCTGGTTCCCATATGCCCTCACTCTAACAGGAGGGTCGTGATGATGTTTTATGTCTCCAGTTATCAATGTCAAGTGTTCGACAGACCTCAAAATATCTGGGTAGTCCCCTTTCTTCAGTGTATCTGTGGCAAATGGCCATGTGTTTCTTTGGAGAAGGACTGGAGGAATCATTACTGGATATATTTTCTATAATGTTACAGGACCTTCCTTCTAAGGACCCAACCACTCTTTCAATTAATAGATTCCAGGACCACAGACTGGGTCATATCTGTAAACGGGGCAAGAGATCATGACTTTTCACTGAGGTGACAGCCCTCAGTTTCCTCATCATTCATCCTTGATTTCTTTTTATTTCAGATTGACTAGTATCATTGCTGGCTGCCCATTAATTTTGTCCTAGGGATGTTAACCCTTAATAGAGAAGAGTGGGATACTCCTGCAGTTTCAGAGGGCTCAGAACAATCTGGGAACTCAAGATTTTTGAAGTCATTAGCCCAGATGTTCCCAGCCCATGTGGCACTTGAACTAGATGAACTCCAAGGTGCATTTTGTCCCTGAGCCATCTTTTGAGAGTGACCTTTTAGGTCTATTTCTAACCTTCCCTTGAGAGGCAGCAAGGCACAGGCTCTGGAGGCAGTGCAAAAAGGTTTGAATTGTGACCCTGTCACTTACTAGCTGTGGGACTTCGAGGAAGTTACTTAATATCTCTGAGCCTCAGTTTCTTCATCTGTAAAATGATAATAATACAATACTACTCCCTCAACAATGAAATGACTTGATGTGTGTAAAGCATTTTATAATAATGCCTGACACATACGGGACACTTTGTATACGTATTCGTTATCTTGGCTCCTTTCTTCAACACACTTACACCCATCTTCACACATGAGCTGTAGTTTCTGCTGCCTCTGTGTTCCCACTGCAGGCTGTGTTTACTTTCACTACAGCACTCAGCAAATTCATTAGGAAGATTCGTGCCTGTTTTTTCTGCTTGACTTTGAGCTCCTCCAGGGCCCAGGAGTATGTTTTGTTGTCTCTCAGTTCCTGACACAGTGCAGCTGTTTGGTAAATATTCTTTGAATAAATAAGTGAGCTTGCAGTCCAGGGACTGGTCTGTCTTGGGCTGAGTCCCGAAGTGGTTTTAGAACCCAGCTTTTCCCTAACCAGCTGCAGCTGGCTTCTCTGTCATGTGTGCATACCTGGACCCCTTGGTCTGAGACTTTTGCTGCCTGGGATCCTTTGGGAAATAAATCACTCTCCAAGTTCTCATATATTAGGAGAGTTGCAGCTGCTTTTTCATCTATTTTTCTGGGTGCTGGACCTTGCTTGTTTGGGCGGAGCATCACTTGTACCTACCTCTTCTCTGGTTTTCTCTCCCGTTATTAGTTAGCTCCTGAAAACCAACACCTCAGACCCTCCCACCTCTGCTCTGACCTCCAGGTTTCTTAAGTTTTTGTTTTCCTCCCAAGGCAGATAACACCAAGTTCTTCATTTCTGTTGTGGCTTCCCAGATCTAGATTTTGGCAGCCCAAGCAGTCCCGAGACCCCTGCCTAACTTCCACACTCGACCAGCCTGACTGTGTCACATCTGTGAGTCACCAGGGCTTCCTGGTGTCAGGAGCTGCTGGACTTCCCTCTTTCTCAGGCTACCTCCTGTTTCAGATATAACCAATTTTCTCCATTGGCAGTCTCTGGTCTGCCCACACTCTGACACAGTCCTTGCCTAGAAAAGAAATATATATGGAGTTTTTGAGTTACATAAATTTTTTATCATTATCTACGTACTTTTTTGTGGGTGGTATGCCCTCGCTGTATGTAGACCCTTGCCTAGCTTCTGGCCATTTGAAGCTGAAACACCCTTGACACTTCCTGCATCCAAGCCTGGGTATTTGGTTAGTACCACCTGACCTCCTGGAGCAGGATGGCATAGCCTTGTCTACCCCACACCTTGTGCCCAGGAGAGACAGTGCTAATCAATCACAGCACTCTTTCCTCCAGTGTCTGGATGAGGTTGCAGATCATTCTCAACCCTATACTCCCAGCAGCTGCAACTACTGAGAGCCGGCACTGAGTGGAACCCTGTTCGCCATCCCTGCACTAAATCATGCCCTTGCCCACACAGATCCACTTTACTGGTCTCTCTTCTGCCTCTCTGGACTTGACCTGTCTCCCGCCTATTTGACAGCTGTAACCTGCCTACAATTCTTCTTAGCTCTTGGCCCCTACCAGACAGCCCTGGAGCCTGCTGGCCTTCAGCTACCAGGTGTTTACAGAATCTGGCTCCGTTATGCCTATTACAGGTCAGATATGACTTCAGGGCCCACATTCCTTCTGCATCATTACCGTACTGTTCCTAGAAGCAGCTTCTCTACATGGGTGTTTAAAATAAGCCTAGAGGAGTCAGAGATCTTTTCTGAAATGTCCTAGTTGTTTTTTTTTTTTTTCTGTGCCATTTATAGGCTTATCTCAGGGACAGAGCTGGACAAGATTGGTTATAAACATTTTTCTGGGATCACTCAGAATTGGGCTTCCTAACTAGGCTCTGCTGTGCATTCCTTATGCCCCTCACAAAGAAAACCCTCACCCCATCCCTCTGTCTCTCAGGATAGATGGTGCTGATGTGGGCCACTGACACAATTTAGCCCTAATGCTGGGTGGTGGAGCTTATGGTGTAAACAGTAGAACATTTAAATACCCTGATCTCCACAGAGTGGGTTGTCCAGTCTTCCCTGTTCTCTTTGGGCCACTTGTCACCTGGTGCCATCTCCTGCCCTAGAAAGGCCAAGCAGGATTGGTTAGAGGCCTGGGACAGGATGCCAACTCCCAGGGCCAAGGCTGTAGAGAGAAATGCACTCTTTGCTTGGCCATTCTTTCATGAGGTTGAGCTTCCCTCGGCCCTTCCCACCATTGCAGGGCTGAGATCAGTGTGTTGCCGGAGAAGAGGCCCAGGAGGCCGGCCAGTCTACCTTCAGCATCTGCTGCTTGGGCCACCTAATCTCAAGCATTTCAAGGAGTCAGCCTCTGTGGTGGGTTTCACAGAGAACCATATGCTAATTGAAGAGGTCACAGACTTGCTGCCTGGGGGCACCTACAGCCCTCATGATACTTAAAAAAATAAAAATTATAGGATGACAGCAAGAGTGAGGGCAAATAAAAATAAAATAAAACTAGCTGTCCATGTTTAAAAATTGGGGATTTCATGTGAAATTCCAGATGTCTGCTTCCTTCTGAAAAATAAGATGCTCTGTCAAAATTGGGCCCCTATTCTCCTAGCAGACATCGGCAGAAGTCAAGCAATGGCTCCTCATGTAGGTGGGGCTATGGGCTGAATTGTGTCCCCCAAAATTCACATGTCAAAGTCCTAACCCCTAGTACTTCAGAGTGTGACCATTTTTGGACATAGGGTCTTTAAAGAGATAACTAAGTTAAAATGAGGGCATGAGGGTTGGGCCGTAATCCAATATGACTGCTGTCCTTGTAAAAAGAGGCAATTAGCACAGACAGACACAGGGTAGATCATGTAGGTACACTAGAAGATAGCCATCTATATGGCCAGGAGAGAAGTCCCAGACCAGCTGGGTTCACACCTTGCTCTTGAACTTCCTTGAAGATGGCCTCAACAACTGTGAGAAAATAAATTTCTGTTGCGTAAGCCCCCAGGCTGTGGTACTTTGTTATAGCAGTCCTGGTGGACTCCTGTAGCTGGCATACTCTTCAGTTTGTCATGGTTCCCTCTGCTTTTCTTCCTGGCCCACTTCACCATTTCTGTGGCCTGCCTGACCCCTGGGGACATATTATTTGTGACCCATGACTCATAGGATCAAAGAGAGTACCTTCTCCTGGTTGGGGGGAAAAGGCTTTTATCTCCTTCCCTCACAGTCTTACAGTGGCAGGTGGAAGGGTTGGAGGTTCTGAATCTTGGCCAAACGTTGATAGATTTCATCTTGAATACGCCTTCTGGGGGGATTCCTTCACAGTCAGAGTGACTTCTGAAGGGAGTGCAGTCAAGACAATCCAAGTTGCCTTCCTGGATGGGGGTTCTGGGGCCTTTGACCTCGTCTACAATTTGGGACACTGAGCTAGTATGGGGAGCTCTGTGGGTGGCTGGTTGTGGAGTCAGGGAAAATCCAGTAGATGGCACCAAGTCAAAGTCTGAAATGAGGGCCACGCAGAGACTAAACATGGAGCATTGATCTGAAGAGGCAGGGAAGAGTGCTTGGAAACTAGGTATGAGGCACCAGAACAGAGAAGGGAGATACAGGACAGAACAGATTTGCTCGGAGTGAGGGTGGAGACCAGCTGGCTTGAGATGCTGGAGAAAGCATCAGGTCTTCTGTAGAGTACCTACAGCTTTGTCCATGGCATGGATGGGAGCTGTTAAAGGGTCTAGAAGAAAGCCATATTGCCTTGCATTCTATAAAAGCCCCCTCTGTGCTCCTCAGTACAACTTATATAGGTTCTAGGCCTATATTTGGGATGCATAAACCAAATTAGAGGGAATATAGTTCACAAAAAGAGACATCCCTACTTCCCCCAGCACCCTAAGACCTCATCAATTCACACATACAGGAATAACACAGACCCAGCCCCCACCCCACCAGATAGCTTCTTCCTAGAATACAATATTTTTATGCTGGCACCTTCTATGTGTGAGGATAGGGTATTGCTTCTTCCTTCCAAGGTTTCTGTCGGGGGTTAGTTTCTGTTTTTGCTAGTGAGGGAGAAGCAGGGCTTTGGAGTAACATGCTGAATAAAGGCCAGCTTTACTTAGTCCAAGGTGAAGCCGACCATGCCAGTGATTGTCCTCATTGCCTATTTTACAGATCTATCCATGCTCATGAAGCAATGTGGGCACCATGCCTTTCATTATTTTAACTGTTCACTGGGTATGGAAAGAAGAAATCATTTTTGTCTTCATTGCAGCGTAACTTTATACACAGAGACTTATGGCCTTTCTTAGTCTCTTTCCTTACAGACCAAACACAGGCCATCTTAGCTGCATTTTCTCACAAGGCTTATTTTTCAAAATTTTAATCATTCTCATTTTCTCTGAAACTTCGTTGATGGATCCGCATCGATTTTGAAATTTGGAACTTGAAGAAGAATACCTGGTATCCCTGCCAGGCTTGTGCTTAGCGAAGGCCAATCAAGAGTAATAAACACATGCCTATTTTTTTTTTTTTTGAGATGGAATCTCGCTCTGTCACCCAGGCTGGAGTGCAGTGGCACTATCTCGGCTCACTACAAGCTCTGCCTCCCCGGTTCACGCCATTCTCCTGCCTCAGCCTCCCTAGTAGCTGGGACTACAGGCGCCTGCCACTGCACCTGACTAATTTTTTGTTTTTTGTATTTTTTTGTATTTTTTTGTATTTTTTTTGTATTTCACCGAAACACATGCCTATTTGACCTCAGAGTAAAATCCCCGCAAGCCCAGCCCAAAACACCATGGTCTGTAGTTACGATGAGGCTCTCTGTGGACTTCCAAACAATTTACGACTCCTCATGCTCGGCCAGACCCACAATCTCAGTTCTCAGCTTGCTGCATATTTGTTCATATAGGAGCCACTTTGTTTTTCTTGATTGTATCTCATTTTATTGACTGGAGCCCAGTCCCTAATTTTGACAATGTACCTATTTGGATATCCTCCCTCACACAATAGGCCGCTGTTTTCACTGTCCTGATACTTCATCATAAGTATTTTAGTTTGACAAGAATCACATCTTTCAAGTACATACTAAGTTGGCTAAAGAGAATCTTTCATTAATTTATTCTTATTTCCAGGAATTATTGAGATTGCATTATGCCAAGGATATGGAGAGTGCAACAGAGAATGAGACGTGGACTGCCCCAGTCTCAAGGGGACGTTTTCTCCTTCCCACCGGCTGCGAGTGGTTATAGGAATTGAATGTATATATTCTCCTCTTTTGGGAACATAATTCAGATTCAGAGTAAACACTTTAAAAAGGTTTATTCAATTGGAAGCATAGTGGCCTGGCTGTTTCCAATAACTAACCCATCCTCCACCCTCTCCTGTACACACACCACTACCATGTTTGTCTCTACCCTAATGCACAGGAGTTTTTAATCTGTAACTGGGATCAGGAAAAGAAGCTGAGGAGGATGGAGGGGAAAATGTAACACCGACGCCACTAAGACACAAGGAGCAGGTGAGTCCTGTGCTTGGGGATACAGGAAGCACGTCAGAGGCTGATGGAACCATTCACAAAGTGAATGCCCAGCGGTGAGTTGAGAGCCACATCAGGAACCCCACATTGTTCTGGAGCTCTGAAGACTGGACGGGTTGGGACCACGAGAAGATAATACCCTTGACATGGGGCTTTGGGTTCTCATAATAAGTGTAGCCATTTGGAGCATGTGGGAGAGACTTATGATTGCTAACTTTGCTCTCCTGATAATTCCTAATAAATGTAGGAAATGGGAATGTGGCAATTTGTTTGGAGGCTTAAGGGGTAGTATTTGAGATCAAAAGTTGCAGATTCTTGGCTATCATGGGCAATGGGCAATGCAGGTAGAGAGGAATGGGGGTAGCAAAAAGAGAAACAATATTATGTTGAGTCTATATTATGTATCAGCACTGTGTTGGGTACTTGATGTATTTTATCTTACCTTATCCACACATTGACTGTGTGAAATAGATATCATCCCTATTTTCAGATAAGTAAAGTGAGACTAATATAGGTTAAGTAATTTGACCAAACCAAGATTTGACTATAAGTCAGCTTGGCTCAAAGACTATATTTTTCCATGATCTCATTGAATCATTTATTGTGAATGGGATTCTTCTTTATACTCTTCCATTGTCATGTCATATGACCTAATCATGTAAACTTGTCTACTTTCGAGGGAAGCCTCATTCTCATAATTTTAGGACGATAAATGACTCATTATCATGCTCTCCTTATAGAAAAAATCCAAGGGAATAATGAGAGAGTACGTAATATTTTAGTGCACTTCTGTCCTATAATAGAAAAACTGTCCTAAATCTGGTCTGGAGCAGAACCTTTTCAGTGTGATAAAAATCCATCACCTTCTTTTGGAAAAAAAAATTATATTTATGCAACTTACTGCTGAATTTTGATGGGATGAAGATTTTGTCTAGGAAATTAGTTACTCACCCACCCAGTTGACTGTTAGCTGATTGTCAGAAAAGAGTTCAGGAACTTTTGACCAGATATTCTTTTCATTTTATACCTAATAATGATATTTTTATCATTTTCTTTTCCTATACCTTATCTCTGACATGGCCTACTGTGGGTCATTTTCCCATGCATGAATGATTGTAATAACATTTTGATACTTGCTGATGACTGAATTGTCTGAATTTTTTTCTTCAATACTTACAAATAATAAATGTTAATAGTTAACATTTATTGAACTCCTATAATATGTTAGACAAGGTGTTAAGCATATTAGACATATTATTTTATTTTAGCCTCCTAACCATCTGATAAAGTAAACACTCACATATGAGAAAATTGAGACCTAGAGAAATGAAGTAATTTGCCCAGACCTCACTATAGGTAAGTGCTGAAGCTGGGCTGTGAATCCAGACGTTTTAACTTCAGTTGTGTGCTTCCAACTACTGTACCGTACTTCTTTCCCATAATGTTTCAAGTCTACTGTCCTTTATTTTATTTTTAACTTTAAAAAGTTTTTTTCTTTTTAGAGATAGGGTCTTACTATATTGCCCAGTCTTGACTCGAACTCCTGGGCTCAAGCGATCAGCCTCCTGAGTAGCTGGGACTATAGGCATGGACCACTGTGCCTGGCTTTTGCTTTATTTTTAAACATTTAATTACTGTTGCCTTCACAAAACTCTGAATATTGGTGTACTTGTATCTCTCTTGGGTTTTCACTGGCCTTTCAATTAGAGAGAAAAGAAGCAAAGATGTTATGTCTTGCTTCCATTTCCTCCTCTGGCTGAAATGGGTCATGATCACTCCATGTTCTCTGTTCTGACCCTTCAGTCCCTGCCCGTGAATTGAAAGGACATATTCAACATCCAGATTGGTCAGACATGAAGCTCTAGGACAGATCAGAGGAAAGCAAAATCACATTTGGAAAATCCTATAAGCTGCCTCCGTGTTTAATAAGATATTGTGAATGGGAGTAACAATGATTATTCTCAATTAAAAGGTGCACAAGAATGGAATTTCCAGAGCAAACAGCAAAAATGGAGTCAATCTAAAATTAGCAGGCCAAACACTGAATTCAAAATGCTTCCTCTGACTCAACTTTATACACCCTTAGGCTTTGGTCCAGACCCAGACTATTTGAAAAATATGCAGCCATCTGTAAACCAAGACTTTACAAAGTTTTTCAGTGATCATTAAGTTCAGGACAGCTGCTGACCATTAAAGCCTACTCTATGCAAGACAGCATGCACTGTAAGAGATTAGAAAAGAAAAAAAGATAACACCCTGTCTGTTAGCAATAGCCATACGGCAGCATTTAAAAAAATTTTGGCAACTCATTCTTTCAATTAGGCTTTTCTTTTAGTACTTTCTGTGGCTTAGGCACCATTCTGGGTGCTGGGCACAACAGTGAAAAATAGACAAAAATCCTGCTTCATGGAGCTTGCATTCTAGTAGAGTAAGACGGACAACTAAAAAGAAATAAACAAGCAAAACATATGATAGGTATAAACTAATAATTTATCCCTTACTTGGAAATAAACCTAAGTGATGACTGCTTTCTTTAATCTGATGATAGAACATTTTATAAACAGCTCCTGACTATCCTCTGATTCTCAAGGGGATATAACTTTGTTTAACTAACAAGGGACCAGATGTTTAACCACCTATAAATTTGGAGGTTAAACTGCAAAAAACTGATATGAGGTAATAATGTCTTGCTTTTGTTGTGTGTGCATGGGGGTTGGGGGTGGTCCTGGTAAATAAGATAATTTGAAGTTACAGTTGTATTGTCCTGTAGAACATTAATTACTCTTGTATCTAATTTAGCAATCTTATGTCAATATCCTTTACCCAGATTGACTACATAAGTCGTTTATTTGGATGCTCTTTGAATCAGCTCTTGTCTTTCTTCTGGTTTCCTTATTAATAAGTTGACTAAAACGTTGAACATTGGTATGTGCTCAGAATAAACTTTAAGAACTTTGCTTTTGCATATGTTTGATGGTGATAAAGCTATAAAGAGAAATGAAGCTGGGAATGGAAACAGGAATGCTGAGTATTTGAATTAAAATTTTTATTTTATTTTTTTTTATAAATAGTCTTGCTATGTTGCCCAGGTTGAACTCAAACTCCCGGGCTTAAGTGATCTTCCCACCTAAACCTCCCTAGTTGTCCAGCTTTTCCTTTCTTTTTAAAGATCAAATTACTTTTTCCTTCCTAACACTCTGAATGTAGGTGTACTTGCGGGGAGTTTGTAATTGTAAATACTGTGGTCAGAGAAGGCTTCGCTGATGGCAGGCTTCTGATCAAAGCCCCACAGGAGATGAGGGATGTAGCCTGCAGGTATCCAGGGGAAGAATGTTCTAAGAAAGGGAAAGGCAAGTGAAAGGTCCTGAAGTGATTCACCCTGGCATTTTTGAAGTACCCTGAGAAGTTCAAGGAGGTGTAGGAAGGGCTGGAAGGCTGGCAGAGCGACAGGGGAAGAGTAGGAGTCGATGAGGCCGGAGAGGTGATGGGGGAATGGGCCATGGAGTACAGAGCAGAGGGCCTTGTGGGCTGTGGTAAGACTATGGTTTTTTCTGGGGAAGATGGAGAAGTTTCTAGCTGAGGACTGGCAGGGTCTGACTTGTGTTTTTAAAGGCTCACTCTCTTGTCGATGGAAGAGACTGTAGGAGGGCCCGGGTGGAAGCAAGGAGACCAGTCAAGAGACACAGCAGCCCTCGCAGGGGCTGATGCCGTCCCAGGACCAAAGCATGAGAATGAGTTAGAGTCTATATATATTTGAAGGTGAAGCTAAAAGGATTAGATGGATTGGCTGTGGGGCAAGGAGTCCAAGATAGCCTGAATGGGGGCAATGTCTGTGACAGATCTGGGGGAACAGCTCATCTGCGGAGCTGTTCTGAACCATCCACAAGGACAGGAGCCATCATGCTCGCTCTTCCCACGCATCAGAATTTCCCAAGCCCTGGCCTCCACCCTAGGGGACTTTCCCTAAACACTGACACAGGGGATATCAAACTTTTCATAGTTCCGTTTAGTCATTCACAGTCAGCTTTCCTGCTTGGGGCCGTTCATAAGAACCTTTCTCATTCGCCTATTTCCAGCATTGTATGTTCCCACAATGCTCATGGTTTTGATTTGATGCACATTTTTGTTTTAATTTGCATGTTTAAATTGCATTTTCCATATTGTATTAAACATCCTTTGGGGTGTCTTGCCAGGCCATGATCCTCTCCCTCTGAGAATTGTTTCTCCTAATCTTAGGCAAGGGCCTTGTCTGCCCTATAATTTTTTCATTGGCATCCTGTGTAATCCTTAACAAATAAATAACTACTCCCTAATTTATCAATTAATAAACCTGAATTTTCTTATGTGGGTTTTGCCTGTCAGTAGGATAAATCTTCTTACTAATACATAAGAAGACTGCTTTCCTATTAGTAATTATATGTACATATGTGCCTATATATGTTCATGTATATTACACATACTTAGGCACATTTGCTTCTTTAAGCTGTCAAAGTTTAAGATAAAGGTGCCATGAGTAATCCTTAGTTAGGTCCCAAGACCATCTCAGTTTTACCAACTTAAGACCCCTTGGGAGCTTTATTATCACAGAGTGAGGCTGGAATCACACCAGAGAGATGAGGCCCAGATGCCTAGCAGTCACCTCCCCCGGGCTCTGTGAGCCCCCAGCTCCCCATCTCCTTTCCTCATACATTCATACTCAGGTCTGCTTCTACCACACAGTGATGTCACCCAAGCTATGTGAGTGGGAGCCAGCAGTCCACCTTACTGAGTGCATGACTGAAAGTGACAGAATGACTTATGCACAAAACGGAATTTATTGGCTCATGTCACCGAAATGTCCAGGGCAGTCTAGCTTCAGGAAAGGCTGAGTCCAGGTGCTCACACTACATGATCAGGCACCTGTAGTGCTCCATTTCTCAGCTCACTTTTCCTCTGTGCTTTCAGGCAGGCTTTCCTGACGCTCATGAGCTCTCCAGGCTCACTCTCATTGGCTCACAACCTTGGCGAAAAGAGAGCAAAGTCTAGCAACTGAGTCTCACTGGAATGATTTGGTTCATATTCCCATTGCTGATCCCATCATGGTGGAAGGTAAGACACAGCACTATTGGCTTTATGGAGTGAGACTGGAAAAGGAATAGCTCTCCTGTAGAAAATTACCAGAAGGAAGGAGATGTATGCTAGGCTGACCACCATCAGGTGCCCTGTCCTAGACCTAAGCTATGATTGTCCTCCCAAGCTCTATCCTTCGTGGATTAGCATCTCCCATTGAGGCCCGAGTTCTGAGTGCAATGCCCACTGAATTCCCAACTCAAGACAGAAAGTGTCTTTTTGAAAGTGAAACAATGAGGGTGTTTCTTGAGGAGCTTTAAAGAATACTTTCTCCTCCACTCTCTGCTTGAATTTAATCTTTTATATTTCCATCAGAAATAATTTCTAGTGTTCTTTCATCTGCAAATAAGTGCTGGTGTTGTCTTTGTCTGCATGTATTATTTATCATTCAATTCATGGTGTGCGTTTGTTGATCAGCCTGTGGGTGTATATGCCTGAATTTAAATGAGAGTTTATCTGTACAGTCAAAGAAGTCCTTTAGGAAATCAACTCCCAGAAAGAGGCTAGGAAGTCAGAGGCTTGGCTTGGTGCTGATTGAGGAGCAGGTAGCTTGCTTTGCAGGAGTTGGATCCACTGGGGGCAGGAAGGCACGCTCAGCTTTAAGATCAACAGGGAAGCGGATCTAGAAGCACCGAGGGCATTTCATAGATCTCATGCAGCTCTTTAGCAGCCTCAGTTCAGCCTAATTATAAGTTTCTAGATTACATAATGGCAACGATACACAGTAGATGGCTAGCTTGCATCTCATGAAGAATGAGAACCCATTTTCTGCTTTATAATTTACAATTTTCCTCAAAAGTGAAAATTGCAAGGAAGAGAAGCTGAAATGCAGTTCATTCATTCCCTTCTACTCTCAAGTGGTTATAGGTGCACAGAGGTTTTTGGTAGAAATTATGGACACTATTTGCAAAAATAGTGTAGCCAGCACTGAAAATAATAGTTCTTCTCCCCACTGAAGGATTTCTATCCCCATGGCAACTGGCAAACTCACAGATATAAGCTGAAGTGACAAAACCCCGGAGACCTTTTGCTCACTGTGTGGACCCTGGATTTGGTTTTGTTTGTCTTGGCCAGGAAATGTTGGCAGGGTCAGCAGCTAATGGCCTGGCCTTTGGAGCTGCAGGCAAAATGTGGAGCAGCCCGGACTTTATCTGGATAAATTTCCGAGTGCAGACCTCAAGGGTTCACAGTTCTTTTGATGCACCTTGAAAGAGATTTTATTATGAGACTAGGTGCTTTTAAAAAGAATTACAAATTGGGAAATTTTCTTTAGGATTATTGAAAAAAAAATTAGGCAAATCTCCACGAAGGGCTGTATTTTCCTTTTCCCCTCTTCACCAAGTATTGAGTGTGAATTAAATACGAGGCATAGCAGCAGTCGAAGTGGAGTGACAAGCCTCATCCATGAGTAAATGCAACACGTGGCAGACGCTGCCGCTGCCCCATACACACACAGCGATAAACACAGGTCACTGTGGCCTAATAAACTTGAAGGAATGTCAAACAACAATAATTTCCTTTGTGAATCTCATTCAAGAAAACATTTCAACGTCAAACAAGTCCTTAGAGCATTGTGTACTGTGGATGTTATTGGACAAGCTGTCGCTGTAAACTGCCAGAACCTGGGTTGCATTTGAATTATGACTCTGGGAATATGACTCCATTCCCTTCTCCCTCTTGCTGCCTTTTTCCCCTGTTGGCCCTTCCCTCTTTTCATCAGCACTTTTTATAGACTGTCTCATTAGTCTCTAACTTCATGGTGACTTTTCTTCATTCCTAGTGGGAAATATCCTCCCCTCAAATTTCACTTTAAAACATTACAGAAATGTGGACCTTAACTTGCTGACTTCAGAACCATTCGCGTCCACCTGAGTGTGGAGTTTCTGTTCTCCTAATAGAAGCCTTCTCTGCATCCTTGGATCACTTACTCTCCTTTTCCTTTTGGTGACAGAGTTCACACACAACTTTCTGTTTGCCCCAACCAACAACACAACTTCCCTTTGCTTTAAGATGGAGCCCAACTTGGTGTGCCCTCCAGAGCCCCCATCAAATGTGTGGTGAAAAGTGCAGACCCTGGAGGCAGACTAGCGAGGTCTGAGTTGTAGCTCTGCCACTTGCTTGCTGTGTTACCTTGGCAAATCACTTAACCCCTCTGTGCCTTCATTTGCTGCTCTTTCAAACAGGGACAATAGTATCTGTATTATAGGGTAGTTGTGAAAATTAAATGAGTTAACCTTTGTAAAGCTCTGAGAACAGTGCTTGGCACTCAGTAAACTCCATACAAGTGTAACTATTACCATTCAGGGAGTGGTAATACCATGGATAACATTTAAAAAATGTTAACTAAGGGCCAAGTATTGTGCTGAGGGTTTCACGTGAGTTATTATTACATGTAATCTGCACAAAGCCCCATGGGGTAGGTACTGTTATTATCTTGGTCCTAAAAATGAGGACGTTTGTGGCCCAAAGCCACCCAGTTAACAGAAACAGGTTCCTAACCTTGTTCTGTGCGGTAGTAAAGCACATATACTTATTACTAGGCTGACAGTGTAAGGATTTGTGTGTGTGTGGCAGTGGCATCAGGGGCTGGAGGGAAGGGGTACAGTTAGAAAGAAGCAAGCTTTTCAGGGAGTAATTTTTGTCTTATTAGTACCTATTTGGATCTGGGTATCTAATTCCTATTCAACAATGATTAGAGCTGTGAAGACGGTTTTAAACGAGTAAGTCTGTGAGTGGGTTCTCCCCGTGAACATTTTGCTAGCACGCATTTCTCAGGTTCTCACTAAATTATATATGGACTGGGAAAAGCATAGCCAATTTCAGAGACGGGTCCAGAGCTGGATAAAGGAAGAGAAGTTGGCAGTGGTTTGAATGGCACCTAAACATGCTTCTCCTCCCTGAAAATACTAACCCTCTGTTCCAATAAAGTCAGTTTGGTTGTCAACTAAGAGGGAGCTGAAAAAAATTGAGTCCAGGACATAAATTCTGATGAGAGCAAGAAGGGGCAGGAATAGAGGGCCCCTCTAAGGGAGAGGGCCATGGACAGTTGGGATTACTTGATGGAGTGAACACCTGAGCTTGTCTGGGAACTCCTAAATGAAGAAAGTGTCGATAATGAAAGAACTACGAAGGATAACTTTTGTTTTACAACGTTGCCCTAGATCTGGCCTTGGGGTAGCTGATTAAGGTTCTGGAAATCAACAGCTATTGCCCTTGTATTCCAGATCTCAGCCTCACAAGCACCATTTATTTTGGAGGGGTATTTAGTATTGGCATCATGTTAAATTTCAGCTTGTTAAAAGGCCACCATGATAATAATTGAAAAAGTCCTGCTTGGCATGTGGGCTATGGGGATGTTAAAGCTACCTTTTGCTCTTTCTCCTTCTTTAACATATGTATTCCAGCTGAGCTGATAACCAAACCCCAGCCTCCTTCAATAAATTTATGTCACTGCTCTGTCCAGAAAGGGATATCTCCATATTTACAAGGTTTTTTATGCAAGAAGCAACCCTTTACCCCCACACCTTCTATTCCTTTTGTGGTTCTTTCTGGATTTACAAATGAAGCCTCTCCTCTTCTTTTTTTAATGGAGAATTTTAAAGGCCAAAGCGTTTTCAAATGCAGGGCAATGAAGCGGGCTGGTTTCTGGACACCAGACCTCTTCTGGAGGCCCTGGGTCTATCTCTCTTGCTGAACTGCAGGCCACTGTCCTGGGTAGCAGAGGCTGTAGCTGCCATGCCTATGCATTCACCCACAATTCCCATGGCAATGGCATGAAGCTGCATGACCTCATTGAGCCTCATGCTCCCTGTCTGTAAAATGAGGCTACTGGAAGCAACCACTTCACAGGACTCTTGTGAAGGTTAAATAATAATGCACAAAAAAAATCTGGTGCACTACTTATCACAGAGCGAGCACTTGATAAACGACAGTGAGCATCATCCCTCCAGTCTTGTCTGAGCATGGCCTGTGTCCTCCTAAGTGCCACAGTCATGAAAAGGTAAATATACTACTCTATGCTTGAGAAACTCAGGAGAGAACCTTATGATTTTCTTTAACTCCTTGAAAGCTGGTGCTAACTTACTTATGCCTCTTTCATTAGCATTAAAGGAATGCCTCGCACTTTCTCAAATCTGGAATTAAAATCAGAGGCTGCAGTCATTGCCCTGAGTTATACTAGGCATAAATAAAACTTCCCTGAGAAAGTTGGAAACTTGCCTAGATTGAGATTAATTAGCTCTGCATCTCCAGAGTGTGTACATAAAGGTGCACTGACTTCTCCCAACTTAGAAACCTTGTTATTTAAAGGCCTTTAGGTGTTTGGGAGGGGGCTGCCCAGCACATTGATAAGGGCTGTGGCATCTCTGCTTGTGTTTGGGGCTTATGTGAGGGTGTGGTCCATCTGATCGTCGTGGTTAAGAGTTTTGGTGTCAGCCTTCTATTGGGCGTTTTCAGAATGTAATCAGCCTTAGCAGTTTTAAGAAGGACTCACAAGGTAGACTTTGGGCAAAACAGCCGAGTAGGGAAAACTTTGGCATCCATCTTCTCTCTGTCGGATACTGGAATTCCAACTAGAACAGTTCCAATGGACATTCTCTCTGCTGTTCTAAAAGTTACGGGGTCAAGGGATTCTTTTTGATTGTGCCTCCCAGGGCAACGCATCTTGAAAAGTCGTCAGTGATTGCTGTCTTTCATTCCTTTCTCACATTCTTTCCTAATAACCTCTCCAATCAGACGTTTGCCCCACCTCTGCATTCAAACTGCTCTTGTTAAGTTCAACAGTGTCCTCCACGTTGCAAACCCAGTGCTCCGAGATTTCATATTCCTTGACTCATCGTTAGCATCTGACACTGGATTATCCTCTGCCATTCAGAAGCATTCTCTGCCGGGCTCCCAGGGCCTCTTAGTTTACCCTCCACATCTCCAGCTGCTTCTTCTAAGTTTCCTTTGCTGATTTCTCCGGGTATTCCAGACCTTTGGACATCGGAGGGTCCCAAGCCCCGTTTTTGAACATCTTTTTCTTTTTTCCTTTTAAAATTAAACTGCTTTATTGAGATATGATTGACATGCAAAAAGCTGTAGATGTAAAATGCATACAACTTGATGTGTTTGGAGATAAGTATTCACCTGTGAAACCATCCAACCATCATCACCATCAATGCTCTAAACTTATCCATCACCTCCAGAAGATTCCTCTCATTCCCTTTGTGGCTGTTATTATTTTTTCCTTCTGTGGTAAGAGCACTTAACATAAGATCTACCCTCATAGCAAATGTTTAAGTATACCAAAACAGTACTGTTAGTCATAGGCCCTATGTTGTATAGTAGATCTCCAGGGCTTATTTATTTTGCATAACTCAAATTTGTACCCTTTGATAAACACCTTCCCCTTTCTCCCTTTCCCCCTCCCTGGCAACCAGCATTCTACTCTCTGTCTGATTCCATGTATTTGACTATTTCAGATTCCACACATATGTGAGATCATGCAGTATTTGTCTTTGTGTGTCTAGCTTGTTTCACTTAGCATAATGTTCTCCAGTTCTACCCATATTGTCACAAATGGCAGGATTTCTTCTTTCTTTTTTAAAAACAGAATAATATTCCACTGTATGTGTAAACCACATTTTCTTTATTCATTCATCTGTCAATGGACATTTAGGTGGCTTCCATGTCTTAGCTATTGTGAATAATGCTGCAGTGAACATGGAAGTGCAGACATGTCTTTGAGATTCAGACTTCAATTTCTTTGGATGTACACCCAGAAGTAGGATTACTGGATCAAACGCTAATTCTATTTTTAATTTTTTGAGGGGACATCTTATTTTTCTATACTCACTTCTGAGGTGTTCCAGGCTTATGACATTAAATGCCACCTATATACTGATAAGTTATAGATTTAGGCCTTCAGCTTGTACCGCTTCCTGAAATCCAGACTTATATAGGGAATTGCTTATGCAGCATTGCCACTTGGATATCTGTGGTAGGCTGAATCATGACTCTCTCCAAAAGATATTCATGCCCTAATCCCTGCAACCTTTATATGTCACCTTACATGTCGAAGAGCTAATGTGATTACATTAAGGATCTTGAAGTGGAGGGATTATCCCAGTTTTTCTGGGTGGACCCTAAATGCAATCACATGTATCCTTACAAGAGGGAGGTACAGGGAGATTTGACATACTGAAGAGGAGAAAGCAATGTGACAACAGAGGCAGAGACTGAAGTGATGCAGCCACAAGCCAAGGAATGCTGGCAACCACCAGAAGCTGGAAGAAGCAAGGAACAGATTCATCCCACTGCCCCGGGAGGGAGCGTGGTCCTGCCAATACCTCGATTTCAGCCCAGTGAAACAGATTTAGAACTCCTGGTCTTTAGAACTCTGGGATAATGTTTTTATTGTTTGAAGCCACCAAGTTTCTGGTAATTTTTTATAGCAGCCCTAGAAAACAAATGCAATATTCAATAGGCATCTCAAACCCTACATATCCAGAGCTGAACTGCCTGCAAATCTGCTCATCTCCTTGTCCTCCCTGTCTCAGAGAAAAGAAAATTCTATTCTTTTAGTTGTTCAGGTCAAAAACCCTAGAATCATCCATAACTCTTCTTTTTATTTCATACTTCACGTCCTACTTAGTGAATCTTATTTGCTCTACTTTGAAAATATATTCAGAATCAACATTGCTACTGAGCCACTGTCACCTCTTGTTTGAATTATTGCAACAGCCTCCTAACTTGTCTCCCTGCATCCTCCTTTGCCTCAGACACAGTCTAGAAGAGACCGCATGGCAGCCAACGATCTTTCTTATGCCTCCCTGTTGCACTCAAAGCAGAAGCCACAGTTGTTACTGTGATTTCAAGGCCCTCTGTGACTTGGCCCCTAGTACCTCCCTCAACTCCATCTCATACCCTTTCTCACTCCATTTCAGCCACACTGGCCTGTTCTGTTCCTTCAATATTCTAAGCACACTTCTGCCTCAGGGCCTTTGCACTTGCTGCGTCCTCTGCTCACCTCCCAGATATCTGATGGCTCACTCCTTCACCTCTTTCGGATCTTTATTCAAATGTCACCTTCTCAGTGAGGACTCCCTGGCCACCTTATCTAGTATTGCATCCCTAGTAAATACCCCACCCCAAACATATCCATGCTTTGACTTTCTTTATAGCATTTATAACTCTCTGACATACTATATATAGACTTATTTACTTGGTTGTTCATCTTTCTGTCTTACTGGAGTATAAGTTCCATGAAGATATGGACTTTTGTTAATTTTATCTATTGTCATATTCCCAATGTCTAAAACTGTACCTAGCACATGATAGATGTTCAATAAATACTTTCGAATGACTGAATGGATTTCTAGTGGTGCTTTTGGCCGGGAAAAGAGAGATATTCATCCTCTTATCCAAGAAGACCCGTGGAACCCACAAACCTTTTAACTAATTAAGATTCACTGATGGCCTACAGCTAAGAGAGAGCCGTGTTGGTTAAGCAGAGGATCCTTTGTTTAAAATGAAAAAAATAATAATAATTCTTGAATTTTCTTTGGCCTCAGTCACTCTCCCATTAGCTGTTTCAGTCCTTCATTCTTATTTATTTCCCTTAAAAGTTTTCCTGCTCTTTTGAATTTCCCAGGTTGTGTAAGTTACAGGAACGCTAGAAATGCTCAAGAGAAAGTGATGAAAATCTAGAATCATTTTGCTTTTGAAGTTTCAGTATTAGGAAACAATAAAATAACATAAAATACTTTTCCCCATAGGTCACACCTGGCCGTGTGAGTGCCACAGCTCTGCACCATGCATGGGGAAGTTGCTCGGTATCTAGTGAATCCAAGTAATTGCAAAGCCACCTCACATTCATTGCTCTTGCTGGCCACCTGAGTGCTTTTGTGTATCCATGCTCTGCACTGAAGATAAATTATGAAATGTCCCAACACAACGATGGGTTGTAAATTAGGACTTATTATGTCAGAACTTGGGACATCTACTCCCATCACTGTCACATCGAATAGGAGAGAATTTTGAACATTATAAGACATCATTGGTCTTCTGTGCCAAGGACTGATCTAAGCACTATGTAAGTATTAATTAATTTAATTCTCATAACAACTCCATGAAGTAGGGACCATTACTAATATCATTTTTAAAAAATGAAACCGAAGCACAAAGAGGTTAATTTGCCACAGGTCATCTAGGGCTGCCATAACAATGTACTACAAATTGGGTGGCCTAAACAACAGAAATGTATTGTCTTACAGTTCTGGAGGCCAGAAGTCGAAATCACAGTCTCGGCAGGGATGTGCTCCCCGTGAAGATGCTAGGGAAAGATCTGTTCGAGGCCTCTCTCCAGGCTTTTGGTTGCTCGCTGGCTGGTGGCAGCATGATTCCAGTCTTCATGTGGCACTCTCTATGTGTGCATGTCTCTGTGTCCAAATTCCTCCTTGTTATAAGGACACCAATTCTATTGGATTAGGGGCCCAGCCTACTCTAGTATTACCTCATCTTAGCTTAATGAGTTACATCTGCAGTGGCCCTAGTTCCTTGTAAAGTCACATTCTAAGGTACTGAGGGTTAGGATCTTAGGAGGACATAACTTCACCTATAACAATTACTTGCCAGTTAGTAAATGGCAGAGCCAGGTCTTGAACCTAGCTCTGTTCTGTTGCCCCCCATGTATGGCTATGGTAGTGGCAGCTGTCATTATGTGAAGCCCAGAGTACTTATTCGCTTTCATTTCCTACCTTCATGGAAAAAAAGTATGTCATAGGAGAATAGAACTGTGGAAGATGTTTCCCAATTTTTATGACAGATTCTATGTGTTTTCGAGTGTTTGAATTGTATTTGTGACATTTTTGATGGCTTTCCTCTGGGTTTTAGGATTTACATTGGGGCATTATGGAGTACAGGATGGGGGCTGGCATGATTCCTCCTACCCAGAGACTAGCTGGAAAGCAAATGACTTATTCTTGCATTCCTTAACCAGTAAATAACTATCAAGGCCTCCTATTGTGCCTGGCAGCGTGCTGGGCACAGGAGTAGCTTGTGACCATATCAGACATCAGGCCTGTCCTCTTGGAGCTCACAGTCTTATTACCATAAACTGGGTCACTACAAGAGTGTGATAGATCCCTGGAGTGGGGTGAGCAGGTCACAGAGGCCCGAGACCAAAAAGGAAGGTGGCGGTGAAGACTCAGCTTTTAGTATTGATGAACGCCGATTACCATGCATGGAAAGTCCTGGGTACAGTTTCATATCTTAGAAGAAACAGTGCTGTGGATACATGTGGATAGCATTGAGATCACAGTACTTTCCTGTTACTGAGCGATGAGAAGGATTCAAAGAAGGTAGAGTGAGGGAAAACCAAAATGGCTGCTTTCCTGTGCCCCTTCTGTTGTGATTTTCTGTGCAATGCCTCTCGCCCCTCTGCCCTACCTGAACTCTGTGTAGCTGGGGTCAAAGGTCAAGCTAGAAAACAAGCTGCTGGAAGTGTCACGGCTTACACAGGGGGCATCTGGAGTCTGTTTCTTCTCCAGGTGGAATCCTTCTTTATCTCAGTCTCCAAATACTGGAAATCACACTTTCGGTCACACTCTCCCTTCTCTCATCTTAAAGCTAAAGGCACAGATGGCCCAGAGCACTGGTAGGGCAGAGAACACACCCAGGACAACTCTCATTTGTGAGAGAAGCCAATCCCAAATGAGAAGGTGAGATCTGGGGCAGCCAGCATGGTGCAGAGAGTGCAGTGGGGGGCCAGAAACACATCCCAGCCTGGAGAGAGGCAGGACAGGCGCTGACCTCAACAGGAGGGGCAGCCAGGGAGAGCCTGGGCACACCAGAACCCAAACCCTATGGTCATGAACTGGTTTTCACTAGTTCCTGGATGCTAAGGAGGTGGGATTGCCTCTCAGAGACCCATGTCTACCATCTGAAGTTGTATGTTTAGGGATTTCTACATGAGCGGTATGGTAACATTCATCAAATTCTGATTCTGGTTTATTGGTCCAATCTTTTCCCAAAGGATGCTTTTGGTACATTCTTAAGGTCCTTAATTAAATAACCCTCCCAGGTGTCACTTTAGTTGGTTGCCTGGATGGAGTTGACCTTACCTAATAATTCAAATCTACTCAGTGGCCAAAGTGAGAAAACCCAGAAAACTACACACCTTCCAGAATGGAGCTTAAACAAGGCTTATTTCAGTCTGAGTCTATTACACGTTATACCCCCACTTTACAGCAGGGACTGAGTTGATAATTTCTTTAACCCGCATAACACCAAACACAATGTCTTGCACATGGTAGGCATTAAATACATATGTTGAATTAAACCACATGTTTTGACGTTGTCAGTGAAACCTGCATATACTTGGTAGGGGTTTTCAGACACCCTGTTCCATCTTGCCCCATAAGGCTCCCAAGATCTATGAATTTTGACTGTCTAACCACATCCTGTTGTGCATGGGTACTTGCAGCCAAGTGCTTGCAAAAGCAGTTAACACTAGTGATAAAAGATCACCCAAGATAATGTTCTATAATTGCCTCCAGAGTAGGAGAGCTATTGCTGCTATTGTTTGGAAATTAAGTACAAGCTGAGATTATCCTTCCTGAATTTAGAAGAAGGCAGATTCCAAAAGTGTCTCTCATAGAAAAAAATCTCAGCATTCAAATTGGACTTTAAACACTCACATCTTGACAGGCATGATATCTGATACACAGAGTAGATAGCCCCAGTTAAATAACATGCTGCAGATCCATGTGTAGATTCTAAATCTTAGTGAAAAGGTCAGAGGACTGCCACCCTCCTCGTGGGAGCTTTGAGTATCATGTGTCTGGGTGGTGAATTCCCAGGTTGGACTGGAGGGGTTTACTGTCCTCCAAGAGGCAAAAATTAGGAGAACTTGGCTTCAGTCTGCCTTTGCAATTGCCTGCCTCTTCTTTTCAATCCCCCCTCCCTTCCATCCAGCCCTCAGAACTCACTTTAAGAACGTGAGGGCCTCGAGGTCAAGAGATCGAGACCATCCTGGCCAACATGGTGAAACCCTGTCTCTACTAAAAATACAAAAATTAGCTGAGTGTGGTGGCATGCACCTGTAGTCCCAGCTACTCAGGAGGCTGAGGAAGGAGAATCGCTTGAACCCGGGAGGTGGAGGTTGCAGTGAGCTGAGATTGCGCCACTGCACTCCAGCCTGGGGACAGAGCGATGACCTCTGGGATATCTCCCTAGATACTGAAGTCGATGAAGCTTGGACAGAGTAATGGGTTTTGGATTTGAACTCAATGATTATATCTAAAAGTCACTACTGGCATCTCCTTCCTTTATATTGGACAAATAAAATGCAAACCCAACTGATACAGCTAAGAAGTATGGAATCCAGAGAAGCCACAGACTTACACCAGTGTGAAATGATCGTTCGGTCACGTGGCACAGAGAAAGTGCAAAAACATGGAGTCTTCGTGGAAAGGCCCTGCTTGAGCCTTTCTGTCTATCTGTTACACGTTTCCTTTCTCAAGCGTCTTACTGCTGGAGTCTCGCATTGTGGGAAAGGGAAGAGCTGTCGAAGAAAGGCCTTGATGTTCTTAACTGCTCCGAGGTTAAGAGCAGTTCAGACAAATTTAATGGAAAGACATTTAAAGGATCTATGGCAAGAATTATGCTTCCATTGTGTGCAGCCTGCTGAATTCACCGCAGCCATTTTGGACAACGCCCTCTGCTGGTGGTGGTTGCAGACTACTTGTTCATTAAGACAAGGACCTCTGCCCAAGTAGGTTTTTTCTTGTTACTATGTTGGAATGATTAAGATTGGGCTCGTCTACAAAGGGGCAGCTGCTTTAGAACTGGTCTGAGGGTCCGACAGATGTGTTCTGGTGTGGGTACAGATAGAAGGCAGGAGGAGTAATAGGAGAGAAATGCAAGGTGCCTGTAGTTCTGTCCAGGAAGTTTTCTGAAGACATTTCTTCTGCTGAAGACTTTGCTTAGGAGGCATCCTCCTTAAACCAGCACATTCTTCATCTGAAAGACTTTACTGTTTAAGATTCAGAAACCGGCTAATTTACTGCTCACTCTGCAAATGTTCTACCCGTTCTATGTCTTTGACTGTCAAGATAAATGAGATAGACTAGAAAGCATCTGAGAGTTAGGAAAGCACAAGGAATCATGGCATTTAAGGTGTGGTAGTAGTATGAATTTCTTTTGTTTTACAGAAGAGGCCTGTTTAGTAGGTCTCCTGCCTCCATGTCCTCTGTGGCCGCTCGCCCTGGATACATTTTTGGGTGGAAGGAGAATCTGTTTCTGTATTATTCTGCAATTAGCATGGCCTGGTCATTATGTCCCAAGCACTGTATTCTTCCAGCGTCTACTCCTCTGTTTCCAAGTGATCCAGTAGATCCAGGGAGGCAAAAGGTCACTGTCCTCATGGAAAGGTTAGACCTCTATCCATCCACAGTCTCAGAATAATTCTACAAAGATGTAAATATCATAATTGTGTTTGGGCACAATTTGAAACTTAGGACTGAATGATTTAGAGAGGATGACTGTGTCCTGGGTCTGGGACAATATGCTTACTTGAAATCATTCATGCAGGCATGCATTCAACAAATAGTTTCTGGACACCTACAGTTGCCAGACTATAATTAAAGGCCTCGGATCCACTCCTCTCCCTCTTCAGGCTTTTTGTGATATGGCCCCACCCTACCTATCGGATCTTTTTTCCCACTCAGGCATAACCTGCTTTACTGGCTCTCAAACAAGTGTGTGTCTGGAAGGTGTGTCGCTGCCCGCCAGCATGCTGTGTGTGCTGTCAGCCAGGCCTCCCATCTGAATGTCACTGGTCCTCAGCATGGTGCACACACAGCAGATCTCCAATAAATCTTTGGTTCATTGATTAATCTGTAAAGCTACCATTGTTGAGCATCTGCAAAATCATCAATAAGGAGTGTCTTAGCTCCCCGATGCGACAGAAACAGGACATATTGAGAAACAGAGGAATTTAAGGCAGTTTCTGCTTTGAATTTGAGACTGAAGCTAATTCAAAATGCTGTCAGAAATTTGGAACCATTTTGCTGGCTAGAACTTGCTAGTGAAGGCATAGAGAAGCGTGTTTCCTTTTCCTTAGGGCCCATTTATAACATCCTGGAAACTGTCCTTGGATCCTAAGTCTCTGCTCTCTGTGTGCTAAGGCCTCCCTCTCTAACCCCTCACCTCCTCTCTGTCAGTTTGCCCTCTCCCCTAGACAAAAATAAACCTCATTACTTTCCTGTAAGTCTTACCTTTCTCACCTCACCCAGACCACTGTCTAATTTTCTCCTTTCCTCTGGTTCTTGGAGTTCATTACCATCCTTTTTCCCATTCCCAGAGATGGCCTGAACTCTCACAAACATCAAAATGATCTTCCTCCAAAGTATTTACTAAGTGGCTTTCTGCATGCAGTGCTGTGCTGGACAAACACCAAATAAGTTCATAGAGCAAGGTCCACACCCTTCGGGTGTGTTGTCTTTCTGTAAAGGCCAACAGGGATGGGATGTCGAGAAGTTTTGGTTAGTTAATAAACACAGTACTTCTTTCTTTTCGTTTTATTTCTCTTGTGCATGACCTCTCTCTTTTGTCTGTAAAATGGGAACAAGATCACTTGCCTCACAGAGCTGTTTAGAGGAGTAAGTGAGGTAATTTACCCAAAAGTACTTGACAACTATAAAGTTCCCTTGTTTTTATTTTTACCACCTGGCATAATGCCTGGAATGTCAGGTGCTTGGTAATTCTTTTGTTGGAAGAATAAGTGAATGAAATTTTTAAAAGTCTCTGCACTCTGCTAGAATCAGGTTGGAAAGTGACCATACACACTCATGAAATACCATGAGAACCACATATAACAACACCTCACTTATTGAGATGCCTTTTTTGTGTAAAAGCAATTATCTGGAACATAGTTAAAAAGCAATGTTCCCAGAGCAGCCAGAAAAATGTCCTTGAACACATGTAACCAAGTGTATGCCCGTTATTCATTAAGAAGGTCTTGAAACAGAGGCTACTTCGTTTTAGAATTGTATTCATTCTTTTAACAAACCTGCTTCTCTGGGATCCCAGCCCTACAGCAACATTTTAGGGTAGAAATGGAAAGTGGAATCACCTGTTAAAGGGAACATATAGCTGACAGGAAGTATCACTGCAATATAGCCTTCTATAAAAATACATATTTTCAATAATGGCCATTTGTGATAAACTAAAGTCCAAACTAGATTTAGTATCTTCTGAAGTCATTCGTGTTAAATAATACATTTTAGATGTGTTAAAAAGGAAAGGAATATATGCTCTTAAAATATTAACTCCAGTGGTCAGAAAAAAGCAAGTTGCAAGTAGCGCGCAGCATGACTGTCAACAAATGGGAAAGGACACTGTCCAGGTTCAACACATAAGCGTTGGAGGCTCAAGCAGAGGCTACTCACAGTGGGTGCGTTCCCCTGGAGGGGAGAATTTGAGCAGTGGCAGCAGCTGTGGCAGCAGGTGCCTGCTGCTGCGCTCGGAAATACTCTCATTGCCTTGTCTGTATTAACACATTCAATTCTTGCAACTGACCTATCAGGTAGCCTTATTATTATTATCCTTTTCCAGATGAGAAACTGAGAAGAGAGAGGCTCAGTAACTTGCCCAAGGTCACACAGGAGTGGAAGTGAGCCTATGCTACTCATCACTGTGCTAATCGTTTCCCCAGGTTTTAAAAGAGAAGAATAAAATTCACTGGTGAGGAGAAGAATAACAGGAGCAATGCATTGAGCAGCGACGGCAATGGGAAAAGGAATTATTAAGATGATGCTTTAAAGTATTGGGAGATTTAAAAAGCTGCCATGTAGTTTTTTTGTAAGATAAAGAAAACTCCATGAAAAAAGTGTAGATAGGGTATTGCCTGAAGGATGCACTTAAAGAGACCATCATTCAGAAATGGGGTGACTATGTAACATGGGTGACTGTGATTTCATAAAGCTCTTGTTTCAGGTGAGTGTGTTGGGATCTGGTATAAAATATTTTTCTTCCTGGGAATCCAGTCAAGAGACTTTGAAAGTGCTTGCTCTATAAAGTTAGATGCCCCACAGGGACAAAGCTGGCAGGAGTGGCCAGGGACCGTGGGTCAGATTTGGTGTCACATTGCTCACTGATTCCATTTGCTCCAGTGACTCCTTCTGACTTAGTAGTTCCATCTGCCTTGCCTGCTCGTATTTGCAAAGGGAGGGACCATATCTGACCCAAGTGCTCAGGAAAGCATCCAGATGTGTGTACGTTTGCAAAGCTGTTCTTACTGGATACTGTGTAAATGCGCAGAAGACCGCTCATGAGATAATACATTGAGGGAGAGCTTACTATGTTAAGGGCCCTATGTTAGGAGACCGAGTTCTGCCATTTTTGGTTTAACAAATAGATATCTGATGTAACAATTTCAAATGGCAGAGAGAAAAATTTTATTTGAAAGGAGAGAAAGAAAACAAATCCCTTCCCCTCTCTATCCCATCCCTCGTATATCCCTTCCCCCCGTATATCCCTTCCCTCGTATATCCCATCCCCCGTATATACTTTCCCCCATATATCTCTTCCCCCGTATATCCTGTCCCCCGTATATCCCATATCCCTTCCCCTGTCTATCCTTTCCCCTGTCTATCCCTTCCCCTGTCTATCCCTTCCCCTGTCTATCCCTTCCCCTGTCTATCCTTTCCCCTGTCTATCCCTTCCCCTGTCTATCCCTTCCCCTGTCTATCCCTTCCCCTGTCTATCCCTTCCCATGTCTATCCCTTCCCCTGTCTATCCCTTCCCGTCTATCCCTTCCCCTGTCTATCCCTTCCCCTGTCTATCCCTTCCCCTGTCTATCCCTTCCCCTGTCTATCCTTTCCCCTGTATATCTCTTCCCCTGTCTATCCCTTCCCTTGTCTATCCCTTCCCCGTCTATCCCTTCCTCTGTCTATCCCTTCCCTTGTGTATCCTTTCCCTATATATCCCTTCCCCTGTATATCTCTTCCCCTGTATATCTATCGCTTCCTCTGTATATCTCTTCCATTGTATATCCCTTCCCCTGTATATCTGCAGCTTGACAAGCTTCAGTTTGAGGGCTGGCTTTAAGTCTGTTTTCATTTCCAGTGGGTACGCTTCGAGTTGGCACACAAATTCAATGTGTGAATGGTGTGGGAGTTAAGAAAGTTGCATTGCTATTTCTCTTTTCAAAATTAACAGTGGAATCCTTATGTGAGCCGTGTAGGCTCCGGAATGTGCCACACACTGTTCTCTAACTGCATAATTAGGGAGTTCTCCATAATAAAGTAGTCCTCATTCTTGCCAAAATTGGTGCCCCTCCTCCACACCCTCCTCTGAGAGGCAGGAGACTGACAGCTGCTCTGCAGGCTTCCCCAGCTCCTGTAATTTCACTGTCAATGTAGCCTCCACATCCTGGCTATAGGGTTTCTCAGGTGAGGCTTACTGATTGAGTCTGCCTGCTCTGAAGTCCCTGTCCCCTTTAGTTTCCTGGCTTTTCTGAATTCACCATGAATACCTCCCTGATCTACATTCTGTGCACATACACTCCTTGGCAAGTTCAGTTCCCAGTGGCTTTCTGCTACCCTTTATAGAGAAGACCTTTCTACACAAATGTGGTCCTTCAACCAGCAGAAGTGGCATCATGGGAGCATATTAGAAATGCAGATTCCAAGGGCCACCCCAGCCCTACTTGATCAGAACCTGCAGTCTAACGAGCTCCCCCAGATGATTTGTGTGCACACTGCAGTCTGAGGCGTGCTGGGTGTATACTTGGGAGCAGATCAGAAGGCAGCCTAGGTTTCTATCTTCAGTCTTGGTCAACCAATCAACTAATCATCTAATTAAGGACTACCTTCCTATAAGGATCATCTTTGGTATGCTAACTGTGGAAATCAGAGTAATAAAAAGGTACCAGCCCTGGGGGCTCCCAAGTAAAAACTTTTCTCATGGCGATTGCAAGATTAAGGACAGTAACATGGCCCAGGAAAGTAGGAACATGGGAGACATCTGATAATTCTGTGGCCCCTGCGAATGCAGAGGCTGTAATGCAGTTTAGGCTCCTGCAGTGACCTATCGGGCTTGTCTTACAAGCACTTACTGTGGTCAGTGCTGACAGCAGAGAAAAAGACATCTGATTTTGGTTTTTGATAAAAAGCCATGGCTGGGGCAGGTGGGTGTGCAGGCAGGCCCTGTGTCCTGTTGTGGCCTTCGCATGGGTAATTTAAAATCTCTTCAAGAAATTCATCAACTAGAAATTTCTAACTATAAAATTATGAAGAAATCATTCCTCAAGGATATACTGACCACATATTTAAAGTGTTTCTTTTAGGCTGGGTGCAGTGGCTCATGTCTGTAATCCCAGCACTTTGGGAGGCCGAGGTGAGTAGATCACCTGAGGCCAGGAGTTCGAGATCAGCCTGGCCAACTTGGTGAAACCCTGACTCTACTAAAAATACAAAAATTAGCCAGGTGTGGTGGCAGGTGCCTGTAGTCCCAGCTACTCTGGAGGCTGAGGCATGAGAATCGTTTGAGTCCAGGGGGCGGAGGTTGCAGTGAGCCAAGATCGCACAGCTGCACTCCAGTCTGGATGACAGAGCATGACTCTGCCTCAAAAATAAAAATAAAATAATAATAATAAAAACAAATTGAAAAATAAAGTATTCCTTTTAGGTTCTTAAAGTCCTGTTTGGCGCTTCACTTTCCTATGCTTCTATCATCCAACATGCTTTCAAGGTTATTAATTCTTTAGAAATGTGTTTCCATTAACTTCTTTCATTTCCTTTCCTGTGCCATCCCTAAAGTCCAAGCTATTATAACTTCTAATTATATCAGTTATGAGATGACTACTTGTTTCCACAGTATTTCCCCAAACACATCTTAAGACTGTCTTTAGCTGCACAGAGTTTCCTAAGATGATGTTTATCAGGCTACTTTCCTGTTTCATAACCACAGTGATGTTCCATCTAAATGACTCTCCTTTATCTTCAGTGCTTCGGTGACCTGGCCTCATGTCACCCGGACAAACTTGGCATGTACATCCAAAATATTAATCAAGATTTCTTTCCTAATATCATCTCTTGGCAAATAGAAAGTCACTTTAGATATGTCTTTACAAAGCTGGGTGCCTTTTGAAAAGCACTGGTAATGTGTGTATTTTCTCTACTACTTTATTTGGAAAAAAAGTTCACTGCTTGGGGATCACATTTTAGACTGAAATCAGTGCTAGCTTGGGATGCTTATTGAGGTTACCTGTTCGAACAAAAAAAATGTAGGAAAAGACATCAAATACTAGTAATTACTTCTGGGAGTGTGATCTTACTTCTAAGATTTTAAAAGTGATTATTTTTGAAAGATTACTTAAAAAATACAGTAAGAAGGTACTTTGTGGAGATCATGAGTATGCAACTACAGGAAAAAGGTTATAAAAGCTAATCTAATGGGGTGGAACTGGTAAATCGTGGCTTGGATAAAATATTTAATAACAGCTTCATCCATGGATTGAAGTAATGCCATATATCCAATATCTTAGATGACTGTAGAGATGAGGTACTCTGTAAAATTGTGATAGATGACTCAAAATATGGCCTTAAGGGATCATGGTGATTCACGAGAAGAGTTTCAAAAACTGATGTATAAAATGTGATGGAGAAAAGTATTGTTTGTATGTTGTATAAGATATGACTGTAAACAAGCATGTGCATTCAAGGAAAGCCTTGCTGCCCACACATTGACACCATCAGGGCCTTCCTCAGCAGGGTTAGCTACTAGGCCTCCCTAGGCCGAGGTCTCACTATTGGGCCAGTCCACATCAGGTGACCAAGCAAGGTAAAGACATAAGGCCCTGGCCACTTTGGCTTCACTGAGGGTAACTCTGGTAGGCAACATTTGCTCCAGAGCTCTTTGCAGGGTTAGTGGCGTCTTTGTCAGGCTTGTTTCACAGTTTAATATCTTCCTCTGCTAAATCCTGCTTCTTTTCTCTTTCTTTGACAGGTATTGATCTCTAAAAAGTATTTCACATTCCAAACTCCATCTCAGCATCTGTTTCTGGAGAATTCAGTTTGTAACAGCATGGGTGCTACATTAATAAATATTACAAGGAGATGTTGATTAATTTATCTACCTCCTTACCAGTTTACACATTCAGGTTGGCTACTAAAATTTTTCTTTAAAAATTATCTCATTGGGAAAACTGGGTATCACCTTATGAATAAGGTCATTTTTTATTGCATACACTCAGTATTCCCATTGATACTGTATTGAGGCTGGTCCACTCACTGTCCCTCTTGCCCCATGCCCTATCCCCATATCATACCCCATTGCACTCATTCCTGCTCTTAGGTTCTGGCTCATGCCAATTCCTCAAAGTAAATTTCTGTTCTTCTGCTCTCTTGCACATGTAGACCCTACTCATTCTTCAAGGTCTTCAAAGAAAGTACCACTTCCTCCACAAAGGCCTCTTTGACTTATGTAGCCTTCTCTTTTATTCCTTAATTTTAAAAAAATTAAATGTTATTTTGTTTTAAAAATGCAACTCAGTTCAGTGCAGCTATTTTCTAATTGTTTCATGTGAATTATATCTCCCAGTAACTAATACAGCACAGAGAGCATAAGGTAGTTACCTGTAAAAACACTAGTCAATTGATAAATATTAAGGAATATCCAAAAAGTTTAAAGTTTAAATTATACCCTGAGAGAGCAATATGTTCCAAAGCCTGTTTCCGGGATTTTCCTTTTTCTTTAAAAAAAGTTTTCATGGTCAAATTTGTTTGGAAAATGTTGCCTGTCGTATCTTCCTACTGGGGATGAGTGCACTGGGTAGTTAAAGGATTGGAGAAGTTGCTCAGTAAATAAATCTGGTTGACTTTAACCCAAATTACTTTAATAAAAATGCATTTATTCCCTGTTTTAAATAGCATCTATGAGCATCTCTGTGGAATTTGTGTTGTGCGGAACATACTTTGGGAGTTGTGTCCCGGCAGATAGCAGAGACCTAGATGCCCATAGAAATAGACTCCATGTCAAATAGGCTGATGACTGGCACCTCCAAATCTAAGGGGGCACACGCAGGCTTGCGATGTCACCATTGCAGGCACAGGAAGCCAGCTGATGATGACTGGCACCTCCAAATCTAAGGGGGCACACGCAGGCTTGCGATGTCACCATTGCAGGCACAGGAAGCCAGCTGAAGGAACAGTGGGAGGAAGAGCTGGCAGTTAATGCCAGTGACTCATGGGAAAGGGTTGCTTTCGGGTAGCCAGCCGCAACCCTGGCTGCACATCGGAATCACCCAGGGAGCTTTAAAACATCCTGACGCCTGGGTCTCACCCCTGGAGACGCTGATGTCATGGGTCTGAGGTGGGGCCTGGGCACTGGGATATTGCAAATTCCCCACATGATTCTAGTTGCAGCCAAAGCTGAGAGCCACTGCTTCAAGCAAGTGGGAATGCTCGTGTGTGAGAGGATTTTTTTCCTCTCTATTCCAGGCTTCCTTTATTGAATGTATCTGCTGTACTGGAAATTACTCTGGGAAATTGTTATGTAAATAACCATGTGTGCTGCTCACCTTGGCACTTGAACCTCCGACTCCAAGTAGGGTCTGAGAACCACCAGAGCTGGTTAGAAAGGCAGAGTTTCCCGCCCCACTCAGATCCCAGGCATGACGCCTGGGTGATCTGCAGGAGTGTTGCAGGCTGAGACCCCTGAGCTAGACTGGAGTTGCCCTGTGGAAAGCAGCTCCACTCACCAGAAGCCTGTGAACCAGAGGGCCTGCTGTGTGCCTGCTTCTTACTTCATCTCAGTCCCAGAGGCACGGTCAGCCTGGCTTCTATGCCTCTGTGTGCTGCTTCCCCAGCGGATGGCTGCCTACCTCTCAAAGGAGCCTTCAGGGGCCCCTACAGTACCATTTTCAAACACCAGTTAGTCAATATTTTAAGCTGGGGGGTCCCAAATTGGTGGAAATCTGTCTGGCTGTCTTCCCCTGATGCGATAAGAAGCAGGAAAACAAACAAACAGAAACAACAACAACAAAAAAAACAGAAATGTAATTTTATTTCTATAGATGACAAACATTGTCAGAAATGGTTCTTTTCTTCTTTGTTTTGGATTCAATAAAGAGTGGGGGAATATCGGAAATGAAGGCCCTGAGAGATGAGCCAAATCATCCAAATGTATATGAGCAAGGTATGGGTGAGTCTGTCACTTCAGGGGCCTGTGGGAACTGAGCTGGATGAATGCAGAGCGAAGAGTCAGAAATCCCACAGCTGCCAGTGATGAACTGTTAGCTGTCCTTGGACTGTGTCGGCGCATCTAGCTCCACCATCAAACAGGGTCACAACTTGCTCCATTAATGACCAGTTCACAGTGCGCATCTGTTTCAGGCAAGGTGTGCTCGTTACCTTAACAGAAGGTTTACCTTGTAAACGTTTCTCACAAGGAAAAACAAACGACCAAATAACCTCATATTTTTGTGATGAGTAGATTTTTTTGGATCATCAGCCCTGCCCTTTCTCCATTACCAAGTTCACGGCAAGGCTGACATTCCAGGGCAAACACCCGCCTTCTTGGCGCCCACGAGCAGCGGACTCCTCATTCTGCTTTAGTTTACTGCTTCCGCATTAACTCGTCCACTGGCTCCCTTATTCATTTGTTCAACAGACAATTATTATCTACTGTGTTGGCAACAGTGCTGGGCACTGGGTCTTCCTGTTCTTAGCTATGTAGAATTCAGAGAAGAACACAGTGCATAGATTGCCTAGGAGTGGAGAAAAGCTTGATGTGGCAACTTCCAGATCCTATCATAGGAGATGGAGCCGCATGTCCCTCCAAGATGCATATTCTGGGAGGTTTATTCCCAAATAAGAAGAGAGTGTGGGTGATGGGCAGCCACAAACATAGCAAATGTTCACTAAAGATAGTATCTTTACTATGACTGGTTCATCTGCATTCTCCTATTCCATGCCTGTTGCCTGTGAAGAGTCTGCAAAGGTTAGGTGCTCCTGCAGCTGACCTGGCCTTCTGCGTAGGGAGGAAGACAAGTTAGACTTCCAAACAAGGTGACATACAAGTGAGAACTCTGTTGGAGGCAGTTAGCAGAAACCCAATCCAAATTAGCTTAAGCAAAACAGAAATTTCATTTTAAGGATATGGGAGAGATTTGTCCATTACAGCTCAATAAAACTGGGGAAAAAAAAGAATATGGGGGAGGAGCATGTCTCATGGAATCCAGTGGAATCCATGCTTGGACTTTGGGAATGACACAAATCCAAAAACATGAATGTTGTCAGGACTCTGCTGCCAATATTCATATAATTAATAATATTTGTGGAGCATTTATTATGTCCTAGGCATGCTTTCTGCTTAGGTTCATTGCATTTTATTTATTTATTTATTTTTACAACAACTCTGTAAAATCTGAACTAAAATTATTCCATTTTTCAGAGGTGGAAGCCTGGGGAAGTAAAGGCATGTGTCCAATGTCACACAGCTATTGTAGTAAGAGAGCGAGTGTGAATCCATAGCCTGTACTGGTGACCCTAACCACATTGTTGTCCCCTGCCTTGGTGCAGACTGCCATCCTCTGTCCCTCAGCTCAACACACCCCAAGTTTCACACATGCCATCCATCAGTCTATGGAGACACCACACTTCTCTGTGTCTCCAGTCATCTCTCAAAGAAAGGACTATGATTGGCCAGGTTGGATGAGGTCCCAGGGGTATCACCCAGAGGAGCTCGGCCATACCAACTAGAAGAAATGGTTGAGAGTAAGGGCTTCAGGGGCAAGGCGACCATTTTCAGGAACTGAGTGTTTCTGAGCAGCCAAACAATGGTTAACTACAAATTTCACCTTTCCCTCCTGCATGACTTTTCATTTTTGCTTTACTTTCCAGCAATTTAGAAATAAATTTAATTTTCAAAGGCACTGACTCATTCCATGTGTCTGGGAGCATCTAGTTCTCTGCTCTATTTTACAGAGCTTTCCTCTTCTTTTACTATTTTTTTCAATCATTAAAAAAAATTTAATTCTCCTGTTTTATACTGTGCTTGATTTTTTTGTAAGCTGTCTTAGCTTACAAAAACATTTATGGAAATATGTGAGGGATAAATTATGGATTAAAAAAGAAAAAAGACTTCAGAGTTATGCTATCAACATGGCAGCTACTAGCCACTTATGACTATTTAAACTTAAATTAATTAAAATTAAATAAAATAAAAAATGTAGTTCCTCATTCACACTGACCATATTTTAAATGCTCAACAGCACATTATAGTTCTATATTATAGAATATTTCCATAATTGCTGAAAGTTCTGCTAGACAGTGCTGCTACACAGGGTTCCAACAATGGTGTGCTGTCTCTGAAATAATGAGCTCCCTAAAGGAAGTGGCCCGGTGACCTGCATTCACCCTCCAGATCTCAGGGGTTGTGAGTCCCAGCTTTCTTTCCCACCATTATGCTTCCTGTTGATTGCTTCCTGACTCACTTCCCTATTCATTTTCTCAAAGCCAACATTTACATCACATAAACTTAAGTTATTCCTTTTCAGTAGCAGAAAAAACATATAATTGTAATAAACATTTTTGGGGGGTGGAAGGGATATTTATTACTGATACTAAAAATTTAATGCCTTTGCTTAATTAGAGGTGGGACTGAAGGAATGCATGAACCGAAAATGCTGGCTAACAAAACAAAGTGTTTATACATGGAAATGCTTCAAGAGCCCCAAAACAGAGCTCCCATGTTCTCCATGGTGGGAAAGTTTCCATCTTTCCTCTTTTTGTAACTGTCCAGAAAAGACAGAATGTTTTTGATCAAAGTGGCTTTGAATCTTTAGCATTACGTTGTCCCATTAGAACAGAACTTTTTCCCATGCAGTGCCAATCCACACATTTAGTTTCTGCAGCTCCTTAGTTTTATTGGGAATGGGGGTGGGGATGGTGGCACCATCTTGTTTGAAAGGGTTTACAGCTGATACTACCGTTTACAGTAAATTCCTAGAGTGGGAGGAGGAAGTGGCACATTTTTGGAGCAGCTAGGTGGCTGGAAGAGATTCTCCTCCCCCAAGACTGGTCAGAGGTCCTGTGAGAATGGGAGCTGCTCACCTCTCCTTGGCAGTGTGCTGGGCTGGGGAGGTGCCAAGATATCCCTAGCAGCGACTCCAGCCAGGGAGATTGGTCCCTAGATGCAGCATCTTCCAGTGCACCAATGTTCTCATGACCCAAGGCTGGTACTGAAATAGCAGGATTGTCAAACCTGAAGGAACCATTGCCTGTGGGCTGCAGGGACCTGGAACCCTGACCCAAACCAGGATGGAGGAGGTGCCCAATAATGATTATGATTCAGCTGTCCAACAGCTCAATAAAAGGGGGACTTGGAGTTACATGCGACTTGATTTAAGGGATTCTAAAAATATATTTATTGTGAACCTGAGTTTAAGAACTGATATTCTTGCTTACTGAAGGTGGACATACTAACTTTGGACATAAAACCTGAGGGGCAGGTAAGGGCAGTGTCTGTGTGCCTGGCATGCACAGGACACAGATGGCATTCTGAAAGCCATCATCCAGGACTGAAGAGTTGCTTTCCACACTCTGAAACTGTGACACGAGATTCACTTTGGAGAGTCTTTTGTGGATGAGCCTCATCAATTAACAGTCCTAGTGTGTGTAAGCGTGAGCTCAGTTTTGTTCTGTCAAGTCTTAAGACAGCATTTGATTTAGCAGTTGATTCAATTACATTACATGTGGATTTGGAAAAGTGGTGTGTGTGTGTGTGTGTGTGTGTGTGTGTGTGTGTGTGTATTTCTTTTAAACAATGATGTAACCTTTCTGAATTCAGGTGGAAACTGTCTTGATTGACCTCCGCGTACCAGGACAGATTAATTAACTCTTAGTTTCTTTCGTGGAACATACGAACACACCCTGAGCTCACTGAGAGCTCACAGCTGGTAGGAGAGGAGGCTCCTCTTTAGTAGGCCCAGTGTGTTGTTTGCCTCTTTCCTAATCTGTTCATTCCACTTAATTGTATCCCGATAACGACACAATTTGAGCAAATATTAATTTGAGCAAATATTACTAAAACTGATGATACACAGATACATGAAGAAAGATATTTCCAATGGAAAGAAAAAGCAAAATGCTTGGGAAAGATTCAACAGGAAAAGCTGCTTTAAATGTGTTGTTGAATTATATTTGATGGTTATGAGTACAGAATCTAAGATTCTTTAGTCAAGATGTTTTACACTGTCTCTAAATTCTCATTTCACAAAGGAAACTCAAATGAGACAACATGGAGGATGCATTATATGTGTGGCTCATAAAGAGAGGGAACAATACAGCACTCTAATCAGCACATCTATATTCAAAGAAAGGCATTGGCTAAATAAAAACACTGGTGAGTAAATAGACAACTCAGTTCCCTGCTAAAATAAAATGTTTGTATAGGCAGGACTCCTGCGAGAGCCCCTTTGACTGCCCGTTGAGCGCCCTCTGCTGGCCCGGAGGGAAGGGTGCCACGGAGGGGACGGCGTCAGGGCCCCACCCACGGTTTAGTTTCAGATCAGCGCTTTTCAGTTCCAAGATACAGATTCCGGTTCCAATGAATGCTGGTTGAAAATACGGCCGTGGTTTTAAATATCATGAAACTATTTTACGTCCGTAGTACTTTCATCTATTTTTATAAGAATGTTTTGTAACTGAGAAACCTAAAGAGATGATGAATTTCCCCCACCGCCCCCGACTATTTTGCCTTTCAGTGACGCGGTAATATTTTACGATAGGTGCCGATTCAAATCAGTGGCTTTCAGAAAGTACAGCTGCTATTCTTTGGTGCCGCTATTCAGAATGACAATGTGAAATAAAAATGATTCTGACTATGGGAAGGTCTGATCTTCCTATGAATGAAAACAATCATGTGGGCCACAGAGAGCTCTCTCTTTCCAGCTATCGAGGGACTTTTTGCAGAGAGAGAAAAGGATCCTAAAGCCATGTTCCCGATACTGCAGACTTGGCGAGATGGCGGCGGGCTCCTCCCACCTCTGCGGCAGCGTCACAATCAATAATGCAGGGCTCTGCGGCAGAGGAAGCGCCTGCTTTTATATAGGGGCGCCCGGACCCCAGAGCAGGGCTAGTCCCTTAACCCATTCCGCCATCTAGCGTCCGCAGGGGCTCATGGCAGGTTGGAGCCGGACAGTCTGGAAACTGCAATCTAGATTTTGCAGAAGGGTGACCTTTAGCCTTCTGCAAAACCTAGATCTCACTTAATGTAGATCTCACTGAAGAAGGCAAATAAAAAGTGAGTGGAGTGTTTATTCATTTTCCTGTAAGATTAGTAACTTTAAGGCTAAAAACTCTAAAGTAAGTATTTCCCAAGCCCCTGCTGTAAGTCAGTCATGTTGTGGGTACCAAGGCTATGAAGATGTCTCAGTCTCTATTTTCAGTGACCCAGTCTAGTAGGGACAAGCCATATGAACATATGCCCAGTTAAATTTGAATTTCAGGTTAACACGGAATTTGTGTGTGTGTGTGTCCCATATATGCTAAAGCAGTTAACTGGGCATCTATTATTATCATTATTTTTATAAGCAAAATCTTGCAACCGTGCATATAAACAGATGATTGCAGTATGGGCTTTACAAGGGCAGGGTGGCACGCTAATTGCTTGAGGAGCTTTGCTGTGGGTGCTGGTTAGGAAGCGTTCTCAGGGGAGAAGTCGCTTGTGCAAACTGCTTATCAGATAAAGCAGTGGGCAGGGTTGTCCTGGTAGAATCGCATAAGCAAAAGCAAGAGGCTGGGGGACTCGCAGTACAGCAGGTCTGTGCTACCTGAGCTGGCAGGTGAGGCAAGGATAGTGCAGGGGTGAGGTTGCTTCATCGTGGAAGGCCTTCTACTGTGCTTCCCAGGAGCTGGGTTCTATTCCAGGGGGAGTGAAAAAGGGTTTTGAGCGGGAGAGTGACATGATCTAATTTGTGTTTAAGAAAAAGAGATCAAATGGCAATGTTGAGGCTGGACTGGGGGAGGTAGGAAGCTTGGAGGCAGGGAGGCCTGAAGGAAATTGTCTAAGGTGAGTGAGCTCAGAAAAGTAGCAGAGCTTGAAGGTGAATGAGGGTCTTTTGACTCCAAGTCCAGGATGCCTGTCACTGTCCCCATCTAATTGAATTATGATTCACATGTGCAAGCATTTTACAAATCAGGAATGACACACCACATTATGCATACTTTTCCTTCTCTGAAAGATTAGCTTCACCCACATTTGGAAATACTGGAAATTTTTCTGTCCTCCTCTTCTCTTGCTTCTCCTTTGCATGTGGTCGGCCTCGGTGTCTGCCTCTGATTAACTCAGCCCTGTTTCCCACACAGAGCTCCCCCTGCAAACCAGACTAACAAGGCCAAGTGACAAAATGAATTATAAACCTCTGAGATATTTGGCCTTGTTTTCCTTGGGCCACAGCCTGACTTTTTTAAAGGCCCTTGGAATGAGGACACCTGTTTATTTTCAAGGAGACTCTGACCCAAGCCCCACGCAGATGGCTGGGCAGAGCATTTTGTGGTGGTCAGAGGTTGCTCATTTTTGGACCTGGTTTATTAAAAGTTGGACAGGGGACCAAGCAGAGCCTGGCACCTCTTTGTCCCTCCATCCATGGTGGGGGGCATTGGCAGCACCTTAGCACGCACAGAACAGCCCCTCAGAGAATGCACAGGTGTTGATTAACAAGGCTTGTATACACGTTAGTGGAGGAAGAAGAGAAAACAAACCTACTCTCTCATGCACATGTGACTAGAGTCACGTTGGGATCGTGAGGCTAGTGCTTTGTAAAAAAAAAATGGGATGCTTTTAACAGAAAGACATATAGAAAAAAAGGTAAGTGAGATGTGCAATACAGTCACATGTCACACAATGACGTTTTAGTAAATGACAGTCCTCATATACAAAAGTGGTCTCATAAGGTTATAGTGTAGCTGAAAAACTCCAATCACCTAGTGCCATCGTAGCCATTCCAACATCACAGTGCAATGCATTATATGTTTGTGGTGATGCTGGTATAAACAAACCAACTGCACTGCCAGTCATATAAAAGTATAGCACATACAATTATGTACAGTACATAATACTTGAGAATGATAATAAATACTACATTACTGGTTTATATATTTACTATACTATATTTTTATCATTATTTTTGAGTGTAATCCTTCTACTTATTAAAAAAAGTTAGCTATAACACAGGACAGGCAGGTCCTTCAGAAGGCATTGTTATCATAGGAGATGACAGCTCCATGCATGTTTTTGCCCCTGAAGACCTTCCAGTGGGACAGGACGTTGAGGTGAAAGACAGTGATATTATGATCCTGACCCTGTGTAGGCCTAGGCTAATGTGGATGTTTGTGTCTTAGTTTTTACTAAGAAAAGTTTTAAAAGTAAGAAAAAACATTAGAAAAAAAGCATACAGAATAAGGATACAAATAAATTATTTGTGTATAGCAGTACAATGTGTTTTAAGCTGTGTTATAAAAGAGTCAAAAAGTTGGCCAGGCACGGTGGCTCATGCCTGTAATCCCAGCACTTTGGGAGGCCAAGGTGGGTGGATATTTGAAGTCAGGAGTTTGATACCAGCCTGGCCAACATGGTGAAACCCTGTCTCTACTAAAAATACAGAAATTAGCCAGGTGTGGTGGCAGGTGCCTGTAGTCCCAGCTACTTGGGAGGCTGAGGCAGGAGAATAGCTTGAACCCAGGAGGTGGAGGTTGAAGTGATCTAAGATTGTGCCACTGCACTCCAGCCTGGGGGACAGAGTGAGACTGTCTCAAAAAAAAAATCAAAAAGTTAAAAAAAGGATAAAAAGTCTATAAAGTAAAAAAGGTACAGTAAGCTAAGGTTAATTTATTATCAAAGAAAAAATAGGCTACACTAAATCTATTTGTTCATCAAGTCTACAGTAGTGCACAGTAATAATGTCCTAGGCCTTCCCATTCACTCACCACTCACTCACCCAGAGCGACTTCCTGTCCTGCAAGCTCCATTCACGGCAAATGTCTTATATAGGTGGATCATTTTTAATCTTTTATATGATCTCTTTACTGTACCTCTTCTATGTTTAGATATGTTTAGATACACAAATACTTATTGTGCTACAATTGCTGACAATATTTAGTACAGTAACATGCTGTACAGGTTTGTAGGCTAGGAGCAGCAGGCTCTACCATACAGCCTAGGTATGTAGCAGGCTATATCATATAGGTTTGTGTAAGTTCACCCTATAATGTTTGAACAACAACAAAATTATGTAACAATGCACATCTTAGAAAATATCCCTATCTTGGACAGAATTACTACCCAGCCAACAAAGGAAGGAGACACGCTCTCCCTCTCCCCCTCTCCCTCTCTCCCTCTCTCCCTCTCCCTCTTTCCACGGTCTCCCTCTCCCTCTCCCTCTCTTTCCATGGTCTCCCTCTGATACCGAGCCGAAGCTGTACTGTACTGCTGCCATCTCGGCTCACTGCAACCTCCCTGCCTGATTATCCTGCCTCAGCCTGCCTAGTGCCTGCGATTGCAGGCGCGCGCCGCCACGCCTGACTGGTTTTCATATTTTTTTGGTGGAGACGGGGTTTCGCTGTGTTGGCCGGGCTGGTCTCCAGCTCCTAACCGCGAGTGATCCGCCAGCCTCGGCCTCCCGAGGTGCCGGGATTGCAGACGGAGTCTCATTCACTCATTGCTCAATGGTGCCCAGGCTGGAGTGCAGTGGCGTGATCTGGGCTCGCTACAACCTCCATCTCCCAGCCACCTGCCTTGGCCTCTCAAAGTGCCGAGATTGCAGCCTCTGCCCGGCCGCCACCCCGTCTGGAAAGTGAGGAGCATCTCTGCCTGGCCGCCCATCGTCTGGGATGTGAGGAGCCCCTCTGCCTGGCTGCCCAGTCTGGAAAGTGAGGAGCATCTCTGCCCGGCCGCCATCCCATCTGGGAAGTGAGGAGCGCCTCTTCCCGGCCGCCCATCTTCTGAGATGTGGGGAGCGCCTCTGCCCCGCCGCCCCTTCTGGGAGGTGAGGAACGTCTCTGCCCGGCCGCCCCGTCTGAGAAGTGAGGAGCCCCTCCGCCCGGCAGCCACCCCGTCTGGGAAGTGAGGAGCGTCTCCGCCCGGCAGCCACCCCGTCTGGGAGGTGTACCCAACAGTTCATTGAGAACGGGCCATGATGACAATGGCGGTTTTGTGGAATAGAAAAGGGGGAAAGGTGGGGAAAAGATTGAGAAATCGGATGGTTGCTGTGTCTGTGTAGAAAGAAGTAGGCATGGGAGACTTTTCATTTTGTTCTGTACTAAGAAAAATTCTTCTGCCTTGGGATCCTGTTGATCTATGACCTTACCCCCAACCCTGTGCTCTCTGAAACATGTGCTGTGTCCACTCAGGGTTAAATGGATTAAGGGCGGTGCAAGATGTGCTTTGTTAAACAGATGCTTGAAGGCAGCATGCTCATTAAGAGTCATCACCACTCCCTAATCTCAAGTACCCAGGGACACAAACACTGCGGAAGGCCGCAGGGTGCTCTGCCTAGGAAAACCAGAGACCTTTGTTCATTTGTTTATCTGCTGACCTTCCTTCCACTATTGTCCTATGACCCTGCCAAATCCCCCTCTGTGAGAAACACCCAAGAATGATCAATAAAAAAAAAAAAAAGAAAAAGAAAATATCCCTATCTTTAAGGGACATATGACTGTAATGGTAATAGTTTGCAAATGGCAGGAAAGAACGCAATGGATAAATGTATGCAAAATTATAGACATGCTTAGCTTTGGTAGTATGCAGTATGTAGTATAAGGTGATTTAAAAGGACTCTATTTTGAATCACCTAGTTTCTATTGAGCACCTACCAAGCAAACATCCTTCAGCCTTGTTGGGCTTGCAGTAGCAACCTGGTGGGCAGAGTTGCTGCATTATTAGAGACCCGGTTGCAGGCCAAGCCAGGAGTGAACAGAGGGCCATGGGAGACGGTACAGATGCTCCGGCACTGGTTTTGGTTCTGAGTTCTGTGAGTTTTCAGGGGAGAGTCCACACTGCAGGAGAATGGCTACTTTGTGAAGCTTGTGGTATTTGTAGCAAGTATGAGTATGACTTCACAAATTCATTTTCTTTAATTCAAATTAAACCAGGCTCTGAACCCTCCTCCCCTGCCTCCATCCTGAGATGGATTTATTCTAAGGTATCATTGGTGCATTCCTCCCCACCCCCAATACCATGGCCACCATCATGACCACCCACCCACCCACACCACTGCCACCATGAGTGGGGGTTGAACGACAATCCAGCAGGCCTAGAAGGTGCCTAAAAAGGGGCCAGGCCTCTGATAATCAGTTCCTAAGTTTTCTGCCAATACCTGTATCATCCAAATACGCATAGACACTTGAGGCTTTGCATCCTCACAAAGTTCTTTGAGGAACTTAGCCAGTGCAGGGCACCCTGGTACTGGGGCAGCCTCCTGGAAGTACCATGAATCATCAAGTCCCTCTGAGCTTTAGTCACCTCCCCGGGCTGCTGCATGGGGAGGCCTGAATGTTCAGTCCTCACCCAATGCTCGGCTGCACTCCTCTTCCTCCCCATCGTCTCCCAGCATCACCTCTTACCAGTGAGAACAAGGCAGGATCTCAAAAGGCAAGATAAAGCATGCCAGCAGCTTCCATCCTGTGCTTAGAGGATGGATAGGCGGGAACCCTAAAGGGCCTCACTAACTTCTTGAAATCCAGGAGAGGAGCAGGTGGAAGAAAAATACAGAGAACTCAATGCAAATTAATATATCAATCAATCATCCTGCTACTGATCATGGTGTCATTTACAGGCCATGCAGAGAGCAGCAGAGCATGGTAATGAAATTCTTGGAATCTTGGTTCTACCTCTTGCTAACCATGTGACCTTGCCCCAGTTTCCTAATAAGTAAACCAAAGATGGTAATCACAGAACACAGGCCCAGTGTTGCTGAAGGATCAGAGGAGTTAATACATATACAGCACTCAGTACAATATTGAGACACAGTGACACTCGGCCAATGTTAGCTCTTATTATTATTATACTTTTTTTTTTGAGACAGGATTTCTCTCTGTTTCCCAGGCTGGAGTGCAGTGGTATGATCATAGCTCACTGTTGCCTCAACATCCTGGGCTCAAGCAATCTTCCTGTCTCAGTTTCCCAAGTAGCTAGGACTACAGGTATGCACCACCACACCTGGCTAATTTTTTTACTTTCTATTTTGTAAAGATGGGGTCTCACTATGTTGCCCAAGCTGTGTTATTGTTACTATATCTCTATTTCACTGGAGCAAATATTGACCCCCCTCATAGCACACATTCAATACATTACTTCCACAAACAATATCTTCTCTTTTCTCAAGGATGTCAATACACCCTTCTCCACAATCAGTAAGATAGGAAGATAAGGAAAGAGGGGATGAGGAAAGGAAGACTCATACTGTACTAAGCTTGCTGACCACAGGCATGAGCTCCAAACACTGCCTGCCCGGACGGCTGGTACTCCCAGGAGAAGGGACTATTCTAGCTGTGATGACGCTCCTAACAGAACGATTTTAGGAATCTTACGGGAAAGGAGTGGGGTGTGCTCTGTGCGGGGGAGCTCACCACCATTAGAGGTGTGCATCTTGCCAGTGGAAGGAGTCCTGGACTGGCAGTTGTCTCCCGACTCTTCATCTAGCTTCATCTCTTGACTAAGTATCACTTCCTCAGATGTCCTCTCTGCCCCCAATCTAAATTAGCTCTCACCTGTCATTCTCTCTTATAATTTCTTCTTTGCTCTTATTAGCCTTTATTCAACTTTCAATGACGGACATTTTGTGTGTTTATTTGTTCAGCGTCTTCTCTCCCAGTAGATTATTTAGCTGTAGAGGGCAGAGATTAAGTGTGTTTTATTGACCAAGTATAATCGCTTAGCTTTCACTTTTTAATCTGTTAAATGAGGTTGGTAATACTGCTTTTGCCCACCTCACTGAGCTGTGAAATTAAAAATGTAATACACAGGAAACTTCTTTGTAAATCATAGAACATGGTGCACATTGAATTATGCTTAGCGCCATGTCTATTGGAACGTACATCACAAACTGAACACTTGTGAAATGAGCTCCTAGACAGATTAGCATTCTGTTAAATGAGATAATAGGGAAACATGCTCAGAACAGGACACACACTGTGAAAGCTCTTATTGTGTAAGGTCAAAAATAGCAGCCCCGACCTCTAAAACTACCATATCCATGGAGTCCACACACAGTCGGCTGGAAAGAGTTAAATAGGAGCTCCCACAGCCAAAGATGTCTAAACACATGTGGGAGTGAGTAACCCAGCGCCAGTGTGTTCTGGAGCTGGGGGAGGTTTTGCAGGTCACTTTTCAAGCAAGATGTTCCTTTCCTACCAAGAGGCAAGGATGGTCAACATCTATCTTCCCCTGCTCCACGTCAGTGAGACTGCAGAGGGATGGAAGACGATTCCAGAAAAATGCCTGCTGCCGCCAGCATTTCACAGACAGCAAACGGGAGGAGGGTGAAACTCCTTAAATTCAAAAATTGCACTGATATGTGCATTACTATATGTGGAACCGGGGGAGAGCTGGAGCTGGAGAGATACAGTTGATGAATACCCCAGTGTTGGGATGCGACTCCTCTGCTTTTCATAGACAAACCAGAAACATGAAATTATCCATCCTGACAGCCGGTGTGGTGTGGGAATCACAGGCTGGTACCCACAGACCAATGGTGATAACCAGGAAGATAAAAAGACAAAGATCAGATTGGACACTGATGGGTCTTGACTCTTTATCCAATTTGCCAGTCTGTGTCTTTTAATTGAAGCATTTAGTCCATTTACATTTAAGGTTAATATTGTTAAGTGTGAAGGTTAATATTGTTATGTGTGAATTTGATCCACATTATGATGTTAGCTGGTTATTTTGCTTGTTAGTTGATGCAGTTTCTTCCTAGCATTGATGGTCTTTACAATTTGGCATGTTTTTGCAGTGGCTGGTACCAGTTGTTCCTCTCCACGTTTAGTGCTTCCTTCAGGAGCTCTTGTAGGGCAGGCCTGGTGGTGACAAAATCTCTCAGCATTTGCTTGTTTGTAAAGGATTTTATTTCTCCCTCACTTATGAAGCTTAGTTTGGCTGGATATGAAATTCTGGGTTGAAAATTCTTTTCTTTAAGAGCATTGAATATTGGCCACCACTCTCTTCTGGCTTATAGAGTTTCTGCCGAGAGATCCGCTGTTAGTCTGATGGGCTTCCCTTTGTGGGTAACCCGACCTTTCTCTCTGGCTGCCCTTAACATATTTTCCTTCATTTCAACTTTGGCGAATCTGACAATTATGTGTCTTGGAGTTGCTCTTCTCGAGGAGTATCTTTGTGGCGTTCTCTGTATTTCCTGAATTTGAATGTTGGCCTGCCTTGCTTGGTTGGGGAAGTTCTCCTGGATAATATTCTGAAGAGTGTTTTCCATCTTGGTTCCATTCTCCCCGTCACTTTCAGGTACACCAATCAGAGGTAGATTTGGTCTTTTCACATAGTCTCATATTTCTTGGAGGCTTTGTTCGTTTCTTTTTATTCTTTTTTCTCTAAACTTCTCTTCTCGCTTCATTTCATTCATTTGATCTTCCATCACTGATACCCTTTCTTCCAGTTGATCGAATCGGCTACTGAAGCTTGTGCATTCATCACGTAGTTCTCGTGCCATGGTTTTCAGCTCCATCAGGTCATTTAAGGACTTCTCTACAGTGAGAACACTGGGACACAGGAAGGGGAACATCACACACCGGGGCCTGTTGTGGGGTGGGGGGAGGGGGGAGGGATAGCATTAGGAGATATGCCTAATGCTAAAGGACGAGTTAATGGGTGCAGCACACCAACATGGCACATGTATACATATGTAACTAACCTGCACATTGTGCACATGTACCCTAGAACTTGAAGTATAATAATAAAAAAAAAAAAAGAAAAGAAAAAGATCAGATTGGACCAAAACAGACACATTTTCTTCACTACTCCATTATCTGGTTTTGTCCTATTTCTTAGGGAGGCAAGATAAGGCGTTGGCATCCTAACTGCAGTGGGTATTCCTTGTTGTTTGATGTGCATATACTTACAGTTTAATGACTCCTTAGTAAGCTCTGTGTGATCTGCAGGTTTTAGGGTGTCCATGGTTCTCCAAGGACACCAGATTCTCTGTGGTGGAGGACAGCCTCGTTTTTCCCAGGCCCTCAGCTCAGGCCTAAGCGAGGCTTGATGTTGTCTTTATACAGTAGTGACTGCCTTGAACAGTAACAAAGGTGAGCAATCGGTATAGGATAGGTAAGGCAGCAGGAAAAGGAGGGATAGGTAACTGATCAAAGGAAATAGAAATAGGCCTTGGGATGGGGGCAGGCAGGTGGGACGCCTCAGGGACCTGAGAGGGACAAAGCACCACGGCAGCTGCAAATGAAGATGGGAACACAGACCCAGGCTGAGAACATGGAGAAGCGAAGGTCCCACATGATGACACAGGAGGAGATGCGCTGGTGGTCACACCTTTCAGGGAGGTGAGTATGAAGAAGAGGAGTACAAACCTGTCAAAATTTTATTTTTAATCTTTTTTTTTTTTTTGAGAATAATTCTCACTCTTGTCCCCCAGGCTGGAGTGCAATGGTGCGATCTCGGCTCACTGCAACCTCCGCCTCCCAGGTTCAAGCGATTCTCCTGCCTCAGCCTCCCAAGCAGCTGGGATTACAGGCGCCTGCCACCACACCTGGCTAATTTTTGTGTCTTTTTTTTTTTTTAGCAGAGACGGGATTTCATCATATTGGCCAGGCTTATTTTTAATCTTAATTCATTAAATGAATGATTGCTACCAGTGTAATTGTTTTATTTTAGGCCCGGAAAAATGGAGGTTAACTTCATTGTCATCTGTCATGGAACTGTGGCCACAAAAAGAGGCGTCTCTCAGGCCAGGTACTGTAGGAGTCCGCCCCCTGCTCCATCTGTATTTTTTCCACTCACAGTCCACCTGGCATGAGAAAGGTGTTGGGATAAAGGTGAGCCCAGGGCACTGTGGGTGCCTCCGAGAGAATCTGAGCTGGGGGAGTCAGGGTCCTTCGAGAGCCTGCCATTAATATGGAGGGGGAAAGCCAGGGCTAGGCTGCGATGGGTGCTGTTGGTGGGGGGGCCAGGCCTGCACTCTGTACGTGAGGGTGAAGCTGGAGAAGGAAGCAGCCTAGAGAGGACCCGGAGCAGGGCAAACACAGATGGAGAAGCTGAGGGCAAGGAAGGGAATGACGTGGGACCCCACCCGTTGTCGGGGGCAGGCTCTGCTCTCCAGGAACAGGTAACACAGTCACTTAGAGAACAGTCACTACTTGCCCTGCCCTCCTGAGTCCCGGGAGGAAAGTGCTCGCCCATTCCTGACCTGTGACACGCTCACTGCGAAGGCAGGTTATTAGAAGAGTCCCATGAAAGTAAACAGGGTATTAAAACGGATCCTTAAAAATGAAAGTGCAGGCTGAAAGTTGGTAGTGTGGGAGGTAGAGGGTGTGTGTTCTTGTGCAGAGGAGCGTGGGGTTTGCAGAGGAGACAGGGGAGCTTTGTGTACCCGGAGCAATGAACAAGCGGCGACTTCTCTACCCCTCAGGGTGGCTCCACGGTCCCAGCGACATGCAGGGGCTCCTCTTCTCCACTCTTCTGCTTGCTGGCCTGGCACAGGTAAGTCCTCTCCCCCGACTCTTTCCCTTCCGGAGGCTATGGCCATCCTTAGTTCTTCAGGCCCAAAACTAAACAAAACGAAGATGGAGGAAGAGGGAGGATCAATGGCTTGTGGAACTACTTCATGAGAAATAGGAAGCCATTTTTCTTTCCAAATAAAGTTCTGTGTTCGTTCATGAGCTTCATGAAAGAAATGTAAAACATTTCTCCCTTTCAGGTAATGGCACCGAAGCCTCCTTTCGCTATGTTTGAACAGCGCCACGCTTTCCTATATATTTTTATAGCAGAGCCTAAGGCACAGCCTGGCACAGTGCGGGAAACAGTGTCTCTCCATGCCAGCTCCAGGCGGAGGCTCAACTTTCCATTGCTGTTTGCAAAATGTGCAAAGAGCCCCTGGAAAAACGAATTTTGACAGCGACTTTTTCCAGTTAAGTCTGTCCTTCTTTGAAAGGGGCACTTTGGAATAAACATTTACATTTTTAAAACATTCTCTTACTTTGTCTTTTCTCAGTCCATGTGTTTCTCACTTCCTGAAAGGGAAGCAGTCCATGGAGGCTTGGAAATATTTCAAGCAACAGACCAAAGGGAAGTTTAACTTACTATGAGCAATTCATTGCCTTAGTCTTTTTAAATAAGAAGATGAAAACAAGGTGACTTAATTGTTGATTTATTTACACGGTAGACAGGAGACAGAGCTTTTGAAATCTGGTGATTTAGGAAACATGGGTGTGTCTGTGAGTTAGTAGTTGATTGGGGCCATAAGTAGTAGATACATCTTAGAAAACAAGGAATTGCAAATTGTTATACCATATAGAGAGAGATTTACGATTTCAAAAGAATCATGACAAGAATGTCAGTGGTCCAGGTCATTGCTGCTGTTCTGTGGAGGGGCTCACTCCCCTGTCTGTGTGCCTCCTATTCCACTGTTCTTGAGAAAAAGCCTGTCATTGTGGATTGAGAGCAGCTAGATGTTCTTAGACAGCAGGTATTCCAACACAGAGAGATGTGTACAAAATAAACAACAACAAACACAGAAAGGTGTTACACAAAGAGCGGTAAAAATGGATTATTTTGTGCTTAACTTTGCTTTTATGAATTCATAAATTCATGAAATAGCTGATAATACCTAGCATTTACTGAATAGCTGCTATATGCCAAATACTGTGCTGGGTGCTTTATTTATTTATTTATTTATTTATTTAGAGACAGAGCCTTGCTCTGTCGTTCCAGGCTGGAGTGCAGTGGTGCAGTCTTGGGTCACTGCAACCTCCACCTCCTGGGTTCAAGCGATTGTTGTGCCTCAGCCTCCCAAGTAGCTGAGATTACAGGCCTACACCACCATGCCTTGCCAATTTTTGTATTTTAGTAGAGATAGGGTTTTGCCCTGTTGGCCAAGCTGGTCTTGAACTCCTGACCTCAAGTGATCCGCCCACCTCGGCCTCCCAAAGTGTTGGGATTACAGGTGTGAGCCACCACCTCCGGCCCAAGGGTGCTTTAGTTATTATCTTAATTATCAAAACAACTTTACAAGGTGGTCATTATTAATCCCATATTACAGAGGAGATCAAATGATGGGAAGTTCTGTAAGATCACAGAGCTGTTGCAAAGCTCGGATCTGTTGTCAAAATGCTTATTCTTTCTATTGCACCATTCTAGTGATGCTTATTGTCCTGAAATTTTGCTGTTGAAAACAATCAAAATATGCCTGAGGAAAAGTGAAAAATATAAGATTCTTTATATTTACCCACATATTGACTATGTCCAGGCCTCTTCATTTCTTCCTGTATTTCTAAGTTACTATCATAACAGAAGATCTTCAGACCGAAGATCCTCCTTTAGTATTTCTTGTGAGGCAGATCAGCTAGCAACAATTTCTCTTAGGTTTTGTTTACCCAGAAACGGTTTTTATTTCACCATCATGTTTGAAAGACAGTTTCACTGGCTATATAATTCTGGATTGACAGGATTTTTTTTTTTCTCCGTTTAACATTGTCTCTGGGCATCTTGTTCTTCTCCATCTCTCCCTCCTCCTCCTTCTTTTGATGAGAAGTCAGATCTCAGTTTTATTGTACTTCTGTATGTAATGCTTCCCCCTTTTCTCAGTCTACTGTTATGATTTTCTTTATTTTGAGATGGAATCACCCTCTGTTGCCTAGGCTGGAGTGCAGTGGCGTGTCTTGGCTCACTGCAACCTCTGCCTTCTGGGTTCAAGCGATTCTCCTGTCTCAGCCTCCTGAGTAGCTGGGACTACAGGTGCACGCCACCACACCTGGCTAAGTTTTTGTATTTTTAGTAGAGATGGGGTTTTGCCATGTTGGCCAGGCTAGTCTTGAACTCCCCGCCTCAAGTGATCCACCTGCCTCGGCATCCCAAAGTGCTGGGATTACAGGCTATTTCAGCTTCATTTTTGAAAGATGGTTTCACTGGCCATATAATTCTGGGTTGACAGGTTGTTTTTTTTTCCTTTCAACATTGTCTTTGCACATCTTCTTCTCAATCTCTTCCTCCTCCTCCGTCTTTTGATGAGAAGTCAGATCTCATTTTTCATGTAATTCAGTATGTAATGCTTTTCTCAGTCTACTGTTATGATTTTCTCTTTATCCTTGGATTTCAACAGTGTTACCTTTTGACCTCAGAGATTATCTGGAAATGCTTCAAAATTGGAAAGTTAAAGAGGCATCCGGGGGCAGTTTTGGGAGTGTGCATTTCATTAGAAAGAACACATGAAAAAGCAGGGAGGAGAAAACCAACCCAGGGAGTCCAGCAAATGGCAAGTCATGGAAGGAGAGTGTGTGAGAGCTAAAGCTCAAGAGGTAGGCAGGAGAGGGCTTTGGATAACTGGCTCAGAAGTTTAGGCTGCACAGTATGGACTATGGGGAACCCCTGATGGGCTTTAAGGAGAGGAGTAATACAACCAGACATGTTCTTTAAAGAGATTCCTCCAGGAGCAACATAGTAGATGCACTTGAAAAGTCATTCTGGAGGGAGGAAGGTCAGTCAGGAACTCGTAGTGACGGTGCTTACTTAGTAGCAATGAAATGGGGAAAAGCATCTAGTTCTGGGAAGACGAGGACAATACAATACATAGGAGAGGGTCACTGAATCGTCATAGGAGGTGAGAGGGAGGAAGACAACCCAGATGAATCCAGCTTCCTGACTCCAAACTTTGAAGAGTGAAAAATGATGACTTTTGGACTTGAGTATTTCCTGGAGGACATTTGGGTGGAGATGTCCAGTAGGTAGTTATCTCACGGGTCCAGGGCTCAGTGGAGAAGTCCAGGCTGGAAATTTAGTTTTGAAACTTGCATAGGATGAAAACTGAAGGCAAGGGTGTGGGTGAGATTGCCAAGACACAGTGTAGAATGAGGCAAGCAATACATTAAAGCTATGAAACACCAATAGGCCTAAATTTAAGTCAAATTCAGGGTAACAGGAGCCTGCGGAGGAGATTGAGAAAGTGCGTTGAAAAGTAAGGGGAGGACTGGGGGGACCAGATGTAATGAAATCCAAGGTAGAGGAGAGTTAAATGCCTTAGAGAGGTGGGGCAAGAGGAGGACTGAAGAGGGTTCACGGATGTGAGACCAGCAAAGAGGCCACTGAACCTGGCATCCTGAATCACTGGTGGCTATAGCTGAACCTGTGCAAAACTGAGATGGAGGCAAAATTTTTTTAAGTTTAAAATTTTTTTAGGATTCTAGCTTCACTATTTCTACTCCCTTCTCCATTTTGATGTTTCCTTTTCCCCTGCTCCTTCTCCAGAAGCCCAGCAGTGTCCTATCCTCCCCATCAAAACCCATTCTCACGTTGTGCATGTAACTTTTGAATCACAGCTGAAACGTTACTCTTTACTGAGGCATATGTGTTTTACCAGTAGTAAGAAAAAAGGCTGAGGGTTTAATATTGGGTGGAATTTCCTACAGATACTTCTAAATGTAGAATTTTTGAGCTGCAAATGGACTTAGATCTAGTAATCAATTCAACAGTCCCTGGTTCCATCAAATAAACATTAAGAGTTATTTACATAAGCAAATTGCCAGGCACTGTGCTAGGTGCTGGTGGTATACTCACAAACAAACCACAAGCACCTGAGGTTGGGTGGCTTTACGGCTAGTGGAAGAGATAGGCACTTACATGGGTAATTTCAGTTTAAAAATGTGTGCAAGGCAGGGAAGTTATAGGAACCTTTCTGGAAAAGATGATACTGAAACAGAACCTTGAAGTATCCTTTAACTAGATGAAGAAGGAGCTGGGTCTGGGCAGAATGTCCCAGGCAGGAGGAACAGCATCATATATGCAGGGAACTACAGGCACTTTAACTTTCTGGAACCTAATGCATACAAGAACTGCAAGACACGAGGAGGGCCCTGAATGCTGTGCATAAGTGCTTGCACATTTCCTGTAGGTCAGACACTTTCACGTGTGAAGGATGAGGGAGAGGAAGAAATCCAGATGGTTTTCAGCTTCCTGACTAGGGGACCTGAGTGGATGGTGACGCCATTCACTAAAATGGGAACTGCTAGTTGAGGAGCAGTTTGTCAGGGGGAGGGTACTTGTAGAACCTCAAAGTGCATATGTACCATAGCAACTAATAAGTTGTAAGCTTAAGGGATGAGGTCTAGGCTGGAGAAATAGATGCAGAGATTTGGTGATTTGTTCTGTATCAAAGCTGGGTTGCAGTATGATTTGGACTAGGAAAGGAAGGAGGGTAAGTGTTGAGAGCTTAGGCTCTGGAACCTGCCTGCCTGATTTAAATCAGTCTTCTATCACTTACTTGATATGTCACATAGGACAACTTAAATAATTTGAGTCTCAGGGTCCTCATTTACAAAATGGAGTATACAGTTTCCTATTGCTGCTGTAAGAAATCACCAACTTGAATGGCTTAAAACAACATGATTATCTACAGTTCTGGACATCTGATGTCCAAAAATGGGTCTTACAGGGCTAAAATCAAGCGTTGGCAGGACTGCCTCCCTTCTGGAGGTGGCAGGGGAGAATCCATTCTTTGCCTGTTCCAGCTTTTAAAGGCTGTCTGGCTTCCTTGGACCATGACCCATTTCAGCAACGGCATCGCTCCTACCTCTGCTTCTGCCATCACATCTTCTCTGACATGCCTGCCTCCTTCCCCAGTGGACCCAATGTACTTGTGATTACCTTGGGCCCACCTGGATAATCGAGAGTGATAACCTCAAGATTCTTAAGTTGATCACATATGCAAAAATCCCCTTCAATGTTTTAGGTAACATATATGCACAGACTCCAGGGATTAGGACATGGACATCTTTGAGGGGACCACTATCTGCCTATCACATGGTATAATCACCACTGCACGCTGTTGCTATGAAGTTTGATTGAAATAACCATGTAAAGTGATTTATAAAGATGGCAGTCATCAAGACAGACATTAGGCAAAGATCTTGCTTTCAAGATGCTCACATTCTTGGTGCAGGTATCAGAAAGTAAACAACTGAAATGTGTAGGTAATAAGAAAGGTGGTAAACTCTACGGTGAAAGGACTGGGATAGGGTGCCCTTTCACAAAGAGTGGTCAAAGAGGGCCTCACTGAGAAATTTGAGCACAGACCTAAAGAGAGTAAAAGAGTGAGCCATGAAGATATCTAGGGGCAGAGTGTGCTTGGAGTCAGAGAACAAGGACGCTGGTGTGGCTGGTGTGGAGGCAGCAAGGGGGTGAGTGGCAGTGGGCAAAGTAATATGGGGAGGGGGGACCACAGGATGCAGGGCCATGGTGGCACTTTGAATTTTACATGGAAATGGGAGGCCATGAGGAAGTCACTCCATATGAGCAAAGAGTGATATGAACTGGCTTATTTTTAAAGAATCATTCTGGATGTCAAGTGGACAAAGGAGCAAGGAAGGTGAACACTCAGGAGGCTATTGTAATCATCCAAGTGAACAATGATGACTTGGATTATGATGGTAACAGAGAAGGTATCAATAAATGATCAAGGTGGGTATTTTTAAAGGTGTAATAAACAGGATTTACTGATGGAATTAGATGTAAAATATGAAAGAGAAGAGTCAAGCATGATCTGATCTCAAGGTATTTTGGAAATATATTGGCATTTGCTTAAATAGGGAAGTGTGTGGAAGAGCAGAGTGGAAGGGGAAGCTTGGGAGCTTGTTTTTGGTCATATTAAATTTGCTATACCTATTAAACATCAAAGTGGAGATGTTAAGTAGGCAGTTTGAGTCTGAGTTCAGAAGAGGGGTATGAGTTGGAGATAAGAGATATAGTGAGGGAAGATACTTTAGAGGCCTTATCCATGGGGCTCTGAGGTTTACAGATTAAGAGGATGAGAAGAAACTGACAAAGGAGAGTGAGAAGGAGCAGTCAGTGATAAAGGAGGAGTAAGAGTGGAATAAGAGGAATAAGAGCCTCCAACAGTCTTGGAGGCTGAGTGAAGAATAGTTTAAGGAGAGTAATTGTGTCAAATGCTGATAGGTGTTATTATAATGATTGTAACTCACCACTCTGTATACTACCTGTTTGGGGGAAATCTTCTATTCCTGTTATACTATTACATAGAGAAGCTATTTCTAACATCACCTTTATTATCAAATGAAGTTCTGCTGCAGGGTACAGGGCACTGGACCATTAGATACAACACCTGAAGGAAGGCCTGGAGAAGTGTCAGATGCACCTCAGCGTAAACAGTTTTGTCACTGGCCCTGCAAATGCCCTCAGCAGAAGCCCCGTTGCCCTCCTGGAGTGAGCCTGGTGAGAGATGGCTGTGGATGCTGTAAAATCTGTGCCAAGCAACCAGGGGAAATCTGCAATGAAGCTGACCTCTGTGACCCACACAAAGGGCTGTATTGTGACTACTCAGTAGACAGGCCTAGGTACGAGACTGGAGTGTGTGCATGTAAGTGTCTTCTTCTGGACCTGCTGGAAAAGATTGAGTCTAGACAGAATTTTTTTTTCCTGCAATTGTTAGCTTGGAGTGATCAGCTTAGTTTGGCTAAATATGAGGTGGGTTTAGTTTTCATGCACCAGTGGGACTGGCTCCATTGTATTGGATACTATGTGAAATTAGCAGATGCTTACACACATTCAGAAGCCCATTATTTTCATTGCACTGAGGTGATTTTGCAGTTCTTCTCAGGTAATTGCTTTTAATGATAGAAAATAAAAGGAATTATCTAGAGTCTGACTTTTTAAAGAGCTACAAAATGACAGCTTTTGTTAATACTGTCAAAAACAATCCGAATTCGGCCTTTTCTGTAACAAAAAATGATCTGCTTAAAAATACTAGAATGTATACCCAGTATTCAGACATACAACTTTAACCTCAGCTTTCCCAACTAATGACCGAGTTGCTGTGCTTTTTACTTCAGCAGATTTGTAAAAAAAGAAGGTGAGGTCACCCCAAACCACAACCTGACCCTCAGCCTTATGTGACTAAGTTCTGGAGACTGATTCAGACCATCTAAACATTGACACTAATTCAGGGTGCCAAATTATTTAGGATTAAACAAATAAAATTTATAAGGGAAGAGAAACACTCATGTCACCTGGGCAGTTTAGTCCGTCTGTAGAAAAGTCAAAGTAGGAAGGCAAATTACTATCAGAAGTTTGGTTATGAGCCATGGAATGAGAGCCTACCTTTGGAGTCAGGCTGAATGTGTAGAGCACTCAAGCTTGATAGCCTGATGCCCCTGCCAGCACTGTATTGTATGGTTAAAAATGTGGGATCTAGGTTCAAGTCCTGACTGCTCTGCTAACTAAATACACTTGATCAAGTTGTTTATTCTCTGTGTGTCTCAGTTACATAATATGTACTTCCTAGCTTATAGAGTTGCTGGGAGGATCAAATAAAATAATGACATAAAACGCCTAGCACAATAGCTGGTATTCAGTAGGATCCCAAAAATGTTATTTATTGGAATCCTATAATGAAAACATGACCTATCAAACAAAGTGGCATTCAGGACACCCATTTTTCCCAAGCTAGGCAGGTTATTTCATTAAACCAACAAACACTTAGTGACCATCCACTACAGAGCCAAGCACTGTGGCCAGCAACTGAGGACACGACAGGAAAAACAAAAGATATAGGCCTTGGCCTCAGAGAATGAAATATTAAGATGTCAGACCTTTCTGTAAGTAATTTCACACAAAATGTGATGAGACTTTTAACAGGGCATAGCCACGAGGATAGGAATGGGGATAATCTATAACTGGAGCCCCAAACTATGACCTGAGGGTCAAATCTAGCCAACAGCCTGTTTTTGTAAATAATGCTTTATTGGAACATGGCACATTAATGTAGAGTCTTTGGCTGCTTTGCAATGGCAGAGTCAGTAGTTTTGACCAAACACTCTCTGGCTTGCAAAGGCTAAGATATTTTCTAGTTGGCTCTTTTCAGAAAACCTGATGATCCCTGATCAAGAGCAACATTTTAAAAGCTTTTTGATCTGCGGACCCCTTTACAGTCTTAGAAATTACCCCTTTATACTCTTAGAAATTAATGAGGACCTAAAGAGGTTTTATGTGGGTTTTATCATTGATATTTGATGGATTAGAAATTTAGAAATATTTATTCACTTAAAAAGAATAAACCCATTGCAGATTAATAAGAATAACGTTTTTATGAAAAAACATGTAACTTATTTTCCAAAGAAAAATTTAGTAAAAGAGTGTCATTGTTTTACATTTTTTGCAAATCTCTCTAGTGTCTAGCTCAATAGAAGATAGCTAGAGTCGCACATTTGCTGCTTCTTTCAATCTGTTACTATGTGTTTTTCTGGTTGAAATATGTGAAGAAAATCTGGCATCACACAGATATGTAATTTGAAAAGGGAGGAATATTTTAACAGGCTTTTCAGATCATTGTGTATATACTTTTATGTTTATTGATATTATATTAAAACTTGGCAAGTGACAGTGCCTTAAAAATTAGCTGCATCATGGAATCTGAAACCATATCAATGAACTTTCGACTCTGTGACATTAAAATGCATTGGTCTATCCAAGACCCATTTGGAATAGATCTTTTACTCATGTATAATTTTGCCATTCTATGCATTGTTCATTTGGAAAATATGTTTACTGTGTTGTAGAGATGTTCAAAATATTGATACACTTAATTATGTAATATCTAAAAAAAATCACATTAATATCATCCTCACCAGAAAAGTCTACATATTGGATAAATATAAAGTTTTCAGTGATGGATACAAGTTTTCCAAAATTCTAATTTTTCCTTGAAATCTTGAATTCTCGCATTGGCAAAAAATGCTGTCACAGTTGTTTTCCTTGAAGTGACAGGCTCAGTTTGCTCATCTTCAAAAAAAATTTCCAAAATACACAAGTCTGAATAACCAGTTTATCATCAGTCATTTCTTCAAGTAAAATTCCCACTAAAAAAAGTGGTTAGCTCAGCTCACAACTTTACCAATGACATAGTTCCTTAAGTTTCCCTGAGAGAGCAGTTTGCTGAAGTTTCAAGACAGCTGTTGCACTAAAATATTCTATGTATATTTCCTATTTTGTCACGTAGAATATTAAAGAGACCAGTATTTGATGATTAAGATTTAATAAAATTAATACTTTTTGCTGTGCCATCAAGGACATTCTTAGGTAAAACTTCCCCCACCCCTTTTAAAGTATAAGTACCTGGCAAGGAAAAATACAAGATTACCTCTACAGTTTGATTCATGCCAAGGCACCAGCAGTTCAGTTTTAGCCACAGTTGCTTTTGTAGCACCGGTGCAAATACCAACACAGTGAAAAAGGCCAGCCACATCTTAGTATTTGGAAAAGAGTTTTGACCTTGCAGATCCCCTAAAAGTGTCTCAGGTACTGCCAAGGGATTAGAGGACCACACTTGGGGAACAGCCTATCCAGAAAGTCAAGAATACCCATCAGAGGAAGGGAAACTCTCCTGCAATCTCTTAACAAAAACCATCAGTACCTTGCGGTTCTGTAGTTAACTAACGTATAGTTTCTTCAGACATTCACTTATCCTGTCTTCCTAAGACTATATCCTAGCCTATTGTTGGATGTCTGAGAAAACCTGTCTCACTAGGCATTAACCTGTCTCAGATTTATTATCAACCACTATACTTATGGTGATTTTACAGGGTCTTTACTTGGTCTTAATTCTGGAAGTGACCATGTGGGGTTTATAGCCTGCAATATAATAAAAATGCCTCACTTTAGAAACCTTTCTACAGATGTCCTGTGAAGGAGGTTCCAAATGGAACCTAAGAGGTTGAGAGCTATACTTCATACAGGAGATGATCCGTTTCTTCTTAGGTTTATAATTGGAGGTCTAGACTATCACAGATCATGGCTTCTTTGGCAATTTTGCTCTTTTCTCTTTTCAGACCTTGTAGCTGTTGGGTGCGAGTTCAACCAGGTACATTATCATAATGGCCAAGTGTTTCAGCCCAACCCCTTGTTCAGCTGCCTCTGTGTGAGTGGGGCCATTGGATGCACACCTCTGTTCATACCAAAGCTGGCTGGCAGTCACTGCTCTGGAGCTAAAGGTGGAAAGAAGTCTGATCAGTCAAACTGTAGCCTGGAACCATTACTACAGCAGCTTTCAACAAGCTACAAAACAATGCCAGGTGCTCAGAAGTAGAGCTATTTTTCACGTATGACCTTGGTGGTATTCCTTCATGTTCCTTTTACGTATCATAGGTACTCAGTAAGTACTTGTTGATTGGTGGTCAGAGTGAGATATAGTTTGAGTGTATCATTTTACTTAATCTTTGCCTCAGACAGGGATAAATATCTGCAAAGGAAATTTTATAATGTTTTAGAATTTTCTGGTAAAACATTTAAAAACATTTTTAAAAGATCTACTAGGTCAGGAAGCTCTACTAAAATCTTACACCTCTGCTTATTTCTAACCTCTTCTCAGGAAAATTGACCAAATATTGTTCACATGTACCCTAGAACAACTTATTTTTATTGTTCTATTATGGGCAAGAAGTTTGACCATTCACTTCCCCAAATTTTAAAAGGTAACATTTCTATGTGATACAGGCAGAAATGGGAGGCTACTGCTGAAAAATATTTAAGAACTGACACATATTTTGAACTTGTAAATATTATTTCTAAAAATAGAAATCTCGTAGGAAGTCCTTTCCCTCACTCTGAAATTGAAGCTCAATTGTTAATCTCTCTGTAAACACACACACACAAACACACACACGCACACACACACAAACACACACGCACACACACACGCACGCACACACACACACACACAAACACACACATGCACACACACAGGCATTTTTAAGTAGGTTACCCATGTATCTATGTTCTCAGAAAAATGAAGTGTGATCCTTCATTACTCATCTTGTGTATCTGGCCATTTCAAACAGCTTAAGTATACTTATAAACCTTGTATTCTGGTCTGCTCTAAGTTAGCATTTTATTTAAGCATCAGCATATTTTGGGAACAGGAGTTTCAGAACCACCAGCAAATAAAGTATAGAGGAGGAGGGACTCAAAAGGGGCAACATCGAAGTCTGGTTCTTGTTCACATCTCTGTGTTCTCATCCAGAAATCAAGAATGCCTTTTTCTTAAAGTTTAGAGCTTAGTGAGAGGTGCCATGGAAATGCAGAATACTTGAATATGTTAACAACTCATGAGTTCACTTTTATTAAGTGGATATTTAATAAAGGCAACTATAAGCAGAGAAATGAGTTTAGATATTTAAGAACTAACTCTATGAAAGGAACATCCTCAGCAACTCCAGTTTTGTCAGTAAATTAGAAAAAAAATTTACTAGGTTGTTGTGAATTTGCATTTACTATACATGTTCAGTTGACAGCATGACACTGTTAATGCTCTGAAATCTCTGAAATTATAAGCCATGTCCTTATTTTTTTTTTTCAAAATGTACAGAACAGTTGGTTTTCTGCATTGGATTTTAGTCATTCAGTATAAGGCTCTTAGAACCCACACATAAACTTCCCTGGGAAGACTACCTTAGAGCAGTTTTCCACAAGTGAAGCCCTTTGGATCAAGTTCAAGTTGGTCTCATTTTAGAAGTTAGAGCAGTTCAGTGGATTCACTTTGACCTTGGTTGGGAGAGGCATCAGATAGTCAGTCTTAGTAGTTAGTGTTTTGTCAGGTAAAACAAGAAAATCTCCTGAAGTGTTCTCTGGTATTTATGATTTAGACCTAGGTGTGTTTCAAATGAAGTATACGTTCAGTCTAATGTCTCTTCTTTGCTTAACTGTGAAATTATATTTATGGCCCACACAGGAATTTGGCTTTTAAAATTAACCATAATGACAAAAACACATACTTTTAGATATATTTGTGACAGTAATTTATAGTCTATGGTTGGAATCTAGCTTTTGCTAGGTCAGTATGAAGCACGCAATGACATAATGCCCTCATGCTTTTTTCAATGCCCTCATGCTTTTTTCAATGCTCACCAAACACTAAGCTTTGTTTAAAAAATCTCTTCTAGTTTTCTTGCTTTTTAATGAATGGTAAATTCCTGAACTACAGCTGTCGGTTTAACAAGTGGGATTACTGGTAACACGGTAATCTAACCTGCCTTTATTTATTGCAGATGTGTGCCAAGCTTCTAATCTGCTTCCTGCATTGAGGTCTTTAAACTGTTGTCTACCTTCCAGGTATCTTCACGTTTCTGCTTCCTCTCCTCAGTTCTATGTGCAATTGCAAGAGACTCTACTGTCATAACACTGAAAGCAGTGTCACAGTATCAATTAAAATAGAGCACATACTTTAAAGAGACTATTTCCTATGAAGAAGGCTTTTTTTTTTTCTGGGTGTTTTTCGAGTTTTAAGTTGATTTTTTTGAAGTAATATAGCCAGAATTTTGCTGTGCAGACTCAAATCACAACCATACTCCCAAAGCATCCATTTCAAGATGCACATTAACCTTAAGGAAATGCCTTGAGACAGTAAGTCAATATGTAGTTTGCTTAAAATGAGCCAAGGGCCTGATTCATTTATAAGAAGAAGCTCCCAGTGACCTTACATGGAAATGGGAGCATTATTAGACCCTCTTATATTCTCTCTTCCCCTCCTATTTCTCCTTAGCAGCACATTGGAAGGGCTCTATCTACTCACTCACTGACCCATCTATTGATCCATCCATTCTGTTTTTTCATATGTAATTCGAAATCTTAGCCAATTGGAGAGTACTTTGGGCCTAAGAACATAGGGAGTGTGACAATTAAGTTGAATGAATGAAATTATACGCTTGCAATGACTTTCTATATAAATGATTAGTTTAGTTCAGTGTAGTATTAATTAGACAGTTTTCTAAAAGACTAGATTAAAACAAATGGAAGAAATCTGGTCTCACTGATAGTCTCATTCTCAAATATAATTTTTGTATTTTAGATTTTAACATATTATGAAAGTTAACATTAAGATCACACTGTTCTGATCAAATTCCCTAATTTTTATTTCAATGTCTGTTAGAAATGATGAGGCAAGAACAAGGGAAAAGACAACTCAACAGGAACATAAGCTTAGGTTTAGTATTCAGAGGACAGGCAAAGCAGAAAAATGCAAATGAGTAAATCTTCTCAGTTTTTCAAAGATAAAGTATTTTTATTCCTCCTAAGAGACTGGACTGTAATACTTGATTGAAAGTTAATTTTGGGGTTGGGAAAGAGGGAGATAGAGTGATAAATTAGACCATCGGCTTCTTTTATTCTGAGTTATATTATACAAAAATACTCAGATTTCTTAAACATTAAACATGATTAAAAATTATCTATTTATACAAGTACATTTATATGTATACATATGTACTTTTCTCCCTTTGTTTTAGCTTATAGAAATCTCCCACTTATTTGGAAAAAAAAATGTCTTGTGCAAGCAACAAAATGGACTCCCTGCTCCAGAACATGTGGGATGGGAATATCTAACAGGGTGACCAATGAAAACAGCAACTGTGAAATGAGAAAAGAGAAAAGACTGTGTTACATTCAGCCTTGCGACAGCAATATATTAAAGACAATAAAGGTAAAGTTTAAATATATTTAACTTAATTCAATATTAAGAGATTCCTGAAAAGTAAGCATGTGTGTGTTTTGGAGGGTGGGATGGTGTTTAGTTCTTAGAAAAATAAAAGCATCTCATTATAATGCTTAAAGTCAAACTATTTCAGAGGAAAACAGGTATTAACTGCATGTTGTGGGGAAAATTTTACCAACCAGAGCAGATTCTAACTTCTTTTTTCTATGTTAATGAATAAAAGATTTTGGTTGCTACACTATAATTATGAAAACAGATATTATGAACATCAGAGTAGAGAAGTCCTGATCTTAGTTATATATCACTAACTTGGAAGGAAGCCACACCATTTCCAAAATGCTCTATGCTTACATAGTAAACTTGCTAAAACACTATGATAAAATATTTACCCTAAGATTGTTTGGTATAACTAGAGCTGGTCCTGCTTCTTGAATGAGGCAGTAAGTCTGTCTCAAAAAGGGTAATTTTTAGAAATGCTACACAATCCTTCTACCCCAAAGTTATTCTCTATCATATTAGCAAGTTGACAATTCAGTTTTAAAGAAAGATTAGGATAATTATTCATCTATGCATCCACTGAAAACTGTCTGGGCTGTGTTATGGAATTTGCTAAGTCTTAGATAAATATTTAATAAGACATGGCTCTTGATATTAAACAAAACAGAAATTTCTATTTATTGTAAAATTGAGTCAAGAATAGATAGCAAAAAACATTGAGGAGTACGTGCTATAATATGATGAAGAATAGAGAGGACAGACCTCTGATAAGAAGGGGATCTTAAGGGTAAAGAGAGTGCTGGAAATCACTACATAGCAACTTTTATTAATGCCTCCAAATACTCAGATTTGTACTATAAACTATTCTACATGTTTTCAAAACTATTGTAATAAAATTTAAAGAATGACTTCATTTTATCTATCTTTTCAGATTCCCAAAGGAAAAACATGCCAACCTACTTTCCAACTCTCCAAAGCTGAAAAATTTGTCTTTTCTGGATGCTCAAGTACTCAGAGTTACAAACCCACTTTTTGTGGAATATGCTTGGATAAGAGATGCTGTATCCCTAATAAGTCTAAAATGATTACTATTCAATTTGATTGCCCAAATGAGGGGTCATTTAAATGGAAGATGCTGTGGATTACATCTTGTGTGTGTCAGAGAAACTGCAGAGAACCTGGAGATATATTTTCTGAGCTCAAGATTCTGTAAAACCAAGCAAATGGGGGAAAAGTTAGTCAATCCTGTCATATAATAAAAAAATTAGTGAGTATAAAATGGTGGCAAATCTACTTTGTTTAAAACAGTATGAATGCCTATTCTCAGATCACTACATTTAAGGCATTAGAAACTTTTAAAAAGTTATCTTAAAAATATACATAAAATTTGAACAACTTAAAAATTGAACTAATTTCTAAAATATATCCTATAATTATATAATACACAGACATTTGTTACCATCTAAGCATTTTGTATATGAAAAAATTATGCAATTTACAAGAAAATATTTTACAAAATAATCTGGAATACTTGCTAAAGCTGTATAAAAAGTATACTAAATTTTAGGCTGGGCGCAGTGGTTCATGTCTGTAATCCCAGCACTTCGGGAGGCCAAGGTGGGCAGATCATTTGAGGTCAGGAGTTTGAGACCAGCCTGGCCAACATGGTGAAACCCTGTCTGTAATTAAAAAAATACAAAAATTAGCCAAGTGTGGTGGCATGCGCCTGTAATCCCAGCTACTCGGGAGGCTGAGTCAGAAGAATTGCTTGAACCCAGGTGGTGGAGGTTGCAGTGGGTCAAGATTGCACCACTGCACTGGCACGGAGAAGCGAGACTCCTTTGGGGGAGAAAAAAACATACTCAATTTAAAAAATTTAATCTATATTTGACAATGTAGCCTAAGGTGCCCATTAGTTGATACATCATTATAGGGCAAGTGAAATTCTAGATTAATTCTTGAACAGAAATAAGATTAAGCTGTAAATATATTTAGACTTTTCACTGCCTGATCTTGAATATCAGTTTCTTTTGGAAAGGAGAAAATGCAACTTTTCTGGCCACTGTTAACAACTGCAATCTAAAATTTTTTACATCAAATATTGTAAAAAGTTAAATTTCCAAGACAAAGACCAAGAACAGTATCATTACTTTGCAAAGGAAAGAAATATAAAGAATACAACTTAAAATTAACCTGTGGATCTGAAATATAAAATGTTATTAAAAATAAATTAATGTTAAGGCTAGAACTGAAGATTATAGTAACCGGAACAATTATAGCCATTTATTGCAAAGTTTGGAAGATATCAAGCTTAGTAACATTCTGTTCATTTGCATAAATGTCATGCAGAACAATAACAAGTAGCACTGTTGAAAAATATAGACATTTATTATAAAATCAATTGGTTTGATAAGAAAGCAATTATTTAAAAAGTTTAATACAAATACATGTTAAGTGTACAAATTAGGATTCTTTTGGGCAAACAAGTTGTTATCTAAAGAAGAAGCAAAACCTCCTTAACAGTTGTAATAAAACCTATGCCTGAAAAGTTGGTGGCTATTACACGGAAATATTTATATTGTGTTCTTCTACTCCCAATAACTACTTTTAAAGAATCAGGATAACTTAAATAGAATATCAAAATATAAATTATAAATAATTATAAAAATATATCTGTACAAGATTTTTATTGAAGACACATCAGTGCATAAATGCCTAAATATGAGGCTATAAATACAGCAAAATATTCAAGAACTATGTTATCTCAATTTTAGAAAAGGGAACTTTTCTGAAGAGAAATGTTTGAAGTTAAGGTACTAAGATTTCACTAATTTCACACATTGGTATTACCAACAAATTGCGATTAAACAGAAATCACTCTTTTAGACAAAAATATTTCCCGATAATATGAAAAAACTGGAGTTTCCAAATTACAAAAATGTTGAAACAGAAAGGTCAGAAAAAACAATGTGAAATTAAGAAAGTATTTTTGAGGGTTTCTTTTTCACATAGCTATGCTTAGTCTGGGTAAATCCTGCACAGGCATGTTTTTTGTGGCGTCCAGTTGGTCATATTCCTGTATGAGTGCTGATAAAGATGACACAGCTTCTGTGAAACAGCTTTCTTCCATCCCTTCAACTTGTAGATAGTGATGAAGGTGAGCCTATAAATTAAAAAATTAGGTAACGTTTACCATTTCAGGAACTTTAATACATAAGACTATCCTAAAAGGTAAATATTCCTTATTAAAATTAGAGTTCATTCAGCTCTACATTTGAAAGAGAACTTGTGTCAAATTGAATGAATCCTATAAACTCATGAATTTTCTCATTTAGAGTAAAAGTAGCATGAGTAAGCCTCTCCTCTTCAGTTATAATCAGTACAACGCACATAATAGAAAACATCACCCCTGATTTGTAATAGTGTAATTTTTAAGAATACATCTTAAATAGCCAAAATAAACACATACAGTTACAAAGCTGTACAATAATTACCTTTTTCTTGTAGAGCCTCATGAATCTCTCTTTCAGTTCCATGAAGGTGGGCTTCACACATGTGTTATTTGCTAAAGCTAATAACGAATGAGAATGGCCCACAGGAGGTACGGAACACAGGCTGGTCTTCCAGCCTTCTTGATTCCAGGAGACAAATTGTAGAGATGGTTTTAATCTGAGATTAAAAAAAAAAATCTCAGAAGGTGAGAACTAAGGTACTAAAAATGTCTGCCATATAATGGCAGCTCATATTAGTTAAACCAGAACATTATGGATGGTATCAATCTACTTGCTTAGTTTAGACGCTAAGTTATCTATTTTTTACTATTGGCAGTAACATGGTACAGTCTGATAGTGAACTAAGAGACATTTTGTAGGGGAACATTAAATTGGCTGTGTTGTGATTCAAGAAGCTAGAAACTCATTCCTTAAGAGTAGAAATCTAGGGATATAAAGAAATGAAGGTACTACCATTTTCCTTACTTTGTAATTCAACAGACTAGTTTTCTTACAAATAGAATGAAATAGTAACACAAAAATCAGAAGTAGTAGTAGTACTACTATAGTAGTACTGGTGGCAGTGGTAATAAAAATAGTATAGCTACGATTTTCTGAACACTTTCATAAAATAAAACATGTCATATATCATTTAAGACTCCTAAATAAAAACCATGTACTATTATTATCCTTATTTTACACTTGAAGAAAACAAGGCACAAAGAGACTAAGTAGTTTGTTCACAGTCACACTTTAGTAAGTGGCACTGCTAGAATTTGAAGGGCGGCTGTTAACTAACTACTATGCCACACTGTCCCAAGCAGCACACACAAATTATCTTTAAAAATATAAACCAAACCTTTCAATATTTCTACGAAGATCTGAAATTTGTACATTTCCTCTAACCATGAGTGCACAGGCGAGGTAAAGACTGTGTTTGGGGTCTGCCCGAAGCAGCTGGTGATCTTTACTAAAGGCATCTGAAAACATCTGATCCAATCTGCAACAATGAAATTGTCATTGTTTATACAAAATATTACTTCTTTCTATGTATAACTATAAAATGAAGATAGTCCTCTATAAGTAAGAAACCACACTAAATATTACACTAACAAAATATTAGATTATATATATTCTAAAAATATTAAATAACTATACTTTTCTTGAAGCAATCTTAATGATATGAGAAGAGAAGAAATCATATAATATTTTCTTTTTCTGGGGGAAAAGGCTTCTGCAGTATATGGGTGATTTCAGGTAGCTACAAAATGTTGACTGTAGCATTATGAACTCTATGTAGTACTGATTTTTGAAACTTGTATTATTATTACTTAGTTCGGTATACCTTATTTATTTCATAGTATCCAAACTACTAAAACTAATTAAAAGCCTAGAACATTAAGACTATTACTTTGTAAAGTATATTATATCATAAATTTTGTTAACAGGAGGAAATTATCAAAGGACAATGTGAAGCTCTCCTATAAAAGATGAAACTCCATAGTAGTTCTCCTAAAAGTAGAGACTTTTAACCTAAGTCTTTTAACTGAAGGATAAAAGACAAAAGAAAATAAAGGTGACTGACAAAGTTTATATCTAACAATACACAGACTCCAATGCTAGGCTGATGCCAATGGACATTTAATAATCACCATGTTGCATACACTGTGTATGTTGCTTAGCTTGTTAAGGTCATCAGCATCCCATGCAGAAACGGAGTCCTATCTATTAGTTGGCAAAGTGGTCATTTGCTGTTGGCTTAGATGAAAACTTACCAATATCACTTGTGACATTCCTGAAGTATAGAATTATCTTGTCAAAACTTTAGTTATAAAAAAGAATCTTTAGTTTTCTTTAAAAACTTTTAAAAAATTATTTTCAATCTGTTTTAGAGACAGGGTCTGTCTTCCTTTGTTGCCCAAGCTGGAGTGCAGGATCAAAATTATAGCTCAATGCAGCCTCAAACTCCTGGGTTCAAGTGATCCTCCCACTTCAGTCTCCAGAGTAGCTGGGACTACAAGTGCAGACAGGGTCTCACACTATGTTGCCCCGGCTGGTCTTGAACTCCTGGGCTCAAGTGATCCTCCCATCTCATCCTTTCAAAGTGTTGGAATTACAGGTGTGAGCCACTGCACTCAGCCAATTTAGTTTTCCCTTTCTTATTTACATACTGTCTCCTTACAGAGTTTGGCAGGACTTTTTCCCTCAGTCAACTGTGAATGCCACTGTGAACTTTTCAAGCTCATCATCAGTATACATGCTAAGAGTATCTTTCAAAACTACATTTTTTGTTAAGTATACTGATGTAATCTTTATGCTTAACAATGACACACAGTTATAAAGCAAGGTGTTCTGGAAAACATACAGAGTTACATCTGAAATTCTTCTATGGTACTGGGCTGTGACAGTAGCTTTAAAACAAACTCTCATTTAATCTACCCAATAAGTATATGAGGTAGGTACTATTTCATTTTTACAGATGAGAAAAACTAAGAAAGTTTAAGTCACTTGCCCAAAGTCCTGTAGCTAGCGACAGTTAGGATTCAAATGTGTTTGTCAGACTTCAAAGGACTTTTCATAAGCCTACAAATTTAATCATTAGATTTAAGTTCAAATAGTTTAATACTGGCATTTTTCAACAATTACTTCTAAATAAAGATGCATTCATCTAATGCAAAAATGGATGTCATCAACTCTCACAGATAAGATGATACAATTAAATAACTAGAGTTATTGCAAACTTTTTTCTCTTAAAAATGTTTTTTAAAGTAATTTGAGGCCTCAAAAAATTGAAACAAAGTTACACCTTACCTTCTAGGAGGAATGTTAACATCTGTCAGTGTATACAGAGGTGTTAGGCTTGACACGAGATAATGAAGTTGAGGAAAAGGAACTAAATTCATGCTGATTTCATTAAGGTCCATATTAAGGGACCCTTCAAATCTTGCAGAGCTAAAAAGTTAACATTAAAATGAGAAAATTTTTAATTTTAAAATTATACACTTTAAATGTAGCTCGATTTATTCAGCAGGTAGTTTCTTAAATTCTTTTGTACACTGTTCTTCAGTGCAGAACACATGCTTTTCTTCCATATTAGTGAAAGTTAGTATCAGAACAATCATGTATAAAATAAAATATAACACACAACATCTACATTTTTTTTTTCTTTCTTTTTTTTTTTTTTTTGAGACAGGGTCTCGCTCTGGTTGCCCAGGCTGGAGTGTAGTGGTGTGATCTCAGCTCACTGCAACCGCCGCCTCCCATCTCAGCCTCCTGAGCAGCTGAGACTACAGTAGGCATACAACACCTTGCCTGGCTAATTTTTGTATTTTTTGTAGATATGGGATTTTACCATGTGCCCCAGGCTGATCTCCAGCTCCTGGGCTCAAGCAATCTACCTGCCTTGGCCTCCTAATGTGCTGAGATTTACAGGCATGAGCCACCATGGCTGGCCCTACAGTCATTCTTTCTGGATTATCTGAAGTGTAATCAATATACTATTATAGTTGCTCATTACACATATAAAAATATCCTATTTAAAACAAACTTTATATTTGAGTTAAACACATATAAGTCAATAATTAGTAACTGTAGAAACAACTAATTTCCTCAAGAATCTGCTTAATATACTCTATAATCTAGAATATAATAATGTCAAAGCAATCTCTGATACCAAAAAGCCACAGAAATCTTTTGGACCAGTTAATGAGGAGGTACAGATTAGTTGGTTTAAATGATTAAGACATTCTACAGCTAAAAAATGTTTAATTTTGTCTACGTGTTTTACAAGTGTGTCAACCACAAAATCTTTTACATCATATGATATCTGTTCATATTCCATGGAACATACTTGGGGAAATGCTGCTTTGGAGTCATAGAAGGTAAAATTCTGCGTGATCACTCCAAGAAAAGATAGAAGACAAAATAAAAACAGAAGCAGCTTCTACAATTTAGAATAACTAAAAAATGCTACTACAAAAATTCAAAATATCTCCAAAAGCACAATAAAGTTTTTTGACTATCCCTGGATAGAATTACCTCGTTAGGTTGAGGAGCAAATTTGCCACAATGTTATTCATTGCATCAAAGGGCTTCTTATGCTGCTTTTTTAAAGCCCCAGAACTTGAAGTAACCAGACTCTTTGGCTTCACAGTTGTACCCAACTTTCCAGAATTCACCATGAGGTCGATTTTGCTAATGATGTCAAATAAAGACTTTTGAGGGAAAAACATTGGGAGAGAAGCTATTAAGAAGAGTGGATGTAGATGATATTCTACTAGGAAAGAGAAAGAAAAACAATTTAAACTGATTTTTTCTCTAAGAAGGCTGAAAAGTGAAGAGAACGTTTCATATAAACACACATACATAATACAGGACTGAATATATATAACATTTATTCATAAGTTCCAATGTCATTTCTTACTTGATTGTCAATGGGCAATACACAGTCTGCATGCTCATTAAGTTCCTTCATTGCCAAGATGCTATTATAAGGTGAGGTTATGACATCATCCTCACCAGAAGGATAAATGGAAGTCACAAATCTGTATACTTCTGGGAATTCGTCTTCAAGCACCTTTAAAAGAAATGTGCCAAGTCCAGATCCTGTTCCTGAGGATTAAAGTGTTTTTAAAAATTAGCATAAATGATTCAGAATATAATTGTGAAGAATTTGAAACTTTATTTTTTTTGAGACAGGGTCTTGCTCTGTCACCCAGGCTGGAGTGCAGCAGCATAATCAGCTCAATGCAGCCTTGACCTCCTAGGGTCAAATGATCCTCCTGCCTCAGCCTCCCAAGTATCTGGGACCGCAGGCATGAGCCACCACGCCTGGCTAACTTTTTAATTTGTGTAGAGATAGGGTCTACCTATGTTGCCCAGGCTGGTCTTGAACTCCTAGGTTCAAGCAAGCTTCTGCCTTGGCCTCCCAAAGTGCTGGAATTACAGGCATGAGCCACCACACCTGGTCAGAATTTATATTTGTAAAAATAATTTTCAGCTTATTTCTGTGATTATATATTAACTAATCTAATTTTGGATAAGGAAATGAAGGCAACATTCAGGAAATGAAGTCCTGAATTCCATCTTTGGTTCTGACAGTGAGTTTGGGAGGGCCGTCTATATCTCACTCCTTTTCATATTTAAGTTATACCTATATAATGCCACAAGAACCAATTGCACATGCACAAGTAAAAAATTCAACTAAGACGGTGTTCAGTCTACATTTGATATTAAGCAACTTAAGAAAACTAACTTGACAGCTTTAGTGTAGTGTGTATATAATCTTGATGAAAAAAACTATCATGTCATCAAGCAACTTAAACAGAGTTAAAACTGTTTACAATTAAGCATGCCTACCTCGAATTTCAAAAATTTTCAAATATGAAACACTACTTATTTAAAAGCAGAAACTCGAGGAATCTCATTAAAGATAACTTTCTGATACATCAAGTTACATTTACATAAATTCAGAAATTTTTCAGAACTTAAAACTGGAATCCTCTAATCCGATGTTTTTCAAACTGGGTTCTGAACTATTAGTAGGCTATGAAACTAATGAACAGATTAGTACTGTTTTCTTAAATGAAACAGTAGAAAATAACATGTCAGATGTAGTATGAGTAAATAACATTTTCTTAATATATTTTTTCATGTGTGTATGCTGCATTGTGATATATAAAATGTATTTCATACTATTCTGGTTAAAAAAAACTTTAAACACCAATGTTCTAATCCATGCAGATAACTATTAAAAGGCTATGATGCTAAAAATACTAAGTCAAAGTGAGGGAGATTCTTGGGGTGATCTTTAATGAGAAGGACTTTCTAAGCGTCACAAAAAAACCAGAGCCATTACAGAAGAGACAGTTTTGATTTCATTAAAAATAAACAAAACTTCTATATATACTTAAAAAAACCCATAAAAAATAACAAGACAAACTTACAAAAAAACCCTTCAATACATATGATGGGAAGGACTAAGTTTCTCTAAGAAAGAGTTCCCACAAATCAACAACAAAAAATACGAATAATGCCACCACGAAATGGGCAAAGGATAGAAACATTTAACTCATAATAAAAGAAATACAAATTGCAAATAGAAGTAAAGATGCTCAACCTTTCTTCTAATTAAGGAAATACAAATTAAAACTAAATACAATTTTGAATATAATAGATTTATGTCTCATGATACTCAGTATTGGTGCTAGTGTAGGGAAATAGAAACTCATACACATTGTTGCCAGTAAGAAGCACTGGTGCAATATTGTAGGAAGGTATATAGGTAATATCAGCCAAAATTTAAAATGTACATATGCTTTGGTCCTATCTTTTTCTTAGGAATACTGTCTAAAGCTATAGTGGCACAAATACAGAAGTATTTGTCCCAGACTTTCACTGATGATTGGATGTAAAAACTAAACACCATAAACACTTAATACCCATAAATAACAAACTCACTTTAAACTGTATAATTGATTCTATGACAGAGAGCTGATATGGAAAGATGTCTGAGAAAGAGATAAAGTGGAAAAGTTACAGTATAGTATATATTGGATAATCTTGTTTATGTAAAAATATACATACATGCTTTGATAGGCATAGAATATATCTGAAAGAACAGACATAAAAAGACCCTGCAAACCTGATCATCTGTAAGGACAGGGAGTAGGCATTAGATGTGGGGAAAAAAGAACTTTACTTTTAACCTTTAGTATTAATATTTATTTTTGCTATTTTAAGTGAATTGTAAGTATGTTCTTCTGAGATGTTGGGTAGTAAAGGTATTTTTTAAAAAGGTATAACGAACTATAAATCAAATAAAAAGCTAGCTCAAATTTGCAGGTTAATTATACTAGCACAGAAACAAATTTGTTTCTTAACCGATGATTATGAGGATCTTTTAAAGACATGGTTACACAGCAATTTTAACTTTTAATCTTAAAATGCTATGTCAATGAATAATATGTATAAAAATCAACTGTACATACACCTAACTTGCTGAATATAAAATCTTAATCTCAGGTTGGAGGAAAAAAGTGTGACCATTTTGTTCTTTTAAAATTTGCTAAGCGTATTTAAAAATCAGCAAGTTACATTCTGTTTCTATTTTTACAGAACAGGGGAGCAAAATACTTCAGTTCTAAGGTATAGACTTCCCTGGGGGAAGAAAGCAATGCCAATCATTTATTTTTACTTCAAGTTGATTAATTGCCATGTAATAAATGATCTAAAGGAATTGACTAAACTAGTTTCCTTTTTTTTCTCTTTTTGGAGACAAGAAAGGTTTGAAGATGGTTAAAGAAAGGGTATTAATATCCTTTGGCAAGCACACATCATGAGCACGTCAAAAATGCTTCACTCTAGGAAATAGGACTGTACAGGCAAACTCTAAGGAGAAAGTCAGCATTTCTCAAAAGCTCATACATCCTGAAAAGTATCTGAATGTTCTGTAAAAGAAACTAAAGGTACAAGAAAAAAAATTTTCCAGTATAGTTCTGTTGACTCTTAAGAGGGCTTACATTAAAAAAAAAAAAAAAGAAAAGAAAAGAAAATAGTGACATAATTCCACAAAATTTTAAGATAAAAAGGTGTATGTTTATATACTCAAACTACACACCCTCCGAATAGTTCTATCTTTATCAAGCACAGGTCTAAAAACAAGACTTACGTTTGCAAAATGAATTCCCACTTATCCTTTAACACTGTTACAGGCAAATGAGTGAAAAATTTTACCTCCTCCCATGGAATGTATTATAAAGAAACACTGCAAGCAATCACAGTGCTCTGCCGACTTTCTGAATTTCTCTAAAATCTGGTCTTGGTAAAGACTGCCGAAAACTTTGTGACCCACGGCCCTGAAAATTAGAATATGGATTTTAAAAATTCCTTGCATTTATTTTTTTATTTGATTAGTTCTAATCTAAATAAAAGGATTTTAAACAAATTTGAAAAGTATTCTTATTGAGCTAAGTAAAGTCTATTCTTGTTTCATGTAAATAAATCATACAATATCCTGAAGATACTAGATAGAAAACTTAACAAATATTCAGTATCTATAATCCTCAAATATCTGGATAAGTAAGCTCATTAGTAGTGAATATTAAACTATGATTTTCTAAATTCATCTTAACCTTCTCTTAAGGTACAATTCCAACAAAACAAGATTGCAGTTACATAATTTTTTCTTCTCTCCATTTAAGGCAAACTCTGAATTGTAGTGGATTTTACATACTAAAAAGCAAAATGTGGTAAACTACAGAGACACTGAAAATCAAAAATTTAAACAAACCTATTCTGGTTTCATATATGAGAAAAAAAAGGTCACATCATGTTATTAGATGAAATGGTACATGGTAGAAATTGATAATCATGCAGCTCTGCAAGTCTTTTTAAGTTGTCCAAATTTGCAAATATCACTATGATGAATTAAAACAAAAGATTTTCCCATAATATGCATTTCAGGTATAACTCAAAAGTTACATAATAAGTTATACAACAATTAGTAAAAATGCAGTTAGGTGGTCAGATGGGCTCACTTACTAAGTGACTGGTTCTCTGGGAACACAAGATTCAAATTTATGCCTTAGTAAAATTACATATTATTCCGCATTATGAACCTGAGGGACTGGCTGCAAATAGTGAAAATAATGAATATGAGAGATTTGCAAATAACAAGGAGCTAATTTCTAAAAAACAGCAACAGTCTCAATGTGAATTCTTAAGTAATCACTGTTGAAGCTTTTTTCACAGTAAAGAGAAGAGACCATTATATACTCAAGGGCCTAAACAGCCTTAGGCTCAGCTTGAATGCTAGGATACTGGTCTGGCTTGCATCTCTACCAATTGTATTACATCTGACCAATTGGACAACTTGAGAGTGAGTCAAATAACATAGATAACAGTTAATGAAAGTACTTAAAACATTTGTCATTATTTAATGTTCTTCAAGAATTTATGAAACGGAATTTAGCAAATTAATTTTTCATAATTCTTCTTTTTCTTTAAAAAAGTTAGAAAGAACTAGGAGTAAATACAGGTGGCTTCCAAGCCACTATTTATTAAGGTGGTGGGCTGAAAGGCCTAGCATTATGTGGCAAATTACATCCTGTTTCGTATCAGCAGAATCTCACAATGAAGAAAGATTGCTCATTTTTTTCAGAAGATATTCAATTTTTACGCTGTGTATTCTCACCAATTATTTCCTGAGCCAGAAATATCAGTGATGAGCTGTTTCGTATCAAATACATCTCTCAGTGGTCCCTGCAGAATTTCATTCACTACCCCTTCTTCCATATCAATCAAGACTGCCTGAGAAAGAAAAATAAAATATAATTAATGTATTTTCTTTTAGAGTTATTCACTCTGTAAATGAAAAGAATTTATGCGCTGAATATTGCACTGTTCTCTTTATAGTTTAAGCTTAATTAAAATCTTTACGTAGAATCTGTTGTAAAAATTAAAAAAGAATTTCACTCTGTTTGAAAGGTGGAATCCAATTAAAAAATGGATTCTAAATTCTTTTATCCTACTCCAAAATGCCTAGTTGGGGGAAAAAAGCCCAAGAATAATCCCCTCAACTGTATTTCTAACAAGGTCTCAGAAATGTAGAAGGTATCCTTAACCAGAACAAGTTCTCAATACAGGATGCATGAATGTACTTGCATACTAGGAACAATCATGCTGCTCTTTATGAACCACAGCTCAAAACTGTCCAACTCAAATGAGTAAATTTACCATTACGTGCAAAGCAAAGGCACTGGATAGATGTAAAAAATGACAACATGGTCCCTTCCCCCAAGTAATTCACAATCTAATTCATTACTACAAACTTTAGCTGACATGACAGAAAACATACACTCCTAAGAAGAAATGAGAATATAAAACACAAAATTAATTATGGAAAAAAAAAAAACAGAAAAAAAAAAAGATGAAGGACATCTAGTAAAACGTAAAGCAGGGATAGCTTGGCAGTAGGATTACATGTCCCGTCCTCCCACTTCCCTTACTTTCCATATATTCTACAGCGAGGAAGAAGAGTAAAAAAGTAAACTAAGTAGAGTTAAATAAAAAAAGCAAAGCTGAAACAAATTCTTAGGGTACACTAAACAATGATTTGTTAACTGTTTGATTCAGTGTCACAGAGGAAGTGCTCGGTTTATGGCTTTCAGTTCTGTTACCATATAACATTAAGCAGTGAGTTTAATCATGTGTGTAATTAACCATGCTACTTCAAGATATTACAATTAAAATAATACAGCAGTATATCATAAAGACTATAAAACTATGTTTTACAAATGTGCTCCTTTATATAGAGCAATCATATATACACTTTACATACAGAGGACTGTATAGGATTATGTTTGGCAATGTTAGGTATTTTCAAGCATATTTCTGACAATATGCAATTTTGACCTCAAATGCTGACTTTAACACCTAAACAAACCAAAGAGAGACTTCACTGTATGGGCAAATTTTAGTACTACAAGTTGTGAGATTATAAAAGAAAAAGCAAATTGGATTATACTGGCCTTGTTCCAAAATAGATTTATTGAGGTATGTGGAAGATTAAACATACATAAATCATACCCTCAATTACTCTGCTATCTGGCAAGGGAGGCAATATGCAAATACAAACTGATATTCAGGTACCTCCTGAAATTAGTTTTGATAGAATCATCACTGTCCTAGTCACTTAACATTAAAATCCTGACATATAACTCTTCCAGACCTCCCTTAGTTACATCAGGCCCTTGTTTTTCCTTTGGAAATTAACTAAACTTTGGGAGAGTATTTTGGGTTCTTCACTTAGGCATCCAAGGTCTGGAGTCACAACTGTTCCAGGATTTGATGTTTGTACTTCCTTTCAGAGCCACCTGGCTTTACAATTGTAACAGGATTTATAAAATTCTGAGTATTTATTAACCTAAGAAACTGAACACAGTGAAGGGACCCAAGCACCAAGTTATCTTGTGAAGCCTGGACTCTTCAGTGATCACAACCACATAATACCAAGAGCTCTTAAGGAGAAAATGGAAGAGTACCTTCTCGGAAAAAAAGTCAAAGGCTACAAAAACACGCTGATTTATTTTTTCCTAATAGTGTTTCCTTCACCTCTCAATCTGCTTACTGATACGGTTGTAGGAAAAAGATTCAACTGGGAGTAGTCTAGGAAATGTCAAAGTCTCTTTTTCTCTAAGATTTGGATTGGGATACCTGCTCTCTCTACATCACAAAGCATACTGTGTTAGTCAATTATTGTAACAGCCTGCAAGCACATGATCTCTGCCCTAAATTTTGTTTTCCAAGGACATCGGAGATTGCAGATACTAGATGATTCCCAGATGTCACAAAACTATTGCTCACCAGTCTTTAAGCTACTACACCAGGTCTGATCCTTGGCATCTCAATTCCTTCCATAACATTTTTTTTTTTTTTTTTTGAGACGGAGTCCCGCTGTCGCCCAGGTTGGATGCAGTGGCGCGATCTCGGCTCACTGCAGGCTCTGCCCCCCGGGGTTCACGCCATTTTCCTGCCTCAGCCTCCCGAGCAGCTAGGACTACAGGTGCCCGCCACCTCGCCCAGCTAATTTTTTGTATTTTTAGTAGAGACGGGGTTTCACCATGTTAGCCAGGATGGTCTTGATCTCCTGACCTTGTGATCTGCCCGCTTCGGCCTCCCAAAGTGCTGGGATTACAGGCGTGAGCCACCGCGCCCAGCACCTTCCATAACATTTAAACTTTCTTTTCTATTATAGTCAAAGATCACTGATCAAAAATCAGAAAAAGTAGTTCGTTACAGACAATCACAGAAATATTGTTGGAATGATTAAGACTGTAAATAAGACTGTAAATATGGGCTAAGAACCTGAAGTACTTGGTTCAGGAGAACTTATATGGTGAATGGTTTTTATTCACTACAATGTGGCTGGTTCCATGTTTTTTATTGGTAGTAACTTTGATGCAAATAAATCTTCCAGTATCTTTAAATAAAACATTAAACTGTACTAGTACGTATTTCAGGTCCTTAGAGTTAAGAATGCTCCTTTTGTTATCATTTATCTAGACACTATTTCTCCTGAAAACAGGCTAACTACAGTGTTTTAAAGTATGGGCTTTTCCCCCTAATGTGTTAGGTGGACACAAATGTCTGCTTAGTTATATTTATATTAAATGTGGCTTAGTAATTTTTTTCTACTTTGAAAAGTTTAAAGTTTTATTCTCATGATAGTTACTGAGAATAGTTATTTAAAAAATACATGTAATATAAGAATCCAAGCATATGTATCTTACTCGTGCTTTTAAAGAACATATTTTTCCCTTGGAAATACTTCCACCATCACCAACCACTCTGAAAGATAAAAAAATGAGAAATGGTCATAAGATCTTCCATGGCTAATAGCACTATCAGGTGATAAAGTTAACTTCCATTTATATAATAAGACTGCTTATAGGCCAGGTAAGGCAGACACAACAGCTATTCCTAATCTCTTTCTTCCTTGCTTACCTCCCATTAGGCTGAAAAAGTGAGGTACTTAGTTTCCTGGCTTTCTTTGTAGTTAGGGCTGGCCATGTAATCCAGTTCTAGCCAATGAGATAAAGGGGAAGTATTCTGGGAAGCTTTTAAAGAAGGACCAGATGCAGTTGGTGCCTATCTTCTTTCTTTTTCCTGCCTCAAACTTGAATATGGATGTGATTCCTGGAGAAGACTGCCATTTTATAGTCATGAAGTAATAATACAAGTACAAAAAGCCAACACACTTATGGACAGTGGAACATATATAGTATTAGATCTTTGAGGCATTCCTTTAAACCTAGAACATCTGATTTGCAGATTTGTGAGATAAATGAATACCTTTACTGCCTCAGCCACCATTAATGTAGTTTTCTATTGCAGTTAACACCCATCAACTGATATAACTGGTATTTACCATTGAGTATCTAAGGTTGTTCTCAGAATTTCACGTTGGAAATAAGTTGCCAAAGTACTAAAATCTAACGCAGTATATGGGTCAATAAAGACAGTTCACAAGACGGAATATATGAAGGGTAGCCAATCATCAGGCCAAATTCAACTAGCTGCCTGTTTTCCTAAATAAAATTTTATTCAAATGTGGACACACCCATTCCTTTATGTATTACCTATGCCCACAATCATGCTACAGATCAAGTAGTGGTGCAAAAGACTTTATGGTTCACAAAACCTAAAATATTTACTGCCTGGTCCTTTACAGAAAATATATGCATGCCAACCCATGCTGTAGGTAAATTCCTATCATGCTACTCAAAAGGTATAAAAATTTGATAAGAATAGTACACAAAGATATGGTTTTACTTTGAAAAATATTTTTTGTACTAAGCTGTGGAACAGATGCTGCATGTGTTGATAGTACACAGAAAGAAGTGCAAGATGCCACAACCCTGTTTGCCAAACTTACCGGGAAAATAATAGTGCTCTCAGGTTAAAGTATAAAACACACAGAGTAGATGAGAGTGTAGTTATGAAGAGTCACCTTATGAAGAAAGAAAAGCTCCCAGGCTGAGTCTCAACTATGTAATACTCAATGTAAGCGTTGGGTAACAAGAAGTAAAGAGGTGGGTGTAGGAACTTAGCAAGAGAAGCGCCGGAAAGGAAGTATGACAGAAGCAAATTTGAGTCTCCTAAGAGAATTTAGAGGTGAGGATATTGTGGGCTACAAATAAGAGGGAATCTATAGTCTATATGACAGATATCTCCATAAAATAAATATAAATGATACCAGCCATTAAAGTAACTAACTTCCTTTGGTCTGATTCCATGGTCACCAAGCAACCTTCAGATTATTACACAGCTTTTCAGTTAGATTTCCTACAAAAGATAAAGTAATGTGCCTATGAAAATGAGAATTTGGTCTTTGGTTAACCTGGCTGTACTGGAGAGCACTGAACCCATCTCGAGATGCCAATGACACTTCTGAGTTTGCAAGCCAGTGCCCTAGATAGACTCTGGAATTCACCCAGGAAGCGCGGACTAATCAGCTTTCTCTGAAGATAACTGCTCACACACCCAGCCAACTATTTTAAACTAGAACTGATGTTCCTATTGGATTAAAGCCTGACACGAAGTATGTATTTTTCAGTTTAAGCACAGGACAGTTAGTTTTATGAAGTATTTTGAAAATGCATGAACTTAATGATTTAATATTAAAAGCTTATGGAGATATCCTAAACGGCAACTTAAATTACTCTTCCAGATAAAACATATATGGTACTTACATATACTCTTTATTAAATAAACAAAAACAATCCAACAACTGCTTGTCACCTTTTTAAGTATATTTTTATACTTACAGCATATATGTAAACAATATATTTTTCTTTCAAAAGTTAGTTATTACAGGATGCATTAACAAGATGCCCTCTGGGAAAATTTCAGCTTTCTTTTAATGAAACTTATTTCAAGGTTAAGTTAAAAGAAGTCACACTAAAGGGAAATCTGTTGTCTTCTTCGGGAAAATGATATAAGAATATTAATAATCTAATAGAATAAATATGCTTTCAATAATGAAACAAAAAAACACAACTTCGCAGCTGGCTATTTTTATTGTCCTTTGAAGAATTCTCTCCCAAGCTACTGAAACTTAAAGTATCACACTGTGACAGACTTTAATCCCATCTTACCTGGTGTCCACATTTCTAAAGAAGCTGCTTATTGCCTCATCATAAATTCCTTTCTAAAAAGAAAAACATATGTTAATAGCATTTAGGTTTTGCTTCTCGCCCAAATCAAGTTCTTTCAATTTTAATTACATAATACTGTAATGGCTAGGATGAGACTCTGATAAGAAAAACCAAGTATCACAAAATGCGGAGCCTGACTCTTCCCAATCTCCTTAGAAGAGTAAATGCCAGATCTACAGATAAAAAGTTCAGCAGGGGGTGCTAAAGAAAGGATTTCACCCATAGGACTGTAGGACAGGTCCATCAAATGAGCGTTCTCTGGATTCTTCGTAATCTTTTTAAAAGCTGACTGGTTAAATTAAGGAATACAATAACCACACGTGTTATCTATTTTACAAAGTACTTTCCCATATACAAATCTCACTGTTCTGCACACGAACACCAATAAAGAGGAGACCCTGAGAATCAGGAAAAACGTTAAGACTAAGGTCGCTGGCCAGTGTTCTTTTAGTTTAGTGTGTGTCTGACGCAACATGTTTAAAAACCAGTACGTTCTTTACTGGGAAGATCCCATGCATCTTAAACGGGTCAGATGAAAGCTCAAGTCGATTATTTCCTGCGTATGGGCTGGAAGACCTAGCTGACAGGCGAGGGGGCTCGCGGCGGCGGGCGGGTACCTGGTTGACCGCGGCGTGCTCCCTTAGTGCCAGGTCCCAGAAGCAGCAGCCGATCTGGTTTCCGCACTGGCCGACTGCGACCGGAGGAGAGGAAGGAAAGAGAATAGGACATTAAGCAGGAAACATGGCCGCTGGATTCCGCGGCGACCAGGTCTCTACCCGCCCGGCGTAGCTTACCCTGTACGACCACCGACTGGGTCATGGTGGTGCGCCGCCGGCTCCGGGAGCTTGCTAGCCCGCGGCCGCTTCTGCATTCCCCCAGCAACGGCGCTCTGCTAGAGAGCTGCCGTAAGTCACGCTACTGCCGCAAGCCTCTGCCGTCGCTAAGCACGTCTGTAGGTTCAGGCTAAGGTTTTCCGTCAGAAGGCCGCGCAAGTGCACTTGCGTGTCACCGTTACCGTAGCGACTGGGCTTCTGGACTGTATATCCTAGCTGCCTTGTCAACATCTTCGAGCATCGGCAGCTCCGGAGGCCGGGGTAACTGGCAGGTAACTAGGCTTTGGAGTGGTATTTTAAAATATGTGTCGTTAAGCTGTTCGTGGGCTATCAGAGGTTTAATTTTTGTTCACAGCCTCAACACCCGGGGCGGTGGATCAGTCCGTTTATTCAGATTCCACGGGACGCTGCGTTGGCATCTCTGTTCAACAAGCCCTTTATTCTAATAGAAAATGAACAATGGCGTTGAGCAAAGAGAAACCCCAGAGAAATAGTCATGTCAGGGCACAATTGAAACTAGATGGTTATACGCTTTGACAAAAATGGCAAAGCTAAGGTCACAGACCCAACCAGTATTTGTTGAACGCTGTATACTCCCCAAATTAACTTGTAGGCTCGCTGGGAAGATTAGAAAGAAATTAAGGCATAGATCCAGTTCCAAGAAGCTTACAATCTAATTGAAGACATACACGCGAAATACTTAAAGAATTGTGTGGCGTTGACTATAAGTGCAATAGGATTCAGTGGTTGAGGATGTAGATGAGTATGTAGAAGTCTGATAGAAGACACGAGATTAACACTAGGCATTTAGATGGGTATTTAGATGGGATAGGCAGGAGAAGATTAAAAAGTTAGGCATTATGACAATTACCAACTACTTAAAATTGTCAAACATTAAAATATGTAAACTTCTATTGATCAAATTAGACCAGATTTTAATTAAGAACTCAAGTACTTCTTTAATGAAATTAATATTTTCCACAAAAATTCTGAAGAACTACGAAACTCTAAGAAGTCTTCTTTGTTTAATAAAAAGTTATATGGTATGTGCTATGAATATGTGCTAATATGAACTGTAATATTCAATGGATTAGAACACTTTATTGTCCCACCAAGACACGTAGTAGTTACTATTAAATTTCTCTGGTAGCCGGTAGGTTTAAAGTTGCAATGGATTTTATATCTTTTGGTAATAGGCAGCTTTCGGTCAGTAAATTTTTGTAGGCTGGATTTATTCTTAACTTCTTACTGAGTATGGGGTCAGTGGTAGAGGTAAAGTTGGGCATTTTAGGTCTTGATGCTAAAGTCCCAACGTCTGGGGCTTCCAAAATTTGCAAGTCTTGGTCCAGTTTGTAGGCAGTGATGTGAATAGGTCTGTATCAGTGTGTTATCAGTGCTAGGTGAGATGATACACTGGCCTTTGCAGAGCCCTACCCTTCATGCAGTCCCAGTCATTATTCCCCACACAGGAAAGAAAAGTCCTAACACATCTTATTAATAACTTCAGTCTCTAGAGAATCAGACTGAGAGACAGTTCTGCTTAAGAGCCAAGCAAGGTAGAGCCTCACATGCCAGCCACTCCAAAACTTCCGTATATGCAAACCCGGGTGAGCCAAGTTGAGATCGGTTGAACCGCAGCGGGCTATTCAGAATATTATAAGCAAGAGAAATGTTTTTGGTTGAAATTACTGAAATTTTGGGGTGCAGTTTTATTGTAGTGATAGCTGACCAACATACAGAGCAAATAGAGTGAACAGAATTCCACATGCTGAAAATGAAAAAGAAAAAAATTATTGGGAATCCTATGGACTCCTAAAATTGAAGGAAGGAAGACAAGGATGGAAGGGAGAGAGGGAGGGAAGGGGGAGAGGAAGGAAGGAACGATGTAAAAGATGGATAAAGTACAAGACCTTGGGGTAAAACCTAGCCTAAGAGGGGAGAAAAGAAAATTCATCATATCTACTTTGTGCTGAAGAAGAACTTAAGAATATGAATGCAATAAAACAGGAACTTAAAGACAAGATACTAAAATAATAAGACTCAAGCTCTATGAGGGCTGAGTCTTGTTGTTTTATCCACTACTAGGGATAGTACCTTGCATATAGTAGATAGTAAATAAATATTTGATGAATAAATGAAATAAAATGGAGATAAAAGAACTAAGGAAATTAACTGAAGACAACAACATCCACCTTAAAGGACTTAAAGAAATAATTTTTAAAAGCATTTAAGAAGCAGACTAGAGAGATGCACATCAAATTATAATGTAGAGGAAAGTCTTAAAATAATAACAATACTAGGCAAAACCCAGAGATATGAAAGTTATTAAAAATAATATGTATGAAGGAGACAAAGATGGCTCAACATAAGATTAACATGTGCCCACAGCAAATGGAGGAAAAAATGTACTTGATAAAAAAAAAGGAAGAAAAATACATAGATTAAAAGGATACACACTATGTTCTATAGGACAATTTATAGAAAAATCAACACCAAGACATGCAGCCTCATTAAGGCATTCAACTTTTCAGAATAAAGAGAGAATTTTTTAGGTACCTAGGCATGAAATGAACGGGGGAGTGGGATGAAGAAAAAACAATTAATTAGAGTACTTTAGACTCATCTATATAGCACATTCAGTACTGGAAGGCATTGAAAACATGCTGCAAAGTTCTGAAGGGGAATAAAATGTTTTAGAAGAAAATTATTCTGTAGCTTTTGTAAGTTGTCATTAAAATATAATTCAGAGTTGTGGGTGGTCTGTTTTTATTCTTGCTTGCACACCGCCATTTCTGAGCTCATCTCTTTCTCATATAACTTGACAAACAGTAGCAACTGACATGTTATTGTTTTCCAGCCTCTTCTCCCAACATTTAAATTCATTAGTTAAATCACATGCCTTCTAGGTTATCACAGAGTTTTCCAAAGATTTTTCCCAATAGGTTTGTTCCTGGGTGACATAGATCACTATCCTTTTAGCTTTCCACAACAGTTTCCTTGTTAATTGCTGCTTGACCACTTAGGTATGGTGACTTATATTTTAGATTTTTGTTATAGCGGTACCTAAGTCTGGACCAAAGTCTGTATACATCAGCATAAACTTTGTTGTGCTGTGGTAACAATCAACCCCAAAATCTCAGTGGTGTAAAACAACAATTTTTTTTTTGTACATGATACATGTCCATTGAGGGGTGTCTGGGGGCTATGCTTTATGTTATCCCCCTTCTGGCACTCAGGCTGATGATCTGCCATTATTTGGTCCATTTTTGATTTGTTTGATTTTAAATTGATTAATTATTGTGTATATTAATGGGGTACAGTTGATTTTTTGATAAATATTTACATTGTGGAATGATTAAATCAATCTGATTAACATATCCATCATTTCACATACTCAGAATTTTTTTGTGATGAGAACATTTAAAATCTGCTCTTTTAGCAGTTCTGAAATATATATTATTAATAACTAGTCACCATGCTATGTAATAGATCTATAAAACTTATTCCTCCTAACTGAAACTTATTGTATCCGTTGGACATCTTTCTGATCTCTATCCCTGTCCCACCCTCCAGCTTTGCTACCCTCTGGTAACCACCATTCTACTCTCTACTTTTATGAGCTTGACTTTTTTAGATTCCACATCTAAGTGGAGTGTTTCTCTTTCTGTGGCTGGCTAATATCACTTAGCATAATGTCCTCCAGGTTTATCCATGTTGTCACAAATGACGGCATTTTCTTCTTTTTTAAGGCTGAATAGTATTCCATTGTGTATATATACCACATTTTCTTTATCTGTTTCTTTATTTGTTAGAGAGTATGCAAAAACAAAGCTCTGAAAATCTTTAAGGAGTTCCTCATGAGCCTAAACTGAGTGCTGATCCTTGCATGGATTCATGGAAACTATGTAAGACTGAGGAAAGAACCACTGGAAATAAGCGGGCAGAACAATTCCTAGGGTTCACATAGGGCTAGGACTAATTCACATTCCCCGTATCTTGAGTGGAGAAACCTTAAAATAGCTGGAACATTGAGTTGAGTACTCAGAAAGGTACCTCAGTAGTGAAGAAAAGTTAGCCCTGGATGAAAGGCTGTTGTAATCTAGCTTAAGAGAGCATGAAACCAAGCCTCCAAAGAACCAGGCTGTTTCCAAATAGCTGTGTCCCAGAACAAAACTTAAAAATACTTAGAGGAATAAAAATAAAATTGTTTAGCAATGTAAAATCACAATGCCTGGCACCCAAGTCAAAAATTGCCAGATATGCAAAGATGAGTCCCATAATGAGGTGAAAAATTAGTTAAAAACAGAACAAGAAATGGCACAAATGAAAGAATTAGTAAACATAATAATTACATAAAATTAAAAGAACATTAAAGCAGTATATGTTCAAGAGGACAGAAGGAAGCCCAGGCAGACTGAGAAGGGACAAAGAAATATGAAAAAGAGATCCCAATTAGACTTCTAGAGATGAAAAGTACAATATCTAAGGTGAAAAATGGATGGAATAAAGAGCAGATTAGACATTAGGCAAAAGAAAAGATTAGCAAACTTAAAGATGTAGCAATGGAAACTGTGCAAAATAAAACAGAGAACAAAAAGATTTTTTTAAAAAGGAGAACTAGTGCACTGTGGGACAACTTTCAACAGTGTAATATACATGTAACTGGCATGCCAGAGGAGGGAACAAAAAATACTTGAAGAAACAATGCCTAAAAAAATTTCAAATGTGATAAGTATTATGCACCCACAGATCCAAGAAGCTCGGTGAACCTTAGGCACAAGAAACAGAAAGAAACTATGCCAAGTACATTGTAATCAAATTGCTTAATATCAGTGATAAAAAGCAAATATTAAAGCCAGCCAGATAAAAAAGACATATTACATATAGAGGAACAAAGATAAAAAAATCAACAGACTTCTTGTTGGGAACAATGCAAGCTGGAACATAGTGGACCCAAATCTTTAAAGTACCTAAAGAAAACAAAACTGCTAATTGAGAATTCTATACCCAGTTAAAATATTGTTCCACAATGAATATGAAAAAAAGAGATATAAAAGCTAAATTAATTAATCACCAACAGACCAGCACTGTTAAATGAAACATTCAGGCAAAGGGAAAATTATGTTGTAAGAAAATCTGGACCTACTCAAAGGGATAAAGAGCACTGAAAATGATAAAAATGTAGATGAATATAGAAGGCATCTCTTGTTTTAAAGACAATTGCTTAAAGGAAAATGTATAACGACATGCATGGGGTTTGTACTATAGATAGAATTAAAGTATATGACAACAAAATTATATATAGTGGGAGAGGGGAAATGGAATATACTTTTATATGGTTCTTCTAGTATATGTGAAGTGGTATAATGTTATTTGGAAGTGAACTATGAAAAGTTAAATATGTATACTATAAACCCTAAAGTAACACAAAACAAAACACAAAGGTGTATAGTAATAAACCAATAATGGAATAAAATAGATTCATAAAATATATTCATTGATCCAAAAGAATGGAATAAGAAGAAAAGGACACAAAGAACTGATGGCACAAATAGAGTACAAAAAGCAAGATGGCAAATTTTAATTCAACCGTATCTATCATATTAAATATTAATATAAATGATAAAAATACCCTAATTTCAAGATAGAGGTCATCACAGTGGGTAAAATAAGCAAGACTCAAATATATACTGCTTACAAGAAACCCACTTGGAATATAATAACCAAATTGGTTAAAAATAAAAGAATAGGAAAAGATATGTCATACTAAAATCAATGAATGAAAAGTATCTATACAAGTATCAGAAAAGTAGACTATAGAGCAAAGATATCAGACATATTTCATAATGATAAAGGTGTCATTTCATCAAGAGGATATAACAATACTAAATATTTATGCACCAAATAATAGCTTCAAAATACCTGAAGTAAAAACTGCAGAATAGAAAGGAGAAGTAAATAAAATCACAATTATTGTTGGAGATTTCACACCCTTATTTCAATAGTTGATAAACCAAGTATATAGAAAATCAGTAAGAATATGGAAGACTTGAACAGTTCTATCAATCAACAAATCACTTACATAGAACAGTGAAGCCAACTATAGCAGCATGTACATTCAAGTGCGTGTGGAACATTTACCAAAGCAGTTTATATTCTGGCTATAAAAACAACTCTAAATAAATTTAAAAGAATTCAAGTCATACAACGAATATTCTCTGACAAAAATGGAACCTAATTAGAAATCAGTAACAGAAAAGTAGAATATTCCTAAATATTGGAAAATACTTATATAGAACACTGAAGCCAACTATAGCAGCATATACATTCAAGTATGTGTGAAACATTTACCAAGGCAGTTTATATTCTGGCTATAAAAACAAGTCTAAATAAATTTAAAAGGATTCAAGTGATACAAAGAATGTTCTCTAACAAAAATGGAACCTAATTAGAAATCAGTAACAGAAAAGTAGAATATTCCTAAATATTGGAAAATTAAACAATATAATTGTAAATAACCCATAGGTCAAAGAAGAAAAAGCAAAAAAATTTTAACTGAAGGAAATGAAAATACAAAATTAAAAAATTTGTGGAATGCAGCTAAAGGAGTGCTTTGATGGAAATTTATAGAATTAAATGTTTACATTAGAAAAGAAGAAAGCACTAAAATTAATGACCTAAGCTTCTACCTTAAGAAATTAGAAAAAGAAAAGCAAATTAAGCCCAAAGTAGACAGAAGAAAAGAAATAATAAAGATTGGAGTGGAAATAAAATAAATAGTAAATAGAAAATAGAGAAAAATCAATGAAACCTAAATATGTGTCCTGAGAAATTAAAATTATTTGATAGGCTTCCTTGTTCATAAGATAAAGTCTAAAATTTTAACTTGAGTTTTTGCTCCTGCGTGATTTGGCCTGTGCTTATGTCTCAGACTCCATTTATTTTCTGTTTTCCATGCTGTGGTTATGCTGGCCTTTCAGATTTTTTATTGTCTTTACTAGCATGACCTTTCCACATGCTGTTTTCCTCTTTGCCCCCTCCTCAACTGTGTCAATGTTTTTGTCTCCCACTCATTTCCACCTAATTAATGCCCCCCATCTCTTAGATTTAGATTAAATATCCTAGACTAAAACAAATCCTATCGTAACCTACAAACTCTACCACAACAGGAACTGTGTTTGTTTTTGCTTAATCTTTTATCTTTAACACTTAACACATGCCTGGCTCATGGTGGATTCTCAGCAAATATTCATTAAATGAATGAATGAATGAAGTCCATGGGTCTTTTTTTCTTAGAACATGACAAGTTCAAATATCACTCATTTTCTGCATCTCATGAATTAATATCTTGAGAATTGAAAGACTATTACTCTTGAGCTTGTGATACTTAAGGGGGTATTTGGATACTTCATCTTTTTATTCACCATTTGCATTGCTCTTGTTTATCTATTGCTTTATGAAAATATGCTGGAGACTCAAATTCCTTTTGTCTTCTGAGGTATCATTCTAATGTTGTAAAGTTTCATCATTAAGACTACTGTTTGGTTTGTTTCATTGTATCACCCATTCTAAAGAAGCATGGTATGCCAAATGGACTAGTTAAAATGGTAAATTACAGGATTTTAAGAATACCCCACTTACAGATATTTTACTTCATATATATCCATGACTAAAAGGTGAAATCAGTGTCTCAATACTCTGATTTCAAGAATGACACAAAAATATGTAGGAAGTAGTGCTGATTGAATTCTTGTGTCCCAGTTATTGGCTTTATACATGTTAGATTGTTTTTAATTCCTCACGACAACTCTGTAAGGTAGGAATTAATACCATTTTACAGACAAACTTTTAGTGATTTGCTTAAAATCTCAGAGCTAACATTGTGTCAAAATTCAAACCTGGCTGGGCACAGTGGGCTCATGCCTGTAACCTTAGCACTTTGGGAGGGTGAGGTGGGTGGATCACTTGAGCCCAGGAATTTGAGACTAGCCTGAGCAGCATGGTAAAACCCTCTATCTACAAAAAAATACAAAATTAGCTGGGCATAGTGGTGTGCACCTGTAGTCCCAGCTACTTGAGATGCTGAGGCAGGAGGATTGCTTGATTCCAGGAGGTCGAGGCTGCATGCAGTCAGCCATGATCATGCCACTGCACTCCAGCCTGGATGACAGAGCAAGACCCTGTCTCAAAAAAAAAAAAAAAAAAAAAAAAACCAAAAAAAAAAAAAAAGAAAAAAAAAAACCTCTAACCTAATTCTGATGCTAAAACCCATCATTCTCCCCACTGCTACCACCTCTCAAACATGTAAACTATTACATTTTTTGCCATCCTAAGGACCAAATGTTTAGGTCCTAATGATACCTTAGCTCACAATGGCCAGCAATTATTTGTTTGTGTGACTGTGACACCGTCAGTTATTTTTCCAAGCTGAAATGGTGATCAACTTATTCACAGATAGTACCCTAGTAAGAAAAAGAAGGTGGAGGTAAGATTGTATCCAACATCAAGTTAATTCTTATGTAAAATGCCAGTTTTCTATAACTTGAGTCATATGAAAACACAACAGTGGTAAAAATGCTCACTAACATTTAATAGTTTAGTCATCGGATATGAAAATTGAAAAACTGCTTAGCTGAAGAGTTATGTTCTGGTATAAGGGTTAAACTAAACATTACTGAGTAGAGGAGAAGTTCATGAGGTGGGCTATTGATCTAGAAGCCAAGAATGAGTTGGGAGAGGGAGAGCAGTTAGAGAAATGAGCAGAGAAGCAGCCCAGGGCTCAGGGAACAGAATAATGAGGACAGTACAAGATGTATTCTTCCTTTCGGCCGGGCGCGGTGGCTCACGCCTGTAATCCCAGCACTTTGGGAGGCCGAGGCGGGCGGATCACGAGGTCAGGAGATCGAGACCATCCTGGCTAACACGGTGAAACCCCATCTCTACTAAAAATAGAAAAAATTAGCCGGGTGTGGTGGCGGGTGCCTGTAGTCCCAGCTACTTGGGAGGCTGAGGCAGGAGAGTGGTGTGAACAGGTGAGGCAGAGCTTGCAGTGAGCCAAGATAGCACCACTGCACTCCAGCCTGGGTGACAGAGCGAGACTCTGTCTCAACAACAACAACAAAAAAGATGTATTCTTCCTTTCACAATTGTAATTATTCCAGCCATTTGGGAATTTGAAGACTCTCTTGAGGAAACAGGAAAAAAAAATAAAGTTAGTCCAGGCATTAGAGAGAGGGTGTAAAGAATCCCATGTAAGAGTTATAGAGAAATTTGTAAAGGTACAATTTGGGTTTGAGGATATTGGAGTGAGATGAGGATGTAGACAGATGGGATTTATTTGGGATGTTATAAGAGAAGGTCTGGGAGAGAAAGGGAATGAGGAAAACAGGATATAAAATGAGAAGAATCTCAATTCTGATTTACTACAGGTGGATTAGACTGTAGGTCCCCACTCATGGATGAAAATACTAATATTGTAGGGAAATAAGCCAGTAAAAACAAGAATGAAACTCTCCAAAAAGCTTTAGAGAAAATTTTTAGCTAAGCCTCAGCTTGTTGTTGGAGCTATGCATTGAGATGTTTGATTCTTTAGCAGGTAGGAAACTATGTGAAAGAATCTCCTGATGTCATAATTTCCGGGTGTCACCGGAACATTTGATCATCATTCCTTTGGCAATTCCAGCCTTCTGTGGAAAGGCCAGTAGAAAGCATTGATTTATTCACCTCTACAGGAATCAGACTCAGCCTCTTTTGGTAAGTCTATTTATCCTTGATCAAATTAGCTAAATGTTAATACCTGCATAGATAGGTAGTTATACTAAACCACAGAGTTTATTATGGTTTCACTAAATCATCATTGAGCGAAACACTTTTTTCTTGATATTGAGACAGTCTATAAAAGTTATCATATTCAAATTTTTAAACCTTAATTTAGTTTTATTATTAACACCAATAAACATTCACTTTTAGGCATAGAATACTGTACTAGGCATAAGAAATAGTTGCACCATTTTAAATTTTTCCTACCCTTTGTGTACTAATAGTTGAATACATTGTATACTAATAGTTGAATACATTGTGTACTAATAGCTGAAAACATTGTGTACTAATAGCTGAAAACATTGTGTACTAATAGTTGAAAACATTGTGTACTAATAGTTGAAAACATTGTGTACTAATAGTTGAATACATTGTGTACTAATAGTTGAAAACAGTGTGTACTAATAGTTGAAAACATTGTGTACTAATAGTTGAATACATTGTGTACTAATAGTTGAAAACATTGTGTACTAATAGTTGAATACATTGTGTACTAATAGTTGAATACATGCAAGTTATTTCAGGGTAGAGCTATTAAATGTCCACTGTGTGACAAGCACTGTTCTAGGTATTAAGTATTCAGGGATGACAAAGACAGACTTGGAATGAGGGGGGATATTAAACATTTACAAAAAATGAGGGTAGTGTTTCTCAACAGTGGGCAGTTTTGCCTCTCTCTCCCACCAGGGGACATTTGACAATGTCTATAGACATTTTGGGCTGTCACAATTTTGGGAGAGGGGTACTCTTTGCATCCAGTGGGTAAAGGCCTTGAATGCTGCGAAACATCCTACAGTGCACAGGACAGTATCCTCCCTCCCCAGCTAAGAACTATCTGATCCCAGCTGTGAATAGTGTCATGGTTGAGAAACCCTGAATTAGAAGGATAACTGTTACGAAGGAGAAATAAAGGTTGCTATGAAAACTTAGATAATGGGGGTTATAAAAGTAAGTTATAGAGTAAGTAAAATGTAAATTCAGACTTAATGGATTGCATTGGCCATAGCAAGTGAAGGGTGGGAGCAGGGGGTAGGGAAGTGTTCCAAGGTAGGCAGTAAGGAGTTCATTTATATGTGTTTGTGTGTGTATTTCATAATAAATTTCATATCTCAGGTATACTTGCAGACATTTATATATACTTACTAATGCTCAGTAGTACCTGCTAAATAATAATAGTTAACATTTACTGAGCACTTACTGTGTGTTAGGCACTGCACTTTACGTGTATTACCTTACTTAATCCTCACTATTATCCTAGAAGTAGAAAATATTATCACCAATGTACCCTTGAGAAATATAGATAAGTACCTTGACTGAAGATCACATAGTTGGGAAGGGCCAGAGCCAGGGACTATACTGTGACTATAGAGAAGCAGTGGGGAAATGAATAATCCCCTGGAACTGAAGGATTAGCTAAAGATATCTTGGTGAATGTGAAACTGTGCTCCAAAGGAAGAGAAGGGCATAGATAGGTAGAGAGGTGCTTGTTGATTGCAACAACCATTTAAAGGCATACAGAATTTTGTTTTCACACGGCAGAAATGGTCTTCAGTTATGTTAACCATAGAGTATTTTCCTTGCGTTGCTTGGTGGCTATTTTGTATTTTTTGCAAGACTTAAATTGTACATAAGGGATAGTTGTGAAATACAGTATTTTAAACACTATTTTTAGCTATTTAAAAATAGAATAACATTCAGAATGTTTCTGTATGTCTATAACAAAATAGTAATATTAAAAATTCCAAGGGCAGGCACGTTGTGTGCACCTGTAGTTCCAGTTACTCAGGAGGCTGAGGCAGGAGGATCACTTAAGCCCAGGGTTTCAAAATTGTAGTGCACTATGATTGCACTGGTGAATAACCATTGCACTCCAGCCTGGCCAACATAGTGAGACTCTGACTCTTTAAAACATTCCATGCAAGTCTTTGAAGACAATCTATCTCCACCCCCAATATTTTAATTTTCTAATCTAGGTTTTCAATATTTTAACTTTCCGATCTAGGTTTTCAGTGAAGTATGCCTTTTCAATTTGGAACCCAGCCAAGGAGGTTTCCAGTGGAAGGAGGAGATTCTTCAATTGAGCTGGAACCTGGGCTGAGCTCCAGTGCTGCCTGTAATGGGAAGGAGATGTCACCAACCAGGTAAAGTCTTCTGTCCTCACAAGTGAGGAGATATGTATTGGCTATCATCAATACAACCTTCAGCTGATATTCATTATTAGCAAGAAAAAACTCTCAGCAATTCAAAAACATTGTTGTTTCTAAGTTAGCGTATTAACAGAGCCCAGTTTTCCTTAGTGTAGAGTCTGTATTTTGTATTTCTGTAAGTCTTGATGATAGAGCAATTCATTCTCTGTCTTTCTGGTACATTTTTAGCTATTAACAACAACAACAAAAACACAATTACCTTTGCACCAACCTAATAGATTGTTTTGTTGATAGCTTCACGATTAGATAACATTCAATTAAACAAACAAAACTTCAGTGCTAGTATGCACAGGGCACTGTGCTAGGCATAAGGCTAAAAATATGAAAAAGACTTAGACCTCAGAGTTAATGTCACTTTGGCTTTGATTAGTATCACTTTGGCTTTGCTGCGACCTTTGGCAGAAAGAGTGATATAGAATCTGAAGATTCTGTGAGACAAAGTGTTTTTGCAGAATGATTAGTTCCATTTCTCTGATGTTTACCATAGCAAAACCTTAAATACTACATTGTTAGATTCTCATGGCTTGGAAATTTTGGGAACACAGATTTAAGTTTAACAGGTGTAGGTATTTAAAAATCGGAGTTAGTCAAGGATAAAATGGGCTGCTTTGGGAAGTAGTGAGCTCCCGATCTTTAGAAATGCTAAAGGCTGAATGACTATTTGGTGGGAATGTTGGAAAGGAAATTCATATATTCGATGTATTTTTGAACTAGGTGTCATTTAAGGGCCATTTCAAATCTGAGATTCTATCAACATTTGAACAGTATGTGGAATACTATGTTCAGTTTTGTATTTTACCACAAACATTCTTGTTTTGAAATCACTCAACTAAGGTGATTTAGGGTGCAAATGCACATGAATTGCCACGGTATTGTCACTTATGTTTGTAACTATGCACTTTTGTTTTGCCATTTAGCAATCATTGCATACCTTTCAAAATCAACATCCGGAGGATTATCTTTGAATATATGAATTTCCTGTGATTAAATATGTACGTCAGAGGCCACAATTTCTTTGTTATATCCATCTAAAATGGGTGCCTCGTCAGCATCACCATGTTGTACTCATTGTATGACATTCAGAGATTTCAAAGTGATTTAAAACAGTTAAATATACAATCAAACTTTGGTGCTCTGAAAAAAAATATTTCCTCTTTTTAGTATCTAACTACATGTCATCTGCTTTTTTATTCAGGCAACTCCGGAGGTGCCCTGGAAGTCATTGCCTGACAATAACTGATGTTCCCGTCACTGTTTATGCAACAACGAGAAAGCCACCTGCACAAAGCAGCAAGGAAATGCATCCTAAATAGCACCATTAAGTCTTTTGTCAAGGTCTGACTAGGTCAAGGGTAATGGACCAGTATCATCTGGTGATCTGGTAAACAAATAAAAGTGGTGGCACCTTTAGATGATGACAACAGTTGAGCTCTTTACTTTTAGTAAGACCGACAGAAATGTAGTCAGTAAAGCACATGTAGTGATAGGCTATCAGTTATGTCTGATACATAAGACAGAATAATATTTCACAATTAGAAAGTACCTTAGAGATCATCTTGCTCACAGTAGATCATTAATATCAATAATTAAAGATGAAGCTTAATCCACCATGGTCATCAGTCAGGTGGGGCTTATTCTAAATGCTTAATGTGTCTTAAGCTCATTTCCTTGTTCATATTTGGGTTGCTACTTGGCTAAATCCTTTCACCTTAGTACCCTAAGCCAGTTTCCTGGCTTGATACTATTTGATAATGCTCTGCTCAGGAATGATTATATTGGGTGAGAAATGGAGCCCTGGGGTTGTGTGTTTTGGAACAGTATTCAAGATCAAAGAAAGTTCTTAGTCCATGGTTAATCTGCAAGGCATTTAAGCCACTTCCATAGAGGAGCCCAGATTGTTGGTTAAATATATTGATAATGAAGTCAAAGCTGTGGTTCCAACCCCGATTTTTCCAAGAAAAATGACGTCTGGTTATCACTTTGTACACGAAGTGCTAACCAGGTATCTTGATAAATTGTTTACAGTAGGTATTGAGAAACCTCATGTGGATTTTTTAATTTGGTTAGATGTGGGATCACTTTTGAGGATGAGGCCAGCTCTCTATGTTCTCTTTTTCTTCTTGCAGTAGTCCCCAGAAACTCAGTCTGCTTTCCTTTTCTCTCGATGGCTGTCAGCACCCATCTAATGAAATTGTCTTCTCCAAAAGACTGACTTTAGGATCAGATACAATTTTCACCAGTGTTTTTTGTCTACCTTGCTGCTTCTGAAAATATACATATAAGCCTTTTAAAATGAAAAGTTTATTAACTTATAATTAAATAGACGTAGATGCATATGTGTTGCATTAGGTGAAAAGAAAAACTGCCAGGGAGTTATAAGAGGAAAAACTCTCAGAGCTCACACTGAGCTGGGAGAAGTTTGAATGCCAACCAGTTAAAGTGGAAAGATCTTGAACATGTGGGGCATTGAGTAGAGACTCAGAAAGGTTGTACTTTCATAAGAGATCCAAACTGGAGCTAGACTAAAGGCTAATGTATACCAATTTTAAGAAAGCTTAAAAATAAGCCTTGAGAGACTCAAGATGATCTCTAAGTAACCTCATTTTATCTGCCAAATAAAAATAGAACATTCCTTAAAGGAAGAAAACAAAATCGAGGCAGGAAATTGCCTGAGGCTGGAGAAAAAATGACAGGAAGGAGAAAGGAGTGATGAAAAATTCCTCAGAGGGCTGGGCTTGGTGGCTCATGCCTGTAATCCTGGCACTTTGGGAGGCCGAAGTGGATGGATTATCTGAGGTCAGGCATTCGAAGCCAGCCTGGCCAACATGGTGAAACCCCGACTCTACTAAAAATACAAAAATTAGTCGGGTATGATGGGCAGGTGCCTGTAATTCCAGCTACTTGGGAGGCTGAGGCAGGAAAATAGCTTGAACCCAGGAGGCAGAGGTTGCAGTGAGCTGAGATTGCATCACTGTGCTCCAGCCTAGGCAACAGAGTGAGACTTTGTCTCAAAAAAAAAGAAAAACAAAGAAAAATTCCTCAGAGCTCATACAAGGCTGGGTAGAATATGTGTTTCAACAATAGTGGATCTTTTAATATAGTACATGGATCATTGAGTAGAGTCTTCAGCAAAATATTGGCAAAGTAGGGTTAGGGTTAGGTTAGGGAGATGGGAATAGACTGAAGACTACTCTGGACTTGCCCTAACAGAGTTTAAGAGCAACATTTGAAAGGATCAAACTGATTTCAAGTAACTTGAGTGCATCCAAGGGGAGAAAACCCATCAAAATAAAAATAAAAACTACAATAAAATCCAGCACCAAAAGTGTAACATTCACAATGATTAGCATCTAATAAAAAGTTACCAGGCATGAAAAAAAAAAGGAAAAGGCAATCCACAGTCAAGAGAATCTTTAGTCAATGGTAATAGACTGAGAATGACAGATGATGGCATTAGTAAATGATATGGTTTGGCTCTGCGTCCCAACGCAAATCTCATGTTGAATTGTAACCCCCAGTGTTGGGGGAGGGACCTGATAGGAGGTGACTGGATTATGGTGAACACCTATATGGATATGAATATGGAGTATTCTCCATGGATATGGAGAACACCCCTTGGTGTTCTCATAATAGTGAATGAGTTCTCATGAGATCTGGTTGTTTAAAAGCGTGTAGCACTTCCTTCTTTTCCCTCTGTGTCTCCTGCTCCACCATGGTAAGATGTGCTTGCTTCCCTTTGCCTTCTGCCATTGTAAGTTTCCTGAGGCCTCCTAGCCATGCTTCCTGTTAAGCCTGTGGAACTGCATCATTTAAACCTCCTTTCTTCCTAAATTACACAGTCTCAGGTAGTTCTTTATAGCAGTGTGAAAATGGACAAATACAGTAGATCAGCTACCATAAATATCGTTCAAGTAGTAGATAAAAACATAATGAAGAAATAAATGGAAGGTATAAAAATGACCCAAATAGAACTTTTAGAGATGAAAAATACAATATCTGAAGTAAGAATATACACTGAATAGGATTAAGAGATTAGATACTGGAGAAGAAAATATTAATGAACTTGAATATATAGCTATATAAATTATCCAACATTAAGTACAAAGAAAAAAGCGTATAAGTTTTGTGTTTCATTATCAAGCAGTCTAATATATATGTAAGTGGCTTCTCAGAAGAATGGAGGGGGATAGAAAAATATTTGAAGAAATAATGGTCAAATTTTCCCCCAATTTGATGAAAACTATAAACTCACAGATCCAAGTATCTTAACCAACCCTAAGGAGAAGCAACATGAAAACAAAACAATGACATGTCCTAATTAAATTGAAGAGAAAAATCTTAAAACTTGATAGTAAATGACACATGCATTCAGAGAAAGAAACATAAGAATGAGAGCACACTTTTCATCAGAAGATATGAAGGCAAAAAGGCAATGGAGCAGTATCTTTAAAGTATCTTTCAAAAATGAAGGTGAAGTAAAGACTTTTCAGCCAAACAAATGCTGAGAGAATTAATCACTAGCAGATCTACACTATAAAAAATGTTCAAGGAAGTTTTTCAGGCAGAAAGAAAATGGTACTAGATGGAAATTTGGATCTTTAGAAAGAAAGAACACAAGAAATGGAAAATATGTGGATAAATATATAGGCTTTAAAATTTTTTAAGCACTAATAGATAACCGTTTAAGGCAAACTATGGCAATGATATTTTATGTAAAAGTATAATGTATAATACTAGCAAAAAAACAAAGGAGGAGGAAAATAGAAGTTTACTTTTGTAATTCTTAGACTATTTGTGAAATGACATAATGGTATTTGACAATAGACTGATGAAGTAAAACTTGAGTTATCTCTAAAACCTAACAAACAGAGTTAGAGCTAATACAGTAGCTCTAATTATTGTATGGTGGAGAGTAAATGTAATAAATATTACTCATTTAATTCTAAAGAAGACAGGAAAAGAGGAAAGAAGGAACAAAGATAATACATTTAAACCATATGATATTGATATTTGCATTAATTACAGAAGGTCTAAATTTCAGTTAAAAGGCAGAGATTATCAGATTGGCTAGAAAAGAAGATGCAACTATGAGCTGTCTACATGAGCCCACCTTAAATACTAAGACTCAGATAAATTAAAAGTATAAAAGGATAGAAATAGATATGCCATGCAGACATTAATCTGAAGAAAGCTGGAGTAGCTATGTTAATAATAGACAAGAAGATTTCAGAGCAAAGAATTTACAGAGGTAAAGAGAGACAATTCATAATGATAAAGGGGTCAAGACATCAAGAATACCTAACAATCTTAAATGTTTATGCCAGAGCTTCAAAGTACATGAAGCAAAAACTGATGCAATTGAAAGAAGAACTAACTCCACATTTGTAGTTCAGGATTTCAGCTGGTAGAACAAGTAAACAGAATCAGTAGGGATATAGAGGACATGACAATTGATATAGAACACTTTACCTAGGAACAGCAGAATACTGTATATTCTTTTCAAGTGCACATGGAAAATTTACCAAGTAGAACATATTGTAGGCCACAAAACAAGTTTCAATAAATTGAAAAGTATTCAAAGTATGGAAGGGTAGGCAAAGTATGTCCTACAGTAGAATTAAATTATAAGTTAACAATAGAAAGATACCTAGAGAATCTCCAAATATTGGAATACTAAGTGATACACTTCTGAATAACCCATGAATAAAAGAAGAAATGACTGAATAAATTAGAAAGTGCTTTGAACTGGATGAAAACAAAAACACAGCATATCAAAATGCATGGGTAGCGCTTAGAGAGAATTAAGGCAATAAATTATTTCATTAGAAAAGAAGAAACATCTCAAGGCAATGATCTAAGCTTCTACCTTAAGAAAACAGAAAAAAATGAGCAAACTAAATCCAAAATAAGCAGAAAGAAAGAAGTAATAAAGAGCAGAAACAATGATATAAGAGCAGATAAATAATAGAGAAAATCAATAGAAACAAAAGCTGGTTCTTAAAAAAGATCAATAAAATTGATAAACCTCTAGGTAGAATTATCAGGAAATAAAAAGACACAAATTATCAAATCAGGAATGATAGTAGGGGCATCACTACAGATTTAAGAAACTACCATCAGAGTGAACAGGCAACCTACAGAATGGGAGAGAATGTTTGCAATCTGCTCATCTGACAAAGGGCTAATATCCAGAATCTACAATGAACTCAAACAAATCTACAAGAAAAAAACAGCCCCATCAAAAAGTGGGCGAAGGATATGAACAGACACTTCTCAAAAGAAGACATTTATGTAGCCAAAAGACACATGAAAAAATGCTCATCATCACTGGCCATCAGAGAAATGCAAATCAAAACCACAATGAGATACCATCTCACACCAGTTAGAATGGCGATCATTAAAAAGTCAGGAAACAACAGGTGCTGGAGAGGATGTGGAGAGATAGGAACACTTTTACACTGTTGGTGGGACTGTAAACTAGTTCAACCATTGTGGAAGTCGGTGTGGTGATTCCTCAGGAATCTTGAGATATAAATACCATTTGACCATTTCACCCAGCAATCCCATTACTGGATATATACCCAAAGGATTATAAAACATGCTGCTATAAAGACACATATACACGTATGTTTATTGTGGCACTATTCACAATAGCAAAGACTTGGAACCAACCCAAATGTCCAACAATGATAGACTGGATTAAGAAAATGTGGCACATATATACCATGGAATACTATGCAGCCATAAAAAATGATGAGTTCATGTCTTTTGTAGAGACATGGATGAAGCTGGAAACCATCATTCTCAGCAAACTATTGCAAGGACAAAAAACCAAACACCGTATGTTCTCACTCATAGGTGGGAACTGAACAATGAGAACACATGGACACAGGAAGGGGAACATCACACATTGGGGCCTGTTGTGGTGAGGGGGGAGTGGGGAGGGATAGCATTAGGAGATATACTTAATGTTAAATGACGAGTTGATGGGCTCAGCACACCAACATGGCACATGTATACATATGTAACTAACCTGCACATTGTACCCTAAAATTTAAAGTAAAAAAAAAAAAACATTAAAAGGATAAATAGAGTTTTCAGCAGTATGAATTCTTTAATTCTTTAGTCTTCCAAGGCCTTTACCCTGAATAAATTGCCTTCCCACATTTCTTACATTTCCAGGTGTAAGCTTTCTGTAAGGGAATATTACAAATAGGTCCTAGGGCAACCTGGTGACACCATGCTTTCATAACCTTCCATCTGGCTGACATCAGCTCATTAATCAACAGTTTTTAGACAGGATCATTTGACAACATGTTCTGTTGAGGTTGCTGGTTTAGCTCTCTGTAAACTATGGTCTGGCTGGGCTGGTGAGGGACTCAAGCCTGAGCAGCCACCATCACTACACTTGAGAAGTTCCTTGAGAGATTCAACTGTTTCTTCCGGCTGCTAGGGTCATGCTACATTCCACTTACGTTTCTGCCTTCCTGTCCCATGCTTTGGCAGATCATCAGGCTTTCACCCCTAATCTCATCTTCCTTGTGCCCACCTCATCCTGTCCTCTAGCAGTCTTCTCTGGGAATGGTGTCCTTGGGTGCTGTGATGTTTAGAAACTGAGTGGTCCTATTCATGGTAGCCAAACTTCTTACCTACTTTTTCAGGACTTAAAAGGTTATCAGAGAGACCTGAGGGAGTGCTTTTTGTCTCTCTGAGGACTTCAGGCTTCTCTCCCACACCTCCCTCTCTCCCTCAGGCTTCTCCCTGCACCCTCAGGCAAGCCAGAGATTTCTGGGGCTCAGTCGAACTCAGATGGAGAAGTCACTGTCCATTTTTCCCTTTTCTCAGACTTCCAGGAAATTTACAAGTCAAGTGATTGCCTTAGGAGGTGAGGTGAGGGGATAACTTTATGGAAACTGGGCTTCCTTTAAATGCTCTCGTTATGAGCATATACTTACCTGCCAGGCACTGGTCTCAGCTCTTACAACATATCAGTGAATAACACAGATGAAAATTTATGGTGCTCACATTTTGGACGGGCATGTTCAGTTGGCTTTCTATACTCTACATAGACTCTGTGTGTGCCATTTGCTGCAGGTTTGTGTGTGTGGTGTTGGGGGCATCATGGTGTTGCACTGCCAGTTGTGCTGAAATGGTTTCTCTCACCCAGTCCTAAAGAAGGGATTGGCCCCTAGAAACCTGCTGCCCTTCTAGATGAGTCAAAGCAAGTGCCCTCTTGATTTTCCCAGTGAGACCCTGCCAGCTCACTACTTTATGGTACCTCTCTGGCTCTGGTCAGCTGGAAGGCAGATAGTCTTTGGAGGCAGGGAACCAAGGTGACAATCATGCTGCTCCTGGAGGCAGGCAGTCTTGTTTTGACTACCGGCTTCTTGGTCCAGCTGAATGACAGTGGGCGAGTTATCTGAGCTGCAAATATTACCTCAAAGGATTAGTGGAATGAACAAATAAAATAATTAACTTTAGCTTATCATGGTGGCTGGCACTTAGTAAGTCCTCTATGAACAGACATTAGCTATGTTTATCGATATCTTCAACATTATCATTATTTGTATATTTCAGACAGAAGGGTAGCAGGGGATATAGGTAGGTATGGACATATATACCAATATGTAATATATATATAATCATTTCAAGGTAACATTGTTTTATTCCCCTTGGTAATTCCTCAAAATATTTTATATCCTCTCCCCTCAAAAGTTACTCCTTTTATGTATTGTTAATTCTGTTGATATCAGGGCCTATTTTCTCTTTTTCTGTCTTCTGAGTTGAGGTTTTTAGATATAATTCTTTTATTTCATTTCTATATTTTAATATTCTACCAGCTATTCAAGTCCATTTTTTTCTAGACTATATTAATGTAGCTACTTGGAAAAAAGATTATAACATTTTAGAAATAAGACTAGTTGTGTTGCAGGTATGTGGAGAGCACACTTTGTTTTTGAGACAGGATCTCACTCTGTTGCCCAGGCTGGAGTGCAGGTACAGTCAGCAGTCATAGCTCACTGCAGCCTTGAACTCCTGAGCTTAAGCGATCCTCCCGTCTCAGCCTCCCAAGTAGCTGGGACTACAGGTGTATGCCCATGTACAAATTTTTTTGCAGAGATGGGATCTCATTATGTTGCCCAGGCTAGGAGCAAACTTTTAATAAAAGGACTTGTGTACTCTTAAATTGAATTTTATGATTTTGTCCTACTGTTTTTGCTGTGATATCCTCAATGATTCCCATAGAACACACAATAATGGTAATAATAACCTACAGAAGCCTCCTCTCATGTACAATTTTATTTTTCTTTTAAGGAGATAAGGAAGGGGAAAAAGTAGTTGATTTCCTGTGTTTCTTATTTAGAAAAAATTAAATTATACTGCATTTTTCTAGTATTCTGTTAGAAATTTACTTTATTAAACCTTGATAACTTCAGCTATAAACCTAAAATATTCTTCTTATACTGATAGACCAAACAAAAGGGCTAAAAACAAATCTATCATCTAATTTAGATTATATGTAAGTTAGTAAGTCTCTTCAAAATAAAGAAAGGTAGTTTTAGGACAGAGATTTTTATATAGATTGAAAGTTATCTTCCCTGGAAGAAAGGTGAATCTGAGAATCTAGCCGCACTTCAAAAATGTGTGCAAGTGTTTATTTGGAATCCCTTCTATTTTATTAGAAACAGAAACAGTAATTTCACCAGTAGGAATTGCGTGTGCTCTCAATACAAGTAAGTTTGCCACTCCTTCAATTGTTGTCCATTGCAGACACTTTGGATTCAAGGTTAAGAATCCAAATGAGAAATAAGAAATATCCGGTCCCTGATGATTCGTTTAAGTCCTGTTCAACTCGATGAAAGCTTCCACCCGAAGGAAGAGTTACTGTTCCTCCTGGCTGGCTTTGTGTTTCTTTCAGTGCTCTAAAGAACTTTGTATTTGGGCAGCTGTGCTCTGTCATGTCAGGCTGCTGGACAGGAGTTGATGCTTACGGCGCCGCTGACCAGGGCTGCTTTACTGAAGCTCACTGGGTGTCCATCAATCACAAAGTGGCGTATGCAGCCTGTGAAGGGTTTGCTGGGGGCCAAGCGTGGTGTCAGTAGAGATTCTGAAAAGAGCAAGAAATAAAAACAAAGATTGCAATTGAGGTATTCCAAGCCCAAATATTACTTCCTGGTAAAAGTATACATATTTGCTCATATCATCAATATGATTTACATTTCAAAAATAGAACATAGTTATAATTGACTCATTTCTCAGTAACATTATTTGCTTGTGAAGTCCTATGGACATGTGGTAATTTTAACGTTTTGCCATGTTTTCCATGATCACATTTCTGTGTATTGTAGCTGTCTTTCAAGGCTGAAATTTACCACTTACATGTAAAGCCTCAGCAGTGAATTTTCATGATCTACCTATGTTTTTTAAAGTTAATTTCACCTGGGCCTCACTTATAATGTGTACTTTGCTAAGAAGGAGGAAAGAAATTTTAGCTTCCACACTATTTTTGGACTTGGTTAATATTTCTGTTTAATTCATTACCCTTCACCCTTAAGCCTCTACATTTTTGCCTGTTCATAAAATATAATGAGAAAGTAATGAATTCGAATAAACTAAGATTCAATTTTTCTGAGCTCAGGGTTTAAGAACTATAAATAGGGTAATGATAACTCGCTTAGTCTTTGTGTGGGCACAAGTGCCCTGTGGTATGCCAAGGGAACTTTCTCCTCTTAATTAGAAATCTAGAAGAAGCCTTATGCTTATTAATTGTACAGACACAATTAAATGTGTTAGGATGATAGAAGCAATATAATTTAAAGCGATTTAGAGAGCTTAGAAATATAAAATTAAAATCCATTTAGCCAAAGCTTATTATTATTTACAAACAGCTATGTGAGCAGTAGCAGATAAAGGATGGAAAACACTTAGAAATCAGTAATTCAGGAAAGAACATAGAACAGCAAATGAAACATCAGCAAGCAGCTGTAATAAGTTTTCTAAGCAATGTAGGGTAAGAATATGCAGAAGCTGTGTACTGAAAATAAATCATGGAAATAGCATTTTATATTTAGAATGATAATCATAAAAGTTTTAGATTTGGAAGGGGCCTGAGAGATCAATTCCCTTTATTGTCTCTAGATTAGTGTGACTATTCTTCAAGCCTGCTCAGTGTACTTCATCATTTGGGTAAGAAATGAGTGAACAGGAATGCTTATAAGAGGTAGAAACATCTAATACTTCTGCTTACTTTGGAGACCTGACTTAGAACTTAGGTTTTGATTCTGCCCAAGCTTACCATCCTTTGGCTTATGAGGGAAATCATCTGGAGGTAATAATTCATGTAGCAGTTAGTGGTCTGAATAATTCACCATACAATTAATTGTAGGTAGTGACAGTACAGTGCCCTAGGATCCTAAGTAATTGATTAATGAAATTAATGCATAATTTTTAGAGAGAATGTTTCCCAGGTTGAATGCTTGACTATATACAAATAATGCAGGATTTTCAGTAGAGGAATGAATGGTTAGACCCATGGGTGGGCTACATTAACAAAACCTTTTTATTTTATTATTATTATTATTTTGAGACAGAGTCTCACTTTGTGGCCCAGGCTAGAGTGCAGCGGTGTGATCTGTGCTCACTATAGTCTCCAGTTCCTGGGTTCAAGCGATTCCGCTGCCTCAGCCTCCTGAGTAGCTGGAGGGATTACAGGCACTCACCACCACACTCAGCTATTTTTTGTATCTTTAATAGAGATGGGGTTTTGCCATGTTGGCCAGGCTGGTTTCCACCTCCTGAGCTCAAGTGATCCACCCACCTTGGCCTCCCAAAGTGCTAGGATTACAGGCGCGAGCCACCATGTCCGGCAGAAAAAAAATTCTTTGATTTTTAATTTTGATTTTAAAACTATCACACACTAAAGTTGACTTTTTTGGTGTGTAGTTCTAGGAATTTTATGCGTTAGCTTTTTATGGATAGAAATAATGAGTCACCAGAGTTCTGAGTGGTATTCTTGGAGAATTCAGTGCATTTAGGGGTTTTATTTAGCCTAATTTCTTTAGCTATCCTCTTAATGCCTGGTTTCTGATGTGATTTTAGTGGAATTAATCTTGAACAGCTCAAAATGATATAATTAATTACATTTCATCTTAAAGTATAGTTGCTTTTATTCTAGGCTTGCTGGCATAATTCTTAGATGGACTTAAAAGCTGCAGTGGTGCAGTGGGCTGGTGGTTACGCCCTTCTGGCCTGCTAGCTCCTGTGCTGGCTCATTAACTAAAGTTTGCTATTCATTCTGTGTTTCAGGCAGGCTGAATTTGGCTTTAGGTACATCTTGCCTGTCCAGTCTGTAGGGCTTAGCAACTCTTGTAGTGAGGGATGATGGCAGTGTGTGAGGCTGGGATCAGACTGTGAAAGCAAACAAACAAACAAAAACCAAAGAGAAATATCTGTTTGAAAGATGTAGTAAGTACGTTGGGTGGCATAGTGAAGGACAAATACTCCAACTTCCATGAGGGAGGGCCATGCTTGTTTTGTCCACCTCCCAAAGCCTAGCACAATGCTTAATAGACAATCCATGCTGTGTGTTGGATATAGTCATGTTCCCTGCCATCAAGGAATGCACTTCTTAGTTTCAACAATATTCTGTGCTAAGTGCTACAACAGCAGTATGTGTATACATCCTAGGGGGAAAGGGGCGTGTTGTAAGTAAAAGTCTGAGCTGAGTCCTAAAGGTCAATAGGAGTTAGAATGGGGAGGAATAGGAGAAGTTGTTTCTTAACAAAGGTACTAGGGGAGGAAAGGAAGAACATTTCCCAGAAATTGAGGCCCAGTTCCCTTATGGAAAGGCCCGGAGCAAAGATACCATCGTTGAACATTTAGGAACTGCAAGTCCCAGAAGGTGTGGGGAGATCCCGAAGGCAGGGACAAGGAGGAGACAGATGATCAGGGAGCTTGCATGCTATGGTGAATTTAATCCTGGAGGCTCTTGGGAACCTGTGAAACATTTTAAACTGTGTTGTGATTTCTGGAGGGAAGCAATGTGCAGAAATATGCACTCATGTGAGACTTTTTCATGCTGCACCTGCATGAAGTGCAGTGCTGGCCTTTGCCAGAATCCTTTCAAAGCTGAAGTCAGGAACAGGGAGAGGACTGGGGAATGGAGAGGGGAGTGGAAGCAGGAGACAAAGGAGAAGAGTTGCTTTGCGAGGGTCTCAAATATTTTTTTTCACACCGGGTTACTATTATTGTCAATACTAGTATTTGAAAAATTCAGACAAAGAAGAGTGCTTAGTTGTTACTATTTTTGGAGTACCCAAGGTCAGATGCTTAATTTTATCTGTGCTTCTTGCTCTCTTCTTTAAAGCATTGTCTGTCTTTATGGGTCAGTTTAAAAATAATCTATTAGAAGATTATTAAAATCTCCACCAAGCCAAGCACAGAAAGACAAATATCATGTGTCCTCACTCACATACATGAGCTTAAGAAGTAAATCTCATGGAGAGAGGTAGAGAGTAGTTGGTAGTTACTAGAGGCTGGGAAGGGAAGGGGGAAGAAGGAGATGAAAATAACTTGGTTAATGGATACAAAAATACAGTTAGATAGAAGGAATAATTTCTAGAATTTCATAGTACAATAGGGAAATTATAGTTAAGGATAATTTATTGTGCATTTCAAAATAGCTAGAAGAGAAGAATTGTAATGTTACCAACACAAAGAAAAGATAAATGTTTTAGGTGGTGGATATTGCAATTATCCTGATTTGATCATTACACATTGTATACAGGTATCAAAATATCACATGTACCCCCAAAATATGTACAACTATGATATGTCAATTAAAAACTCCCCACCAAGTTCCAGCTGCAAAAGCTGGGTTATTTCCCTTTTAAATCCCACTCCCCAGCCATAGCATTCAGGTTTTCCAAGTTAGTGAAATGTGTAAAAACAAATGCATTCAATATGAGGACATGGTCCTTGCTTCACAGGTTTAAAACAATTGGGGTGTTTGTGTGTTGTCCATAAGTGTCCTGTCACCATCCGGGATTATACACCATTCTTGGCAGATGACAGCAGCAGTGACTGATGATGTTTACAGAATTGCAGCTGGGAACCTCTCTGAGGGAATGTCACTACCAATGGACAACAACTTATGGTCTGCAGCTGTTTTTGCAGTTCAGACTAATCATGGACCGAACTGTGCATTTTTTCCTACTGAGGAAGGGGAGCAACTAACAGCAAACTTAATCCTCCAAAGTTCTCAGATCCTACTGTAGTGTTAGTCAATGAGTTTTCTTTGTGTTAGAGATAAAATAAGAGTATGTGTGTCACTGTGTGTATGTGTGTGGCGGGCACTTAAAAGGGAAAGGAAAGAAAAAAATAAGCAAATATGGCAAGGGAGAGTAATAGCCACTGGCTGGAATGCTGGGGTCTAGTTCTTACATGTCACTTTATTATGCCTTTTCCATTTAAACAACACTGTATATAAAATCCTTTGAGTAACTAGGTGCATCATAAAAACACATGGCTCAATTCTACAATAACAATTGTGAGAACTCAGTTTTTTGGATTGGGAACTTTTCCTTTTTAAACAACACTTACCTGGAACACCTCCAACAAACACAGGCTCCCTGTGATCAATTGGTTTTGGATTCAGGGGTCCAACCACATGGTTCACTTCAGAGTCCACATCCAACTGAACCACATTAGAATCTCTAATAACTGAAATGCAGGGCAAAGACTGGTCATAAGTGGCACTGGAGTGATGAATTTTTAACCTGAGAAAGACTATTTATCACAGCAATTGCTTTTATTTATTCCAGAATAAAACCCACACTTTCTTCTATATTATTAAAATCATCAATGATGTCTAACAATGTCTAACCAAGAGATTACTGTAACATTTTCCTTAGAAAGGGAGAATATTTAGAATATTCTTGTGCTACTTTTTTTTGCCCTATAAGTTATGCATTATTGAAGCAACCCCTTAACACAATTTTGCAGCGTTCATATTTTGAAATCACATGTGGATTCAGTATACACATAATAGTATAATAACATGATTTTCTTTTCTTGGATACTTTTAGACTGTCATGCATTACCTATCATATAAGTGATAGCCTAAGTTCTGCCAGATCATAATCTTACAGTTGGGTGTGCAGGCTCCCCAGGGCAGTCAGTTTTCTCACCTGTAATTCTGTGCCATCTGCCATCACAGAGACTCTGCTTGGGTGTAACTGAGGTGGAAAAATCTCTGATGCCATTATTGACTTTCACTATGACCTGCAAAAGATAGGACACATTGTATGATTTAGTTTGTCCTCATTGTGATAAAACTGAATTTCTTAAATAATTTACCACAGTGAAGCAATACTTCAACAAATATTCACACATGATTAGCTTTGCAATTTGAACACAAGGGTCTTTGGCAGCCTATAGAAATAGGTTCAACTGGGGGTGCTCTTTGGGGAGAGAACAAAGTGACTTCATAGGGGAGAAAATTGCGAGAGAGGGACAATAAGAAATAGAATAAATCCCTTTAATTTCTAAAGATTGAGTGTGTTATACAAAGCAGGTTGAAGTATTGGTGAAGAACATGGACTTTGAAGCTAGACAGCCAGTCTCCTATTTAACTTACTCTCTGCCCCAGTTTTCTCGTTTGTAAATTATAAGCGATACTGTTACCTACATCATGGAGATAATTGGGAGGATTAAATGAGTTAATCTAGGTAAAGCTTAGAATAGTACCCAACAAATAGTAAACACCAAGTAGGGATACATTTTATTGTGATGGCTCAATATAATTTAATAGAATGTACTAGAACCCAAATAAAAATCTGTTATGTTAAGTTAGCAGCATCAATGAAAATATACTTTTTTCTTAATATTTATTTGAATACTTCCATGAATATTCTTTAGTAGTATCTTAGGATGAAAGTGGCATTACAACATAATTTTTTATTTCTATCAATTGAGAATAATATGTATAGTATATATACATATCTAGTACACATACATATATCTGATATACATACATATTATAGATATTTAGAAAGATGTTTTAGTGTTTGTTGATTTTGATAGTTATGTTTGCTGATTCCATTTGGTGAAAAAAAGTTCTTCTCATTCTTCTCTTAAAACTGTGTTGTTATTAGTGATTTTTTTGATAGTTTTGCCATATTTTTATGACTCTTTGTTTTAACCAAATCAACTTTCAACATAGGAAGCTGAATCCAAATATTGCCCACATTTACATTTCATGTTATAGCTTTCCTATATTTCTTTTCAGTTAGGAAAGATTGATGAAATAATTCTGTGAAATAAATCTGCTTCAGATCTAGAATCCAAGGTCAGATGAGACAAATTGTTAAACATTTTTCAGACACTACCTGTCCATTTTTCATGTGAACATTTAGGTACTCCCCATTGACACTGTGGCCGTGGACCAGGGTTCCGGAACTGCTTCTGGGACGGACTTCAAATGCAATTTCAAACTTCAATCCAATATTGAAAGATTCATCTGTGGAGAGAAACACTATAAACTCCCAAGAACAGCAAGATCATATTTGTAACTATGGTGTGATTTTGTAATTATATATATTTTTATCTGTTTTTGAAAGTTTGATGCATTTTTTAACAGATAAGTAGAAAGTGGCTTTTCCATGTCAAACTCACTGTGGAAAGCTCTGTGGGGAACCAAGATAACTAATGCATCAATCCTGTTGTGGGGTGTGAGGCTGGCAACAGCACACAAAATATGTGTTATGGGAGCTCAGGGGAGGAGAAATTAATTCCAAGTAGCAGCAGCACTACTGAGTATTTCACAAGTGAGGAGGACAGGGCAATCTGGGCAGAGGAAGTAGACTCAACACAGGTACAGAGGCTGGAATGCTTGGAGAGCACTGTGAAGGCCACTGTGGCTGGACTGTCCCTGCCAGGGGAGAAGGAGGCATGGTGAGTGGGAGCCACACTGGGAAGGGCTCTAGTGGTGAAGTATGGAAGTTAGGCTTTATTTTACAGTCACTGAGCAAGACAGCTGTCTTGATCGGACCTGTATTTTAAAATAATTATTAAACAGAAACCTAACTGGTGCCAGTGTTGTACAGCATTTCAGAGGAGAAAGAGCAGAGAAAGTATTTAGGAGCTGTTACTGAGGTGATCCAATAAAATTCTTATTAAGAATAGTTGTGTTTACTCCAAGAGACTCATTGCAAACCAGGGCATCTAAATAATGTTCATTTAATGTATCCTATAAATCATTTAAAATTTTTTCCTGTTATTAGTTAGTGCTCATGGAGTAGTATATAAATTGTGCAGTTTGCTCTGTATTCCCAGCTGTCCAAACTGTTAAGAGTTCTTATCACTGAAATTCCATGAAAGGCTGAGAATTGTAAGTGTAGGTGTTTTAGTGTAGGGGTAAAGATGGGTGAGGCAGGAAAGTAAAATCATGAGCTAAGCAGAGAGGAAATACTACCTCTGGGTGTTCTGCTGGATATGGTGGTGGTTTAAAAAGTAAACTTGGCTGCAGTGTAATTTCTTTATTCAGGGGATGTGCAAAGTACCTAAGTGCCTTGAGAGGAGGGAACATGCAGCTTTATACCCTTTCCTATCCTAATTCCGGGCACTTATTCTGGTGTCTTCCTCACACCCAGCGATTGCTCCATAGAATATTCTTGGAATGAATTAGATGATGATTGTGTGTAGTCTGCTAGGATTTTATTTATTTTTAGAACTGTTATGTCCCATCATCTGGCATAGGGACTGCCTTATGGGAGGCATACAATAAAAACTGAATGAGTGAGGGAGTAATGGTCAAGGAGAATAATAAAAAGCCAGAAATAAAAATTTCTGAAGGATAACGTTGTCTGCTGGTGTTGCAAGTCATGGGGAGAAAGTGGGACTTCCTTTAGTAGGACAATGGTTCATGCCAAGAAGGAGCAGAGCAAGACCTTGAGGAGCAAGGTGGCCAAAAACTGACATGGATCAGGCCACGGAGCAGCATAGACATTCTAAAGGAGCCCAGGTGGTCTTCATCCAGAAGTTTGGCAGCTGTGGAGAAGCCTGGTCAGGGAGAGTATACAGGGATGGGGACTGCATGTATGGTTTGGAGTGCAGGAGGGAGAAAGGTGGTTCTTGTGGGAAGAGGTCATCTTCTAGGGCTGAGTTTGGCATTCTTAAGTTTTAACTCTGGGCCTGATATTCCCTGTTAGCCATCTCCAGGAAGAAGCATTTCATGACTCATATTTTTAACATGACTAATGTTACCTAGAACCACGTATCCTCCTTCTGTTGAAAAGTAAGTTCCTGTTTCCATGGGGCCTTCAAAGCAAGGGGTCACACTGAATGTCTGAGAAGCAGAGGTGATGGAGGCCCCATTGAGCTGGAGATTGCTGAGACAGCCACTAAAACTGTAGATGGAGTTAATCTGAGGGAAGAAGATATTTCTTAAAATCAATTTTCTCAACACAAATGCACCAAGGGGAAGCAAAATGAGGGGGTTTGAGTCCTGAAGGAACCCACGTAATTCCTTGTTTCATTTATTTCAGATATCTGAATGATCAGTACTTTCCTGGATAGTTGCTTTCTAACTGGTTGTTTGAAGCTGGAATTTTGTATTTGATAATGTCAACCTGTAGTAATTAAGCTATGGACATTTTTATGTTACACTTTGACACAATAAGTTGCAGCTGTGGTTTTCAAACTGCATATTTAGAAGTATCCTAGTTTTCCCTCAAGAATGACAGCTGTGCCAAGATCACCTAAGGCTGATGAGGGCTAGCAAAGTTCTTTACTTAAATCTACCATAGCCAAATAAACAGCAGAAAGCTTTCATTTCTGGTTTCATGAGCTGTTTTTGTGGTTGAGAATTTATCATATCACAGGACATGAAACTTGGGCCACTTAAGATAACTGATTTTGTCCTGCATTTGGACATTTTAAAAAAGAGATTGCCATGGAATTGGGGCTGCTTATCTAAAATCTAATTATAATGTAAACCATCTTTTTTGCTTCATCTACATATATTAATAGGTCTTAGAAATTATTTTTAACATTGCTAAAATCCAACCTATATTTATGTTAAGAAAAATTTAGTCCTTTGATGCATTCCTTTTATTGCTAAATTTTTTATAAGTGCAATATTTTTAATTTTTAAATTACACAAATAATATTTTTCTACTATATTCTCACTTCTCCCCAGGGCAACCACATTTCCTTATACATTTACAAATTGTGTGTGTGTGTGTGTATGTGTGTGTGTGTGTGTGTGTGTGTAAGAAAAATGGGATTGTAGTTTGCATAATGACCTGAAACTTTTTTTTTCACTCAATAATGTATAATGCAATGATTTGCTTTCTTTTTTGTTATGTCTTTACATTAAAAGTATGGGTACTTCCTGAACAAATAAGATCTCCTTGAGACATAAATTTTCATGATAATTTATGCCTCTGAAACTTTTTCATTTGACATCTACCTTAGAATTGAAAGATTACTTCTGACTTTGTAATGCCACAGGGCAGACAGGCAGCCCATAAGACAGTACTTACTTTGATATCCCATTTCCAGAAAACTACAGTTTTACTGGTGCTAGTTTCTAGTTTCCTAATCTGTGAGACGAGGGCCTCAATTAGATGATCTTCTGGCTCTAATGGTCAATGGCTCTACCTGGTCATGCCTGGCTTACCTGAACATTTTTCACAGCCTTTCCAGGAGCCACACCTCCCAAATAAATGGGACCCTTGATTTTCCAGGTAGCTTCAGTAGGAGGAAGACTTTCTTCTAGGACTCGGAGACCATCAATTACCAGTCGGCCACTGCTCCTTTCTCGAATAAATATCACCTGGATGAAGAGAAGGACAATAGCACATCTCAGGTACATTCCAAGATTGCAGAAAAGGCTGTGTTTCCTCTTCTTCCAACTTTGCTATTGCAATGCTGTGGGAAATCTTCAGAAAGTTTATTTTTAAAATGGCCCCATCTCTGAAGGTCAGGAGTTTATCTCTTCTGTTTAGTAGGCTTCTGGCAATGCAGTTTTTGGAATGGCAGAAACTTTATCCCTCATTTGATTCTGTTTTGTTATACAGCATATGCCTTTATTGTGAGCTGTCTCCAGGCCCCTTTGCTTTATATGCATAGGTGTATTTTTTTCATGATCATCTTCCATTTACCACTTCAGGTATTAGAGGAAGTGATCTATGTATTTTCTGACCTCTAGATAGAATGATTTAAAGCTTAATTTCTGAATATAGCTTATGTTTTTCCATGTTCTCTATGAAGCTTTTCCCAGTTAACCAGGCCACATATAGACAGAACAGGCCATATGTTCTCTCCCAGTTAAACTTCTTGTGATTACTTGTAATGCATGTTACATTGCTTACTCTTGACATTACATACCCACCAATTTCTTTCAATATTTATCTGCTCCCACTGTGGTATCCTATCTTCCTCACTGATTTACTCTTCACTTTGTATCTTCCACAGCTTAGCCAATAAAAGACACTCAATAATAATTGCTGAAAAGTAAAAACCTATTGGCAGTAGAAAATAAGTGAGAAATCATTAAAAACCAAATTTCAGTTTATGTTGACCACTGATCCTTTGGTTTAAATAATTACGCTCAGCCTGTGTCTCTTTTTAAATAGTATGCTTCAAGACTTTTATAAGGAATACAATTTTTTGAAATTGAATTCTGAGTGTGCAGCAGCAGAATTTTAAAATGGATATTTCTAGAGAGAGTAATGGAGGCCCATTAGTGTCCATTTGACAATGGTAGCTATTTGCTGGTAATGCTGTTCTCTGCCTTCAACTTACATCATGCCACAGGCCATCATTGTATTTCTCCTGGCTTCTAATCTTCAGTTTTTTGTGACCAACATTAAACATGTAAACCAAGCGGCCATGGGCCAAAAATAGAGTCATGAAGTCATTCTCTTCTTGATCTGAGACATAGAAGATCATGCCATGGGAGGAACGAGTTCTCAGACGAATGGAAAACTGAGATCTGGTAAATGAAAAGAAAGGGATTACCATATGTAAAATGAGACTGAGGATAATCTCTAACTTCTTAAAATAATACAGTGTAAGGAAGAATAAACAAGTAGCCATTCTATCTAATCCCAAGCAACATTATTCCACACTTAGTATTATTAATGAATATTAAATTAGCATGGCTAGTTCAAAAATGTAAATTCTTCTCTACTTCCTTATACAACAAGGATGTATCCCACATTTGAGGAAATGTTGTTTCAGTTAAGGATCTTACTGTGTCTTGGTTTGAAAATATGGCTGCAGGCTGGGTGCCATGGCTCAGGCCTATAATCCCAGCAATTTGGGAGGATCACTTGAGCCTGGGAGTTCAAGACCAGCAAGGCAGGAGGATCACTTGAGCCTGGGAGTTCAAGACCAGCTTGGGCAACATAGTGGAACCCCGTCTCTACAAAAAATTTTTAAAAATTAGCCAGGGATGGTGGTGCGCACCTGTAGTCCCAGCTACTTGGGAGGCTAAGGTGGGAAGATCACTTGAGCCTGGGAGGTTGAGGCCACAGTGAGCCATGATCATGCCACTGCCCTCCAGCCTGGGTGACAGAGCAAGCAAGACCTTGTCTCAAAAAAAAAAAGGCTGCAATTTAGTAAAAATATGTATGTTAAAGAAGCTTATCCATGTGGACAAAATACTAGTGAATAATACAAATAATATCAGTTGTGCACTATCTAAAACACAGACTAAAATTTTTTCCCAGTAAAAATTAATTAATGGATACCACATGTAAAAAGCAGCCACCCGAGCGTGTAGAAATTAAACAAAACCTTCTAGAAATTTAGCCCCAGGCTATGGATAAGATACATTTATTAGGTTAACTTCTAGTTTGATTAACTCTAAATTCTTCCTGGAAAATACAAAATACTGATTCTGCCTATTAGGCAGGTAGCAAATTATAAGGTATTAGAGATTTCTTATTGAATACTTTGCCTCTATGAATGTTTGACAGAGCTATGTAAGACCTATATAAAAATATTTGGGTGCTAAAACTGTAAAAATAATTCTTCAGTAATATCAGATAACCTGGAGATTTGTGAAATACTGGAAAGAGGCGATGGGGTTGGAGATAGCTGGAGGGTCATAGACATACAAGCATATTTGTATTTTCAATGCCTTTCCTTATTAACCTTTTAGCAGTTCAAATGCACTCCCATTTACAATCTGAAAGCAATTTGTATGGGAGAGGGAGGGGGATATCAATGTTAGATGATGAGTCATTTGAAACTTGCTCCATCTTCCTTTCCTTGATTGTCTTTTCTTTTTGATCAAATACAGTATCCTGGAAGAATACTGTTTTATGAACCTTACAATTGGAAAGTCACAGAGAATATAATTCTTTTGATAGCATAAATCATGTACTATTTAGTGTTTATTTTGGTGATAACATAATAGGATTAAGGTGGCACAGAAAGGAAAGATGGGAAAAAACGATGACATGTGACAAACAAAGATGGAGCCCAGCCATGTCATTAGGAGTCTAGGAGTATAGTGTGTTACTTTACTTGGCACCAAAATCTCCTTTTAAGTGTTCAAACTCTTGGCGGCTGTTGGCTGTTCCTCCATATTGATAGGCGTGCTCTATTGCTCTAGGGCTGTTGGAAAGGTGGCAATGAGAGTTTCTTGGAGTATTCCGCTCTGGGAGTTTCAGAGCAACAGGATCCCATGAAGGTGCATCTTTACTTTTCCCTCCCTATAAAAGTAAACCAAATTAAGGGATAAAAGTGACATACTAGCAGCAAAAAGTAATTTGTGATGTCCTCATCATTAATAAGGATAAAAAATTATATATTATTTGTGCATTTTCCATTCATGGAACATTAGGTCCCCTCTCTTTCCTACCTCTAGCCCCATGAGCAAATGACAGCAGTAGCTGCAGCAGTAACATCAACAACATAGCATGTTAACTAACCCCAAATTCTTCCGCATGGTAGTAAAGCAAAGTTAAACTGAAGCTATAGAGACAACTGCTCTATCATTTAAATTAAGTGCACATCTTAAATACTAGTGAAAAGTGGCAAAGTTGGCAATTAAAATGACCCTGAATCAATCAACAAAATCCTCATATAAGAAACAATATTAATGTTACTTTAATACACAGATTATTACTTATGCATGTTGTGTAAAAAGTTAACATAGCAACATCTTCAAAATACTTAAGGATATTTTTGGTGATAGGATATGTAGCAGAATTTTATGTGACAGGATATAAAACAATTTTTAAACACATTGTGCTCTTAAAATTGCATGGCCGATGCTAAAATTTAGAGTTGTGCAAGTATAGGCTAATATTTAATTATTATTTAGTTTCAATTTCTGAAGCAAAATAAAAGTAAATGCAAATAAATTCAAGTATTTAGTCATTTATTCAAGCAAATGTTTAGTGACTATTGAATGGGTAGAAGTAAAGGGGAAGGAAATCCATGATTATACATGCCTCCCGTGGGTGGCATGTAGTGGGGAATAGAAAGTGAATGAGAAATGATTCCTGTTTTTTAAGGAACTGAAAATTAATTTGGAGAAACAGTTATAATAGCAAATTGGAAAACAGGTTGGTGCCAGATAGGACCTTAGATGATTGCTGGAAGTTTTGTTTTTTAGGTGATGAGGAGCCACACATCCTCATCCTGCTTTCAAAGCAGGGAGGGAGTGGCCTGCTCTGACCCACCTAGGAAGACAGCTTGTAACAAGGAAGGCCTGATAGAAGAGGAAATGTGTGGCAGCAGGGAGGACAGAGGCAGGATTAGATACAAAAATTCAGGATTACTGAATGCACACTCACAGGCAACAGACAAGATGAGAGAGAGGATTAGATAAGAAAAGTTCTGGTTGAGGATTACTGAATGAGCATACACCTTTAGTCCCTGCCTCCCTATTCCCATTGAAATGTCAGAACTATATACATAAAAATAAATCCACAGCAGTCCTGGAAATCTAGGAGGGTTTTTACTGGCAGAACCAAGCTGTGTGGAATTTCTGGAAGATATAAAGTAGATTGGAACAGATGGACAATAAAACCCTTAATCTCATAAGGGCAAAAGACAAAATCCCCCCCACAAAAAAATAGTGTTTTAGCTAAATCTCAGAATTACTTTCAAAATCTAGATCTGATTTTGGGCAGAGGGCAGGTTAATTAATTAAAGGACAGACGAGCTGTGCCAGTGTCTCTTGCTCTCAGGGCAGCAGCTCGTGCAGTTGGATTTTGGCAGTGGAGACTCTCACAGTGGTGGTTAGGTTGGAGAGAGGTGGGAGCTCATAGACTCTCATGTCCTAAAGGAAAGCCCACCTGGTTCCACCATTCCCTCTTCCCTTCTTTATGCAGTTGTCAGGACTCATAACCTGATTTTTACTGCCACAGAAACAAGGTTTCTCTCTTGGATGGGGGAAATATACCCAGCTACCAATACTTTTTGGTCCAGGCTCTCACCTACAGATAATGGCCATAGCTTCAAGCCGTAGGTGGGCAGAATGGGCTGGAGTAGGGCTGCCAGGAGATTCTTTAACTCTAATGTCTTAGGAAAATTTCCCCAAATACATGCTCTATTTCAATCCCAGTGGAGTAATACACTTTATGATAGGAGATATGATCACTTTTGTCTCAGTGAAAGGCCCAGCTGGAAATACTTTGCACAGGGCCTGTAGTGAGGGTGAGAGAACAGAGTGAGAGTGAGGGTAGAGGACTTTCCCCAACTCTGGCTGCTTCCTGTTTTCTCCATTTGGATGGAAAGGATCTCACGCTTTCTTAGTCAGTGTATCCACTTAGCTCTAGGTGCTCAGTGAAGCACAGGGTTATTTGAAACAGAACAATCTCAATTTACCAGCCTTGCCTTACTCTGCTTCAGTGTGGGAATACATGACTATGTAGGCTGCATCACTCATCTGCTGCAAAAATCAATAAACTCGGGTGTCTTTATATATGGCAACCAAATATGCTAATTCTTCTGCAGATACACATTCACACTCTTAGTAATGATAAAATAGCCAAGTTATAACTTAATTACTTTATACCATACAACACTGAGACTCAGTTTATTATCCTAAGATGGGTATGTGTATGGTGATTCTCAATGAACTCCACTAGACTTTGGCTTTATCAGTGTAATTTTTTGTTTTCTCTGTGGGCCTATTAGTTGCAATCCTACTGATAGTACTAGTTCAATTTAGCAAGATTCTTTTGTGTCAGATAACAGCCAAGCTAGTTGAGCTACTGAAGAAAAAGACAGCAATGTGTTATAAGGATATAGGGGTATCTTTTTTTTTTTTTTTTGAGACAGTTTTGCTCTTGTTGCCCAGGCTGGAGTGCAGTGGCGCGATGTCAGCTCACTGCAAACTCTGCCTTCCAGGTTCAAGCGATTCTCCTGCCTCAGCCTCCCGAGTAGCTGGGATTACAGGCATGCGCCACCATGCCCAGCCAATTTTTGTATTTTTAGTAGAGACGGGGTTTCACCATGTTGGCCAGGCTGGTCTCGATCTCCTGACCTCTTTTTCCACCTGCCTTGGCCTCCCAAAGTGCTGGGATTACAGGCGTGAGCCACCGCACCTGGCCATCTTAAACAATCTAAGATAGGATAGTATTGTGGTGTCCCAGCAGGGGCTAGAATCAATTGGAAAGCTAGAAGGAATCAAGGCACTCCCTTTCTGGAGGTTTCTGATTTCTCAGAGCATCTCTTTTCATTTTTCTTTCTCAGCAGGATAGCTTTTTGCCTTTCACTCTATGAAGGAGCTTTTTTTCCTCTGTGTATAATTAACATAATGCCCTTAGGTTTACATGTTTTCTGTTCAATGGCCAGCTCAGGCTAATCTCTCTAGGTTTTAAGTTTCCAAGGAAGAGAATCTGATAGCCGAGCTTCGTGCACGTGATCTACCTTGGTCCAGTGATCTATATCCAGGGAAGTGAGGTCGTGCATCTAAAACACAGGGCCTGCCCACTAGCTCGGAAATCAGTTCTTAGAGAAGAGAGTGGTTTGCCAGATACCTTAGCATGATGTCTGTTACAATACCTGAAATGTTCATTATTAAACACCAAATGAGAAACTTTTCCCAGTTAAACTTGAAACATAAACATTGTTAAAAAAATTTAAGGCTGGAACATAGGTGATAAGACAGGTATTCACAAATACCATAGGGAACTAGAAATCAATGTTACCTTTTTGGAAAGCAATTTGCCTTGATTCAGTAATTCTGCCCCTGGGAATCTATCTTAAAGATTTGTTCAGCAACATACTCAAAGATTTACCTACAAAGATCTTTGGCTATAAAAGGAGAAAACTAGAAGCAACTGAAAGTCTATTAATGGTTAAGTGAATATAGTAAGTGAATAAAATGGGATATTAGGAAGTGATTGTGAAAATAAATTATTACAATCCCAATTGCTTTGATGCAGCCTTGATGAAAATTTAGGTCAGAGGCCATACATTTTTCTTGGTAGCTATTTATGAAGCTGTTGAAACAAGGGTCAATATAAGAAAAGATTAGCAAATGTTGACATTCTAGTTACCATAAAATATAATTGAAATCTATGGTGATTCTGTATCTTGTTATTACAAAGTCAAGTTTCTGTCTAACACTATTTACCATAAAGGTTAACAAGTTTCCTATAATATGGAAAAGCTTGTGTTAGTAGGGCTGTTGATTATAACCTTGAGATTGAATGTTTGTTGGGAAATCACATTTGATAGACAACTTAATTTAGAAAACTGTGTTTATTTAAAGGGGTAACTGTGTTTGCTTGAGAAGGTTGATGTCCCTCATCAGCCTGTAATGTTAATCTGCTGCCTATGAACCTCTGACCAGTGTTCAAGTGTCAGATAAAAAAATTTTCAGGATAAATCTTTTAGCATCAATGTATGAGGGTAACAGCAAGACTCTATTAGAATTTTATAGTATACTCTGAAAACTCCTTCATAGTATCTTCCAGCAAAATCCTTCATGAGAATCAATGAAATTATCTGTCTTCCATGTCAAACTCAGGAAGAGATCCTAAGAAACTACTAAGTTTTAATTATACACACACAAAATTATTTTGTTAACATTGATAAAGCAGTCATGTATGAACAAAGGAGAAGTTTCAAGAGGATTGAAAAAAGTAGTCCACATATGCTCAAATATATGGAAAATGTCAAGATATAATGGTCAGTGAAAAACCATCAGAATGGAGAAGGTGGTGGAGACACTTCCCTCTTGCTGATGGTCCAGAAGCCAGCCTTGGAAGGCAATCAGTTCTTCCCCTGAAAAGATGTTCAACCTCACTAGCATTCAAAGAAATGCAAACTAAAACCTCAATTTGTCCATCAGAATTGCAAAATTATAGAAATTTGATTATATTCATTGTTGACAATAGTGTGGGACAATATGTTCTTTCAAATGCTGTTTGTGGGAGTGTAAATTGGTATTGCCTCAATATTGAAAATGCATATTCCCTTGAGCCAAGCAATTTTACTTTTAGGAACCAATCCTCCAGAATACTCATAAGGCTCTATAGAGATATAACCACTAATATTCACTGAATCTTAACTATATGCCTTGTGCTATGCTAAGTGCATATAATTTCATGCATTAACTCATTTAGTTTTTGTTACAACCCTATGATGCAGATAGCTGTGTATGTATTGAACACCTATTATATGCATTGTTCTGAGTGCTTATTATATGTCAGGGAACAAAATGAATGAGCTTGCATTTAGTAGAGGAGACAGACAATAAATAATAAACATAATAAAGAAAGCATGCTAATAAATTACAATATAAGGACTATGAAAAAAGAATAGAAAGAGGCAAAAGAGCAGTATTACTGGTAGGAGGTAGGAGGCAGGCTGCAGTATTCAATAGGGTGTCAATGTAGGTCATTGAACAGGTGAGAGTTGAACAATTGTAGAAGGAGGAGAAGTTGTCTGTGCAGATACTTGGGAGAAGTGTGATCCAAGCAGAAGGGAAGCCTGAATAAAGAACCTAAGGTAGGAGTACACATGGCCCATTCTAGGAATAGTTGGGAGGCCAGTATGGGGAGAAGAGTGAGGGAGGTGGGCAAGTAGGAGGAGATGAACTCAGGGTAAGGCATGGATCACATAGGGCCTCTTACAAATTGTGGTGCCTTGGGCTTTTACTCGGAGTGTAGTCGGGGGGCCATTTGAGCACAGTAGTGACATGATATGATTTATGTTTATAAGGATCTGACTGTAGGGTTGAGAATAGGCTATCAGGGAACAAGGTGGAAGCAAGGAGACCTGCTGGGAGGTGATGCAGTTACTCAGATGAGAGTTGTTGGTGGCAAGGGCCAGGCTGGGAACACTGACACCTGAGCACACTCTTAAAATTGGATCATGAAAGAGGTGGGGAGGGTTAAACTGATAGAATTAGAAGGGATTAAGGGTCCCACTTGTAATGAAGGCAAATAATGTACACAGTTGAAGTAAATGAATGAGAAAGAATAGTAGTCAGGTTGGAATTTTAGAACTCAAGATTTTGATAATGGAGTAGCTTTAGCTGATGTCACAGACCAACTGTGCATGTGAGTGGTTGAAGTGAAGGTCCAGGAAGGAGGGGAAAAACCAGGGTAAGATCAGAAACTTGAATAATTTCCATGATTGTGACAAAAGCCTAAAATTGTTACACAAAAGCAAATGATACTAGAGAATTATAGTACTAAATAATATGTATTATTTATACAAACTGTTAAGCACAGGGACATTTCAACCATTGTAAAGGAAACCATTGTAAGTTGGAAGTATGAATAAATAGCTGATTCAGACTGTTCATTGGAACAAGAACTGATGCAACAAACGCGGATGAGCCTGGAGGACATTATGTTAAGTGAAATAAGGCAGGCACAGAAAGACAAATACTGCATGTTATCATAAGTGGGAGCTAAAAATGTTGAGTTCACAGGAGACTAGAACTGTGGTTATCAGAGGCTGGGACGGGCAGCGGCGGGAGGAGGATAGGCTGAGGTTGGTTAATGTGTACCAAATTACAGCTAGATAGGAGGAAATTGTTCTGTGTCTCTATAGTATGGTAGAGTGACTATAGTTAACAATAACTTATTGTATATTTCCAAATAGCTAGAAGAGATGATTTTGAATGTTCCCAACACAAAGAAATAATAAATGTTTGAGATAATAGACATGCTATCACTCTGATTTGATTTTTGCACATTGTATACATGTATTGAAAGATCACTCTGTACCCCATACATTTGTGCAATTACTACATTTCAATAAAAAATAAAAAATGCTTCTATAACAAAGAATTAATGCAACAAATCTGGTAAACTAGAATATGTGATACTGCAAGAATCCCATCTTTCCTATGTACGTAGTTGCAAAGTATCAAGTCAATTCTCTAAAACAGCAGTGTCTAGAACTGTGTGCATGGAAAATGATGACAATTAGGAAGTCAGAACGGCATTATCTTTTACCTTTTTATTCTGACTTGCTTTAGGCTTGGATAAATTTTTTCCTTTTTTATGGAGGAGAAACAATGGTGAAGACTCAATGGGACACTCATAAAGAGAAGTGTGGACCTTTTCAGTATACCGTTGGAAATCTTCAACCTCCACATCTCTATCCACCCTGTGTTTGTAACAGAGGAAAAAATAAATATTAAAAATATTGTTCAGAATTACATGATGAATATTATGGAAGTGAAAGAGCTTTGGCAATTAAAATGTGTGTGTGTGTGTGCATGTGTGTGTGTGTGTATGTGTGATGGGTCCTTACCCATCAACCACTCTTAACCAGAACCCTTTAAATTAACATTCAACCTGTTAATAACTATGTGCCTGGCATCACATATTTATAATAATGAATATCTTTTCCCTCAACACACTCTGGATGATTGGAACTGCCTCTGTTTCTTAATCTATATTAAATTCCTCCCTTGCTTGTTCTTGTACTCAAGGAACCCCTATTGTCTTTGTTAAGGACCTAGATTAATAGCTTTCTTTAAAATCATGCATTAAATTAAGAGTTTTGTAAACCTCTGGGTATGTTACTCTGTCATTAATGATAAGTACAAAAATAATTGCATCTAATATTTATAGCTTGCTGTATGCCAGACACTGTACAAGTTGCTTTATGTGCATTATCTTCTCATTTACCCTTCATGACAAACCTACCAAGTAGGCACCATTATTATCTGCATTTTCAGGTGAAGAAATGAAGGCTTACTTAGTCAAGGTCATATGGAAATTAAAGGGCAAAGAACCTACACAGAAACCCAAGTATGACAGTTTCTCAAGCACATAAAAGCTTTTAATTACTATCCCCTAATGCCTCAGATACATTTCATAGTTCTCAGTTTTAATATTTTTGCTGTTGTCTTGATTTTATTTATCAATCATGCAGATTCATTAATAATAAAAATATTATACCTGGTAAAGTAGGCATTACTTATGCAGCCAGTGAAATTAGCATACTGAGCACTGATTGGTGAGCCACCGAAGTAAAACTTCTTTTCACTTGCTTGTGTCTGTTCTATTTTCCCTTTGGTAGGATTCTTACTCCCAACTCTGCTTTTATCTACTATCAGTTCATATCTGCAAAAGAAAAAGGCTTCTTTACATACCACAGAGCTAGCATTTTACCTTGACCCACTCTAGGTTGGATAAGCAGGTTTTCTCATGAAATTGAAATGGAACATGTGGTTAATGAAAAGACAGCGAGTTGCCAAACTCTTCATGAGGCCCAGGATAAAATGGTTGGATATTTCTATATGCAAAAAAGATCCTCCAAACCAAGATTGGAATTTAAACCCGTAAGGCAAGAAATTCAGATGACTAGTCATCAGCATTATTTTTGTGTGTGTGTGTGTGTGTGTGTGTGTGTGTGTGTGTATAAAACAGAGCATACCTTATGATGATCACTTAATCACATTTGTGGAAGACCATTTTCATGGCAAAGCACATTAGATTATTTTGATCCTTACTGGAAGTGGGGCCCAGAAAAAGCCTACTCATGTTTTCTATGTCCACAAAAGTGGACATAGGATAGCAGCAGAGGTTCATTTCTTATTCCAGAAAATTTCTTATTATGAAAAATAAATTCAGTATTATCTATTTTAAAGATGAAGTTCGAGCTTTTAAAATGCCATAAATGTTGCATTCTCAACTGTTTGACTCAAGGTCTAAACAAGACCAATATTTGCTGAGCTCCTTCTATGTGCAAAATACTGCACTCTGTTCAGTAGGTAATATTAGTAGGCATTTCCCTCAAGGAGATTATAACCTATTGTTTTACTGGAAAAAGAACCCTTATATTTAGTTTAAGAAATTTCATAGTGATTTATTTTACATGTCTTGGAAACTAATAGCAATATTTTTTTGAGGAAGATAAGTTGTTCCTTCTAGCATTTTTGTTTTAACATTAGAAAAGTTATAGGACAGCCTATTATTCATAGTGGTTTTTGACATAATCATGTCCCACAAATAGACATGGTGGAAAGAATATGAAGTGAGGAGCTATACCTTGTGGGTGAGACAGAGCTAATGACGAAGTGGGACAGCCCATCATTGTACTGCTTATCTACTGACTGAACTTTGATTCCCTTTACATCCATGATGACAGTACCATTATCCAGTGAGATGGAGAACACGTCTGACTGAAATGCAAGCACAGGCATGTAAGTAGGGAGTCTAGGGATCCAAAAGACGGAAATGTTTTCAACATTTACTGAATGGTATTGCTTAAAGGCAATATAGTGTGTAGGAAATTTGCTTGTAAAATAATTTCTATAAATAACAACCAAGAATACCTTATTGCTTGTACTGGTATTGCTTATAAAATTAGACACATTTCAGTAGAAAAATGTATCTCCTATATTTCCAACTGAAAATTTTTGATGACTTTGTTATGCTGGGAGTTGTCAACCCAGTCTCAGTTACTTTCCTACTTTCAATCTCACTTTTAATCCCTTCGAATAGATGATATTTGGGTCTCCTTGGGGATGTAGCTAGATGACTAGGCAAGGGTTAATTTACTAGTTTGGCTTTTTAAAATCTTTCACTTTTTCATCTAGAGGCAGAAGAGACATTTTTAAAAGCAAGTTAGCTCTTCTTATCTGAATTTGCTTATTGCTTGTCTTAAAATATTTGGCAAGGGTTAATCTTGCTTCTCTTTCCTTATATGGGCACCAACTTCTTAAGTCTGCCCTCAAAATAGACTACTTTTTATGGGCAAAAAGTGTTATTTAACTAACCAGGGTAGTCTGAGGCAGGTTTGGGTCAGAAGTTCTACAAAATGCTTTGGGTAAATTCTCACAAATTCTACTGATTCCAATTAAATTGGATATAAATGTGTCAGATGCAGGTAATATATATGAAAAGTGAAAGCTGCTTTCAGAAGTTATGTGATGACCTGGCACATCAGTGTATATATTGATGATGACCTTTTCAGAGACCCATCAGTTGGATCTTACAGTCACCAATCCTCTACAGACCTTAGTTTATTCTTGAAATAACGTATCTTTATAAGCTGAGCTCAAATGCTCTGTAGCAAATCTAAGAGAAGTATGTATGTTCTTTTTACTCTTTTATAAATTAAATCACAAATGTGTTTGTTCATTGCATACAAACAGGGACTCTTGAGAATTTTTGTGCCAGAAACACCTTTGGCATTTTGGTAACAGATAGCGACCGCTTCACAAAATAATGTTTTTAAATGTATAAAACAAAACATATAATAATACAAAGGAAACCAATCATACTGAAATACAGTTTTCAAAATATTAAAATAATCTGTGATATTATTATAACTTTTTTATTAAGGCATTAAAGAATAAGATTCCATAGCAGACCTAATAACATTAGAAGTAGCAATGAGCAAAAATGACATTCTGAGATTTCTGTGACAATTGTAATGTGAAACAAAAAAATCTGTGATTTCTATTAATGACAAAGTCACAGGTACTGGTAATACTACTGTGGTGTGTTGCCTAGAGTCATAATCAAAGAAAATGATCAATTTCAGTGAGAGAAAATAAAGATGTAATCTTTTCGCATTAAGTCCACAGACCCCCCTGAATTCTATCCATGAACCCTTGGGGGTGGGTCTATGAATTCCAGGTTAGGAACTTCTGATATACAATACATAGAATATTTTATAAAGTGTTTGAAATGAGGCATTCTGTGTGTCTACGTGTGAGTCAAAATTAATCTGAATAGAAAATCACTTCTAACATGCATTACAAATTATTTTTAATAGGCAAAACAATTATCACAAAGAAGTTTCCTCAGAGAAAAACAAACACTTACCCCTGAAGCATAATAGAATAGTAACCCATTTGGTTGTAATGTTCGGAAATTAAAACCTCCTTCAAAGCCATCAAAGAAAGATATTTTCTGAATTGAAGCAATGAAGCTCTGTCCATTGAAATATGCTCTGCGAGATATCTGTGTGCCAGAACAAGTGGAGATAGTGTTTTTGAGAATTATCAAATGCTTAAAACTATCAATGTTTCACATACGGAAGGCCTTGCCTGTTAATTTCTACGTAAATAGTTTATTTTCCCACTTCTGGTCTATGTTGGAATTCAGGCATACACTAGGAGCTCCTCTGAGAGATGGGGTTTCATCTTCTCCACTGACTCCAACCTGAGTGAACAATGATGCTAGCACACCCTCTCTGGGTGTTAGATGCCCCACCCATGGAAAACTGAAGCAAACGAACAAGTCACAGAGGAACCCCATGCACAAGAGCCCTTCTAGCTTAATGGTTCTTCTTTCTGGTGGTGGCAGAAAGGAACCCAAGGTGTACCTAGGATCAGAGAGAAGCTGAAAAGAACTTTTCCAGCTTTTGAGAGTGATAAGTATTGTGTCTATTAAAAAGCTTTTGACTGAGTGGTTCTTACAAGTGAGTCTTCTGGGCATCCATAACCAACTCCCAGGGTTTCTGTCTGCTCCAGTAAATTGAAGTCCTTCTTTTGGAACTGGAAGCCCTTCATGCATCCTCTGAAGTTGATATCTAGGGGAAGGTGTGCTCTGAGGGCCCTGGAAAAGAAAGTCAGCCTCACTGATACAGCCATGATGATGATGTTACCCTGCATATGTAGGCTATGGAATTTGCATTTATTTATAGTCATTTGTAATGGCTTTATAATCATTCATATTCTCATGCTTTCTTTGATAGGCACACAGCAATGTCTAATCTTTGCCTATAGAAGAGTTTTGTTCTACGTCAAGCCAATTTCTTCCTTACAGTTTTCAAAATGCTCTAACTTACATTATCTCATTTTATCTTTATAACAATTCAGTGAAATAGATGGAGATGCTATGATTTCCCTTTAGCAGACGATTATTAGGTTGAATCATAGGAACTAACATGTTACACAGAAATATAATCAATTCTTAGTAATTTCACAGGGTTTAACGTAATGAAACTAAGAAATGAAACTAAGAAATAAATTATTCTCTTATGTCACAAGTGATGTTAGGATTTGAACACAGGTCTTCAGACTTTTATTAATCCACGTCATTAATGAATCCATTTTGGCATTATTTCCAACACATCTGTAATCAACAAAGTTTAGGGGAGTGTCTTAATGTTTCATTATACATAATACACAACCCTTTGGATAACCTTAAAAATTTGTGTAGCTCAGATGCTATTGGAGAGTTCAAAATGGGTTTAAGGCTAAAGCAAAAGTAAATGGACAAATGCTGTTTTGTCTTCACACAATACACATGTTCCACCGTTCCTATTATTGATGAGAAATACTGCATTAGATCATGTTCTAAGAGTAATACAATAATTGAAGAAATCTGTGATTACATCTATGCGATGCTAATTTCAGGAGGTCCTGAGGACTGACTGCAGAGGGCCTGAAGGTACATGAATGTGTGTACCTGTGCCTGTCCCTGTGTGTAAAAGTAGCAAGTAAGGGTGCGTACACTGTTACTAGACCTCTCCTGGATGTTGCCAGCCCAGTACATTGCTAGGAACAAACAGCTACTTAACAAAAAGCCTTACCTGGATTGTAAGATTTCTGGAGGAGCTCCTCCAATGTATATATCTGTAAAAGGTATTTTCATCTTTTCATTATCCATGCTCTTGACATGCCTTCTGTCAACTACCAAGATCATTTTCTTATCATTGTGGTAAATGATTGAGATCTGGGAGAGATAATATATAGTAAGCCTTGATTAACTATTTAATATTCAGTTCTTTGATGACTTCTATATATTTTAATTCTCCTGGTATACTAGCTGTTCTTCCATGCCTTTGTGCTTGTTTGTTCACAAAATGGGGAATAGATAGATTTTCTTTTCTCACAGACTTGAAAACTCTTGCTTCTACAAGCAGCAGTTCACACTTTCTGGGAAAGGAGGTCTGTATGAAGAGGAGCCAGCCCAAGAAAAATTTTGCGATTAGACCTATTGTTTCCTCCTGCTCCTTCTGAGAGGATTCAGGAAAGAACTATAAACAGGTGCCACCATTCTCTTTTTTTTTAAAAAAACAACTTTATTCAAGTCTAGTTGACATACAAAGAACTACACATATTTTATGTATACAATTTGATGAGCTTGGACATATGCAAACACTCATATCATCTTACAATCAAGGTAAGAGACATATCACACATTTCCCAGCATTTCCTTGTGTCCCTTTGTGGTGTGTGTGTGTGTGTGAGCATGTGTGTTACGCACACTTAACATGAGATCTATCCTAAATAAATTTTAAATTAGTTTTAACTATAGGCTCCATGCTGTACAGCAGATTTCGAGAACTTACTCACCTAGCACAACTGAAACTGTATACACATTGAACAGCAATTTCTTATTTCCCTATCCCCTAACCCCTGGTGACCCCTATTGTATTCCCAAGCAGGTGCCTTCTGGAATCTAGATTGCATGTTACCAGGTGTAATTTTTTTGGTGACACAGTGAGCAGTTCTAATGAATCTGCAAAAATGCTAGTCAGAGAAATAGTTAAAATATTCTTTTATTGTAAACCATTCTCATGAGGCTATGGACTTTGAACTGAAAAGGGAAATACAGTCTCCTACCCTTCGCATTTTGGTTCAACTTAAAAGATATTATGCCTTGTATACACTTTATTAAGTTGTATATTTAAAATAGTTAATGAAAATGGATGAAGTATATTTTCAGTAGTCTGCACATCTGTTTCAAAACTAAAGGGGATTCTTTGTGAGTTCTCTTTATAAGGAAAACTGTGCTAGTATTTTCTAAATTCTGGATAAGTGGTTTAAAAGGAAATTCTGTATTTACTTATATGTATTCTTGTTAAATTTGGTGGGGCTCAAAGGATAAGCAAAAAAAGGCTGTGTATCTACACTCTGGCTCATTCAACAAATGTATAGAAGTATCCTGTAGGAATACCAATTGAGATATTTAAGATTAATAGAAGCCTTCTGGTTAATTAAGCAATTAAAAGGAATCTTTCAGTGACTTTTAAATTGGAACATCAACAGGAAAAATACATCCAATGTTTTAAAGTAAATGTTTTCCTAGGGTTGAGAAGATGAGGGTCCTTCAGTTGCTCTTTAGATATGAAAGTTCTCAGTTTATTTACCATCCTGCCTGTCTCATTTGACTGCCTGATTAGATCAACAGATCTAAGTATAAAGAACAAAAACAAAACCAACCAAACTACAATGATTTGTACCTCATGGTATTTTGCATCATTAATTTGAGCTTTCTTTAACGTATCTTCAAGATGCACAGGGCCACCGCTGAATCCAAAATCATAGAACACATGTAGGTAACCATTGCGCATTTCCAGTCTGAAAAACATACTCTGAGGAGAGAAAGGAATTGTAAGATAGGAACATCTGTTATGCGAGTAGAGTCAGATTTAGCTGAATTTGAGAAATAAGACTGTATTCTTTATTACTGGAACTATTTGAAGACTAAGAAAGTCTCATGAAATTCTTATGAAATAAAAGTGACAGTGTCTGGGAGTGGTGGCTCACACCTGTAATCCCAGCACTCTGGGAGGCCGAGGCAGGTGGATCACTTGAGGCCAGGAGTTTGAGACCAGCCTGGCCAACATGGCAAAACCTTATCTCTACTAAAAATACAAAAACTAGCCAGGCGTGGTGGTAGGCACCTGTAATCCCAGCTACTCAGGGGGCTGAGGCAAGAGAATCGCTTGAACCCGGGAGGTGGAAGTTACAGTGAGCCGAGATCGTGACACTGCACTCCAGCCTGGGCTACAGAACGAGACTCTGTCTCAAAAAAAAAAAAAAAAAGTGACAACTACTTCCATATCAGCAGCTATTTCTCTTATTAATACATAAAAGTTAATATTTATACACAGTGTAAAAATTCTTCTGTTTTCATTCTACTTTCTGAACTAATGGATGAAGTTTTAAGTCTACATTATTGCCTTTTAAGAAAATCTTGAAAATAGAGTATAGTATACCATGTTTATTCAACTGCCTTGTCTTTAGGAAACTTTTAAAAATTATAACAGGCCAACAGATGTGTCTGCATTTATTTTAGGTGAAAATTAGTAAAATTAAAAAATAATTTCAAGGTATACTGAAAAGAATTCTTCCATATTATCAGCAAATATGGATTTAAAAAAAGAAGGCCATTGCTGTATTGTTTTGAAACACTGGATTTATGTAAATAAATATAGAATTATTATGCACTTGGAACACATGATGTTTAAGAATCAAAGAAATTTTGTAACACTCAAATAATTTACTGGAGTTTTGCTTGTTTCAGAAGATAGTTCATAGATACAAGAAGTCAATGGATTTGAAAAATAAAGCATTGTGGCAAGGTCCCTATTCTATAGGAAGTGATCTCCTGAGTGGAGTTTGTACATTCCTGGGAGTGTGGAAAGCAGCCTACTGGAGTTTAGGAAGAAAATATTTCAACTTCTATTTATACTAATTTAAAAAAACCTGAAATAGAGAAGAAAATATTTCAACATCCATTTATACTCACTAAAAAATCTAAAATAGAGAAAGAAACTAACTTTTAATATTTAACACATGAATTATTGACTCTGGGCCTTCATTTTATCCTTTTGTCAGACTTTCACAAAATTCACATAATATGTGTGGCTTCCCAAGAGGGGTTCCACACTTGAAGAGTTGAAGGTAGCTCCTCATCCATTTCTTTGCTTCTAGCCTATTGCAATTTATTGCAGTTTACGTGTGGCTAGTTATATGGATTTAAGGCTGATATAACCGAAATAATAGAATATTTACACTCATTTTGTATTGAGATGTAGAGTGATGTGAAAACATTTTGAGACACACAGATATTTGCTGGCTACTTCCTACAAATTTCTGAAAATGCTGTTAAGTTTATAGAGGGTTACACATTTTTCTTTGTAACATGAATTATTCTAAATTTGTTGAACTTTATTCGTGATGACAAATGTCTGACAGTAGTATGAATCCTACTAGTTATTTCAAAAAAGAAACATACTGTCACATCAATGTAAGGGTATTATCATAATAATGGATGAGAAAGTAACTTTTTCTCCTTTTTTTTGAGGACGGTTATACTGTGGAGAGATGGTTTTTAAAAAATATGTTTGGGAATTTTTCTATTGTTGCTTTTGTTGATGGGAACAATGTAAATGCAATCCTACAAAAACTCTCCTATCAGCTCTATTAAAACATTTGAGGGAAGAAATTTCTAACCTTTAGAAAAATATTTCAAATAAAGATTTTCAATAGCTTTGAACCCTTTTATTAAAGTTTACAAAATGATACCTGGTTAGCTTACAAGAACTAATATTAGAAAAAAGGAAATACACCAATCAAATCTCAAAGACAACCTTTGCCACTTGGTGAATGTGATTGAAAACTATTTGAGTTAGTAGGCACAGCTAATGATATGGTTCTTTCATTTTTTATTTTTGTGAGGTGTCTTGTCTAGTTACAACCACCAATAAAATTACTGTTGAAATAAACTGGACTTAGGACAAGACTTTTGAATCACTGTGTCACAAAGAGTTTAAGGATTTTTGAAAATATTTAGCATACTTAATTACATTTTCTCACTAAAACTATTTTCTTTGAGCTGTACAGTAGATAAAGTACTATTAAAAATAATTTTAGTGAGAAAAACATTTCTGTATCATTAATAAATAAGTCAATTTAATCTTCATTTTAAATATATAATCTTTTATTTTATCTTTATATAATTTGTCCTTTATTACAAGCTTTGACTGTTTCATACTATATTTATATCTGTTTATAGTACACATGTATCATTTATAAACAAAGATATATATGTGTGTGTGTGTACATACATATATACTTACATACACACATACATATATACAAAGCATGCAAGCTTTGCTTTAAAATTGATTAGGGCATATGGTTTGGAAAAGTTAGGAGCCCAGTGCAAAATTTCTGCAGACACCCTGCTCATCTAGATCTTGGTTCTAATTTCCTCAAAGTTCTCTTAGTTTATTTATATCCAAAAATGTACTGTGGGGAAATGCATCTCAGGGTTGCTTTTATTTATTGCTGTCATTACTTTCCTGAAGAAGAAAATCCAATTTGACTTTCTAAACTAGAATTTCAGTTTGATGGCATGACACACTAGACCTGGGAAGGTTCCTGGAAACATGAGTAGCAGAAAGTAAAGGAAATAAAGGAGAAGTAGTAGGACTTGTATTTTTACTCACTCCATTGACCATCAGGAGAATAAGGCCGTTGTCAGCTGGTGTTCGAACTTCTATGTCAAAGCGAGTCACCTGACCAAATTTCCCTCTCCTTGTGATGTCTCTCACCACGGCATAACCGGAGCCATCGAAGAAGTAACTGGCAGCCCGACTCTGAGTGAAGGCCAGCTTATCTCTGAAATGGAAACACAACGGTCATTTGAACACTACAGTTTCTGTTATGCTTTTCAAGTGAAGCCCTTTTAACCCATTCTTCTAACATCTTCTGTGGACCTTACAACATTTAAATGAAGTCCTGTTGTCTGCAAGGAAGAGATAAAGAGGTATTTGTAGGTATGTTAAATGGATTGTTTTCTTCTGTATCCTGTGTGCTAAGACAACTGAAGTCTCCAGGGACACCCTAGTCTCTGGAATCCTTAATCAAGGCTGCAAACAAGTTGTTTAACACTTCATACTTGGGCATGCTCATCTATGATAGAGAACAGGTGAAGAGTTTTTTGCAGGTATGACTTATGTAGTTTCAAAACTGGCTTCCCCAAAGAAAAGTTTGAGAACCTGAATATTGACTCATACTTGTTCTATCTGCTGCTCTTGCATGAATATCCAAGTCTTTAGTACTCTTAACTGTCTCTTACCGGGCACATGGCACTGATGTGGAGGGGTCCATATTATAGATGTGCTTAAAGTTGTACAAGCTGATCACATCATTATTCAAAGTGGCCAGTTCCAGGCAGCCAACAAAGCCAGGCAGGTTTAAGCTGGTAGGGAGCTATGCAATAGAAAAAGTAAAACCACTTGTCTCATGGTCATATTTTACTCAGACATCACAGAACAGACAATGCAACTAATAGTAGGTCAAGGAGACCTACCCCTTTGTGGAAATATCTTTCTAGACCCGAGTGTGTTTATGCCAAATCATTTAGATATGGCGTAACTTGTCAGTTGTGCAAATCTTAGCAGAGAAAGTGGGATTTACTGAGCATAGATTATGTGCTGGTCATAGGCTGTACAGTGAATTCATGACAAAAATCAGTCCTTGCGCCAGCTTTGTTAGGTAGGTATTCTTGTTCTCATATAATGAGAGGGAAAATAATTCTCAGATAAATTCCAATTATGTGCCCATAACTAGTAATAATAGTCCTGAAATTGGAACCCTAGATCAACTTCCCATCTTCTTCGACCTTTCCTTTATCCCCCTTCATCAGATTTCATACTCTCTCCGAAGTCTCACCCCCTCTCTCATCCCAGATACTTTATTTCATACCTGTATTAGGTGAGATAACTGAATTTTTGAAACCACCACTGCAAAGCTGAAGATTAGATCTAAACTGTGGTGACACCACAAGCTACGGACCTTCCTGTGGCAGGTGGGGGTAATATTAATTACATATGCATGTATCAGAATGAATGAACTGATCTTCAGGAGTTAGCTATAACTTGAAAGCATTTGACATTATGAAAATATGAGTAGCATAGACCAGATTTACACATCAGGTTTATAGATTCTGGTTCAGAATTCTACTCCCCCATGAACTAAGCTCTTAAAGTGATATCAGCAACCCCCAAGTCATTATAGGTTTATGGATTTATAAAAACAATTACTGTAGATTTGTAATAGGTCAAAATATAGCTGTATGGCTGACCTTGAAGTTGGAAGGCACTCCACCAACATAAAACACTGTGTCCTCAGGGTCCAGGTCCAGCAGAGAGTCATCTCCCGAAAATTCCCCCTTTTTAATGAACTTTTCCTCTGCTGTGCTACTTAGACTCGGGACTGTTAAAAACACCTTTCCATGTTTTCCCACCCTATTGAGATAAATAATTTTCACTTGTTATTATATAATTCATAGAAAATACTTTTTAAATGTCAAAATGTTAATGCTCCCTCATCACAAAATGGGTAATTTTGTGACACTAATAAGCATTTACAAAATACCACAATCAATGAGAAAGAGAAGAAAGACATTCCATTTTGAAGTTAATTCATGGATTGACCAGGTAAAATCTAATAATCAGATCGTGATTTAGAAATGACTTTTTTTTTTCTTTCCTACTAAGGTGTTTGGGAAAGAATATAAGAATAATGGAAGAAAACGGAGCAAGAATAAAGGGAGGAAAATGCTATTTATAACATCCACAGGAAGACTGTGTATGTGTGTGTGTGTGTGCACGCACATGTGCACGTTCAACAGGTTTCTTGTGATATGTGCATATATGCCCTGTGTCATGGATTCACTGTACCTTTCAATCTTGACAATGCTGAAGTAAGCAGGCCAGGAACTGACGGGCTTGGAGTCCAGGGGAATCTCCACATCTTTAGTTCCCAAATTATAGACGTATACCAGATTATCATTTTTGATTGCAAGACCCATATACTCTTTTTTGGCCTGAAATATCAAGAAGTAAGAAGTCATTTAAATAAAATTCATAAGAATGAACATCATCTTTTTTAAAGGACAATCAGAAATCCAAATATTTGGGTATATACAAGTGACTTCTGGCCTGAATTATTATCCGAAGCTCCTGTGAGCAGGCAGTGTCTCTTCCTTTCCAGCCTCCCTGTGGCCACATCAGAGTCTGCTGGCCCCATCTTGCTCAGGCTCGTGGAAATTTGTTGGCTGCCAGGAATGGGCTAATTTTGTGAGGCTAACCCAGGAATATAATACAGCCTGACAGTACCGATCACTATGCATCTCTAAACAGGATTCAGCATCAAACAGAATAGGCTTCTGTCTTTCTGAAAGTCTTTGAGGTGTTTCATTCAGACTCATCAAAGTTAGTAGTGTGATGGTGATAGGAAACAATCCCCACAATATCCCACACAGAGAAGAAATGACTTGTCCTTTAGTCATTCTTTTAATTTTGCCATTAAAATGAGATCTTCTGAGTTACCAGAATGGGCATTGTTTTGGTTTGTTTGCCTAGGTGGCTTTATTTTAGGCAAGAGAAAAAGCAGCTTTCCTTGTAAATATTATTCCCTCCTTTCAAACTCATGTGCTTACGTTTTTGCTTCCGAGGTACAGGATAAACTGATCTGCAGTCTCGGTCAGTTCCGGCCGCTTCACAGGGGGTTTCATGTACAGGCTCAGAGACGTGAAGGCCTTTAAGTCATCCATACTGGTTCTCGAGTGCACTTCCACAGCTGACTGGCCATCAAACATCATGGAGACTTGGATCTGGAGTGACACAACGGTTTCATTAAAAGTGCTTTGCAGAAATGGGCAGAGTGCTTTCCCGTGCTTCCCTCATTCGTGACAGGGGCCTATAAACTCTCTTCACCTCCATACCTGTAGTTATTTACCACATCCTCCCCTAGTTGAAGAGAAGACTTAGGGCAGATTGTGACACAGTAGTTTAAAGTGGGGTGAAAGAAAGCAAAAAAAAAGTGGTGACTAAGTAGATCCAAGAATGAGGATAAATATGAATTCCACCATGAACAGTATACTTGGTTTGGGTGAACTAAACAACTTGCTCAAGTTGTCTGGTCAGTATACAATTCACAAGGCTCATACAATTTATACAAAACTAATTGTTTGGGAGAAGTAGAACTAATTTTGGTTACTAATACAGCTGGGACTTTGTCCCTAGGGTCCTCATAAAAGGGACATGGGGTGAGGCTGTGAGCAACATCCTTGCCCTTGTCTACACAGTTGGGAGGGGTCTGGACTAGCTTTGTAGTCTCAGACCAGGTGGGCTCTACCACTTCCTAACTATGTAACCTTGAGCAAGTCACTTAACCTTCAGTTTCCTCATCTGTGAAATGAGGATAATAAATTTGTTGTGAGCATGAAATACGATAACTATAAAGTGCTTTCCAGTGCCTGGTCCTACCATTATAATAACTGTAATAATGAGTTCATAAGGTGCCTCTTATAATGGCTCACAGAAAGGCATCACAACAAAGCACAATTCAGTAAGTGCATTTCTAAGAGGCCCAATATGATATGCTGAGCTGGTCTGATTCAGGGATAATTTTTAGAGTATTTACAAGTGTATGGATTGTGTATACTTATGTCATTTATCTGAATCTTTCCAAATGATTAGGCATCTTTATATTAATTTATTAATATTGATTTGGCTAATGTGGGTGGTCAGTGAGCTCAAGGCTCTATTTCCAAATGACTGGAGTGCAGCTGTCCTATGTTATCAGTTGAGTAAAAACTAATACTTTTTTTTTTTTTTTTTTTTGAGACACAGTCTCACTGTCACCCAGGCCGGAGTGCAGTAGCACAATGTCAGCTCACTGCAACCTCCATCTCCCAGGTTCAAACAATGCTCGTGCCTCAGCCTCCTGAGTAACTGGGACTACAGGTGTGCGCCACCACGCCCAGCCAATTTTTGTATTTTGGTAGAGACAGGGTTTTGCCATGTTGGCCAGGCTGGTCTCAAACTCCTGGACTCAAGGGATCTGCCCACCTTGGCCTCCCAAAGTGCTGAGATTACAGGCATGAGCCACCGCACCCGGCCAAGACCAATACATCTTAATAAACAAGCAGTGTGGGGGATTAAAGTCTTACATTAATAAGTGAGAGTCTGAGAATAGTGCATGTCTGCATGAAAAGCATCCCACTTGGGGGCACTGAGTGAGCTCCCAACTCCCAAAGGTGGGGCTAAGTCTGTCTTTAGCAAATGGTCTTAGGTGATTAAGGTCCCAAAGTCATACTCTTTATAGAAATAATATTACAAGAAAGCACTCATAAAAACCTAGCTTTTAGAATGCCATTTCTTGATGTACCTTTAGATAAACCTTTTTTGAAAATGTTCACTGGGGCATCTAAATAAGGTAATTTGTCACAAGGGACCATTTATCATCATTTAAAAGTCAGGTCTATTTACCAAGAATAATCTTCTACATTACGAAATAGTTGATTTCTAACTCTTCTTTCTGTCAGTAATTAGGACCAGTAGTCTGCTCAGGCCGATTCTTAACTGAGAAAATAAAACCATATACTTTGGTCATAAAAAGTGAGTCTGGTCTATGAATCAATTAAAAAAATTCAAGAGGTCCAAGAACAAGCTCCACTTTGCCACATTGAAAAGTAATTGCTATGTCAGGAGATGTTCCTACAAATGCCAGCCCTAGTTATCTTCTGCTAAGTTGCTTCTATATGTGTCCCAAAACACATATAGTGTGTTTGTTGAGTTTATTCCTCTTAGCCAGTATGTGATTCCTCAGTTAACCCTGCGGGTGGTCAGTAAAAGCTTCTGCATAATTTGTGTTGTACCAGATAATTTCTTGAAGGGGTAGGACAGATGGGATAGATTATTCCATTATGGTAATTGCACTAAAGCAGCTGTTAAAATAACATAAAATATAAGAACGAATTGAGGCTTTTATTGAGGCTTTACTTCTTTTGCTATATTAGCTTTATTGACTAGTTTAACTCTGTGGTTTTTAAACCTGGCTACACATTAGAATAACCTGGGAGCTTTAAAGAACATACAGGTACTGAGCCCTTTCTCTACAGAGTCTGATCTATTGCTTTCAGGTTGGGACCAGGAATTGGTTTCGTTTTCAGTGTTCCTCACGTGTTTCTAATTAGCAAATGGGGCTGAGAACTACTGAGTTGGAGAATACAGCAGAAAGGTCCAGGCTCTGGAAGCTGCCCAAGCAGTTGGAGCTCAGCTTCGTGTTATTATTACCGCTGACTGACTGATGAGTCTTTTCATCAGTTACCTTGCTGGCAACACTTCTGGTCTGAGCAATGAGCTCTCGGATCCTCTGGATGCTGGCAGAAACGTTGCTTGCAGGTCGCTTCTGCTCAACCGTACGAAGCTGATCCAGGAGCTGAGGGACAACCTCGGTCAGATTTCTTACTGCAGTTAATAAAAATTAATCATTTAAGAAAATAACTCAATATTATATTTCAAGAATCAGATGTAGACAATAAACATGGATTACATATGGTAGAACTAAGAGAAATGATTTTTAATCCTGCAAAATTAATAGTAAAACCTGTAAGGTACACAGATGTGCTTTGATCAGGGAATAGGTTGAGGCAGACATCTGGGCCAGACGGACTCAGCTAGTTTAGGGCACAGGTGCATACTCCATTTGTTATATAACCTGTTTGTGTAAGCTCATACTTGGCTCACAGCCACTATTGTTTGAAAATGTATAACTGCCCTGCCGATGCCATGCACAGGATGCGTGCTCTTGCGCCCAGAGAAAGAGAGAATGCCAAGGCCGCCTGTCTTGCAGACGGACAGAGGGAGAGCCAGGGCTCAACATGGCTCAGGCGTGCTGGTGCCCAAAGAGAGAGTAACGCTACTGACCCCTGTAGGGGAGAGCCAGTTGCCTTGAAGGTAGGCATGGGGGAGCCAGGAACTGGCTTGTACCTGGAAAGAGAGAAAGTTAAGCTGCTAACCCTGAAGGCAAGAGCAAGCCGACTGCTCAGCTGTGTGTGGGAGCAGCCAGAGCAAGCAGCCGAGACAGAGCAGGCAGTGTGAGAGAGCTTCTGATGAGAGAGCTGCTGAACAGAACTATATTTCACCTGTCTACATCCCTCAAGTGTTCTTTCAGCCACCCACCCACTCCACTCAGACCTCAGTATGGGCTCGAACCTGACCCCGAGCATGACATTTGGCATAGTCGTGGACCTAACAAAGCCCAAAGCACAGTTTGTTTCTATTTTTGTGACATTTATAGTACTTACTGATCTAAAAATTGTATCTAGAGCAGGCTTTTTCTAAAGGGCAGGGACCACGGTATATATACAAATGTTCCTTTAACCATATAGCACAGGTTCTGCTTGCATTTCTAATATAACTGATATAACAGGTCAAGAGGAATACTGGGAAAAAAGGTAGGAAGATTGTTTTCCACCTTTTTTCCTTTTCTATGTTTTCTTCCTCTTCTATGTTTTCTAAACATAGAAAAGAGCGCAAGTCAGATGGGCTTGATGGCTCACACCTGTAATCCCAGAACTTTGGGAGGCCAAGGCTGGTGGATCACCTGAGGTCAGGAGGTTGAGACCAGCCTGGCCAACATGGCAAAACCCCATCTCTACTAAAAATGCAAAAATTATCCAGGTATGGTGGTGCACGCCTGTAATCCCAGCTACTCGGGAGGCTGAGGCGGGAGAATCGCTTGAACCCGAGAGGCAGAGGTTGCAATGGGCCAAGATCGCACCACTGCACTCCAGCCGGGGCGACAGAGCGAGACTATGTCTCAAAAAAAAAAAAGCACCAGTCATAAGAATACAGCTTGATGAGAGAAACTCAAAACAAAGAGAATGGCATAAATTTTTCCAGAGTTTCATTGACTGAACAGTGGTTCTTAAAGTGTGGTTCCCAGACAAGCAGCAGCAGCATCACCAGGAACTTGTCAGAAATGCAAGTTCTTGGCCCTGTCCCGAGCCCACTGAATCAGCAGTTCCTGGAGTGGGATCCAGCAGTCTGTTTAACAAGGCCTCCAGGTGATTCTAATGCACACTAGTATTTGAGAACCATTGGCTCAGAGACGAAATACTTTTGAGGTATTCTCTTTCCTAAGGGCAGGGCCATGGTCATTAAGCATTAGTAGCTGGGCAAGAGCAAGCGTCTTCCTAGAGAAAAACTAAACTCACATTCAGGAGACTATGTCAGTGCAGATCAAGGAAACATCCCTTCTCTGTACTTAGGACACACGATGTTTCTCCAGTGCAAGGAATAGAATTAAGTAAAATAATAGCAACTATCAGTTTATTATATTGATTAATACAGAGGTAAATATTTATTGTTTGGATCACTGACAACGACATTTATTTTAGAGTATACTAGTCTTTAAAAACTAGAGATAATATACTTAATGAATTATGTTAGATATTGATTATGGAAATGTTTATAAGACAGAGTCCCCCTGCTCCCTACAATCAATTCTCTTAGAAAAAGGGAGCCACCTTATATTAGAGTACTTATAAAGTGTCTTACATTATGGTATCCTCTTTCATTTCCTTTGTTTTGAACCACAAAATGCTATTTGAGAAAAGCACAGTAAACAATTTCAATTTTTTGAAACTTCTGGATGCTTATTGGAATCACTTGATAAGACTGGTAAAAAATGGGAAAAAAATGTAACAGATTTGGTACATATTCCCGAGGCAATATCATTATAAATGTAATAATTGAATTTCATATAGGCAAATCTTTTAAAGACAAAATTTTAAAAGCACTTCCTTGAGTGGTTACATGGAAGAAATGAATATATACTTAAAAGATCATTATAAAAGAGCTATTTTACTGTTATGGGAATGGGTATTTGTAAATTGGAATAAAATTTGTACTGACAGATCATATATGGATTTATGACCTTTCTTAATTCAGATACAAGTGAAGGTAGTATTGTTTGCAAAACCATATTGGAGAACAAAAAGTTCTAGTCATGATTTGTCATGATATTGACAGACATTGCTGTTTAAGAAGTTATGAAGGGATTGGATAAAAATGTGAGAATGGAAAAAGCGAAATTTCACAAGTACTGCCTGGTTCTAATATCTACAAAATAAGTTAGGTAGACATGAAAATATTTCATTTTCATTTCTATAGAACTGTATATTCAAGTTGGCCAACACGCTGTTCTTAATAGAAAGCTGGAGTTATGTTTGGCCATATTCAGTACTTGTTGGTAATAACCTAATTACTCAGATAAAGAAAAAGCAATGTTGCCTAGTAGAAGCAATGCCATTTAGTAATTTTTTTTCTAAAAGCTAAGCAGTATTTTGTTAAGATTATTTACCCAACATTTGATTAACCTTGTTCCCTAAAAGATAAGTCTTACGTTGATACAATTGCTACCATAATTTCACATAGAAAAAATTATGACTCTTTACCAATCCATCTAGTGTTCATACGAAATATATGTATGTTTCTCATATGTATTTAGACAGGTATAGATAGATAGATAGATGAACAGTGCAAAAGCTTTTCTTTTTCTAAGCTAACTTCTATAATTTTCGAATCCAAAACCCAAATGAAGAAAACTGTTTTTTGACAAAAGATGTATAGAGTTTAATGGCCAATTCCTTAATTAGATTCAAATTGTGAAATTTCTAAGTGATACCTGCATCCCTAGCAGAGTTCACTGCAGTGTTGTAAGCAGAAGAGTCAAAATGTTGAAGATTCTGTGACCAGTTGGTTAGATTGTTGGCCATGGGGGCAGTGGCCTGCTGCACCTCCATCGTCGTCCTGTTGGCTTCCTCGGTGATCAGTCTAGACTGCCCCAGGCGCTGCTGGGCATCCCCTTTACACAGAGCACAGGGTCATTCACTTTGCAGAGAAGCCGGATATTTGTTGGGGAACATTAACACCCCTTTAACCCTTGAATGAAACAGATCTCACATTTTGGGCTCTTAAGCAAAAGTAAGATTTTTGGATAACCATGTGGCTCACCGAAAACATTTCCAAATTAAGAGGTAAATTTAAAAAGAAGAGTAATTGTATTTCCTATAACCTGGTAAGAAAGCCATAGAAAATGCACATGAGATTTTAACTCATAAGAGGTTTGTGTCTGAAATTAATTGCAAATATCACTGTCTTTTATGAAAAAGTAGGCTTGTGGAACACTTCTGCCATAAAAATGATTCTATAGAAGTTAATCAATAAAGAAAGATATTTTTTTAATAGAAAAAAAGCAAATTTCAAAGAGTTTTAGTAGTGAATTCCCATTTTTGTTAAAAATTACATCTTTAAAATAACCATGATGTAAATTTACAACAAAAAATTTTGTCTAGGGGATGGGATTATAGGTGATTTTCTTCTTTTTTTCTTATCTGCATTTTCTAATATTTCTATGAGAATTATTTATTATTTTTATAAAAATAATTATAATTCATTTAGGTGACTTTATAACTTCAAATTTTATAAATTTGAAGTTGTGCCCTAATTTGGTTATTGGATTGGTTATATGACCTAATTTGGTTATTGGATTTCTTTGGCCCCAACTGTAATGTAATTAGAACTGTAAAACAATTATAAATTTGAAGTTATACCATCACCTAAGTGAATTATAATTATTTTTATTATAAAAATAATACTTAATTTAATAATATATAAATAATAAATAATTTATTAAAGTGAGGATATATTTCATTTAGCCTCACATATTCTGGATTCTGATAAATGCTAGTTTCAATCCTGAATCTGCTTCTTACTGGCTGTGCCTGTTGCAGCAAGTTCCCTAACCTTCATGAACCTCAGGGTTCATATCAGCCTGAAGGCAGTAGTGGTACTTATCCCCATGACATAAAGTATTAATATGGTTGGCTGTGTTCCCACCCAAATCTCATCTTGAATTGTAATCTTCCATAATCCCCATGTGTCATGGGAGGGATGGGTGGGAAATAATTGGATCATGGGGACAGTTTTCCCCATGCTATTCTTGTGATAGTGAGTTCTCATGAGATCTCGTGGTTTTATAAGTGTCTGGCATTTCCCCTTTGCTCAGCAATCATTCTCTCTCCTGTCACCCTGTAAAGAGGTGCTTTCTGCCATGACTGTAGTTTTCCTGAGGCCTCCCCAGCCATGCAGAACTGTTAGTCAATTAAACCTCTTTTCTTATAAATTACCCAGTGTTGGCTATTTCTTCATAGCAGCGTGAGAACGGACTAATACAGCTATGTTGAACACTTAGGACAATGCCCAGCTCACACTAAGCATCAATAAACAGTCATTCTGATGACGGTGATGATGAGGCTTCTCCATGAAGGACCACTCTCCTGGCCAGAGCTTTGGTGCACTGTAGCACTGTAGCTAGGATTTGCTCATTCTAGTAAAACACCCATATGCTGCACTAGTTTTTTAACTTTCACTGCGCGAAGGAAGGCACATCTGCTTCCAATCACATCTATCTAAGATACCACTGCAGTCCCAGATTAAGCAAAACGTGTGCTTTTGTTTCTCTATTTGGGCTTGTTGGTCTCCCTGGTTTCTATTTGGTCTCTGGGCCTGTTGCTTATATGGTAAGAATGACTTGACATGTAACAGAGGGAAGCTGTTTACAGCTGGGCCAAAGAAATCCAATAACCAAATTAGGGCATATTGTTATGAGGAAGGATGTTCATAAGAAAGCCATTACCAAACACTATAAACAGCATGATCCCATTAAAAGACACACACACACACACACACACACACACACACAGACACACACAGACACACACACACAGAGGCAATGCTGGAAAAAAAGGCTCTCAAATCTAAAGGTCACCTCTACGTGGTGTGATTACAGCATTTATATTTAGTTTCTTCTTTTTGTTTTCTAGAACTTTTTTTTGTGATGAACGTATTTTGTCATCAGAAAATAACATTTATGTATAAAATCATTGACAAACAAAGAATTACCTAATCCTTCCTTGAAGGTTTACCTTACACTCCAGTGAATCAACAGATGAGACTTCAATTCTCTCTGATGCTTACCTCTCTCTGCTGCTTGTAGTTGCTTAACGGCATCACTGAGTCTGGTTTTAAGGGCACTTTTCCTTGCTAGGGCTCCACCCACACGCCTGCTAGTGTCAGCCACTGCTTCATCACTGCCTGTGGAAGAGCAGCAGAAAGAAGTACTAGTGGAGCCAAGATGCCTCGAAAAGGATTCCATTTCAACAAGGAAACTTCTCATTTGTACGATGCAGTCATCTGCAGTATTTGCAGTATTCTGAATACTCTGAACATAGATCAACAATTCTGGAAAGTAGCATTTAAAATTCGAGGTACAGAATTGCAGAACACTTGTAATACTGCTTGTGAGTGACTTAGGATGCCATCATGGTTACTTTCTTTGATTGAAACATATAGCCCTGCCATGACTAATAACACCAAGCAGCACAATTGTTAAAGAGCTGAAAAGAAAAAAATCTCTCTCTCTCTACATATATGTGATAACGACTGGTTATAAAAATAATCCTTGTTTTCTTATTTGTTTCAATAAAATTTTAATTGCAATATAACATACATCTAGAAAAAGGCACCCTTTATAAATGCACAGCTTGACAAAAATGTTCACAAAATGAACACAAAACATAACCGGCATCCAAGTCAAGAAAATAGAAACTTATTACCACCTTTGAAGCTCCCTAGAGCCCCTGTGATAACCCAAAGATAATCACTTTTTTGAATTCTATCTCCATCTGTTTGTGTCTGTTTTTAAACATTATTCAAGTGAGGATATGGTATTATAATCTTTTATATCTGTCTTAATTATTACTATATAGAGCTATAATACACCTTGATAATGTAGTTTGTCTTCCAGCTTTGTTTTTATTCTTCAAGACAGTCTTGGCTATTCTTGGCTTTCCCCTCTCATTTCCATATAAATTCTAGAATATTCAGTTCAGGTACTTTAATTAATACTGAATTAAATCTGTAGATGAATTTGGGAGAATTGTCATTTTTACACATTTTAATCTTCTACTCAATGAATATGGTATTTATTTATCATTTATATATAAATTCTTGTTTAGATCTTCATTTATTTAGATCTTTATGCGTAGCAACCTTAGCTTCTTTTATCAGATTTATTCCTATGTATTTGATGCTATTGCAAACACTGTTATTTTTAAAAGTTAATTTCCCAATGTCGTATGTAAAATTAAATCGGATTTTTACACATTGAATTGGTAATGTAGGGTGTCCTTGTATTGTTTCTAATATTAGTGGAAAAGCATTCAATATTTCCATTTTAATTGCTGAATATTATTTTATTTTTCAGATTATGGAAGTTTCCTTCTATTCTCAGTTTGCCGAAAGTCTTTTTTAAAAGTCAAAAATCTTTTTTAAAAGTCAAGTTTGTTAAATAATTTTTCTGCATGTAGTGAGATGATCATATGAATTTCTCCTATATCCTATAAATGTGACAAATTACAATTGATTTTTTAAATGTTAAACTATTCTTGAAATCCTAAAATAAACTCAAATTGGTCATCATATATTGCACTTTATAGGTGTGCTAGATTTGATTTGCTAATATATTGATTAGAATTTTTGCATCTCTTTTTGTGAGAGAATTTGGCTTATAATTTTCCTTTTTAATAATATCCTTATGTGATTCAAGTAACCAAGTTTTGCTGGCTTCATAAAACAAGTTCCAGAGTGCTTTCTTGTTTTCTATTTTCTAGAAGAGCTCGTATAAAAGTGGTGTTATTTCTTCTTTAAATGTTTAAGAATTCACTGGGGCAGCCATCTGAGCCTTGAGATTTCTTTGTGGGTAGGGATCGATTAGTGGTTAAATTTATTATACATATGTATGTACATACAGTTCTATCAGATTTTGTATTTGCATCAGTTTTGAGAGTCTTTTGCTTATAAAATTGTTCTTGAAAGCACACTTGTGGCACAGTCACTAGACTGGTTATCTTTGAGCAAATCCCAACAGATCATGATGTAATTACCTCATCATCTGAACTAAAGGATCAACTTTGCCAGTAATTCTTCATTTCTGTTTGTGCTTTAATTCCAAAGCACTGAGAATTTTGTTTCTTAACAAACAGAAAAATAGTTTTATCACTTCTAATTACACTTTTCTCTTTCTCTCCAATGGGATTGTAAATATACACTCTCTGACGGCACCCCTTTGCTGTTCTATTAGGTAGTCTTGATGTGATTGGTTTAATGTTATCTTTCCCCCCCAGATATGTGTATAATGGGTGGTGGTGTCATGAAGTACAGTTAACCAAATACAAGCACTTCTTTCATATTTTCTCTGGGTAGTGTGAAGAATTTGCATTGCACCCTGCCTCCTTCCTCTTTTCTAATTTCAATTCCCAAACATTATAATACAAACAATGTTTTAGCTCTTATTTTGGGTCTCATGACTGCAAAAACAAAAAAAAATACTACCTGATATACTGAGAAAGAATATATTTAACTCTATATTTGGAGCACTTGATAAAAAGAGGAGGAAGAAAATCAATTTTGGGCTTGATGTTTATAAGAAGAAATGTTTCATAAGAAGTGTGTTCTATTTGGAATTTACTGACTTGCATAAATACTTTTCATTTTGCAAATGAGTTAAGTAGAAGATTCATTTAAATAGCAGCTTCCTGAGATTATATTGACTATCAACTATTTGATATATAATGAAAAGGAAATTTGGGAAATAAAGATTACTGATCATTGAAAGGAATTTGGAATGGAGAAATGTAATCTGAAATTATAATGTAATTCAGTAGATGACTATGGTTTAATTTGAAAACCTGAATGTACATCACAAATGTGTGTATTATCAAAGGAAGACAGTCCTATAAAGTTCTAAGCCACACAGTACTAACTCCCTGTTGTTGTTCCTTTTGCAAATAAATACAGAAAGGGATTTGGCCAAATGAGATCATGAAATAGGTGAACAGGTCTGCAAAATATTCAAACAGGCTAATGCAGAGAGATTTATCAGACATAAAATATGGAACTTTGAAGGGATGTGGGTAGGGATCGATTAATGGTTAAATTTAAAATAGAAAAGTTGCTTTTATGAGGTTCAATAACTCAATAATGACAAGACTGAGAGAATATATTACAAGTTATCAAAAAGAATAAAATATTTAAGTCACTGTGTCATGAAGACTGACACATTCTGATCTTCACAAGAAACAAAAGCAATACATAGATATAGCAACATTTATTTTAAAATATTTTACTGTTAATATTCTAATTCTTCACTACTGATATTCTAATCCATAGAGTATGTTCAGGATAGACTTACATAATAAATTAATTAGACATATAATAATTAGACTAGAGAAACAATGACACTTTTTATTGCCTTTGTTTGCCCAGAAAAATAAAATAACAGTTGTTTTATGGGAAATAAATAAGTATCTGTGTATGAAAAGCAAAGTGCATTTATCTTCTCTGTGTAATGGCTCTTTGCAAAAGATAAAGAAAATGCATGATTAAATGAGATTAATTACTTCAACAAAATTGGGTGAGGTTTTTAGTTTCAAACTTGGCCTTTGTTTTTAGGTGGCAGTTAGAAGTTCGCTAGATGATGAATTTCCAACCTCATTAGTCAATGTTCAAAAATCCTTGGGAATTAGTTCATTATCTCAGAGATGAATAATGTTTAGTGAATTTCTTAGTCCATTCGATTGTTTTTAAGAGTAACTCACAAGATTCAAAATTGTCTAATGCGATTTTGCTTTTATTTTTCCTTCCCTCCCTCACCCTTGGATGTGCACACTTCAGCAGATGCAAACACTGGCCTTTGGAAATGCTTCTTACCATATGCTTGTTAGGTCTGTCCTAAATACAGTAACCTATGTAGAACACAAACTACAAAAAAAAAAAAAAAAAAGAAAAGCAAATAACCAGATGGCTTTGTGGTACCCTGTCATCCTAATTGACTCACAGTGATGACTCGTTCCTTCATGGGAAACATTTTAAAAGGACTTCGAAATTGTTCAAGAAAGAGGAAATTTTGTGCAATATAGTTTTAGTGTTAAGTGTATTTTAGGACATTTTTCCCCTAAAAATTGGTATTTATGGTAAGTTTCTATTAATCAGCCTATTTGATTAGCAGGAATAGCCACAGTATGTGAGATAGCTATGTGTTTCCATGTAGTTTACTACATAGCATTTTTTTTTTCAATCACAATTTAAAGTATCAAATCTTTGCTCTTTTGTAACTTGACTCTGAGCAGGAACTACTGATATGTTATGTAGTTATAATACTATTCTTTAATCCTAGATTTGGAAATCTCTGTCTACGTGTATGAAAGGAGGGAAGCAGCTATAAATTAGAAAGGAGATAGGAAAGTGAAGATATTTACTAGACTCTGCCTTTGCTTGCAGTTCTCTGGCTTGATTGAGGAGGTTCTCACTTTCATCTTTATGGTAAATGATTTGAGTATCAATCCCACTCACCGCCTACAAAGGAATTGAGAGAAGAGGGTAAAAATGACAGCAGAAGAAATCAGCTATTCATAGTTGAAGGATTTAAATGACACAGTTTATCTGCTAAACACCAAGCAAAATGCATTTAGCTTTATTTTCACAGCTTAAAATTAAGGTCAAATATGTGACCATGAGGAAGTAATGCCTTTGGCATTTTCAAGGTAATGTTTTTTTGGGAAAGATTCAGTGAACCTAGAACAAAGCCCTGGCCAAGGCCCCACCAAAGTGCTTGCCACATAGAAGCCACACAATAAATAATTTTGAGTTGAAAAAAATATAAATGAATGCATAAAGTATCTTCTCTATCAGCAAGAACTAATTTTAAATACATATTTTTTTTTTCAGGGACTTTGGCTAAAAAAATAAACTGTCAAAGGAACTGGCATTTGCTGACTGGACTACAGCACATCTCGAAGAATCTGCAGACTGAAACCTTCAAGGCATTCATGAAATGGTCTTCCCTTAGTTCCCCTGCCTTTTCCACTCTTTCTGCCATTTGGATTTCACACTGGAAGTTCAAGAGATGACATCAGAAAACAGAAAAGCCAGTGGGAAAGGCAAGGTATAAAGAACTTTCAGGGAATACTCACATCATAAATTCGGTCAGTGGTGTTCAAAGCAAATTCTGCTGTTTCATTGGCTTCACTAACATAATTAACAATATTTTCATAGACATTTGATGCATCCAAAGCCTTCTGTACCAGCCCGTTCATATCTGAACTGTGCAACTTCCTGTTAATAAACAAACATTGTTATTTCTCCTTCTTACCTTCTTGGGGAATGGGGCCATGTTTAATGCTTGCTTTTTAAATACTTCTAGGATCACAGATGCTTCCTTCCTGTTATTCAAAGTCACCTAGTGTGGCAAGGTTTTCTTGAGGGTCACACCTCCTCTGCATTCTTCTGTCTTTGCTGAACAGCATTTTGGTTCTCTGACAGCTGCCTGTCTGGCAGTAGCAGCAGGAAAAGGGAATGACGATTTAAAAACAGCCCTCTGCACTTCTTCTTGCAGGAGTTTGTTTATGTGATGGAAGTCAGGCAGAGGAATGAACCATTATGATGACTACCTAGTGCTTATCCAAATCAGCATTGTTATTTCCTTTCTGTAGAGGAAGCCAAGGCTCTAGGAGAGTATGCAGAGCTTGGCCAGGGCACGTATTGTCAAGGTTTGTTTCACTCCTGAGGCCTGGCTGCATCCTGGGCCTCAGGAGTGAGACAGCCCCAGCCCTTCCTCAGCACACAGCCCCACCTCAGCCCACCCTCACCCCTGCCCTTTCACACGATAGTCTCTGCCTTTGCCCCTCTCTGGCCTGTGTAAGGTTCATCCAACATTTACTGAGTACCCATCACACAGGGTACTTGCACACTTGCACACAGGGGCTAATAATGTGAGATATAACAGGAATAAAATATAGAAATGCTTGGTATACCATGCCTGGCATCTGCTAATCGTCAGGGTTTATTATTATACCTACACCATTTCCTGAATTGGGATTTTAAAACTCTATGTGTACCCGCATAATTTATTTTATTGACAAATACTTCTACTGCCTCTGTAATATAAACTCTAACCTCCACTTCCGCAGTTCGTCTAAATCCTTTGTCTTAATTTTATTCAGTCTTAAATCCACCAATTCCTTATTTTTTTTTCTCAGTCCCAAACATCGATGATTAGTATCATCACCTCATTTGTCAGTAACTTCCAGAAGGTCCTCCGTGACCCAGTATATGACATTGCAGATCCCACACTGGCTCCTGTCTTCAAACCGCCTGACCTGTTGAGCTCGGTAATTGTTCCTCAATCTCCAGCATCCAGTTCCAGTCCCTGTGTGCTCCCTTAGAGGGACTTTCTCTATATTTCTTTGGCTACTTCCCTCTCTGTTAACCAAGTCTATAATCATTCTACCCCCTCTACAAAAGGGCTGACTCATCCATTAGGCACAGCGTTTTCATTTTTTTTTCAATCAGAAGGAAAAAATGAGGATAACAATAATAATGGTATTAATCTTTATACCAATGCAGACATGAAATAAAGGTTTTACTTTTTCTATGGAGAAAGGAACCCACCAAGGCAAAAGTGTCTAGGGCCTATAGAAGTCATGGGGCTCTGCTCTACAGAGGGGAGTCTAATCTAAATACTCACTACCTGTTCCTCCCCACAACCCCTTCTGAGAAAATGGCCTCAGATAGCAAAATCTGGGGAAGGCAGACAAGAAAACATTTTTTAAAAAAGGGACAAAAGAAACAAAATGTTACAAATATTTATTAATATTTTAAAATTTTGCTGGCGAGAGTGGTAAGATGTACCAAAGATCATGAAACAAAGCCTTTATTACTTTGCTTTTAATACTAGGCACAGAACAAGTACTAACTCAGTATTCAAATTAAACATGTGCTATTGAAATGGAAGCTTCTTAATGAATTTTGTTTATCTTTGTTCGAGCATAGCACGTAAATCATTGTGTACACCAGACAGATATGGAAGGATACTCACCTTTTGAATGAAGATGTCTCTAAGTTGAAATGCTTTCATGAATATATAGTCAGAAATATTCTAAATACAAAAGGACTTGAGGGTGATTGATATTTTGGATCATGTTTCACGTAAAGCATGTAGTAACTGTCTTAGAATCATGCTGGAACACTGTTTGTTGCAGAGTGGCATTATACACAGAAGTTATATTTTGGAATCCCAATGAATGGGATGTAGGTACAAAATGACAAAAGAATAATGAAGAGAGCCATAAGATGGATCTCAAAAACAACATTCTGCTAATATAGTATATTATCAAAATAGTGTTTTTTCTAAGCTCCATTTTATTGCCTTCATCAAAAGCTCATGTTTCTAGGGCCATGATACCGAGTGGGATATGGCACTGTCTCACCCACTGACACACCAAGATTTTATATGACCTCTCTCTTTCTTTTCTTCTCTCTTCGTAGGAGATTTGGAAGAGTGTTTGAAAATTTTGGCAATCAAGAATAAGAAGGTGATTTATATTTTGAACAGAAGTTAATATTGGTTCTTATTTTATTAATGACCTTTACTGGTCCTTTTTTCCTAGTCTTTCTCTATAATGATCTCATTATTTGCCTATTATTTCAGGGTCATGAATTCAATTCTGATCTTTCAGTACTTTTCAGTTAACATTAATTGAGTGTCCAAGAGGTGTGTGATTCTATTCTAGGTGCTGGGAGGAAAATTGCCAATTGATTTTCTCTTAACAGGTGTTGAAATCAAATAGTTCCTGCTGGGCACTGTGGAGTATTTATCAGAAGTCAGTTATATTGCCAATTCCCGACCAGTTTTACTTAAGACACTTGGGTGTGGAAAGATAATGCTGTCTATGAAATAAATAGGTAATGTTAGAATTAGACCTTCTAAAGGGATCTGATTTATTTGACAATGTTTTATACATTGTCTTTGGTCATCCTACTAAAAATTGTGGAACAGACACCCCCCTCTTCCCGGAACACAGACCTTTAATATGACAGATTTTTTTTAAATAAAAAAGACCAGCTCCCCCAAACAATTGCAATGAACAATGATGGACTCTCAGATGGAACAACCAACCAACCAACCAACCAACCAAGCAACCAAGGAACCAACCAACCAACCAACATATCAACACATAAGCATACCCAACCTTAATCAACCTGGTAAAATTGTATCCCAGTAGTTCTGACATATGGAATTGAATAGTAATATTTTATTCACCCCATGTAGATATTTGCATTTCTAAAACCAGGATATTACCTGCTCAATTCATTAGCTTCTTGTTGAAGGTCCTGTGCATGGTCAATAGCTTCTTGGACTAAATCATGGCTGAGGTTACTTAGGTTAGATAGTTTTACTTGTAGTTCACTTTTGGCTCCATCTATTTCTGCATAAATCCCTGACGCATTCTAAAGAAAAAAATTTTAATAAATACATTGAATTTAGAAGAACTTAAAACATTTTTCCTAGGCACCAAAAGATAATCTCTGTTCTTTCTTATTATGAAGGTCAGTAAATTTCAGTGCAGGACCACATAAGTCTAAAATACTGTAAGTATATGTCTATTTATCCCGCATTGCCAGCTCTTTCTTCTGTATTGATTGCTTCCCTAGCTAGCATTCACAACCCAGAAATGCTCTACCATTTCAGACCTAAAAACTAAAACTAAACTAAAACCTTCAATTATCCACACATGTCCCTAATGTTACTACAATACTTTTCTGCTCTCTTCATAGCAACATATTTCAAAAAATGGAAGTTGTTTATATATGTTGTCTCTATTTTCTCTCACTTTATATTTCCTATTTTGACCTAGTCCTGTCTGATTTCTACTCCATTACTCTACCAAAAGAGAAGTTAATTACATCTAAGTTACTAAATCTAATGGACATCATTCAGTTTTCATCTGACCTTTCAGTTACCTTTCAGGTGACTGACTACTTCCTAAAAATCACCTTGTAACACAGGCTCTCTTGGTTTTTAATACAACCACAGACCTACGATTTTGCTTAAAGATCGTGCAACTGTGTAGACGGATGTTCCTGCAAACCCGTGAGTTTCAGCCTTGGCTGGCCCCTCAATGCTGCAAAGAGATTTGTTCTCCTAGTCACCCAAATAGTGATTCTAAACATTGTCATGATTCCTAAGCCAACATTTCCTTCACCCACCCCCATCTGATTGTAAACAGATCACTTTATTTTCTTTTTTATTTGGAGGTCATAAACTGTTAGTGGGGGACACTTCTTCCACACTTCTGATGTCTCCTTTATATGCAGGGAGCACAGTGAGTGAAACTCCAGACCTCTCTACCCCTTTCCTCACTCTACTCCTGTGAGAGGGGAGTGGTTGATTTTGTGGGTAAATTTGGGAAGAATAACTCTATAGGCTCTGCTCAACTCCACCCTTCTTTGTCCTGGGAGCAAGCTGCCAGCAGAAAGCCTGAGTTTTCCTGTGTTCCTCCATGTTAAAACTATTCTGGGCAGAACCCCCATCTAAGCCTTACGGTGTTGCCTGTCTGGGTGGGCACAGCTGCTTAATACTGGGACTGAATGTCAGCTACCCCACTTGGCTAAGAGACCTAAAGCCATGCCTGCTGCTTAGCTGCTTCAGAAATAAGGCAACCTCCTTGGTCTCTGTATTTACTATTTTATTTATGTTTCCACCTGTTTAGAACTTGGGTTCTGGAAAGGGTCACTATTTATTGGTTAACTCCCTCAGAGACTCCAAAACCAATGAACAGGTATTTCCCCAGCTTTTTGCAACCAGCCCCCAGCCCTTCCCCGCAAACTCTATAGATGTATTTATAGCTACACCTACACAAAAATTTCTCTCCAATTTTAAGAGGAAAATGTTCATTTTCTGTATAAAGCATGCTGCCCCATTGTCTTGGTAACCCCGTTATTCATTCTTGCTTTCTAGCTACTGACTCTTCTCAGATATAAACATGCTCAAGTATCTCCCGTCAAAAAACAAAACAAACAAACAAACAAACAAAAAACCTTATTCTTTCACTTTAGGCTCCCTTCTAGCTTTTTCTCTTGCTTTGACACAGTGCACTTTACAGAAATGTTTCTTGCCAAGATCACCAACACCTGGCCCCAAATCTCCAGATCCACTTGACATTTTCCCATCCTTATTTACTGGACCCATCTGTGGTTTGCTACAGTGTTGGCCACTGTCTTTGCTTAAAACTCTTTTCTTTTCCTAGCTTCTGTGACTATGCTATCTCCTGGGTCTCCTCTTTCCCTGACCAAGAAAGAGACCGTGAAACTTGGCATTTGACTCCCAGCCCTTTCCTCTCCCCTGAGTGATCTCACTTCTTTCTCTGAGGGCAGTCTTTGAGTATTCTAATCCATTCTCCACTGTCTTGCAGGAAAGGTAATCTTCCTATTAAGAAAATCTGACCATGTTATTTCCCTTCTCAGAATCAGCCAGTTGCTTTGCAGGAATGAGTCCAATTTCTAAGCATGACATCATCAGCTGACCGCTCTTCTCTCACCAATTTCATCAATTCTCATGACCCCCAACCTGCTATATCCCATGGTCTAATCTTGACCAACTGGTTGTTGTTTTAATGCTCCACAATTTTTTCTGGTCTCTTACCTCTGCAAATATTTTCCCTTTCTGGAATAATTTTCCTTTATTTTCTGTCTAATCTACCTGGAAAGCTCTACTCCTCCTTTCAAATTCAGCTCAAATATCACTTCCTTTTTGAGGCCATCCCTAACCTCCTCAGGATGAGTTAAGTGTTGCCATGTGTTTTTATTATTCATTCATGTGTCAAATGATTGTAATAATTTTAAGTGATTATTTAACTCATCACATCATACAATCCTAGGAGGCAGGAACTGAGTTTAACTTATTTTTGTAATCCCAGAATGTAGCACAAAGGGTTTGTAGTACAAAGGGTTTACTTTTATGGAGGCAGTATTAAACCTCTAGCCATTTTGGTTGGTCATCTGGGGAACAATACTTTGAAAAAAATGTTTTTAATTGTATAAGTGGAAAATAGACCATGGACATACCACTTTTACTCATTCATTCCATCAACAAATATTCCCTGTGTGCTCATTATGGACCAGGAACTCTTCTGGGGGTAGAATACCTTTGAACACAGTCTCCACTTTCAAGGAATTTACAGTTTAGTGGGAGAGATACAGGTAATAAACAAGTGATCAAACAAGCAAACAAGCTAATTTCAGGGAGTAAAAGATATTTTGAATAACATATGACAGGTGGGGTGGGATGAGGAGTGAGTGGGGTAAGGGGTTCATTTGGATGTCAGGGTCATAAGGACACCAGCCATTTGAAGATCTGAGGGCAGCAGGTGCAGAAATCCTGAGGCAGGAAATAAGTATGGTATATTTGAAAAATAGAGAGGAGTTTGTTGGGCTGGAGTGCAGTGAGTGAGAAAAGAGTTGGGTATGTGGTCAGAAAAGTGGGTCTGAGCTGGGTCATGTAGGGTCTCATGGGCCATGACAAAATGAGCTTGTTTCTTACTTTAAGTGCCACTGGGGAGTGTCTATAGTAGAAATAATGTTGGTTATGTTTTTAAAGGATTGTTCTGCTACTGCATAAAGAATATGTCTTGAAGGACAAGAGTGGAGACAGTTGGATCAGCTAGGAGGCTCTGGTGGCAATTTAAACTGTAGATGAGGTGACTTGGACCAAAGAGCAGCAGTAGAGACAAGGAAAGTGGTCAGAAATCAAGATTCAAGGCCTGGTGTGGTGGCTCACGCCTGTAATCCCAGCACTCTGGGATGCCAAGGCAGGTGGATCATCTGAGGTCAGGAGTTTGAGACCAGCCTGGCCAACATGGTGAAAATCCATCTCTACTAAAAATACAAAAAATTAGCCGGGCATGGTGGTGGATGCCTGTAATCCCAGCTACTCGGGAGGCTGAGGCAGGAGAATTGCTTGAACCCAGGAGGCAGAGGTTGCAGTGAGCCGAGATCACTCCATTGCACTCCAGCCTGGGCAACAAGGATGAAGCCACGTCTCAAAAAAAATAACAATAAAAAAATAAATAAAATAAAATAGAAAGAAAGAAATCAAGATTCATTTTAGAGATAAGGAGAAAGGAGAAAGCAGTAGTGACTCTGGAGTTTTGATTTGAGCAATTGGGTTGTGCCATTTATTGAGATGGAGAAGACTGGGGAAGGAGTGGGTTTTATTTAAGACATGTCAAGTTTGATATGTCTATTATTAATACATCATAGATGAGACTGTGACTTTATTACAGTCGTACTGAGTTCTGACTTGAAAATGTCAAGTTAGCACTCGGATATAGGAGTTTGGAACTCCGTGGAGGTGTCATAGCTGGAGGTATAATTGTGTATTCATTGGTGTGTAATTGTTCTTTAAAGCCAAGGGAGTCAATGAGATCAGCTAGGGAGAGAGTATAGGTAGAAAAGAAGGCCTAGGACCAAGCACAGAGCCATTCATTATCCAGAGCAGAGATCAACATGGCCCAGTGTCAAGTGCAGCTCAAATCTTTTTTTTTTTTTTTTTTTTTTTTGAGACAGGGTCTCACCTTGTCACCCAGGCTGGAGTGCAGAGGCACCATCACGGCTCACTGCAGCCTGCACTTCCCGGGCTCAAGTGATCCTCCCATCTCAGCCTCCTGAGCAGCTGGGACTGTAGGCATGCACCACCACGCCTAGCTATTTAAAAAAAAATTTTCTTTTTTGTAGAGAGGGGGTCTCACTATGTTTCCCAGGCTGGTCTTGAACTCCTGGGTTCAAGCACTTTCCCCCACCTTGGCCTCCCAGAGTGCTGGGATTAGAGGCGTGAGCCACTGCACCAAACCAAAGCCTGTTGAGCTGAGAATATATCTTACATATTTAAACGGTTGTAAAAAAAAATTAAAAACAAACAAAACCCAGAAAAAAATAAGAGACAGTGGTTGTACGTGGCCTGCAGAGCCTAAAATATTGACCACTTAGAGGGTGTGCAGAGGCGAGGCTAGCAAAGGGGGCTGGGAAGAAACCGCTAGCCAGGGTAGAGGCCATGAGCGGTACCAGAGCAGCCAGGACAAGGGCGCCACCTGGTGTTTAGAGGAGGGAGGGCTGAGAAAGCCCGGGAGAGACAGGCGGGTCGCTGGTGACCTGGACAGGAACAGTCTCAGTGAAGGGGATGGAACCCCCTTCAGAAACGGCCGAGTATAGGGGACAGTGGGAGTCTGGGAGGTAGAAACAGCAATGATAAGTCACTCGAGACATTTTGCTGTGAAGCTGAGCAGAATGGTAGGGCAGAAGTTAGAGGGGATGCAAGCTTTATAAAAGATTTTTTTACAGGGCTTTTTTCTTTTTGATATTTAAAAGATAGGAGATAGTACAGCACGTTTGTACGCTGATGGTAATGATTAAGTAAAGAATGAGAACGGGATGATTCAGAAGAAAGGGCATAACTTGAGGAGTGAAACCCTGCAACCTGTTTTCAAGGCCGGGCAGGAGAAGGAATGCTTACAACGGAGGGGAGGCAGAGGTGTGGGCACAGATGCAGGCGGGCCGGCGGATCTGGGGAGGAAGGATGAAGGGAGTTCTCTTCTCTTTGTTTCTAATTTTTCAGAAAGCAGGAAGCCAAGTCACCAGGCAGAACTGATAGCATGGGAAGTGGGTTCCCACCAGTCGCATGCAGCTGCTCTGGTATGGCCATGGTGCTGGGGATGAGTCAGAAATCTCAGGTAGGTACAACAGAGGAACAGGCAGATATGGTAGTTAAGGGTATTTTGAAAGAATTATTATATTTGATAATTTGAGCTGCTTAAGGAGGGAAGAAAGGACATGAGAGGGGTACGGTAAAAAAGGCAGGGAGGTCTCCATGTGGCCAGAGAATTACTGGAGTGGGCATTCTAGAATAAGTGAGATAGGAGATGGTGCTCTGGGAGGGAGGTGCTTGAAACTAGGGTTTGGGAGGAGGTACTGTTACTGAGGACAAGATCTGGGTATGGCCATAGGTGGGAAAACAGAGGTGGACTGGAGGATAAGCTTGCTGGAAAGGGCAAGTTCAAGGAGCTGGAGGTCAGAGAGTCGGTGACTTCATCCATATGGATTTTGCTGTCACCAAGGAGAGTGATGGGAGTCAGTTTGGAGAGAAAGACAGTTTGGTGCTGAAATAGTCAACGGACAATCAAATGACCTTAAAGTGATATCTTTCGAAAGGTAATAAAATGAACTAAGAGTAATTTCATGATAGTTCAGTTCACTGCATTTTATTGGAAATTTTCTACTTTTACAAAATGTGACTTTTATTGATTTTGAATGCCAGATTTATCAAACACAACTTTATGAGTGAAGAGTGAGTAGGATGGATCGAGAGCAGCATTTTCAATAGAACTCTCTGCAAGAAGTTCCACTATATTCAGTGGCGCAATGCCTGTTTCTGCACAATGCTTGTGCCACTGAATATAGTAGCTGCTAGCTATGTGGCTGCTGAGGACTTGAAAAGTGGCTAATGTGACTGAAGAATTAAAATTTTAATTTTATTTAATTTTAAGTAATTTAAATTTAAGTAGTCATATGTGGCTGGTGGTCATCGTACAGTGCAAGAAACTAAAACATTCAGTCATCTGATCTTTATAATGCCTGCTCACTGGTTAGATATGAATTTATTATTATTCTGTGACACTGAGCTGCTGTTGTAACCTGCTGGAAATACAAACCTGAACAAGTCACGTGCGTCCTTACCTTTATTATATCATCAAGTTCTGAAAGAGTTAGACGAGGTGTTGTCAGAGAGTCCGCAGATGTGCTCAGAGACATGTTCACCACTTCCATTTGTTCCCTCACTCTTTCCTGTTGTTTCTGCGGGAAGGAAGAGTAAGGGAGAGTGAAGTGAATATGTCTTTAGGGAAAGCGTTGGGGAGAGCAGTAAATGTCAACTTGCTCTCTTTGGACTCAGACAAATCTGGGTTCATATCCCAGCTCCATCCTTGCTGTGTGCCTTTGGGGAATGCTACCTGTTTGATGCTGCTTTCTCATTTATAATACAGAGATAACAACAGTAAGAATCTTGGGAGATTAGACATACGGAGGATTATTATAACACCGTCATTTCAAAGAGAGCTAGCGCCTTAGAGAGGGCATTTGTCTCTTTTTCCCAGAATATAAAAGAGGACTATGGAGAAAGGATTGAACACAGGCTCTATATTTGCAGTGATTGGAATATGAATTAATTCAAAAAGTATTTATCATGTGCCAGCCTTGGGCCTGACACAAACAGCCCATTTGGACAGGAACAGAGAATATACAAAAATAATCTTATTATGTCCTTTTAAAAATTAAAAATGGCCCTACTATTAAAGCATCAAATTTTAATCTTGCTTCATACCTCTCAGAGCTCTTTATTGTAAATGCTCAGATGTTTTGAGAAGGGAAAGTAAATACTAATACATGTCTTGATGAGTACTTTAATTTCTACCATCACTTTTAGGTTCTAGAGGCAGGGACATTGTGATTCTGAAGAAATATTATGGGGCTTCCAATGAGTTTAGAGTTTGAAAGAAACATAGAAAGAAACTTTAGGAGGGAAAAGTAAAAGACTCATTTTACAATTTGAGTGAAAAATGAGTTGAAGTTACCTTAGAAATAGTAACAAGTCAGAGTTGAAATATACATTATAGTGTAATCTAGAATATCATAGAAATAATTATAGAAGCCTAGATAGAGAAGGAAATACTTTAAAGCTTTTTAAGTTCATCTTAATGTCCTTTCTTACTCCCTGCAGTCTTTTCTGGCTTAAAGAAAAGGAAGAATGGAACCCATCTTCTCCAGATATGTTGTTATGGGGTAGGTGTAGGTCTAGAGACAGAAAAGAATCACATTTGAACATCCTCTTAATGCAAGAACATTTTTAAAGAAACAATTTTCCCTGAATATCCATCAAGCCTAATACAGTGTGACTATCTGAGATCAATTATTCTTATCTTTACAAAGACTGGGAGTTATACAGCAAAAGCAATACTGTAAAATATGTGTATTAAAATATGTAAAAGAAGGGAGTTGAAAAAAGGTTGGTATTATTTACCTCTCACAGAACTGTTTTCCTTTTACAGTGTTCTTTACCCCTTCTGTAAGTTCTCTCTGGGTGACTGCGGGAGAACACTGCTAACACCCTGAAGTCAGAGACAAACTTCAAAGCTGTGTGCTAATAGCACTGTATATAAGCTTATTTGCAGTAGATGAAAAACAATATGCTTCAAGTTAATGAGTTTCTCCCACTTACCGTATATAGCATTAGACAGAAATGAATAAAATTAGCTTTGAAACAAATAAAGATATTTCCACAGAAAAGTGGTCAACTTGAACAAAGTAAAATGTTGAAAACTGATAATTATGAAAATGACACAATTGTCACTATTCAGCATGCTTCACTGTGCATATTACATATGCAAAAAAATAGAAAAAGTTCCACGGTCAACAACAACAACAGCAACAGCAACAGCAACAAAAACAACAAAAAACAGTCCTGGGAAGGTAAAGCTTGGGTATATAGTAATCCCTAAACAGTGCTTTTGAAGGAGTATTTTACTTACTTTTAAACTATACAATCTCATGTTCATCTGATAAGTTTTTAATCATTCTGTTACCCTTTGGAGATAGAGGTAAGATGACAAAATAATGTAATTGCTAGTTGTATGGCTACTGTTGGTACATGTCAAAATGATTAAGCTCTGTGGGTACTTTTTTGGTTTTGTATGATAACTGAAATTTGGGGATTATTCTTTTCTAGCCCATGCTGTAGGTGTAATAGTGAAATGTAAAATTAAAACAATTAAATTTGGGCCGGGTGTGGTGGCACATGCCTGTAATCCCAGCTACTTGGGAGGCTGAGGCAACAGAATTGCTTGAACCCAGGAGGTGGAGGTTGTGGTGAGCTAAGATTGTGCCACTGTACTCCAGCCTGGGTGACAGAGTAAGACTGTGTCTCAAAACAACAACAACAAACCCACTTAAGTTTGTTTTCTAAAACACAGAGTCAAATTCCAGTAAGGTCAGATCCATTCAAATCTATTTGTCGTAGGAAAGACTATAAATAAAACATTGGATTTTAAATTTTGTTGGAAGGAATTAAAATTTCATGATATTTTGCAAAAGTATGCAAAAGAATGGTGAAAGTAGTGTTTAGTAATTTAGAAGTCCAAGTTAATATGAAATAAGAGTATTTGTGATCATGAAGAACCAGTGTACATAAATCAAATCTGTATTACTTGACAGTGCTCCAAGCATTTGTCCATCCATCTGTTCATCAATAGATGTAACAAATGCAAGTTATTGTGTTTGGTGCTAGGAAGATACAATTTGTGCAAGGCTGGAGTGCTGCCCTTGGATGCTCACGGTCTAGTGGGGTTAGACTAGATGCATACCATCACACACACACACACACACACACACACACACACACACACACACACACACACACAGAGTTATGCATTCAGCAATCAAGAGTGACTCCACCAGGCGCGGTGGCTCACGCCTGTAATCCCAGCACTTTGGGAGGCCGAGGCAGGCAGATCACAAGGTCAGGAGATGGAGACCATCCTGGTGAAACCCCATCTCTACTAAAAATACAAAAAATTAGCCGGGCGTGGTGGCGGGTGCCTGTAGTCCCAGCTACTCAGGAGGCTGAGACAGGAGAATGGCACGAACCCGGGAGGCAGAGCTTGCAGTGAGCTGAGATCGCGCCACTGCACTCCAGCCTGGGCAACAGAGCGAGACTCCGTCTCAAAAAAAAAAAAAAAAGGAGTGACTCCTAGACAGGAACATAGAAGAATATATGCTTAGTGTGATGAAGCCTGGTGATCATTCCAGTGATACAACCAATGGCTGCACCAGTAGAGAGGAAGGAAGGACTCCTTCTGGCAGCTAGTGTTCTTTTTTTTTTTTTTTTTGAGGTGGAGTTTCACTCTTGTCACTCAGGCTAGAGTGCAATGGCACAATCTTAGCTCACTGCAACCGCTGCCTCCCGGACTCAAGCAATTCTCCTGTCTCAGCCTCCCAAGTAGCTGGTATTACAGGTGCCCACCACCATGCCCAGCTAATTTTTGTATTTTTAGTAGAGACAGGGTTTCACCATGTTGACTGGGCTGATCTTGAACTCCTGACCTCAGGTGATCCACCTGCCTTGGCCTCCCAAAGTGCAGGGATTACAGGCGTGAGCCACCGAGCCAGCATTCTTAACCCAGGGTTAAGGTGGACTACCTGAACTTGCCTGTCAATCTTATACATGCGAACAAGTGCACATTTTTCTCATGGCAGGGATATATATGTGTGTGTATGTGCATGTGTGTCTGTGTGTGTGTCTGTGTGCCTGCATATTCCATAGTTTTCACTGAATTCTCAAAAGGATATAAGACTGCAGGAACCACTGGACTGGAATGAGTAGGCGAGGCACTCTACAGAGGGAGACACTTAACCTGGCTTAAAGGCTAGACAGAAGTACTCATGGATGAGAGAGATGAGCAAAGGAGACACCATGAGCAAAGGCAATAAGTAGAAAATGTGCACGGTCTCCAGTGGCTAAGAGGCAGAGTTTGTAGGAAAGTCAAGAAATTCACTGGAACAGTAGGTGGACTCAGATCATGGGTGGCTGAGGAATTTACCTTTCTTAAGTAGGAAGCCATTGAAGGCATTTGATGAAGGTTGGTTACATAGTTTCTATACATTTAGAGATACCTTGAAATCGAATCTGGCAGTAATCTCAAGGGGAGAGAAGCTGGGACCCTAGGCAGGGGGCAGACCAAAATATCCACAAGTGAGACACAAAGGAATGGAGAAATCACTGGAGAACCCAGAGCAGGAGGGGCTGACTTAGACCCTGGGGACTTGGAGGGGAGAGGAGAACCCTGGACAAGAATAAGAAAGAATGAGAAAATAGGAAAGGAAATTGGAGGAAAAAAGGTGTTGGTTTTCAGCAGGTAATAGCAAGGCTAATCCACGTGGCTATTCCTGCAGAAAGACACAAATATGAAAGTTGTGCTGTGGGGCTCAGTTTTGAATAAGGATGCAGACCCACAAATAAATCCCTTTTAAGGACTGAAGCAGTGAGATTGGGTGAAGTCACTGAGGGAAGAGATGGGGGCAAAAGGGGTGCAACTGTGGCTAATGCCAGATCCAAAGATCAGGAAGAGGAAGGAGAACTGAGGTGGAGCAGGGCTTTCAAATTCCTCAACGCTATGCTGTTCCCTTCCTGAAATCTTGCTCATGCTGTTCATTTGTATGCAGTAGAAGGGTTTGTTTGGTAAAGTTAAAATGAGCACTACCATCTGTCTGAATCAAAAATGCCAAATTTTTGGTAGCCATATGCATGAAGTTTAAAAAAATCTGTATAAGTTTATTTAAAAGCTATTCTGGCATTCATTCACTTTTAGAACTGAAGTCTCTTCATATAGGCAACACTGTCCTCTTGCTTGTTACATTTACAAAGTCCACTGTGTTTTGCACACACCCTGACATTTACCAACCACCAGCAAATCGGCTGGTTTGTGCCTAAGCAGATACTTTGGTTCTCAGTTCATTGACTGTGTGCTCCCCTTCCTGATTATAAAATTTACAAAGGACTTTTGGAGGTAAGATCTATTCCTAAAAATAAATCAGAAGAGAATGGAACATGTTAACACACAACATATGTGTTCTCTAGCACAAGGCTATGTAGAAGACAAAGCACTTGGCTGAGATCGAGAACTCACAATCTAAAATGAGAACCAAATACAGTTTATCATTATCGGTAGTATTAATAATAGGTCTTGCTTTTTTCTCAGCAATAAACATTACTCCCTGTGGCTAAGGGCACAGCTGTGGTCTGGATGGGATCTCCTGCAGGCCATTGCTTGCCCTTGTCCTACCAGGACCGGTCTGGGTTGGCAGGTCCACTTCTCATTTCAGGGCTTGCAGTACGGAACATAGTTCTGGGTCTTCACTGGTGAACCCTGAGAATTGTTGCATGAGGTTGCAGTGTTGTTTCTGTCTTACTTAAATGCTCTTAATCTTCTTTGGGAGTAGAATAGTGTTATCCTGCAGGCTAGGGGTATGGGCTTAAATCTTTCAGGATGAGAAGAATCACTTATTACTTAGCACTGAAAATGCATCTTCAATAAACTTGGGCACAATCTGACAAAACTACAGGATCCCCAAATTGGAAAGTCCTTAAGGTTTTCATTACATCAACCCAGTTTTTACTGAGTTGTTACTTTGTGTCAGACATTGTGCTAAATGCTCCATGATTCAAAGATAAAGAAGACAGATTCCCTTACTTTTTGGAGCCCTGAGTTCAATGGGGAAGACAGATTCATTAGCAGATGATCACAATTCAGAAACAGAGCTGTGCAAGACATGTTACAGGATTGGAGTATAGGGTAGGTCTCCTGGAGGAAGTAATGCCTGAGGTAAGACTTAAAGGATAAGTGAGGTTAGCCAGATGAGTAGAAAAGAAAAAGCGGTTTCCATTCCAGGCAGGTGAGATTACTGGTTGTGTGATATTGCCTGAACCTAATGTGTGAGGCAGAGAACAGTAAGAGGTGAGGCTGAGGAGGCTGGTAGGGTCAGATCAGAGGGAGTCCTGAATGCCACGTGAAAGAGCATAGGCTGTCCACAGGATAGTGTCTTTCAGAGGTTAACAGAGAATTGTACGTTGCAACCTGGTACACATATATAAGGCAGAACCGTGATGAAACCACACCTTACTATATATGTGTACTTTGATATTTTCTATTCCCTTGATTTCATTTCCTTTTATCTGTCTCTCCTTTTTTTTTTTTTTAAACTACTGGTTACAACCCATGAAACTTATTTTCTAACCCGCGAAATGGCTCACAAGTTGCAGCGTCAAAAGCACTGTTATAGGTGATGAGGAGAAATGAGAGGATTGATAAGCACATGCAGTTGCAGTCAGACTGTGACTAAGGTGAGCTGCTCTGGCAGGGTGGAGAGGATGTTTTGGAAGGACGCAAGAATGGAGGAGAGAGAAGGGGAGACTGTTTTGGTTGAGAAACAATGAAAGCCAGAACTAGAGAAGTTGTAGAGGAATGGAAAAGAAGGAAGAGAGCTAAAACATGTCAGATAGTAAACCTGGGAGGAACCTGCGGTTGACTGGATGTGGAGGAGGGAAAGGGGGACACTTCAAGGGTAAGGAGAGTCCCAGCGACTATCTTAAAACAGTATTTTGTGTTATACTTTTATTGTATAAGATAATCATGCATTCATTTAGCAAAAAAAAAAAAAAAAAGTTATCCCAACCATATTATTCTAAAAAATATTGGCTAGGGGTTTGCTCCCATTAGCAAACAGTGGTGATGAGTGTAATTAACTTTTACGGAAGAAATTTTACAAGGATTCTTAGTGAGGGGTAATGATGGCTGAAAATCAGGCTAGAGAGCCTAGTTTAAGTGGCTTTTGCCAGCCACAATAGTACATAACCGAATTCGTGAATTTGCTCATAATTGGTTTCTATTTGTTCACAGTATTCTTTTCTCCCTAATCTTTTAAAATATGTTTGAACATGCATGTGTCATCCTATCAAAAGATGGCCCCTCTTGATGCTGGCGGCTGTGAATACATGCATTGCTTGAAGCGGACACATGACCACTACCAGTTCTCAGCTTTGTAGGTGTGGGCATGCACGAATTCTGGCCCCATGAGATGACCATCTTTGCAAGCTATGATCACATCTGGGAATCCTCCTCACCTTCCTCTTTGCATTTGCATGGCCTTGGCAATTAGTCTCCTTATCCCTGCAGCTGCTGACCAGCCAGACTGTGAGATTTGCTTATCGTGCCTTTCCAAAAATTATGCATACCCAGAACCCATGGTTTTGAGATGCTTTGGCCTTCTAGTGCTCTCAGTATAAAAAAAGCTATGCATTGCTTACCCACTTGCAAGAATAACAGACCCATACACATGGACACAAGCATCAGAACTACTGCGTTCTTATCAAAGCAAGAACTAGACAATTATCCTAGTTTCAACTTGATTTTAGGAACACACAAGTTAGTAATTTATAGCACCAAAAAACACACCAATATTTTAAAATATAAGTATTTAACTATACCAATATTTTAAAAAAATTTATATCAACAGCCCCTTCTTGGTGTACCATCACACTGCTGATGCTGAAATGCATTGATGGTGAGTGTCCGCTGTACCTCATGGTCCCGCTGCCTGGCTGCTGTGGCCCTGTTCATGTCTTCGGCATCCCTGACATAGTTAAGGGCCTGGTCAAGTGCTTCCTGGAGATCTGACAACTTAGCATTGTAGTCATCCAGCTGCTCCAGGACGACAGGAAACAGAGTGCGGGTCTCATTGTGCAGCCGCTGCCAGCTCTCAGCCTGGCTCAGTACTGGGAAGAAATGGAGATAAAGGCTCAGTGTGGCTTTCTCCTGTTCGCTTCCATTCCTCCCAGCATTTTGCAAAGTTGCAAAATTCTCAGGCCATGCCTTCTTTAGCAATGGAGATTGAAGCTATTGTTCACAAAATTAGCTCCACCTTTTAGATTTGAAGTAAAAAATGCTACTTTTTAGAGTTTGGGAGTCCCTGGATAACTGTCAGTTGAAAGAAGGGTTTGATTAGTTTTCCCACAGAGGTTGTGCTTTTTGTGAAAACCATATCATTATACTATGCTTATTATTATCCAGATTATTAATAATTTTACTGTGTAAAGGGGACTTGGGTATAGTATGGTTTTTACTATTAAAAATAACCAAACTTATCTTGTCGGTAATAAGGCAAAATGATGTTCATACCCACTCATTTTCTGTAGTTTCTCTAGGCAACTGTTTTTAGTTAGCTCCACTGGGTCAAATCCAAACCATGATTTTGGTGGAAAAAAGATTAAATGGCAATGACATGATATTCTTAAACTTTGCATGTGTCTTTTATTCTCTGCTCAAAGGCACATGTGTTGAATATGTTGAATATGTTAATTTCTGTTTTCTTCAGGGAATATTAGCTTGTCTTGTTGAGATTTTCTTCCATCACTGTAAGCAGAACACAAAAGTTCCTGGCTGAGTATAGAAAGTGTTGGAAAATGCATTCTAGGTGGAAGGAGGCCGAGTGGGAGATGTGATTGGTCCCACTTCTCCAGGGAAGTCTTGTTAAATTCCACAGGAGGTGACAAGCTTGGAAACATCTGGCATTGACTGACATCTGAGCTCTAGCCTTTCTGAGTCTGACTCAGAACTGGGGCCTGAGATTCTTCTTTGGTTCTTACTGTTTCTAAGACTTTACATATTTGCCACCATAATAAACCTGTATGTCAGTAATGTCTTTCTACAGTATCCACAATAATTGTTAGCAGAAGTTGATAGTGACAGTTGTAGGAAAACGACCTACTGCCCTTTATCCCTTTTTGTGTCATTAGTCCCTTTGTAATCTAATGAAGCCTTCAGACTGCTTCTTAGAGTGTGTTCTAAAATGCATACAATAAAATATATAGAAATTAAAAGGAGACTAATATATTTAAAAACCAAATGTAATATAATAATGTATATGCTTCTTTACTAATCCCTTAACTAACAAGATCTAAAGGTGGATCTAATAGTTACCATAATTTTGAGTTATTGGTGAATTTAAATAGTGTCATGAGATATCAGCAGCAGCTAAAATATAATATGCAAATCTGTGATTTCTTCCATTGATTGTGTAGATTAAACCAATTGTTTGCAGCTCTTCCAATCAAGAGTGGAGTCTATCTCTCTACTCCTTGAGTCTGGGCTGGTCTTGATCAGTAAAATGGATATGACATTGCTGAGCTCCAAGCCTAGGCTTAAGAGACCGTGTGCTTTTCATTCTTGCTCTCTTAAAGCTGCCGTTATGTGAACAACCTGGACTAGCCTTGTTGAGTTAAGACCCCACATGGAGGGAGAGGCCCAGCCTTCCCGGCCAGCCCCAGACATCTGAGTGAGCTCAACCAATATATGTCACATGGAGCAGAGATGAGCTGTCCAGGTTGAATCCAGCCTGAATTGCCAACCCATGAAAGCATGAGCAATAAATGGTTATTGTTTTAAATGAATACATTTGGGGTGGTTTTTGTTTTGTTTTGTTTTGGGACAGAGTCTCACTCTGTCACCAGGCTGGAGTGCAGTGTGCAATCTTGGCTCACTGCAACCTCCGCCTCCCAGGTTCAAGCGATTCTCCTGCCTCAGCCTCCCTAGTAGCTGGGACTACAGGCACATGCCACCACGCCCAGCTATTTTTTGTATTTTTAGTAGAGATGGGGTTTCACCACACTGGCCAGGCTGGTCTCGAACTCCTGACCTTGTGATCCACCCACCTTGGCCTCCCAAAGTGCTGGGATTACAGGCATGAGCCACCACGCCCGGCCTGGGCCTTGTTATAATAGCAATTGATAACTGATACAGTGATCAAGTGATAGATTCAATAATACTACTGTGATTTGGTGCCTACACTCATTGCTGAAGGAAATGTTAAATTTCCACTGGAGGCTAAAAGATATTAAAGTCATTCATGGTCTTCACAACATGAATGTTTCTGGCCTTGTAGCATTCCTGCCTTCTCAATAAAATTTCTTTAAATGTAGTTCTGGGAATTGGTTTCCTTTAGTCTTCCTTCTACTGTTTTATACGTTTTTCACCAACTGCTATAGATTCCTTGTGGCATCTCAGTTGTTTCTCAGGGGCTCAGAATTGGGCCTGAATCTAAAAATCTTGGTTATAAAGTCAAGTTGTCCTGAATGATTCCCTGTGGCCACATGTAGATTCTAAATAGTTCTGAACACTGGAAATTGGTTGCTTTGATTATATGTTGCCCTAGGTTTAATGTCTGCTATTGGACCCACAAAGAGGGCAAACATGTGCTGGGTCAGCTATGAGAGGAATACACCTACGTTCGTAAGCCTCATCTGCCTCCTCATCCACGAGCTCCCGTTGGGTGAAAAATGGTTGACGGCTTCTAATCTCTTCAAGCATCTTCTGGGCCAACACCAGCTTCTCAGAGATTTCCTTGGGGCTAAGTTCATGCTCTTCCCCATAATAGAGCATCTTGTTGTTGATCTCTGAAAGGAAGAACATGGTGAAACAAGGCAGCAGGGAGAGATGACCAGGCACTAGAAATGCAAGGGAGCAAGGGCTGTGGGCAAAGGGCAGGGCTGATCCTGAAATGGAAAGAGAGACTCATTCAAAAGCAGCGTGCTAGTGTTCATGCTGTGAATCCCAGCGAGCATGGAAGCTCATCATCTATTCCACGAAGGAGAAAGACACGAGGAAACCACTCTTCTCTGCTTCCCATGCGGGGTCTTCAGAATGGGAACTGGCTAATGCAAAGCCTGCTCTGCTCTCATCCTCATCTGGTTTCCACAGTGATTTGAGAATGCTAATATTTAGCGTTAAATATTGTAACTTGATATTCAAGGCATCCAAATCTACAGTCTTTGATCAGCCTTTTATATAACATACTTAACTTGGAGAAAATGCTCAGAGATCACTCCTGTCATGGGTGAGATTATTAATGTGTGGAGTTATTAATTGTATTTTAGACAAAGATTTGATCAAAGCTTTAAGCCCAAATGAGAGCATATTGATAGCTGTCCAAATGAGTCTTTCAAATTATTTCACAGGCTAAATACAAAATGAGGGTTTGTTATAATATGATGTGAGCTTTTGCTCATTGATAGTTATTTTTTGGCAGTTGCTGTTTGCCTTCTAGAGCGTGACTACTCTAGGTCATTTTCACCCCACTTCCATAAGTCAGGTGGAGAATTTTAGAACTGGAGGGACCACTGAGGCTCAAAGGGATTAGGTGACCTGTCTAAATATTAGCAGACTGAAATACGTCTTTGAATCCCTCATTCCTACTACATATGATGAGAAGGAAGGTATGTAATTGTCACCTTGTTCTACTGCAGCTCCAAGAGGAAGCATTTTATCTTGCTGGCATAAATGAAATTGCGTGTCTGTGGTTTACTATGATCTATGTGGTTGACCAGACAAGATGGGTAAACAAACATTGGTGTCACATAAATCATACCAGGATAAGGGGTTGTATTTTATGTGGATAATAGCTTGAAGGTCGCCAGCGGTTATTTTAGAGATGGTTGGGAATAAGGAATGACATGTAATTGGTGTCTTACAGCATTCCAGAATTATATAAAGGGATTAAACATCCACTCCTCAAGTAAAGTCTAAAATATTAACCTGCGAAATAAACTAAATGTAAATATTTTTTCCTCAGCTCTAGCACTTGTGATGCTGAATTCTCTGGCATTTTGGTGCAAGTCTTATATTTATAATTTTGGCCTGTTTTAGTTTAGCTACTTGCAGTATAGATTAGAAAAGGGAAATACAGACAATAGTATTTTTGCCTTTGGTTTTTGGAGACGATTCACACATTATTTTAAAAATTTAAAAGCTGTTAGAAGTTATTGTTTCCCATTTACATTTCCTTTGCATTTTTTCATCTTTTCCCATGCTTAAAGGATCAAATAAGAGGGTTCAGATCCTTTGCAAATGAAACACTTTTGAATCAAAACATGGGTTATAATAGCAAAGGTGAATTATTTTCTCTGAATGGCTTACTAGGGTCCTGGCATTTGCTGCCTAAAGAGGCATTTATTTCTTAGTTGGATAAGGTCATGTTATCTTCTAGGTTCAATCTCACTTTTTGAACAAATCAATAGTAACTCTAAAATGCTATAGAAAAAGAATATTTTGTCAGGAAACTCAAAAATATGAGCCATGAGAGAGTATGTGAGTGAGGAGTGTTTGGATTGCATGTCATTTGCTTTTATTGTTTATAATAGACATCAAAGGAAACATGACAAATGATTAATCTTGCTTTTATGTATCCCTTTGCATGCAATATGCCCCAGTATAAAGACATGAATCTTCCACTGTGGGTCCCTTTATCGCTACTGTGCCCTGGGATGCACTTGGTGTTGTCATCCAGCCCTTAATATATAGTATAATAAAAACTATGGAAATGCAGATACTGGATCTTAGCAAACTCTCACCCAAGGAAATCTTCTTTATCCTATAACAGATGAAATCTGCTGTTTTCTGCTGGTAAATTGAAGGCCAACTATTAGTGCACTATTAAAATAGTCTTCAAGATTATCCTGCATGTATTGCAAGTGAGAGCACAAATTAAGCAAACCTCCAAGAGGGAAGGTACAATCATTCACAATGCTTTAGGACAAAGAAATCTCCCACAGCCCCGCTCCTTCCTTTTCTTCTGGGTTGGGGCCCAAGCATGTTGCCTGATTGGCCTTTGGGAAAGCCCATCATAGAAAGAGCTTGTGATGATTTGGGTCAACTGATAGTTTACTGGCATTCTAAAAGCAATGTTTTCTCTGCAAATAACTGAGAAAAATCTGTGACTCCTACTCAACTCTTGCATTTTAGAGACACCACAGCATGCAATCTCCTCTGTCAGAAGGTTATTCTGTGAAATGCCTAAAAAGGGAATGATTTTATACATTGATTATTGAACATCAACAGATAGTAAGTAGGGATGAGTGCTCAGAAATTCCAGATAAACAAACTTGAAATGAAGACCTTATACAAGTTTAAACCTATAATACTGTACCAACAAGTTCCTGGCACACAGCAAACACTTAACAGTAGCCATTATGCCTACTGATGTTAATAACATAAGTGTTTCCTTGATATTAAACTGAACCAGAAGAGAATATATTTACCTTGGATTTTATCCCTCATATCATGGGCTTGCTCTACCAGCTGACTTGCGTGGTTAATGGTGTCCATGCTTTCCTTCTGAACAAGTTGTCCTTTTCTGGAGGCTTGATTTTCCTACAAATAATCCGTATAAAGGCTAGATTAAATGTATGAGAAAAGAATGTTGTATAAGCACAGATAGGGGTGGGTGGGCATAATGTATTTCCTAAACGTAAATCTTCCTGGCATGTGAAAGTTCTATAACACATGAAATCATCCCAAAAATAATGCATGAAAGGTAATGTGATGGCCAGTTTTACTTTTAAAAAATTTTTTAATTTTTCCGTAAGTTATTGGGGTATAGGTGGTATTTGGTTACATGAGTAAGTTCTTTAGTGGTGATTTGTTAGACTTTGGTGCACCCATCACCCGAGCAGTATACACTGCACCATATTTGTAGTCTTTTATCCCTCCCCACTCCACTCTTCCCTGCAAGTCCCCAAAGTCCATTGTATCATTCTTATGCCTCTGCGTCCTCATAGCTTAGCTCCCACGTATCAGTTAGGACATACAATGTTTGGTTTTCCATTCCTAAGTTACTTCACTTGATGGCCAGTTTTAGAATGACAGAATGCTATAAAATCTGGTGCTATTCCTATATCATCAGTCACAGTTCAGTCCCAACCAACTGCCTTTCATATGTAATTTATTCTTCAAATTTTTACTGTATCTCAAGTTGCTGGACTAGAAAATTGCCCATGTCTGCTTATCATTTTGACATTGTGCTGACTGAAGAGCTTAAAGTTTCAAAGAGAAAATTGTTGAAAAAATAGGCAGACCTTGAAATGCACCATGCTTCCAGTGGCTCCTGGGTGGTCCAACCACTGCTGAAATTGAATTACCACAGAGATTTCAAGGATTATTCTCACTGGCCTAACATGCTGTTTTCAGTGCTTCATTCCAAATTCCCATCAACATTGATGGCACTTGTGTACAAATAACTGCTCAAGCAGATTTGGCTCAGCGTGAATGGAGCTCTTCTCCGAGAAGCTGATTCCATTCTCTCAACTTGGGAGATTCTGTTTCAGAGATCTCACACAGTATTTGTCAAAAATAATGCCCAACTCAAATGTGGCCTCTGAAGAAAGGGTTTGTGTGGGCGTCTGTGTGTATGTGTGTGTTTTTGTGTGCGTGGTGAAGGACAGAATGTGATCTAAGAGCACAGAAATGATTCAAGGCTAGGACACCACCCTGTATGCACAGCATGGGCGACATGTACTTACTTTTGGGATTTGAAGGACTGATCTATGGGTTATATTTAAGAGGAAGAGAAGTTCTTTAGTCTGGCATTTGGTCGAATGCCCACTTGCCTTGTCTGTTGCTTTTTTGGCTCAGCTCTTTAAAAACTGCTACAATACGTGAAGGAGCTGTGGGGTGATCTGCCACACAGAGCGCTGGTAGACCCATTATACAGAGTTTCCTGAGGATAGGGAAGTGGTTGTTTTAAACTTCTCTCCTTTCATCCAGTATTCTACCCAGAGGATTATGCCATGATTTTACCGGGAACGTTTTTACACTCTCCAGGAATAACCCAAGCAAGTGGCCCTCTCAGATGGTCAAGGAAGAGAATGCAGAAATGGTATTATAACAAACACATGCCCAGAGGCTTTTTATTGGAGAAGGGTAATCCCCTCCCTACAGAGCAAGGCTCCTGTAGTCACAGAGCCCACTGTGCAGCGGCAATGTGGTCATCAGTCCCTTCATAAACTGTGGGCTCTCTGAATGGACACTGTCTTCTGAGTCATTATACTCCTTCCTGCAATTCCAGTCTTCTTCTTGGCTTGTTCCAGTGCTTTCCAGAAAAACAGTATTTGTGGTCATTTTAAAATTAAATATGCAGAAACTATAATAAATCTTAATATTACTCCTCCCTGCTTTTAAAAAATACGGACACAAGCATTTAAAATTTTAGAATTTTTAATGAGTTGATCTTTGATCCAGTTTAAGTTATATTTGCAAAGCACAACACCCCTAGTTTTTACTTTGGCTTGATACTTCAGAGTAAAGCTCTATTGTTATTCCTATGTCATTAAACTTATTATTTTTTGATATGGAAACTTCAGTTGAAGTGATGAGAGACAGCTGAAAAATGTCATGCCTATAAGAAAACCTCTTCTTTTTGACAAACGCCAGAGGGCGCTAAGATACAGGTAGATAGAGATATATAGCTATTGATATACTGTATATATGACTGGATCAGTGGCAAAGAGGAACATCTATTCCTTTACATTGTAAGATGACTGAATTGAACCTATAGTGATGGCTTATATGAATGTTTATTTTTCCTGTAACTTTGCCTGTGGAAGGAAAATAATGATATAGGCACGTGGGAAAACAGGTGCGCCTCGGTTTAAGAAAAGCTGAAATTAAAAAATTACCTTGTAACTGTAAACTAGTTGGTGGTTTACATTACAAATGTATTAGTCATTTGCTCATCTCAACAGAAAATTCTTCTTGTACATATTTGACATAAAAGTGGCAAGGATGTCTTGGTAATATAGTACATAAAAGGTAGATGACGTGAGGATGATAACCAATATCTAGGGTGATCATATATTTTATGGTTCAACCTGGGGCATTTTTGCACATGAAAGGGAGAACTTTTAGTAATTATTCTGGGACACAAGCATAAACAGCAACAGTCCTGGACAAACCAATAGTAGGAATATTGGTGTGCTACTTCAGAATTTGTACAGTAATATCTACTTCTGCCTACCTCCTAAACATTAATGACCCTAAATTCCTTTCCAGCCCTGATTACCCTCTGAATTGCAGATTCACATCTCTATCTGCCCTCTGTGCCATCACAGATATTTCACTTTTAAAATGTCCAGAGTAATCCATTCGTGTTCGTAGTCTTAGTCATCCACGTCTCAGGATGGAGCTTCTCTCTTTGCCATTTCTCACCTCCAACTGGTCACCAAGTCTGTTTCATTCCACCTGCCACTCTGGCCTCTCTTCCTCTTTTCCATGACCACAGTCTCAGTTCATCCTTGTTCTGTGCAAATTCTTTTCAAATGAAGGCAAGACAGCAACCCACTGCTCTCTTCTCTAGACCACTGTGGCGGTCTCCTAAGCAGTGCCCCTATTGTCAGTCTTCACTGGCTAGTCTATCATCCACACTGCAGAGGGACGTTTCTAAAGTGCAAATCTAATCAGCTCATTGTTCTGGGTAAATACCTGAATGACTTCCAGAGTCCACAGGCTGAAGTCCCCATGTTCACGAGCGTGTTTGGGAAGGTTCTTCACAATTGGGCCTCTGACAGCTTCTTCAGCATTATCTCCTCCTCTCTCTGCCTTACAATGAATCTTCCACAAGGCCACAGTTCCAGTCCCAAGAACTTAGCACGCTGCTTCACATCTATCTGTTCTCATAGTACTTACCCCTTGCTTGGGAGTATCTGATAAACTCCTACTCATTCTCAATATACAGGCCAATACTCACCTTCTCTGAGAAGCCTTTCCTAGTGTACCCATGCCAAAATATTTCACTATTTCTTCCTTAGAGTTACCGTTTAGCCTGTACCATGTTTCTCTTATTAAATGCTGTATCATAATTATGTTTTTACTTATCTGTTTCCCTGCTAGACTGAAGCATCTTGAAAACAGGGCCTTATTATATTTCAGGATACCTAGCACCTAGCACACTAACTGTCACAGGCCGGGCGCGGTGGCTCACGCCTGTAATTCCAGCACTTTGGGAGGCCGAGGCGGGTGGATCACGAGGTCAGGAATTTGAGACCAACCTGACCAACATGGTGAAGCCCCATCTCTACTAAAAATACAAAAAGTAGCCGGACGTGGTGGCACATGCCTGTAATCCCAGCTACTCAGGAGGCTGAGGCAGGAGAATTGCTTGAACCCAGGAGGCAGAGGTTGCAGTGAGCCGAGATTGCGCCACTGCACACCAGCCTAGATGACAGAGCGAGACTCTGTCTGAAAATAAATAAATAAATAAATAAATAAATAAATAAATATTATATACAGATGTTCAATAATGCTTCTGGAATAGAAATGTAAACAGTTATCCCTCAGCATCCATGGGAGATTGGTTCCAGGACCCCACAGATACCAAAATTCATGGTTGTTCAAGTTTCTTACATAGAATGGTGTAGTATTTGCAATACTATAACCTATGCACATCCCCCTATATATATTATATCTAAATTACCTCTAATACCTAATGCAATGCCTATACATCACTTCGTTCATATGGATTCAAAGTAATACTCAGCATATGGTAAATTTGTATTTTGCGTTTTGGAACTTTGTGGAATTTTTCCAAATATTTTTAAGCCATGATTGAATCTATGAATACAGAGGGCCAACTGTACTTAATTTTCTCCTGCCTTTTTGGCAGGACCAGAGATGAGGTTCAGATGCTTTTGATGCTTGGAGATAGCCTACTTTCCTTTTAGTCCTGTGGGTCTCTCTGCATGAGTTGTCATTCAGGTAGCTTCTGCTGTGGTTCAAGGAGTAGAAGTGGAGGAGATGGTGCAGTACCTCCTGAGCCGCCCTTGGAGACTGTGCTTTGTAACTCTGGGCTCTGCAGTGGACCTTCAAGATCCAGATGGTGAGGGGCAGCACTGAGATTGGGAGAGGGCCACATCTCACCTCTGCTTGTAGCCCAGTGACACTCTGACCTTGAGCACAGTGGCTCTGGGAACATGGAAAAGTAGAATCTTGGCACGATCTTTGGAATTTTCATTGCAGACAAGATCAGCAGCACCAAAGGGAGCATCTTTTGAGCACTGGGTATTTATGAACACAGATGGATGGGCATCCTTTAGGGGAATCCCAGACATAAGTGGTGGGAAAGGGCTGTAGGACTTCCCAGTAGAAGGCTGGAGAATTTAGAAAGGGAAGTTCAGACAAAACCCGTAGCTAGGTGGATGTAACTTGTGAGATTTGGGTCACATGAAATCCATGTGGCAGGTAATTTGCAAAAAGTGGTATTACTTATCAAGTTCAAGGGGCAATATTACTGATTTTTATACACAATGAACTCCTTTACTCTATTTAAAGCCAAATATTAGTTACTTTCTTGATAGAAGGCTTTCTAAGACACAGCTTTCCTTAAATCTAAGAATCAGTCATGGACTTTTCTAGAGCAAGGGCTTGAAGAATGCTTAAAAAGTCATTAAGACCAGCCCTGGGCATTTGTTTTGAAATGTTTCAGCAGGTTTTTGCACCATCAGGACTGTGGTCAGAACATTATATTCAATAAAAATAGATGGAAACAGCTGGGTGAAAGTTCCTAGTAGCTTTATCATCAACCTCCTGTGTTGGTGGTCTGCCCTTCTTGTCCGGGAGCCTTTTCTACTGTGATGTTAACTTTCAAGCGTACATTATTTCCTCTCCACGAAAGCCTGCATTTAGCTTACATTAGAAGTGGGGAAATTGTACAACAAAAGGATCAGGAATTCTGCCTGGGCTGTGGGAGGAGCTAATCTTGGTGAAAACATTTCCTCAGATGTTTTCTTGAAAATTCTTTCCTCAAGAAAGAATTAAGGCTGGGCGTGGTGGTTCATGCCTGTAATCCTAGCACTTTGGGAGGCTGAGGTGAGCTGATCACCTGAGGTCAAGAGTTTGAGACCAGCCTGGCTAACATGGTGAAACTCTGTCTTTACTAAAAATACAAAAATTAGCCAGGCGTGGTGGTGTGTGCCTGTAATCCCAGCTACCCAGGAGGCTGAGGCAGGAGAATCACTGGAACCCGGGAGGCGGAGGCTGCAGTGAGCCGAGATCACGCCACTGCACTCCAGCCTGGGCAACAAAGCGAGACTCCATCTCAAAAAAAAAAAAAAAAAAAGAAAAAAGAATTAAGATAGTTTTAGCAAGTTTCAACCATATCTGATACCAACATGAAGTAACAATGAGTTTCCACAAATATTTATTTCTTGGTATTTCCTTTACTATTTAAGAGATTTCACTGCTCTTCAAGCACTAGTGGTTGGATTAATATGTGCCATTGCCGGGAACTAGGGACACAATTTTCATGATAATCTCTTAAAGGGTTTGGGGTCCAAGGTCAAAAGAGAATACTATTGTTATTTTATTTTTTTAAAATTTTTGTTGATCATGAGAATTGTTTATAATGTCAACTACCAGTTTTGGAAAGCGGCAATTCTGAAGTACTCTGGCCAGTACTGGTGGAATATCATTAGAAAAAAAAAAAAAAACTGTGTTAAACATTCTAATATGCTAAATATGGTGCCTCGTGACTTAGTTTGTAAAATTAGTATAGCACATGGATGGATGTTTTTCCATTAGGCTGTTGCGGAGTGCGTTGAATAGCCTTTCACATTGACTCTGCTCATGTTTTAATGTTTTTCCTGTTAATTCCTGACAGCTTTTACAAGTTGTATTTTTCTCAATATTTTTCTCTGTCTAGTTGTCTTTTTTGTTTATTTAGTTGTTTTATTGGATATTTGAAATTTTATCTTGTCAAATCTATCTTTTTATTGAAATTCTTTATGTTGTATTTAAGTGTTCTGTTATTCCCTTTGAAGATTTAATAAGTAGTTTGTTCTATTTTCTTGTGGATTTGAGATTTATACTCAACTCTTTAAACGGGCTAATTTATTTTAGTCTGTGGTATAAAGTGATGGTTGAAAGTGGTTTTTTCCCTGCCAAAGAGCGAAATTGCTTTCTCAGGACAATTCCCTTTCTTTCCATTTATCATTTAATGTATACTTTAACCAATATTTAAATTTTATATTCTATATAATAAATTTTAATTCTGGATGCTCTGTAGCTCTTAGTCATAAGATGCCTTGGCAAACACCTGAATGACCATCCTAATTAAACAAATCAACCGTATCAACCCACCGCAAATACACAGAAAATTCTCCACAAACATAGCTTTTCAAGAAAAACAATCAAAACGAGAGGAGACGGTAGAGACTGAGTATGTTAACTTTCTCCACAGGTCTGGTCTTGATTTATTTTAAGGCACATGGGTCACTGCATTTTTTCTGGGCTGTGTTAAGCCTCAGTCGTTTGTGACCAGCCAGCCTCACATCAGCTAAATCCTTTCTTTGAAGGCTGTCCCAGAAACTGAATACATACATACGTACCTTTTCAACTAATTCCTCTACGTCAGACAGAAGGCTTTTCATCGTGTTCTCAGCATTGTTGATTTGTATCTTTCTTAGGGCGTATTGGTTTTCTCTTTCTGACAATTTTGTCTGCAGAAGAATGTGTTTTGAGAATAGTCAATGGGCACACCAGGTTTTAAAAAATGTACATAAAACTCTTTCAGTGTAAGAGGACTCAGAGTAGAGTGTGAGGCTCTTTTCTCAAAATAGTGGGGTCCGCAGGCTGCTGCAGCCTGATATGAAGGGTGGGGTCTGCAGAGGGGACTGAGGCCCTTAGGGGCTAAAATTCTGCAAGCTCCACTCACTAGACCAGGGATGCTGGTCAGGGGCTGGGTTGACCATGGGGAAAGGGCTCCTTTTTCTAATTTGTACAAAGGTACAATATAGGCTGGTGGTGGCCCTGGGTGTCTGAGCTTTAGAATTTTAATTTTGTTAGGTCTGGAAGAACTGACCAACCCATCAGTATTGATGTAAATGGAGTATAGAAATTAACTTTCCTCATTTTAATGCAAGTCTCTTTATTTCAGACCCCTGGCTTTCTCCTTTTTCATTTTCGAGGAGTTGGGTCTAAATGCGGCTTTACTGAGATTACTTGGGAGTGAGCCCTTCAATCTTGACACTGACTTCCTGTCTGCCATAATGATTCCTGTCTTGAAGTTGTGCCTTTGAGGAAAGAGAATCTGAGTGGTTTCAGGAGGCCTGGATCTGGGTGACTCCCCTGGGGGGTAGTGTCTTCATGTGTTCCAACAGGTAATTTTGGACAAGAACAATTTCAAAGTTTAGAATAAAATTCACACCAAGATTCTATCCAGGCTACAATACAATTTTTGTTTTTGCTTACACTTTACATATTTGGCCAACTGCTATGGATATCATTTGCACCTCCAAAAAGCAATGAGTACTTAGTATGCCAGGTACTGTTCTAACTTCTGTACATATATCAATTCACTGAATTCTCTCAACAGCTCATGAGATAGAGGCAATAATTATTCAGGAAACTGAGGAATTATAGAGGTTAAATAACTTACCTACGGTCACACAGCTAGTGGGTGTCAGAGCTGGGATTTGAATACAAGCAACCTAGTTTCAACGTCCATGCTCTCAATCATTTTCCTAAATTGACTAACAAAGCAAAACAATGTGCTGGTATTGAATTCCATTTTCCCTCAGCTAATGATTATTATTTTAAAAATATCCTTTTGTTGTGATAGAAGCCCATGATTTAGTGGGAAAGAAAACTTGTAAATCTTAGCTATACAAGGACCTTTATATAGTCATCCCTTGGTAGTTGTGGGAGATTGGTCCCAGGACCCCGTGGGGATGCTCCAGTTCCTGATACAAAATGGCCTAGTATTTGCAGATAATGTATGCACATCCTCCAGAATACTTTAAATCATCTCTAGATTACTTATAATACCACTTATAATACTAACACAATGTCAATGCTGTGTAAATAGTTGTTACACTGTATTTTTCTTTTTTAATTGTTGCATTATTTTTTATTGTTTTTATAAAATATATTTTCTATCTGTGATTGGTTGAATCTGAGGATGTGGAACCTGTGGATATGGAGGGCCAACTGTATTACTGTTTTTGTTTTTTAATCTGTTGGCTGCTTTTAACTTGTTTACTAGGTATTAACCAGTAGAGCTATGAGGAGAAACAAGGTGTGTGTGAATGTCTGCGTTTGACTGTGAGTATGAGAAAATGAGAGAGAATGTGTGTAAATAAGAAGGAAAGGTGGGTGGGTGGTGGGGTGAGGAGAGACAGAGAAGAAGAAGGATGCTTCTAGACAAACTCAAAACCTTGCAAATTAAGGCTAAGGAAATGGTAGCCTTGCAGTACCTTTTGTGGTAATGACTTAAACAAGTAATGTATGGCTGCGCCAAGGAAATAAGTGTTTCTCTTTCCTCAGTAGTTTTGGGCATAGATACTAGTCTTTTAGTCATTTCATTTCCCATATAACCTCTTTTGTAGACAGTAGTTCTTGTTTTGGCCCAAGCTCATAGTTACAATCAACTTTTCATAATTTCCTATGAAATTACTTATGTTTTCTATGTTAGACCTACAGGTCTAACAACCTGTAATACAGGTATGAGACTCAGATACAAAAAGGGGTAGAAGGAATTACTAGCTGCGGGCCTGTGAAGCCAGGATGAAAACAGAGTGGAAAGTAGAACATTCCTGCGTACTTTGAGGAGGTAGATGGTGGCGTTGATTTCATTCACGTGCCTATGAGCGGCGGCCCCAGAGGATACGCTCAGCACCCCGGATTTGCCTTCCTCGATGGAGAGCGCTGCTAACCGCAGGTCATCAGTCAGGTCCCAGACGCACTTATCACAGCCTGGAGGTGAAACATTTCTTCAGAATCACAAGTCAAAAGCATGCTAAAGGCAGGCCGTTTTAGCAGAACATAAATCTCTATTTCCTTGGTTAATACCATTTTTATTTTTGTCTCATGAAGAGCTGTAATTCTATTCTTGTCAGGCTTTAGTATCTTGCTTGGCATTAGCTAGTGAAGATGGCTATTGGCTAGACGCTCCTCCTCTCCTATTAGCTTTTCTCAGTATTCAGGGGCTAGCACCAGCCTTCTCCCCACCCCAGGGAGGGCACAGCTCCTCCTCACAGCCCCACTTCCTGGCAGGATGAACACTTCAGCACCGGGAGGTCTGAGGTTATCGCTGCGAGAGTCGCTTCCTGACATCTGATGAGGGTACCAAAGTTCAGGCTGAACGTGGGCACATGGGGAGGCAGGTCCCAGTTCCTCATCACTTCTCACTTTTCACATTTGAGTTCCTCTGACCACTGTCATCACCTCCAGAACCCAGGGCCCTCCTGTGACACACTCACAAGGATGGCACTCTGTGTTTCAGAACTGCCTTGATCACCTTTTGCAACGTGCCTGTTCCCGATCTCTTTCCCTCAGATGGTGCTCTCTTCTAGAGACGTGATAAAGGGAGACTGGCGTGTTAATGGTTGTTAATATGTTAATTTGTTATTTGAAGTTTAACATGGTTTTACTTATAAGCTCTCTCAAGGGAATGATTCCCAGCCAGTACTTCAGGCTTGGTGGGGGAGATGCTTAGGACCAGGCAGGCATCTTGATGTTCTTAAATTGGCCTTGTCTAGGGGCCACCTGTTCAATCAGGGTGTAAACTTGGCATTACTTGTGCCTCACATCCTATGGCATCTTCTAAGATGTAATCCAATGGTAAGGTTAATCTCGTCTGCTCCGAGGGACTGAGAGACCAAGATACATCTGTTTGGGGGAGGGGATGCCTACTATTAAAATAGTTTTTAAACCAAAAGTTTTGTTCCTAGTGTAACTCCTCATGATTTAATTAACAGGAGAGCCAGAGAAAACCAGGAGAGATAAAAGGCAGTTCCATTTTGTAAAGCCTGAATATTTACTTCTGCTCCCACTTCAGATTTGAGGTAACTTGGGAGAAGCCACTTAAATCTCTTGGTATCTCAGTTTCCCCAGGTGTTGTAAATTGTTTGTACGTCGTATTTTCAGGGACCTGAAGAGACGATATAGGAAAAGGAGCTGAAAAGAGCTCTGTCACTGGGAGTTGTGTTTCTGACTTTGCCTTTAGCCATTAGGTAAGATTCTGAATGTAAAGACTGGATAAAATAGAGCTATGCAAATGTAAACCACCCATTTGCCCTAGGGAATCAAGTGGACCACCAAGTACTTGGTGCAGGCTCCATTTGCTGAGGTGCAGAAAGGGTTAAGTCCAGGGGTGGGACTCAGCAGTTTCTAGAGAGTGATATTGCATAGCTTTTCTTAATCCCACACCTGCAGCACATTAGAGAAAGTGGGGTTAGTCAATCATGTACTGTTATTTTTACTTATGGTTGGGCAGTCCATGCCTGTAGGGGGTTCAAAACCTTCTTCCAAGCATTCTCCGGTTACACTGTCACATGGGCCTCCCCCGCAGTTGCACACTGTGGGAAACAAAAACAAGAGACGAGAAATGCACTTCTTAATGCTTAAAATATGGCAATATTTTCCTGGTTTCTAGAAACACTAGCTATCAGTGTATAATTCATCAATGGGAATTAATTACATTCTTCCTTCAGACTGTGTAGAATCTACGATACAGAGATTACGCCCTTCATCCGATTAAGCTCCAGCCCAATGAGATTTTCAAAGGTGACCCTGGGCAAAATTGAATCTAAGTTTTCTAGGATTTCTCTCCCAACTCTTTGGGATTCTGACATGACAGTGCAATTGCTTTAGTCCAAAAATGTCCTGGTAAGTTTCACAAGATACTAAATGACCACGAGCTCATCATTCAACTGGAAATTGAAAGCCATCCCTTCCTTGCAGACTGATACTCCAGTTTAATTTAACTCGGGGGTTGATCATTGCCAGGTGTGAGGGAGGAGCAGCTTAGCAAGGAGTGAGTGAGGAGGCCCAGGAGCGATTCTTGGCTCCCACTGCGCTTGACCCTTGGCAAGACAGACTCCAAACCTCCAAATGACAGCTATGAGTGCAATAAGAATAATGTGCTGCAAGGAATCAGGAACATTTTTACATGAATTTAGAAGACGTGGGAGCCCATTATTCATCTACTGATGATTTTCTGTAATGCCTTTTGGAAAAAGCAAAAACAAAAGCCCAATCTCATCAGACTGTTCAATTTCCACTGAGTTTCTGGGTGGGAACTAATTTGTAATATTTAAAGAGGAATTCTCTTACCATCTATGCTAGCAATTAACTGGAATAGAATTGTGCATTTCCCCCCACTTCTTAACTGTCTTTACAGAATAATCATAAAAACCAGGTTCATGGGAGATCTATTTATTACATTTCATCTGTTTAATGTTCCACAAAATGCAGATTTATTAAATCTTTCAGCAAGATCATGCTTTATTGCTTCTAAAATTAGCTTCTCTTCCAAGAGTGACCTGCATCTTTATAGTTTAAACACAAATTTAGTAAATGTTTTGAGAATCAGGATGTCAACCTTTCAGGCTTTGATTTTGCCAACATTATTTCTGCTGTCCGCCTTCTCTCTCTTTAGCCTGACTAGACACAGTGCTCCTTCCTTTCTGCTGTCATTCTCAGTGTTATGCCTCTATGCACATTGCTTTTTTGTAGACATGTTTACTTTTATTGTGACTTCTGCAGAACATATATGTTGCATTTTTTTTATTTAAAACTCCTTACTCCTTGAATCTTTTCAAGTGGAAATCTGTTTCAGTGAAAGAATTCCTTATAGAGGCATGCCACAGGAGTACAATATTTCCTGCTCTCCCACTCTCCCCTCAAAGTCACATAAGAGTAAGACATACTCAATCTCAGCCTTCCTGTACTCTTAGAGGAAAGCAATGTCACCTCACTTTTGAAGAGCTTCACTCTATGTGGCAAATGGATGAATAAGATCTGTGCGTTTCAGTCTAACTGAAGCCTAACCAGAAAGTTTTCTATGCTATCTTTGAAATATTTACCTCTTATAATTTGAGGAAATTGGAGGATGGTGGTGATTAAATGGTACCCTTGACTTGCTAATCTATTTTATGGAAATCTTGATTTTACCAAACATAACTGAACGAGAGATATAGCCCTCTGAATAAGAAAACTGATTTGAACCATGCAAGGTTTCTTTTTCTTTCTTTCTTTCTTTCTTTCTTTCTTTCTTTCTTTCTTTCTTTCTTTCTTTCTTTCTTTCTTTCTTTCTTTCCTTTCTTTCTTTCTTTCTTTCTTTCTTTCTTTCTTTCTTTCCTCTTTCTTTCTTTCTTTCTCTCTTTCAGAGAAGAATCTCTCTGTCACACAGGCTGGAGTGCGGTGGCACAATCTTGACTCATGGCAACCTCTGCCTCCACCTCCTGGGTTCAAGGGATGCTGGGTGGGACTATAGGCACCCACCACCATGCCCAGCTAATTTTTGTATTTTTAGTAGAGACAAGGTTTTGCCATGTTTGCCAGGCTGGTCTCAAACTCCTGGCCTCAAGCCATCCACCCACCTCAGCCTCCCAAAGTGCTGGGATTACAGGAGTGAGCCACCATGCCTGGCCTGAACCATGCAAGATTTCATTCAGTCTCCTGGTTAATGGCAGGTAATCCATAGAAGTCCGATTTATTTCTTTGATTAAAACTAGAAGGATATAAGATGCTAAGACAAAAGTTCATTTGTTGTGTTTGTGTCTCCTAGTTTATTCCACCCATGAGCAAAATTATATTAGTAGCCTTGATAAAAATTTCTATCCCTGATGGGTTTGGGATGCATATTCCTGAGAATGTACATTGCCCTGGGAAAGTGACAAGGGGGCACTCACAATACTTCCCCAAGAGAAATTCTTCATCTAAATTCAGTATTGGCAGAGGGTCATGCTGGCCAGGCAGCTGGCTTAGTATTTATGATACTGCACCTGCACAGTTCTTGGCTATCCTGGCGTCCCCATAGTAGCCAGGAGCGCAACGTTCACACTTGAATCCGGTGGTGTTGCGTAAGCAATTCCTACACTGGCCAGTGACTTCATCACAATCTTCAAAGATCAGGTTGGGATCTGAATTTCCACTGCAGTCACATTTCTTACAGGTGCTTCCAATGAGTAAGGGGTTTCCATAGTAACCGGGAGCACATCTGAAGAGGAATATCACACATTTAAATATTTAGCATCATGGTTTTTCTTCCTTTTAATCTTCTTTCCTACAAAGAAGAAAGATGTAGTGGATATTTATTGATTTCCCTCCCAGAATTCATTTGCACTCTCTCATCTTCTTCATAGGACCAGATTTCGTTTTTAAGGAACTACCCCTCCCCATTATGTTATAGATCATTTGGTTCACTTCATCTGTAGGCCATTCAGTTCAGCCAGGCTTCCAGCTATAGGATTGAACTGGTATATCCAGCCAGGGAACTGGTGTACACAAATGATATATGATGGGTGGGACCAGATATGCCAAAGGTACTGCAATGAGATGTACCTGTAGCGTACAGCTGGGAAATGTCCTAGCCACAACGTTAATAGCACCTCTATTGAGAAACATTGATCAGTCTAGTCACAATGAATTGTTTAAGTAACTAAGCTTGAGCCATTCAGTGCCTGCTATTCTCCTGGCTGAAAGGGATTGACTCAGGAGTGTAGCTTGGGCTCTTGTTTGAGGGTCATGGGGTGGCATTCTCTCCATCTTCAGGTGAAGGAAGAGGCAGCAGGTAGTACGCTTAGCTCCTGGCAGCAACTTGTAACTGAGCAAAGCCAGCCTGGAGTCAAAGCAGATGGCAGAGCTGAGAGTACCACAGATCAATGGAGTTGGAGCCCAGACTGCCATTCTTCTGGATGTTTTAGATATGCGCACCTACAGAGGCCAGGTGCCTACCTGCATTTATTGTGTGGGCAGAGCCAGTGCCTATGGTCAGGCTGGCTGGGCCTTTGATGAGAGAGCCCAGCTGAGTTGGAGAATGGAGACTGAAATCCATCTAGCCTTTGCTTGCCTTGCCAAGCTGTGCACTCTAGGTGAGGCTGTCTCTGCCCAGAGGAAGAAATGCCTTTCCCTACTTTTCCCAAAGCTGCCGTGCAGGGCAGCAGAGGCCCTGCTGTGAGTGGTGGGCCTGTAGGCCCCATGTAAGGGAAGAGCTGTTACTAGGCTCAAGTTGATTGTTGCCAGCCTAGAGCCTTGAGAGGATGAAGGACCTATGTTGCCATATTTTATTTTTGGAGAAAAAAGTGGAAATTTGGATGTTTATGTGAAATTGCAATTTTTAAAAGTTGATTCAAACCTTGTAAGAGTACTGTACAAGTCAAACTACATGCTTGTTGGCTGATTGTGCACTCTCTTTTGCTGTGGACTCTAAACTAGTGTGGAAGATGGGCCAACTGGAGCTGCAGACACTTTGAGAGTAGCTGGAAAGAACATGTGGTCACACCATAATGGGATTGAAGGTAGGGTAGAGAAGTTAGTTCTGTTGCATGAGAGGGAAAAAGAAAGAGAGCCAGCAAAGGGTTTTGAGCATGATGGAAGTGGTAGTGAAGGAAGCTGGTGCTGGCTTCAGCATGCAGGATGGACTTCAGGCTGGAGCAGAGGGATGGGGTGGGGTATAGAGGGCCTGGGCTGGGGTGTTGGCCTTGGGAGTGGAAAGGAAGGGAGAGCTTTCCAAGGAAATCAACAAGCCCTGGCCAGTAATAATAAAACACTACATTTTTTTTAAAGGATTCCCTTTAAAGTAAGGGAATCATGATTCAGAACATTTGAAAAACAGATACATAAAAAAAAATCACATCTGTAATCCCAGGACCCTAAAAAAGTCACTGTCAACATTTTGTGTATGTTCCTTCAGCCTCTGTTCCCATGTCTCAGTTTCTTGGTGTAGTTGTAGTGATAGGATATGGTCAGTCTTTAAACTCTTTACCTGCATCGAACCTCATAGCTTCATCTATGTGAGTTTATTTAGTTACCACAGACACCCTGGGAGGGAGGCCACACAGGCCTGGCATTCTGGGAGGCTACTTCAGTTTTCCAGGGTCACATAGCTGGAAAGTCACAGTGCAAGGTCCAAACCTTCTGACCCTGGAGTTCTTTCTTTTGCTCCACCCTGGACCACACTGCTGCTGCTATAAATGAATGAGTGGATTCATCCAACACAAGGACAATTCATGTCCATTTTATGTAAGACATAGAGGGAGACAGGATGAAGAAAAACACATAGCCCATTCTCTGAAAGAACAGGAAATAAATTAACCATAATGATACAGAATATGAACTCTAGAAATCTGGTCTATGAAAAAGATGGGGATGAATGTAAATTCTACACAACCCACAAAGAGACACCCCAAGAGGAAATATTCAATGAGTGTTGTTATTCGCACTTTCTCATGTCTTTGCACCTCAGATTTATAGGCCTGCAGGTCCCTAAGCCAGCATAAATTATTCCTCTATGGAACTTGTGGCTGGATTGAATTTCTGGCCTTTGCTGAAGTTCACCAAACAGAGAATATTAGGCTCTTTGGCCGACTGAAATGAGACTCAGATCTACCAGCTCAATGTGTGGCTGGGAATCTTAAGGTCTGGGAGTGAAGGGGCTTGCCCAAGCTCATAGAGGTCAGATGCCAGTAACTTTTTCATTTAATTCCACTGCATTTGCTCTCCATAGGAGGTCCCCTGGTCTTTTACAAGAGAAAACTCAAATTTTCTATTCTGTAAGTTGGAATCTCTATCACAGTGGAAACCTACTTTGAGTTACTCTGAGTCTTAAGAACATCTTCTGGTGGTAGGTTTAGAGGAAACTCTGAAGTTTTAGTCAAAACTCTGGACCCTATGGATTTAACAAAATGAGCATACAAAAGTTTACTTATGATAGTCCCTGACAAACCCCTACTTTTATATATAAGAAAGCTAGAAGGCAGAGAAGCTAAATGACTTGTTCATTGCTGCATAGCTCAAACCTCTGTGGGACTCCAGGCTTAATGTTCTTTCCACTCCAGCAGTCTAGCATTAAAGAATGAACTAATTAATAAATTAGTGATTATAAAAGTGCCCAAGCCTGCCCTCAAAGAACTAACAACAAAGACACAAAAGCACCAGTATTTGAGTTTAGAGTAAGCATTGGAGCCCTGGTGCCCAGTAGCCTGGTCCTATTTTTTCTTCCGTAATCTCATTTCTAGTCTATTAATGACTTGATCCATCCAAGGAAAACAGAACTGGTAAGTTTATGGCTCAAATGAAAGGATTGTGGCATATGAACTTTGTCATTTTGGTTAGTGATTTTATTATTTGGGCAAAATGGAAAACCAAAAGATATGATGTTTAGAAAAAAAGATTATTTTGACCAAAAACTGTTTCAGGAATGCTTGAAGCTCCCCCTGCTCTGCCTGCCCTTTCTCTTTCTCTTCTGCTCCTCCTCCCAGGGCTATACAGCTGGCACTGAAAGTCTTTGTCAAGAGTGCCCAAACTCCTGGGCTAGGTGGCTCAGAAACCTTTCTGGGAGGGATGTCACTCTGTAGCTGTCTTTGGGATTAAATAAAATGACATAAAAAAAAAGAACTTGTTCCAAAGTAGGTGCTATGTAAATGCTCTCCACTTCTTTATGAAAGACTGAGAAATAAGGCTAGGAAAACGTATGTAACCTATTCAGGGTCACAGGGCAAGAATTCAGGAGTTGAGCAAGCTAGAGAGTAAGGAATCATAAGAACTCTATGCAAACAACAGGGTCTACGTGTGAAAAACTTGATGTCTTCAGAGAGAATTAGACTAAATCCCCGCATCACAGTAAACCTCAATAAAGGTTAGCTTTCTCTTGTTCTTCTTCCTTATTTTTCTTTTCCATTATCAAGGCCATCATTGAAATCATTATGATTATCATCTTCATCTCTGATGATACTGTGTTCTGCCTTTTCTGTTAGGGGTTTAAGTCACTTTGGATTTGCTTTAATTTGCCCCATTCTTTTCTTCTGATCTTTAAGCAACAAGATTCACATGATCAATCATCATGTAGTCTTAGCATGTTTCTCACTCCACCACCAAATTTAATGCATGAAAGTATACTATTAAAGCTGCTATGGGAGGCAGTGTGGAATACTGAAACATTGAGATCATATGACTGAAAATGGTATTGAACGTTGAGGGTCTTGGGTTTTAGTTTTGGATTTCTTGCTAACCCAATTGTGTGATGTTAGATTAAGTCACTTCATGGCTCAGAGTCTCAGGTTCCTCATCTTTTTAAATGAACTAAGTACACACACACACACACACACACACACACTACACACACTGCTATATATATTTGGGGGCAGGTGAAGCTGGTGAGTCTTGGGCAAGGATTTTTTTCCCTTTTATTTTTTTCTTGACAGGTAATGATACATATTTATGGGATACAGAGTGATATTCCCATACATGTGTACCATGTATAATGACCAAATCAGGGTAATTAATATCTCATCACCTAGAACATTTATCATTTCTGTGTATTGTGAACATTCAGAATCCTCTTTTCTAGCTTTTTGAAAACAGAAACTAAATTATTAACTATATTCACCCTAGAATGCTGTAGAAAGCTACAAATTATTTCTCCCATCTAGCTGTAAGTTTGTGTCCGTTAACCAGCATTTCCCTATCCTTCCCCCATCACTTACCACCTGCCACCTTTCCCAGCCTCTAATAATCAGAATTATTCTCTCTACTTCTATGAGCTCAATTTTTTTTAGCTTCCTCATATGTGGGAGAACATGCAGGATAAAAAATGTGGGCTGCTTCACGATTCTGCACATCACCCTTGCACAGAGGCCATGCTAATCTTCTCTGGGTTGTTCCAATTTTAGTATATATGCTGCCCAAGGGAGCACCTCATCTTCAAAATGTTCTTAGTTGTTCCTACTGGGATGAGGATGAGAATTGCAAAACTCTACAAGGCTTGTGCATTTTACAATTATTTGCATCAGAAGACAACTTCCATTTGCAATCTCTATTCAGCCAGACTCAGTCAACTCTGGGTCACCCTTTCCATTTTCCTGGAATGGGGTGGGAGATTGGGGGTAAAACAGGGCAAGGAATGACTGACTCCTGTCACTACATAGTACCTTTTTTAAAGGAACATGAAAAGTGCTGTTGCTATTTCTTATTGAGAAAAAATATTTTTACTTAAATAAAAACAACTGAGGCCTTCAACATGCCAGATAGTGTGCTGAGGGAAGAATAGACAGAGGAGGGATAAGGGATATGATGCTGTGTCTGTCAAGCAGCTCATAGTTTCACAGATAAAGAAGCCATTGTGTGATTCTGAGCAGGTGACTTAAATTATGTCGCATTTCTTCCTCTGTAAATAAGGATGAAAATGGTATTCCATAGGATTTTTGGGGCTCTTTTGAGGCTTAAATCATTGTCTGTAAAGTTTTTACAACAGTGCCTGACATACCACCCAGTAAGTACTTAATAAATGTTATTATTTTTATCATCATGATCATGGTCTAAATACAATACAATGTGGAAAGCTTGCCAGCTGATCTGGTGGATTTGGTGAGTAGCATGTCCAACACGGGGAGTTTAAAGTGTGAGGTGGGAGAAGGTTTTTAGGGAGGAAAGACAGGTAGGGCCCAGAGCAGGCCAATATTCATGGACCTAATTGTTAAGACAAGGCAGGTGGGCGTGTTTGAGCTGTTTTTTTACACAGTAGTGTAAGAGGTAGAGTAAGTAAAACATGTTTTATGTTTTAGACCAGTGTTTCGCGAATTTGCATGTAACATGGATCCTTTTAAAAGGAAAAGCATTTTCATGTAATACCCCTTCCAGTGTTAGCTTAAATTATCTTTAAATATTTCAAACATGAAGCTAGGTAGAAACTCCTTATGTCTATGGTTTTTACATGTCTTGAAAACCAAAATAAATTTTCAAATACAACATAAATAAAACTATGAAACTAATCAATTTCAGATTCACATTAATTCAATAATTGATGTTGTCTTATAACCAAATGTCCACTTGCAAAATGATGTGGTAGAGACTGCCTGTGTTCAGCATGCAAATCCAGCCATGTGCCATGTGACGACTCATGTCTCTCACCAATTTTCATTTTGGAATCTTTAGTTTTACAGTTTGCCTTGATGTCATGCCACTTGACCTCCAATTGTCTGTAATGTGTCATTGACAGACTGTCACCTCTGTTATTTTCTCCCAGCACTGAGGGAGATCTTCTCTTATTATAACGTGACACAGCAGAAAGTCCAGAACATGTTTCAATGAATGTTTTCCTTAAAGTTATTATTAAAATTAAACATAAAATTAGGAAAATATTCACTGAGAACTCCTGAACCTTCATTTCCAAGGACAACCAAGGTTCTTAGGTCACGGTTTGAGAAATACTTCCCTAGTATGAGAGTGTGGTATTGAAGGTCAAGGTAGAGCGGTAGTTCACAAAGCAGTGAGAGTCCTGGTGCATGAGAATCCGACGGGAAGTCAAAATACAGGTCCTGGGCCTCAGCCCTGGATATTCTTTTTCAGTGGGTGGTGAAGGGGAGTTGGGGAGGGCTCAGGAATCCAAAGTTTTCCTGGAGACAGTTGGACACAGATTTTAAAACCACCACTTGACTCAATGATCTCTAAAGTGCAAAAAGACCTAGCAGGTTCTTGGTTTGGACTAATTATTACCTTTGTTTAAAACAGATATCCATACAAATCAGTTGCATATTTAGAAAAGCTCTTTTGGAGAGGTTCAAGTTCACAAATACATTGAAAGCACAGATTAGGCGAAGGTTAACTCAGGCAACTTAAGAGCTTGGCTGTTCAAGCAGAAACCCTCCTCTTAACCCCAGGGTCAAACAAATCAAAAGCAGCAAAGACCACCGCAATTTGGAAGACATAGCTCTTCTGGCTCAGTTTCCTCATCTGCAAGATGACAAAATACAACCTTCTCTAAGGTGGCTGTGAAGATGACAGATGAAGAATGTAAAGCAACAAGGACATAAGTGATAATTAATCAGTGGCACTATTTAGCTCAGAGCTGTAATTTCTAGCTAAGGAAACCGAGACTCAGGGAAATGAGCCAACGTGTCCCAGGAACACAATCGGCAGTGGCAGAAGTTGGACAATGACCACCATGACTCATACTGTCACCTGTTAATTCTTATTGAGCATTTACTCAGTGCCAGGTCCCACACTCAAAACTTTGCAGTATTATCTCATAACAGTTTTATGAGACAGGTAACTTTATTTTCTCCATTCTGTACAAGTGGAAATTGCCACTTGGAGAGGTCAAAGAACTTGCCCGGGTGGGTCACAAAGTGGTGGAGCTGAGATTCACACTCACCCAGGCTAATGCTCAAATCTCTTCTTTTCAACACTCTACTTTCACTTTCCAAACCAGTGCTCTTGTCTGGAGCCTTCCACTCCAGCAGCAGATCTGACCCAGCCTTACTGGGTAATGGCAGAGCTCATGAGCATCCTATGTGGGCTGAGGCATTTATCATCTGTAATTCCTTGTCAGAGGTGGGCGTGCAGTCCTGCTGATGGTTTGGGATGACAGAACCCTTCTCTGCACCCCTGTGTGATTTTACAGGACTGTGCCCTTAGGGTCCAGGTGATTTCACTTCTGCGAGCTTTGCATTTGGTCAGCAGGGCTCTATCTAAGGCCATTAACTCTCCCCGTGGGGGCCATTGAACACCCATTAGCAATACTGCTTGGTCATTATCAAACTAAATTGAATTTAACCTCAGACACTGAGGAGAAAAAACTCCATCCTGGCTGATTAACAACCGCCACAGACCTCCAGTGAGCCAGAAAATGAGTAAATCAGGTGCCTCCTATTCCTGTGTCTCCAAGTAAGGAAATATAGGATAAGTGTGTCACAAATTTCAATCAACCCAATGTAATCGATCATCTCTGTCAGTCCCTCCTAATAGATGAAATTCATGTGGACCCTAAGCTCGCTTTCCCTCTTATGGCAATAAATAAATAAATTCAAAAAAATCCACAATCCTTTAGTGAAATAATTATCCACATTTTGCATATTTAATAATCATAATAACAATGCCTTCCAAGTGCAAAGATTTTTCTCTGTATCACAGATACTGTGGCTTTTTTTTTTTTGAGTTTCAGACCCACTTTTTGAGAGATAGAGGGTGTTTTCTTTGGAAGTGAGATTGCTTATAATTTAAAGTTTACATTTTAAGCCCCAGGTTGAGTTTGTGAGCCCATCTGTGCTGTTGAGGGCCTGCAGATGAGTGACTGGGTGCTTGACTATTTCCGCTTGGCTCTTCCTTCCCTGTCTCTAGGGCACTACATATCGTTTAGCTGCCTAAACACAATGGTGAGGCCAATGCTAATGGCATTTCTGTTAAAAACAAGAAAACCTGTCTGAGAGACTCTTTGAGCAAAAGCCATTTTATCTTACAACACTGCGAGCAGCTGGCAGGTGGAGGGAATGGGAAATATCTTACCGAGTCATTCAGTGGAAAGCCTCTCGTGCTCTGTGGAGAAGGCCTTTCTTACATGAGCAAAGCCCAGAGCAGTTTAGAAAAAGAGAGAAAAGAGTGTCATGTGCTTTTCAAAAGAAGACATTTATGTGGCCAACAAACATATGAAAAAAAGCTCATCATCACTGGTCATTAGAGAAATGCAAATCAAAACCACAATGAGATACCATCTCACACCAGTTAGAATGGCAATCATTAAAAAGTCAGGTAACAACAGATGCTGGAGAGGATGTGGAGAAATAGGAATGCTTTTACACTGTTGGTGGAAGTGTAAATTAATTCAACCATTGTGGAAGACAGTGTGGTGATTCCTCAAGGATCTAGAACCAGAATTACCATTTGACCCAGCAATCCCATTACTGGGTATATACCCAAAGGATTATAAATCATTCTACTATAAAGACACATGCACACATATGTTTATTGCAGCACTATTCACAATAGCAAAGACTTGGAACCAACCCAAATGCCCATCAATGATAGACTGGATAAAGAAAATGTGGCACATATACACCATGGAATACTATGCAGTCATAAAAAAGGATGAGTTTATGTCCTTTGCAGGGACATGGATGAAGCTGGAAACCGTCATTCTTAACAAACTAACACAGGAACAGAAAACCAAACACCACATGTTCTCACTCATAAGTGGGAGTTGAACAATGAGAACACATGGGCACAGGGAGGGGAACATCACATACCGGGGCCTGTCAGTGGGTGGGGGGCAAGGGGAGGGATAGCATTAGGAGAAATACCTAATGTGGATGACGGGTTGATGGGTGCAGCAAACCACCATGGCACGTGTATACCTATGTAAGAAACCTGCACGTTCTGCACATGTATCCCAGAACTTAAAATATAATTGAAAAAAAAAAAGGAAAAAAAGAAAAGAGTGTCATATGTAAATACCAGCCAGAGATCCAGAAAACCTAAACTCCTGTGGAATTTGTTTACTTTTTAGTATGGTATAAAGCTGGTATAAAGAATGGGCGAAATAACAGCTTTGTGGGTTGTTTTTTTCTAATTTATTGCTCTATTGACAAAAGGTGATTCACATTTTATTTACTGAGGAAACCTCACTCTTTTCTGGGGAACACTAATTTTAGTACTATTTCTCATTGATGGAGAGAGAAAAGAGTACTACCAAAACCATCTAGAGAATCTTTTCAAAATACACATCCTCAATTTCCTTTTTCCCTGTGTGCTTATCCTGAGATGTGGCCTTGGCCTGAAGCCCTAGGAAGCATATTGTTATTTGCTGTATCTGGGGGATGGGATTTAGGAAAACTTCCCTAAGGGGTTTTGAAATGCAGTCCCTCAACCACTCTTAAGCATCTCCTTCAGGACCCACTGAATGGGAGTATGGCAGAGCTGTTGAGTGTGAGAAACAGAAAGCTTCCTTTGACCCACACAGAAAATAGAGAATTTTATTGGCTTACCTTTCACAGTTAGGTCCAGCATAATTTTCGTTACAAATGCACCGAACAGCTCCATTTTTCCTATAGCAGGATTCTGCAAAACTAAAATTGGAAGCAAATATTGGAAGTCAATTCCATACATCACCAAAGAGACTGTCTTAACTTTTTATCAGATTACCTCTATGTTGGTCCCATTAAAGTTCTAATGGGTGCAATCATTTTCTTTATTTAAACTTGTACACATTTACCTTGCAGGAAAGGTTAGGCTAGCAGGCCCCAAAAGAAAATGCCACTTGTTGGTGGGACCATTTCCCAGGTCCTATATATATATTTCAAGCACTAGTCCAAAACATGTATCCCAAAGCTGGAAATAAAATGATCAAATTCTACCTGCAATTTTGGATTTATAAGAGAATCCCCTTTTATTTCCATCACTGTCTATGTAGTCATTTAAAAGTTTCCCCTTTTTTTCTGCACTAGAACTTGTCCAGTTTTAAAGGGAAGGAACCAGTTCTAAACTATATAATCTCCACAGAATTATAATTTCTTTCATGTGTACTTTAAATATTGGAAATAAGGTTGCTGAGACTGGCTGCGTCGATGAAAGTCCCAGTCAAGTACTGCAGCAAAACATAGGACCCACCATAAAAGGATTTTATCCCATGGAACCCTCTCTCTTTCTTCTTCTTCCTTTTTTAAAGATAATAAAAATTAGGACACAGGACAAAAAAGTAATAAAAATATTGGTTTAGTGGAATACATAAGTCTCCTCACTATTAAGGCAAGGGAAATGGGGTTATGGTCTCCACGTGTTTGGAAAATTCTTCATAGACACATGAATTGTGTGGGGCATAGGGGTGTGTGTGTGTGTGTGTGTGTATGTAAAATTTTAAGGACTTTTAAATTAGCTTTGGCTTTGGTACTATACAACCAATAAAGTGTGACCCGCTGCTCTCTTGTTCCTTTATGTATCAGCATTTCTTACCCTAATGGTGTTTGGAGGAAAGCAAATAGATGTGTTTATTTGTTTGAAGACACTTAAAAAATCAGTCAGAAAACAATATGTGCTTCTCAGTGAAAGGCAACACCCACAATTTATTTTCGCAAACAGTTGGGTAAAAACATTCCAACAGAATTACATTTCTTTGGCCTTTTACCCTTTATTTTGCTTGTTCTGATTTCTTAGCCTACTTAAAGAACCACTGTCAGTTAAGAGTCCAGAACAGGAACCCGCGCTTCCATCTTTCTTTGAAGGTGTTCCACCCAGCAGCCTGCCCACGCTTGAAGCATGCAACATCTGCTAGGGGCATCTGGAGTCATCCGCCTGTAGCTGGTGTCCTGCTGTTTCAAACAGATGACATTTTCCTTAACTGGAGCGATTTCCATAGCTACTGGTAGAGATGGAGGACGTCTGGCCAACCCCCAAATAAATACATGAACATTATGCAAATGGTCCCTGGGAACAACTGCATGACCACTGGTCTCTGTGGCGAAGGCAGACTCGGTGGCAGGGCCAGCCCTCAAGGGTTCGTTTTTGTTTCTCATCAGCATTAACTGTTTATGTTTTGTCTGGTTTTGGCTAGGGAAGTGAAAACACTGCGTCTCTCTCAGCCCACTGTAACCACTGTGGTGCCCATTTCAAGTGGAAGGGTGCCTTTTGCTCTTAGAAAATCCTTAGGAACTTAGAGAAAAATAGACTCGGCCCTTTGTTTGCTTAATCCCCTGAAGCATTATTTCCTTGCTTTCTTGTAACTGGAAATCCAAATCCTGCGTCTGTGGGCTCAGCTTCATCAATGTTTCAAAATGTAATTCAGAGTCTAAACTAGACGCCTTTCTGAAAAGTCCTGGAACTTTCATTTTATAGAAAGTAGCAATATGAATTTCTTAAAAAGCTGAAAGAGGCAATGGGCATTTGATTTTTGATAAGATATTTGATTAGTATTTGAGATTAGCTAACTAAGTTAATAATAAGTCCAGATCAAAGGTTAGAACTTTTTAGGACCCAAGAATATTTGTTCTGTTCCATGACCACAGATGAACCCCTCCTCTCCTTTTTTGCAGCCAGTTTCCCCAGCAAGGGATTCAAGAAGTAGAGCTGTTGTCACTACAGAGAAAAATCTGTAAAATCCCTTGGTCTCTCACACCCTTACCAATTCCTCCCTACTCCTACATGATATTTACTTATAGGTGACACACTTTTTACTTCATTTTCGTTTTCAGTAGGTTTTTCAACCTCGAATCTGTACTATTAGAGACTTGAGTTTTCGTGTCTGTGAATATGCATCTAGATTTAGAGCACATTCTCTAAGTCCCTTCAGTGCTCCTTTGAACCCTGGATCCACTTACACAGAGAAAAAACATGGGCAGACATGGTGCCTTGATGCCTTTGGAAACTGTTTCCTCTTTCAGGAAAGGAGACTCATTCCACAGTTGGCAACTTTTGACTTCATTTCTTAAAGAGTTAACAGCATTCAGAAACGCTTCTTGCTCAACTAACATACCGGATACTGTGATTCAAAAGGTAAAGGGTCATTTGCTCTAGGAGTTTCAAAACACTGCTGTATTTTGACCTATCTTAATAAAGGTGAGATTTTTGACTGTTTTACTCACTGCTGTGTCACCAGTGACTAGTGCATGACTGGCACATAATAAGTACTGACTACCAGTTTTTATACCAGTGTATAATAAGTGCTCGATAAATATCTGATTGCATGTAGACAAGGCTTCTCAGTCCATAGGGAATGATGTTCTAAAGGTCTCATATCCCAAGACCAGGTAATTTAGATAAGAAAGTCTTGTCATGCAAATGGGGTGAAAAGTGCAAAAGTGGAACAGCATAATTAGAAAGAACCATCTGAGATTGCCTGCCTAATTCATCTGCTACTGCCAAAAAAAAAAAAACAAACACTGCAGCTCGACGCCTATAAACCTTTTCTGAGCAGATGAGGCTACACAACATGTTTATGAGAGAATGAGTGAAACCAGCTATGAGGAAGTTGGAGGTAATATATTTAACAATATATACCATGGCAAGAGAACTGTGCTAAATATCTCACCAGACGTGATTAAAACGAATGCTTGAGAGCAGAATATTAATGAACAATGAAAAAGTATACCAAGACGGAGTGAAGGGAGCTCATAAATCAGGACATACTTGAGTGAAAATAACAGAACAGTTAATGTTTGCGTTTTCTACCCTCACTGTGAGTACCATCCCTTTTGCACATGTTATTAATACTATCATACATGAAAAATTACAGAGCAAGGTCTGAGGCAGTTTAACAGTTTCTGAAGAAGGATGGGACTGAAACTCGTCTGACTACTCTGACTGTTAGACTTGTAGTATTTGAATACATCACAAGCTATTAGGTGAAATGTTAGTTGATATTGGTGTTCAATTAAGGAAAAAACATCGGGGGAATCTGATTGCCATCTGTCTTTTTCTTTTCTGTTTATCAGTAAGTGTGTGAGTATGAGTGAGTGCGTGTGTGTAGTAAGCATTCAGATTTTAAAAAGTCATTTTATGTGTATCATTTAATCTTTACAACAGCTATCAATTACGTAAATATTACATCGAAACACTTAGAACAATGCCAGGCATAGAGTAAGAAAAATCCAAGTGTTAGAAAAAATATAGCGGTATGTGTTCAGTAAAGGCAACATCTACCTTATGCCTTTCCATGTTTAGGGTACAAACCCAAATCCTCCACACATATTATCCTAGTCCAGTCCTCACAACTCTATGATGCAGATCCTTACTTCCTAGTTTGATTTACTGTACTAAGGAGAAAATCTGAAATACTGGGCTGGTAAATGAATCAAGGAGTAGAGCCAAGATCTGAACCCAGGCTTCTTGACTTCAAATCCCATGGAAAGTGAGATCTAGGGAGAAAGTAACTTTTCTGAGATCACACAGGTATTATGTGTCCAAATTTGAATATGAACCTAGATTGGCTACTCTTTCTACTTGTGGCATAATAAAAAAAACAGTATTTAGCCTTTGGTTCCTGGCACAGACTCCTGTAATTCTTGGAATTTCCTGAGGGAAAAGACTGTCTTTTGTTATTCATAACAGGCACCTTTCAACCATATCTGAGTTTATGCTAATGAAGTGACTCACAGTGGACCCCTGGATACCTTGAGAGTGGGAGCCTATGACCAGAGGCACCACCGAGGAACCAAACATGTAATTGGACGTTGTGAATTTCAACCCTCCCCACCCCCAACCTCCAGGGAGGAGAGGCTGGAGATTGAGTTCAGTTACCAATGGCCAATGATTTGACCAATCATACCTACAACATGAAACTTTGATAAAAACTCCTGAGCAACAAGGCTTGGGGGGCTTCCGGTTGGTGACACGTGGAGGTGCTGAGAGCATGGTGCTCCAGCAGAGAGCCTGGAGTCTCTGCACGCACTCCTTCTTCACTCCCACTTCTCCATATCCTGCTCTATGCATCACTTCCATGTAGCTCTTTTGGAGTTGTAACCTTTTAACAAACTGACAGTCATAAGCATAGCACTTTTCTAAACTCTGTGAGTCATCTTAATGAACTGTCAAACCTGAGGAGAGGTTGAGGGATCCTTCTCAAATTTACAGTCTTCTGGGAAGAAGTGTGACTAGCCTGGGGACCCCATTTTTGGCTGGCATTTGTAGTGGGGGCATTCTTGTGGAACTGATCTCTTAATCTGTGGGATCTGCACTGACTGTGGAAACTTAGTGTCAGAACTGAATTGATTGTAGGACACCCAGTTGGTGTCAGAGAGTTGGTCATTTGGAAAACCATATATCACTATACCTCTTAAATTCCATATTCTGTCATTTTAAAGAGAATAAAATGGCCATTGATGACTTAATTACTGGATTTACACATATTCCATTATTTCCATTAAAATGTATGTCTCTTTCCTTTAACTACTCATTCAGGTCAAAACGTAGCCAGAAAGTGTTCCTGTAAATCTTCTGTGAGCTGATTGGCCTAAAGCATGCATTCTGTTGATCTGTGTTCTAATTCTGACTGAAAAGCCATATGTAGGGAAATGTTTCCTTTGTGAAAGTCAGAAGAGGCAATATTACTGAAAATATGATATTATAATGAGTCTGTTGGGATTACCAGTTGTGATTGCTCTAGGTCAAGAGAAAGTCAAGAAAAGATGAGACTATCCTTGCTTATAAAACTTAGGAGACTTTATTGACCTCATGATGCACCCCAATATTTCGGGAACACAGTCATCATCTATATTGTAAGTGCTTAAGCATTCCAGGTGGTGTATTTGGACTAGAAACTTTTTCTATATCTTTTCCAGTCTCATCTCAATATGAGGTTTTGCCTGTGGAGAAACCTCAGAACTCTGGGATAAGGCAAAACAAAACAAAACAAAACAAAACAATACATAGACTGATCATTAGAAGAGACCATCCTCCTTTAGGACTTACTTGGCCAAGTGGGGCAGGGGACAGGGGCACGGCTGGCAGAATTGGGGTGCTCCCCTGATGGAATCTCCGATATAACCATCCAGACACTTTTCACAGTGCTCTCCTGTTGTGTTCCGCTGGCAGTGCTATGAGACAAAAGACAAGAAGATTGACAAGGATGCGAAAGAAATTTTAGAGACAGCACATCTAAGCATCATGCAATACTTTTTCAAGCAAAAGGGACATCAGATCAGACAGCACAGACTGTATGCGGCAGTACAGATTAGCATGAGGAGTCACACTGGCCCCAGTCAATGCCAGAAAGTGTGGGTAAGTGGTGAATTAATTTTTCCTGGGCTTTTGTGTGTGTGTGCTAGTAGCCTGGGGACTCTAGAGTTTGTGTGCAGAGGAGATTATTCATCAGTTACTTATTTCAGTTCAGAGTGATAATCAGAATGATCAAACCCTGGATGTTCCAGAAATATTGGCTTATTGACTTCGAATGAATATGAAATGAGAAACCAACCAACCAACCAACCAAACAAACAAACATCCCCCTGGTACTTATCCATGGCAATGGGAACAATAAGGATTTATGGTCTTGGAAGGATAAAATGTGTCAGACTGTAGTATAAATGGAGTAGAAGGTAGATAAAGAGCATTCTGCTCATGGGTTGGTATCTTGGATAGTGACATAGAAGAATCAGTAAGGAGGTTTTTTTTTTGTATGATTTTCCCACTTGTAGTAAAGATTATAGGAGTAAAAGCACAAAGCAGGCTGACCCTTCTGTCTGGAATGCCATTCATCATTCAAGATCACACTAGGCTGCAAAATCTCTTGAAAGTACATCCTAATTCTCCCTTTCAGGATCCTTCCTTCTTTTCCACTACCCATATTGTAGTGCTATTATCTATTCTCAGCCTCATCACCCCTCCCCAACTCTGTGTCTTTCAGCACTGTATTGCCATTAACTCGAACGGAGTAGGCACTCAGTAACTGTCAAACTGATGGATTAATTTCTATAAGGGGCAGTGAGCTAACACACAAACAGCTTTCTTCTATGGGACTATACTAGTGGTACAAGGCAAAGCCATTAGCTCTATTTTTTTCATCTTTACATTCATCAGAGTGTATAAAGGTTGAATTGGGGTTGCAGTGAAAAATTATACTGTTAGAATGTCATTGAAGAAGCACCCTCCTATTTGAGCAATTGCCTTAGTCACACCGATGCATAAGAGCTTCAACAGGACAACTTTTTTAAAACAGTGGAGGAGCCTTGGGAAAGCAAGATGGAGTAGCAGTAGACTGAACTCTGAGGTCCTTATTTTGGCCTTTATGCTTTATTTGAGGTTCAGAATAAAAGAATAGCAAGGCCCTGCTCTAAACATTTTGTATGGATTAACTGACTTAATTCTCACAACAATCCTGAAGTAGGTTCCTATTTCCCCTGCCACCCTCACCCCTGCCATTTTACATCTGAAGAGATGGAGGTGCAGAAAGATTAAGCAAATTGCCCGAGGTCACACGGATAGTAGGTGTCAAAAGTGAGATTCAAATTCAGGAAATCTGGCTCCAGAAGTGAACTTGTTAGTTTCCATATTATACTGCTTCTCCAGTAATGTTGAAGAAAAGGCTTAACAAACAGTAGTAAAATGAATGCATTAGAAGGCATCAGTGTTACTAACACTTTGAGCTTCAATTGAAATATAATATTAATACATTAGTCAAAGGGGAAGAATCTTAATAAGGGCAACTAGCTATCCCGGTTGAATGTTCTTCAGGCATTTGATCAGCCATTAGGTATGAGCAATCTTTAGTCCCTGATTAAAATTATGTCTGCAAAGTAGAATTTAGGGGCTAGTTCAGATTGCCTGACAGATCAATGAGAAACTCTGAAAAATAAAGTATGATATGCAGACAACAGGATGTTAACATATTTCCCTTACAGTTCTTAATACTGTGTCTTGTGCTAAGTCAGTCTTTGGAAATATTTATTGGGGAAAAATGAAGGAAAAGGGAAAAGCATGGATTAATGAATTTGTGTCTGGAGCAAATAAAGGAAATTAACATGAACCCAAAGCTAATACAAAGTTGCAGCAATCTCTCATCCCAGGAAAAACCAATGAGCCTTACCCAACTACCATGAAACTAAGCCATAAACAATCTGGCAGGGCTGCTTGTAGGCTGGGGTTAAATTTGTCTGAGTTCTTGCTGGACGGATGAAGCCCCTCTCTGCAGAAGAAAACAGGCCCATTGTAAGATGTTAGGCCATTCTTTGTGCCCAAAGTGACTACTGTGTTGCAAAAATGAGCTAATTCCCAATTCTGTCCCCTTATGGCTCGATAGATGCTTTAGATTCCTTGTCAGGGCTTTAATTCTGCCATGGCAGCCATGGGAAGCAGTGACCCTCAAAAGCAAAGCCACCAAATTTCTTTTGCCCTCTAACTGCTCAGAATGCAAGTATGAACTTTCCTCATCTGCCTTCTTTCAAAAGGTTTATTATGAAACTCCCTAAAAGGCTTCAATGCACATTCTGGGAGATTGGCAGACAGAGTGCTGGAGGCAGGGAGAAAAGGTCCCTAGCTCTTCCACTTTCTAGCTGGTCAACTTTGAACAAGTCTCTTGACCTTCCTGGTTTTCTATTCCCTTATCTGCAAAGTGATGATTTAGACTAGATGGCCTTTCAGGTTTCTTCTAGCTCTGATAATTTTTTACTTTGAGATTGCAAAATGTCTTCTGTTTTACCTTCAGTGCTCTGGCATTTAAAAAACAGAAAACAAATATGACAACAATAAAAAAGGTATGTTGTTGTGAGGTGAATGGTTTGGCTCTGGGTTCCCATCCAAATCTCATATTGAATTTTAATCCCCAGTGTTGGAGGTGGGGCCTGGTGGGAGGCGATTGGATCATGAGGGTTGTTTCTAATGGCTTAGCGTGATTCCCCTAGTGCTGTCTTGTAATAGAGTTCTGAGATCTGGTTGTTTGAAAGTGTGTAGCACCTCCCCCTTTGTGCTCTCCCTCTCTCTCTCTCTCTCCCCCACCTCCCACTGCAGGCCATGTGAAGATGTGCCTGCTTCCCCTTTGTCTTCCATCATGATTGTAAGTTTCCTGAGGCCTCCTCAGAAGCAGAAGCCTGTACAGCCCACAGAAGAGTGAGCCAATTATGCCTCTTTTCTTTATAAATTACCCATTCTCAGGTACGTCTTTTTTTTTTTTTTAATCAAAAGAGTAAAGTGAAAGCAAGTTTATTGGCAAAGCATAGGAATAAAGAATGGCCACTCCATAGACACAGCAGTTAGGTATGACTTTATAGCAGTGTTAGAATGGATTAATACAGGAGGAAAAGTTCATTTTTTAATAAAACTGACTCCACTTAAAAATGAAATTAGCATTCTGAACTTTTAGCCAGTGGTTAAGAAAGCTATATCTAGATAATCGATTGCAGATAAGTGTTGGGATTGCCATTTGGACACCAACTGTGTCTCCCCAACATGAGAAATGATATCTCTCATGTGCTTGGTCACAGGACCAGAATAATGTAGGAAGAAGGCTCAAAAGAATCTGGTTAGCCTTCCTGTGTTTGTCAGTGTGCTTTATGCAAGACTAGATCCATGGATCTCTAAGTATGCCCAGGGAGGTCAAAACTGTTTCTAAATAATACTAAGATGTTTCTTATATTTTGCATTCTCATTTTCTCATATGTGTAAGGTGAAATTGTGTAGAGGCTACACAACACAAGATATCACACAGATTGATGCAGAAGCAGATGGCAGAATCCATCTTCTTCTATTAAGCCAGATATTAAACATATTTTCAAGTTGTAAAATATGTTTGTTTGATAAAAACATATTGTCTTAACATGGAATTGGTATATTATTGCTATTTTCAAATGAATTTATAAGGATTAGAAAATTTTTCAGTTTAAATTTCAAATGCCGTAAATATTGGTATATATAGTCCACATTAAAAAAAGCTCTCTGGTATCTTTAATAATCCTTAACAGTGTAAAGGTTTATGAGATCATAAGGTCTGCAAACTGCTCTCTGTGTAGATCAATACTTAGCCAACTTCAATGTGCACGTGAATCCCCTGGAGATCTGGTGAAAATGCAGATTATGAGTCAGGATGTCTGCATCCTGAGGGTCTGCATTTCTAACAAGCTCCCAAATATCATCCATGCAGCTGGTCTGGATTACACTCTGACAAGCAAGGGTCTAAATAAAAATACCTAATATTGGCAGCACTGTTTGCTAGTTACATACAGGGTTGGGCCTGAGCCTCAGTTTCTAGCATAAGACAGTACATCTTAAAGAAGTGACCCAAGTATCTCATAACAGTACCATAAAGAAGTGACCCAAGTATCTCATAAATTACAAAATTAAAGATTTTTGCATTTAGGGTAGCTTGTTATTTTAGTAACCTATTCATTCATTCACTTAACAAACCTGAATTAAGCAGATATAATAGACAATGAGCCATATCTGTTATTAAAATGAAGAAGACCTGGTTCCTGCCTTTGAGTAACTCACAGACTTGTGAAGAAAAGAGACAGGTCAACAAAGAACAATACAGTGTGTGAAGGCTATGTCTGAGGTATGCAGAAAGTACATACCTGTTATGGGACAAAGATGAGGGAAAGGCAGCTTTTAGCTCTTCCTGAGAAAGTTGGAGAAGGCTTAATGGAGGTGGTGACATTTGAACTAAGCCTTAAAGTTGTCTTTCAAGAAATCTCAGGTAGAAAACAGGGGAACAAGTTCAGGCACAAGAGAGTGAAAGAACAAAGTATGTTTAGGTGGCAGTGTGCTCAGTGTGGCTGGAGGAGAAACTCCTGGAGGATTTTGGAAAGTGGGATGCCTTGATTGGGTTGTGTTTTTGAAAGACGTCTCCATTGCTGTGTGGGAGACAGAGTAGAGGAAGGAGAGTCTGGAGCAGGGGATGGATGATGAGTTGTTGGGAAGCTGTGTCAGTGGTCAGGGAGGTTGTGGCTGTGAATTAAGGCAGTGGGAAGGGATAGAAGAGAGCTCTCTCCTAGTTTGAATTGGTAGGATATGATGTGAAACTGATGGTTGGGGAGGTAAAAAAGGAGGTCGATGGAGCATGGGGGACCAGCAGAGTAATGCTGTCACCAACTCAGGTGAGGAGTATATGGGGAGGACCAAGTTCAGGTTGGGAGAGAAAGGATGAACAATGTATAGATAACTCATTACTTGCATTCAGTTTCTGTCATTTTTTTTTTTTTTTTTAACAGAGTCTTGCTCTGTTGCCCAGGCTAGAATGCGGTGGTGTGATCTTGGCTTACTGCAACCTCCACTTCCTGGGTTCAAGTGATTCTCATGCCTCAGCTTCCCAAGTAGCTGGGATTACAGGCGCCCGCCACAATACCTGGTTAATTTTTGTATTTTTAGTAGAGATGGGGTTTTGCCCTGTTGGCCAGGATGGTCTCGAACACCTGACCTCAGGTGATCCTCCCACCTCGGCCTCCCAAAGTGCTGGGATTATTGGCTTGAGCCACCGTGCCCGGCCAGTTTCTGTCATATTCTTATGTTGATGGGCACACAGCAACAGGGGACTCCATTGAGCTGTCCAACCTTAGAATCCTTTGGACACGAAACTTTCTGACTTTCTTTCAGAACTTCAGTTATCATGGAACCAAACTGATGATGCTTTCCAAAATTTCAAATTTTTCCAGGTTTGCAACAGATGGAAAAATTGTCAAAGTTTTCATGAAAGGATTATGCACTTGATCTAGATACCAATTTACAGTTGCAAGAAAAACAGGAACAAGAAGTCTCTATAATCAGTTTCTTCCTGTTCTTCGACACCTGATGAATATGCTGGTTTATTGATCACACATCCTTAGTCTTACAGGGACTTATATGGTTGATTTCTGCCTTACACAGTAATAAAATAGAGTTCAAAAATCATGAAAATGCTAGTGTCTGCAGAAACTGAGATGTAATACCTTTGTTTTCCTGAATAGGGTTTTAATTAAGCTCTGAGACTAATAAGAAACAAATTAGCCTTCAATATATTGGATTGCTTCCCTTCTCATTGTGCCTAGGGTAGGCTGGAAGTTCATCTGGGTGAATTAAATTAATGGACAAATTAATGCTTAATCAAAAGGAAAATGAGGAGCCCTGTGCCTGTGGTGAACTTCAGGTCAGGTTTGTCCCATTCTAGTTCTGGTCATTGGGCTCCTGGCTTTCTCCTAATGACAAAGCACCCATTCTTTAGATGGTAACTAACCTTAGTTAGAGCTCCTTCTGGGTTCTATGTACTTAAGCCTCTAGGGCTGGGATGAAATATGGATTATCTGTGACCAGGCATTTCTGCCACCAGCCACCTATCTGCTTCCACTTGTTTTTTCCCCTCAATTTTTATCTTGTGCCTCCTTCTAGTACCTTTATAGAGAGCCAGCCATATCCACCAGAGTTGCCTGCCTTTGGGGCCCCACCGAGCTGACTCAGCTGAGAATCCTGTCCAATGTGTTCCAGTTCTCATAAGATGCAAAGTGGCCCATTGGAAAGACACTCAAAACATAGTAGATTTCTAAGCTGTTTTATTTTCATTTAGCCACTATTCTATATTTGAAAGATTAGTGTTCCACCAGTAAAAAAAAATCTCTTTGCTTGCTTGATATGTGTAAAATGGTAGCATAATTTTGTATACTCTATATTTTGTGGCTGAATGGCTTAGGTCAGCTTTACCAACAGCTTAGTTAAAATCAGTCTGTAAATTTTAATTTCAAATTGACATTGGACACTGGAATTGAGGAAGAATTAGAAGCAGTTGAAGGTGAACAAGGCAGATACAGAGGTCTTATATGCCTTCAAGATAAAAGCAAAATAAGACAAAATGAAATAAAAGAAAGCCTTTTATTTTTGGTTGCTTACAGGAAATGAGAGAAATGAGGTAAGTCAGGCAACCTGCAAGAACTGACTGAAACACTGGTCATGACAGTGAGCTACAAGAAGTGTTCATGTTGGAGCCCTGGCTTCTCTGGCTCCCTGAGAGCTGAGAATGAACGATAGGGCAGAAGCTGAAAAACCTGGGTCTTCTCCGTCAGTAGTCTGGGATAGCGGCACCAAAGGAAACAGAAAAAAATGAGTTTGATTCCAGTGTGACACCACAGACTTAACATATTTGCAACTAAGTGAAATAAAAAATTCTTTTTATATTCATGTGCAAGCATTTTCTGCCCCTTCACTTACATTTAATTAAATATAAATATATCTTTTTTCTTTTTTTCTTTTGTTTGTTTATTGTACAGATGGGATCTCATTATGTTGCCCAGGCTGGTCTTGAACTCCTAAACTCAAGTGATCCTCCTGCCTTGGCCTCCCAAAGTGCTGGGATTACAGGTGTGAGCCACCATCCCTAGCCACTATATCTTCTTTCTTTCTAAATTAAATTTATAAGAATATATCTATATGTGTCGCTCTGGGGGATAGGAATGTGGGTGATTTTTACTTTGTACTTCAAGCCATTTATAATTAAAATAATCTGTTTAATAGGAAAATTATACTAATGTATCTATATTTTTGGTCTGTTTTCTTACACTGAACATATATTACATTAATGAGGGAAAAAAGATATTTTTCTCCGGACAGGATGAGGTGGAGAAACCATCATTAAGATGAATAAAATGGCTATTTCTTTTTGTATTCATTTTCTGCGTTGGAACAAAGTAGTTGGAGGAATGTTGGCAGCTTCACTGAGTGCACATGTAAATGTGTATATGCTAGCCCATCCCTAAACATTTATTAGAACCTGTTATGTCACAGGACCTTGGAGGGAATCACATGATGTTTGTTCCTCTCACCACTAGGTCAGAGATAAAGCCATGATTGCTCCCATTCTGACAATGTCATTGTAAAAAGAGTGGCTTAGTCATTTCTTTCAATAGACTCTAGCAGGAGGGACTTCTTCCCTCTTTAATTTATCTCAGTCTTGCATAATATTGACTGCCTAACAGCAGCTGATGTGCTTGACAGTCTCCACTGCTTTATATTTTAATAAATCAGATAACAAACAACCTTTAATTGGTCAAATTATCAGAGATGTACGTTATTAGTTCAAGTGTATCCATGGGATTTTTCCCCCCAAATGTCACTGGGATTAAAATAACAGGAAACCGGAGATGGAAGCATTAGAAAGGAGTAGACTTTGGCAGCTGCAGAAGCCTACACTGTGACAGAGGACATCCTGGTTGTAATGCTTATTTAAGAAGATGGGGGAAGGGAAAACAAATATCAGGACTAAATAAACACTACAAAGAGATAGCAACATTAGTATTTTGTCACTTAATTCTCTGTCCCTAGAAAAATGGCAACTTCTAGGGTTAAAGATCAATAAAAACATTTGCATTTGCATCTTAATGTGTGAATAAAATATCACTTTCATGTACACACCTAAGAGGCCATTTAAAATAAAAATTATCTAATAGGGACAATTATGCAAATGTTGAGTGCATTTAAATAAGTATTCTTATAGTTTATGCAAAAATACTCTTGTAGTTTTGGAAAACCTCTTTTTGCCAGATGGGAACTTGAAGAATTTTTCTGCTGTATCACACAGCTCACGAAGGAAAACATGCTATTTGAGCATAAGTTCTTATAAATGCCCTCTATGACTTCCACTGAAGCCACTTCTGGTAAATATTTCAACACCCATTTTCACTTAAGTTGTCAGTCCATTCATTAAAAATGGGAAATATGTAGCAAGTACTTTTCTGCTGGAAGACTTCTCAATCTTTCGCACAAGGCTCTATCATGCTTCAATGAAGAACAGTCTATTGGAGAATTCATTTCAGTTAAGGAAAAAAATAGTCTCCTGGGGGCTTAAACACAGACTTGCAAAGACCACAAGGGCAAAGCTTTCATTTTCATCAGCTATTGGGTTCAAACTTAAATTTCTTTTTTAAAAACTAATTTTGATCTATAGACCTGGTTATTTTAGGTTCTAAAATAGGCTAGGCAACAACTGTTTCATTCTCCTGGTTTATGTGGAACGAAGCCAAACATATGGCAAACTATACGATTACAGAGGAATTTGGATGTATGGGTTCCTCCTCTATGTATCATTTTCAATCCCACCGCCATTGGTCTACAGCAGGCAACCAGCTGCTGAGGGTGGTGGGGCAGGAGCCTCCGGGTGCACGTGCACACTCATGCATATGCCTTGGTGGACCCTTAAAATCAGAAGTAGTTTATATGAGTTGTTTCACAGGAAAAGCTGAAGGGTGAACAAAAGCACTTGATTAGCAGTTTGCTCCTATGTGGCTCAAACATCCGAAAAATATTTTATCTTCACCCAAGATGCAAATGCCCAGTGAAGTACGTGAAGTGTTATAGGTGCCCCAACTTACCACACAGTATCCTGAGCCGTCCAAACACTCGTTGGAATTGCCATTACAGTCGCAGGGCACACATTCTCCCGACAGGGTGTGAAAGAATCCAGCATTGCATTTCTGCAACAGACACACCAAACCATTTTGATTATTGAAAAGATTGATTTTGGTCAATATTTTCTGAGAAGAAATCAGAGAAAGTGATTATTAAACAATCTAAACATTTCTAAAATGAATATACTAAATGATACATACAAAACATACTAAAATAAACTATTTATACTACCATTCAGTGATAGATGATGTATATATAATCTTCTTTGTTACATAACTTTTTCCCTCCTTTCACTTTTCAGGAGAACAGAAATGCCTTTAACACTGTCTTATCATTGCAAGGAAGAATAAGAAGGTATTACGTAACAGTAAGGGAGAAAAAAATGCTAATGTTTTCTTCCAGTATAAGCAAAACAAAACAAGACCACAATTAAGTATTAGTCAGGGTGAGGTCATGCTCCCTATAAATAAAGAAAGACTTCTCGTTTCAGCAATCACTAGCTATAGGAGAGCAACTTAGCTATAGGATAGCAACTGAGTCTTTCATGAACTTCAGTTCTTAAAAGCATCTGTTTCTTCAGATGCTAACATGTTAAAGGGAGGGATAAGGAAGTTAATGAGTTCTTACACTTGTCAAGTCCTGTGTGGGTGCTGTTCATATATGTATTTCATTTGTCTTCAGAATGCTGCGAGGAACACATGACTTTCCCTTATCCTAGTGATGAGCTCATGAGATTGAGAGGTGCTAAGTGGCTTTTGGGGATGTTAAACTATCCTGTCATGCACCAATTGACCTGCACAATCATCAGCTGCCCTCCCCAGATATCATTAGTGTGCCATTTGAGACACATTATGAGATTGTTCCTGGTTTATGTGATTAGGCTGTGGATATGCATTTGATATTTCTTTGGAATGTCTCAGTGATGAAGGGCAGAAATGGCATTATGGGCCTGGAAATCCGCTCCCCGCCCATCAGACAAGTTTATGTCTAAAGAATTCCAGACAGATAAGAATCTGCTTTGTTTCCACAGACTTACAGAGTCCAAGATTTCACATCATACACCCCCATTGACCCATTGTAGTTTGCACTTCCCTGGCGACCAGGAAATTTTCATTATATCTGGCTGAAGTCCCTCTGATTGCTATGCAAACCTATTTCCCCTTGCTTTTTACTCTGTAAAGAAAGAGTCACTAAACACCATTCACAGTATTTAAAAAAAAACACACACATCAGTTCACACTTTAAAACTAAAATTTAATAAACCCCATTTGGAGGAAGTTTAATAAAGAATAACAACATTTGTCTATGAAAAAAAGGCAAGGAAATTCCACATTTCCAAGTTAGAGAAATAAGGCTAAGAGAAGATCAATTTATAATTTTTTAATGGAGAGTTGTGGTTGATGGTAAGCTTCTTAGTTTCCACTAGAAAACAAGAGAGGGAAGACACTAAGATTGCAGTAGGAAGCATTTAATTTAGACCATTTAATTTCACATTTTTAGTCTTTGCCGCAAAGTAAAACATACATGTTTTCATTGTGATGCAGTACACAGATTGGTATCTATATCTATATTGGTGTAGATATGGAGATAGATATAGATATCCATATATATGTGTCTCAGAGAAAAGATTCACAAAGTAATAATGTACCTAAAACTTCTCTATTGTATTTAAGAGTATATCCTGGTCATGACCCATAAAATTGATCTGATGACCCATGAATGTGTTGCAGTTTTGCATGACTGCAGGGTTTTCTTTATAAGAGTAGTGGGTAAGAGTAGTGACGGTCTTAATATTAGTTATCTTAGTAGCCTCTTAAATGGTGGTTTCTGAGCTCTCTAAATGACCATATTACAGTCTTCTGGGGAGCTTCTGATTCAGTGAAACCAAAGGATCTGCATTTTAAAAAATAACTTTTGTGTTTTAGAATAACTTTAGATTTACAGAAAAATTGTGAAGGATCTGCATTTTTAAAAAGCTCCCCAAAGACTCTGATATTTGGCCAGGTTTGGAAGCATCTCTCACAATGCCTTGTATATATTAATTGCTCAATGAACTCTTGGTGATTTGGGTGGTTTGGACAAGGACAGCAAACTGGAGACATATATACTATTGGGAGCCCACAGAATATACTGATAATCCATCCACTGCTCTCTCCTAAGGGTGGATTTCATCTCAACTCTTTGTCAACAGTCCAGCAGCCAGTGCCTAGGTTGGACAGCATGCAAGATGAAATCTTTGTGATGTGCCAAGTTTAGGAGGAGAGTTCACTGTGAGAGCCTGTCATTATCCACTTACCACTCCCCAATCTGAGATTATGACCTTGGGTGAAGGATAACTTGGCTCTGATCTCTTATAATGTGGGAGATGGGAAGAAAAGGGAGGTACGAACAGGGCTGTGTTGAGTCATTTGGCCCCCCGCCGAGAGGGCGAGGAGGGCTGGCAGGGAAACCTGGCACACTACGTTCCTGCTGGGCCTTGTCCACCTGAAAGAATTATATTTTTCAGTCATCTATCTGGGGGCCCTGGGCATGCCCTGCTAGAGCACATGTCCTGGGTAGCTTGCGTCTGGTGTTGTGGAACTTTGGAGGACTCCCTGGAATGGAGTTTTTAAGTGGTTCAAGAGAAGTTTGAGTGTACTGAAGGATGAGCTGTTAAAGATTGTTTCCTTTAGGTGGAAATATTTCATCATGGCTCCAGTGAGTCCTGTTATTTATTTATTTTTACTGAATCTTTCTTTGAAATTTCGAAGGACCTGGCAAAATTGGCCTTTTTGTAATATCAAAAGGCCGATATTTCCAAGTATGAAAGTAGAACGATGTATTTTTAGTTTTGCTCCTGGTTAATGTAATCGTTATCCTTAGTAATTCTAACACCTGTGCTATTTAGAGGCCTGTGAAAGCTGAATGGATTCTCCAAAAATTAGTGTCTATTTTCTTTTGGAAGAGTCTCCACAGTTTACTAAACAAAGATGGTGTTTGTGAATGTCTATGTATGAGAGAGTAAGAGAGGAAGCCTTCCAATCAATTTTTTGATACCACACTGAATCCTCTTTTCCACATGAGAAGCCTGTCCTATACTAGACAACTGTAAAAACACAATCTTAGCATTCAGAGGATCTGTACCTTCTGGGGTGCCATGGCCTTTTTAAAAATTGATAGTAATAACAAGGATAATGATGATGATAATTATAATATAGTGGCCAGCAATGTCATACAACTCCAAGAGTTCAGACTGATCCAAATCTTGTTCTTTCTTTGCTATAACTTGCTGCCCCTCATAAATAAATACATACCTAAAGTTTATTTAATTGAACATGAATATCTACCATGTTTAAGTCACTGTGTCAGTTATGTTGCACAATTCTCTCACTTGACACCACAGTAGCCCTATGAGGTAGGTTCCCTTGTCTTTGTTTTACTGGTGAGGACTTTGTGACTTACAGAGATGTATTACTGAAGCCGGCTAATACAGATAAGAAATGGTGGACCCAGGATTTAGATCCTTCATTTTTTCCCTCAAGTTTTAGCTCTTAACCATCTTGCGTGCCATTAATATATTGAACCAAACATTTCTTGTTGGACATTTAGGTTATTTCCAAATTTTTGCTGCTATTAACATTTCAAAGCAGGCTGAAATGGATAAAAAATGTAAAATGCCTCCTTTAAATCCCAGAAAAAAATCTTTGCTAATAGACACAATACTTAAAAATACATAGTTATTAATATATGAAAACCATTGAATGGGATATTGACTTTTAAAAATATTTATTTTAGCCAAATTTTCTCTTTGACCAATTACCTTCCACTAAGTTACTTGTAGATCTTTTACAGCTCTTTATTATTAAGAGACTCCTATTATCACAGCTTGCCTCCTGCTCTACCATTAAGACTGAATTAATCCATACCATTTACTTCTGCCTTTGAAAAATAAGAGTGAAAATTCCCATTTGCTTACTTTGTTATATTTAGTATGAGGTCTGGCTTGGAGTAAAATCATTGTATGTGTACTTGCCTAATTTTACATTTATGGAAATGAGAACTAGATGTAACTTTATGAGGAAATGAGTGTGGTGTATCTACATGTGTCAATTACATTTAAAGGAACTGGGATGACAGGACATGTTGTTATCACTGCAGAAGGAATTATTTCCAGAGGTTTATCATATGATCATAATATTATTTATTTCATAAGATATAGTTATAATGAATTAAGATTGTTTAACAAAGAGGACCAAGTGAATGACCTTTATACGAGTATCTGATTATTTTTGTCTTCATTTGAAGAGCCCCTTGAGAGCACTAGAGTCATACCAACAATACTGTCATTGGATATAACATTTTAAACATTTTCTAAAAATATTTAAATCACTTTCTTTTGAAGGATAGTCCAGTATGCATGCTTTGGCTATGGCAAACTTTTAAGTCATTTGCAGTTATTAAATAAAGTGGGTACCAATCTAAGTAACAAAATTTTAGTTAAAAAATTTTCACAAAAATCTCACCGTTTCCCAAACACTATCACAGAGGAGCTAATTAATTGCCCACAAGCCACTACTTTTGCATAGATACAGAATCTCAGAGAACTTCAGAATTTCTGTTGAGAAGCCTGATTTATTAAATCACTTACATACTCGAATAGATCTTCTAGGGATCTAAGGTCCCTAATTACCCATTTAAACAAACCAACAATGGCAAAACTTGATGGGATTTAGGAAGAGTTTGAAGTTGTCATCGGAGAGTATGAGATAAATTCTGAGGTTTCTGAGTCCCAAAGAGGATCAGACCCAAGTCTCCAGCTCCAGCGAATGATGAAGAATTAATTATAACAAAATTCCATCAGAAAGAACACACTCTACAGCCCTAGTGTCTATTCTCATAGGAGCTGATTGGAATAGTTATTTGCATTGTGTTTCCAACCAAAGATCTACGAACATATGACATATATTGACTCAACTCATCTTCCTTTCTGAATTAGACTTAGAATTTGATTCAACAACTTTTGCTTCAGTTTATTGAGGCTCCAAATAGAAAGGATAAAAACAAAAACAAACCCAAAATCCCTCTAAATTCATTCACTGGTGTTCAGAATCATTGCTACCATCCAAATTAGTCTTCTTCAAATTTAACAGCCCACATTACATTATCTTTCTGCTTAGGTTTTTGTATGTATTTGATGAATCCACTTTTCTCTTGTTTCCAGACAACAATGATTTTTAGTTCCAGTTTAGTTATAGTGAGTTCCATGTTTTGTTTTAGCAAATAATAAAAGTCAGCTTAAGATAGAATGTTATGCTCAGTTAGGAGCTAAAACTGTGTGCCCTTACTTAAGAGTCTGTGGTTTCTGCACAATGCTGACTTCCATCTGCCTAAAACTTGGGCAGACTTAAGAATCAGATAGTATTCAAGGATTTTCTAGTGGAGAAAAACATGATTTAATCTATTCAAAAATTTCCAAAATATTCCACCCTTTTCTAAGGAGGAATGACTTCTGAGAACATATGAATATATTAAATGAGTAGGTATTTCACAAGCCATTTTTTTCTGTGTCAGTAAAAATAAAATATGGAATATCTGAAATGGCAAGCAGTTCTGAATTTAAGCTTTTGCTAACTTTTGGCTCCATATGTTTTTCAGATCAGGCTTAACATGTCCTGATTTTTAGTGCACAAACCTATAAAGTGCCAAAATGAGCTAAATGGATTATGTGTTGCAGTTACCAAGAAGTTGGCTTCTTGATTGATTTTACTTGAATCTGAAGACAATTACTCACGCATCCTCCCTTGGGTATCTCTAAGCTCTTGTTTGCATAATTGAAATTCCCCACATTTTAATAGGCAAAGTTAATTTTTAGATTTTGACAGCGATTTCACCATAACTCAATTAGGAAAGTGGTTTCAACATTCTTCGGAGGTTTATGCAGTTCAAAGGCATTTTTTTCTTAGGTTGGCATAATAAAGCTAGGCCAAAAACCAAACACAGACTATGGTGCTGGTTTCCCCTACTTGGCCTAGAGAGTTACCTTTGTGCTTACTGCTCAGGCCCCATATCCGCCATGCCTTGCTCAGCTTACAAAACACTCCAGTTCTCAATTTAACCATCAATAAAATAGAGACTGTGACTTAGAGCCTGAGGAATTCCAAGGAGCACAGAGCCATCCTAACCACTCTTAAGCCAAGTCCTTTAATTTTGTAAAGAGTGGAGACAGGGTTATCACATGTTTACATCACATTTCTGTGGCTACTCCTCAGCACTCTTCATGGGCTTCATGGGTGGAAACCAGTGCTCCACTCACAGCTCTCAAATAACAGTCCCTGAACCCTGTTCATCAACTATTTGGACTGTAGATACCAACAGCCTTGGCGTGTGTTGAAGTACTTGCTACGCTTGCTAATAAATAGCCCTCTTTATTTGTCTAATTGAAACAATAAACTAAGAAAATCCACAGCCCCTACAGCCGTACAGGTTTTCTTTTAGAAATGTTGGGTTTGAGGATGATTGTATTTATTAATACTAATGAACATTTCTTTAATTTGCTTCTTGAAAATTATTTAAAGTAATTGTCAAGTCACTTGTTTATAGTAGAGATTGTTGCTTATATAACATAACGAGGCTTCAGTGCTGCCTTTTTTCCTTTGGTTTTTCTAGAAATAAATCTCCTGCTAACATCTGGCTTTCTGCTCTGGGTTCATCTCACATCACCTCCTGTAACTGGCTTGTTCTTTTCACTCCTCGCCTTCCAAGCTATGGTTACACAACATAGCCTCTGATGCTGCCAGATTTTTTTTTTTACATCTGAAAACTGACTCAGTTTTATTTAATTTACTGGGGCAAATGCCTTGGACACATTTCCAAGAAAGGAAGAGATGCGGCACACAAGGGTTAGCAATAAGAATGAGTAGAGAGAAAGGACTTCAGAATTATAGGCATTTAGGGGATTTTGATTTGACTCCTTAGCTACTTAGAAGGAATCAATGTTGTGAGGTGAAAGACATCTCTGTCATCTTCATCTGGTTTTTATAAATCACAGCTAATAATTTACTGACAGACACCAAGCACTGAGCTAAGTGCTTTTTATGGATGATCCAGTTTGATCATTACCATTTAATGACCTACAGTCTTGCAAAAGTCTGCCTAAATTACTTTTCTTTTTATAAGAAGTTTGGAGGATGAACTGTCTATAAATGACAACAGCTTCTCTTCAGTGTACTCAGGGAAGGCAGTTGGGTTGTTTCATCAGCGTCCATTGCTGGTAGATGACCCTGCTTCTGTCTTGAGGTCCTGTGGGTATTTCAGTGCTATTCTCACCCTAGATTTCTCAAGATGCAAGGCACAAAGTGAAAGTGACTGGCAGGACATGTCTTTCCTTCCTTTTGCTCTTCCTCACAGGTTTTTGCATCACTGAAGAAATGCTATTGTGAATTAATAGGAAAAAATAAATGTATCCCAAACTTCTATTGTACCCTCTTACTCTCAGCAGCTAATCCTGCTTCTTTAGTGAAAACACAGAGGCTATTGGGTGGGAAATCTCATACTGTCTTTTTTTTCTAAATTCCCCTTTGTCTTGACTCATCCTTGTGTCCTCTGCCCATCTCAGAAGCAGTACTCTTTTCACTATAGGAAAGAGAAGCCTTCTATCTGTGCTCTGGGATCCACGCATCTCTGGCCATCACACCTGGCCCCATCATCTGGCCTTCCTCTCACATACCATGCACTTTCACATCCACAGGGATGAGGGGAGGCAAAGAGAACACTTAGGTGCTTCAACCTGTGTTGGATGAGCCTTGACATCTTTACCTGGGCTCAGATCCAAGAATATCCTCCCTCCCCTTTATTATCCTCCAAGAATATCCTCCCTCCCCTTTATTATCCAAGAATATCCTCCCTCCCTTTTATACATATATCCCTCCCTTGGGTATATATCCAAGAATATCCTCCCTCCCCTTTATTGTCTGCCTCCCCTTTATTTCCTTCTTCTTGTCCAGCAGATCTTGAGTGAGAACTTAATCGCACTGGCTCTGCTTCCTTCATGCTATGCTGATCCATGCCTCCATCCATCGTCTGGCTCTGCTTCCATTGCACACTGAAATTGCCCTCACAAAGATGGAATTCCAGTACTTAACATTGTTGATGGCTGGGTGCGGTGGCTCACGCCTGTAATCCCAGCACTTTGGGAGGCTGAGGCAGGTAGATCACTTGAGGTAAGGAGTTTGAGACCAGCCTGGCCAACATGGTGAAACCCCAACTCTATTAAAAATATAAAAATTAGCCAGTGGTAGAGGTGTTTGCCTGTAATCCCAGCTACTTGGGAGGCTGAGGCAGGGGAATCACTTGAATCCGGGAGGCGGAGGTTGCAGTGAGCCGAGTTTGCGCCATTGCACTCCAGCCTGGGCGACAGAGCAAGACTGTCTCAAAAAAAAAAAAAAAAAAAAAGCAAACATTTTTGAAATTTCTTCCCTCCTTGAAGTTCTCTCTTCTCCTGATTTCCAGGACAACTCTTTCTTCTGGCTTTTCCCCTGCCTACCTTTCTTTCTCAGTTTTTTTTTTTTTAATTTAATTTTTTTTTGGCAGGGGACGGGGAAGGGGCAGAAGCAAGTGGTTCATCTTCTGCTGCTTCTACATTGCTGGTGTTCTCCAGGGTAACCTCCTTAGCCCTCTTTTCTATCTATACACTTTTATGTATGGATGAAATTTGTGGATGATGTTAATCCCTCCCCCAATTTTATCCTCCAGCTATATTTTGGTAATTCCTAAGTCTCTCTACATATCCCTGATCTTAGTTTTTTATGCCACCCCCTTGTTTCTAAGTGCTTGTTAGACAAGCCCATCTCCAATTTTATAGGCACCTGAAGTTGAGTGTGTCCCACACTGACTTTATCATAGCCTCTCCCAAATCTCTTTTTCTCCTTATATTATGTTTATATTATGTCTCAGTTAAAGATAAAGAATATATAACATAAAAAGAAAAGGTAATGGGCTAACACTTTTAAATTACATTAATGTATTTTGCATTAAAGTAATTTTTGGAAATACTTCCAGAAGAGGGAATTCCTCAAGGATCAGAGGATGGTTTGCACATAGAATGACACAATGTAAGCACTCAAGTTATCTTACCTTTCAGAGTCACTGTGCTATTATCGTTTATTTCGAATCTGAGGTTTAAATGCAGATATATGAAGTACCACAGAGATTAGAGTCTCAAGTGAGATTGACCTTACACAGTTCTGAACTGTTATAAACTTACTCTCTAAACTGATACCCCTACCTATGCTGGGGTGGGCTGTAGGACTAGGAGTTCTCCAAATGTAGTAAACAATGTTTACTAAAGGTTAAGAAATTGGAATGTGCTAATTTGAAGTTTACATATTTGTTATATTATCAAAACTCAACAGTAACCACAGCAACTGCTTAGACCTTAAACAACAAAAGAGTTCTCAGGGAGGATAATTTTGTCATTGACATTGTTTAGAATTGCTGGCACATGGTGATAATAAAAAGCAGACTGAGTTTTAGTAAGTTTTATTGTTGTTTTTAAATTCTCTACACATAATGCATGCCCTTGCGTCCTCCTGGGTTAGGCTGTTCCTACCTCCTGCCTCCCTTTGTAGGCTGCTGCCTTGTAGAGTTTATGCTCTGCCTCTGAAATACTACCAAGGAGATTCTTCCTCCTTGTTCCCAATACCACTATTTAGTTCAGGATCTTGGTGTTTCTCTCTCGGATAATTATAATTCTCTCCACTCTACTCTCTCCATCACCAGAAGTTCTTCCTTCCAGTTCATTCTTCATTACCAGAATTAATTAAAAACTCTTATCGTACTACTTTTCTACTTTGAACCTCTCAGTGGCTCTTCATTCATTACCTACATGAATATGTAAAATTCCTTAGCATGACATACAAGGATCCAACCTTAAACTATTTCTTTAGGATCAACCTTGGCTCCCTCTGCTCTAATGCAATCACATACCCCACAACCCTCATGAATATCATGCTTTGGCCCGCCTTGCCTTTGCATATACTATTACATACGCTACAGAGGCCTGGGATGTCTTTCCCTACTTCATCTCACCTGGGAACTATTTCCCTAGACTTTCAGACTCAGTCACTCACATGGCACCTTGCACAGACTTCATCAGAGCACACGGAACATGACATTATAAATTTTAATTTATACTCTTGCCTCCCTGAAATCACTGTGAACTCCTTCAGAACAGGGATAGTGTCTTACTCATTTTTGTGTCCTCATCACCTATCATAGTCATTCGCAAATAGCAAGTCAATGCCAAAAATATGCTAGCAGAAAAATGGGTTTGAATTGGTAAAGAATGAGGCAAGTGAGGGCAAATTGTGCCAACACTTTGGAGAGCAATTAGGCAAATTTCACAAGTGAAGATATCTCTAACTACAAATGAATCTTTTAAATACAATATTGAGGAAAAAGTCAGTTGCAAAGGAGAAACAGTATGATGTTTATACTGTATTTTAAAACATGCAAAATAATATGATGTAATAATATATTGTGTAGGGATACACATATATAAAGAAAAGTATGAAGAAAGAAATAGGAATCTGAGAAATCAGGCCAGTTAAGGGTAAAGGAGTGGGGATGAGACTGAGAAAGAGTCTCAGGGCTTCGACTATTTTATTTATTTATTTATTTATTTATTTATTTATTTATTTATTTATATTGAGACGGAGTCTCGCTCTGTTGCCCAGGCTGGAGTGCAGTGGCATGATCTCAGCTCACCGCAACCTCTGCCTTCCAGATTCAAGCAATTGTCTGTCTCAGCCTCCTGAGTAGCTGGGATTACAGGCACCTGCCACCATGCCAGGCTAATTTTTGTATTTTTAGTAGAGACAGAGTTTCACCATCTTGGCCAGGCTGGTCTTGAACTCCTGACCTCGTGATCCACCCGCCTCGGCCTCCCAAAGTGCTGGGATTACAGGGGTGAACCACCGTGCCCCGCCTGACTATGTTATTTCTTAAAATCCATGGAGGACATACACGTTCTCATGAAAGAATGAAAGAAAGAGGAAAAGGAGCAAATGAGGAAAGAAAAAGAAAAGAAAGGAAAACAAAAGATCCTACTTAGGTTGTCTGGATATAGGATTTCCATGTCTATACCCGGTGAGATCTCTAAAACATCATCTCTAGGAAGTGACTAATGTGGTCTTGACAATAGATTGAGACGCTTGTGTATAATTTCCCCAACTTCCTGGTTATTCACTTTATGTATCATTATTATTAACACAGTTTAAAAATAAGCAAAATAACATTCCTTACTTAATTTGTCCTTCCTTTGTTTTTCACCTTACAGCTAGCAGCTGCCTCATCCCATGTGGCACATTTCACACATATCTGTCTTAGTTAAAGCATACATCAGCCTTTAGGTTCTTCTATAATATTTGAGTGGCTACTAAATCTGATTTCCACTAATTATTTTATGCTAGCAGTAAAGCTACATGTCCGAGGCTACATGTGCAACTCAAAGGACTTTTACGGTGCTTATTTATTCTAGTTGGGCCTTACTATTTAAGGCAGAGGTAAAAGATCCTCAAAATAGTGCACAATACTCTCATTTTCCAGTTGACTGAGAAATTACAATATTAAAATTTAAGTAAGAGGGTTTAGAGGCCAGTTTTCTGTCCTAAGAAAGGATCTATGACCCAAACTCAGACAGTCTTGCTTCCTTAGGGATCAAGAGAGCTAATAATGGGAGCCCTAACTATCTGTGGCCTTAGATTGGCAGAACATGACAAGAGTAACCCACAAGCTCAGGCCAAAGGTTGCCCTGTCCAGCTGGCCTGGAGTTGAAATGGGGGAACCAGGAGAAGATTGTGCAATAATTCAAATGAAGCTGAACTACGGAATTTAGATTATGTTCTTATAGTTTGCTAAAAATTTTTTATATAATCTCTTCCTTTATGTGAAGGTAAAATAATTTGTCAATTAAAGCAGATGGTAGTAGATGCTTTTGGGAAGGCTTCCTCTAGACAAAAGGAAATGGAAAAAGCCATGAATTTCAGGAGGGGGCTTGTCACTGAGGTAGTCAGGCCCAGCAGGAATAATCAAAATTCACCTAAGAGAGTGTAAATGAAGAGAAAGAAGAGAATTAGAGTTTACCGAATTGTGGGCAGGTTAAGGGAGCAAGGAATGGAGAGGCCATAAAAGCTAGAAACAGTAAAATTTGCAAAGATCTGCTCCCTCTAGGGCCCAAGGGGATAAAGAAAGCCTGTTACACAAAGCCAGGGAAAGCTGGAACTGTGGAGGAGGGGAGCTTGCCGGCGGGAGCTGCCATCTTGGGAGTCATGGCTTCTGCCTGAACAGCCGTGCTGAGGCAGAGAGGAAGTGGAGCAGAATGGCCCCAACTTTCCCTTCTCCTATTACTTTCCCTGAAATGCAAGGGAGCTTGTGTGCTGTAGCCTTTGGGCATCAGTCTCTTGAGGCAGGGGCAGATTCTGGATCTGGGGGGACAGGTGCAGAGTCACCAGCACACCCTCGTTCTCAGGGTGCTCAAGCAGTGGTAGGAAAGACCAGCTGGCTCTTGATCTGGGGACTATTCAGTGGTCCAGCAGATGTGCGAAGTGATACCTGATTCACTTTCTTTCTCAGACAGTCCAAGGTCAAGGACTCTTTCAAATAATCAAGTTGCCTTTACCAAATTTCAAAGGCTCATTGAAAAATGTTAATTTACCAACTAGGATGGTTTTAAATCCTAAAATAAAAGCACAGTCAGCTTTTGTTAGAAAATTATTAAATACGACACCAGAAATCCCTGTGGCTCATAGACTGAGCTAGAAATAGGCCAAAAGTTTAGGCTTACTTATATTCAGCTTCTTTCAATCATGTCTTCCTCATGGCCCCATTTCTCACTTTCTTTGTTGGTGGAGAGCAGCCCATCTCCCTTGCTTTCCTCTCCTCCTCTTTAAATAACCCTAATCCTCCTCAGCCTTCTTCAGGCAAAGTCTCTGAAAACAGCCAAAACCATACCAACACCCATTATCTCCTCCAACATCCTGAACTCAACTTTCCATTTCAAAAAGTTGAGTTCAACTCTTTGAAGTCATCTCTTGCAAGATAATTGTTCTTTGTTGAAATGGAAAGGTCTTTTTAGCTGTAACTATTCTAAGCCTTCATTTAGTGGTGACAACAAAATTTCGCATGGTCTCACTGGGGGCCATAGGTAGGAAACGGCATGGACATAAGTGCTTCTTACAAGGCATATTTCTGGAATAGCTAGTAGAAGACTGAACAGAGCTAACAAATGGAATTCTATCCATCTGGGGATTGAAGTTGCACTATCTAAAGAAAGATGATTGCACTATCTAAAGAAAGATGGATTTCACTCCGCGTATCATAATTCCTCTATCATAATTTATAACAACTTGAGCAAAATGACATTTTCCCCTGTTCAATTGATGGAGCATATTTTCAGAGAATCAAAATAGATAAGGGTTTGTATTCAAAGGTGGGATCCATGTCAACTAGTCAATTTTGATAGGTTTCTCAATACAATTGTAGTGAATTAAATGTTAAATGAAAGAATCAAGAACGTTTCATATGTGGGGAACAAATTTCTTTAAAATTCTTTGTCCTTTTTTTTTTCTTATGCTTCTAATAGCTCTGTAACTACTTCTATTTCCCCAGGAACATGCACATTTAGGTATTACTTCTTTAGCATTTACATACAAAATGGCTAGGATATGATAAATCTACTTTTTGCCATTTTAAGAAATGTCCATGTATGTCTGTGTTCAGTCCCCATTTGTTCACCATGCACCTGGCAGCTGTGCAGTAAATGCTTGTTGAGTGAATGAATGAATTTCTCCTCCAAATGTGCTTACATTTAAGATAGCACAGCCTCTAGACCTAACTGATTGATCTGCCATGGGCATGACATGACACACTGCAATCTGTTCCTTGCAGTGGATGTAATTTCCTATAGTTAAGTCCTTTGGAGACAGCCTGAGGCAGCAGAAAGTCTGAGATCATCAGTATTTCAGTTCCAGCTCTACCTGGGTGACCTTGCCCAGATTATTTAACTCTAGGCTTTGGTTTCCCTTTCTGAAAAAATGGGGCTGCTCACCTTATTACCTTCTAGAATGGTTGTGAGGATCAACTAATATTTAATGCATTTAATGTTCAATATAAAGGCATAGAAATTGTTCTGTAACTATTAGTTTCTTCTCTTCTTTTTGGACTTGTCTGTACCAGGGTTATTTGTTTTAACTGGTTCTCCTGAGTGAGCTGCCATTCTTTTTTTCTTTAGGGCACACAGCTTAGCAATGTTTAAGTTAGTAGTTCCTTGTCTTTCTTCCTTGGAAGACTTAACTCCCTGAGCACAGAAACTGGATTCACCTGATTTGTTGCTGAATCCTCAGTGCCTTCATAGAGCAGATGCTTAATCAATATGTATTGGATGTGTCTTGGCATTACAGAAACACAGAATGCCAGAGCTGGGAAGGACTGTATCTAATTCTTAATTTTAAATTTGGGAAAACTGAGGCCTAGCGAAGAAGCAACTTGTTGAAAGCTGTTTACATAGAGCAAGGTGATGCACCATTAGTGCTCTAGTCACTCAACCACGCTTCTTGATGAGGATGATGATGAAGAAGAAAATGATGCTGGAAAACTGTGGCGTTATTGCTGAAGCTCACACCTCTTTTGGGCCTGCAAACAAACTTATGCTGTCCATCTCTGCCTTTCCCTGGAATACCCGGGATAAAAGTCATCTCTGTTCAAGTTTATCAAATTTATCAAGAGTCTCATAGAAGATATCCCATTAGTATGTCTCCCTTTTTTCTCAGGAAAGTGCCATTGTCATCAAAAGGTCTTAATACCACTCCCCAGTCATCTTGGAGGGGAGAATGCAGGTGATGGATGGGGTAAGGTGGAGTGACCTCTCTTAAGCAAACTCAGGTTTGCTCCATGAGTGTGTGTGGCTGAGTCCATATGGACACCCAGACTATCAGATAGTCCTCAGAGACAGCCCATTAGGCCTCTCTTATTACTTGGTTTGACATATGGCAATTATTCTCAATTTAAATACAATAATTTATAACTGATGTTTTAGTTTTTAACAGTTTTTATATAGTGTAGATAGAAATAGACCACGAAGCAAATAATGCAGATCCCTCATTAGCAAAGTCAACCTCAATAGAAGCCAGTCGTATGACATCCAGCTGTATCCCTGACACCTCCTTTGTTCCATTTGAGGGATCTGACAATGGGCCCTGGAAAAGGATGCCTCTTTGTGTAATATACACCAGCATGTGTGCAGGTGTTTCCCTCATGAATCAGAGGCAGATGTCTGCTCAGGCAGAATATGTGGCAGCTTGACATATGTCTGGCCCCACCTAACAGGAAAACTGTGGCCCATAAATTGTACTAATAAAATACCATCACTGCAATTCTGACTGAGCCATGAAACCAACACCTTCATCCTTCAACACTAAGGAAGGCTATACCCCACAGAGTGTTTGTAACCCGTTCCAAACTTAGGATTGTGTGTTGAACTCCCACTCTGTCATGTGTTTTATGAGTCAAATTTTATGAGACAAATGATAATGAAATTCGACTCCAAGTGCTCTTATTTGTAAAATGTGAGCAGTAGAACCCATTTAGCAAATATTTTACAACTCTGCTATGTGTCAAACACCTAAAAAGCCTCAGAAGAATGGATCTTTAGGCTAAAATCCAAGTATTTCAGAGTGGCAGTCGGCTCAGGGACACTGGTAACAAGGCCATTTCCAAATAGTTCATTAATAAACAAATACACCAAGCACCAACTGCTTACAGAAAGCAAGGCAGATGAATTACCATCCTGAACACTCAGCTCCTTAATTTGGGGAGCTTATTTAAAAAACAGATTTTGCAACAAGTGGTAAATATACAGGAATATAATTTTAACTACAGTATCACAAACCATTCATAAGCTACTTCTATTCCTTTTAAAGCATGAATGGTATTCAAAATTGCTACAGAATTTCCATCCTTTTCATGTTATTTAAGGGTATTTTGTATTATTTCTTCCCCTAATTTCCCTTCCCTAAGATTTCATTTTTAGATTTTTGTGAAATACTATTTAATGTAAATATGTATTTTCTTTAACTTTTCATTTATAAATAGCATAATGTGTACATTTCTTTTGAGTAAAAATTTTGGAGGATAGTTTCAGAATTGCTTTACAATATACCATCATTTTGTAGCTTTGAAATTTTGCCCCCAGATAACTGTTGTGATCGAGATAGCTATTCTGTTACAGCACGTTTCTAAAAGTGAAGGTAAAGAACACAAACTAAAGTGAAAAGAAAATGACTGCAAAGGGAATGGCAATGTCTGGGGTGCAACAAATCTAGTATTCACACTGCCATTTTAATGACAACAAAATAATACACATTTATGAAAGGAAATGAATGGGGAAGGCTGAGAGTATTTGATTTAAAGCAATTCTGTTATCTGTCATTTGAAGAAAAAAATTGTGCTGATTTTAAAACAATACTTTCATTACAGATGTTTCCAGACCCCTTCCCTGATCCAAGGAAACAAAATACCATTCAGCAACAGCCCAGATTTAGAGATGGGACTTGTTCCAATATAAACATTTCTTAGCTAGACCTTCTCCATGAAAGTGCATAGTCAATTTTTCCATATACAGTGGGAAAGACAAAGCTTTTAGCTTAAAAGGCATTCTCACTCGCAGCACGGAGCTCCTGGAATGAGCAGCCAGGGACACCGTGGTTGACTATTGATGTCACGCCAAATGCTATCTTGACTTGTTCTTCAGAATTACACAACAGAATCGTATCAGAGCATACACATACCATGAGCAGAAAAGTAGGCACTGTTTTGGATTTCAGTATTTGGTATGGTCATTTATTCATTTTGTCTCTGCTTCATGTACCACTGGCTATCCAGGGCCCAGCCCAGGGGCTGGCACAAAATGCGTTTTCAACAAATAATTGTGGAATGCATAAACAATTTTTTTTGAGCACGAATTTTAAAAGGAACTTGCACAGGCAATTTGGGGAATCAGAAGATGAATCATGGACCCTTCTGGCCTTCAGGGGTTCAATGGGGGAAATTTAAGCTGTATCTGTAACTTACTAGAATATCTGGAAGAAAGTGCTAAGAGCTATAATATCATGAGAGGTACAAAGAAATGCTGAGTGAGCTAAGAAGAGCAAGAGATTACTTTTAACATAGGGAAGAGCGGGAATCAAAAATGGTTCTTTGGTAGATGTGCGGTTTGTGGAGGATTTTCTGAAAGGAGGAAAGCTGAGGCTGAAAGAAAGCATAGGGCAATTTTTAGTTTACTCCTCATAAGGTAGAGAGGCTAAACTTATATTCTGTCTGTTGTTTCATTGCTTCAAGCAGGCATCTTTCACTCCTGGTAATCTCTCTCAATAAAAACACCAATGAATTTACTTTTTTTCTACTTGCTGGGAATTTCTTTGGAAGGATTAGTTTAATATCAGCAATTAAATTTTGTGACATCTTCAGCAACCTTCTGGCTTACAGTATACTCACATGGACACGCCACCCTCTCTCCACACATTGTAGATAATATTGGAGGCTTGCCCTAGTTCCTGAAATAAGTGTTAGGCACATCTGGAAGCCTTGTTAATCCTTTGGGGCCACCAGGATCCCATGAGTCACTCTCATGTGGCTTGAAAGTTAGGAATCTTGGAAGCAGTAATAATTTTCAAGTTATAACTTATACATAGGAAGAACGTCATTCAACTATAAAAACAAATTTTTTTTTTTATTTTTCATTCTGCCGTTTGATGCATTTTACCCAAAATGAGCTAAGCAAGATAATAAGAGGAACACTTGGTTTTGTGATTCTCTGAGTAACTGCGAGACTGGTTTAATGAACTTAGAACCTATCAAGAATGAAAACAAGAACCTGGTGCACCTGGTTTTTCAATACTCTACTGTCATCGGTATATGACAGTAGGTTTATGTCATAGGTTTATGACAGCTACTCAGTGACTAGCTGAGATATAGCACATAAAGTATTCTTATAAAGCTTTGACTACATTTTAGTATATTTTTTCTTTTTTGAAATTTGTTAATTTCTGGATGATTTGAACTAACTCAAAGGAAATTCATGCTGATTCATGACTTTGAGGAGAAAGCGCATTTTCTAGATAAACATGAGCTTGTGTTAGCAGATTAAAAAAAAAAAGAGATTGTAATCAAAAGAAAACCAACGTAGTTTAGATAATCTCAGATGAAGATCTAATGTCATAACTAAAAAACAGATCCAACACGTAGCTTTCAACATAACTGAATGGAAGAGAAGACAAAAAATGTGCTAAGAAAAAAATAACAGAATGCTTATTTCCACCGAACACTTTGATATACTGCATGTCCAAAAACATAGGGCACAGGAAAAATGTGCTTCATCTGCCAAAGTAACCACAAATACTGTTTGAGACCAGGAAGAGCCCAGCCCTTTAATAAAAACCTAGAAGTTTGGAGAACCTTACAAATATCTTTGGATATCCAAATATCTTCGGATATCCAAATATCTTCGGATAATACTCATAAAGATGATTACTCTGACCTTACACAGACATCAGCTTCATCTTAAATACAGTATTATTCTCACCATACTGAGGATCCTCCTGACATCAAAGACTAGGGTGAGAATGAGGCGTGAAAGTGCCCACCATTTTGAAAATGGACCATGGAATGGGCAGGGTTAGAACTGTCCTGCCTCCCAAAAACCTTCCTATTTTGCAGACCATGTGGGGCTGCCCCAAACCCCTGAAATACCCCTTTTTCCTTGTCCTCTATTAGGTTCAGGGCATATCTCAGCAGATGCTGTTCATAGCAAAGTCCCTGGATTATATCATAAAGTTCTGTAGTTCTGCTGGGAATTGGCAGATTTTCTCGAGAAACAGGTATTATATATATTTTTTTGCTGTTAGAAGACTAGGGTGATTTCCCTGTGACATTAACAGTAGAAAAATTCTACATATAAAAATGGAGCTGCTGAAACTCAGAATTGTTATAAATCAGGTTGACAAGGTCATGGAGGGGTACAAGTGCCAGAGTGGACCACTTTGGTGCTATCAACGTTTCATTTTCTTCATTAATTTCTCACATTTCAATTGTTTTGGTACATGATAGGGAAGTTTCTTAAGGTCATGTGGAAACCTGACCGATCACTGTGTACAGGAGGAATACCAGACATGATATGGTCTAGGAATTTTAAAAATTAATTCTTAAACTTTTAAAACAAAAATGTTATTGTTCATTTTTGAAATAGATCTTTCTTTCTTCCTTTTAAGATCAAGGATGTTTTGTTTATTTTTATGTGACCACCAGAAAACTCTAGCCGGAAATTCTGAAATTTTAATGCACTTGAATGCTTACTTTCTAAGTATAGGTGCTGAGAGCATGGTTTAAGGGGTTGATAGCATATGGGGCCAAGGCAAAAAATGCTTGAAATGAAAGAAATGGGATGCATGATTTGGTTATAAATTAAATTCAAAATTGAGATAAATATAATGACCAAAGGCGAAGAGAACTTTCAACGTTTTAGCAATTGAATTACTTAGTTCCAGGACACAGATGACTACATAAGTTATAAGGCGAAGGTAAACATGGATATATTCTTGTCTGATCCAGCTCACTTAATGTCTCAACACCCCCGTGACGGCGTCCCTGCTCTGTGATGCAGTAGAGAAAGACAACTGACCTCAGAGCCAGGAAACTTGGTTGTGGTTCCAGTTCTAGAAACCCTGTGTGGGAACTTGGGGAAGTGACTCAACTTCTAGCTCTGGTTTCTTCCTCTTCAATGATGTTAGCAGCATGATGATTTCCAGGCTCTTCACATTCTAACAGTCTAGAACTCTGTGAAACTTCCTGCTGTCTCAACAAGTTTCCACGCTAGGAGACTTTGGGCTTATCATTTAACATTTCCATGCTTTCATAAATTAGATGAATAACCTCCGGACTGCCTGGTTTGTAAGATGGTTGTGAAGATTAAAGGTGGAAATATATAGGAAAACACTTTGTAAATCATGAAAGCTTAATAAGTATCAACACTATTTTCTACCTGAGTCAGTAGTCATTGGAAATTCCAATATTTGGCAGTTGTGAATAACTGCCAATTTAACAGTTGTTCAATATCAACAGCTTTTTAAAAGCTGAGGTCTTCAAGCTACAGGTAGAAGGAGATAAAAGAAGCTTTCCTAATTCATTAGAACATCAGTTCTCCCCAGGTATACTGCAGATATGTTATAAGGCAAATTAAAACAAGCTGCAGTTTGCCTTCATGACACTATGAAATGCTTAGGTTGCTGCTTTTTTAATTCGCATGGAAAACTAAAGTTTTTGATGCTTATTTTCTTGATTTTTATAGACATAATGTTCATCATGGAAGTACTTTTCCCCTTTGGAGATCACTGGAAACAGCTTCTGGACCACAAATGGGGTGAACTACTGTATCGAGAAAGGAGAGAGTAAGACTTGAGAGCTATCTTTTTAGCTCAGGGTGCAGGTAAGAAACTGTGGTTTATGTTTCAGAATAAGATGATATTCATTGCGATGGAATAATTGGTTTAGAAGAATAAAAACTGAATGAACATCTGGTCCTTCCTATGAAGATCAAATGATAGTGGTTATCTGGTCTACCCACTACCATCCTATCCTCTCTCCGAAGCTCCTTTGTTGTTGTCCTCAGTACTCCCAGGTTAATGACCGAGACAAAAGTGGAATTTCCTAATTTCCTTGAAAAGGGCCAAAAATACCGTCAGACAGGGAACAGGAAGCATAAAAATATCTCTCAGGAGAGCACCAATTGTTTAAAGATTTCTAGCTCATGTTTGGAGCTATTACAGGGGTGCTCTGAGCATCAGCTGCTCAATGCAACCAGTGACAAGTACTGGCCCAAGGCAGACGTGTGTACTGCTGGGAAACTGCCTAGGAGGCACTGATTTGAATAAGATTTTGAGTAACATTTTGGAGACTAGTCTTGATGTAGAATATCAGCTTGGGAGGCCCCAGCATAGTGGTTCTCAAATATTTTAGAGCAGAGAATCCCTTTTTTAAAAACCAGTAAAATTTCATGTGAAATTCATCTATAAAACAGATAAAAAAGAGGCTGCTGTGATTGAAGGAGGTAGGGAGCAACCTCCCGCTGCTCCGGAGGACTTGAACCCTCAGGCATTTCCATGGAGCCTCAGTCTGAGAGCCACTGATTTAGTAGGTTTTATGTTGAAAGGTCTCTGCAGAGACTTCTCTCCCATGATTTAATACATTTCTACACACATCAGCAGCAACTTTGACTTCTCCTTCATCCTTACTCTTCAAACATATGACAAACCATCTTGACAGAACCTTGGCGATGATCCCAGCATCTGTTCTCTCCTTTCCAGACCACAGCTAGCATCCAAATCCAGGCCTCCTTAGGCCCTCCTGGATGGTTACCAATGCACGACATGGGTTATCCTGATTCCAGGCTCTCTGCCACCTATTGCCCAATCTAGCCAGGAGACTGTTTCCCGATTAATGTTGACAAATCATGATTCTCACTGTGTTTCTCTTTCTTCTGCTATGAAGTCTTTGATGGATCCCTGTGGTTCAGCCCAACAAACTGAGACTACTTCCCTTTCCAGAAGAAACTCTGTGTCTTTTTATTTACTCATCCTGTCCCCTCAGCTTGTATTCTTTTCCTCAATCTCAAAGATTCAACTCAAATGCCACCTTGCCCATGAAGTCACCTGGGAATGTTCCACCAGGAGTGAATGTTCCTTCTATATCCTTGAAGAGTTTTTGTAACATAAGAAATTAGTTGTATTGCATTATTAGTGTGCTTGTTTCGTCTGTGTTTTACTCATCTTTGTAGGATACTTGGCACTTGCTGAGGTAGTGTGCACCTTTTTGCTAAAAAAGAGAGTGAAGATATTGATACTGATCAATCGAGTGTCCCTGGATACCTAAGAAATACAATGTGGCAGTACAGAGCCTGACACACTATTTTCCATATTTCAAAATATTGAATTAAAAGTTGGCCAGGCATGGTGGCTCATGCCTGTAATTCCAGCACTTTGGGAGGCCGAGACGGTTGGATCACTTGAGGTCAGGAGTTCGAGACCAGCCTGGCCAACATGGTGAAACCCTGTCTCTCCTAAAAATACAAAAATTAGTCAGGCGTACTGGGCACCTGTAGTCCCAGCTACTCCAGAGGCTGAGGCAGGAGAATAGCTTGAACCCAGGAGGCAGAGATTGCAGTGAGCCGAGATCACACCACTGCACTCCAGCCTGGGCGGCAGAGCAAGACTCTGTCTACAAATAAATAAATAAACAAATAAATAAAAGTAATAGTGACATATTTATTAAAAATGTATAATTAAAATGAAGTGCTAAATATGGCTTTTGCTTAAAGTTAAAACAGGGCAATTACACGCACTATCTTATTTTCTCAGAAGATTTCTTTTGTGGTTATAAATTACTTTGCCTTATTAAGAAATGAGTTACTACTTAATACATTTCACTTCGTAGGTGTGATGAACTGAATTGTGTCCCCTCAAAATTCATGTTGAAACCTAACCCCTAATGTGACTGTATTTGGAGATAGTGCCTATAAAGAGGTAATAAATACAGATAATAAAGATTAAATGGGCTGGGTGCGGTGGCTCATGCCTGTAATCCCAGCATTTTGGGAGATCGAGGCAGGTGGATCACTTGAGGTCAGAAGTACAAGACCAGCCTGGCCAACATGGTGAAACCCTGTTTCTATGAAAAATACAAAAATTAGCTGGGTGTGGTGGCAGGCACCTGTAGTCCCAGCTACTTGGGAGGCTGAGGCATGAGAATAGCTTGAACCCAGAAGGTGGAGGTTGCAGCAAGCAGAGATCATGTGCTACTGCACTCCAGCCAGGTGACAGAGTGAGACTCCATCTCAAAAAAAAAAAAAAAAAAAAGAGACCTGAGTCTGGAGTATTTTTTATGGCATTTTTTATTGACCTTAAGCCACTCAGTCTGGATTATTTTTTATGGCAGCCCCAGCAGACTAATAAAGAAGGAAAAACATTTTAAAACATGAGGCTAGAGGAGGAGGAGAAATAGCAAAGAGATGCCTGCACATTAAAAGTTGGGGTAACATTATTCTCACACATTCCCCCATTCAGGTTACAATGCATTTCACAAGTGACTGCTGCTACAGTCCTTCTCTTAGTTCAGAAGGCCGGAAGACTACCTGGGTCTGTTCCAGATCAAGTCACTACTACCTTGAATGGTACCTTTCAGCACTACACTTGTATTCCTTGGGGTGCTGAATGAATAACTCACTATTTCAGACAAATTGTTTTATATAGTGCTTAAAGGAGTTAGCAGCCTATGTTTCTTTAAGTCTGACTTTTGAGGCCGGGTGCGGTGGCTCATGCCTGTAATCTCAGCACTTTGGGAGGCCGAGGCGGGCGGATCACGAGGTCATGAGATTGAGAACACCCTGGCTAACACAGTGAAACCCCGTCTCTACTAAAAACACAAAAAAATTAGGCAGGCATGGTGGCGGGCACCTGTAGTCCCGGGAGGCTGAGGCAGGAGGATGGCGTGAACCCGGGAGGCGGAGCTTGCAGTGAGCCTAGGTCGCGCCACTGCACCCCAGCCTGGGCGACAGAGCGAGACTCTGTCTCAAAAAAACAAAAAAAAAGTCTGACTTTTGAATCCTTTTCATTGTTAAATTTCCTTTCTTTTTCTATTGTCATTTGTAAAGAAACATTTTAAAAGGTAAACTGTTTCTAAACCTTCGTTAGTTGTCCTGATTGACATACTCTGTCTAATCATTTCTCCTGAGGTCATTTTTTTGTTTAATTGTTTTATTTTTAATCTTTGTATTTTTTTTAAAATTGTTGTGGGTAAATAGTAGGTGTATATATTTATGTGGTATGTGAGATGTTTTGATACAGGTATGCAATGGGAAATAAGCACACCATAGAGAATGGTGTATCCATCCCCTCATTTATCCTTTGAGTCACAAACAATCCAATTACATCAAGTTATTTTAAAATGTACAATTAAGTTATTATTGACTATAGTCATCCCATTGTGCTATCAAATAGTAGGTCTTACTCATGCTTTCTATTTTTTGTGTGCCCATTAACAATTCCCACCTCTCCACCAACCCCCTACTACCCTTCCCAGCTTCTGGTAGCCATCTTTCTATTCTCTATGTCCATGAGTTCAATTGACTTGATTTTTAGATCCCACAAATAAGTGAGAACATGCGACATTCATCTTTCTGTGCCTGGCTTATTTAACTTAACATAAAGTTTCATCCATGTTTTTGCAGATGGCTGGATCTCATTTTTTTATGGTTAAATAGTACTCTATTGTGTATATGTACCACATTTTCTTTATCCATTCATCTGTTGATGGACACTTAGGTTGCCTCCAAATCTTTGCTATTGTAAACAGTGCTGTGACAAATATAGGAGTGCAGATATTTCTTCTATATACTGATTTTCTTTTTTTCAGGTTATATACCCAGCAGTGGAATTGCTGGATCATATTGTAGCTCAATTTTTATTTTTTATTTTTTTTAGGAACTGAGGTCATGTTTTTACTACTGTGTCAGCTCTTTCCATATCCTTTTCAAGATCTTTTAAGTTGTAGGTCCACAAAGTAGACTCAGGACTCTATTGAAAAACCAATGCTCAGCATAGCTGGAGTCACATGAATATATATATATATATGAATATATATATGAATATATAGGAATATATATATGAATATATATATGAATATATATGAATATATATGAATATATATGAATATATATGATATATATGAATGTATATATATGATATATATATGAATGTGTATATATATACACATTCAGAAATCTCAACGACTGTTACTCCTCCTATGTTTAAGGGAAGGACTCCCCATTGTTACTGAGATGATACTTACTCTATAACTTAAAAACAAGGCCAAAGACCAAATATACCACTTATTTAAATGTTCTTTACAGACTTGTCAACTGCTAAGACTACTGCAGTAGTACGGGAAACCTTTATTAGCTGGGGTATTGCTAAGGCACTCTGAGACTTAGAAACAGATGTTAGAGGGTCATTATAATGTGAAGGTTAGGAGCTTGAGGTCAGATTTCCTAGCTATGACCATGAGTTACTTAACTGCTATCTGGCTCATTTTTGTCATCAGTAAAATGGGGTTAATATTAATGCCTTCCTCTTGGGGTTGTTATGAAGAATAAATGAATTTATAATACACATAAGTACTTAGAACAGTACTTGCAACACAGCAAGTGCTAATCAAGTGCTTAGTAATTATAGCTAAAATGCTGCATCAAGGATAGCTGGAGTCTGCAGGGAGAATGGGGACGTCGGCTCTGATAGAGAAGGAGACACAGACCTGACTCAAAAGCACTTTCCTGCAGATTTCAATCCCTATAGAAAAGGACCAGCTGGAGGAAGAGCAATTGGCAATTTTCATTTTGGGGAACTGGGTCTTCCCTGTCTCCTAACATTATCTTTCTAGTCTAGGACACAGACTGCACTCCTCACTCCCTGAAGACACATCCTGAATCAGAATGACTCCCTTGTTACCAAGAAAAACATCACAATCCCACTATTCCCTGAAAAGTGTGAGCAACATCCTATTTTTGAGCAGATTCCCCAAGTAAATTCTTCCCCTGCCTCTGCTCTACTTCCTTCAAGGACACAGAGTCTTCAGTGTTTTGGTATCTGGGCTATGGGTGCTGAGAAGAGTTAGGTGGGAGTAAAAAAACCTGCCATGTCATTTCATGTCTTTTCTCAAAAAATATGTTCTGAGCACCCAGTGTGTGTGTGCCATGGTTTCAGGAAGTGACTTTATCTTATCAGCTTCCTTTAGATGCCTCAAAGTAGCAGTTTGCTTTGAGGCTTGTGTTTTATTCTGAAGTACACATTTTCAGGTAGTATGGGTGAGCTTGTGAACCCCCTTACTAGACTTAGCCATAATTTATGTTTTTTGGGTCTTCCTCCATAATTATATCAAACATTTTTGCCATTTTCTGCATTTGCAATTTCCCCTACATCCATTCAAAATTCAAGCCCACCTGTATTTGAGAGCCTAGCATTTCTCATATTTTAATGTGCAGATAAACAGCCTGGGGATATGGTGAAAATGTAGATTCTGATTCTGGGGTGGAACCTGAGGTTCTGCATCTCTAACACATTCCCAGGTGATGCTGATGCTGCCATCTTTGGACCACACTTTCAGTAGCAATGTTTTAGACCCCTCTTCCCCATAGCCAGCGACAATCAGCGCATTTAGACACTAGTGCACACCCCTCACACACCAACAATTCTGACTTCGAGACAGTTCCTTGAACATATTTGCTTCCACATGTTGTGTTCTGCAAGATTCTTCTTTACATTGTTATTAAGATTTAGTGGACAGCTCTACTCTGTATAATATAATGTGAGTATTTCATGTTGATGTTTATAATGATTAATAATCTGTCACTGGCTTTCCCTTCCTTTCTCATTGAGTAAAAATACCTTCTCCTCTCTGGACCCTCTGCCATTTGGCACTGAACTGTTATGTGTTGACATGAGTCTCTGCTCAGTAGGTCTCCAGTCCCTGATCTCTTCCATTGTCTACTTTGCTGTCTCTCTGCAGTGGGGATAGGTTTAGGGTCATTCTGGAGGGTCCAGATAGAGTAGGGGGTAGCACCCTTGGACCCTGGCATGGGAGACCCATGAACATTCATTGACCACATGGAGACACACTTAGGCTGTCTGGGAAGCCTCATTGTTGTGTCACCTTGGAGAGGCTCATGTCTGTGGCTGGGTTGGTAACCTGTGCTGCAGATCAGCCCCAGCCCCACATCTGGAGTTGTTAGGAACCACCCCTCCCCACCCCCTACCACAGGCCAGGGCCCTGTGTTTCTTTCAGGCTCTGGACTCTTAAAGTCTTGGGTTCTAACTAGGGCAACAGCTATGACTATGTGATTCAGTATCTTAAGCCAGGTTCCCTTTAACTGGCGTAAATTTTAACTTATTTATTAAATAATTGTAGAATTTTGTTGCTAGAAGTAATCAGTTTTAATTTTTTTTTAGTATAATTGAGGCCCCAGCAGTTATACTAAAACTGCTGGGTAGAGGAATTGACCAGGTTTCTTTACCTGGCAAGGGTGATCTGGTTGTTAGTGATGGAGCCAAGAATCAGAAAGTTACAGACTCATAGTCTAGCTCTACTCAGCTCCATGAGAATCTCCTACTGATGACTCAACTTAAGGATAAACAGAAACAATAAAGAGTAAAAGAGTAATAATATATTAGAAGTAGATATCTTTTACAAGATATCTAGATATGCTCAGGTAATAATCACTAGTTCTAAAGCTAGGATGAGGCTGGGCATGGTGGCTCATGCATGCAATCCCAGCACTTTGGGAGGCCCAGGCAGGGGGATTGCCTGAGGTCGGGAGTTCAAGACCAGCCTGGCCAACATGGTGAAACCCTGTCTCTACCAAAAGTACAAAAATTAGCTGGGCATGGTGGCGGGTGCCTGTAATCCCTGCTATTCAGGAGGCTGAGGCAGGAGAATCACTTGAACCTGGGAGGCGGATGTGGCAGTGAGCCAAGATTGCACCACTGCACCCCAGCCTGGGCAACAGAGCTCTGCCTCAAAAATAAATAAATAAACAAAATAAAGCTAGGATGATTCAGTCCATTAAAACAATTGAAAAGAACATAAGGCAAAAAGTGAGAACCAGCAGGACTGGTTTCACAAGGTAACAGGTCACAAAGACCCCGCAGTAAAGAAGCTGGCCAAACCACGCCAAAACCAAGATGGTAATAAAAGCCACCTCTGGTCTCTGTCACTGCTCATTACATGCTAATTATAATACATTAGCATACCAAAAGAAACTCCCACCAGCACCGTGACAGTTTACAAATGCCATGAAATGTCTGGAAGTTACCCTATAAGGCCTGAAAGGTGGAGAAACTCACGGTTCTGAGACTTCCCCATCCCTTTCCTGGAAAACTCATAAATAATCCATCCCTTGTGTAGCATATGATCAAGAAATAACCATAAACACAGACAACCAGCAGCCCTCAGGACTGCTTGTCTATAGAGTACGCACCCTTTTATTCCTTTACTTTCTTAATAAACTTGCTTTCATTTTACTCTGTCGGCTGGTTCTTGAGTTCCTCCCTGTGTGAAGCCAAGAACCCACATGGCCTCCCAGGCTGAACTCCAATTTGGGGGTTTACCCTGTGACACGTGTACTACTGCTAATGGGCATTGTGTCCCGGGGTCAAGCACCCACACCTCCCCTCTCTTCTCACGTACAAAATGAGAGAGTTGAATCTCTAAACTTCCTAAGTCTGACATTCTATGATTCCTTTGATTTCATGGCTCATATTGCAAGGTATGATAGATTTATGTAACCAATAATAACCACCCACTGACTCTGCTTTCAAACAGGTCTCCTTTATGCTGAATTCTGTGCTGCAGGAGAAGCTTCAGGTCTCTTATGAATGGAATTTCAGGGTGTCTATTGGCATTAATGGTGGCAGACAACAATTTCAAAGGAACAATATAAAATGAGGCAATTATTCATGTACTACAATTAAACCGCAGCCCATCTCCAGATATTCAGACCATTTAATCTCCAAATAGCAGGCATTTAACACCTCATCTGTGACCTGGGGGTTGACAGAACCACCTAGGACTCAGGACAGATAGCAGGAAAAGAGGTAACACTTAGGTAACACCTTCAGCTTGTCAAATTGTATCACTGTTCATCAAAGGGAAACACACACATGTAGCCATGAAGTTTGAAAGGCATCCTGGACTACCTCTGCTGTGGAAGAAGAGGCTTGCCAGGGTTTTCAGAACCCGAATTTGTGCTGTGGCTCTGTGTTGTGATTCTAGAGGGTTCTATAGTCCTAGCATCCCAGGGCCTGAGGCTTACTAGACATTTCTCTTCCCTTTGGCTGGTGTCTATGTTATGTGTTTCTTTGGACTGACATTTGGCTTTCTAGAGCTGCTTGGTTCAGCATGCCATGTTGCATTTCACTTTGTACATAGACAACAGTGTTCCATGTAATAGTTGTGTGTGTGAGGGAAGTTTTAGTGAAGGTACTTTTGATTCCTAGAGTCCTTGATTTCCTTTGAAGCAATCATGCCACTCCAAAATGGCATAATTTCAAAATAAATATTAATATGCAAAGTCTTCATCATGCTCAGGGGCCCTTTTAGCTGTAGAGTACAGCCTGGATGACTGGTCTACTCTGCAAAGACTTGTGCTAATGCAGCTGTTAATGTTACGGGATTTCTCTAACTCATCAGTTCTCATGAAGTAAAAAATGTGTATACTTCACTCCATTTAGGTAAACACGGATCTCTAGCCTCCACCAAAACACAACATAAAAACTAAGAAAGTCCTGGGAGTGAAAAGAAGGTCATTTTGCATATTACTCAAATTATATTCACCCGTCTCTCCTCCCGCTTTTAACAGAATTTGTTTATGTATTTTTTTCTTTATGGAGAGGATTTGGGCTGAATATGGAAATTTTCCCATTACCATTCAGCTTCAGAATGTTGTTTCCCCCAAGTTTCTCATGATAAAAAGACTCAGATTCAGAGCCGAACTGCTGGCAGCTGAATTTCATTAAGACTTTGATGGGAAACTTAAGTTGGAATTACAAACATCTGTGGTTAAACTTCCCTTTAGTAAACCATTTCCCAGAATTTAACTTTACCACACCAAGAGCCAAAAAGAAAAACAGTTGAAAAAAGAATGCTGCTCTTTTGCAAATATGAGTAGGTATTTAAATATTCTTCTGTATGGTCACTATACATCAATAGACTAGGTTTACTTATTTTAGAAAAAAATGATTGTTTGGAAATGCTAAGGTTTGGACTCAAAGCATATACTAGCAATCTGGTTTTAATGGCTTTTAACCAATCAAAGTTCTCAAAATTATGTCTGGCCATCATTATATTTATGTGGTTACTATAAGCCAGAAAAAACTCTAAAGTAGGGGAGTGTTTTTGGCATTTTAATTCAAGAAACTGTGACAAGTCAGATTTAGTATTTAATTATGAGAGGAAAAAAGGTATTATCCTTGTCATATCAAAGCTGCTTTTTTTTTTTTTTTTTTGAGATAGAGTCTCGCTCTGTCGCCCAGGCTGGAGTGCAATGGCACAATCTCCGCTCACTGCAACCTCCGCCTCCCGAGTTCAAGGAATTCTCTGCTTCAGCCTCCCAAGTAGCTGGGATTACAGGCACCTGCCACCATGTCCAGCTAATTTTTTTGTATTTTTAGTAGAGGCGGGGTCTCACCATCTTGGCCAGGCTGGTCTTGAACTCCTGACTTTGTGATCCACCCATCTTGGCCTCCCAAAGTGTTGGGATTACAGGCGTGAGCCACCGTGCCCAGCTGCTGTTGGCTTTTTTCTTTAGCTTTTCTAGGGATTTAGCATTCATTTCTCTTAACTGCTCAGATCCTCCTATTGCTGGGGAAAGGCTGTTTAAAGAACCATAAAAGACACAATGATTATAAAAACTAAATGACAGCCTTCTTCTCCAATGTTGGATAATCAGCAAATTTTAAGCAAAAGTTAAAAGTACTCGAATTTATGGAATAAGTAAAGAGTTTGATAACAAAATACTTTTAACAAGATAGTGTAGAGCTTTACCTGAAGATAGACAGAGGCAGAGAGTGGAAAAATGAGGGAAAGGAAGGAGGGACAGACTGAGAGAAATGAGGGCTAACTTTGTGTTGGGCAGCTTACATATATTATTTCATTTAAATTTCACAAGAATTTTGCAAGGCAGGTGTATTTCTATTTATTTTACAATCAAAGGAACTGAGTATCTAAAAGATGGTCCAATTTGCCCAAAGTCAAACAGCTAGAAAGTTGTGGAGCTGGATTCACAGCGCATCTGTCTGGTTGTAAGCCCATATTCTGCCTGTAACGAAAGGTGAACTTCAAAATATTGTAAAGCAGAGGCTGCAAATAAATGATCTTTAGGCTGAATCTGGCCCTCAGATGTACTCAGCCTACAGGGCATTAAAAAAAATTTGAGTCAGCAATTTCACTTATGAATCCAAATTCTGTCTTCTTTTGAAAAAGACACAACAAAACAAAACAAAACCAGAAGACCTGGCAATGCTGAGAGGTGGCTGCCACTCTGGAAGAGGGATTCTTCCATTTCCTGTTATCGAGGCCCACCACTCACAGGATGCGTTTCTTTACCGAGCTAGATTCACTCAATTCTTTTTTACCTGGCCCCTATAAGACTCCAAGTCTTAAAACTTTCTCTGTACCATATGATCCAGCAATTCCACTTCTAGGTATACACTCCCAAAAAACTGAAAGCAAGAACTCAAACAGAGGCTTGTACAGCAATATTCATAGCAGCATTACTCACAGTAGCCAAAAGGTAGAAACGACCCAAATGTCCATCAACAAAATGAATGGACAAAACATAGTGTACATATAAACAGAGTATTATTCAGTTTTAAAAAGGAATGCAATTCTGACACATGCTACAACATGGGTGAGCCTCAAAGACATTATGCCAAATGAAATAAGCTAGGCACAAAAGGATAAGTACTGCATGATTATGTATATGGAGTATTTAGAGTAGTTAAATTCATAGAGACAAAGTAGAATTGTTGTTGCCAGGGGCTGGAGGAAGGAGTTAATCGGAAGTTATCATTTAATGGGTTTCAGTTTGGGAAAATGAAAAAGTTCTGGAGATTGATGGTGATGGTTTTATAACAATGTGAATATAGTCAATGCCACTGAACTGTGCCCTTAAAAATAGTTCAAATGGCCAGGTGCAGTGGCTCATGCCTGTAATCCCAGCACTTTGGGAGGCCGAGGCAGGCAGATCACAAGGTCAGGAGATTGAGACCATCCTGGCTAACACGGTGAAACCCGTCTCTACTAAAAATACAAAAAATTAGCCAGGCATGGTGGCACACGCTTGTAGTCCCAGCTACTCGGGAGGCTGATGCAGGAGAATTGCTTGAACCCGGGAGGCAGAGGTTGCAGCGAGCCAAGATAGCACCACTGTACTCCAGCCTGGGTGACAGAGGGAGACTCTGTCTCAAAAAAAAAAAAAAAAAAAGTTCAAATGGCAAAGTTTCTGTTATTTTTATTTTATCATGTTAAAAGAAAAGACTTCCTCTGGTTAAATCAGAGAACCCTGGAACACTAGGGAATGGAATTCTTTACTTTTTAGCAATGTTATAATAAATTCCATAACATAGACCAGGTATTCCATAGGTAATACTGTTATGAATTTCCTACTTATTAATCTAAATCAACAGCTTTTAAGATAGACTGTAGCATCACGTGGAGGACACACCCTAGAATATCATTATAAAGAGAAAATAGGATAAGGAGACTCTATAGTTGAAAAAAAAAGTGCTCTATCAGGAAGACTCCCTGGTATACAGAAAGCAGAGAAAGGAATATGAAAATTTGGTTAAGGTAATTACCACTCTTAAATGTCAATGAACTCATCTGTAAAATGGGTATAATTTTCACTATTTAGTATTAAGACAATTCATGGAGGTTGATGGGACATAGTAGAAGTCAACAAGTATTAGTTTTTTTCTTTCTTACGTGAGTAGTTTTAAAAAGTAGTCATTAGGCTAGACGGAGAAGGGAAGTTATCTCAACTTTTTGTAACTTATGCTACTCATCTAACAAGCACTGCAAAAATGGTCTTTAAATTGCATTTTATATTTCTTCATTTAAAGAAATTCCCAGCAGGGTGCGGTGGCTCACGCCTGTAATCCCAGCACTTTGGGAGGCCGAGGCGGGTGGATCATAAGGTCAGGTGATAGAGACTATCTTGGCCAACATGGTGAAACCCTGTCTCTACTAAAATACGAAAAATTAGTTGGGCGTTGTGGCATGTGCCTGTAATCCCAGCTACTTGGGAGGCTGAGGCAGGGGAATCGCTTTAACTCAGGAGGCAGGGGTTGCAGTGAGCTGAGATCAAGCCACTGCACTCCAGACAGGCAATAGAGCAAGACTCTGTTTCAAAAAAAAAAAAAAAAAAAAAAAAAAGGAATTCCCAAAACTTTGACTAGAAGTATTCCTATATATATTTCTATTTACCTAATCACCTCTTCCTAGCTACTTTTGCACAGTTGAACTGCTTTTATAAACTCCTTCCTAGCTGTGCTGCTTACAAGCAGGGGCCTGGGCAAATGCTCTGTGCCTCGGTTTCTATGTGTATCAAATGAGATAATAACGATACCAGTCACATTGATTTGTCATGAAAGTTACTGGAAATTACTCATGGGAAGTGTTTACATCAGTATCGGCATGTGGTAAGTACTCAACGAGTATCAGCTATGAGCCATACTATTATTGCTATTACCACCACTGCTATATTCCAGTTCTTCTAAAATAAGGTTTTTGAAGCCTATTTTGGTGTTTGGCAAGTAAGTTTTGTGCCCTACTGGTCTAGCACAGGAATAATACTTTTTTCACATTACCTCCATGGCACTTACCTTGTAGCCACTCTTATAGAATGTTAGTACATTGTTCTGTATATAATGGCCACTTATTTTTTTTCTCTCTTCAATTGCTCACCCCTGAGGGCAAAGATGAGACTATACCTTCTTTCTATTGCTCCTTGTACCTATTTTATTGCTCTTTCGAGGTAAGGCTCCAAACCAGCTTGTTGGGTGAATAAATGAATGAAATAATGACTGCATGTAAGGGGTTCAGATTACCTAATTGAATTGTTGGAACAGCAATGTAGAGTGATAACCCAGGCTAGCAACTGGAGGTCTTAGTGTGATCTCAAGGGACCTTTTTCAAAGCAAGTGACCAAGATAAGAAAAAAGAAAGCAGATGGTTAAAGAGATCTAAAATGTTTTTATTAAACATTCTGCAATCTTTTAATGGCAGGACCCTAACAATGTGCTGGGACATGGGGTCACGTATCAACAAGGAAAAAAGTCAAGAGGAAAAGTCCCTCAGAGTTAGTCTGCTTTATAGAGTTTCTTTTTAGCAAGTCAGTTTTTCCAGTGTAAGGTATGTTCATGGGCACTGATCTTCTTGGAGTGAAGTTAACACAACAATAATGACAACAATAGCAAAACTGAGGTTTCTAGGAGAGAAATTCCTCTTTTCCCCTCTGAGGGGCAACTCATTGACAACTCAATGTTGTCAATTGTATCCCTTATTCTATCATTTATCTGTGAAAGCCAGTAATAGCACCGTCACCTCCTCCACCACCTTCCACCTTGCCCTGTCAGAAGAGTCCTTGCCTTCTCAGTTTCTCAGTCTCTGTGTGGCTTCTTTCCAGCCACACAATGTAACCTCCAACCTCATGTTCTTGACCTTGTTTAGTTCCTACTTCTTTTTGATGGACAAGAATCTCATTCTTCCTAAGGACATTCTGTTACTGGCTTCTTGTGGGGGTGTTCCCATCTTCATTCCTGCCCCCACACCAGTTCTTTTCCATATCTACCATATCTATATTGGTCAAGAAGAGTTTGGCCTAGTTTTTCCTGCTATAGTGTGTGTGGTGGAATGAATAGACTTTCTTTTCCTTAATGTGAAATATTAGAATACTGATTATCATTATTGAAACTGCCCAGTCTTCCCTTTTGAGAATCACCTGTTGAGAATCACTGTTCTCACCATAAACTCAGCAATAAAGGACTCAGTAGATTAAGTGTCAAGAAGCAAAGGTGGGAAAATCCTCCCCACAACTAGTACGGAGTTACCCACAGGTGCTCTTCTTTTCAAATACTTTGCATCTGGGGGGAAGCTTTGGCTTGTTTTACAAGGAAAAGAGGAGACTTCCTTTTTGGTCAGCCAACAATCTCTATCCTTTTATTCCGTGCATATTTCATGTATTTGTTCCCCAGCTCACATGGAGCAATACAGCATGCCAGAGTTTGTGTCTTGGGCCAAGTACTCAGGGATGGAGAGTCCACAAGCTGGGCTATTGAAGAGCTTAGGAGAACCTCAGGAAGGCCTTCAGCCAAGCACCTCCCACTGCTCCATGCTTGCCTTAATATTTTTCTTCATTCCCTCTGAAGGAGAATTGCAGAATAACCATTCATATAAATCCAAGTAAAGAGAATGTATTTTTAGAATATCTTCCCATCCACACATTGAACCTCTCCCATGAATAATGTGTCCGTGTTCTCTTTCTCTCTCCACATATACACAAATACAGTCTCCTGAGCCAACCCAGTAAAGTGTTTGTACCATGTTATTAAGTCTCCGGAATGTATTTGGTTTAAGGTCTGGTTACTGCTATAAAGAGCATGGGAAACCTGATGGTGGGGCGTTGGGATCGCCATGGGACCGCAGGCTAACTGGAGGCATTATGTGAAACTATGCAGTGGGAACATAATTACCTCAATCTCACCCTTTCTACACCATATACTTTGACCTTCCTGGAATGACTAATATCTTCTTTCTGTTTTTCAAAACTGAAGGCCTCCACTGGCATTCTGAACCTATTAGACTCTGACATTACTACAAATTTAATTCACTACGTGACATTTTTTTTCCAGCTGGAAGAATATAGATAAACAGATATAATAATATTAAGTAAAAGAAAACCATAAACATAAGGTTCTAAGGAATATTCTCAAATAAGGGTTTCTTTTAATCTGATCATCATCCACATTTTTTATAGTAACAATTGTAACAACTCTTGGCATATATAGGGCATTTATACTATGTCAAGCACTATGCTAAGCACTCTATTTTATCTAATTTCATTACAATAAAAGTATGAGGTATGAAGCAGGCATCAATAAATTCTGTCAGTATCAGTTTATCTGCAGTCTGGGGATCTGTAACTTGACCAAGGTCAAAGAGCTTGAAATTTCAACTTGGGACCATCAGACTGAAAACCTGCAATCTGAAACACTTTGCTGTGCTGCCTTCCTATTATTTCACCAAACATATGAGCACATAAGAAATTTCCTAGGGTCTTAGCATTAATTTTAAGGTTCTCTAAAACTCAAAAAATTACTTTCCTATTTTTTTTGTGGGATGAGAGTTACAAAAAACAGTTGTATATGGCTTGTCTCTTTAGACCTAACAGATACAAATACAGGATGCCCGGATAAATTTGAATTTCAGATGAACAATGAAAACAAATTTTAATATAAATATGTCCTCTGCAGTATTTGGGATGTGATCAAAATTCATTCATTATTTATCTGAAATTCACATTTGAGTGTCCTGCAATTTATCTGCCAATTTTACTCTTAAGTAAAATTAAGCATTTCATTCAGGGACTTTACGTGCTCAAAGCAACAGGTGGAGATAATGCTTCCCTGGGGTTAATTCCAAGCCTGTAGAGAAGCAAAGCCTTCCCATTGCATGAAGTCCCTCCTGGTCTGGCTTCTCCCCAAGTTTCTGGGTATGAAGTTGACCAGAAGCCATGCTCCCTCTTTTTCATGGAGGCTACATTTTATACCACAGTGAGAGGTTGGCATATTCTGACCCTGTCCACTCTCTTTTTTGGGGCAATGTGGGTAGGGCTTACTCTGAAGAAGGACCATGTTCATGCACCTTATTTTTAATCATCAATAATTAATAACTATAATTGTACTAACAATTAACAGAATTCATAGCAATAATCCATGCATCAGTGATGTTAGAAATGGTGTCAATCCACATAACTGTTTTAGTTGTACAGTTGCTGTAACCATAGCTATAGAGTGTGGTGTTTGTTTTGCTAGGTCAATTGCTCCTTCCTTTCCCATGAACTTAGGTGACTTTATTTTCCTCCCTCTTAGCATGTCCCATGCAATGGGCATGCTGTTGTCTGTTTCAGTTCAGGGGTTCTTAAATCACTTGTTCTGGATTCATTCTCCTTTACCAGACCTCTACATTCTGGTTTTGTTTCCAACTTAAAAGCTATTGTAAGGTATTCAAACAGCAGCTCTTTGAATAAACATATTATCAATAGCATATCCTGAGGCTTGATTTTAATGGAAACATCTTGTTTCTGGAATACAATGGCTCGTTTCTACTTAAGATACCCTCTCAGCAGTTGTCTAACAGCTCCTTTCATGACCAGCCACTCTCACTCACCCCCTCACCTTCCCTGCTGCAGAAGACTTCTTGTCTAATATGAGACAAAAAGATCCTGCAGTAGTGTTCCCACTGTCCTAACAGCACAGAGGAGCAGGAAGCCAGTGACAGGGCACACACGTTAAGTGCCGTGGCTTGACAAAATGACTACTGGGACACGCAAGTGGCAGAAGTCACCGATGTGCTGCTGCAGTCCCCGGTGAGAGTCTAGCGGATGAACTCAGAGCACCAACACATGCACTCTCACCCCTTTGAGCAGACACATTCCGAAGCCTCAACTTTCAACTCTCAACATCCAAATGCAACTTACAAAGGAAAACTCTTTATTTCAAGTTTCCGAACTGACCTAGCCCAGGTGAAACTCTCAAGGCACTGGGGAGAGGAAAGAGGCGGAGAGAGAGAGAAGGACGAGTGTGGCACAGCCCGCGGGGGCGCAGGTGCCCCAGCAGGGTGGCAATGGCAGGGACACTGTACCTCGGCCGCAGGCGGCAGGCGTCCCAGAGCCACGCGGGGTTCGCTCGTCTCAGGCGGGTCTTGCCTGCCAACCGCTGAGCTCCCTTCAATGTCAAAAGGAAAAGCGTTGTCGTCCCCGGACGCGGCGCGGGAGCAGGCAGCGCTCCAGAGGAGCCACAGAGGCAGAACCGAGCGCCAGGCTGAGCTCAAAGCCATTTCTCCGCTGACATCCAGTAGTGCTCTTCCAGGGCTCGGGCGCTGTGGGTCTCCGTAGGTCTCCCGCGTGGTGCGGCGGTGCCTCGCTTATTTTCCCTCCTCTCCGTGTGCAGTATCCCGAGGTGGCTGCGCAACCAGCAGCTTAGGAAATAAAGGGAAAGTGCGAGAGTAAGGGAGAGTTCCAGCCTCTCTCTCCCTCTCTCTCTCTCCCCTTCTCCCCCTCTCTCTCCCTCTCCCTCTCCCTCTTTCACTTTTTCTCCTTCCCGCAGAGGTTCTGGCTCAAGAACCTACAGATGGACGGAGCTTACAGTACGGCATCAAAAGGCAGACGGATTGGGGTGAGCCCCGCCAGCGCTAGGCCACCTCCTCTCCCTGGCCGTTCGGGACTGGGGACTGCGCTGTCCTGGCTTCCTTCTCACATTCATTCTCACCACTCCCTTTTTACCTTCTACTCCCAGGCCCTCCCACTCTAAGCTGGCTTTTCAGACACTGAGGTCCGCCTTTCCCTGCGGTCTTCCCTCCCCTCTCAGTTTGGAGCCCCTCCAAGGGCTCCAGAAGAATATTCAGCTTTTGTGACGCTTCCTCACCACTCTTATTTATGTAGTCAAGGTACCGGATGTCTTATCTATATTTACATAGATATTTTATGTGGCCCCCGCTAGTTTGCAGGAAAGTGGGTGGAAAAGGGATTCCAGGGCAGGAACCAAAGGTAGATGATCTCTGAAGGCAGAGGGTCAGGGTGCCCACTTTCTTGAGCAAGGTTTCTCGGGTTTTTTCTGGGGGATAGACTGTTGCACTCTTTGTGCTAATATCTTCTCTTCAGATTCACTGGCCACCCCTCTTCCTCCCTCCAGTCCTCACCCAGAGGGCTTGGGAGAAGAATATCTTTCACTGCAGCGCTGGAAAATGACTTCATTACCCAAATGCATGAACTTTTATTTACAAAGACCATCTTGTTTTCATCCTAAAGAGGTGCTTTGTAAGGGGCCCGGAACAAGGCTTGCAGTGTATGAGCCTGTCAAGTATACTGCCTACAGCCCCGGCCTCTTCCTCTTGGCCTGTAATCTCATGCCTACTACATCTGTCTGAATCATGTAACCTTTCCAAGACTTCAGGGTGAAGTTGGGCTACAGCTATGTCAGGGGTGCCCCTGTGGATGGGATAGTGTCTGCAACAGCTGATAGGTACCTTTGTTTACATTGGCTTCATAACGAGCTCTAAACATTTCCACAAGATCCAACCATGGTTTAAAAATGGTCAGATGAGACAACCATAAAATGACACCCAGGTAAGCTTCCAGGTGAAATAAAGCATTTTTGTATAACCTAATCATAAAATAAATAAATAAAGCCTTTCCATAAAACCTAATCATTAGCTCCATTTCATAGAACAAAAGTCATTTTATCTAAGTGTAAGCAAAACCATTTATTTTGCACCTAACATGTGCCAGATACTTGGCATATGCTATTTGTAAACCTCAGCATTCCTGCAAAGTAGTACCATTATTTTCCTTTTACAGAAGAAGAAAGTGAGGTTCAGAGAGACTAGGACATTTGCCCAAGGTCGCACAGCTGGTGGAAAGCAGAGATGGGGTTTGGATCCAGGCCTCACTGATTCCAAAGCTCTCTTTTACATCTGTATACACGACACTGCAACTTTAAAATAAAGAGTATGAATTCAGAGGTGAAGGAAATGGACACTTTTATTTTTTGAGTGCCTCCCATGTGCAAAAAAATCACATAAATTGTCTCATTTAGGGCTGGGCGTGGTGGCTCATGCCTGTAATCCCAGCACTTTGGGAGGCCAAGGTGGGTGGATCATGAGGTCAGGAGTTCGATACCAGCCTGGCCAACATGGTGAAACCCCGTCTCTACTAAAAATACAAAATTTAGCCAGGCATGGTGGGAGGCGCCTGTAGTCCCAGCTACTCGGGAGGCTGAGGCAGGAGAATTGCTTGAACCCGGGAGGTGGAGGTTGCAGTGAGCAGAGATTTTACCACTGACTCCAGCCTGGGTGACAGAGAAAGACTCCAGCTCAAAAAAAAAAAAAAAAAAAAAAAAAAAAATTGTCTCATTTAATTTCATCTTTATGATAATCTCATGAAGTAGGGATTGTCATACACATTTGGCCATGGGTAAGTGGTAAAATTACTACTATAGCCCAGGTAAATCTGATGGTAAGATCTTTGATTTTAAATGATAAAATTGTATGATACAAAAGAACCAAAGCCAAAGGAAGCAAAAATAATTCCTATAGGTTTTAAAGTGATATTTTGATTTTAAAATATTAAAATAGTATTGCAAGGGACTATTAAGCTAAATTATGATACTCTTCTTTTACATAGACTTGTTAACCTACTAAATTAAGTGGGAGAAGTTAAAAACATGTTTGGTTTAGTTGAGAGACTGATATTGGGAAAAAAGATAGCCAGACTCTGAGACAAAACAGATTATGCTCAGTTATACTGACCCAGTCACCCTTTAAAAGAACATTAAATAATAATAATATTAATTATATATGATGTATATTAAATATTCTGACTTCAGATACAGATCTCTTCAGCTCACCAAAACTCATATATTTGTTTTCTGAAGGATTTCATCTTGTTCTTTACTAGCTGCCAATTAATCACACACTTTTTAATTTAATCTGGGCCCTCTTCTGTCTGCCTGCCCAGTGCTGGTAGGAGTGTATTCGTCCAAGACCTATGGACTTCTTATTTTTGGTTAAATATGTGCTCCCAGCTCTTCCTCTTCATCTTCTTTCTGTGGGTACTATTATTGTTTTTGAGACAAAATGGCATAATATGCAGGGGGATGGGTTTTGTATAAAATAAAACAGGGTTCAAATCCTGGGTCTGCATGTAGTACTTTTGGGAGCTTGGCATGTAACTTAGTCCCTCTGAAAGTTTCCTTCCCTGTAAAATGGGCATAATGATGCCTTTTTGTCATAGGCATTTCAACTAGAGCAATTCCATCTTGAATAGGGGCTGGGTAAAATAGGACTGAGACCTACTGGGCTGCGTTTGGAGGAGGTTAGGCATTCTAACTCACTGGATGAGACAGGAGATCAGCATAAGATACAGGTCACAAAGACCTTGCTGATAAAACAGCATGCGGTAAAGAAGGCAGTCAAATCCCAACAAAACCAAGGTGGTGACCTTGGTCGGACTCACTGCTCATTATACGTGAATTATATTGCGCTAACATGCTAAAATACACTCCCACCAGCACCATGACAGCTTATAAATGCCATGGCAACATCAGGGAGTTACCCTATATGGTCTAAAAAAGGGAGGAACCCTTAGGTTCCCAGAAATTGCCGACTCCTTTCCCAGGAAACTCATGAATAATCCACACCCTGTTTAGCATATAATCAAGAAATAACCATAAAGATAGGCAATCAGCAGCCCTTGAGGCTGCTCTGCCTGTGGAGTAGCCATTCTTTTATTCCTTTACTTTCTGAATAAACTTGGCTTTACTTAACTCTATGGACTCGCCTGGAATTTTTTGTTGCGTGAGATCCAAGAACCTTCTCTTGGGGTCTGGATTGAAACCTCTTTCTGGTAACATTTTCACTGAATTATTATGGGTAGTAAATGAAAGAATATAAATAAACATTAACACAGACTAGCATGTAGTCAGAGCTCAATAAATACTATTTAATTATACAATAAGCCCCCATTTAACATTATCTATATGTTCTTGGAAACTGCAACTTTAAGCAAAACAACATACAATGAAGCCAATTTTACCTTAGGCTAATTGACATAATTAAGATTTATTTAAATTCCTATGACATAGTTCTGGTCACAAAAACATCACTAAACTTCTAAAGAAAGACCAAAATGCTTCTAATGGTAAATATGAAAATAAATGTGAGCTATACGTACATTTCAGAAAGATTAATAGAAACAAGTGTGAGAATTATTTACCCAATGTTTGGTGAATCAGTGAGTGACAGCAGTCATAGTGGTGGTGGGTTAAAGCAAGGAATAAATGTTTTAAAGCAAAAATTATAAGCACCTCCTACCACCATGCAATTCAAAAAAACCCAACAACAAATATGATGGGCTCGCTGAACGCTTCCATGCAGCATCATTTATTGTCATATGCCTGTATGATTATTGTAGACTTCATGAATTTTTATTTGATAACAATTTTTGTTCATTATTCAATCATTTTCCAACCTGCTTTTTCCAACTCAGAGTGTTGGGTGGCTGGAGCCCATACTGGCAGCTCAGAGTTCAAGCTGGGGACCCTGGACAGAAGGCCATTCCATTGCCGGGCACGCTCACACACACACAGCCACACTCACTAAGACTGGAACCATGCAGACGTACCAAGGAACGAGGATATCTTTGAGATGTGGGAGGAAACTGAAGTACCTGGAGAAAACTCACGTGAGAACTTGCAAATTCCACACAGACAGTGGCTCCAGCCAGGAATTGATTTTTTTTTTTTTCTCACCAATATTATGACAAAGCAACATTGAAAGAAACAATGTTATTCTGGGACCTGCCTTACTATATTTTCAAATCTTAAAGAAGAACAAAATGACTATTGTAAAAGAGGAAAGGCAACCATTTTATTTATCCTGGTGTAGGTAACCTCCCATGTTTGAGAATAGCCATTCACATTTCTGGCTGCTACTGGGCCCTTCCTTGCATTAACCAGGAATGAGGCAGTCATGGGCCACAGAGTCATAGGTCAAGCAGATGAGGAGAGAGCACGGCTGACTAATTTACAGCAAGTTAAAAGGCAGCAGAAACCTTTGGTGAGTTACCTCCTCACCAAAGGGCCACTCCTTGACCACCAAACACCTGAGTGTAGGAGGATTTTATTCCTGCCACAAGGGCAACTGGGAAGCATTTCTAGTGCGGCTGCTTTCTTATCACGGCTCTCCCTTTCTCTCCCTCCTGGGATTGAGGCTTGGTGTTCACCCAGTCTTTTCATGGCTGTCATCGTTTTCGGGACACCTATCTACCCCGTGATGACAGGGGTGCTGCTCCATCATCCACAATGCATAGAAGACAGCACGGACATGCAGAGACGCTCACAGTGCCTACAAGGACACTAAGCCCGTTAGTACAAAACGAGGGCCCCCACACCATCCAACTCCCAGACCAATACTTTCCCAACTAGGCCGAGCTATTTTTGGTTCTGGCAGCAGCAGATCTGATGATTTTGAGGTTTTATCAAAAGAAGCTTCTGGAATTCCCTTTTGAGGACCCTAGTGTGATAATCAGCAGATAAATATCAGGGCTGCCTACCCCTTCAGAGCTTGGCTGTTAGACCTGTCCTCAGCATCCAAAGCCCTAAGGAGGGTGTTATTAACACATCCCATGTGCCCTTCTGTAAATAGAAAGTCACGTCAGATGCTATTTTGAACTTGTAAGTGCTAATCTTGACATAACTAGACAGAGGATTGTTGTGGGGACTGTGTACTAGTGACAATAATTTTGTGATGAGATGAGTCAGAGAAGCAAGTATGAACTATCCCCCACCATGAGGTCTCTAACTGGCACTCAAGTAGCAGGACCAGAAAGTGTAAGATGGCGTCTCTTTTTTTCTGCTGATCCTGCTGTCCTCTCAGACCAAGATTCCCTTCTATGAACGACTCTGGTGGATGTTCAGTCTCTGTGAGGAGGAGCAGCAGCGAGAGTGCTAGGAGGTGAATAGGGTTTAAAAGTTGTTCTTCCTGGCTGGGCATGGTGGCTCATGCCTGTAATCTCAGCACTCTGGGAGACCTAGGCAGGCGGATCACCTGAGGTCGGGAGTTCGAGACCAGCCTGACAAACATGGAGAAACCCCATCTCTACTAAAACTACGAAATTAGCCAGGTGAGGTGGTGCATGCCTGTAATCCCAGCTACTCGGGAGGCCGAGGCAGGAGAATCGCTGGAACCCAAGAGGCGGAGGTTGCGGTGAGCCGAGGTTGAGCTATTGCGCTCCAGCCTGGGCAACAAGAGTGAGATTCCATTTCAAAACAAAAAACAAAAAACTTGTTGTTTCTTCTGTTAGTTTTCTCAGGCTTTTGCCCAGGACATGAATAGTATGTGCTATCTATGCTTCCTCTGCAGTCATAGACTCATTTGGCTTTTAGTATATGCTATCAGCATTCTTCATCATTCATTCTTTCATCCATCCATCTATTCATATATTATTTATTTAATCATCATTTGTTAAGTAGCTCAGTACACCAGGTTTAGATGCTGAGGATAAAATGCTAAAGACATTATTCTGTCAAGTGTGTTAAAAAAATATTTATTTATTTATTTATTTGTTTTGAGACAGAGTCTCACTCTTGCCCAGGCTGGAGTGCAGTGGTGCAATCTAGGCTCACTGCAACCTCCACCTCCCAGGCTCAAGAGATTCTCCTGCCTCAGTTTCCCGAGTAGCTGGGATTACAGGCGCATGCCACCACACCCGGCTAAATTTTGTATTTTTTAGTAGAAACAGGGTTTCACCATGTTGACCAGAGGCTGGGCTCGAACTCCTAACCTCAGGTGATCCTCCTGCCTTGGCCTCCCAAAGTGCTGGGATTATAGGCGTGAGCCACCACGCCCAGCTGACTGTCAAGGAGTTTTTTAAGAGTCTGGTTGGACTCTGTAAGGAATGCAATGATTAACAGGAGTTCAAAGAGAAAGTGCAGAAATGCTTCTGATAAAACATATCGAACAAGCCTTTTATCCAGATGCACTTCAAATAGGAAGTGCAGAAAGGCTTCTGATAAAATATATCAAACAAGCCTTTTACCCAGGGGAAGTCAGAGAGGCTTGAGAAGAAGAGAGCAACCGGGCTGAGTCTGAACTGATGGGAGAAGGGGAAGGATGGTGCTCCAGAAGTGAAGTGCAGATGCAGAAGGACAGACAAGTCTGGGCACAGTGGCTCATGCCTGTAATTCCAGTATTTTGGGAGGCTCAGGCGGCGGATCACCTGAGCCCAGAAGTTTGAGACCAGCCTAGGCAACATGGTGAGACCCCATATCTACAAGAACAAAAAACAAAAAAAAACCAAAAAACAAAAACCCCAAATATTAGCCAGGCATGGTGCTATGTGCCTGTAGTCCCAGCTACACGAGAGACTGAGGTGGGAGGATCACCTGAACCTGGGAAGTCAAGGCCGCTGTGAGATCGCACCACTGTACTACAGCCTGGGTGACAGAGTGAGAGCTTGTCTTAAAAAACTAAAATAAAATAAACCAGAGGAACAGACACATCAGGGAACATGATGCCATGGGAGGGTGAGAAAGCCATATGATTTCTAGTTGCTCTCTGAGCCCCGCCAACCGTTCACAGGGTACCGTCCCTGCTGTCAGGCCCACAGAGCCTGCAGGAAAAGAAAGAACTTCCCCAGCCTCCTACTGCTCTCTCAGCACTGCACACCAATCCAGGCCCAGTAAGTAACAGAGGATCCTTCCCCATTGCAAATCTGAACACTGGGAGCTGTTAGGCCTAGTATTTACACCCTGAGCAAAAACCCAATAAAACTGATGGGAGAAAGAACAACTTTTAAAAGGCCTCCATGCCTCTCCTAGCACCCTTGCTGTGCTGTTGCACCTCAAACAGCCTGAACTTCCACCAAAGTCAGTCATAAAAGAGAATCTCCATCTGAGAGGAGAATCAGCAGAAAAAGAGACACTGTCCCTCTTAAACGTTTCATTCCTACCATTGGGTACCAGTTAGGGTACAGGGTGGGGGAGAGCTGGTGCTTGCATCTCTGACTGATCTTACCATAAAATTGTCTTCACTGTTTTTTAGGTGAATAAATTTAAGTGTAGAAATGACATGATCATATTTGCATTAACTTTATTTTTTTTGTTTTGAGACAGAGTCTTGCTCTGTTGCCTGGCGCAATCTCAGCTGGCTGTAGCCTCTGCCTCCTAGGTTCTAGTGATTCTCCTGCCTCAGCCTCCCAAGTAGCTGGGATTACGGGCACACGCCACCATGCCCAGCTAATTTTCTAATATATGTAATTTTTAATTTTACTATAATTACTTTATCTGGTACATTTAAAATTTTATACAAAAATTAGCTGGGCGTGGTGGCATGCACCTGTAGTCCCAGCTACTCAGCGAGGCTGAGGCAGGAGAATCACTTGAACCTGGGATGTGGAGGCTGCAGTGAGCCAAGATCATGCCACTGCACTCCAGCCTGAGCGACAGAGCGAGACTCCGTCTCAAAAAAAAAAAAAAAAAGAAAGAAAGAAAAAAAGGAAAAGAAATTACATGTATCACAAAAGGTGGAAATAATAGTTACCAGAAATCATACTATTCTGGGGCAATAACTTACAACACTGAAAACGTTTTGGTGTAAATACCTTCAGACTTTTGTGACATCTATATTAATGTGACCCATCTATTTTTATATTTTATATATTTTATTATATATTATATATATGTTTTGTACGTATTCATTTTGTCTATTCCATCTATTTTTTTTTTTTTGCAAAAATGAATCCAACTGTACATAATATATTTCAACTTTTTCTCCATGTCAGTGTAACTCCAGTATGTTACCATGAATAGCTTGCAGTGTTCAGATTTGAATTTTGGGAAGACCTCCTGGTGTGGATGGGGCCTGGAATTGAGGACAGTGCTAAGAGACCAGTTAGGAGGCTGGGAAAGCCCTTGCTTCTCATGCAAGCTCTGTTAACCCCAAGGGCAGGGACTATACTCATGAACTGGGGACTCAGGAAGCTTTTGGGGATGATAGTAGCAATGATTGGGTTGGCCTGATGGAGAGTGAAACAAACAGATGAGAGCATGGTCCTAACAAGGATTATTGACCAGCCTCTGCTGTGGCCATTCCTTTAGGTCTAATAGGATAATTACTTCATCAGCAATAAAGGAAAGTGATGGATGCTCCCGGTAATGTTTTCAATAGAGAACAGCAGGTGTCAACATCAATTAGCTCAGTTGATGAGATCAATATAACATAGGAGCTCCTGGGACCTGTTAATGAAATGATATAATTAAGAAGAATGGAACAACTTTCAAAAAAGGAGGCCTAAGAAACTGACTTTTGTGTCCGTACATCCACCCCCACTCCCAGTACCACAAAGGAACTATCCGTTAAGAACAGGATTGCTGTCAGCATGGTGGGAAGATACACAGAATGAAATGTTAAAATCTGTTCTAACCTGCTCTGTGTGAGCAGCTGCAGAAACTAGTCTGTGAGATTTTAACTCAAAAGCTCTATAATGGAAAATGCATGCTGGACATGCTCACTTTAGGATATCAACTGACTTCAGAAGAAACTTTGGAAGTAGGGAGGGCATAACCATAATAGTGCTTCAAATTTTCACAGTGCCTTATGATTTGAAATTGATATATAGTTCTTTCTTCTTCTACAAGTGAGACTGATCTGGCTTTAAATGCCAAGCATAGACTCAGACTTTTAGGAGAAAGATTCCTATATCACAGTCCACCACATCCCTTATTCCTTGAGTATTTAATAATCGAAATAAGATGTTAAATTCACCATCCATTCATTCAACATCAATTCACCATCCATTCACCATCCATTCATTCAACAAATATTTTTCAAATGTCTACTTTGCAACCTGCATTTTTCTAGGCTCCATAGCAAAGAAGAAATCAGACAAAAATTCCTGCCTTCATGGAGTTTACATCTAACTGAAGCAAGGTAGAAGACAGCTAAAGAATAAACAATCAGACAAGATAAATGTATAGTAGGTCACATGGTAAATACTTTGGAGAAAAATAGAGCAGAGTGGGGGTGGGGGTGGTAGAGCATGTAAGCTGAGAAAAGTGGGATGAAAGTATTTTAAATTAGGTCATCAGGGCCAGGTGCAGCAGCTCACACCTGTGTTCCCAGCAATTTGGGAGGCCAAGGTGGGTGGATCACTTGAGGTCAGGAGTTCGAGACCAGCTTGGCCAACATGGCGAAAACTGGTCTCTACTAAAAATACAAAAATTAGCCAGGCATGGTGGCACACACCTATAATCCCAGCTACTCAGGAGGCTGAGACACAAGAATCTCTTGAACCTGAGAGGTGGAGGTTGCAGTAAGCTGAGATGGCACCACTGAACTACAGCCTGGGTGACAGAGCAAGACCCAGTCTAAAAAAAAAAAAAAAAAAAATTGGGTCATCAGGGAGGCCTCACTGACAAGACAATATTTGAGCAGAATCTGGGATATGAGGGGGCAATCCAGGCAGCTATTAATGTAGAAGAGCAGGGCAGAGAGAAGAAACAGGAACTGAGTAATAGAAAGGAAGAAGGTGTTTCTCTCATTGAGGAAGAGACTGGAATGAAGTGATGGAAGTAAAGCATAGCTGGAGATAAAGTCAGAAATGTAGGAGCTGTGGGGAGGATGATTATGTAGGACCTTTGGGATCATTATGTACAAAGACTTTGGCTTCTTCCCTGAGTGAGTGGGGAAGAATTTGGAGGGTCTTGTGCAGAGAAGTGACATGATCTGACTTATTCTTTCTGTGATGTGGGGAGTAGATTGTAGGGAAAGAGGTAAGGAAAGAGGCAGGGAGGCTATTTAAAGGCTATTGCAATAATACAGTTGAGCCATGATGATGACTTGGGTTAGGATGTTGGCATTATGTATGAAAAGTACTTAAATTCTTGATTTATTGTGAATGTTAAATCAATGGGATTTGCTGGATATGGGGAATGAGAGTAAGAAAGAAATCCAGGCTGCTGTACATGTTTTGTCCTGAGCAGGCTGGAATGACGAATTTGCTATTAAGAGAATGTGAAGGACTATGGGAAGAGCAGGTCAGGGTAATTGAAACACGAAAAGTTTAGTTTTGAACAAGACTTTTTTGAGGCTGTGTGCGGTGGCTTACGCCTGTAATCCCAGCACTTTGGGAGGCCAAGGTGGGGGGATCATGAGGTCAGGAGTTTGAGACCAGCCTGGACAACATAGCGAAACCGCGTCTCTACTAAAAATACAAAAAAATTAGCCGGGTATGGTGGTATGTGCCTGTAGTCCCAGCTACTCAGGAGGCTGAGGCAGGAGAATCACTTGAATCCAGGAGGCAGAGGCTGCAGTGAGCTGAGACTGTGCCATTGCACTCCAGCCTGAGTGACAGAGTGAGACTCCATCTCAAAAAAAAAAAAAGGCTTCTTTTTGAAATCTAACTCAGATCATATTCTTACTAAGAATTCCTTATTGTATTCCTTACTTAAAGATACTTACTTTTAAACATTATATATCCATACTTATTTTAAACATTATATATCCATAATATGTAAGGCATACTTTTTTTCTGGAATCTATTACGGGCAAGGAACTGTAGATAAAACTATAGGACATCCTTATTGTCTAGTAAGAAAGATTTGTAGCATGAACTCCATTACCTACAATTCAAATCACCTAGTGCTCAAGATGGGCAAAAGTCCATTGCCTTTGGGAGAGATAGCAGGAAGGGATCACTTTGAACTCCATGAGAAGAGAAGGGATTAAAGATTTGAACTGGGGCCAGGTGCAGTGAGTGGCTCATGCCTGTAATCCCAACACTTTGGGAGGCTGAGGCGGGCAGATGGCTTGAGCTCAGGAGTTGAAGACTAGCCTGGGCAACATAGTGAAACTCTGTCTCTACAAAAAACACAAAAGTTAGCTGGATGTGGTGGCTAATTTTTAATCAGCCTGTGGTCCCAGCTACTCAAGAGGCTGAGGTGGGAGGATTACTTGAGCCCAGGAGGTCAAGACTACAGTAAGCCGAGATCATACCACCGTACTCCAGCCTGGGAGACAGAAGAGACCCTGTTAAAAAAAAAAAAAATGAGCAGGATCTCTTAAGTATAGGAATTAGATGTGGGAAGATGGGTGTGGAAGGTGCACAAGGAAAGGAATTTCTGGCAAATGGAACAGCATAGGCTCAGGTGTAGGAATGGAAAAACACATTCATGTTCAGGCAAAGGCAAGTTGATAGATGGCTGAGCACTGCACAAAGCTGGTTTGGGTGAATAATGGGAGGTAATATAGGTAAGATAGGTATGGCCTGATTATTTTATAGTTTGCTGCTAGAAGAAAGAGAGAAGATCACCAGAGAGTTAAGAAGGGTTCATCGGATAACCATGTGGAGGTTGCACTGCAGTGGAGAGAGACTGGAGGCTGGTCCAGCTGGGAGATTGCTGCAGTAATAATGTAGGCCTCAAGTGGGGACAAAGAATAACGTTTATGAACTGTCACTGTCCACGAACACAATGTCCCATCCCTGAGTTAATCCAGGTGTAATGCAGACAACTAATTTTGTAAAACTACTATTTCCTTGAAACCGACATGAATTTTAGCTTGAATGGAATCAGTCAATGGAAGGATAGGCCAGGAAAGAAGGCAATGCTTGATACGGGTGTTTCCCAACCGACACACACTGTGTGGCGTCTACTAAGCCACAGGCTGGCTCCTCCGCCAGGGGAAGGTTTTGCCTGACAGCAATTCCTATGAGATAGCTTCTTCCTTTTTTTTTTTTTTTTTGAGGGGGCAGGAAGTAGGAGGGGGCAGCATGGCGGAAGCCCTTGTGAGTGCAGGGGTCTTCTGGAAAGAGAAGTTCTCATTCTTTGGAGAGAGCTTCCAAAGGTGGACAGCTTTTTTTTCTGTTTTATGTGGAAGAGAGACTTTGTTGCCCTTGGAGTTGTTGACAGTCCGAGGGGAAGCCAGGTTTAGCAGAAACTGACTCCATAGAAGGCAGAGTGGAAGGAGAAGAGAAAATGGGTCCCAGAAGATGATATTTAGCTGTGGAATCTGAACTTTCCAATTTCACAAGCCCAAAAATACCCTTTATTGCCAAGTTGAGTTAGATTTTCTGTTAGAACAAAAAGGTTTCTAACTGATACAAGAACAGTAGGGATTTGAGAAACGTGATTTTGGAAGAGACTGTGATGAGTGAATTAGTGAGAAATAGGAGGTGGTTTGTTGAACAGAAATGTCTTTTAGAGGAAGTCCTCAGGAAAGCAAAACTAATATAGAGAATATCTTGATTTTCCACAATTCATCAATCTGTAGACATTTATTAGAAGAGAAGTTAGATGTTAAAAACTCAGCCTATGGATTCAGACTGTGAACCTGTGTATTGTAGTTTGTTTTTATAGCCTTTAATTCTCCAACTTATCAACTCTGTGAACTTGAGAAATTATTTCATTCTCAAAACCTCAGCTGCCGCATCTGTAAAAAGGGAACTGTATCTATCTCCTAGAGTTTTTGTGAGTGTAAAATAAGGTTGTGTATGAAAATTGCCCAGAATAATGCCTGGCACATAGAGAATGCTTAATAAACTTTAGCTGCTATTATTATTACTACTACTACTAATATTAACAGTTAGATGTCTAATTTGTTCTGGAGAAAACTAGAAGACAGACAGGTAGGTTGATAACTATAAAATTAATAGAATTTTCTGTTACCTGTAGCATAATGCATAAGTATTCTTGTTTTCTTTCATTTGTTTTAATATTCAGAAGCTATAACAACAATTATAGACACATTATTATCAACGTGGTATGTAATATTTGTTAAGGTTTCTCAGAGGCTGCTAACCAGGCTTCCACAGGGTTACAGTCTCATTAGGGGCCGAAGACAACATCTAGCCCTTGGCTACAGGTCCTATCTTAATTCTTAGCACCATCCAGGTAATTCACGGCTTCAGCTACTCTGTCCTTAATTACTTGGCTCCTTCAGTCCATAGTTATTTTAGTATGAGTTCTCCATCCTTAACGGACTCAGTTCTGTATTTGAATTTCATTTGTAGACTCAGACGTAGTAAAACTCCCTAGGAATAAGTGCCTAAAAATGAATAGGCTTTTCTAGGAGACTGGACCATAATTTGGAGGACAGTTTTCTCTCTGGCATTGTCAGGCACTGATTCAGACTCTGTAATTACTAAAGGTTTTTCAAATTATGGCATTTTACATTGGTTTTAATTTTTCATCATTTTGAGTATGCAGACTACTATCACGACATTGTCTCAAATAATTCTCCCGGCATCTCTGTGAGGTAAGCATAATTATCCAACTTGAAGCTAAGAAACAGAGTCATGGGTGAGCAGTGGAAAATGACCCAGTGACTGATCTTCAGGCTCCCAGGCTGATGCAATTTCTTCCCATTCCTCCTGGCTCCTGGAGTTGTCAACCTTTGACATTTTAAACTTTACAACCCAACTTAAGTAACAGCTGAGCAGCAGAAATACAAAGACAGCAGCATTCAAAATTTCTGTCCCTCAGATTTTGAGGAAGAATTCAATTATTATCATTCTTAAATTAATAATTATTAGAAAACAAGAACACCAATGACAAGAAGTCGATTGTGGGCTAGAGGGAGAGAAGGATCATATGGAAGGAGGCACATTTCATCTTTAAATAACTGAATAAAAGTGAAGGCTTGTTTTCTCTGTCTTTATTAACTAGAATGTCAGAGCACAGAGAATTTAAAAATTGGGCTTGCCATGGCTCAGGCTTGTAGGGAAGAGATCTTCCCAGTGAATACGATTATGTATCAAAGACCTTGAAATGAGCATTTCCTCCAGCCAGCTACTAAAAATGGGCCTGTGGCATTTCTGTGCTTAATTCAGCTGGATAGCCTTTGGGAAAGGGCTGGTGCAATTTTAAATCTGGTGTTAAGATGAGTGATAAAGAACAGTTCCATCGAGGGCATGGGACAGAGCACACAGAGGAGAAAAAGTTCTGGACTGGGGCCTGGAAGCCTGGTATTCTCATCCCAGGGCTGCCTCTTGTGAGCCACAGTCTTGAGCTAGTTTCTTAAGCTCCCTGGCTTTCACTTTCCCCACTGTATGAAAATGAAAAGTGAGACAAGATGAGCCTGGGGTCCCATTCAGCTTCGAAGCCCTGATGTTCTAAAAGCACCTATCCCCAGACACTGACTGTTCTGGCCATGGCCAAGAGCAGATGGATGGTTTAGAAAGCAACACATAGAGGACTATTCCATGGCGCTACCTGCTGAAATCATTAAACCCAGGGTCTGGTAATTTGTGCCCAAAGCTATATTTTAGGTGCCGAAAAAAGCCTGTGGACAGTTCATGTAACAAATTAAATGCAACGAAAGGAAGAGAAATATGAGTTATTACTTTAAACTCTGCCAGATTCAGAACTGTAGGCCAGAAAAGAGATAATGCTGCTTGAGACCACAAAAGGAAAAGAATTAGGAAATGCGTCTCCTTTCCCTGATTCACCCCTCTGTGATATCGCCCTCCACTGGCATTGTGGTGTGTGCTTCCTAGAACAATAGGCCATCAAATCATGTAGTGCCACAGATGGAAAAAGACCAGACAAACTACACAGGACACTGAAACAGGAACTTGTGACTCTGCCAGCAGAACACGGTAGTTTCTCTCAGCCATTAGTTCACCTGCAGGGTCATTAAAAAAAAACATTTATTGAGTAACAAGTCTTTCAATGAAGTTGAATTTTATTTTCTTTATTTAGCCTCTATTGTTCTTAGCTGTGAATAATGTTATTCTTGCCGTTTGCAAAGACCCTAAATGTATTAGGTTGGTGCAAAAGTAATTGCTGTTTTTGCCATTGAAAGTAACGGCAAAAGCTGCAGTTACGTTTGCACCAACCTAATATAATTACAAATGGTAAAAAGCAAAAGGGAGAACTATGACAAAATGTACGTGAACTCCACAAATCCAAGGCCCAGTGTAGACACAAGCCTGGCTGAACTGTGTAGGACAGGGAGCACCTGCTTTTTGCAGGATGCTGAGGAACATGGAAGATTAGTATGTATGTAATTTTAGCTATAGATTCCTTGCTTATTCATTGATTTTACATAATCTATGACATAGACTAAGTAGAACACAATCTTTCCTGGAAAATTTTCTTATTTAACCCTATGAAATAGCTATGAAACCCAGATCATTAAGCAGTTTTGAGTAACATCTATGTCCAAAGTAGAACACAGGCAAACCCAGCCCTTCTGGTCTACGTGTGACACAGTCATGAGGACAAACCCACAACAAGAAAAGAAATTTAAAAATAAACAAAAAACCACAAGCCAGGAGCGTTAAAACACAAAGCAATCACACAGAGATCAGAGGAACATTGTCTGTGCCTTCCGTCTCCCCACTCCCAGCCCTTTTAATAACTTAAACAGTTGCCTCTGATCCTTCCTTGGATGGTGGACAATACCAAAAGCTGAGATCCACCCTCCACCCTGGCAATTCCATTACTGCATCATGGCTGGACATCTGAAAGAGTCTGGGAATAGCCAGCTGGTTTTAGGCAGAAGGCCCAATATCAACAGTGTGTCTGGTGGGCAGCTGGAATAAGGCTGGTGAGTGGCTGAGCCTCTATTCCATAAACAACTGGCAGGATGTTTTAGCCTTTATCAGCCACTGCCTTAATGAAGGCCTGAGCTGCTAATAAAACCTACTCAAAATGGTAGGTCAAAGTCTACCCCCAGGATCCTGGGAATTAGCAGACATTTTGATTTCATGTTTAAATAAGCCAATGGGTACTGCTGTTACAATTGAGGCAACACTTCTATCCACTTACCTAATCATAACATTAGCAAAGCTATGATGCTTTGGATGAAAGTGGGGCAAGCCAGTGGCCTGTCGTCTGAGTCAATCAGTCACTCCAACAGCCACTCTGTTGGTCATCAGTGTAACAACCAACCTCTCAGTTTGCTGCCATTTTCCTAAGCTTGGCATTTTTCTCATTAGCTGACAAGTTTCAGCTTCTCACTCTGTCATTTATTATTATGAAACACTTTTCACCTCCCAGGACTCACCACCAGGCCCTCTCACCATCTTATCTACTCCCCACTCCCTTTTCCTGCTTCTGCTCTCATTCATAGGTTTTCTGGCATTGCCACAGAATGCTATGGAATAATATGGACTTAATACCACTATTCTTTGGTTTTAACCTTATCAGCATCCTCACAAATGCCTGGCGATCCATCTGTTCATCTGTTTTGAATTTTTTTTGCATATTTTTAGAAGCTGTTGTACTGGACTGGCACTGTCACTCACAAATTGTGTTGTTTGGCAAGTCCTTTAACATCCTCTTCTGTAAAGTGGGTGGTTGGACTGAAAGGTCTTCAAAGTCTCCCTGGATGTAAAACAGAGGTCATGTTCTGAACCTTCTCAGTCTTCCTCAGATGTCGGTCCTTCATCACTACCCTTATTCTCACGGACCACCCTGGCTTCTGCTTTATTGAGGCACATGTTTGGTTCCCTAGTTTTGACTCCTTTCTATAACTTCTCTGTCATTCACTCCTCTCTTTCAGGAAGAGGGCACATGACTCTTGCAAAGGCTAACTTATCCTCCTGCACTCTTTTTCCCTTTTCTTCAGTGATTTTATATATTTTATTGATAGATTGAAATTATGAATGAAATTCATATTTGTAAACATTTAATAATAATTAATTAAAAGAATGACTTCCCATCCAATCCTACTTTATAAAGATAACCATTTTAATTTGCTGGGTATTCTTCCAGAATGTTTACACATATGTATCACATTTATCCAATATATATATTATATATTATATAATGTTTTATATATATAAATGTTTTAAATATATATCTATAAAACAAATGTGAATCATGTTATACATGCTATTCTGCAACATATTTTAAAAACTCAACATTCTGCTTCATCCAATAAGTATTTATTGAACATTTACTAACTGTGGGTCAAGCTCTATGCCAGGGCATGGATATACAAGGATGAGAAATACAAGGATGAGAAAGCAGATATGGTCCCTGCCACAGTGGAACTCACAATGCAGTGGAGGGATATTTTGAGCTTCATTCCATTTTAGTACATACACATTTTGCTCATTGTTTCTAATAATTGCACGGTGTTCTGTAGAAGAGGTTTACCATAATTTACTTAAACATTTGTCTATTGAAGGACACTTGGGTTCTCCATTTTTTCCTATTGCAACTAATATTATAATGAATACCCTTGGACATTTGCATGAGTTTTTCTGTGGGACAGAATCATATTAGTGAAATTGCCCAGGTAGAAGGCAATTTAAAATTTTATGCATATTTAAGAATATACATATTTAAAATTTCAATATTTTCACATTACTTTATAAAAAGGCTGTAGCAATATATCTTCCCTCATTAGCAGCCAGACTTCTGACCCCAGTCCCCCCATCATCTTTGAAATTTTACTTATCAACTATTCTCCCTTTACTTGCATCCACAATCACTCCGTTAACCTATAAAAAAGCTTAGGCAATCCTGCCCCCCTGCCCCTTTTCTTTTTTTTTTTTTTTGAGATGAAATCTCACTCTGTCACCCAGGCTGGAGTGCAATGGTGTGGTCTCGGCTCATTGCAACCTCTGCTTCCTGGGTTCAAGCAATTCTCCTGCCTCAGCCTCCTGAGTAGCTGGGACTACAGGTGCATGCCATCACACCCGGCTAATTTTTTTAATTTTTTTTTTGTATTTTTAGTAGAGACGGGGTTTTACTATGTTGGCCAGGCTAGTCTCGAACTCCTGACCTTGTCATCTGCTCGCCTCGGCCTCCCAAAGTGCTGGGATTACAGGCGTGGGCCATCACACCCGGCCTGTGATTTCTTAAGTTACCTATCTTTCTCATTTCCTCTTGGCCATTACTTCCCTCAATTCATAATCCTTTCCATAAGGTTTAGGTCCGCATCATAATGCCACAGTGCTCTCAAGGAGCTCCCCAGTCACCTCAAATCACTACGTCCAATGAGGGCTTAGTCTTTTTAACCCCCATGGAACGTTTCTTCCTTCTCAAGACCTTCTCTTTTACAGAAACATTCTTCTGTTTTTCTCTTCCTAGCTTTCTGATGTGGCCCCCTTAATACAGGGAGACATTTGGCCTTTGGCATTCTTTCTTCTCCCTTTATCATTTCCTCCTGATCTAATCTACTGCCCTGGCTTTCATTATTGCTTCTGTATGTGTCTGAACTCTTCATCTCTGGTCAAGGTCATTCTAATAAGCTCTAGACCTGAATTTCCAACTGCAGAAATGTTATACCCAAAAGACACCCTTACGCCAATCTCAGTATGCTCAGAATGGAATTCATTTTCTCCACCTGAAACCTTCCTTATGCTTGTTTTTTTTTTTTTTTTTTTTTTGTGACAGAGTCCAGCTCTGTCGCCAGGCTGGAGTGCAGTGGCACAATCTCAGCTCACTGCAGCCTCTGCCTCCCGGGTTCAAGCAATTCTCCTGCCTCAGCCTCCCGAGTAGCCGGGACTCAGGGGCGTGCCACCACGACTGGCTAATTTGTGTGTGTCTGTGTGTGTGTGTGTCTGTGTGTGTTTTAGTAGAGATGGGATTTCACCATGTTGCCCAGGCTGGTCTCAAACTCCTGAGCTCAGGCAATCTGCCCACCTGGGCCTCCCAAAGTGCAAGGATTACAGGTGTGAGCCACCGTGTCTGGCTGGCTGGCCGGCCGGCCTGCCTGCCTGCCTGCCTTCCTTCCTTCCTTCCCTTCTTCCCTTCTTTTCTTTCCTTTCTTTCTCTGTCTTTCTTTCTTTCTCTCTCTCTCTTTCTTTTTCCTTCCTTCCTTCCTTCCCTTCCCTCCCTCCCTCCCTCCCTCCCTCCCTCCCTCCCTCCCTCCTTTCTTTCTTTCTTTCTTTCTTTCTTTCTTTCTTTCTTTCTTTCTTTCTTTCTTTCTTTCTTTCTTTCTTTCTTCTTTCTTTTCTTTCTTGCCTTCTTTTTAACAGAATCACTATTCTTCCAGTCATCTAGGCTCAAAATGTCAGCGTGTTTTTACTACTATCTTGTTCTTGACTCTCATTTCCCATCCATTGCCAAGTCAATAGATTCTACTAAGGCTGCATTTCACACACCAGCATCTTACAGAATAATGGGTTAAACAAAGTTAAAAAACATTAAACTGCAATACCTCTTATACCTTTGCATCATGAATCCCTAAAAAGGACAGTTCCTATGCATTTCTCCCCTTATAGAGCAAATACATTTTTATTTTCAAGAGAAATCTATTGAAGTTTCTCAGGAAGTTAAGGAATATATTTTGGTAAATGCATGCATAGAAAAAATGTCGTTCTCTAAAACAGCATTTTGATGTGTCATTTCACTGAATTCATTCAGAAAGAAGCTATATGAAAGGGCCAGATCTGGTGAAAGCCATGCAGAATGGGTGGTGGGCTTCTTCCTAACATTGTTGCTGATTCCAGACAGTAAACATCCGTGCAGTTCATTGCAAGTGAGTTTCATAATTGGTGTAAAAGTAATTACAGATGCACAGGCATTTAGAAATGGGTTAAAACAATTTTGTGCTTACTCAGTATCACTCTGGCTCAAAATTCTTTTAAGTGTTCATCAGACATCTCACTCTGTCTATAATTTGGTCCTGCTTGGGTTTTAAAAATAGGTGTCTTTTAAGTGGTATATATTAATTTCCTTTGAGAGCCACTATTTCCATGTATCATCAAGTAAAAAAAACTGTGCTCCAAAATTATTCAAACACACTGATACATTTGGCTTCTATAAAAAGTTAATTACAAGCTGACATAGATAAACAATATCTTATACTTTCTTTTAGGTCCTAGAACTGACTTTGGTTATATCTACATTAGCCGATATGTAGCTCTAAATTATAGCCTAGAAATGATATTCATTGCTACTATGGCATTATTTTATGTTTCTTTTCACATCAGATAATATTCACAAAATGTAATAAAATAAAAATGTATGAAAAGAAGGAAAATAACTACCTCATTTGTATCTATTTCTCTTAACAAATGATATGAATTTTATGCAATGGCTGTAAAATGTTTAATGCAAGTGACACATTTCTAGCTGCCAGGTGGCATGTTCTGCTGTACAGGAAGTGAGTGCCCAAGGAAGGCAAAGTATGAGTTAGAATGCAAGAAACTGAACACTCCTACTCACACTGGCATGGACAACAGGGAAATTCAGGTTCTCTTTAACAAGAGGCTTGGAAGTGGCATAAGCACAGGATGTGAGAGCTCCAGCTCTGCTCTTCTGAGAATGTTTGGGTTCTTTCCTCTATATGTTGGTTTTATTCTTAGGCTGGGAACAAAACGGCTACAGCAGTTCCAGGTCTCACAGCCAGACTTGACATTATTTAGAAGCAGAGAAGCATCCATTCCTCCAGCAGACCACCCCTCAGATTTCACTGGCCAAAAGGGATCACTACTCATTACTCACCAAGCAATGATAATAGATCAGTTACAGCCTGTAGCTATCAATGGCTTAGGCAATGTGCCACAAACAACAAGACAATAGATCGATGGCTTAGATCAATCAAGACTTAGTCTTAGAGAAGGGAATTAGGTCACTATCCTTTGATTTACTTGAATTAATTTGCACTCTGCTAGCAAGAAAGGAGGGAGAATGGATGTTGAATGTATGAGTGGCCTATGATGGAGTAATAAACCACCCAAAACATAGTGCTTAAAATAACTACCATTTATTTAGTTCATTTTTCTGGGGTCAGCAATTCAGGCTGGGGTCAGCAATTTAGGCTGGGCTCATCTGGATGGTTCTTTGAATTTGTATGGTCTTTCATGTATGACTGAAGTCAGCTGTGGGTTGACTAGTGGCTCTGCTTTTGTGGGTAGGCTGGCTGTCAGCTGGGGTACTTGGTTCTCCTTCAGAAGTTCTCTCATTCTCCAGAAGGCTAACCTGGACCTCTTCACATGGTTGAGGCAGGTTACAGGAATAAGAGGGCAAGTTTCAATGTGCAAGCAAGGGCAAGGAAGTGGATAAGTCTCTGGGCATATTTGCAATATACCATATTGAGTTTGCCATCATCTGGTATGGCAAAATTTAGTCAAAGATCATTAAAAATATATGCTGCTCTCTTTGTCCTTTTCCTTCATTTTACCCACTTAAACACAATAGTACTTTATATAATAGTTTAAGCAAAACTTAGAAGATATCTAGATATCCAATATTTTGGACTTTTTCTCTTCACCCATATATCTGCCTTAGGACCTGGCATGATGTTATTGTACCAGGTAGAATATTTGTTAGGAAAGCCCAGCTTCTCGGCCCCTTGCCTAATGAAAGGCTTAGAAACTTGAGACTTTTTTTCTAGAGATTTCTAAGCAGAGGCCAACATGCCCCAAGGTATTCTTAATTCTTTAGGATAATGCTTTGTGGTGGGAAAGGCCTTGCAGTGGAAGATTTAGGTACACGATGATGATCAAGGCTTTAAAAAAAAAAAAAAACTTTTATTTCAAGTTCAGGGGATACAAGTTCAGGTTTGTTATGCAGGTAAACTTGTGTCATGAGAGTTTGTTGTACAGATTATTTCATCACCCAGGTATTAAGTCTAGTACCCATTAGTTATTTTTCTTATCCTCTCCCTCCTCCCACCCTCCACCCTCCAATAGGCCCCAGTGTATGTTGCTCCCCTGTATGTGTCCATGTGTTCTCATTATTTAGCTCCCACTTATAAGTGAGAACATGTGGTATTTGGTTTTCTGTTCTTGTTAGCTAAGGGTAATGGCCTCCATCTCCATTACCCTTCAAAAGACATGATCTCATGCTTTATATGGCTGCATAGTATTCCATGGTGTACATGGTGTATATGTAGCACATTTTCTTGATCCAGTCTATCATTGATGTGCATTTAGGTTGAGTTCACATCTTTGCTATTGTGAATAGTGCTGCAATGAGCATATGGGTGCGTGTGTCTTCATAACAGAATGATTTATATACATTACTGGATCAAGGCTTTCTATACCTGAAGAGAGGTGGCTGTTTAATTTCATAGATGCATAAACTGAGAGGTATAAAGGATGATATAGTTGCTTAGTCATAGCCATCAAATGTCAGAATTGAAACAGAACCTGAACTGTGGTCTAAATCTTCTGTCCAACCATCTTAAATAGTTGGAATTTGGCTGTTTAATAAACTCTCTCACCCAAAACACAACTAGGAACAAAAGCATGAGCAAAAGGAGCCTTTAACCCTAAAAAGTATGTCATAAAGTCCATGAAATTCACTTTATTTGGAAAAAATCCTCTTCGGATTGTCGATCAGAGTCTGTTTACTCTTATGCTACACACAACTATAACAGTGGCTTTCTTTCTTTCTTTCTTTTTGAGATGGAGTCTTGCTCTGTCACTCAGGCTGGAGTGCAGTAGCGCAGTCTCGGCTCATTGCAACCTCTGCTTTCCGGTTTCAAGCTATTCTCCTGCCTCAGCCTCCTGAGTAGCTGGTGTACACCACCACGCGGGGTGAATTTTTTTTTTTTTTTTTTTTGTATTTTTAGTAGGGACGGGGTTTCACCATGTTGGCCAGACAGGTCTTGAACTCCTGACCTCAGGCAATCTGCCTTCCTCAGCCTCCCAAAATGCTGGGATTACAGGTGTGAGCCACCATGCCCAGCCCTGGCTAGTGGTTTCTAAGTCCACAGTGTATTAAAAAAGTACTTCAAAGGGGGAAAAATAGACATAATTATAAGAGAATGTGAAGTGATATTTGATAATTTGACAGGAGGGAGAAGAGAGAAAACTTTTAAAAATAAAATTCAGGGATTAAAAAATACAACATTTGGAGCCTTTCTTAAAAATGAAAATAGCTCTCTCTATCTAACTGGAATGGAGGGGCATCACTATAATTGTGGTTCATGTAACATACACACATAAATCTATAAGGCAGTATCTATAGACAGTATAACTTATCTAATTGCTGGCTTCAGATACCAGAATTTTGTTACATATGTTAGTGTCCCTCGCATCTCTCCCCTAGTACAAGGATTAACCATAGCAATATTTAGAAAAGCGTCTTAATTTGGAGGTTCATAAAGCAAGAAAAGAATTTATTGAGAATGATTGAGCCTGCACACTACAGAAATAACTTTCCTCAGTTTATGAAATAGCTAACTTAATCATAAAAGATACACCACAAAACACAGCTTTTCACCAACATGCTTCCAATGTTAACTTTGAGCCCCTCCACACCAGAATTAGCAAAGCCCTCTGCTATCTGTGACCTGGGGCCCATCACCATGCTTGGATGGCCACTGTTTAGAGTCTGCATTGGCCACTGACACATCTTCTTTAGGATGGGGCCCCTTTTTGAATGTAAACTAAGGGGCACACTTGCCTCAGAATGTTTGACTTTATGTTGTGAGGCTGAACATCCTCACACACTGTGGCCCAGCTGTTCTACTCCTAAGTATATCCCCAATGGAAACTCTGTCACATGCCTCATAGGACATGTGCATAAGAATATTATACTGCTCATAGCAAAACAAAAACACAAAACAGTCCAAATCCCCTGCCAATGGGATACTGGGTGAACAAACTGATAATGCTTAGACACAGGAAGATGACCGTCTAAATGAATGATTAATTTTAGCCATATAATATTAAGTTAAAAACATTAAGTCCCCAAAGAATACCTATGGTATGTTACTCTTTTTTAAAGTTAAGAACAAGTGAAATAAAAATATGAATTTTGGAATGTGTATAGATGTAATAAGACAATTTTAAAAAGGAAAGCAAGGGAATGATCAACCCTGTATTCAGGATGAGGTTATTTGGTGGGGAGTGGGAGTTGAGATGAGGAGGAGCCATACGGATATAGGTAGGTTATTTCCAAAGCTCTAGACTTTTAAGGGTAGCGATAGTCTCATAGGCACTTATTAAATTATTTAAAATATTAAATTAAATAGATAACTAGGTAAAGAAAAGCAGGACATACATATATCACTGAAGAGAGTGTGTCAGCAAACAGGATTACAATTAATATAATTATTTGTATCAGAAGGCCAATGGAAGGTCCAGGAAGAAACTTAGGTAAATTAGCAGCTGAGGTTTCCAAGAGTCAATTTGTGGGAGATCTGTTCTCTAAATTACCTCGCCTCTGCGCCACTGAAGGAGGACAGAGAGGGAGGTTTGCAATGGTGCCTTGGTGAAGTGGGAAGGAAAGGGCATGGTATTATAAAGTGGTAAATTCACAGCCATCCCCAAATCTTAGCTCACCAGTAGGTTGCCTTGCTAAGTGCAGAGGCTAACTCCATTTCCCCTATTGCACATCAGAAGCTCACCAGAATCCATGCTGTGTGCGATTGTGACCCTGGAACCCAGCCCATTTCAATGTATTTTGCATGTCCTCCTCTGAAGCATGCTGGAGATAAAGAATGATGAACGAGCAAGAGTAAGTTTAATTAGCACATGACTTGCAATATTTCCCCACTCTGAGGACTAACCATGCTTTTTCTGGTTTTGGACGGAATCTTAAATCCAAGTTTTTAAAAGGGTCTTACTTTCTTAATATAGTTTTAGATTAGATTTTAGAATCAGCACATTATGCACGAATCTAAGAAATAGACATTTTGCACAATCCAAGGTGGAGGTTAGTCATCATTTTGCCTCTCTCTACAGTTTGTGAGAGAGAAATTATAGCAACCAGAACAGCACTCTAGTCCTCTAGAGAGCAATGTTTCTGCTAAAATAAAAAGGGAATGGACTACAGGATAAAGATAATTATGAACATACAACAAAGATGCAAACCTTGGCTCCATCTCCTCCTGCTTCCCACCCTGTGCTGTTCTATTCCTTGGAGAAACAGCTAAAGCAAGGCCCTGCCACTTAGCAAGACTCAGCCTGTGGCTCGGCAGCTGTGTTTCTTATACAGCATATTTGCCTTACAGTATTTGTACTAAAGCTGTATCTTTTCCCTTCTCCACCCAAATGAAATCATTTCCTTTTACCATCCTGCAGCTTAATTCTTATGGAAGAGAGGAGTTACATTTGTAAGGGAGACAGGGTGGGATGGGCAGGGAAGGAACAGCCAGCTTATAAACATGCCAGGGCTTAATATGGGAGCCAGGGAGAAAGCTCACACTTGCAGAAAGACGACAGTGCTTAAGGCCTGCAGCCGCTGTGTTTGTGAGGGATCACTTTTCCCATCTTCACCAAGCCAGACCCTGAAAATGTACCACACCATCCTCTGAAAAGAATTCTTGTTAATTAGCTATGTTTTATTTTTGGAGCTTGACAATATCAAAATCTTTTTGGGAGTTAAGCAATTTTCAGTCATGTTAAAGCACAGGATGGAGAAAGTACTCCCTAATTCTCATAAACTTGCAAGAATGGAAAATGGCAAACTTTGCCTTTTATCTACAGCATATGAAATTTGAAAAATAGCATAAATAAAGACTGTATCCAAGCCCCTTCTGTGCCCTAAAAATGGCATTGCAATGTAGAGAATGAATATATGCATTCACATGTATTGTCAGCTGTCTTGATAAAATGATGTTTTCATAATATAGTGTTATTTCTTTAAACCACATTCAATATTCTTGGCTGCCAGATGACAAGATGGAGAAAACAAAATACGTTTTGGGCAGAGGACAAAGACTTAAGGACTGAGTGGGTCATGGGAGGGAGTCAAATGATAGTTTGAAATTTGCTGCTCTTCTTGCCTGTTCTATTTAATTTTTGAGATGAGTGGGGAAGAGACACATAACACAGGAGATTTGGGGAAGACCAGTTGTCTCAATGTTGGCAATGATTTGTAGGGCATTTTGCATTTATTCTAACAACAAAATCCAAGGGCCAAAGTTGGGTGAGTCTGGACAGATAGCAAGAGAAAAAGACTCTGCTACTTCTAAGCAGCCTTCAAGGAGGTGCCCCGGTGACTGATGTTATAAGGGCTGGCCTCTCCAGAATTTACTTTCAAATAGGGCAGTCATGAATGGAATGAGTTATTGGCTTAAGATATTTAATAAGGATGTGGTAGAATCTGAGCATTGTATTCCAAGTCTGACCTCTCCTAGTACACACACACATATATACACACACACACATGCATGCACACACACCCTTTAGTTTTAATTCTGTTTAAGAGAGAGTTTTATTTTTTATCCTTAAATACCATACTTCATGCCAAATTATTTTCAGTTTTGTTACATACAATGGCAAAAGTGAGTAGCTTGAGAAGCTGGCCGGTGGAGGAGCCTTTTGAAGATTCCCTTTTATTAAAGAGTTTAGAGGCTTCGAAGGACTTGAAAATTGTTGACAGTGAAAAAAAAAGTTAATTGAGACTATAAATTCTTAACCCTGTTTATTATATGTTCAAGGAAGATTGTTCCTTTGGCCTCATTTTCATCCATGTCAACACATTTTGGATTGTAAGTCATTTGGGAGTAGGAGCAGTGACTATGTGCCCTAGATTTTCTAAGATATCCCTGAGTTCCCATGTTCTGCTCTGTGGTCCTTGAAATGCCCTCAAATTGATGTGAAGATTTTTCCCCCATAGCTACTCTGTTTACACAGTCTCATATTCAGAAAGGGTCTTAAAGCTTTGCAGTGGGCCAGGCGCGGTGGCTCACACCTGTAATCCCAGCACTTTGGGAGGCCAAGGTGGGCGGATCACGAGGTCAGGAGTTCGAGACCAGCCTGGCCAATATGGTGAAACCCCGTCTCTACTAAAAATACAAAAATTAGCCGGGTGTGGTGGTGCACACCTGTAATTCCAGCTACTCAGGAGGTTGAGGCAGCAGAATCGCTTGAACAAGAAGGCGGAGGTTGCAGTGAGCCAAGATCATACCTCTGTACTCCAGCCTGGGCAACAAGAGTGAAACTCCATCTCAGAAAACAAACAAACAAACCAAAAACCTTTGCAGTGATGTAGTGGTGTAGGGAGCTTAAACAGCATGTCCTAATTCATAGCTGGTTAGTGGGGACACCCAGGTTAGGGTCTCCTGTTGCAGTGCTGAACTTACAAGTGGACACTTCAGTTTTGTTGCTATCAGTGATCCAGAGGAAGGAGAAAAGTCCCACAAAAGCACCAGAGTTAATTTTATTTGTAAAAAATTGTGAGCCTAAGCAGTTTTTCTTGATAAAGTAAAATTTACTCCAGTGTTGGCAGGGATTGTACAAATGTCTTATTTTCAGGAAATGATCTTCAGCTCATAAATTTTGCCAAAACATAAATATAATTAAAATATATCCCTAAGTGAACTTAAAATCATTCTGGAACAACAAAGTTCCCCAGTGAGATGAGATGTGCCTTTTCTCCTTTTCTTTTTTTCAGTTAATCATTGAGAATTAAATTTTGCTTATTTTCTTTCCCTCTTTAGTTTTCTTGATAACTTCTTCTGCAGTTCAGTGGAAGAATCATCTTTTTTTTTTTTTTCATTCCAATGGAATACTACAATGATTTAAGAACTTTACTTGCTTCAATTTGGATCTTATGCCTTAATCCACCCCCGGCCTCTCCTCCCCATACACACACACACTGGGAATGCGGCTCTCTGAGTCGCTGACTCAAGCAGCAGAACGACATCTGCTGTGGATGTTCAGCAGCACAGCTGACATGTATTTGAAAAGTGAAGTGTTGGAGTCATTTAGGGAGCAGAGCAATTTCCTCTGTCAGAGATGAACACTTGGATTAACAGAGAGTACTTCATTCCCATACAAGTTGATTCTGAAAGTGCCTGAAGCAAATCTCTTGACCCTGAAGTTGAGGCTAACCACTCCTGGGCAGGGTCAGAAGTTTAAAAAAATGCTGTTTTAGAGGTTAATGGGGTGAGGGCTATTTCCAGCTGAGTCTTCAAAAGTGCTTCAGACTGCAATTAGCATTTACTGTTTGCTTAAAAAAATGACTTCACTCATTCACAGCCATTGATTCTTATTTATGAATATTACTTTTTAAAGAGACATTAAAGTAATATAATTAAAATACTTAATGTTTATCTTTAGTCTTTTCCCTTCCTGCTCTAGCAATACCAAAGTTCTTAAAATTTTCTGAATAAGCTATGTCATTTTGTTGTTAACCTTTAAACATGCTGTTTTTTGTTTTAGGAAAACTATATTTTCCCCTGCTTCTCTTTGCCTGGCTAATTCCTACTCGTCTTTTAGGTCTTGAGCTTCCAGCTGGGTGGTGTGTTGCTCCTGTGAGCTCCCTGGACCCCACCCCTTTCCTTACCCGCTACCCACCTTGTCACATTTTTTCTTGTCTACCAGGACCTTCCACCACTGCACCATAGCTATCCACTTGGCACACATTAAGTACTCAACAGATATTTGTTGGATGGATGGATACATGAAGAAAGGAGGAATAGAGGAATGAACAAATGGGTAAATCACTTTCCAATTAGTGGAGGTAGAGTTGCTTTCAAATGTTATTGTGCTTCACAATCACTTGGGGTACTTTGATAAAAATGTGTATTCTCAGGTTCTAACTGCAAGGATTTTTCATGACATATAGGGGTATATGTGGCAAGCCTCAAATAATTCATGACTACAGAACATAATATGTGAGACAGAAAGCGGGGAAGAGCCTGCCAATGAGCCTGGGTTAGATCTGCAGTACAGATGATGGGGAGCCAGCAAAGGATTTCAAGGATGGTCACATTTCTGGTATCTGTGTAGAAATTAGATTCAGCATTGATCTTCAACCTTGGCTGCATGCTGGAATTACCTGAAGAACTTTAACAAGTAAGTAATGATGCCTGGGTCCACCTCAAGAGGTTTGTATTTAATTGGTCTGAGGTGTGGCCTGGGCTCTGGAATGGTGTTAGAGCTTCTCAGGTGATTCTAATAGAACACCAAGATTGAGAACTACTAGAAGAGAGGAGAAAATTCATCCATACAATTTGGCAATCAATCAACTCTCCTCTGACATCTTTTAAGTATTGTGTATTGGCAAAAAGCAGTTAAAAACCACAATGCGATATTACTGCATACCTACCAGAATGGCTAAAATAAACAATGGTGATAACATTAAATGCTGGAGAGAATGTGGAAAAACTAGTTTTCCGATATGTATGGCGTACGTATGGTGGGAATGAATGGCAATTTCTTAAAAGCTAACCATGCAACTATTATGTGACCCAGAGTAGGGTAAATGCATCTGATCACAATAACTTAGGCATACTCTGATAATGACCCTGTGTGGCAGAGACACCTGAATGTATGTTCCTAGCTAGGGAAGCTGGGAGCAGACAACCTGAAGATTAATTCTTTTTCTATGTGGAACGTCTGGGTCTCCGGCTCATCCCATGGAACACCAGCCACACAGGATATTGAAGCTCCAGGTTTTGGGTTGAATGAAGGTTGCCAGGTGGAAGTTTTAGAGAAAGGGTGCTAAGTGAAAATGCTGTAATAAACTGGATGCTTTTTGCAAGCTGTTGCAGTTTTCTTGCCCAGCCCACCTCCACTGGGCTGTGTAGTTCTCCTGTCTAGCCTGCTGCCACGGGACTCTCTCCCCTAAATATAAGCCCTAAATAAAACCCCATGTCTCATTTGCTGTCTGAGTCTCTTCTTCAGCCTCTTGAACCTGGTGCCATCTCTATTGAGGTTAATAGGTGTTCAGCCTGACACCCAGCATTTGCACTCCTGGCATTTATCCCGGAGAAATGAAAATGTAGGTTGGCAAAAAAATAGTACATGAATGCTCATAGCAGCTAAACTGTAATAACCAAAAATTGGAAATAACACAAATGTCCTTTAATGGGTAAATGGTTAAACAAACTGGTGTGTCTATATCATGGAATACTCTTCAGCAATAAGATGAACAAATGATTGGCACATGCAACAACTTGGAGGGATTTCATGGGCATTATGCTTAGTGAAAAAACCAATCTCAAAAGTTTGCATACTATATGATTCTATTTATATAACATTCTTGAAATGACAAAATGATAGAAATAGAGAACAGATTAGTGGTTACCAGGAGACAGTGAAGAAGGTGGTGTGAGTACAAAGGGGTAGGCCCTGCTCATTGCTTTATGGCAATAGAACCATTCTGTATCCTGATTGTGATGGTGGTTACAGGAATCCATACAGGGGATTCAATTTTGCAAAAGACTATACTTACTCACACTTACTTGTTCATACCCCCACACATAATGCCCCCTCTCCCCAACTGAGTGGCAGGTAAAAACTGCTGAAAACTGAATGAAGCCTGTAGTCTAGTTAGCATTATTGTGCAAATGTCAACTTCCTGGTTTTGATATTGTACTACAGTAATGGAAAATGGTAGCTTGGAAGCTTGGGTAAGAGTTCACTGGACTCTGTGAACTCTTTTTCTGACTTCCTATGTGTCTACAGTTATTTTAAAATAAAAAAATGATAGTTGCATGTTTTTATTTACTGGCTGTATTTTAAAAAATGTCACGCATATATACATACTTTAATTCCATGGCTAGACTGTAGATTTTAGTATAGTGGCAACGTCTCATTGTGCTCATTCAAGTAAATTTAGCTCAATTCAGTTAAACTCAGTTCATCTCAATAAATATTTGAGGGCCTACTAGACACAAAAGGAATGATGTTAGTCCTCTTACCCTTAATCTTATATTGTCCATCCAGACTATGTACACTGATAGGTACACAATAAGACCTCAAAAAATGGCATCTAGTGATTGGACAATTGCCTTATTAATTTTTATGGTGCTGTGTGATACATCCCTTATTCGTATAAAGGCTGCATTTCTTTTACTTTGTTTTCTTTCTCTGAAAAGACCAAAATTTATGTAAGGAAAATACATTTTCCAAATTAATTTCTTATACCTCATTACCAGGATTGATGAAAACATTAATATACTCCACAAATTTATTTCAGGTTTTAAGCTGTAAGCATGTTTTAGTATATTATTTTACATCAAAAGACATGTGGTGCCTTGAAACCAGGACAAAACAGCTAGACTACCAAATAATATTCTTGGTCTTTTTTTTTTGAGATGGAGTCTTGCTCTGTCGCCCAGGCTGGTGTGCAGTGGCATGATCTCGGCTCACTGCAACCTCCACCTCCCGGGTTCAAACAATTCTCCTGTCTCAGCCTCCTAAGTAGCTGGGACTACAGTATTCTTGGTCTTTTTTATTTTTATTTTTAACAATCACCAAGCTTAAATTTGTGGGGAGGAGTGCAGTTTCCTTAATGTTTTCTACTTGGTTCAACATTCCCAGACAGCAATTACAAGGCAAATATCATTTCAGTAAATGAGAAATTCTTGTTTTCATGTACTGATTGGCTTTATGACACACTAAGGTTAATTGGGAAGCTTCTCAGGCTTATCTGAGTGATAACAAACAGCTGCAATAGATTGCACTCCCTTATCCCCCACATCATTTTGACAGAGCAACACCAAAACAAAACCTCATGAAATGTGTCATTAAACCGCACCGCAAACCTGGTTGCAATTGTGTCTGAGATAGCATCACAGGAAGCCAGAAGGAAACCAATAGCCTGAGAGAAAATGTTTAAATTAGCAAGGGTAGCCAGCCACCCTAGACCACAGCAGCTATAGGATTTGGTTACTGGAGTTCCAATATATGGCAATCTAGATAGTTCTTTATCTCACATGAATACATAGTGCTACTCCAAGCAAAAATATACTTGTCTAATGCAAATGCCCTAAATGCCAGATTTTTATATCTCTAATATAAGAATCACATTGCTGATTTCACTAGTAAAGTAAAAATGGATATCTTTGACTGCTTTGAAGAGCTTATAAAGGGCTTTACTTGCCATAATTTTTAAGTAACAACAGCTAATCTGTTTGAGCACTTATTAGAGCCCAAGCACTGGACTGTTTCTCATGTATCATCTCAGTTAATCCTCCCTGTAATCCTAGGATAGAATTATTATGCATGCATTACAAATGATGCCTAGCACACATACGAATCTTGTTCAAGGTCACAGAGTCAGTAGGTGTTAGAGCCTGGACTTGAGTCCAGGTACATCTTTTCCCAAAGACTCACTCTTATACTAATGAGTAGGTTAACAGAGAATGTTTTACAGGGAACTCATTGAGAGAAAGTTGCCTGGTAGAGTAGTTTTTAGGTCAGCAGATGTTTTTCCAGTTCAGTTGCCAGTTGGCCAGGTCACCAAGTGGATAACCAGTAGTCTCTCTGGTTATCTATGTGCATATTTGGGATGAGATTTCTTCCACTGTGTGGTATGATGCTGCTGCAGTGTTTTTAGGGAGTGTGTGGGTCAAAGCAACTTGCTCAATGATGGAAAAAAAGAGTTAGCCTGTAATGCTTTAGTTGGAAGATGGATATGTGCCATTGGTGTCCCTTTACTGGCTTCTGCTCATCCAGAGGCTCCTCTTTCTTGCTCCTACCTCTTTGTCCTCTTCCACACAGTCTGGTCCAATCATGCTCTTCATTTGGGCCTTGAAGGGGCATATCAACTAGTTGTTCATCCTGCTGTTTGTTTTTCAAATAGCCCCATTTGTGTCTCTTACCTTTCTGGTGTACAAAGCAGGGAAGTGGAGCAATAGCTTAGGACTGCCGATTTGGAGTCAGACAGACTTAGGTTCAAATCCCAGTATAGGCACTTGCTGACACTTACACATGAATTTTGGTCAAGCCATTTAATTTCCCTGAGCCTCCGTTTCCTCATCTGTAAAATTAAACAATGACACAATCTTATTGGGTTGTTGTGAGACTTAAATGAGATAATTTATGTAAAGCTGAATTCTTGGTATTGGAAGGGCTCAAATGTTAGTTATAATATGTTAGTTATAAATAATTGTCATCAATAGTTCAACCTCACTTATTTTTAATCCATTATTACCGTTCTTTCCATAATTTGGAATTTCTTTTTGCTTTGCTAATCTTTGAACTGCCTTAGCCTCAACATACTACAGTCACCCTTCTGTATACATGGGGGATTGGTTCCAGGATACATTCCCCATCCCTCTTCTTGGCTAATACTGTACTTTTGTTAGTGTTTGGTTGGGAAAAATCCCAGTAGAAGTGAACTCTCATAGTTCAAACCCGTGTTGTTCAGTGGTCAACTGTATTTAGTACCATGAAGGCTTTCAAAACTTACATTGATCTATATTCCAGTTGTCAAGCATGTAATAATCTTCACTTTCTTAATTTTTCTTTCCCTGATATGCTATTTAGCACCTGTGTAAACCTATGCAGCTGTGCTCAGCTATGTATAAATGTTTGCTTATGTGCTTCTGTTATGTTTATTTATGTGATGCTGTGGAGAGCCAGTTGCTCTATTAAATTATAAGCTCCTCAGAGGCCAAGGACCACACTTTCTGTTTCTGCTCCAAGTCCGGATGTCCTTCCAAGGACGGATTTTAGGAAGGCTGAAACTCAAACATACAGAACAGCTTTAATAAGATGTTAATGACAAATTTTCAAACATTGTGTTCTTTTCTAGGGTATCATCTCTTAAAGTAATTTCAGTCATAGCTTATAGAATTGTTCAACTTGGGGGCCTTTAGTGGGTGACTTTTTACATTTAAAAATTAATAAGTCTACAATTTGAGAAACAAATGAATAATAAAGAATAAAAAGGATTTAGTAACTGTTACTCTCCAGAAAATTTCAGGCCATATTTCCTTTGATCGGCTAAGTGATTGATACATTAGATTAAGAAAAGATCAAGTCATGCATAATGGAAATAATAATAGCTACACTTTTAGAACACTTAGTAGATACTAGGTACCTTGCCAGGAGCTTGGTTTGTCTTATTCAATCTTCCTGCCACTATTGTGAGGTAGGTACCATGTTTCTTTCTGTTTTGCTTATAAGGAAACTGAAATTAAAAATGGTGTGACTCATGTCTGTAATCCCAGTACTTTGGGAGGCCCAAGGATCACTTGAGCCCAGGAGTTCCAGGCTGCAATGAACTATGATTATAGCACTGCACTCCAGCCTTGGTGGAAAAAGAAAAAAGAAAGGCTACCCTTTGTCCAGGATGCAGCTGAAAAGTGATGGAGCCAGGCCCAGCACCCAAAACCCATGCTAATCACTAAACTTTGTTGCCTGCCACAAAAGAGAAGGAGTTTCATAGATGCATTACAAAGATAATTATAATATTCTTTTTCTTCTTCTACAACACCATTCCCTCACCCCTCCACCCTAAGGAAAGGAAATTCTATTAGTATATAAAATTTGATTAATGTAGACAAATACACTGCAGAAGTTTTGGATAGTTTGCAAGAACAATTTAAAAAAAATTATCTCACTGGCTGTTTGCCTTCATATGCTCCTCTTCTCCAAAGGCCCAGCTCTTGCTCACTGCCTAACAGTGGAGTCCTCAGGGAGTGTTGTCTCTGTCAGAGTGAAGCCATTAGGGACAATGTCTCATTGCCTTTCAAGAGGACAGACAGGAAATATATTTTGCTTCCCTCTCTCTTACCCAATCCTCTATCTTTTCCCTTCTCAGCTATATTCTTTTGGCATAAATAAAGGCTAACTTCTCCCAGGAGTTCAGTAACTTGAGCCCTCCCCAAGCACTGTCTGAGAAAGCTGGCTCTAAACACACACACACACCACAGGCAGCTGCTTGGGGGCCCTGTTCTTTGGCAACATCACAACTCCCGCCTGCTTTTTCTGGATTTCAGGACCCAGCAATTACAAAGCCGGCCTCTGGGCCTGCACGTAGAGCATGCTTTAATAGTAAAAGCATCTAGTGGGTCTCTTCCAACTTCGAGCATTCTGGGAGTCTCTCAGCCTTGAATCTTACAGGGTCCAAGAACCTCTCAGTGGAGTCAGGATTATGCTGTAGCCAATCTGTAGCAGAATTCTTACATTTGTTCTGTTTTACAGCAAGGGTACCAAGAGAGCTTCCAAGTCACTGCAACATGCTGTGCATATAATGTGAAGGAGGAGCGCAGAGGTGGCTGTACCTGGGGGCTGATGATGCCTGGGCTTCGGGCTGCATAAGTGCCTGGATTCTGGCAGGCAGCGGCCCTGTTGCATTCATAATTCATCATTCTGTCTTCAGTTTCTTAAACATGGCCTCCCCAGTTGTATAATCTTTAAGCCACTTCGAACATTAACCTGCCCCTGGTTGAGTGTCTTTTTGAGCAGTAGTTCAATCTACGCCATGTTTGACTAACATGTTCCTATTGCAAGACATTGAAGCCATTGAAGATTAAATATAAGAAAGCTAGTGCAAATAATATGGAAAGTTAGTTTTTTTGTCTTTTCATGTATGATCATTTTTCTTATATTTACCATTTTCTTGTAAGCATTTTTTTCATATTAGCTCCTTGAATCCTCACAACAACCCTAAGCAGTAAAATCTATAATTACCTCATTTTTGAGATGGGAATACGAAGTTAAATAACTCACACTAGGGCTCTAGCCAGTAAGTGACAAAGGCTGGATTTGAACTCTGGCAGTGCAGAGCATATCCTGTTAGCCACAATGTACAATGCTGGTGTTGACTGACAGCTTGTGTTTCGCCTCCATCTCTCTTGATGTCTTTGTTCTTTGTACTCAGTCAATAAACTTCTTTTTTTTTTTTTTTTGAGATGGAGTCTCACTCCATCGCCGAGGCTGGAGTGCAGTGGCGTGATCTCGGCTCACTGCAACCTCCACCTCCCCGGTTCAAGTGATTCTTGTGCCTCAGCCTCTCGAATAGCTGGAATGACAGGCATGCACCACCATGCCTGGCTAATTTTTGTATTTTTGGTAGAGATGGGGTTTCACCATGTTGGCCAGGCTGGTCTCAAACTCCTGTCAGTCAATGAACTTCTTTTTGCCTTACTCTCCCCATTAGAAAATGTTATCTCTCTGCTTCTCGGAAAAGAGAATGGATTAACATAATACAGGAGATAGTGTTTAATATAGGAGACAGCAATAAAAAAATCTGGAAAATGTATTTCAACTGAAATCCAGAGAAGGTAGTGGCTTGCCACTTGGCAATGGAACTGGAATTAGACTCAAGTCTCTACCTCTCACTACTCACCATGGAGGCTCTTGTACAGAACATACTTCCGTCGTAATAAAGTATGGACTGGTATAGTAGAGTAAGTGAGGAGTGTAGAGAAGAATTTCTATTTGTGTTCAGTTAAGGTTTGATTTAAACCAGTGTTCGTACCTTAATTTGAAAAAGTAAATGTAATTTAAATATTTCTTTTTTCTTGTAAATAAATGTATATTTGTTCGCATCAAAACAAATTTCAAGTTGCACTGCAAAAGGGAAGAGTAAACTTCTGTAACTCACATCATTGTTTTTTTAAAGAGCCATTTAATAAATAGTCTATATTTCAGTTCAGTATTATTTATGTTTTCAATATGTCCTTCTATAAAGTGTATGAATCAGTTGTTGTTAGTTCAGACAAGATTAAAACCTTTACTCCCACATGAAGAATGAAATGTCAATTTTTCTTTTGATATTTAGATGTTGCTTACAGAATTATAGTGGCTAACTGGAGTTCCATCCATAGTCAAGGTCATTTCATTTTTGAAACCCTCAGGAAACACATTGTATTATTGTTCTTGAACCACTTGAACATTATAGGTTGACTGACTTCAAAAACTGTATCATGGGTAAAAAGCATAAAGTTGTATTCTTATGCTTTTTTTTTCAAGTAATCCTAGATTTTAAAATGATAGCTTCAATTTTGTATGACAAAAGCTTCCCCAAACACTAAACCTTTTAAATAAATGACATTCTTTATTATTTTCTCTTTTATTCCCTACGGGTAATTGTGAAATCTCACAGTATCTTCTGTTAGCTCTGCTTTTGCCTAACCCACACTAAGAATTTCCTTTTTTTTTTTTTTCTCATTGCACAATTATTCCTCCCTAAGCTTTTGGGCTACAAAGGTAACTTGAAAGTCAAGAGACACAACTGTCCTGGTCAGATTTCTGTCAGCCTTCTGAGCCTTCTCACCTCCAACCCTTTGGCTTCTCAGTCTCCTTGATCCTAATGAGGAAAGAAAGAAAGGAAATAATATCTCTTTTCTACCATAACTTCTGCTCAAGATGCCACACTATGCTTCTGGTTTCTTTTCACCTTCACATTCTTAGAAGGAGGGGTGACATTTGTTACCTTAGTGTCCTCATCTCTTTTGGTCCTTTGGAAATTTTTTTATTTTTTATGACAGCAGCACCCCATTCTCACAACTCTCTGCTATGTTTACTTTCTAGACACTACTCATATCTGGTTGTCTTCTTAGCTCTTGAACTACTTTTTTTCCTCCCTGTATCCTTTGCTAGTACCTCTTTCCCTGCCCAAATCTTAAATGTTATCTGAATTTCCAACCTATTTGTTGTTCTTTTCATCAGCTTTGCAAGTCCCCCTGAGTGATGTCACCCAATCTCTTGGCTTGAGCGCCACCATTTTCTCTACAATTCCTGCCTCCAGCTTGATCTTCTCATCTAGGCACCAGACACAGACTTCCAAATAAGTGTGGAACTGCTTTAGCTGGAAGACCTGAAGCACCTCAAACTCAGCACAGCCAGAGCTAAAACCATTATCTTCTTTCTAAAGCCTGTCTTTTGATTTGTGCTTTTTATGGACATTGGTAAATGTTCTCACTGTTGACAGGTCTATTGCATCTTAAAACATCAGAGTCCTTCAAGTCTTCCTTCTACCTCACTCTAATATTTAATCATTTCAGGGATTCTTTTCCCAAATCTTAAGAAAACTTCAGACACACCGAAATTGAGGGATGTTCTACAAAATATCTGACACTCCTAAAGAGTGTCAAAGCCAGTAAAAACAAGAAAGATTGAGTAACTTTCACAGATTGAAGATGACTAAGGAGGCACGATGAATACAAGCAAGGTCATACCCTGGACCAGATCCCTTGAAAGTAAAGGACATTAGTGGTCAAATGTGAACGAAATCTGTAGTTCGTTAATGGTAATGTGCCAATGTTAATTTCAGTTTTTTACAAATGTTCTGTGGGTCTAGCAGATATAAAGATTAGGGAAAGCTGGGTGAAAGGCATAAGGAAACTCTATGCTATCTTAGCTACATTTCTACAAATCAACAATTTTTCTAAAACAACAACTAAAAAGCAAAACAAAAAGCATGGCTTCCCACTGTTTATGCGGTGTTTCTCAACTTATTTTGAAAAACTCATCTGGATTTTTTTTTTTTTTAATATATGTGGCTGGGCCCCACCTGGGATATTTAGATTCAGCAGGACTGTGGTGGAGCCAAGGAAGCTGCATAATTGTCAGGTGCCACAGGATATTTTTAAATACTCCAGGTATTGCAAAATTACTTGTCTACAGGACAAACAGAGCTTGCCTATGACATTTCCTTGATATAGACTTCTAAATTTTTTTTATAGAGAGCATTGCTCAGATATCATAGACAGCCAGAATTATCTTTTGTAATAAAGAATATACTACTGGCTGGGCACTGTGGCTCACACCTGAAATCCCAGCACTCTAGGAGACCGAGGCAGGTGGATCACTTGAATTCAGGAGTTCAAGACCGGCCTGGCCAACATGCTAAAACCCTGTCTCTACTAAAAATACAAAAATGAGCTGGAGGTGGTGGTGCATGCCTGTAACCCCAGCTACACGGGAGGCTGAGGCAGGAGAATGGCTTGAACCTGGAAGGCAGAGGCTGCAGTGAGATCATGTCACTGTACTCCAGCCTGGGCAACAGAGCAAGACTCCATCTCAAAAAAAAAAAAAAAAACAGGAATATACTACTTAATAAGACTGAAGTGATCCTGAGTGTAAGGAATAAAACTGATATGTTGAATAGTTTTTCACTTAAAGAATTGCATGAAACCCATATATTTTATTTTTAAATATAGTATATTGTAAGTTTGCCACTTGATTTCAATGACTCTAAAGGCTTATTAAATATTTATGAGTGAGGGAATTATTTCCACAGCATTTTGCATTCCTTTTGCTTTGAAGTGAAAATTTGCACATGATACATTTCCAGCAGGATTTTCATATGGTCAGCGTATACTTGCAAGCTTCTTGGGAAATGGAAACACTGCAAGGTTATTTCAATAAACAGGAAAAAAAAATGCCCAACTTGGAAAAATGTTACAGAGATCTTTAAAAAACATACGAGTAATGAAAGAGTGAAATTAGAGAGGTCATGTGTGTATGTATATGTCTCTGTGAGTGTATGTGTGCATGAAGCCTCTCACTGGGCTGCATGAGATTTATGAGGAGATGTCAGGAGTTCCTTGGACTCTCTGAAATTGAAGGAAAATACATGTATGTACATATTGTTGAGGATTCTCAATAAGGACAGTGAGCAAAAAAGCAGTCAGAAACACTGACCATGGGGAATCTTTTGAGAAGCAATGGCATAATTTTAGGTGGCCTAAATTATTGTTTTAAATCAAATAAGTAAAAGGTAGAGGCATTGTGATATGATCTTGTAATAAGACCTATTGCTAATGTACAGCTTATTTACTTTTCCCAATAGAGGATTGAGAAAAGTCTTAGAATGCAATGAACATTTCCTGAAATGATCCAAACTGAAGCCTTGGTATAAGAATAGGTTATTAAAATAGTTTGTCAAATGTTTATTAAGACCTTACTATGTACCGAGCGAAGTTCTAGAGCTTTAGTTCACATTAGTGAACAAAACAGACAAATATCGATCTCTAATCAATTTTACATTCAGTTAGGGAAGATAGACCTTAAAGAATAAACAAAATAAGTAAATTGCATAGTATGTTAGAGTGTGATATAAATGCTATGGAAAAAAATAAAAAAAAAAAGAGCAGGGTAAGATGGGTTGGACCAGCCACTTGGGGGTATGGAGAAGTTGCATATTAAATAGGGTGAAAGGATGGACCCATCTGAATAGGTAAGATTTGAGCAAAGATTCCAAGGAGGTAAGAGATTTAGCTCAGTGGATCCTGAAGTGGGGATAGGGGTGGGGTGGTGGGACATTCCAAGTAGAGGGAAAGAGCAATGGTGACATTTGGGGAGCTGTGAGGAGGCCTCACTGTGAGGAATGAAGTGATCAGTAAGCTAGGAGAAGAGTAGGAAAAGAAGCCAGAGGAGTAACTGAGGCAGTGAGGGCTTTGCAGCCACTGTAGGACTTGGGCTTTCTCTCTGTATGTGATGGGAACCAGCACAGATGTTTTTTGTTTGTTTTATAGATCCACAAGTATAAACTTCAATATACTTTGGTCAGAAATGGATAAATCAAGTCAACACAAAATATGTAAATCCAGAGGGAATTTGATAAAATTAACATAACAACCAGCTCTAAAAGTAGACAATGTGGCTGGGTGGCTCATGCCTATAATTCCAGAACTCTGGGAGGCCAAGGTGAAAAGATCACTTGAGGCCAGGAGTTTGAGACCAGCCTAGACAACATAGTGAGACCTCCTGTTTCTATAAAAAAAAAGAAAAGAAAAAATAGCTGGGCATGGTGGTATATGCCTTAGTTCCAGCTTCTTGGGAGGCTGAGGTAAGAAGTTCGCTTAAGCCTAGAAGTTTGAGGCTGCAGTGAGCTATGATTGTACTACTAGCACTCCGGCCTGAGCTACAAAGTGAGACCCCTGTCTCTTAAAAAAAAAAAAAAAAGTTGAGAATGCATTTGCTTTCAAACACACAGGGGCAGTTTATAAACATTGTCCATGTATCAGACCTCAAATAAAGTCTCACCATGTTCAAGAAGAGACCATGCACAACATATTATCTTACAACAGTGCAACAAAAGTAGACGTTAACAAGATTTGAATAGTTTTTTTCTTAAATATAAATATTTAAAGATTTAAAAGCACGCTTTCACATATCTCTTGGTTTAACAGGCATATCAAACCCGAAATTACAAACTATGGAAAAATTAACAACAGAAAATACAGTGCAGTTCGAAAGTAGCCTGGCCAACATGGTGAAATCCCATCTCTACTAAAAGTACAAAAATTAGCTGGGCATGGTGGCAAGTGCCTGTAATTCCTGCTACTTGGGAGGCTGAGGCAGGAGAATCACTTGAACCTGGGAGGCAGAGGTTGCAGTGAGCTAAGGTAGCACCATTACACTCCAGTCTGGGTGACGAGAGCAAAACTCTCTTTCTCTCAAATAATAATAATCATAATAATAATAATAATAAAATAAAAACAAAAACATTGCACAGTGAAACCCATATGATATAATTAATATGCTGCCCAGAAGTAGTAAATTGAATTCAAAACCTCTCAGGATATCTTACATTGAAATTTCAGTATTATTTGCGAAGCAGTGACCGGCAAAACTGGGATGAGAACATGCAAGTCAACTCTAATGTAGCTGAAGAAATTGAACTTTTGAATTCAGCTTACGTTACCAGTAGAAGTGGCTTTTCTTCTTTAACAGAGAAAGCATCTCCCCTGGCTTGAAGAATCTGCACTAGCCTCCCTTGAGGAAAGAATTGTCTTGCTAGGGAATTTGTAGGACCGTAGGTTTTTGTTACTGTTGTTGTTTTAAAAGAGAGAGTCTCGCTCTGTCACCCAGGCTAGAGTACTGTGGCATGATGACAGCAGAGGATAACAACTTGTTTCAAATGAATCACTGGCTGTTGTGTTGCAGAGGACACTAGGGGGCAACAGTGTGGATGCCAGGAGACTAGGAGGCTATTATAGTAACCCAGATGAGAGAGGACAGCAACTGGGACAGTCCTGGGAGCAGTAGGGGTGGTGGAAAGTAGTCACTCTTGATATATTCTGTATGTAAAGCCAGCATGATCTCCTGATTTGTTGTGAGGGGATGTGGGGAGAGAAGAAGAGTCAAGGATAACTCCAAGGTCTTACCCCACAGAGATGGAGAAGATTGCAGGCAGGAGCAGCTTTGGAAGGAAGATTACGAGCTCAGTTTCAAATGTTAAGTCTGAGAAGTTAAGCTCCAAGTGGAGATATGGAGGAGACAACTGGCTATGTGGGCCTAGAAATTTGGAGAGAGATCTGCCTTGGAGATATAAATTTAGGAGTCATCAGCATGTAAATGATGTGTAAGGGTCATAGGACTAGAGATCACCAAGGGAGAGAGGGTAGCTGGCAAAGAGAAGAGGCCAAGGACTGGGTCTTGGGGCTCTTTCTAACACTAAGTCATCAGGGGGAAGCAGAAGAACCAATCAAGGAGACTGAAAAGAAGCAGCCTGGTAGGAAGAAGGAAAGCCAAGAATGTGTTGTCCTGGAAACCACACAGAGTAACTGTATTAAGGAAGAGTGAAAGACAGACTTTGGCACATACTGACCTGACAGATCAAGTAAGATAATCAATGAGCACTGACCAATGGATTCAGTAATATGGCTATTACTGATGACTTTGTCAAGAACAGTTCAGTTGAGTGGTAAGGGCAAAAGCCTGATTGAGTGGATTCAAGACAGAATTTGAGGAAAGAAACTAGACAGCCAGGTGATTTGCTGCCAAGGGGAGCAAAGGAATGGGGCAGGAGCTGGTAGGAAGGTGAGGCCAAACGAGTGTGTGTAGTTTTTTTTTTTCTATTTAAGGTAAGACAAAAAATAGCGTGTTTGAGTCCTGGTAGAATGACCCAACAGACAGTGTAAAATGAATGGTGTTGGAGATAGAGAGGAGAACTGGCAGATTGATATTCTCCATTAGGCAAAAGGGATGGGATCTATTACATAAAGGGTGGGTGGGGCTCACAGAAAAACGGAAATTTCATCTATGGAAGAGACGGGAACATGGAGAATGTAGGTAGATACTTTGGTAGAAGCCTGCGGATATTTTCCTCTAACTGCTTCTATTTTCTCAGTGAAGGGAGAATTAAGGTGAGCAGCTAAAAGCAAGGGTAGTCCAAAAATTCTATGAAGATATAAATATGTCAGAAACTTATTACTGTGGTGCTCCTTCTATTAAACTGTTTATTTGCCAGAGTGTCACTTGAGTAGAATTAATGAAAGTGTATTAGTCCATTTCACACAGCTATAAAGAAATATCTGAGACTGGGTAATTTAGAAAGAAAAGAGGTTTAATTGACTCACAGTTCCGCATGGCTAGGGAGGCCTCAGGTCACTTACAATAATGGCAGAAGGCGAAGGAGAAGCAAGTACCTTCTTCACAAGGTGGCAGGAAAGAGAGAGTGTGCAAGGGAAACTTCCACTTATGAACCATCAGATCTCATGAGAAATCACTCACCATCACAAGAACAGCATGGGAAAAACCACCCCCATTATCCAACCACCTCCCAGTGGGTCCCTCCCTGGACACCTGAGGATTACAGTTCCAGACGAGATTTGGTGGGGACACAGAGCCAAACCATATCAGAAGGCAGAAGAAGTACCATAATAATGTGATACAAAGAACATCTGCCCTGTGGTACTCCTGTCTAGCTGTTTGATATATAACTAAATGCTACTCTTCCCGAACTCAGCATACAGGGAGGGAAATTTCAGGGCCTCCATCCCTGGGAGAATATTCTGAAAGAAGGGTAACCCTTAGCAACTGCACAAACTGCTCCCAGATGACTCACCAGAGAGCTTCTGGGTGGAAATCCAGTGGAAATAATGCAAACACATTCATCTTGACCCCAGAGGTCTAACTCCACCCAAGGCTTAAGTTTCTTTCCTCTGTTGTACCCTGTGAGTTTCCTGGAGCAAATATTCATGCTTAGCTCCCATGTCTCTTCCCATTTAGCTGTCAGTTCCACTTAGGTATGCAAAGGCACTCAGTTCTCACTGCTTTTAAAATTTCATGATTTTCCCCTGGCGTTCTCCTGAGATTCCTCCCAGTATTGCACCTTCATGCTCGCCTTCATAGGCGAGCAGCATTAACGCCTGGGCTTCCTGAGCATCAGCAGCAGCTTTCAAACAGAGAAGCACATTAGGAAAGCGAATTCACTCAGTCATTTAACTGTTCATTCTTCTATTTAGAACTTAAGAATGTACAAGTCACCTCAGACATTAAGGCCTTCTTGAGAAACGAGGGGAATATTTAAAAGCAGTTTTAAAAAAGAAAACATTAGCTCTGCAATTTTTATCTGTGTCTTGGATAGTTAACCTACAGAGAAAATTAATTTCTTACCACATTATATTTCTCTCTCTCTCTCTCTCTCTCTCTCTGTGTGTGTGTGTGCGTGTGTGTGTGTGTAAATCTGGGAAGATCCCATGAACTTTTACTTACTCTGGTAGAACAGGCAGTTTAAGTCACAAGAAGTCTCAAATTTCTAAATGTCTAGTCCAAGGTATGAATCAGCACACCATTTCCATTCTAGGAGAAGTCCCTTCTCCTCTCCCTCCCAGCCGCAGATCTGTTATGGAAGGGCAGGCTTCTGCTCTCTGCCCCACTCCTTCAGGCTGGCTGATTCCTCAGGGTGGAAGGTGGAAGGGAAGGTATGGGGAAGTGGAGGTGGTTGTGATGTGTGAAAGTATTGCCTCCTGAGAGCCACTTAAATATCAGGAATGTTATAAGCTGGTTGTTAAACTGCTGGTAGCTTGAGATTAGTCATGGTGGGTGTATCTACACCACAGAGACTAGCAAATATTTCAGATCAAGGCTTCCCCATCCCTGCCCTTGGAGAGCTGTTTTATTAACACATCACTGGCTTAGGGAATAGGAAATTCTTCCGGGGTTTAGGTGGCTTTGAGTGCTATAGTCTTGGCAGACAGTTCACCTGAGTCTTTCCCTACGTGTGAGTTCTTTGGAGACCACTATCATCAGGTACCTCTCTCCAGCCCCTGGGATACTATGGGCTGTTCATGTTGTCCTTGGGCAGGCTGCTTCCAATTCTCAGTCAGCTTCTGCTTGTAGAAGATGACCAGCCCCACACATTTCCTGCTGTTGGGACCCCTTTGGGCTCTGGGCAGGATTCACTTTGATACTATCCCAGAGCAACATTCCTTTTATATTAGTTTTCTATTGCTGTATAAAAAGTGACTACAATCTCAGTGGATTAAAACAACACATATATATTTTTTAATCTCAGTTTCTGTGGGTCATGAGTCTGGGCCTGGCTTAAGCAGGCTCCTCTACTCAAGTCCTCACAATGCTGCAATCAAGATGTCTGATGGGCTGCATCCTCTCTGGAGCTTGGGGTCCTCTTCCAAGTGCTTGTGGTTCTTGTTGGAATTCAGTTCTGGGCAGTTGTAGGACTGAGGTCCTTGTTTTCTTGCTGGTTGTCAGCTGGGGTCTTCTCTCAGCTCCTGGAGGCCACTTGCAGTTCTTTGCTCTCTTAGCTTCCTCTCTTAGGTCCTTTGATCAGATGTCTTGCAAAGACAGAAAGATAATCTAACTGGTTTACCTATATGGATGTAATGTAATGATGGGAGTGACTATCCTATCACCTTTGCCTAACCAAGGTAGAGACATCCCGTTCCTTTTCCACACCATGTAACATAATCAAGGGAGTGACATCCAACTACCTTTGTCATATGCTATTGACCAGAAGCAAGATACAGGCTCTGCCTACATTAAACAGGAGGGGATTGTACAGAAGAATCATGACTCATTGGAGGTCATCTTTGGGTATGCCCACCATACCTACTACATCTGGTCCTTGAATTTCACAGACCTGTGATCATCTGTCAGAGGGGAGCCAGTTTCTTCCCACAGAGCCTCAACTTTCTGCCTGTTCTGCCATGAAAGCCGCCTGCTGACCTCTCTCTCTCCTTCTGGATTTCCAGAAGTGCAGCACATGTCTATTGTGTTCCCGCTGCAGGGTCCTGTGGATCCCTCTGATGGTCACTTTGGAGCCTACTGTTTTTAGACTTGAGGCAAAGCAAGTTGAAACTGACATAGCATTCCTGTCCTTGAGGTGAAAAGGGGGCTAGTAGTCACAGCACCAATTTCTCCAAAGAATGCTCCTGAAATTTTCTTTCCTCTTCGTATTCTGAGTTCTTTGTGTAAATTTGATCTTGTCAATGGGCTCAAAAGTCAGTAGAATCTCCAACTTTCACATAGGAAATCAATAGAGTACAGTGTAAACTTTATAAACAATGAATAGCAGCATGTGTAGAATGTTTAAAAATGTGAAGGTGAATATTAGAAAAAATAGTTAAAAGAATAAAAACTGGTGCCATTGGAAAGCAGGGCAGGATAAGGGTGGGGCAGATATAGTGCTATTTTTCTTTATATTCCTTTTAGCATTACTTAATTTTTTCAGATATCTTCCTGTATTGTTTGGATTTTTTAAAATATATGCCCAAAGAGGCACTGTTTTCATCTAGTCTTTGTACTTGTATATCCTACTGCAGGACTAGACATAAGAATTTTTATACTTCAGTTTACTCATCTGCTAAATAAGCACAGTAATGCTTTAAAAATTAAGAGATGAAAACTCTTGATAAAATATTTTGAAACCTCTAAGGAAATATGCTTTAAAATATCAGTTGTGATGAGCCAATTTGCTATCACCAAGTCTTCTAAACATTGAATCAAATAGTCTTTGTCTAAGTTATTTCTGTGCCAAAGTTACCATTCAGTCTCAGCTGAAAATGTATTTACTAAACACAGCTACAACTATGGCTTGTATTTATTATAGCTTAATGGTGAATTGTGGATTGCATGTTTGACATTTTTGGAAGTCAATGCTCACTTTATTGAAATATCTTCTGTCTAAAATGTATACCAATGTTCTTCATCATACCAATCTACATTAATATCTTAGACATATTGATATACAGACATGTTGGGCACATAGACCATGTGGAACAGGAAACCAAAGAAAATGTCAGACTGTTGAAATCAGCATTCAGAGATGAGAAACAATTGGCCAGTGTGGCATGGGGCAGCCTGTTTCAGAGATTACAAGGATTAGACCAAAGTCACAAACAAGGATAGTCCCTGGCATCAGCAGCTAGAATTGTCAGTCAATATCCAGGCACGAGGGGCTGCTACTCAAGGGAGTCTTTTCTGAGCTGCACTTTTCAACACTTGAAAGGCAAATTAGAGAGTAGCAGCTCTTCCTATTAAACTTAATTATGGATAGCAAATTGATCCATGCCATTTTAGAAATGCTCACCTCTTCAGTTATATTTGGCAGAAAATAGGAGGTTCCAACAAGTTCGATGTGAGTGAAGTTTAGTTCTTCTCTCACCACCTTAACATCATGTGCTGATGAAATAGAGTCTCACAATTCCGAGTCACAATTCTGAGTGGAGACATTTGTTACCATTGATTACAAAGTGAGGCCAGGCCGGTTCATGCCACCTATTGTTTTTTTCTTTAAATAAATCTTATTGTGTATATTTGAGGTTTATCACATGATGTTATGGGATACAAATAGATAGTAAAATGGTTACTGTAGTGAAGCAAATCAAAACATATTCCTCTCACATTACTACTTTCTTGTGACAAAAGCAGCTAAAAATCTACCAAACAGAATTCCCTAATATAATTTTATTAACTGTAGTCCTCACATTGTACATGGAATCACTAGACTTGCCCATCCTACATATCTTCTACCTTACATGCCACCTACTGTAAGTCTCAGGAGTTCCTAGGTCTTTTCTTTAGGTGATTCATCCACTTGTTACATGGAAGGTTGATTTACTTGAGGCAGACACACTGATTTCCCAAAAGCAGAATCGTTTTATCCTGAGAGTTGACATCAGAGAAACAGAAGTTTTATGACCTTTCAACAGGATTCAGGTCACAAGGGCACAGGCCACAGGCCTTATCAGGTTCTTATTCTAGTGTGAGGAGTATCTTGAAACCATTTCCTTGGCTCATCTGTATATCTAGCATGTCATTAATTCATCATTGAGAGCCTATTTCTGATATTCTTTATGATAATTTCCTAAGCCTCCGTGCAAGAAGACTTGTGCTAGCCTCTGGAGTGCAGACTTCCCAACTAACTGCTGACTAGCTAACTAAGCAACCCGAGGGCAGAAATTTCTGCTTCAGATAACAGATAATACCTAAGGCTGTACTTAAACCAATACATGCTGTTTGTGCTGAGGGTTTTTTTTTTTTTTTTTTTGTAAGACAGTTTTGTTGGGATGCAATTTACTTTCCTTTAATATAAACTTTATCTATTGTAAGTGTACAATTTAGTAATTTTAGAAAATGTATAGGGTTGTGCACCCATCACAGCAATCCAATTTTATAATATTTTTGTCACTCAGAAAGATTCCTCTTGCCCATTTGCAGCCAATTTCGAATTCCATCTCCAGTTCCAGGCAACCACTAATCTATTATCTATTTCTATAGGTTTGGATTTTCTGAATATTTCATGTAAGTTGAATTATATAATGTGTGGATTTTGTATCTGGCTTATTTCATTTAGCATAATCTTTTGAGGTTCAGCCACATTGTAACATGTATCAGTAGTTCACCCTTTTTGGTTGCTGAATAGTATTTCATTGCATATACACACTGAATTTTGTCATTCATTCACTATGAACATATATATATATATATACATAGTGAATGAACATATATATAGTTGTTTCCCCTTTTTGACTATTACAAATAATGCTGCTATGAACATATATATATATATATATATATATATATATGTCTTATATATATATAGGTCCTTGAGTGAACATATGTTTTCATTCATTTAGGGTAGATAGCTAGGAGTTGGACCAATGTTAAAGTGAAGTTTAAGCATTTTAAGAAACTGCCAACCTGTTTTCCTAAGTGACTGCACCATTTTTACATTCCATCAACGATGTAGGATGGTTCCAGTTTCCCCACATCTTCACCAGCCTTGTTATTGTTAAAGCAAACTAAACATGGCCTGAGAAGGAATCCGTACTTCCATATTTGAGTCCTTGTGGATGAACAGGAACCTAACTTAATAGTTAGACAAGACTGAAAATCTAACTTAAGAGTGTGAGCCTGTAATAATAGCTAGGTCTTGGCCAATCCCAGTGGCCGTACTTCAACCATTCATACACTGCTGAGTGTTCAAACTGTGTTCAAATAAGGCAAATGCCAACCTGTAACCAATCCAGCTGTTCTGTACTTCACTTCCAATTTCTGTACCTCATTTCCTTTTTGTTTGTCTATAAATCTCATTCCACCACTTGACTGTGCTGCAGTCTCTGAATCTGCTGTGATTCTGGGGGCTGCCTGATTCGCGAATTGTTCATTGCTCAGTTAAACTCCTTTAAATTTAATTTGGCTGAAGGTTTTCTTTTAACATTATTATTTGTGTTTTTTATTATAGCCATCCTAGTGGGTGTGAAGTAATATCTCATTGTGATGTTGTTTTTATTGTATTTTTAAAAATTTCCTTTTAAATTTAAGATTCAGGGGGTACATGTGCAGGTTTGTCACAAGGGTATATTGTGTGATGCTGAGAGTTGGGTGTCTGCTGATCTCATCACCCAGATGGTGAATATAATACCCAATAGGAAGTTTTTCAGCCCTTGCCCCTCCTCTTCCCTCCCCAGTCTAGTAGTCCCCAGTGTCTGTTGTGCCAATGGTTATGTCCATGTGAACCCAAGATTTAGCTCCCACTTATAAGAACATGCGATATTTGGTTTCCTGTTTCTGTGTTAATTCGCTTAGAATAACAGCCTCCAGCTGCATCCATGTTGTTGCAAAAGACATTATTTCATTCTTTTTTTTATGGCTGTACAGTATTCCATGGTGTATATGTACCACATGTTCTTTATCCAGCCCACCACTGATGGGCACTTGAGCTAATTCCATGTCTTAGCTGTTGTGAATAGTACTCTGATAAACATACTAGTGCAGGTGTCCTTTTGGTAGACCGATTTATTTTCCTTTGAGTATATACCCAGAAATGGTATTGCTGGGTTAAATGGTAGTTCTGTTTTTAGTTGTTTGATGATCTCTAAACTGCTTTCCTCAAGGGCTGAATTAATTTGCATTACCACCAACAGTGTATAAGTGTTCTCTTTTTCTCTGCAACCTCACCAAAATCTGTTATTTTTGACTTTTTAATAATAGCCATTCTGACTGTTGTGAGATGGTATCTCATTGTGATTTTGATTTTCATCTCTCTGATGATTAGAGATGTTGAGAGTTTTGTCATATGTTTGTTGGCTGTGTGTATGTCTTCTTTTGAGAAGTGTCTGTTCATGTCCTTTACCCACTTTTTAATGGTTGTTTGTTTTTATTTCTTGCTGGTTTGTTTGAGTTTCTTACATATTCTGGTATGCTGAAGTATTTTAAAGAAAAACACAGACATCATAACAACACCCACTCGATGGATTATATGCAGCTGCATTTTCTACTAAACATCAGTTCTCCTGGAGCAGGCAAGCACATTAGAAAACAAAACACTTGAGGGAATGATATTACATTAATCTCCAACACTGAAGCTTGTTTCAGCTATGGACTAAGGGAGAATATAAATTTTGTTGTTGCACTTCATTCTTTTTCCATTTCTGATATAAACTTGGCAAGAAGTCTGTGCACTCCTGATCATCACTAACTAAGGTGCCTTGATCCATTGGAAGTTCTTCATCTTTTCTCAGTGGCATTAGCAGAAAATTGATGTTTCATACATGGCATTAGTTGGAGCATAATGCCATCTGTCAAGCAGAGGCATACTCTTTATTTCATTACTGTACTCCCAGGTTGACTAAAGGAAGAAACTAGTCTCTCTCTTTCTCTTCCTCTCTCTTCCTTTCTCTGTTCCCACTTCTTGCTTCTCTTTTCTATATCCTGCATTGTTATAAAATTTTTCTTCTAATAAGATAATTGATAGCTTGGTTCTTTGTAAAAACAAGATTGAGCTATTTTTACAAAGAAAGCTGGTTAAATTTCCATTATTCCATGCCCTAAGAAAGATCTTCCAACTATAGCAGCTTCTGTTGTTTCTGCTACATGTTTTAAATGTTCTGCACCTACAGGTTACCCCTTGGCCAATAACATGGAATCTGGGTTAGCAGCACCCCTCTGCAGCCTTTTCTTTTTTGAGACGGAGTCTCACTCTGTCACCCAGGCTGGAGTGCAGTGGCACGATCTCAGCTCACTGCAACTTCCACCTTCCGAGTTCAAGTGATTCTCCTGCTTCAGCCTCCCCAGTAGCTGGGACTACAGGCGCCTGCCACCATGCCCGGCTAATTTTTTTGTATTTTTAGTAAGACAGAGTTTTACCATGTTGGCCAGGATGGTCTCGATCTCCTGAGCTCTTGATCTGCCCTCTTCGGCCTCCCAGTGATGGGATTATAGGTGTGAGCCACCGCAACCGGCCTGTCTCAGAGATTTTTCTTGGCGTCTTTGTTTCCTTCCACCAGGTGTTATAGATCATTAGTTCCCACAGGCAGGCACTTAAACAATCAGGTTGCTTTTGGTCATTTATTTATTCTTTCACTCATTCATTAAATATTTACTGATCATATCTGCTCAAGACGAGGAGAATACACATATAAATGAGGGAAATACACCATCTAACCACAACGAGAGAGTTATTAACAGCTTTTTAACAGTAGTGCTTGAATACTTCTCTGGCGCTCTTTCCCCTACAATATTGAGCATCTAGTGAATGGCAGGCATGTTAATTCCCCTTCAAAAAGCTATGGGTTGAGACAGTAAACCTAGGGACTAGAATTAACCTTAGCCTTTTTTTCCTCCTCCCTCCCTCCATCTCTTCTCCTCTTCCTCTTTCTCTTCCTTCCTCTCTTCCATCCATCCTTCTTTCCTTTCTTTTTAAAAAATCTGGTTTTAGGACTGGACTAAGAACTCAGTTAAGTGAAGCAAGCAAGAATTTCCCAAGTGATGCCAACTCAAAATGAATTATATCAAGAAAGGAAAAGCAGCTTTTTCATCTGGAAAGAACTGGAGACCTTGAACCTAGGCAGCATGTGCCTTGAACCTAGGATCAGTAAACAACAAGGATGGAAAAGACAGTAAGAATTTGGTCAGATCACCATATCTTTCCGTTGTGCCTTTAGAACAAAAGGAAAGAAAATATCTCTTTGGCTCACAGAGAAAATATGTTGAGAAATGAAGTACAACCCCTCACTGTGCTGGGCACAGAGCAGGTGCTCGGTAAATAAATAGTGTACGTGTTCGCTGAGTAACATTTGACTTGAATTGCCTTTAAGCACTTTGAATGATCCAGTGGTATTTATGGACCTCCCAGGCACAGCCCTGCACCAGCTTTCTCAGAGTAGTGTCTCCATACAGGCAAGCCTTTTAATCCCCAGTAAAACAAAAAGATGGCGATAAATATTCAGTATCTTAAAAATTTAAGTAAATATGCAGTGTCCTACCTCTCACTCACATCGCAAATGATCTTAGTTTGTTCCTTGGAGAGGAACCAAATGCTTTAGTGGATGGTAGCACATTCTCTCTCCCTTTGCTTGTATAGACCTGACCTAACTTAAAAATAAATGTTTAGTTAAGATGATCTCCAGCTTAACCTCTCTGAAGGTATAGGAAGCTGGATCAGGTGTAGCTGTCCCTGGCTATAGGTTGGAGTATCTTGATGTAGGTGAAGCAGTGTTCCTAAGGGGAAGTCCTTCCTTGTTCACCAACTGGTTGTGTTCATGCCTTTTAGTATTTGCCCAAGTATTCACCAAGTCAAAGTCTGTGGGGTAATAGGTACATTGAATAATAGGGATTGGATTTTAATTTTTCTCTTAAACTAATGTGACACATTGAGATGCTTGTAACTGATGAGTGAGTTTGGTTCAGCATTCAGTATGGCTAATGATAACAATTTGTAAAAAGCATGTAGGGGTATTCACTGGGATAGACTGATGGCTGTGCTTATGAAATGTGGCTGTTCCCTTTCATTTTCCTGGAGTAATCTAGTTCAAAAGCTTTCAGGTTGTGTATAGGTAAATTGACTTATCAAGAACCAGTGAAAGGAGGATGATATTGGTATTTAAATCCTATCTCTTATTTAATATGTAAACTTAGGGAAACATCTTCCCCTCCTTTAGAATTAATTTCTTAATCTTGTAAAACTGTGACACCAGGGTTTTCCCTGGTGTCCTCGGATTGTCAGTAAGGCTAAAAGTAGAGAATATGCCCCAAATTCTAAGCCCCAATAACTGCAGCTACTGGGGCCCACTAGCTCCTTGCAGGGTTTTCTGAGAGGCATTATTCCAACAGGCTTGAACACACTGCTTCACTGTCGCTTGATCCCTGCTGACCTTAGAAAACTGAGAAGAGAGTCATCTGGGGGAAGAAAAGTGTTCATTTCCCCTCTTCATCTCCTCTGTTAGAGGCAAGAAGGGGAAGTCCAAGAGAATCATTCATAAATGTGGGGGTGGCCAAAAAGGGCAGGCAGACACTTCATTCCATGGTTGAGTGCCTGCTTAGTTAGCAGAGCTGGTGGCCTGCCTTTGAACTGCTAGGGTGTGTGTGTGTGTATGTGTGCGTTCACACATGGGCACGTATGTGTGACCTTGAGTTTAAAAAAAGTTAATGGCAGCTACTTATAGGATAACTTGAAATCAGGAGAGACTGGGGTAGGATCGAGGTGGTGAGGAAACACAGGGTCACCAACTTGCATGTTGGGAAAAGGACTATCAGGTGGAGAGGTCACCAGGATTTCTCACTGCCCCCCCTTCCCCGCCCCCATTAACATAGGCCCCTTTTCAAGAGATACTGACATGGCTCTTCCTTGCAGACTTAGGAACTGGCCACAGGGTATAGATGAGGTTGCAGTGTTAAATAATTAAATGGGGGTCATTAGACTGAGGTGACTCTAATGCCCTGGGTTCCTATGTAAGCAAACCTAAATCTAACTCAGAATTTAAAAGAAAATAAAACTTAAGTTCATTCAATCACAGGCAGCCAAATGGGCATTAGCTGTATTGTCTTAAACTTCCCACTGGGCTAGTTCAAATAAGGCAGTTGCTCAAACTTCAACCAATCAAACAATTTCTTTGATTCACCTCATAAAAACGTCCCCTCATGTCTCTTTGTCAAAGCTCTGAATTACCTCTGGTTTGGAGCTGCCTGATTCATGAATTGCCATGTGCTCTAATAAACTCTTTAAAATTTTAACATGCCAGAGGTTTTCCTATAACAGGGGCAATTATCTCTAGAGCAATTCCCCAGTGAGGGACAAAGAAATGTGATGCAATAATGTCAGCTGGGGTCAGCCAGAGATGTGGCCAAATTTCTCAAGGAGCTTCCAGTGTCAAGAGCTGCTTCATGGAGGGAGCATGTTGGAGAAGGTGAAGCATGGTGGAGCCACAGACAAGCAGAGGGGGCTGTGCAGGAGAGGTCTGCAACCTCACTGTCCTGCCCCAATACTCAAGGAATAGCTCAGGGAAGAGGGAGGAAAGGGAAAGCATGTGATAAAGACTACACCCCTGGCTAGGGAAAGGGAAAGGAAGTTTTGAATGAGATACAACATGCAATCTAAATGAAACAAAGAGACTAAGAAAACATGGAATAGGGCTCAGGTGTTGTTAGGGAGGATTTGATCTGGGATTATTGGGGACAGTTATTGGAAGAAAATAAAATTTGTATTTATAGCTGAATGAATTGAGACTCTTTAATACCACCTCCCTGATTATAGTCCACTGTTCTTTCTGCCATATGGTGCTTTACCGCTGACGTTCTCTAAATGTCTTCACTCTCATAACCTCATCCTGTTCATAGCATCTTGAATATTTGATCCTACACCTCAATTTTACAAACTCTTGGAATTTGTGTCAAATCTTGCCTCTTCCCAGAAGTCTTCCTTAATAACCCCAGGTCCACATTCCTCCCTGTCTTTCCCCCATTGCCCTCCACCATTTCAGCATTTTCTAGAATCCATCCTTGCTTTTCATTCCAATCTTCCACGCCCTAGTTCAGGATCCCATCCAATCCTCCTTCTGCATGGTTGCCACACACTGCCTGAGGACAACTGGCTGAGGCCCTGCTGCATTTGGCAAGCCACCTGCTCTGAAACAGGGTGGTGTCAACCCAGAGGGGCACCATTTTCTCAATTGCCCAAGGGCTGTCTTAGTTCACCAGGTGTGCATGGGGTCCTGTAGGCTCAGAGGGAGTGTCTTTTCCTAAGTTGCACGAAGGTGACACTGTATTTCCTAACCACCTCGATCCCACCCCAGTCTCTTCTCATTTCAAGTTGTCCTATACATAGCTGACATTAATTTTTTTTTAAACTCAAGCAAATCTCCTTTTCTACGTAAAAGCCACACTCTAGGGCATCATCAATATCATGTGTATTGGGAACTGTCGAAGGGCTAGGATGAAACAGCCTGGATGTGGACTGTGAAGAGAAATAAAAAGCTTCCTAGCACCACGAATCTCAAACCTTCATGTGCACACAAATCACTATTGGATCTCATTAAAATGAAGATTCTGATTCAGAAGGTCTGAGTGAGACCTGAGATTCTGAATTTCTAGCAAGTGCCCAGGTGATGCTGAAGATGTTAGTCCAAGGACAACACTGTAAGTAGCAGTAAGTAACATTTAATTTAATACACTGTGAGTAGCATTTAATTTTCACAAAAATCCCTATAGGGTTATTATTATTATTATTGTTATTATTGCAATTTTTTAGAGACAAGTTCTTGCTCTCTTACCCAGGCTGCAATACAGTGGTATGATCCTGGGCTCAAGCTATCTGCCCTCCTGAGTAATTGGGACTATGAGTGGGCACCACCATGCCACCATGCCTGGCTAATTTTTTTATTTTTAATTTTTTGTAAAGATGGGGTCTCCCCGTGTTGCCCAGGATGGTCTTGAACTCCTGGGTTCAAGCAATTCATCTGCCTTGACCTCTCGAAGTGCTGGGATTATGGGAATAGGGATTTAAATTCATGTCTGCCTGATTGAAGACTCCTTTTTAGCCACTATGGTGTATTCCCTCTAGAAGGACTGGAGAGGAGAGAATGGACTTGAGGGAAGAATTTCATTCAGGAAGTAAAACAAGAAAACTTGGGGATGGGTTGGCCTTGATCTTCTCAGTGGAGTTGGTGAGAAGGTCACTTAGCTCTGGTGGTGGGAATGAAAGGCCTAAGTGATCTGGGGGAATTGGGGCTAGCTGCAGAGGGCCATGTGCTGGAGGAAGAGCAAAAAGGGCTGCCAGTAGAAGGGAGCGCCCAGATAAAGCTGGGAGGATTGAACTTGCCAAAGCACTAAATCAGTGGTTTCCAAACTTCACAGTAGAATCACTTGGGGATCTTTTAAAAGTTCAGGTTATTCCCCAGGCCAATTAAGTCACAATCTCAGGCAAGGACACAAACATCAATAATTTTTGAAGCTACCCAGTAATTCCAAAGTACAGATTATTTTGGGAACCAGTGCTGCAGATGATTAGGTTATAGTGTTAAAGGGGCAAATCTTGCATTATTTTAAATAACCCAAGGAGCATTGAATAATGGTTTTGGCATTTTGCATAGTTCGGAGTTTGGCAAACTTTTTCTGTATTAAGTCAAATGGAAAAAAAAAAAATTAAGCTTTGTGGGCCAAGAGGCAAAATTGAGAGTATCATGTAAGTACTTACATAATAGGAGAAGAAAACAGATTTCCACAAAATTTTTATTGATGAAATTTGAAACTTTATGAATACTGAACTTGGAATTTTATATAATTTTATGTGTTATAAAATGTTAGAATTCTTTTGATTTTTGCAGTCATTTAAAAATGTAAAAATAATTCTCAGCTTTCAGGCCGTACAAAAACAGGCAGTGGCTGGGTTTGGCCCCCACTATGTTATAATTTGCTGACTCCTAGTGTAGTTAGTGATATACCTTGTGATGAATCCAAAGAAGCCATCAAAAATATGCATCTCCATAAAAATAAATCAGCATTCAAATGAGTGCTTGATTGACCTACAACAAAACTGGCCTTTGAAAAAAATCATTGCATTTTCTATGGACAAAGTGCAAAATGAATGACAACACTTTGAGGCAAAGGCTACTTTAACTCATATTTCCATAATAAATAAAAAAATAGCTGGTTGAAAACATGGATGACCTACACAGAGTCTACTATATAGAGTACTGTTTTCTGTAAATAACTCAAAATACTTTCAAAATATCTTTTAAAAGTATAAATAGTATTTTGATTTATTTTGAAACCATTTTGGTGTTTCACCAGATGTCAGTTCTCCTCAAGGCCTCAAATTATTAAAGATTCCTAGCTGTTGAGTACAGCTCCCTTGCGTTTGTAATGTCTACATTTGGATACCAGGATTATAGGTTAAAAAAATGGCAATTTTCTGGAAATGTTGTTTATGTAATCAGGTGGATAATCTGAAATACTTTAGAGAGGCTATAGAAATCCCTCTACTGTCTTTGGGCATTTTACATCCAGAACCTTCTGAATTATTGCATTAATAACTTCAATAGTTTCTGATTAGCAAAAAGCACAGTGAGGAAAACAAAATTAAAGAGAAAAAGGAATTTTAGCACCTGCAGGTCTAAATATTGTATTTGTAATTTATTTACTAATGGATAGTTGTTTTTTTTTTCTCTTATGTATAGAAAATTTCGAATGGAACCAGAGGTTACCAGAAACGTGCCCCATTTGTAGTTTCTCTGCTTTGAGAATTTGCCAGGCGTTGAGGGGAGCCCTCTGCTGTTAGTTTTATTTATTACAGTAAAATTTGAATTACATTTGTTTTATGCCCTTCCTTGAACCTTCTCAGGTTTTTGATGTTTCTGTTATGATTGTACATTTTACATAACAAAGAAAACATAAATTCCACGATGCCAGTTGGCATAGTTAATAATCCATCAATTCTGCCCTTTTTGAACTATATCAGAGCATTGAAAAATCTGGCGGTTTCCAATTTCCATGTTAGAGTAGGGTTTTGACCTCTATTTCACTTTCAAATGGGTCTCCTTGGCAGAATAACTCGGCTTTCTCGATTAATTTTACTGTTCACCCCCTTAACAGTGAATATGGAGGTTTAAACCTGATGCTTTAGAAGGTAATTGTACAGTTTTCGGAGAGTCAGAGGAAACTGACTCTCCCCTGCTCCTTAATTGCCCTTGTTACATTCTCTCATCCACTAACTGTGAATGCTCCTTGAATCTTACTTCTAGGACCTCTAATTTTGTTGTTGTCATTGTTGTTATTTTTACATTTGTTGCATCTGTGGACTCATCTATTGTCACAATCCTAGTTATAATGTCTAAATTAGTAACCTCTTAAGCTGTGTTGTCTTGGAGACTAGGCAGGAAACAAACATTTATTGGGTGCCTGCTACTTGAGCACAGTGGTAACATATATATACATATATATACACATACATATATATACATATATACATACACATACATATATACATATATACATATACGTGTATATATACATATATACGTGTATATATAAATATATACGTGTATATATACATATATACGTGTATATATACATATATACGTATATATACAAGTATACATATGTGTGTGTAATATATAGAAAATATATACATAAATATAATATATAAGCATATATAGATGTATTTTATCTAGCCCTTTTTTCCAACTTTTTTTCCAAATACTATATGTCCCCACAGTTGTCTTGGTCATTTCCCTTCCTAAGCAAAACTCTCTCTTTGCCCATCTTCTTTTCCTGGCATCAGAGTATCTCCACTTCCTGGTGCTCAACACTTGGGAACAAGATTTTCAGCATTTCTGATTTGAAATTTACTTCTTTTATTGTCTCTTTTTTTTTATCCCCACTACCATCATAAAGGCCTCGTCACTTCACATCTGGATGGCTGTTTTCTCATTTTAACTATTTTTTCTGGCATCTTTTCCTTCTATCTGTTCAGCATGTACTCATCATACCCCTTTTTTTAAAGAACACTCTTTAATCATTTCCCTCTCCCTTGTAAAATAACTGCAATGCATCTCCATTGCTCAAAGGTTCAGTTTGAAAAATTTCACCCTGATATTCTAGGCCCTTCAAATCCTGATTTGATTTATCTAGCCTAATACCCTGCTCCTAACAATGCTTATTCCAATCAGGTCGGCCTCCTTCCTGCCCATACCAGGCTGGCACTCCTACCTCAGTACTTTCTCATCCTCTTCTGTCTGAAATGTTTTCTTTCTCTCTACCTGCCAATATCCAACTCCCATTTGAAATACAAATATTTCCATCAAATCTTCTTTAATAATCCAGCCAACATTGGTATAATCCTTTCTCAGTTACCTGTTTGGCGTTTATTATTAGTATGATGCATTATAGTATTTTATTGTATTTATGTATTAATCTTATTAGTATTTAATTTGTGTATATTCTCTTGAGTACTCTTAATTGTTCCTTCAGCTTATCCCAACTGTATGTTTCTGATGATAAGAATATAGTCTAGAATTTCACTCTGGGATACCATACTGGGTTTAGTCAATTAAGCTCTCTGAAATTAATTTTCTTCTTTTGTAAGATGGAGATAATAATACCCCTCTACTTGTCTCATTTTGACACTTGAGGTTAAAAATAGTATGAAGAAATGCTTCAAAGTTTTCAAACTAATTTATTACCATGGTGGTGATGATGATGATGATCCAGAATGTATTTTCCCCCTTGAGATACCACCTAATATAGGGTTGTAGGGGTGGAGAGGATATGATCTCTTTCCTCCTTATCATAAAGGGTCATGACTGACACCCCATAACAACAAAAAACAGGTTAATCAAAGAAAAGCATAACAAGTTTATTATAGTCCTATTATGTGCACACATGTGTATGGGAGTCATATAAAATATGAACTCAAGGAGGGACCAGATGGTTTAGGCTTAAGTGCCCTCTTCATAAGGGAGAGGGAAGTAAGATGTATCGGAGTAAGTGATTTTCAGGGGAAACAAAAGGCCCAGTGCTCAGACAATGGTCCACAGAAACAGCCTCTTAGGTAATCTCTTGAAGCTGCCTTCAGATGAATTGATGAAGTCTGTCTGGGTATGGTGATGACTCCCAGTCTTCTCTGTCCTCCAGTAGTTGATCTTTCCAGGTTATTTGATGAGATCTCTAGGGAATGAGTCTTGAGACAATTGCATTTCTTTTGGAAAGAAGCTTTCTTGGTCAGACAAGAAAATTTCAGAAAGAGTCCCTCATTGACTTGTAGGGTGAGGAAAAGACAAGGTTGAATGGACCTTGATTCTGAGGCAGCTTTTAAGGCCTCCCAGCAGGCCAAAGCACCAGTCTTTGGGGTATCACATTCTGAGGCCCAAAAGGGTCATAGAGTTCCTTTCTGAGGATAGAGGTTGTAACCAAAGATGGTCACTACCACCATGAGGAAGAAACATCATCTCTCTGAAGGCATATCTGATCTGCCAGAGTTCAAGATCAAAGTCAGTACCTTCACCTTAACTTTTACCCCCACCTGTAGCCTATGATGCTGCCAATTTCCCTTCACACAAAAGCTTGTGAACTATTGGTCTGCGCTTATTGCTTATACTCTTGCAATCTGGGGTCAAAGCTCACAAGTACAAGAAATTTCTTCTAAAAGTGCTCAAAGACATTCTAATTGTTTAATCAGGTAGCTGCTTTTTGGTCATCTTCCTAGACCTTTCTGCAGCATTAGATGTCATTAAGAAGAGTTGTAATATAAGGTTTTAAGGAAAAGAGAGATGTTTCAATGAAAGGGATAACAAAAGAAAAGACAGATTTGACTACGTTGCATTTCCCCAAACTTAGAACATATTTACTATGTGTTTGGCAGCCATATCACTATTTCTAACATTAAAAACTCTGAATAATACAGAAAAGGATAAACACTGTAATAGAAAAATCGGCAAATGTCATGAACATACAAATCACAGAAAAGACATAAATGCACATACAATATAATGTTCAACTTTAATAATTAAAAAGTATGTGGCCAGTTTTAGGTCCCACTTTTTTCTTTTGTAAATGTTTCAGGAGTATATTCAACTTCTTTTGAATAGTTTTCATAAAAAGTTCTGATTAACCTGCATGGAGTCCTTTTTCTTGAGCCCAAAATGGTGGATCATGCTCACTATGCTTGCTGGAATATGTCCACTGGGTACAAGTTTTCTTTTTTTTCCCCAAGAATGTGATGGAACACTTGTATCCTAGTAACAATCCAGATGATAGCACTATCTTGCAAAGACGTGTTTATATCAAGCTATGCTATGAATAAAGTATATATGCTCTCTCTCATTCAACAAAGAATAGAACCTAGGAGAGACAGACAAAATTGTGTTAGGTCTTGTTGAAAGAATGAGTAATGGGTTGTTTAGAAAGGCAAAGAATGGAACAATTATTTTCCATCTGAACATTGCTTATGTCAGTATTGCAGGTTTTTATCCTTGGTTCAAGGTTACAAATCTTCCTCGGGATACATCAGCTGCCAGACATAAAGTCATATGCCATGCTGCGAAGAGTTTTTTTTACAGACTTCAACCTGTCTCCCCATCCCACACCCAATATTAAAATATGCCCTTTGGGACATGAGTCTAGAAAAACATCCCTTCTTTTAGAGCTAATCATTACAAATGGAGCGAATATTGCAAAAATCCTACAAATGATCTCTTCTGCCCTTGCAACCAAGGCACTGTTACTGAGTGTAACATGCCATGCATGTTACATAAACAATTCATTTAACTTTGTGGGGCCTCTTCAGGATAGGATAGGATAGGTATTTTTTTTCTCACATTTTGCAGAGAAAAATTGGTGCCTCAGATAAAATAAATAACTCACTGAAGTTTATATGCTACTAAGAGGGCTACTCTCAATTGAATTCAGTTATACCTGACTCCAGAACCCCTGATTCTTACCTCATTTTATTCTGTGTGTTTCTTTCAAAATGTAACTTTCATACCATGTTCATTTTAAAATTAATGCAAGGCTTACCATGCTTCTTCAGTGGTATGGATTTGTATCCCATGTAAGATGCTTTGAAACTCTGTATATGGACACCATTCCTGATGGTTTCCACTTACCCTATAAAATGATCTACCTACTGCATCTGGAAGCACCTGGAAGTTCTTATCATGAGAAAGTTGAAGAATTCCCATTCTAAAATGAAAAATAAAACAGGCTGTTAGACCTCAAAACGCAGTGTGATATTAGAATTATTAATGGTCACAGCTAGATGATCTGATAAACGGGAAGTTTATGTTATGTTCTGAGTTCACACAGGAGGCTTTGTGGCAAGGTTCTGTAAACAACTCTTGCTCTGGAATATTTGTGAATGGCCATCCATACAATTGATATTGAATGCTCTTGCTTGACTTTTATTTATTTATTTATTTATTTATTTTGAGACAGAGTCTCACTCTGTCGCCCAGGCTGGAGAGCAGTGGTGCGATCTCGGCTCACTGCAAGCTCCAACTTCCCGTTTCACGCCATTCTCCTGCCTCAGCCTCCCGAGTAGCTGGGACTGCAGGCGCCCGCCACCATGCCTGGCTAATTGTTTGTATTTTTAGTAGAGTCGGGGTTTCACCGTGTTAGCCAGGATTGTCTTGGTCTTCTGACCTTGTGATCCACCCGCCTCTGCCTCCCAAAGTGCTGGGATTACAGGCGTGAACCACCGCACCCGGCCGTTTGACTTTTTTTCTGGGGAGCTGTCTTTAGTGTAGAGATTCTAGTGTCATTTGGACACTTTCGATTTATAATGAAGAGATCAGTGTCTTCACCAACCCATGGGTTGCCTAGTGAGGGCAAGGGAGGTATTAAGTTAAGTAAGCAGGAGGCCATTAGCCTGAGGCTGACTCCATACTTTGAGTTCCTACATAGCAAACCATAAACTGAATAAATAAACAAGCTAAAACCTAACATAAGAGTATAAAAAATGACGGAATTTTAGCCAATCACAGGAACCCCAGGTTTTAGCCAATCACAGTAGCCAACTCATCACATCATGCCCAAATAAGCCAAATGTCTCATCACACAATGTCCAAATAAGGCAGGTTGAGGTGGAAGGATTGCTTGAGCCCAGGAATTCAAAACTTCAGTGAGCTAGGATCATGCCACCGCACTCCAGACTGCGCAACAGAGCAAGACTCTGTCAAACAAACAAACAAACAAACAAACAACAGCTTACTGCTTACACTGCCAGGCAGAGTTCTTTGAACCTCTCTTCTGGTTCTCAGTGCTGTCCCATTCATGAATTGTTCTTGGCTCAAATAAACTCCGTTAAATTTAATTTGTCAAAAATTTTTCTTTTAACATAGGATACAAGGGAAATTGTCTTTCTTCCTTTCCTAGAGCTCATGGTTATGGCAGGGGAGATGCCTCTGCTAGGTTCAAGTTTTGGCTTTGCTACTTGATAGCATGCTTGGTTCACTTAGTTATCTGATGAGATTTGTTCAGTCAGTAGCAAATTTAATCAAGGTAAATCTTTTTTTTTTTTTTTTTTTTTTTTGAGGCTGGAGTGCAGTGGCGCCATCTTGGCTTACTGCAAGTTCTGCCTCCTGGGTTCACGCCATTCTCCTGCCTCAGCCTCCCCAGTAGCTGGGACTATAGGCGCCCGCCACCACGCCCAGCTAATTGTTTGTATTTTTAGTAGAGTCGGGGTTTCACTGCGTTAGCCAGGATGGTCTCCATCTCCTAACCTCGTGATCCGCCCACCTCGGCCTCCCAAAGTGCTGGGATTACAGGCGTGAGACACTGCACCCAGCCCGGTAAATCATTTTTAATTCTCAATTTTTCTAAAATAGTTTACTATAGTTTCTGAGGGAATAAATCTGCTCTATGTCCAGAATTTTGCTCTTAGGATTTATGTTGTTTGTAGGCTCCTAACTTAAAAAAACGTTATCTTAAAAAACAAAGCAAAACAATTCTGTCCATAGCAATTAGTTCACTGGACTGTAATATATTTTTATTTATCTTCTCTCAGTGCATTGCATAGTCTTCAAGGATAAGGAGTTGTGTTTTATTTAATTTTGAATCTCGTGGGCTTGACACAGTCAGGGCTCAGCAAGGGTTTTATAGAATAATGAATAAGTAAATGAACTCAGAGCACAAGGTGAGCAGAAATACGAATATTTACCTGATAAACTGGGACACAAAGATGGCCACTCTGATTTGAGTGAGTATTACTCAGAGCCGGGTAGGCTGAATGTGGAGGTTTTCAGTATTCACAAGTTATCTTCAAGGGCCCATGGCAAGTATAAATTTGTACTCAGTTTGAATTTCACAGGCTTTGACAAAAACACATTTGTGAGAGAATTTCTTCTCGCATGAGTGCACGTAATTGGCCACCTATCAATTACATTTAAAACTGGTGTACAAGTATCCAGTTAGCCTTTCATTGAAGAAAGAGAGGGAAAATAATTTTTTGTAGTAACTGCGTTCCAGAATTTGGAGATGCTAGAAGGCCTCCAGAATCATCCTTTGAGAAGTAGTGATGGTCTACACTATCAAAAATGATTTTTAAAAAAGTTTAATGTAAAATAAATATAAAATTGGGATTGTGACAAGATTAGGTAGATTAGGGGAAAATGACCTAGACAAGTTGCTATGAGACAGTGAGCAGGCTCCTCCACCTTACAACCTGTAGTGTGTGTAGGGGTCTCATTGGAATCCACTGTCACTCCAGGTCTTCTTTAGTAAAGGGATCAGTTTGCTTGGACTTATCCAGCTGTATCACATGCCCGAGGCTGTCATCCATTGTGCCATCTCTACTCCTCCACCACCAGCTGAGAGTGTGTGAGTGAAACTTGGTCCAAATAGGAAAACTGAAAAGGGCTAAATTGCAAAGGCACACACTTCTGGCAGACAAAGGTGCAATTTGTGGGTCGAACTGGCACAGTTCACAGTCCACTGATTCCTGCCTCTCCTCTTTTTAATACTTCTGACAACAGGACAATTTATGTGGTAGAGGATGCCTTTCTTTTTGTTTTCTGCCGCCCGAAAGAGTAACACTTTACTTTTCATCTTTTATTATCTGGCTAGCTGTTCACTAGTGAGGCCAGTGTCCTGTCATCTTTCTATATTTGCAGAGCATAACCTTGACATATTGATACCTTTGAAGGCCTCCCTAAGTGTACGCACTCATTTATGAGTTGAAACTGCATTGTTTCTGGCTAATTTATCCTGAACCAGATTTTACACACTGACCCAGTAACTTACTTTGGGCATATTGAGGAATTTGAGTTTCTTCAACGCTATTCTATTATATTATAAACAACTATATTTTCCTGGGATATGACCCAGGCAACATAGTTCTTTTATAATTTTCTTTGTAGTCAAAGCTTCTCCTCATTGGATAGGAAAACTCAAAGTACTAGGTAGGAATCAAGACTTGTTGGATGGAAAAGAAGCAGAGAGAACAATAGTCAGCCTCATTCGCTAAGTGAAGACACCAGGTTTAATCAGCTGAAGTGCCCCTTAGCTAAACTAAAGCTGGGTTGAAGTTCATTGTAAGGGTAGAGCAGAAACTTGGTCTTATTTACTTACTGCTTAACAAGTATTTATTATCTGTTTAGTGACTGGGATTATTAATAGGAGTAAGATTAATTTTTTGCTCTTGAAGTGTTCATGATGCATTGAAGAAGATAGATAAGAATCAACAGTGCCCCTATGTACTGCTGGTGGGAATGCAAATTAGTACAGCCACTATGGAGAACAGTATAGAGGTTCCTTAAAAAACTAAAAATAGAATTACCATGTGACCCTGCAATCCCACTGCTAGGTATATACCCAAAAGAAAAGAAATCAGTAAATCGAAGAGCTATCTGCACTCCCATGTTTGTTGCAGCACTATTCACTACAGCTAAGATTTGGAATTAATCTGAGTGCCCATCAACAGACAAATGAATAAGAACATGTGGTACATATATACAATGGAGTACTATTCAGCCGTAAAAAAGAATGAGATCCTGTCATTTGCAAAAACATGGATGGAACTGGAGGTCATTATTTTAAGTAAAATAAGCCAGACACAGAAAGACAAACTTTGCACGTTCTCACTTATTTGTGGAAGCTAAAAATTAAAACAAATGAATACATGAAGATGGTAGAATGATGGCTACTAGAGGCTGGAAAGGGTAGTGGGGAGTGGGGGAAAATGGGGACGGTTAATGGGGAGAAAAATGTAGTTAGATAGAATGAATAAGATCTAGCATTAGGTAGAAAAACAGGGTGACTACAGTAAATGTAATTTATCATACACTTTAAAATAACTGAAAGAGTATAATTGAATGTTTATAATACAAAGAAATGATAAATCCTTGAGGTTATGGATACCCTCTTTACCCTGATGTGATTATTGCATCATATGCCTGTATCAAAATATCTCATGTACCCCATACATATATACACCTACCATGTACCATAAAAATAAAAAAGAATCAACGGTGCTGGGTGCTGTGAAAGAGGCAAGCTGTGTGCGCTGACATGGGGCACGGGGTGGGGACATCTCACACTCCAGATTGGGAGACTGATGGAGGAGAGACAGGCACATTTAGGGGGCCCTCACCACCATCTGATGGCTAAAGTTTAAACCTTGATGTTCGGAGATGTTAGGAACTTGATGTCCTTGAGTCTTAAATGTAAAGAATATGTGCTCAGAGGTGAAGTTTTCCCTGCTGATTCAGAGGAAGCTGACTCTCAGCCCCATGGAATCTTTTGAACTGGGAAGTCATTACTATTTGATTACTCTGTTATCACAGAAAACTTAAGCAAACATTTTTTGGCAAGAGTAGCAACAACAATAGCTGTTTTGAAAATATTCTTTCATTTCATCGTCTCTGTTAAGGACGTTGCTTATAATTTTTGTAAAAACCGTATAAAATAGTACTAAAATAGTATTACTCTACCTATTTTGTGAAAATGAAAATAGACATATAGAGATGTTAACTTAATAATTTAGGCACTCAGGTAGTAAGTTTTAGAGTAAGGGTTTTAGTCCATAATATACTGCCTTTTTGCAAATCCCTGTTTTTAGCTATATTAAATCTGCAAAAATTGCAATCTCTTACTTAGCCCAACTTATCCTTGCCAGAAAATACTTCTTGAATGATGTCTCTGGCTAGCTTCTAAAATTCTTTAAAATGCACATTTTTAAGTGTTTAAGGAATAAGACTCACATAAACAATTTTAGAGAAAGGAAACAAAAAGATTACATTCTAATATGAGAGATAGCAGGATACAAGAGCAGAATTAGATTCTTGTTCTGAATGTTGCTGAAAATTCTTTACCCCCTTGGACTGGAGTTTCTAGAGAGTTTCCTCCTCTACAAATTAAAGATGTGACCTACCTGATCTTAGCTCTCTCTTCCAACTCTAAAATTCTTTTTAGGATTTTAGATGTCATAAGGAAGTTATGACATTTCTGTCATGATTTGTGAACCAAGGAAGAACTTTGTTTCTTTGGAGAGATTGTCAAAACTGGCCACATTCTTGTCTGTGACAGTCGGGGAAAAATTCCATCTCAGGGCCATACCACAAACACTGTTTTGAATTCAGAGTATGCCCATCCATTTTCTCCATGGGATGTGTAGGGGTTAATGCATATTTCTTGGTTTCTAATGTTTTGCTGTAAGGATCTGATTTAAAAGCTCATTTCCTTACACACCAGGAGCAATGTTTGTAGGTCAAGCTCCCACACTGTGAAATACTTGAACTCTCTAGGAAATATCCTGGGCGTATGATTTAACTTTTGGCTCAACTTGGTCTTGAATAGGGGTGTTGGAAAATATGGAACAGGGAGAAAAACCTCACCAACACTGGTGCAAGAGCCTCAGTTTATTTCTGGCCTGCAATAATTCTTGCCAGTCACCTTGCATCTTGATTACTACATCGTTTCACTGCTTTCACAAGCAAAACTGAACGCTGGCTCTATCTGCCTGCTCTGCTTTCCTGCTCAGGAGAGTAATCACTCTGGATGAAAAGACACATCTCCTGACAGAATAGGGAATGCTAAACAACTGACTGCGAGCCTCGAGCCTTCACAGAGTCCTTAGCAGTTCCTGTCAATGCTTTCACTTGTTCGTAAGTTGTTGAACTCTCCAGTTCCCTCAGAGATTTCCAATGCTCACCACACTTCTGCCCCCTTTTAGTGCCCTCTTTCTCAGTCTTAGCAGATGATCTTGCTGTTCCTTTAGTGAGGACAGTTAGGTCCCAGGTAAGCCCTCTATCAGCCAACAGCTGGTACCTACCTGCTGTCCTTCTTCACATTCACGTGGGTTCCCATGATCTGTCTTCCTGTCTCAGAGGAGGGCTTGCTCCTTTTTCAGGTCGAAGTCCTCTAGGCCACTGACCTAAATCATGAATCCTCAGGTCACTCTGAACTCTGACATCTCATTCCTATAGTCATTGTCCCTGTCTTGTGTGCCTCCACCCTCTCCTCCACAGGTTCCTAAAAAGGGAAACTGGCTTTGGTGCTATTTGTCCTTCTAGCCACCATCAAGTCTCTCTCCTCTTTTTGAGAACTCAAAATTTCCAAAGGAGTGGACTGTACCCCTGACTCTGCTTTCTTACCTCATACAGGTGTCTGGCTTTTGACTCCACCATTCCTTAACTGCTTTCACTAAGGTCACCAAAATTCCCTTTTCATCAAGATGTGATTGGCCTTTTGTGGTCCATGCCTTCATGGGTCTGTGTGTGGCACTTGGCTAAGGTGACCAATCCCTCTTCTTTAAAACATGGTGTTGCTTCCTTTTTCTGACATTATGTACTTCTTTTGGTAGTCTCCATCCCAACCGGGTTGTGCTTCTCTTGCACGCAGGCTCCCCTTCCTCTGCCATTATGGAAAAGTTCACCGAAGGCTGGATTGGGTGGTCATTATGAGTGAAGGTTTTTGAGTCAGATTGTCTCCTTTTTTTCCTTTCTTTTTTTGAGACAAGATCTTGCTCTGTTTTGCCCAGGCTGGAGAGAAGTGGCCTGATCACAGCTCATTGCAGCCTTGACCTCCAGGGCTCAAGTGATCCTCCCATCTCAGCCTCTTAAGTAGCTGGGGATACAAGCATGCACCACCATGCCTGGATAATTTTTTTTTTTTTTTTTGAAATGGAGCCTCACTCTGTCGCCCAGGCTGGGGTGTAGTGGCGCGATCTCGGTTCACTGCAACCTCTGCCTCCTGGGTTCAAGCGATTTTCCTGCCTCAGCTTCCCGAGTAGCTGGGACTACAGGCATGTGCCACCACACCTGGCTATTTTTCTTTTTTTTTTTTTAATTTTTAGTAGAGATGGGGTTTTACCATGTTGGCCAGGCTGGTCTCGAATTCCTGACCTTAGGTGATACGCCTGCCTTGGCCTCCCACAGTGCTGGGATTACAGGTATGAGCCACCATGCCTGGCCCAGCTCATCTCTTACTATCTGTGCTTCCATAGGTTCTTAGTAAACTCCTCTGTACCCCAGTTTCATCATCTTTTAAAATGGATTTGATAATATTTCACATTGTTAAGAGGATGATTAAATCAGATAATGCAGGAACAGCACTTAATGTGTTCTTCTTTTTTTCAGAAAGAAAACTTAATCATTATGAGATAATTATATAAAGCAGCATTCAGAAATGAAAGATCAGGTTTCCAATTTGCAGTTTTACAATAACAGCACGCCGATATTCCATCATGCTTTAGGCTTTTCCAACTGTAAATATTATAGGAACTCTTGGAAAAATAAAAGAAAGGTGCTTTTCTGAATTTGTCATGAAAGAGCCAATTAGAATTTTTAGTTATTGAGGGACATTTTGAGGGATTTTAGAGCATCTAAGACTTAAAATAACAGGACATCCAGTTTTGATGACTACTGGAGATTTTTTAATAACGTTACTACAACTAAAATGAAAATTCAACACCACAAAGAATCTCAAAAGCACCTGCATTATACAATTATAATATATAATAATATATAATTATATACAATATATAATATATAGTATATAATTATATATACCTGGATTATACAATTAAAGCAAGTCATGATTAGATTAAAAATAGGTAAGTTCAGCCTTTATTTCTGATAAATTAATACAATTACCAGGGATTTTCTGGCTTCTAAATATAAATATGATAATAAAGTATACCTGAACCAAATAAGGTTGATTTCAAACTTAAGTGTGGAGCCCATCATAAATTACAGCAAATGACCATTAAAATTCTCATAAAATTATGATACATGAATTTTAAAAATCTTACAATTTTGACTTGATATTTTTGCTATTTCTTATTTGGTTATCCTAAAAAATAAAAAACCTATGTCAATATTTCAGATTTCTGTTGCACTTTTCCCCCCAAATCTCTATTTAACTATTTTGATCGGAAGTTTACAGAGTCTTCTGAAGGTCATTAATCCTGCAGAATGTTAAGCTATTGCTTAGTAAATTTTTTTTACTCACTAAATAATATTTTGGCTTTCTAATTTTTTGAATCTGAACATCAATTATAATTTTATGTATCAGTGTGAAATGAAAGATTAAACTTCATAAGTCAACTATACTATTAGATGGCATAACTTTTGATGTAACACCAATAAGGAGATGTAAATTTATCTGCATATATATACCATATATGTGTATATGTGTATATATATAAATGCACACAATATTATTTACCTATATAATCAAATGTCATGATTAAATTATCACTTAGATAATTAGATAGGTAGATATTAGTTTGGTGCAAAAGTAATTACAGTTTTTGCCATCACTTAATGGCAAAACTGCAATTACTTTTGAACCAACCTAATAATTAGCTATGTACATAAAGACAAAACTATATACAAGAGCCAATAGAACACTGTATTGCTTATCAATTATTTCCAGGCTCACTTTAGACCGACTGCCTTAGTACTCAAAGATGTTTAATATTGTTAACATTTATTGCTTGGTTATTGTCTGCAAACCACTGATCCCAACACAACAAGCCAACAAAACAGGTGCTGTTAATAACCTTATTATAGGCAAGAGGAAAGGGAGGCGGAGGGAGAGTAAGTAATTTGCCCAGCATCACATAACTAGATGCTGGTGGAGTCAGCATTAAAAAGAAAGCTGCATGGCTCCAGAGACTATTTTTTTTTTCAGAGTTTACAAAAATGTATTTGTTTATGAAAGCCATGATTTAGAACATTTAAAAAAAGCCCTCCTGGGAACATAACTTGGGGAGAAATGTGGTGAGAGGGCGAGACTCGGCCACCCACAGGCATGTCACAAGATGTGCCCCGGCTCTCTGGGGTGAACTCTGCTCTGACTTCAGGCCAGAGGTGTCTGCCCCAGCAGCGCCCTGACAAGCTGAGTGGTCGGAAGGCCCTGGCTGGAGAGAATTCATTTGGAACCTTTCTTCTTTTTCTTATTTTTCATTGGTGTTTCTTTCAGCGTAGTGTCCATTGCTACCTCTACTGGCTTTGCAGCTTTTTTTTTTCCTCTTGTCTTTTTGGGCTTCAGGGTGAAATCCTGGCCATCAGGTGGCTGCACACAATTCCCTGCACCCTGAGCAGAGGCCTCAGAACTCTCTTCCCAGCAGAGGCCTCTGCACTGTCCGTCTGTCCGTGCTCTTTTCTCCTTGGATGCCGACTTCTGGACCTTGTCTCTCTTAGGCTTTCCCTCTTTAGGCCGCTTGGCCTTAGGCTGTGTTGGGGGGTAACTCTCCCCATTTTTACCTGTTGCCTCTTTGTTTCTTTTCTTCCCCCTTTTGCATTCCACTTGGGTCTTGGAAATGTCAGGCCCTGGAGCTGCAACCTGGGGCTTGTTCTTCAGTGCTGCCATTCGCTTGGCAAAACGCTCCTGGATGGTGAAGGCATGGGTTGTCATCGTGGTTTTGTTCTGTCTGGAGTGGAGGGACTGGAATTACCCTCGGGAGTCTTCTTACTCTGTTTTTTCCCAAAAATGCAGTCACGATCTGTTTTGCTCCGAGATGATAGATCCTTTTCTTTTGTAAATTTCCTATGATGAACACAGTTTTTGAAGATTTTGGAATTTCTTCAAGACTAAAATATTTCTTTTTCTTGTTGTCTAAGGAGTCTGCTGTTTCCTGCCTCTGACAAGTGTTCAGTTCCGCCAGAAGCCAGTTAAAATCATCTTGATGGGCAATCCAGTTGGCTTCATTATTGATTGTAGCTTGAAGTCCCAGGTCGTTATTTTTAACTTGAACTTTAATATCATCTGGGCCTCCTTGCTCCTGAACCCCTAAACCCCTTCCTTTAGACCATTCCATCTTCTCTAGTATCCTCTGGCCAAATTTAGAATCAGCATTACTCCAGGCAGTGTTTTGAGTATTCACAGCCCACTTCTGCTTCTGCTGCTGCTCAGCCAGCATCAACATGTCATGGAGACTGTGACACCACGACCTCCAGACCTGAAGGACTTCGGCCACTGGGCGGGCAGCAAGATCTGGGACAATCTGGACAGATGGGACTCCCTTGCCAGGTGGACAGCAGCCCAGAGACTATGTTCTTAATTCCTAGGTGAACTGGTTCCCTTATTTCACTGAATCCTTGTAACAACCTTAGGGGTAGGTGCCCTTTAGGTTGAGGTATATGAAATTGCTAATATTTACCCATTTTAACTTAATACACAAACAGCACTTTCATCTGCTACAACCACATAGCATTCCTATTTTATATTTTATTTTATTTTATTTTATTTTATTTGAGACAGGGTCTTGCTCTGTCTCCCAGGCTGGAGCGCAGTGGTGTGATCATAGCTTACTGCAATCTGGAATGCCTGGGCTCAAGCAGTGCTCCTGTCTCAGCGTCTTGAGTAGAGGGATTACAGGTTCAAGCTATGGTGCCCAGCTTATCCTCATTTTAATAAGTGGAAACAGTAGCTTACATTGTTAAGTAACTCACCCAAGGTCAGGTTGTGTGGAATGGAGCCAGGATTCAAATCCAGGGCCGGTGGATTTCACAGCCCATCCTTGCCATTACTCTATATCACAGTAGTATGTTTTCTCATTACCCTTGTGATCTAATCTCTTTGTCCTCATTCCTTGCACTCAAACCACTAGGCAACCAGTGTCTTTGTAGTCCCCAGATTCAAACTACTTTTGGATAAGTACCTGTTGTTCTACTACCACTTCCAATCATGTTTAGCTTCAAATTTTATTGTCACTTCCTTTTCCATTGACTCTTAGACCTTAATGGCTCATGCTAATAAATTTTGGTTCTCTTCTGCTTCTCAAATTGTTTAATAAATTTTCCTTACAAGTAAAGTATCATATACTATGTGAGCTCTAGATGAAGACTAATTGGGGTACTTAGTAATTTCTGCAAGAAGCAGAAGTCCTATTTAAACTTTTAATGAAGAAGACACAGTATATCCTTATTAACAGGCGATAAGTAGTTTTGCTTTGATATTTTCCTCTATGACTTGTTTGGCTCTCATATAAATTATTGAATAGCTGTCAATATTTCCAATTCCTATTGAACATTTTCCTCAGGGACCCAGCCTCACAATGGATACTAAGCTCTGGTTGAAGTGCAGATTCTTATTCTAATTAGGTTAATGGAGTATATGTTTTGTGAACAGGAAGTTCTTTACTGTAGAATAGTTATCAAAAATTCCCTGTGGGACCCAAGGACAAAAGAGATCAATATTTTACTGGCAGAAAATTTCACTAGAGGAAACTTCCTTTCTGTGTCTGCTGATTTTTCTGTGGTCATTCATTAGAAAGCCTGACCCAATGGGGTTATAGACTTTGGGATGGTTATTGCTCTCAGCATAAAGGAAGAAGTCAAGAAGAAACAAATCTGTTTTAACTTTTCTTAGAAGGAAACATCACAAAACAGCTCTTGGAAAGGACATGGGTATTAGTCTTTTCCACAAGCACATCATGTTAAATCCTGTCATCTGCATTCATGGACATTCATATTTATACAGCGCTTTCTGCAGCATAAGTCCAATAAATAATACATCTCTTCCATTTCACTAATTCTGAGGTAAGTTTGCAATTATAACAACTAGGCAATGGATTCATGTTTTAAGCAAAGGGCACATTTTAGGCTTGCTAGGGTGACCAATTGCGGTAGTTTTTCCATATCCATCCTGGTTTCAGCACTGAAAGTCCCTTGTCTTGGGAAACTCTTTAGTCCCAGGTGAATTGGGACAGTTGGCCACTGTAGGTTTGGATATCGGGGGACCAGCCCCCGATATTTCAACATAGGTTCTTTTCTATTTTCTCTAAGTGTTGGCCGGTCTGATAAATAAAGGGAAAGAGTACAAAAGAGAGAAATTTTAAAGCTGGGTGTCTGGGGAAGACATCACATGTTGGCAGGTTCTGTGATGCTCCCTGAGCTGCAAAAGCAGCAAGTTTTTATTAGAAATTTTCCAAGGGGAGGGAGTGTACGAATAGGGTGTGGGCCGCAGATATCACATGCTTCATAGGCCAATAAAAGATCACAAGGCAGAAGGTCAGAGCGAGATCACAAGGTCAGGGCAAAACTAGAATTGCTAATGAAGGTCCATGTCCTGTTGGGCACACATTGTCATTGATAAACATCTTAGCAGGAAACAAGGTTCAAGAGCAGAGAACCGGTCTGACTAGAATTCACCAGGCTGGAATTTCCTAATCCTAGCAAGCCTGGGGGTGCTGCAGAAGACTAGGGCGTGTTTCATTCCTTATCTACAACTGCATAAAGCAGACACTCCCAGAGTGGCCATTTTAGAGACCTATCCCTGGGAATGCATTCTCTTTCTCAGGGCTGTTCCTTGCTGAGAAAAAGAATTCAGCAATATTTCTCCTATTCACTTTTGTAAGAAGAGAAATATGACTCTGTTCTGTCTGGCCCCACAGGCAGTCAGGCCCAATGGTTACCTCCCTTGTTCCCTGAAAATCACAGCTATCCTGTTCCTTTTGGATGCCCAGATTTCATATTGTTCAAACACACATGCTGTACAAGCAATTTGTGCAGATAATGCAATCATCACAGGATCCTGAGGTGACATGCATCCTCAGTTTACGAAGATGATGGGATTAAGAGATTAAAGTAAAGACAGGCATAGGAAATTAGAGAATTGATTGGGGAAGTGAAAAATGTCCATGAAATCTTCACAATTTATGTTCAGAGATTGCAGTAAAGACAGGTGTAAGAAATTATAAAAGTATTAATTTGGGGAACTAATAAATGTCCATGAAATCTTCACAACTTATGTTCTTCTGCCATGGCTTCAGCCCGTCCCTCTGTTCAGGGTCCCTGACTTCCCACAACATTTGGACAAATCCACCATGTGGGCTGATCAAAATTTTCTCTTTGTGTCAAATAATAATGACAACAACAAAAACCCCACAAAACCCCAGTGCTTTCAACTCTTATTTCCTTAATTAGAAACAGTCAAAGACACTGATTTCAAGTTGCAAGGAGCACAGCCAGATTTATTTACATACTTGATTTCATGTTTATTTTTCTTGTAACCTGAGGCTGAATGGTAGAAGTAAACATTCTCAGATCAAAATGGATCAAGTTGGGTCTACATTTTGAACATCAGATATTTGAATACATTCCATATCTGTATCAAGAGATCGTTTATTTTTGCCATCTCCTCATTGCTTAGAAATAGGACTTACGACAAAAGACTCAAGCATCTTTACATTTGTAGGACCACAGTACCATGAGAGGAGATTCAACTCTTGGCTTCACTATTCTCATTTTGGTTTATTTCATTTACAGTTTATTCACCCACTACACCATGCATCTTTTACTCCCCCTCTGGGAAGAAGTAGAAAACTGCATCAGTTTCTAGGACATTCCATATCAAAGAGACACAATGAAAACTGGCAGCAAGTGGCACTGCCATTGAGTGACTTCTCCCTCAACCATCTCTGCTGTGTGGTGCAATTTAAGGTGGATGAATGGCATACTCTGGGCTCCAGGCCAGCTAACTGGCCCTGGGGGAAATCATTCACACCCACGCTGATGCACACACCCTTTAAACTCTCTTTCCTGCCCTGCAGCCCCCCAGATGAAATCCTTATACTCCAGGAAGCAGCAGGTCCTTTCATTGCTGTCTCTGGGCTACAGGAATCAAAGAGCAAAATGAATGTTTTCCTCTGAGAACTGGCACTGAATAGAAGGAAGGAAATGCCTACTCCAATTCAAGCATGTTTTAATCTCTGGAGAAGTGGGTACTGGGGAGGGGCAATATTGGCTGAGGAATCAGTGGGAAAGTCATAAATTTTGTCTCTTATCCCAGCAACTAAAATTCTTCCTTTAGAGTGCCACCCACTCTTTTTTTTTTCTCCTAAAAGGATTTGGATAATGAACAATCACTTTCTAAATTCTCAAGTTCAAAAATCTCTCAGTGGAGGAAGAAAAGGGAGTTTTTGAGTAAATCTCCAAAGGCTAGATGAATCATTGAAAAACATGCTCAGAAATTTCAAGATTCACACACACCTCATGAATATACCATCTGAATCTAATCTGAAGAATCTGGCACTAAAACAAATCAACAGTTCCTTACCTCTTCCTCTCTTTGACACTTTTAATATCTAACAAGGCCAACTCATTTAATTTTTTTAAAAACAATTATCTCTCATTCAAAGATACAGATGAATAGTAAAACACCAGTGTGATCGACTTCTCAAAAGTCTGACCCACAGTCAGACAAAAACAGATTGGTGGTGGTGTGGGGGGAGGGGATTCTACATGTCAAGTGACATGGACTCATCACAATGTCAGTGTCCCGGAAACCTTAAAAAAAAAAAAAGTGGTGCTTGTGCTGGCTGTTCTAAAGTAAATGAGATTTAAGGGACATGACAAGCAAATAGAATGTAGAAACTTGGAGCTTAATTCTTAATTGTGATAGTGTGATTATAAAGGAGAATGCCTTTTTTCTTAGGTGCTACATGCTGAAGTATTTAAAGACAAAATGTCTTGACATGTCCAGCTTATTTTTAAAAGTTATCATCAATGAGAGACAGAGAATGACAGAAAGAAAAGGAGGCAAATGTTAAACAAACAAACAAATTCTGGGCTAAATATTGATTTGGAGCTCGCACTGGAAAATTCCCTGTTGCTTGTTCAAGTCCAGGCAAGTCTATGAGTTCGCCAATTGGCTTCAGGGTATAAATTGGACTATTTTGACACGTTCTAAAGATCTATCGTTAGCCTGGCTTCCATTCAAGTTTTAGCTAACAGGAAGCACTTGATTCTCTGAAGAGGTGTGTCAGAGCAGAATTACTTACAGATGTTCCTTACAGACATATTCCAAATTTGTTTCTCTCAATTAATTTTTCAATCAATTTCTACACCCACTTCATTAGATTTTACATTTAATTTGCAAGTAAAATGGCATTTGCATTTTCTTGAGTAACTGTGTCCCTTCTATTCCCTCCCATCCCCATTTCTAGAATCTCAATTATGTTATGATACGTCCCACAATAATTGCATTATAAAATGTCATGAACCATGATTATAGGGAGGCTATTCAGAAAAAATTCCCTCACTGTCTATTCACACTAAAGCCTTGATTCATAAATTTGAAAAAAAAGTTCCATGGTTATATGAGCCAGTGGAGAATCTTTGTGTTTTAATAGGTCAGATTGCCCAGGGTATTGGACCTGCTCATATATGGGAGTTTTTGAACATGATTTTAAAGTAAGTCTTTGGAGCCTCTTTTAACAATATCAAAAGTAGTTTGAAGGAAATTTACTTTTTTTTAAAAAAGAATCCTCATTGCAAATTTGACCATTTTATTCTTTTGTTGGGTCACCATTTTTGAACATCTGGCAGTCAGCACATGGGTGCAAAAGGCTCATCTTCAGCAGTTCCTTGGCAAGATCAGTAACCTAAAAATTCGGCCCTAATTCTTTGATATCTTTGAAAGACTAACCTCTCTGTCCATTGCTTACTCTTTCGTTCCACTTGTACTTGAAGTTTCATTTTTTTTTTTCTCAAAAGCATTCTGTAATTGAAGTCATTCCAATGGAAATTTTAGTGATGCTATGCTGGGCATTGTGCGGGGCAATGCAGGCGAGACATGGAGGAGTAGAATGTGGCCTCCTGGTTTGTAAGGAGAATGTGACCCAGCAGGAAATAGAAGACACATGTGCTAATTACTCTTATGTAGTGTATGGAATATTCCACATGGGAGTTGTAAACAAAGGATTCCTTACCCATGACTCCAGCACAATTAGAGGCTCTTTCCTCATGATTCAAGTGTCCATCTTCCTCATCCCCCAACATCCGGAGTCAGGCAACTACCTACTCTATTAGGGTTAGTTGGGTTACCAGTCTAGAGTGAATTTCTTGAGTCAAAGTCAGTGACATTCATTTTATACCTTTAGCACCCATCAGTGTTTTTGGTATATAGGAAGGCCTTGAAAATTATTGTAGCACAGAATGGGTGGCTGGCAGGATGATGAATGGTTATCCCAAAAGCTGACATCTCTAAATACTTCCATAATTAGACTGATACAAGCTTCAGGGTTTGGAGACCTTTGGTTTCAATCTCTTACCGATATTGCTTTATGAACCCAGGGATGAAATCACCATGGTGAGAAAAATGACAAGGAATTAGATTCTCTCATGTATATATCTGCTATTTTTTCTTTTGTAACAAACTGAAAAAATACAAGAGCATATCTTCATCTCTACTACCATGATCTTAGAAATTAGCTTCTGTACCTCCACTCACTACTTGCTCAATCTCTGGCCCAGTTTTATCATTTTATCACCAATTCCCTCTGGGACCAACTGTATCCTAGGTCAATAATTCAATTCTGGGACAACAGAGCTCCTTGCTCATCTCTGCAGGTTAGTGAGAAGATTGTAACACAGTCACTCATTAGTAAGTAGAAATAAAGTCTAGGTTTAATGGACACACTACTTCCAGTGATAAAAAGTAATCCTTGAAATATTTTTAAAGTATAAAGAGCTTTGGCTAGGAGTGGTGGCTCACGCCTGTAATCCCAGCACTTTGGGAGGCTGAGGCGGGTGGATCACTAGGTCAGGAGTTCGAGGCCAGCCTGACCAACATGGTGAAACCCTATCTCTACCAAAAATACAAATATTAGCCAGGTGTGGTGGCGTGTGCCTGTAATCCCAGTTACTCAGGAAGCTGAGGCAGGATAATCACTTGAACCCAGGAGGCAGAGGTTTCAGTGAGCTGAGATTGTGCCACTGCACTCCAGCCTGGGCGACAGAGTGAGTTTCTGTCTCAAACAAACAAACAAACAAACAAAAAAACAAAGAAACCCTAAATATATATATATATAATATATATATACACACACACATATATATACACATATATACACATACACACACACACACATACACACACACACATATATATATACACACATATATATAAAGATCTTTGAGTCCGTCTGATTACTTCCACAGGATGGGAAAGGGTTAACTCACTTTCAAACCACTTGGATTAATAGTAACATTATTTGTATAATATAAAGCCAGCTTCAAATAAATATCAAGAGGTTAATTCTATTAAATAACTTCTAAATTTTGTTACTCAGTACAATCAGTAAATGGTAAATGAAGCAAGGAAAAATACTTTTTCTTGAGTAAATGTTAAGCAAATGGTGGTATACATATAAACCCCACTGGTGACTTCTGCCTCTTTTTAGTATTATCATTGTGATGATTTGAGTTGTGACTACATGCCAGAATGATAAGTGCTTTACAAATATTATCTCTAATCCTCACAGTACTATAAATTAGGCTCTATTTTCCCTAATTCACAGATGAGAAAACTAAGTTTCAGAGGTTAAATAACTTGTCTTGGATCACGCATCTAGGAAAAGCCTCCTGGAAACCAAATTTCACTATATGAGTTAATAAAATTCATGTCTGACGTTGACCTAATCAAGGAATCTAGTGGTAGTACATGCTTGACAAGTGATAGAGTAGGTTCCATGTAACACCAGAAAGTAGATGAGGTCTGACTTCAGCACTTTCAGCCTTTTGATAATGTTCAGTATAGGACTGGGCCACCATTCTTTTCCTCTTTCCTCCACAAGTCTTGTCTTAATGAAAATCACAATAACAGAGCTATATACCTCAGTGAACTTGTTTTGTTATTTCTCTTAGGGAGATCAGAAGTTTTAGCCTCCGTCTAATTGTTAATAAAATGTTTTAACTGTGTTATGAGGATTTCAGGTGTAAGTTAGTAAGAGACAGGTATATTTTGAAGGGCCTTCCTTTTGCACATGAAATTCACAAAGATACAAATTTGTGAATTTCATGTGCAAAATTGGCTGCATAGTCATCTGTGTATTAGTTATTCTGTAGATAATCATTCATTGAAGATATATTTATTGAGTACCTTCAGTATGTCAAGCCCTATTCTAGTTGCAAGATAGACTACATAATTTGCAGGTCTCAGTTCTAAATTAAAATATGGAGTTCCTTGTTCCAAAATTAAGAATTTTAAGACGGCGACAGCAGAGCATTAAACAAGGCATACAGCCCTTCTAAGCTCTTCTATGTAACTGTGTAGCTCACACATCCACGAAGCTGACCCTGGCTGGGTGCTCAGGATATAACGGTGAGTAGAAACTGTTTATCCCCTCATGTAATTCATAGTCTATTAAGGGAGACAGATTGTAAACCAATGATCACATTAAACAATTTGATTATTTGATAAAAATAAAAACACACTAGTAATTATATACCAAAATAATTACCCCAAAGGGAAAGAGTGAAGTTCCAGAAGACAGTTTGTCAAAGAAAGATATCTAGGTTTATGCTCAGAGAAAGCTTTCAGGAGAAGTAATGTTTAAAGGCTAGGGAGAAATAAACTAGATGATGAGGGGAGGGAGGTGACCTCCAGGACAAGAGAGTATTTTATCAGAACACGCTCAGGTACTGTGGGGCAGGGTGTAGCATGTCATAGAACTGAAGGAAGGATTGTGTATGGCGAATAAAGGGGGAGTGTGGTGGGAGCCCAGATCAAAGAGATAGACACACCCAGACACTGAGCAAAACCTGGCCTTGTAGGCTTGTGTAAGGATTTCAGTCTTTATCTCAGGGACAATGGGGATCCACTAAAGAGTTTTAACCAGGGGGCTCAGAGTAAAGGGTCTGAGGCTGAAAGGGGTACAGAGTGGATACAGAGCCACCATTTAGGAGGCTGCTGTGGCAGTTAGGCTAGAGATAATATTGGCTTAGCCTGGGATAATGGCCAAGGTGGTGGGAGATGTGGGGAGTTCTTTGGGCAGGCACATACAGAAAGGAAGGAAAAACAGAAGACTTGGAGAATTTCTGGATGAACTTGTATAAGCATGATGCTAGCAGAGGAAGTTTAAAATGAGAGCCCAAATCACAGTTTGCTTGGCCTTGCCCATCCTAGAAACTAATTAGAAAAATGAGATAAATAAATATTTTGAAGTATGAGAAAGAGCAAAACACTTTCCTCTTCTACAAACCCATCTCACTTTGAAGAGGAGAAAAATCAGTGATTTTGTTTAGTCCCTTGAGTAATGAGAGCTGTGGGTGGTCACAGTTAGAGGTCTGAAGCCTCCTCTAACTCTACAGGAGCTGGATTGTACTAAAATGTCAGATCAGTCTGGAGGGGAAATGAATCAGAACAGCTGAAATGCAGAATTTTTGCTGTGTTCTCCCTTACCTAAGGGACAGCCATGGCTTTGCAACCGTTAACTTTCCTTGAAAAGGAATTCAGACTGCCTCTGAAAGATCTGCAGAGCTGTGAAGGCTGAAAAGCAAGTTATTCTTGCAAAGGTCTTTAAGTAAAACTGGCTGCTAAAAAACAACAACAACAAAACTATTCTTCCCTTGACATAGTCAACTTAAAAAAATTGTAATGGAGCCTTCTTAGCTTTTAAATTGAGGAACAAGTGGGTAAGAACAAACCAGAATCAAATAGTAAAGCAGGAGTTCCTTCTTCCTTTTCTTTCAATGCCCTTGCTTTCTCCCCACTATGCTGCCACAACTCCTACATCTTTTTAGATGCTTTTGTTTTCCAGGGACTGAATTCTCACTTCCCTGCTCAAGGGATCATCTCAACTTGTTATTCTCCTTAGAGTAATTTTTACAAGAACATGTTTATCATATTAGGAACAAATGTGTTTGGAACTGGGGTGTTTTAAACTCTCTGTTAATGCACAATGCTTTTCGGCAGCTGGCTAACTCCTAGCAAACTTGGCCTTACAAGAGGTCACCAGAATTAGGTACTAGGACTATGTACCAACCATGTACTAGGCACAGCTTATAAATACCTATTAAAGTGAAACCCACCCAGTATTCAGTTAGCAGTATGGGTGATTTGGTGAATTAAATCCATAATGAAATCCTATCAAAATCTCTCCCTCCCCACTGATCTATCAGAATTGCTAAAGAGCTCAGCTAACAAGCCTGTGTGCGACAGTTCAGTGTTATGCACAATCTGCTTTCTTTGGTCTTACTGTTGCAGAGAAATGGCAGGAAGTTAGGTATAAGGATTAAAAATAGGAGCATATAGACCAAATGTAGGCTGTTGACCTTTAAAAAAACTGATGCCTAGTTACACTAGAAGAATGTTATACAAGTATTTCTTTTATAATTGAAACATCTGCATGAATGCTTTCTTTTCTTCCACATATACATAATTTAGACATCTTAATTACAGTTGTATGCTTTGGGGTTTGATTGTAAAAAAACCAGGATGTCTTTTTGTCTGTTCTCCCTGATGTCAAAAAATTGATTACAAATTTTATAAACTGGTTTTTCTCAGTGAGGAAATTTCTTGTCTAATTTTAGCACCCCCCAACCATTCCTAAAACCATCGTCCCATGGATCTCCATGAATCGAACTGCATACGTGCACATCTCTCATTTGCATCTTTTCCTGATATTCATAAAACCTCCCACAAGTGAAAGGAAGGAAAGTGATACTCATGGATTGGTTTCCTGCCCACCATCAAGGCCTGGGATCATAAATAAAGTCTGGGGCTCCACTTGCTGCAGAGACACAGTAGATGGCAGTGTGCAACACAGAAGTGTGAGATTCCCGACCGTCTCAGCCTTGGATGGGCAACTGACTGGGAGGAGGTTGAATCTCTGGGCACGGATGCTGTTTTTCCAGCCTAGTCAGAGAGAGAGGTTGTCTTCCTAGGAAATGCTTTTTCTGCATAAACTTGGTTTTGCTGATTCAGTCAACTGCAGTTATTTGGGCTACTTTGGCACCAAAGAATGTTAAGCTTCTTTAAGCCTGAAAAATGTCTGTACTTCAAAACTCTACTTAAATGCATAAAATAATCTTTCACTTATATGATATGCTTCACTTGTCACTTATATGAACCTCCTTGTGCTTCATATTTTATTAATTTTATTAAAACAAGATCACTATGGATAACCTACAGATAAGCACTCTGGACATTTCATAAGCACATGTTGGATACACCAGGACTTGGTGGTTTGACTTTTCAGCATCGTAGGTGGACTAATATGAGTACCCCCATATACTCTCAAAGACCATATTTAATTAGGTGACTGTGTTGGATATTTTAAATCATTTTTATATTTCTGCATTATATGTTCCCCAAAATTTAGTAGTAATTCCTCAATAGACTTAAAGTATATTTAAACTTTTTTTTATTATAGAAGGTACAGGCGACTGGGGTCATTTTGCTGAATATTAAAATTACTTTCTTAATATAATTACTTTCTTATTATAAGCAAATAAATCATTTCTAGTATGATACTTATTATTAAACATTAGCAAAGGAGACCTTACTCAGCACCAGTAACAGATATTTTTAAAAAGAGAATTTCCCGAGAGGAAGAGGTCTCAGAGGAAAGGAGATATGTCGTATACAAATCATGTACAGCACTTAATTACCTTGAGATTTATTCATTTCAATAGACACACACCCACACACATTTTCTCAAGCCTTCCCTCCTGGCTGGATTTGTGTCTTAGGATTAGGGGCTTTGCTCTGATCTCTGTTTTACAGTGTTTGGCCTGTGTAGACTTTCCTACTTGGACTAATGTGCTCAATTGTATTTATCTTTCCAGACCTCTTGTTCATTTAGATTTCAGAGTTCTGTCCAATTCCATGGTCTCTTGGAAGTCCCAGCTTTGGCTTTTCCTGGCCTGACTCATTCTGTTGGCACCCAAGGCTGGCCCAGTTAGGCTGAACCACTGGGCATTTTCAGAGTTGCCACCATTTGACTAGAAGTCTTGGAATTCCAAACTTGGGTTGTTGACTGCAGGGTTCTCCTTCCTCAGTGTCTGAGACACAGGCTTTTGGTGATTGCCTTTCCCCTTGCGTTAAATGCTGCTGTTTCTCAGGGCTCTGACTCTAGGCCCTTCTTTCTCACTCTGCACAGTTTTCCTGGGCCGTCTCAACCACTTTTCTGGTTCCCAGTTGCCATTCCACTTCCGTGCTGATCACTTCCAAGTCGTTGTTGGTAGCCTAGATCCCTTGCCTGACCTTCAGAACTGTAGGCCCTCACATCTACAGAGACACTGACATGTCTCACTGGCACTTCCGTAAGACCAACATTTCACGCTTTGTTTATCCCACATATTGTTCTTCCTGCTTATCCCACTGATGTCAGCATCCATATCTGTGTCTAGGCCAGAAATCTCATATTCATTCTTGATTTCTTTTTGTTCCTCCAAAGAATGACTAAGTCCTGTTGATTCTGGCTCCTAAATATATTGGGAAACTATTGAAATTTTTTTTTCACCAGTTTCTTCTGCTGTTTCCTTCTATCAGGCCACCATCATCTTTTACTTGGATCTCTGTGACAGCCTGCTGACTGATCTCCTTGACTTCAGCCTTGCTCCTTTGCAATCCATTTCCCATGCTGCAGCTGAATTATATCCCTTGAATGCTCATTTGACCATGTTTTTTCTTGCTTAAAAAAACCAAAAAACTCTTCTATGGCTTACTTCCCTTGCTCTGACTCCTTCTTCTCAGCCATTAGGCCTCCACCTAGTCCACCTAGATTCCATTTTCTCTCTCTCTCTCTTTTTTGTTTTCTGAGACAGAGTCTTGCTCTGTCTTGAGTGCAGTGGCCTGATCTTGATTCACTGCAACCTCCGTCTCCCAGGTTCAAGCGATTCTTCTGCCTCAGCCTCCTGAGTAGCTGGGACTACAGGCGTGCGCCACCATGCCTGCTTAATTTTTGTATTTTTAGTAGAGACAGGGTTTCAACATGTTAGCCAGGCTGGTCTCAAACTCCTGACCTCAGGCAATCCACCTGCCTCGGCCTCCCAAAGTGCTGGAATTACAGGCGTGAGCCACCGTACCCAGCTGATTCCATTTTCTCCTAATACCTATCCTGATCCTTTCAAGCTTGTGCAAAGCACTCTTTCATCTGCTCTATAGCACGATGTGCTTTCCCTACCATAACATTTACAGAACATGTTACATTTGCTAGTTTACTTGTCTCTAACCCTCACTAGTCTGCAAGTTCAGGAACTATACTTAGCTTGCTCATCTATTTTATATCTATAACTTAGGAAATTACCCCAAATATTGTAGGGACATGGGATACAGGGGTATAGTAGTGTATTATTTGTGGTAAGAATACATGAAGAAATAAACTCATTGCAAATTATCAATGCATAATACTTGTTGGTCACTTCCCGTAGGACGGTTATGGTAATGGGTAATTGGAATTGTGTTAGGGTGGGAGGAAGGCTTGTTTAGAAAAGTAAAGCTATAGCAATTATCTTGAATCCATTCATGTAGGATAGGTTCATTAACACTGGTTTGGAAGGTCTTTGATGATTTTTTTTTTTTTTTTTTTTTTGAGACGGAGTCTCGCTCTGTCGCCCAGGCTGGAGTGCAGTGGCGCGATCTCGGCTCACTGCAAGCTCCGCCTCCCGGGTGCACGCCATTCTCCTGCCTCAGCCTCCCGAGTAGCTGGGACTACAGGCGCCCGTTACCACGCCCGGCTAATTTTTTTTTATATTTTTAGTAGAGACGGGGTTTCACCGTGTCAGCCAGGATGGTCTCGATCTCCTGACCTCGTGATCCGCCCGCCTCGGCCTCCCAAAGTGCTGGGATTACAGGCGTGAGCCACCGCGCCCGGCCGGTCTTTGATGATTTTAAGAAATAAACGTAACTTGTATGGAGGTTCTGGAAAGAGAATGTCTGAAACAAGTCAAAATACATTCTCCTTTTTTATATATATGTAGATGTGATTAAAAAGGTATATATGTAAGCAGCAGTCCACTGCAACATACTATAGACAGTCTTGTCTACTTCACAACATTATTTCCCTTCTCACGTACTGGTCTTATCTCCCTTCATCATGCTATAACACAAAGGACATCGGCTGTGCCATTCCATGATTTTTTTCTGGAAGGGATCCTAGTACTTAACGGAGTACCTCAAAGATAGTAGACGCTCAATAGATGTTCATGTGCTCTTGGGTGTTGCTGGCTTTCCTGGTAACTTCTGAAGAAGAATATTTATTTTGATTAGTTTATTTTGCCTAACGTCCTGACAATGGGCAACATGCTACTAAGATCATGTGTTGTGTTTAGATGACAGTTAATTGAAAGATTTCACTGCATAATTGAAAGATTTGACTCTCTCTACTGAGTTCACAGGACTGTGCTGACTCTGCTAATTAGTTATTATCTTTTCTTGTTTTGCAATAATACCATGCTAGGGAACCCACTAATAGAATTTTTTAAAAGCTGAAGAGCTAGTCAGACAGCCAAGTACTGACAAGGACATTTAAAAGTATAGCAAAAGATCAGGCACAGTGGCTCATCGTGCTGTAATCCCAGCACTTTGGGAGGCCAAGGCAGGCAGATTACTTGACGTCAGGAGTTTGAGACCAGCCCGGCCAACATGGGGAAACCCTGTCTCTACTAAAAATACAGATATTAGCTGGGTGTGGTGGCACGTGCCTGTAGTCCCAGCTATTTTGGAGGCTGAAGCAGGAGAATCACTTGAACCTGAGAGGCAGTGGTGGCAGTGAGCCGAGATTGCGCCACTGCACTCCAGCCTGGGTGACAGAGTGAGACTCTGTCTCAAAAAAAAAATTAATAATAATAGTATGGTAGTTCTAATGAATCATATCTGTCTCTTCAGTTAGGATGTAAACTATCAGTAAAATATAAGATATGAACCAGGCATGGTGGCTCATGCCTATAATCCCAGTACCTGGAGAAGCTGAGGTGAGAGGATTGCTTGAGCCTAGGAGTTTGAGACCAGCCTGGGTAAGACTCTGTCTCCACAGAAAATAAGTAAAAACTAGCTGGGTGTGGTGGCACACAACTGTGGTCCCAGCTACTTGGGAGGCTGAGGTGGGGGATCTCTTGAGCCCGGGTGATCGAGGCTGCAGTGAGCTGAGATTGCACCACTGCACTCCAGCCTGGGCAACAGAGAGAGAGACCCTGTCAAAAAAAAAAAAAAAAAAAAGATACAGTAGAAAATGAAGATGGGATTTGTGATTCTGGATTTCCAGGTTCATGGATGAAGTCTGATGAGTTGCTATGACTGTCAAAATAGCATAGATTCATAGTTCCATGAAGGTAAAGGAATTAGGTTAGCATCTGGTTTAATTAAACTTTGATTGGATTGAATGCACAAAATAGAAAAATTATAAAATACACTGGTTTAAACAAGATAGAAGTTTATTTCCATCTCATGTGAAAGATGGCCAGAGCTAGGCAATCCAGACAGGTGTTAGTAACACATCAAGATCACACAGCTTGGGGGTGGCGCAACCCTTAAATTCATTATCCAAGAGATTAAGATGATAATAGCACCTACCTCATAGAGCTAAGAGGATTTAATAATAAAAACCATATGAAGTACTTGAATAAACACCTGGCACATATAACATGCTCAATAGGTGTTATGTATTAATGTGAGGGAGCCACAGATTACTCAAGTGATGAATAAATAGTAACTAACATTCTGATAACTTACATGGAGGAAGGATGAGGGATCTAGGAGAGGACATCACAGGGGTTTCTCATCTAGTTTGGAGGCTCTGGGAATACTCTTCTGAGGAACTAATGCCCCAGATATATCTGAAAGATGACTAGGTGTTAGTTGGGTGGCCGGCTGGGGATGGTTCCAATCAGAGAGAAACCACCTGTCCTGGATTAGGAGGGGCACCAGAAAGTAGTGAAAGGAGGCTTTGTGTCTTGATTTCAGAAGATGAGGCTGGAGAGCAGCAGGGCCAAGGCCAGGATACCTGTTAGGGATTTGGGTCCTTATCTGGAGACTAATGGGCAACCACCAACGAGGATCAATCAGTTGGAGGAGGAAGTTACCATGAGGCTGGATCTCTGCTTGTGTCCAGAGCTCCCAACCCCCAGGGGCTGATGCTCCCAGGTGGGACTGACCGTAGACAGCTTGCCTCGATGTATCTTGCATCCTGGAGTAGGGGTGGGGCTCCAGCCATTTTGAGAGATTCATAGTGTGCATTTGATAACACATTGAATGCCAGATAGCTGGGTGGAAAGGAAGCTTATTTTGATTCACACTTCCTCATTCACACAAAAATATTCTGAAAGCCCTAAACTAGAGGAGAGAATGTATGCATAATCTGAAAACACTTATATTTGGCTCTAGAAACCACAAAAGTAAAGAGTTCAAGTGGCATGGTCACCTGTGTGTCCATATTCTTGAACTCCTCAAATTCCCTTGGATTCACACTGTCCCCCTCTGGCCCCTGCTTGGGGTCTGGGACCTATCAGTGAAAGAAGGGTGCGCACACTTGGGGTAACTGAGCACTACTCATTTATTCCACAGTGGCTATGGTTGTTGAAACTTACATAGGGACTCAGGTGAGAGCAAACTATTCTTGCAGATAATATGCTGTAGAAGTGGAAATCTGTTGTTGGTTCTTATACAGCTATAAGCACACCATGTGCATAAAATGCACGAACATTATTCAATTTTTTCTTAACATGTTTGACAAAAATTTTAGAGGAACAAAAATAAAGGAGTTCATTAATAGAACTATAGTAGGAACTACATGTTATCAAATATGTAACTATGGAGTCTAATCATGTCATCTCTGGTTTTTACTGTAGTCTGTACTCTAAAACAAGTGTGGAAGTGGAGCACTCTACATATCCTAAGTGCCAAAAATATTCCTCTTCATGAAATTCGCCAGATCTGCAAAACACAGCTCCTTTTGAAGAGAAGAGCCAGGGAACTCCATTAGCAGGCTTTGATGGCATTAATAATTCAGAGAGATGCCCTCTATCTTCTTTAAGATAGACAGAAGGGTCCCTTTTAATGTATAACCAGGCAGAAAAGAGGAGAGGACACGGGTGGGAGAGAAGAGGAGGTTGCAAGCCAGCACCTGCCCCACACCAGGGGATGGAAGCTAATTGTGAAAAGCTGCCCCACTACAGCTGCTGCCTCTTGAAAAATGCAAACTGTGTTTTGAGCAAACATATCATCCACTTGTAAGTATCTTAGATTCCTGACAGATCTGATTATTCCCTCCTCCCCACTAGTGGCTTCATCTTATCTAATTAGCATGTGTGAAAGTTGATTCCTTTTTTAATCAGGAAGCTATGGAAACAAAATTAATTTGTGATTTAATCTTAACTCATGGAAGCATTAATGATAATTAAAAATTATTTTAAAAATTAAAAAAATTTTCATGCACATTTTTGATATGTTGTCATGAGAGTATTAAGATATCACAGATAAGTGGCTTCCAATATTTCCAGCACTTGAAAATTAAAAAAAATGGTGCTTCTCTCTGAATTCAGTATTCCTGTAATAATGGAGAATCTGGGAATCAAAGTGAGTACTTCTGGGAAAAAAAATATTTCTCCTGGCAGACAAAAGCTTAGAGGCATGAAGTCAGTGTATGGTCCAGCCACAGTCAGAGCTGGCTGAAAAATGTAAGAGTCAGTAAGGAATGATGTTTTTTGTTATTATCAACATCTGTTGAGGGCCTAGTAGGTGTTATTCAGTGATAGAGAAAAACTTGATTTGGAATCATCACTGCAGTTAAATAAATTAAATGGAAAAGTGAAAAAAGCCTCATCATTATTGGAAAAAGGAGAGAAAATGTTCCATATTTAGCCATATCATATGTATTAGTTTTGAGATGGCAGAAGCCAGACGAAAAGATGGCTGGATGCATCATTAGAGTTTTTGGTTACCAAGGAACTAAGATTTGCTGCTGCCACTTAGAGTTATAGAATTTGTAGTAGGGCAATGATCTTTGAATAGTTTAGAGAGGTCCTGGAGGTCCCTGAGACACTTTTAGTGAGTCTGCAGAATCTTCCCTTTTCCAACTAAACATCTGTGGGAAGCCACATTTTTTTTCACATATTTAAATCAAAGCAACATATCACAACAGGTTCAGCAAAAGTAGATGTAAGAATCCAGATGTCTTTTATTAAGCAAAAATTACAGAGGTTTGCAAACATTCAAGACAATGGAACTCTTCTAAGTAATTGTTTTTGTTTTAGAAAATAGTTATTTGTTTAAATAAAACTATATTATTTATGTTAACATGTAATAGTTTTATTTTAATTAATTAGAGCTTTAAAAAATTCTCAGTTTGAATTTCTAATATTGTAAATATGAAGAAATATAATTCATATGAACAAAAAGCTTTTTGGATTTCTCATTTATGTATAAGAGTGCAAATGATATCACCTTACACCTGTAAGAATAATTTTTTCTTTCTTTCTTTTTTTTTTGAGACGGAGTCTTGCTCTGTCTCCCAGGCTGGAGTGCAGTGGTGCGACCTCGGCTCACTGCAATCTCCGCCTCCTAGGTTCAAGCAATTCTATGCCTCAGCCTCACAAGTAGCTGGAATTACAGGTGCCCGCCACCACGCCTTGCTAATTTTTTTATTTTTAGTAGAAACGGGGTTTTAGCATCTTGGCCAGGCTTGTCTTGAACTCCTAACCTCGCGATTCACCCGCCTTGGCCTCCCAAAGTGCTGGGATTACAGGCATGAGAAAAAAGTAAATAAATAAAAAAGAGAAGAGATAACAAATGCTGGCAAAGATATGAAGAAAAGAGAAACCTCGTACACCATTGGTGGGAATGTAAATTAGCACAGCTATTATGAAAACTAGTATGGGGGTTCTTCAAAGAACTAAAAATAGAGCTACTATGTGATCTAGCAATTCTACTTCTGAATATATATCCAAAGAAAATAAAATCAGTACATTGAAGAGATATCTGCTCTCCTATGTTCATAACAGCATTATTCACAGTAGCCAAGATAGAGAATCAACTTATATTCATCAACTGATGAATGCATAAAGAATCAGGATATTCCTCAATAGATGAATACATAAAGAAAACATGGTACATGTACATGATGGAATACTATCGAGTCTTAAGAAATTCTATCATTTTCAACAACATGGAACCTGGAGGACATTATGTTGAGTGAAATAAGCTGGTACCGAAAGGCAAATGCTGCATGATTTCACCTATACGTGGAATGGAAAAAAGTAAAAAAAAATGAACTCATGGAAGCATGGAGTAGAATGGTGGCTACCAGGCACTGGGATGAAAAGAAGACTGAAATGGGGAGATATTGGTTAAAAGGTACAAAATTTTCAGGTAGATAGAAGGAATACTCTTTGGAGATCCATTGTACATCATGGTGGATATAACTAATGATAATGTATAGCACACCTAAAAATTGCTAAGATAGTAGATTTTGAACATTTTCATGACAAAATGATAAGTATGTGAAGTGACAGATATGTTAATTGGCTTGATTTAATCAGTTCACAGTGTATACATACATCAGACAATTAAAAAACAAATAGTAAATCTGGGTAAAGAATATATCTCTTTTTACTATTCCTACAAATTTTCTGTGTCTAAAATTATTTCAAAATAAAATGAAAGAAAAAATAAAATGACATTTTTGAATAATTAAAAAAGAGAGTGTAAGGATTCTTGAGATTAAAATCTCAAGTTTAAAGGGTCTTGAGATTACAATTTAAAAAGTTTGAGCTCCTAAACTTATGTGATCTGCCCACCTTGGCCTCCTGTAATCCCAGCTACTAGGGAGGCTGAGGCACAAGAATCACTTGAACCTGGGAGGTGGAGGTTGCAATGAGCCGAGACTGAGCCACTGCACTCCAACCTGGGAGACAGAGCAAGATTGTGTCAAAAATCAAAACAAAAAAAAACCCCAGCAACGCTTGAGACCTGCTCCTGCAAGTATTTAACTCACAGAAAAGGAGATAGCACCAGGTAAAAATGAAGTAAAAGCTGTGTAAGCTGTGTGTTGGGCCTTGCAGAACAGGAAGCCTGAGAAAGGAGAGGTTATTTAGAATGCAGCCTCTCTTGGGGAAAACGTATATTCCAGCGATCCTCTCTACAATGGGACTTCATTCACCCTCCAAATCCTTTTTTGGAAGTTTGTGTCTTAGCTTTCCTCTGTTGTGACTTTTACTGCTCCTTCTGCTCTCGATACAGACACCATAAAATTTACCGTTCATCCAAGAACACTTTTGAGAGTAAAAAATGGAATTATTAATAATTACAGGACAATAGCCTTGCCTAGCTGCCATCTTTCTTATCCTGTCCAGTAAGTACCCCTAAGAGTAGAATTGTTGAGTCAAAGGACATGAAAACTGTTGTAGATCCTGTCCGCTCATGATTCTATCAGGAATAGGAACACCAATGATTACATTAGCCACGAGGTGATTAGGTTTCAGCAGTGCATTTCTGTATTTGATCTCCAACACATTTTGCTTTTTAAAGTTGAGTTCTGAAATTAGAGACAAGAGCAGATGGCAGTAGATTCACTCTAATTCAGGGAGTTATTAAGAAATTTTGAATTTTTTTACTATATAATTTGAAGCCTGCTTTAATGTCATCATCATAAACGGAAGGGTGGGTTGATGAGTTTACTCAGATTAGAGTGGTACAACCTTTGGGGCGGAGCCTCTGACTCTGATTGGTTGGACAATGTTTTCCAGGCAGTATAAAAACGCTGGTGTCTCTCCGCGGAAACTCCGAGAGGAGCAGAGGTCTGTAGAGGTAGAGACGTAGGCTTCGGATCTTTTAGAATTCTGCTGGAAGTCTCCAAGTCAAGGTAAGTTATACCTTCTGTTTAAGCTATTTCCAATGTCCTATTCTGTCTTTGGCTACAAACTGGTGTTTTCGAATGCCTTTAACTATTTATTTTAGAGGAGAAAGAACTAGTTTTTTCCTGTGCCAGGGAGCTTTCTTCACCTTTAACTATAACTTTGCCATTTAAATTTTTACATATGAACCTCAGGTCACTCTTTGCATGAACTTGTATTTTTATGTGTTTTCAACTACAATGGATTTAAATGGTTTTAAAATGGTTTCTTTTTATTTTCCAACATTTCTTAAAAGATTTCTGGGTTTTCGGCCGGGCGCCATGGTTCGCGCCTGCGCTTTGGGAGGCTGAGGTGGGTGGATCACGAGGTCAAGAGACCAGCCTGTCCAACATGGTGAAACCCCGTCTCTACTAAAAATACAAAACTTAGCCGGACGTGGTGGCACATGCTTGTAATCCCAGCTACTCAGGAGACCGAGGCAGGAGAATTGCTTGAACCCGGGAGGCAGAGGTTGCAGTGAGCCGAGATGGAGCCACTGCACCCCCAGCCTGGGCGACAGAGCAAGACTCCGTCTCAAAAAAAAAAAAAGACTTCACTTCGGGTTTTCACTTAAATATACTTGGCCACTTTTAGTAGTTGTGTCATAATTAGCTGAATCATTTTATTATTGTTAGATAATTCGATTGTTCCTGATCATTTGGGATGGTAGTTAACACTGAAATGAACAACTTGTGAATAAGTGTAGCATTTTTTTTCTTTTGTAAAATTGTTTTCTTAGATACATTCCAAGGTGGGTTAGGCAATTAGATTTCCAGCACCATGTTAAATTTCCCATTAAATTGAAAAAGATAACAGAATTTAAGAAAGAGGTAATCTCTGGTTGTCCGCCAGCCAGGCACCATGAGATTGGAATGCTGATCAGGACTTGGAAGACAAAGTTTTATGTGGGCAGATACCCTGTTTATTACACACGTTTGTGTTTCCAGAGTCCAGTTGAGGCCAAGAGCACAGAAGGGGCTCAATAAGTATTTGTTGGAAAGAGATTAGAGAATGTGTTCTGGGATGTAGGACAGTTCTAGTAACTCAGTCTTAGGCTGGCCTCATCGGTGTTCATCACTTCCTCTCTCTGGTAATGTTGATGCTGCTCCTCTTTCTGTCCCTCATTCTGTTACTACTGTCACCACTGAATGTGTGATTTGTGGGTTCTTGGTAAGGAGTTCTGCTAGTTACTGCTCAGTGCAGGCTCTTATTGGAGAACAGTCCTCTGTTCACATAATCTCAAAGGTGCTGTCCAGCTTTGCGAGGCTGTCTTTGGGTCATGGGTCTAGCCTGGTCCAATATGCTGTGCCCAGCATGTCAGAGACAGCTCACTCAAAGAATAATAGCCATGGTGGGAAGTCCTCTGGGAGCACCAGAGGCTCTCAAGCTTTGGGAGCAGTTGGGGTAACAGGAGGGCATCTTCCTTGTCTGGAACATCTTTTTGGTTTGTATTCAGGCATGATTATTTTGGAGAAGTTGATGACTATTATATTTTTATTCACATTAATTCAAGCCTTAATTAGTTTTCTTAGAGTGCTTTAAAGCATTTCATCTAATAACACTTTGTCCTTAAACTTGATTCTTTTATGGGCTTCTCATTTTGCAGTGGATTTTGCTGGCTTTACTCACATGTGGTAATTTTCCTGGAAATTCTGAGGATTCCTTAGAGTCACTTTTCTGTGATGATTAATGTAGAATTGGCTTTATTTTCATTATTGAATTTAGACATGAACATTCTTTTTCCTGAACTGCAGAGGATCTACAAAGAAATACTGAGTGGAGACTATACTGAGATTCTGTTAAAGACCCACTTGAATTCAGCCCCCATTAGGAGAAACTTTGGCCGGAGCAGCCAACACATCACCTGGAAGTCTTCAGACTAGGTAAGCTGCACTGTCTGAAAAGAAAGTTTCCACTGTCCTATTTCTGTCTTGTGATTATCTAGAGTTTGAAGAGTTTCGAAATCATTTTTATCACCATGACTACATTACTGTGATTCTCTAGCAATTTAGTGTCACTTTCATACACAAACTGCAGAAATATTATTTTTTTGTTATTCTTAATTTCTTAGTTAATAAATTTATTATTATTTATTAAATAATATAATTCATTTATGTATGCCAATAACTTATTTATTAATTTATATTATTTAATCTTGGATTTAGACTATTGAAGAGTGGATTGTGTACTGAGGGCTCCCAAGTGCTTCCAGAAGCCAATAAAGGATCACTTCAGTTTACTTCACGGCTAAGGAGTAACCCTTAAGAACCATGGCCAAACGCCTGCAAGCAGAGTTGTCCTGTCCAGTTTGCCTGGATTTTTTCTCCTGTTCCATTTCTCTCTCTTGTACACACGTGTTCTGCTTTGATTGCATCCAGAGGTATATACTAGAAAACCATGATTTTAGAGCGATGTGCCCCTTGTGTCGAGACGTGGTGAAGGTACCTGCTTTGGAAGAATGGCAAGTGAGCGTCCTAACACTTATGACCAAGCAGCACAATAGCCGACTTGAGCAAAGTCTGCACGTGAGGGAGGAGCTCCGGCATTTTCGGGAGGATGTGACCCTGGATGCAGCCACTGCCAGCTCCCTCCTTGTCTTCTCCAATGATCTAAGAAGCGCTCAGTGTAAGAAGATCCACCACGATCTGACAAAAGATCCCAGGCTGGCCTGTGTCCTGGGTACTCCCTGCTTCTCCTCCGGCCAACATTACTGGGAGGTTGAAGTGGGAGAGGTGAAGTCATGGTCCCTGGGCGTCTGCAAGGAGCCGGCTGACAGAAAGAGCAATGATTTATTCCCTGAGCATGGCTTCTGGATCAGCATGAAGGCAGGAGCAATCCATGCTAACACCCACCTGGAGAGAATTCCTGCAAGCCCTCGCCTTCGCCGTGTGGGAATTTTCCTGGATGCTGACTTAGAAGAAATCCAGTTTTTTGATGTTGACAATAATGTCCTCATCTATACACATGATGGTTTCTTCTCTTTGGAGCTTTTGTGTCCATTCTTCTGTCTTGAGCTCTTGGGAGAAGGGGAGAGTGGCAACGTCCTGACCATCTGCCCATGAGAAAGTCAGCCCTTCCTAGAAGCTTTCTGAGAGGTGAAAGAGAATTTTGGCCTGAGAAAGGTCAGCATGATTGAGGAAGAGATAATGTGCTATAGTGCAAAGACTTGGTAAATTTTTAAAGTAGATTTTGTAGACTTTGTAGCAAAACAATTTTCGGATTTTTGGGGTAAATTTTGTGGAATTTGTAGCTAGGTAACTGGGGTCTTTAGGGATGTTATTAAGTACTGTAAGCTTCAGTTTTCTAGTCTGTAGATGCGGATAATTGTATCTCAGTCAAACAGCTGTGGTAATTAGAGACAATACTATGCCTTTGTCTTATAGTAAATAACAAATAGAGAAATCTTAGATTGTAAGTAAGCTAGATATTAGGTTTTGTGGATAGACAATATCTTTTTCATTATTTCAAGCTGTTTTGTGTAATTCCTGATAATGTCTGAGGAGGAAGAAAAATTCAACAGCCAGTGTGAGTTATTTTGTTGATACAGCATGAAATTTCAGAGAGACAAACTGATATTGGGGAAGAACTAAGTTTTTCATTTTTATTTTCTTTGAAACACAGCCACATAAGTTTTCTTGAAAGACAAAGAACTTTGACCAAAATGCATTGTTAATGGTGATTCATATTCTTATGGGAAGTGTCATTTACCCATCTCAATAATTGGACTATTGTGATTTATAAGAATTCTTATCAACCATGTTAACTAACACATATTCATCAAAAATTGTTTTCAAGGTTGCTTTTGGATTTTTTATTTGTAGAATTTATTTTCTTGCAAATAAATTTATAAAGCATTGGATGTGTTCATGTTTATGCTGTTTGGTCCGTCTCTCACATACAGTCTGAAGTTGGTACCCCTCTTCCTCCACCACAGCTACATGGTCCCAGACTGTGATTTCCAATATGTCATCCTTATACACTCATGATGGCTCCTTTTCAAAATATTCAGGTCTCTTAGGGTTGTATTTTTTCTGATTTACTGAGTCAGCCACTTCTGAGATTACAACTGCCCCAAAAGGGCTGGGGTCTGAGCATGTTCTGGAATCTGCCTTTGACTTCCTTTCTAGAGAGACCCAGAATTGTCATTTCCCTTCTCTTTCCAACTTCACTGGGAGTAGGGAGATAGCCATTTTCCTCTCTTTATTCTCTTTTGATCTCTACAACTTTATTTCAGGGGACTCATTGCCCTTCCCTAACACTGGGCAAAATTTCAGGATACAAAATAAATGTACAAAAATCACTAGCATTCTTATATGCCAACAGGAGTCAAGCTGACAGCCAAATCAGGAATGAACTCCCATTCACAATTGCCACAAAAAGAATAAAATACCTAGGAATGTAGCTAACTAAGGGAGGTGAAAGATCTCTACAAGAACTATAAACCACTGTTCAAAGAAATCAGAGATGACACAAACAAATGGAGAAACATTCCATGGTCATTAAAAGGAAGAATCGATATTGTTAAAATGGCCATACTGTCCAAAGCAATTTATAGATTCAATGCTATTCCTATTAAACTACCATTGAGACTCCTCACAGGACTAGACAAAACTATTTTGAAATTCATATGGAACCAAAAAAGAACCTGAATAGCCAAGGCTATTTTTTAGCCAAAGCTAAGCAAAAGGAACAAAGCTGGAGACATCACAAGGCTACAGTAGTATAGTTTGTATCAATACCAAAACAGCATGGTATTGGTACAAAAACAGACATATAGACCAATGGAACAGATTAGAAAACCCAGAAACAAGACCACATACCCACAACTATTTGATCTTTGACAAACCTGACAAAAGCAAGCAATGGAGAAAGGATTCCTTTTTCAATAAATAGTGCTGGGATAACCGGCTAGCCATATGCAGAAGATTGAAACCAGACCCATTCCTTACACCACATACAAAAATCAACTCAAGATAGATGAAAGATTTAAATGTAAAACCCCAAACCATAAAAACCCTGGAAGACAACCTAGGCAACACCATTCAGGACATAGGCATGGGCAAAGAGTTCATGACAAAGATGGCAATTGCAGCAAAAGCAAAAATGGACAAATGGGATCAAATTAAACTAAAGAACTTCTGCACAGCAAAAGAAACTATCAACAGATTGAACAGGCAACCTAAAGAATGACAGCAAAATTTTGCAAACTATGCATGTGACAAAGGTCTAATATCCAGCATCTATAAGGAACTTAAGTGTACAAGAAAAAAACCAAACAACCTCATTAAAAAGTGGCAAAGGACACTAACAGAAGTTTTTCTAAAGAACACATGTGGCCAACAAGCATATGAAAATAAGCTCAACATCAATGATTATTAGAGAAATGCAAATCAAAACCGCAATGACATACCATCTCACACCAGTCAGAATGGCTATAACTAAAACATCAAAAAGTAACAGATGCTGGTGAGGTTGTGAAGAAAAAGGAATACTTATATACTATTTATGGGGGTGTAAATTAGTTCAACCATTGTGGAAGCCAATGTGGTGATTCCCCAAAGACATAAAGACAGAAATACAGTACACTAAAAAAAAAAAAAAAAAAAAAAGAAAAAAAAAAGAAACTGGCTGCTTATTGTAATGACCCAAATGTTTATTCTCCTTAATATTGGGATTTAGAACTTTCTGTAAGACAGAGGCTGTTGTGCAGGCCTTGCTCTTTTCATAGGAAGCAACCAGGAAAAAATGGCGAAATCTTCTACCCCTTAAGAGGTTACTGTCTTTGGACAGCCTGCAAATATTGGCTAAGAATTTGGTGGAATGCTGTTGCTTCTCATAGGTGGCAGATTCAGTTGTGCCTCTAAAATGTATGTATAGATGCTGCATGCATCTATCTCAGCTCTTAGCATGGCAGCTTCTAGGAACCTCCCTTAAGGGACAGCTGGTTCTCTCTCCTTGCCTACTTTTAGTTCTCTTCCTGCACCCCTGCTGCCTGGAGTGCAGACAATTGGGCCACAGGGATGAGGGGCCTGAGAGAACAGTGAACTGGAATAGGCCTGCACTCTTGAAGGCTACAGGGATCCCTGAGGGCTACAGAGTCACTCTGACAGCTCTGGGACACTTACCTCTGTCTTCATTAATGTGATAAAGAAACCCCATGAGGCTAGTTTACCTGCATAACAAACCTGTGCATGTAACCCTGAACTTAAAATAAAAGTTAAAAAAAGTATTCTATATCTCAGCAAAAATAAATGAGAAATATTTGAGGTGATGAATGTGTTAATTAGCCTGATTTGATCATTCCACAACGTATACATGTATCAGAACATCATGCAGTACCCACAAATATATACAATTATTTGTCAATTAAAAACAAAACTTAAGAAGAGAATAAACACTTTCTGTTTTAAGCCACTGTTATTTTTTGTGTTCTGCCTGCCCTTGAACTTATTCCTAACTCCTGTTCTATTGTACCAAGAGTTCTGAAGACCTGCTGGGCAGCCTCAAAAACGCTTTCTATTTTGCTTTGCCCTTCTCAGCTCTGGCCATTAGAACTTTGGTGAGTGTCTTCCAAGTGTCTCACAGTTTGCCCTTGGCTTCCTTCTCCTACCTTTCTATGACCAGCTTCAATAAATTAAAAAGTAGAAGTAAAACTTGCCTCAGTTGTATTTTTTAATGGAAAATTTTAAACATACAAAAATAGAGAATAGTATAATGAATCCACATGTACCTATCACTCAGTTTCAATAATAGCAACAATGGCCAACCTCCTGCCCCCAGATTATTTAAGATCAAATCTTATACATCATATCATTTCATTCATAAATTCTTATGAATATCTCTAAATGAAATGTACTTAGGAAAATGTAATTATGATGCCATTATCATAGATAAAAATGAATAATTCCTTAGTATAATCAATGAATAATTCCTTAATATAATCAAATATCCAATCAACATTCACAGTCCTTTCTGATTCAGCTGTGAGTGTTTCCATTTAAGCAGTTCCAGCTTTTCTGAACTGGTCTAATGAGTGTTTGCTTGCATTTGACTCTTTGTGTTTTCTGTATTTAAGATTTCCAACCTCAAAATAGGCAGTCACTTTCTATTTTCCAGTCCTCTTTTCGATACTTAAGAAAAACCAACTAGGGCTCTCCTCACCTCCTCCTCATCCCCAAGTCATTATACCACCCTAATGCCTGCCTGGGGCTCCTGGGCATCCCTGCCACAGTCACCCAGGTATAGTTTGCTTTAAGGACACCAATGATCTTAAACTTCAACTTTCAAATTTGCGTCCAGGTGAAAATGTGAAAAATTCACATTCATAGATAGCACGTATGTGTCACATTCTGAGACACGTTACTTAGGCAACATCTAAGTTCTATGGACTCCTCATTTGGCTCTGGGGTAGCATTGTCTGAAGATTGTTTCTATTTTCTTTATAAGTTTCCTCAGTAATGAGGGAGTAATTTCTGGGATTAGTGGCCAGATCCACTCTTTACTGAACCTGTGGGCTCTTAGTGTGGGCAGATTATCTAGCGGTAAATGTTCTCCCTCAACAAGTGAAGACATTCCTTTTAAAGAAATTGCATTAGAGAGCATAGGTTTGTGGGTGATCTTCCAAATCAATAGCAAGGTGAAAATGAATCTATATTTCTTCCTAGGAGAATGATTTAAGTATCAAAGACTAAGAGAGGCCTTTGGAAAAATGGAAACGTTCATGCCAAAAGCATCCTGTTTATGGTTTTGCCACTAAAGTTAGCCACAAATTAGGATTGGAGATTTTATCCAATTATGTTAGAAAAATTACTTGATTCAGTCTTTGCTCAGTTGAAGGAGTTGTGCTCAGTTGCAATGATCATCTAACCTATGTTATAGCTAAAGTAGAATTAATCTAATTTTAATAGTCTTTAATTGTTTAAGATGACATTTCAAACAAAATTTTTATTATTTTTCTATAAAAAAGTTCTTCCTCTTTAAACTTTATTTTCCATAAATATTTATAATCATTCATTTGCTATGTGCATATTTTGGGATTTTTTTTCTTTTTTTTCTTCACCCAGGCCGGAGTGCAGTGGCGCTATCTCGGCTCACTGCAAGCTTCGCCTCCCGGGTGCACGCCATTCTGCCTCAGCCTCCCGAGTAGCTGGGATTACAGGCGCCTGCCACCGCGCGCGGATACTTTTTTGTATTTTTAGTAGAGACGGGGTTTCACTGTGTTAGCCAGGATGGTCTCGATCTCCTGACCTTGTGATCTGCCCGCCTCTGCCTCCTAAAGTATTTTGGGATTTTTTGTGCTTCAGACTTTTCTTTTTTTAGAAACTGATGTTTATTTTCCATTAACCTTATTTCCATGTTGCTTAAGAGCCCGTGCAAGGGCAGCTTAAGACCATTCAGCGGTTGCTTCTACCCATTCAGTGATTGCTTTTACCCATTCGGTGGCCTGAGACTAGAAGCTGCAGACCAGTCTTCTGTGGCAGGCTGAGCATTTCACTCTTCAGCAGGGAACTGCTGAATAGTCACAGAGGGCACCTGCATGCCTTCAGACCAGTCTGCAACCTCAGGCTGAGTAGCAGTGAACTCAGGAGCTGAAGCAGTCCATTCACCCTGAAATTCTTTCTTGGTCACAGCTTTTTTAGCAGCAGCCTGCTCTTCTTTTTCAATCTCTTCAGGATCTCTGTAGAAGTAGAGATCAGGCATGACCTCCCACGGGTGTTCGCAGGAAATGGTGCCACGCATGCGCAGAACTTCCCGAGCCGGTGTCCACCACATCAAACCCACCGAGTGAGCTCCCTTGTTGTTGCATGCGATGGCAATGTCCACATAGCACAAGGAGAATCTGTGTTACAGAGCAATGGTAGGTAGGTTAACATAAGATGCCTCCGTGAGAGGCTGGTGGTCAGCCCTGGGGTCAGTAACCACAAGAAGCCGTGGCTCCCAGAAAGCTGCCTGGATCTGGTTAGTGAAGGTTCCAGGAGTGAAGCGGCCAGCAATTGGAGTGGCTCCAGTGGCAGCAGCAAACTTCAGCACAGCCCTCTGGCCAATATTCCTGGAGGATATAACACTGACATCTGCAGGGTTTTCAATGGCAGCAATGGCATGAGCTGCCAGCAGAAGCTTCTCCCAGGTCCTCTTCAGATTTATGATGTAGATGCCATCACTTGTCCTTTTACAGATGTACTGTTCCATCTGGAAGTCAAGATTGGTGCCACCTAAGTGGGTTCCTGCTGCAAGGACATCCTCCTCCTTCATTTGCAGGACATCAAGGGCTCTGGACGTTGTGAAAGTTTCCCTTTAAGTTACAACAGGAATTCAGAACAATGCTGTATGGACCCCTCTGTGGGTAGCGTGGAAAGGCTTCAGACTTTTTTAACCAGCTAATAAACGCATGGGGTCCAATATTTAAAATGCCACATAGTGAAACTGTTTCCTGACACTCCCCATTTATTCATTCTCCCTGAAAACGACTCCTGTTACCAATTGCTTGAGGATTCTTCCAAAGGTATTCTATATGTGTATATATATGTATGTATTTCGCCTATATATAAATTTAGTACTACCTATACATTAGTTTGCACCTTTTTTTCACTTGAGAATATTTAAGGAGATTGACTTCAAACAGTCTTTTTTCAGGACTCAGATAAAACTTTTTGTATTACATTTATCAACTTAGTCAATTTTGTGCTAACAATTCTCAATCAGATTTATAAGATAAATTTTCCCTTAAGCTTTCCAGGAAGTCATTAACACCTGTCACTCCAAAATGCATGACATCATAGCTGCCATCAAAGGACTTCTAGAAGATCTAATTCCTACAAAATATCAGTAAAATCAGATTGACCTCAAACCCTGTATCTTTCAAAAAAGACATAATTTTGTTTTTCAAGCATTGTTATTAGGTATAGTAAAAATGATTTTTTTTCTTTGTTTTTTTGTTTTGAGACAGAGTCTTTCTCACTCTGTTGCCCAGGCTGGAGTGCAGTGGCGTGATCTTGGCTCACTGCAACCTCCACCTCCCAGGTTCAAGCAATTCTCTTGCCTCAGCCTCCCCAGTAGCTGGGATTACAGGTTTGTGCCACCACACCCAGTTAATCTTCATATTTTTGTAGAGAAACGGTTTTGCTATGTTGGCCAGGCTGGTCTCAAACTCCTGACCTCAAGTGATCTGCCCACGTAGGCCTCCCAAAGTGCTGGGATTACAGGTGTGAGCCACCATGCCCAGTCTATAGGTTATATCTCCTTAATGTTACAAATTGATGAAGATTAAGTAAATAAACCTCAGCAATGACTAATACATATTTTTAAACATCTACTTTTGCTTCTCATAATCACTGAGCATCCATTTGAGCTTTATTCTTCTTTTCTTCCTTTTTTTGATAATGCTGGCAGACTTGATGAACCAATAGCATCTGACCTTCACAAACTAGGCAGAGTTTCAAAATAAGGTGACTCGTTACATTTGTTTGGATTACTTTTTGAATCCCCACATTTTCTCACGTTGGCACAATTTTGCTTCAAGTGCATCATGGAATAGATGAGACAACAGGAAGCGATAGGCTTTCCCTATTCAGTGAGTCAGGCAGTAACCAAGAGATTAATGTGAATGAATTCAGGGCTTGTGAAGGCATCATTTCTCATCAAATGGAACTGTACCCTGCTGGACGGAAGTCTGAATATGTGTGATCTAATGCAGAGGTTCCAACTGATGTGACCCACAATGTTGTCACCACCACCTCCCTCCTTGTCCTCGCTAATGACCTAAGGTGTGTCCACCATGGAAAAATCTTTCTGTTACCAGAAACGGATCCCCATCCAGACTCTAAGAGAGGGTTCTTGGACCTTGTGCAAGAAAGAATTCAGGGCAAGTCCATAGAGCAAAGTGAAAGCAAATTTATTAAGAAAGTAGAGGAATAAAGAATGGGGGCTGGGCGCGGTGGCTCATGCCTGTAATCCCAGCACTTGGGAGGACGAGGCAAGCGGATCACGAGGTCAGGAGATCGAGACCATCCTGGCTAACACAGTGAAACCCTGTCTCTACCAAAAATACAAAAAAGTTAGCCGGGCGTGGTGGCGGGCACCTGTAGTCCCAGCTACTCGGGAGGCTGAGGCAGGAGAATGGCATGAACCCGGGAGGTGGAGGTCGCAGTGAGCTGAGATCATGCCACTGCACTCTAGCCTCTAGCCTGGGTGACAGAGCGAGACTCCGTCTCAAAAAAAAAAAAAAAAAAAAAAAAGAATGGCTATTCCATAGCTAGAGCAGCCTTGAGAACTGCTGGTTGGCCACTTTTATGGTATTTTCTTGATTATGTGCTAAACAAGAGGTGGATTATTCATGAGTTTTCCAGGAAAGGGGTGAGCTATTCCCAGAACTGAGGGTTCCCCCCATTTTAGACCATATAGGATGATTCCCTACATTGCCATGGCATTTGTAAACTGTCATGGTGCTGGTGGAAGTGTCTTTTAGCATGCTAATATATTATAATTAACATCTAATGAGCATTGAGCACAACCAACAGTGACTTTCATCTCCATTTTCATTTTGGTGAGATTTAGCCAGCTTCTTTACAGCAAACCGCTTTGTCAGCAAGGTCTTTGGGACCTGTATTTTTGGCTGACCTCCTATTTTATCCTGTGACTAAAAATGCCCAGCCTCCTTGGAAGGCAACCCCATAGGTCTTAGCCTCATTTTACCTAGCCCCTATGCAAGATAGAGTTGCTCTGGTTCCAAAGCCTCTGAAATTTCATGTCTAATTGATGATCCCAAGATATTCAACCGTGTGTTCTGTGTCCTGGATGCTCCCCCTTCACCTTTGGCTGCCAATGCTGAGAGGCAGAAATAGGAGAGAATAGGCTCTGGGGGTCTGCTGGGCATTCATTCACGGAAACTGGAAGGATGGCTGGTCCTCTAAGGACACCAATTCTGGTCCACAGGCCAGACCTGCTAGCCCTTACCTCCTGTGATGGTTACTTTCAGGTGTTAACTGACTGGATAGCTGGTTAAGCACCATTTCCGGGTGTGTCTGTGAAAGTATGTTTGTGTGCGAATCCGGGGACTGACGGGGGAAGATCGGCTCTCATTGTGGGTGGGCATCATCCAATCAGCAGGGTGCCTAGATAGGACAAAAAGGCAGAGGAAAGGTGAATTTGTTTTTCCAAAAAGGATATTCTGGAACTGGGATGTCTCTTTTCTCCTGTCCTTGGACATCAGAACTCCAGGGTCTTAGGCCTTTGAACTTGGGAACTTGCGCCAGCAGACCCCTGGGCTCTCAGGCCTTCAGCCTCAGACTGAGAGTCACATCATGAACTTTCCTGGTTGTGAGGCCTTCAGCCTTGGACAGCTATGCTGCTGGCTCCCCTGGTTCTCCAGCTTGCAGAAAGCCTATCATGGGACTTCTCAGGCTCCGTAATTGCATAAGCCAATCAATTCCCTTAATAAATCCTCTCTCTCGTATACCTATCTATACCTCTCTACATATTAATATATCCTATTTGTTCTGTCTCTGGAGAACTCTTAACTAATATACTTCCATTACGTGGGAATTTCCCAGATGCTGAATTGAGGAAAATGACATTTTTTTTAACGTTACTGTTGGTTACCTCCCTATATAGTCAGTTCTTTTGCATCTGTTTGTTTGGATCAGCAGAAGGCAACAGTGAGACCCCACCCAATATCTTCTCTTCTCTCTAGAAAGTACTCTGAACATATAATGCTGTGAACATGGCAGGTCTTATCATGTTTTCAAGATGATGAGATATGTATTGCATATTAAATATTCATACCTGGATATTAAATACTCAGGTTTTTAAAAAATCTTATAACCATTCTAACTGACCATGATCCCAGATGGAACCCCTGCCCGCGTCATTGCTTTTGTCTCTGCCACCTGGCTGCCCCTCTAGACAGCTTCCTTTCCTTCCTGGGCTGCTCCCAGGCAACTCAAAAAACTCAACTTCCTCCCCCAAAACTCAAATTCTTACTTTTTACGTAGAGCAAATGAAGTCTGTCTCAGCTTTCTTGTGAAGGAAAAGCTGCTTCAGTCAGTTGTGTTTTTAAATAACACCCCTTCCCACTTTGTGTAACAGAATGTTTTAGAAGCTTATGCTTAAAAATTTTTTTTCAGCCACAAATTGAGGCAGACTCCTTTGATCAAGGTATTTTGTATTGGCTGAAAGTGTGCTTCTGTGGAGGGCTGGTGCAGGGAGCTGTAATTGAGAGAGTGGGAGGAGTAGCCAGGAAGGAAACTGTTGATGAGCATGACTGTATGGGGGGGTCAGCCCAGCTGGAAAAAGGCCAGGACTTATGGAGAAAGGGCATGTGAGGCAGAGAGACGAGGGGGGAGTTTATTGGCTTCTACTGAGTTACTGAATGTTCTTTCTTCTTAGATCTATAAGAAAAATTAAGTAATAAATCCTAAAAAGGCAAATGACAAAATTTACATTCTTTATTTTTCAAAAAGAACTTAGAAAACAAGGACAAGAAGGATATTTTTAAAATGTAATATAGACCATATTAAACCAATATTATGGTTGACAGTATTTAAGAGAAAAAGACAAATGACTAAAATTGATATTAAAACATTTATTGAGCATTTACTGTGTGTGAGGCATTGGATTTGTTGCCTAACATGAATTAGTTCATTTAAACCTCATAAAAGTCATACAAGGTATATATTCTAATACCCCTATTTAAATAATTAGGAAACTGAGGCAAAAGGAGTTTAAATAAGTTGCCTAATTATTAAGTCTCCTCACTTCCTAAGTAGTCTATAGCCTAGGAAAGATAAAAATAGACTGTGGATCTCAACAGTTCACTCAGAGAGCATAGTCTTCATCGTGGGGCAGATGTGGGGCACTGCTGTGCTTAGCCATTTTCTCCTCCCCAGTCCTTGGTCAGCATCTCTAATTGACAATGACACTCCATCTTTCTTTCTTTCTTTTTTTAACCTCTGAATTTTTATTGGCGTCCTGCTCCCTAAAGGGTCCCCTGCTTCTGCTGGCTTAATGTCTCAGAACTTTGGTGTGGTTGGTCTCAGACACAACTTTGCCATCCACTATCCAGCGGCTGTTGGTCTTTTGGATGGTTTGCATGGAGGTGCTGCTGTCCAGGGCATTAAGAAGATTGAAGTTCTTGCCATCTTCCAGCAGGTTGTTGTAGGTGGCTATCTCAGCCTCCAGCTTGACCTTAATGTTCAGCAGGGCCTCATACTCCTGGGCCTGGTGCTGTCCCTCTGCCCGGGTCTGTGCCAGCTCTGACTCCAGGTGCAGCAGGATCCCATTGAGCTGTTCCATCTGCAGGGCATAGCGGGCCTCCACCTCCCTCAGGCTGTTCTCCAAGCTGGCCTTCAGATTTCTCATGGAGTCCAGGTCGATCTCCAAAGACTGGACTGTACGTCTCAGCTTTGTGAGTGTCATCTCTGCAGCTCCAACCTCGGTGGACTGCGTGGTGACCACTGTGCTGCTCTCCTCAATCTGCTGAGACCAGTACTTGTCCAGCTCCTCTCTGTTCTTCCGAGACAGCTCGTTATATTGGGCCTGGATGTCTGCCATGATCTTGGAATGGTCCTGAGATTTGGGGGCATCTACCTCCACAGTCAACCCAGAGCTGGCAATCTGGACTTGTAGGCCTTTTAATTCCTCTTAGTGGTTCTTCTTCATGAGCAGCAGCTCCTCCTTTAGAGCCTCGATCTCTGTCTCCAGCTGCAGCCAAGTGACATTGGTGTCATCAGTGACTTTGCGGAGCCCATGGATATCGCTCTCCACAGACTGGCACATGGTCAGCTCTGTCTCATACTTGACTCTGAAGTCATCAGCAGCAAGACAGGCATTGTCTGTCTGCAGAACGATGCGGGCATTGTCCACAGTATTTGCGAGGTTCTGAGCCCTTAGGTCCTGGATAGTCTTGAAGTAATGGCTCCAGTGTCTGATCTGGGGTCCCTTCTTCTCCAGGTGCTTCCGGATTTTGCTCTCCAGCTTCCAGTTCTCGGTCTCCAGGCTCCTCATTCTGTCCAGGTAGGAGGCCAGGCGGTTGTTTAGGCTTTGCATGGTCTCCTTGTTCTGGATGCTTCCCATTCCTGCCAGACCCCCGGCCATCCCGGCAGCCAGGGCCCCAGACCCCAAGCCGCCCCGGAAGCTGGTGGAGCAGGACACGGAGTTCCCGGAACCAGAACCCCCGGCGCCTGCATAGACGCTGGCTGTGCTGCTGACTGGCCGGGCGTGTAGCTGGGCACCTGGACAGAGCCCAGGGAACGGTAGTAGGTGGAAAAGGTGGAGCGAGTGGTGAAGCTCATGCTGTCCGGGGAAGAGAACGAGGGGACAGGACTCAGGCTTTGCCGACGACCGACATTCCCTTTTTCTAAGTCCAGATACAGAGCTCCAAGAACCCACTAGCATGTAATCAAATGGAGCACACAGGGAGCAAGTTATTTGCGGCTGGATACTAAAGCATCAGGGTGAAGGAAAGGCTGCTTGCTGCTATCATTGCTATTTAACATTGCTCTCTAAATAGAGGCTAAATAAATTATAAGCAGCACTGCCGGCTCCTGTTTGTATGGGCTCTAGACTGCTGACTGGGTCCCAACTCTGCATTCAGTGACGTCATGTTGCAGCTTCACATTGGTCGTGTTAGAGGTAATTATACTGGCAAACAGGCAAATGTTACAGTTAAAACCTTTTTTCTTTTTCTTGCTTCTCTTTTCTCTTAATTTTTGAGAATCAGTTGTTAGACATTTACTAGCATGACACTGATTTATAAGCTAGTAATAAAGCTAACTATTGAAAAGGGGAGATCAAATGATCATCACTTAGAGAACATATGAGTTCATACACTAAAAACCTTAGAGGGGAAACAGTTCTCTCAGAGGTAACAACATTTCTGTACAATATTGTTACAGACTGCTGATTCATTCCTTCTAGACAGACAACATTCCTTCAGCATTGGATGAGTTTGCAGGTTGCAAATCTTGGTGCAGACAGCATCTGTGATTTCCATCATGTGGAGAAGGCTCATATCAAGGGAGAAAAAGAAGTCAGCATTTTGTGAGAGGCTGTGGTGGTGGGAGACTAACTGTGACATTTCACATCCCAGGTTCTAAAAGGTCTGGGGCCCAACAGCGTCCTGGCTTCCTTTGTTCTTTGGCTCTGCCCTGAAACACTGTAGTGTCCCTTCCTCTAAACTCCACTTTTTGTTTAAGCCAGTCCAATAAGAGGTTTCTTTCATTCCAGTCAAAATCAGCTTAATTAACAAAGTCATCTATTTATTCTTACTGAATCTATAAAGGAAAAGCCTCTAACTTCCTCCCTTGCCCCGATACTCTCCTTGCAGAAACATTAATGCTTTGCACAAGGATCAATAGGACTCTTCTTGTAACAACCTCAATACAAACTAGGTATTTTCTTAAGTTTTCTGGAATGATGTATTTAAATGTTATATAAATTGACATTGATTTGTGGTGATAAATGTAATTAATGAAGTTGGGGGACAACACTCTGATGTTAAACTAAGGGATCTGATTTTAAAAATACTGATCTCTAAAAAGACAGATATCTCATTAAAAACAGGCAAAAGATTTGAATAGACGTTTCTCAAAAGAAGACATACAAGGCCAGGAATGGTGGTTTATGCCTGTAATTCCAGCACTTTGGGAAGCTGAGGCAGAAGGACTGCTTAAGCCCAGGAGTTCAAGACCAGCCTGGGCAACATAGAGAGACTGTGTCTCTACCAAAAATTAAACAAAAAAATTAGCTGGGCGTGGTGGTGAACACCTGTAGTCCCAGATACTCGGGAGGCTGAGGCAGGAAGATTGCTTGAGCCTTGGAAGTCGAGGCTGCAGTGGGCCATGATGGTACTACTGTAATCCAGCCTGAGCAACAGAGCGAGACCCTGTCTCAAAATAAAATAAATAAATAAATAAAAAATAAAAAAAGACATACAAACGGCCAAGAGGTATATGAAAAAATACTCAGCGTCACTAATCATCAGGGAAATGCAAATTAAACTACAATGAGATATTGTCTCACCCCAGTTAGAATGCCTATGATTAAAAAGACAAAAAATAACATGCAAGCAATATGCAGAGAAACGAGAACCCTTATACTCTTATACACTGTTGGTACAAATGTAAATTAGTACAACCATTATGAAAAACAGTATGAAGATTTCTCAAAAATCTAAACATAGAACTACCATAAGATCCAGCAACGTCATTACTAAGTATCTATCCAAAGAAAGGGAAATCAGTATATCAAAGGGATAGCTGCACTTGCATGACTACTGTAGACCTATTCAAAATAGTAAAAATACAAAATTAACCTAAACGTCCATCGATGAATGAATGGATAAAGAAAATATGAAAATGTGGTATACGTACACAATGAAATATTGTTAGACCATAAAAAGAATGAAATCATGTGATTTGTAGCAACATGGATGCAAATGAAGGTTGTTATGTTAACGAAAATAAGCCAGACATAGAAAGACAAAGACTGCACGTTCTTACTCATATGAGGGAGCTAAAAAACTTGATCTTATGGACACAGAGAATAGAGTAATAGATATGAGAGACTGGGAAGGGTAGGTGGAGGGGAGGGGGAAATGAAGAGAGGTTGGTTATGGTGTAAATATACATTTAGATAGAATAAGTTCTAATGTTTGATAGCAGACGAGGGTGACTATACTTGGCGGCAATATTAAATATATTTCAACATAATTAGAAGAGAGTACTTGAAATGATGCCAATACATGCAATTGATAAACGCTCAAGTGATGGATACCCCGAATACCCTGGCTTGATCATTACACATTTTAAGCATGTAACAGACATATGTGCCCCATAAATCTGTGAAATATTATGTATTAATAAAAGAAGAAATGACTGATCTCTGTAGTGATGATAAATAACTGACTACTAGTCATGTCTTCATCATCAGCACTGTGCTGAAAATTTTGAGATTCCTTCTTTCTAGACCTGATTTTCTTATTGGCAATCAAACCCTCCCCTCCTCGTGGAGCCTCCCCCCATTCCCCACTCAAGGTGTACATTGGTGACATTCAAAGAATTTCCACCTCAGTCTGCTTCTTGATACTGTATCTAAATATATCTGCAGGTGTGAACAAAGCCTTCTGGTTAAAGTTCATAGGCCCAGAAAACATGTTACCATCTCTTGGAATGATGAGAAAGAAGTACCAAAGAGACCGAACTTGTAACAATTTTGAGAATGGGCAGCTGGAAAACTGTATGTTTTATATGGATTTCTGAAATTTAGAAAAAGCATCTGGGCTCTTTTTAGCAAATAATAGAACCGCGTGCAGGGAGGTGAATCTGCCTCCATTTGTGGTCCACATTTGTGGTGTCCTTGCCCACAGCCATGTGCAGAGGGGTGAAGCTGTTCTTGCCCCTTGGTGCACACTTGAGCAGGTGGTAGATGGTCTGGTGCTTCAGGTGCTCCTGGCTAGGGGTGCACTCCACTTCCTCCAACAGATACAGAAGGTAGAGGATGATGTCCAGCGCCTTGGTGAACTGGGCCGCGTCTTCAGGCTCCTTGGGCAGCGGCAGCTCCTTGGGTCCTGGAAACGTTCCATTTGCCAGACCCCTTTCGTGAGAACCCCTATGAGGTCTGCAAAGCCAATTTGTATGCCCAAGCTGCTTTTGGCCGCCCGGTCCTGCAGCACGTAAGGAAAGAGTTCCGCGAAGGAGAGGAAGCTGCTGGCGGTCATGGGGCTCAGAGGCTGGCTGACCTGCTGCATGGCCAGGTCCCACTTCCGCAAGTGGATGCAGCGCTGGAAATTGCCGCAGGCCGCCTACACCGCGCCCCAGTAACGGATGTAACAGGAAGTGTCGGAGTGAGAGGCGCAGAGGATTCGCTAACAGATCAACAGGGTCTGTATGCGCATCTCATCTGGGTGGTTTATCAGAGCTTCCAAGTCTTCGGTGGTGTGGATCTCCCTGGAATAGCCATAGGCCAAGACCAGCCTCTGGGGTTCTGGTTTGGGCAGGTGACTCCATGGCTCGTCTCCAGTGTTTAAGGATCCCAAGCAGATCTCGCTTCTTTTCCACATACGTGGCTCCCAGAAATTCCAAGGCTTCCAAGGCAGCTTCCAAGGCAGCTTCCAAGGCAACTTCCGGGCTGGTGGGACAGCAGCTTTCATAGGATTCCCCGTTCAGTGGTTCCTCCGCGGAGGAGCTGCAGCATGGAGTCCCTGAGGCTGCGTGCACCCCTGGCTGGTGGAGGGCCTTCTTGAGGTAGCCCTGGCTGAGCCTCTCTCCCGGCGTCCTGCTCCTGGCTGGGCTGCTCCTGGATGAGGTACTCCACTATGCTAGTGTGGCCCGTCACGCTGGCAGCAGCAGCGGAGTCCTGCGAAGGCAATCCCATGCGGGTCTGCCACCACAGCAGCAGCTGCAGGCTCTCCAGGCTGCCAGACTCGGCTCAGTAGTGTAGGGCCGTGTTGCCACTGGCGCTGCGCCGGTTCACCTGGGCGCCCTGCTTCAGCAGGTAGCGGGCGATCTCTCGGTGGCCCTTGTAGCACAAGATCATGAGGCACATGTGGCCGTGCCGGTTGGCCACCTCCGGGTAGGTCTGGTTCTCGCCAGTGGCCATGGAAGCAGGCGGCGCTCAGGGGCGTGGAGTTGGTGCTCCTGGTGCGGTTCGCCGAGGCCCTGTGAGGCAGCAGGCTCCGCATCACGTCCAGGTGGCCGGCGGCAGAGGCGGCCCACAGCGGCGGCGAGCCCTCGATGGTCCCGCCACCGAAGGGTCCCTAGCCGTCAGCCTCCACCCTCGCGCCGCACCGGTTCACCGGGTATCCTACTGCGTCCAGGTGGCCGGAGCGTGCTGGGGGTGCACTCCACTTTCTCCAACAAGTAGAGCAGGTGGATGAGCAGCGGCGTCCCCCGAGCTGGCCACCTCGCCTGTCAGCTTGTCCAGCTCCTCCGGGCTCCGGCAGGTGAACACCTTCTAGAGCAGCTGCAGCTACCGTTGCGGGCGGCGTCGTACACCGCGGTGCGGAGGTACATAGTCTGGGCGCCGCGGGACACGGAGACAGCGGATTAGAGCCGGGATGGGCTGGCGGGCGGCAGCCTTCACCGTCTCCCCCGCCGCCACCTGAGGGGTTCCCGTATCATTTCGTCTATACATATTTACTGTATATATCTCTTAGAGAACCAAATCCTTTAAAAATAATCAAAATATTATCACATCTAAAAATATAGTTTTTAAAAAATATCAAGCGTCCATTGTTCACATTTCCTAAATTGTCTTACACATTGTTTATCCAGTGTGTACGTTTGAACTGAAATCCGAGTAAGATACAAACATTGCTGTTGGCTGATGTAGTTATACATTTTCCCCTTCACTTCTTTCCCTTGAGAGTCTTTGGCTGAAGAAGCTGGGTTGAAGAGATCTCAGTGTCAGGATTTTGCTGAGTGTGTCAGTTATAAAGATTACTGATAAAAAGACTTCAATGTCCGGTGGATTTCAGTGGGTTCCTTCTTATCGAGCTTTGCTTTTGAGGATGTGAGGTGAGGAAGAAACCCCCTTTACAGGGACCTTCTCTCTTTGGCCAGAACTGGCCTCCCTTGTGGAAGGAGGGGAAAAAGTGATTTCAAATGCTTTTGAGTATTAATCCCAATGTCCAGTTACAAAATCTGTAACTTATCTGGGAATTACCTTTAAGTGCATCATACTTATATAAGTAAAGTATATAAAAGAAACATAAAAAAATTGGAGGTAAATCATGTTCATGGATGGGATAATTTAATATTTTAAATATTTAAGGCAGTTGAATTAAAATCCCAGTAAACTTTTTTTTTTTTTGCGTTTGCATCTTCACTAGCTGATTTCCAGATGAACATAGATGAATGAATGTGTATAAATAGCTAAGCTAATTTAGAAAATGAGGAGTAGTAAGGGGGCAAAAAATTATCTGAGTTTAATTTATTATTCAAAGAAATAGAAATGAAAAAAATACACATAAATACACTTAGAATTTGATCTTTGGAAAATGAATGAGTTACTTAATAAATAGTGTTGGGAGACTTGGACAGAATATAAAGTATGGAATAGGAGGAAAAATTAAGTTAGAGAAGCAGGTAGATTTAAAAAATTAAATTTGAAAGCTAAAACTGTAAAGCTAATAGAAGAAAATTCAGAAATTTTTCTTTGTGATTGGGCATGTAGATAGATTCTAAAATAAATCCATCAGATAGAGTGACCTTGGACCATAAATAAATAATAAATCCTTCAAGTATAAACTATAAAGAGAAAAATTAATATATTTCATTACATCAGAATGAACTGTTACCTGGCTACCCTAACTTCTAGAGTCTGGAAAGGTGGCATTTTAGCTTTCTAGTCAGTACTTAATAAAGGACAATCAAAAACACCACAAACAAAATTTAGGAATGGGGTTTCATTTGGAGAAAATGAAAACAAAACTTAGGATAAGTGACAGTTTGAGAGAAGATCTATAATATATTTATCACCAAGAAATAATTAATATTTAGAATAATAAAATAAATTTTTGTAAATAAGCAAGAAAAAAACAACATAAAAAGTCAAAGATTATGATTAAGACATACCCTAATGGCTGACAAATGACATGCAAAAATGAGTTGTTTAACTTCATTTTAATCAACAAAATATAACTTAAAACTCTGAGATACTGCTTACTGAAGTGCAAAAAATTAGAACATTGCATATCAAATGCTGGTGGGACTATGGAGAGATGGGAAACCTCGTGTACTGCTGGGAGATATGGACTGGTATGGTCACCTTAGAAAGCTATAAAGCAGTACTTAGTGGAATTGATTCATTACTCTGTAGACCCTAAACACTATAGAAATTCTCACAAGCATGCACCAGAGATATTTAAGAGGATGTTTATCTCAGCATTATTTGTGCTAGCAAAGAACCAGGGGATACTTAGGCTAAATTTAGATTATACAGCAGTCACAAGAAATGAACAAAGTAGATATTTAGCCACATGAACAGATCTCGAAAACATAATTTTTGTAGTCTAGCACTATTTATGTAAATTACATGTACACAAATATTAATGTTCATATTTTAAAGACATTCACAGATATAGAAATATATATATTGGAGGTTGAAGGTACAAATAAAAATATTGGAGGTTGAAGGTACAAATATGAAATACTTTAGGTTGGGAGCCTGTGGAGGGGAAGAGAAATTGGATTGTATAAGATGGAGATAAAAATAAGATAAGAAACAAAGATAATGTGTCATGAATTGATGGCATGATTAATCCCATTAATCCCATTCTACCCATCTGACATGCCTACAATAAACAAGCTTATAAATCCACCAGCTTCTCTTGAGAAATAGGAAGATTTGACCACGTAAGATCTGGTATGGTGGAAGCCAGGAGGTGAGACAGATGTGGAGCAAGGCTTTGCAGCTCCCCTCCCCGTTGTCTATCACCAGTCAATGGAAGACAAGTTTATTGGTCTCTGGTTTCTGTAAGCATTTGTACTAAGGCCTCTGCTCTACAGAGGTGTGAAAACTTTATTCCAGAGGGGGTTTCAGGAGTAGGTGACCTCATGGGCATGGACCAGTTTCATAAGCCTAATGGAGTGAATTCATTTATCCTAAAAGCTGTTGCTATGCTGTTAAGTTGCCTGGGCTGAGAACCCCAAAGACAGAGCCATTCAGAAATTTTATAGGCACTGAAGTCAATATTCACCCTAGGCAGGACTCCCCCTGAAGATCCAAATAGATTAAGGGAAATAATTCTAAATGAAGTCCATAAGGAAACTTTTATAAGAGTGTAATATCTTCTTCCATCATGAATAATTCAGTTAAGAGACCTATGAAGAGCACACCTCTTTTCCCCTTTGACCGTTCTGCTATTGGAAATGGTCGAACTTTCAGTCCCTGATTAAAGTTTTCAATTTACCCCACTGAAAATGTGCCAATTAATTCTGACGCCTGTAGGCCCATGTCAGAAAGTAGCAGCTTTTCCAGTCACGACCTTGTTTGGTTAAAATGCTAAGAATGTTCTATTTTAGAATAGCTAATAACTTGAGACCACCTTCCAAAATAGACTCTTTGGGATGAAGTAAGAGAAATAATCTCAAAACAGCTTAAAAAAGATATTTTCTTTTTGAAAGAAAAGGGTTTGTCTGTAAGCCATAGGTGAAATAAGGTTAGTTACTACATTCATCACTGATGTATAACAGGTGGAAAAAGATTAAGAGAGCTTCAATAAAAGTGCTTACTTAGGGCAAAGGAAAGTCAAAGCAAACACAGGACCCCTCCATACATTGGTCATCTGTAGAGAATGTGTATTACTTTTCATAGGGCAGTATTAGCAAGAACAGTGAATCTAATGGACTTCACCTTATTGAATATCTTCTTTGTTAACAGAGACTAACAGCCAAGGCCCATTTTGCCAGAGTGTGTTAATATATTTTTTTTTAATGCTGTGCTTGATAATGTAAAAAAAAATAAATAAAAAATAAGTCTGCATTTAGCTATGTGTAGCTGTGGTCATATTATGGACTTGTGCCATGTTAGGGGAACCATTTTCTGAATTTCAACCCACTTTGCTGCCACCCAGGAGAGCAGTGACGTCAATATGCACTGGAGGTTAACATGCTTTGCAATAAACACTCACCATCATGACCCAATCCTGGTGAGCACCAGTTACTCCACATTGATAGCTGAAGGACTGAATTTGAAAGTCTGCTCTTACGTTACTAAAAACACATGGCTTCTAATATGAGGCAGTTTATTGCCAGTGGTGGTGTAGAATGATATAAAATGCAGACAAGCACCCAGATTTCAGGACTATGTATCATCATTCCCCGAAATGAACCAGTTCTCCCTTGAGGGGAGCGACTGCTTAACTTGGGCAGGAAGAGCAAGATAGATCTGGAACATCTTAGCTGAATGGGAGTGATGATGATACTTTCAGAAATTTCTGGGGTAGTGTTAAGAGGTGAAAAGAGGTCAGCCTTATAAAAATGAATAAGTGGCGACAAATGAAAGTCAACTATTACCACAATGTGAAACAGGTTGAGTTTAAACAGGAGCCTTGGTTTTATATATATATATCTCACACAAAATACAACAACAAAAACAACAGGTGTCTTGGCATGTGCTAAGAGGCTATGGAAAGACAATTGTATTAAACACAAGCATGCATTTTCAGCTGAAGAAAATATAATATATGGAATGAGGATATTGTGAGGATTATACTAAAATTGCTATTGGGAAAACGTTTTTGTTCATTTACTTAATAATGAATATCAGTAATCTCAGATGTCCAACTTTGGATTTGCCCCTTCCCACTCTCCTTATGAAAGTTTGCATGGGGTAACAGGTAACTCTGATCTGATGTTAAAGCCTCCACTGTTGGGTTGGCCATAACCTGACAGTTAACAGCTTCCCCTACTGATTCTTCATTGACAAGGAAGCCTGCTTGGAGTTAACAAGCTCATGGGAACAACTACCCTCCTCTGATATAGTAGCAAAGAGACAAGCGCTACTATAAAAAGGGCCAAGCTTCTTTGGTCAAACAGGGTTTTGCATAGCATGTCATAGCTATTCTGTCTGGTTACTATCCTGAGGTGCATCTCTTCCCCTCCATCTTTTCTCCAAGAAGCTTGGTTGTAGTGGGGAGTGTGTGTGTGCATGTGTGTGTATGTGTGTGTGTGTGTGTGTGCAGAAAGCACAGACCATAGTGCATATGGTGCCAGCCACATTCATCCTAAGGTTGAGAATTCCAGATGAAGAAATTATTCTGCCACTGGACTAATGGTAGATAGTTGTTGCTACTTCCATTTTTGTCCACTAGACCCACTAAATATGACTTTTCTGGCTATTATTTTTCTTGAAATCTAATGTTGAGGACTTAATATAGTGGAGCATTTGAATAGATTGACTTTAATATTACTATTTAGGAGTCATCTTCAATAATTTGGAAAGAAATAGTGCACCCTCTAGTGAACATTTTAAGGACTAGCATAGACCACTGTGCAAAACAGGTTGCATTTGGGTCAGTTAATGGGGAGTAACGTTACACATCCTTGGCACCCTTTAGTCTGTAGCTTACTGGTTGCCGTCTTTGTGGTAACATGAGGAGTATGAAGGACTAACCACAGGACCAGAAGACAACAATGGTTGGAAGAGGGGAGTGTGTATGTAGAATGTAGTAGAGTCCTTGCTGCTTCACTCTACTGCCCTTTGCAGAGTGTAGGAAGAATAGGGCAAAGTTTTGCAGGGAATTTGGAGAGACACTCTCACAGAAAAGAAAATCGGAGCATCTGGGTATCATGACATGGAAATATAAAAACGTGAAAAAAACCTGTGATCGTGAAATTAGAAAAATTATTTTAATTCTTATTAGACTAAAGTCACTTGGCATACAGAGAATTGGCTAAGTTGTGAAAAGCAGGAAGAAATTTTGCTCTTGAAATCCTATGATTTTGTCTTCACCGACCCCAGTCAATTAACTTTGGGAAGACTGTGGAATGGCAATATTTCCATGGAATGAGATAGAAAGTGTGATGGATAAAAGTGGCAGTATGGTTACCTAATATCCTAAAAGCCATTACTAGCAGATATTATTCTTTTCTATTTTTTAATTTTTTGAAGTAATGTTTCTTTTGACAATGTCCAAGTATCAATTTTTTTAAAATTCAGACAGATGTAATATATATGAACTAGGTTAAAAGTGTGCTCCGAAGGTAATAAAAATAGATCAATTGTTAGAAATAATAAACCCCATATATATAATTTGAATTGTTTGATTTGCAATGTATGTTTATTTATATTTTGAAACTAGTAAGGGCCTTTTTACTTTGTTCTTGTGTGACATTTCTGATGGGCTTGCCAGCAATTTGTTATTTTTGAAATCATGGTTACTTGCTCCAAACCTCCAAACAAGAATCTTTGTGAATTTGATTTATTAGAAAAGTTTTTGACTATATATACTTTGCAATTTATTTGGTTTTCTCTTAAAGCAAAATGTAAGATTAAACAGAACTCTATGCTATAAGGTTAAACATATAATTATATAGTATTTTTAAACAATCAAGTACTTTATATAAATTAGATGTAATAACTTTTAAAGAAATGTTATCCTGAAAGTGATTTTCTGTGACTTTGCCAGGAATTCACTGGGAAAGGGCACTAAAGAGGAAGTGTGCTCAGAAATCGAGATAGCCAGAGATTCTTTTTAATCAAAGGTACGTAGAAGCTCACCAGTTGCCCCAGAGACAGAAGTGAAAATCTTGCTAGACCACAGTAAAAGTTGGCTCAAATCTTCTCTAGGGTGAGAGGGAGAAACACACACAGGGGGATACCTAGTAGCGTTGGTAAAGTTCCAAATGGAATTAAATAAACTGGCCCTTTGAAATCAGAATCACAAATTAAATTATGCATTTTGGTTTTGTTTGGACATTTCCATACTGACTGATTGCTTTTCTTTTAAAGGACTCTTTTTTGGTGGAGGGGGTGAATTTAAACTGAGAAATTGTATATACTTGCTGGCAAGCTGCAGCTTCACTAACCATGTAACGCTAAATTTTGTGGGATGGAGGCATGGAGGTATACAGCCCAGTGACTCCCAGACTTAGTGAGCTTAAATGTTATGTGGAAAGACTGTCACAGATGTGTAGGCATCAAGCCCAGGGGTTCGGATTCAGTAGTTCTGAGAGGGGGATGAGAAGGCATCATTTTAAACAAGAACCCCAACCCCAGGTGACTTGGAAGCAACTGGTCTAGGGATTATCACTGAGAGAAACACCAGCTGACCTGAGGTCAATAATGTGGAGGTGTGCAACCATTTATAAATGAATTTATTGAGAAAAGTTCAGTGATAGTTATTTCTGAGAAGTCTGCACGTGTTTTGGAAAAATTGGGAGGTGGGCCAATGATGACTGAAATATAATTGCACTGGTATACAAATCTGAATGCATTACAAAATGCAGGCTCTTCAGGGCATGTGCTAGAGCCAGGGCAGAACTCCTCAGCCCCACTCTGCATTCTTGCAGCAGGGCTTCCATTCCTGCTCCTTCCTCTGCTGGGGATGCTCTTCTTCTTGTCCTCCTGACTTTCTCTAATCAGTCAGACTCTGCTATCTTGTCACCTCTCAGGAGCCTTCTATGAAACCATCAATAAAACTCCTTTCCCAGCCACTACCCTTCCCTTTTCCTACTTCATCTTTCTTTATAGCACTTGCAATTTGCTGAAATAATATTGTTGATCTGTTTACTTTTTTAGTGTTTCTTCTTTGAGACTAAACTCCAGGAGGTCAGGGATTTTGTTTGTTTCATGCGTAGCTGTATATCCAGCACCTAGAATTAAGTAGTGAAAGAAATCCAATTCCTTTTCCAATCAAAATTTAACTGGTTTTGTGGCCTATTTTCCAGGGGTTTGTGCTCTAATATGGGAGAATACACTGACTCCCTGAACAAGTCCATTCTTGAACCATGGGGAGTTCAGTGTTATGCCCATTTTCCCCAATGATTGAGAAACTTACTTTGATATTCCCTTTTACTCTTGATAGCTATCACTTTTTGAAAACTTGAGCTTGGTAATAGACAATGTATTTCTCACTGTCTTTAATACAATAGGTTAAAGATTAATGAATAAATATGGCATATCTTGAAATGAGATGTGTGTATTTAGCATTCATCTGAGTGTCACCACACAATGGTAGACGATGGATGGGATTAAGAGAGAATATTTGTCAGTGCTCATTCAGGAAAACAGCTCATGCCAACTAGTTCAATAGAAGGCATCCAATATGGGAAACTACAGCAGTGATGCAAGATCCAAAATGGCAGGAAGGGAAAAAAGAGGCATTCCCATTATTATCCACAGCAGGAATTTCCTACCAGCTTTAGAATGGAGGAAAGGGGGAAAAGGGAGGTAGTACGGCCAGAGTCTAGAGGGGCTGGGAGCACAGAAGGAGAGGCTGTCCAGAGGAATCTGGAAGTCCTGGAGGATGTCCAGCCACTTCTGAGGATGCCTCCAAAACAGAGAGGTAGGTGAAGAAATGCCCTGGCCTCTTCTTTTTTCACCCTCAAATATTCTGCCAGTGTTCCCACTGCCTGAACCCAATTACAAGGCAGTAGGAAATGGAATTTGCAGGGATCAGCCCAGGCCACTACAGAAGAGATTAGAGAAAGGGCTGGAATGGGTCCGAGAGCACACAAGGACAGAAGGAATTTGGAGAAGTGTAAATGATATAATCATCTTGGTTCAGGTTTGTGCTGCATATGAATTATTCTAACTGCGTGGTGTGAAGCTCACCATGTGATATAAAATTTCCTAAGATCCTGCCACAAAGCTGTCTTATTTGCATGAGTCCAAAAACTGCAGGCTAGAAAGGTGACTGAAAGTTACAAAATGGTTACATAAATGATCAGCAATCCACATGGGCTTGTTTTGGATTTAATACCATTATTTTTTATTTTATTATTTTAGTGCTACTGTTATACTGCATCAAACCTTGTTTTCCTGTGGGGTCTTTGGCTCCCTTAATGACAACTCAAGTCATTTCTGTAATCTTTCAAACACTTTTAGTTATTAAGAGAGGTGAATTTCAAATATTAGACCTAACCTTGTGCATCCTCTGTTCCTCTTCCCATGAATACAGGTGGACTTAAAGCTTTACCAGCTGGGAACTGTGGACATTGGTATAGTTATTCTCTCACTCACCTTCTTTCCTGCACTTGCCCTCCTGGTGTTGAGAGGAGAAGGAAAATGAGGGAGGGAGGTTTCACACATACCTGCAGGTTTTTTCCTCCTATTGTTCATCAATGAGTCCAGATGGGACTGTCGGTTTCCTCAGAGCAGCAGGCTGTCCTGGGTGGTGGGTTGTATGTTTGGCTCCTTGGAGAGGCAGTCCCTTCAGAGGCCCTGGTAAAGGACCAGCAATTGAACTTGTGTTTTTCTCACCTGTAGCCCCTACAACAAGTTATCCAGATTATCTTGTTGCTGCTAGGGTTGCCTCACCCGGAAGTGGCTCTCTTGAAGGGGCCAGTACAATGAGTGGCTGAATCCCTACCACCTGCTACAGGGTTTGCTCGAACATCTGTAGGAAATCCACAGATGTTTACACATCAAATGGTAACGCAGTCCAACTAGGTTCTCTCTCTGCACCAAGGCCACTCTTCTGCCCATTTCTTTATGCTTCCACCATCAGACTTGGGGAAACAGGCACTGTGTGAGAACAGAGGTTCAGCATTTTTACACGAAAGATAATTGAAAATCTTGAGCCCAGTGGCTTAGGTATCTCCAGTATCACACGGCTGGCACAGGGGGATTGATAGAATGGCCCTATCCTGAAAGATAGAAGAGGAGGAATGGATGGTTTGCTACTCCACAAATTATGCATCTCTATTCTCCCGACCTGTGGCAAACTTGCATCCCTTCTCTAGTCCTCTGGTAGTTTTATATTAATACAGATTCTGCTGAAATGGTCCTTCTGTGTCCAGAGTTGGTTCCTTCCGGTGGGCTCATGGTCTCACTGACTTCAAGAATGAAGCCGCAGACCTTTGTGGTGAGTGTTACAGCTCTTAAAGGTGGCACGGACTCAAAGAATGAGCAGCAGCAAGATTTTCTGTGAAGAGCAAAAGAACAAAGCTTCCACAGCGTGGAAGGGGACCCGAGTGGGTTGCCTCTGCTGGCTGGGGTGGCTAGCTTTTATTCCCTTATTTGTCCCCACCCATGTCCTGCTGATTGGTCCATTTTACAGAGCGCTGATTGGTCCATTTTACAAACCTCTAGCTAGCTACAGAGCACTGATTGGAGCATTTTTACAGAGTACTGGTTGGTACATTTTACAAACCTCTAGCTAGCTACAGAATGTTGATTGGTGTGTTTTACAAACCTCTTGTAAGAATTGTACCTCTTAAAAGAATTCTTTAACTTATTAACTTATTCATTTTAACTATCCAGCACTTAACAATTGCTAGGGATTTAGCTGGTCATTGAGGATAAAATGAACAATGTACGGTTGCTGCCTTGAGAAGCCTCCAGATGGATAAATGGATAAATAACAGGAACTAATTGTGGAGCATTTATTCAAGGCCAGATGGTTTGTCAACTTAGTTTAACTTCTCATAGTTCTGTTGCAAAGCGAGAATTATTATCACTAGTACACCAATGAGGAAATGGTTATAAAAGTGATATAACTCATAGAGTTTAGATAACTTAACCAGGACTGCTCGGGCGTTGGGAATCATGACCAAGTGTTGGTCCTGGAACCATCAGTGCACCTTATTTCCTCAGGGGTCCTCACTTTCCTCAGAGTCAAATGTCTCTTTGCTTTCAGAAAATTCCAGAAACTGTAGTGATGATCAGGGTTTGTGACTTAGTTTTATTTATTTTGGGAGCAGGTTCAGGCATGTGTATAGACTGGAGGCGGTCAATGGTATGAAGACGTTGACAGAAAATGACCAACGGTGAAATTGTTCAGCTCCTGTGGACAAGACTAGCTAACTCATAGCTAAAACTCCCAGATGTGAAAAATTTAAGGCCAGGGTTAAATTTCTCAAATTTGAAAATCTTATAAACTTAAGAAAATTTGATTTTGTAAACTCATATCAGAAAATGGCGTTCAATTCTTAGTTGTAAATTAACTCAATTTGAATTGAAGAATAAAGCAGAGTTAAAAAATAAAATAACTTATCCTTCCAAAGCAATTAGCCTCTCAACCCTGCAGATATAAGGAAAACAGATAAAAGTACTTTAAACATTTGATTCACCTGAATTAGCAATTTAATTGAGGATAATGGCTTTTTTGTGGAGCCACAAAGGCAACTTTTTTTTTTTTGAGAAGGAGTCTCGCTCTGGAGTGCAGTGGCGAGATCTCGGCTCACTGCAAGCTCCGCCTCCCGGGTTCACGCCCTTCTCCTGCCTCAGCCTCCCGAGTAGCTGGGACTACAGGCGCCCGCAGCCACGCCCGGCTAATTTTTTTGTATTTTTAGTAGAGATGGGGTTTCACCGTGTTAGCCAGGATGGTCTCGATCTGCTGACCTCGTGATCCGCCCGCCTCGGCCTCCCAAAGTGCTGGGATTACAGGCAGGAGCCACTGCGCCCGGCCACAAAGGCAACTCTTTACTCAAATACACACATAAACACACACACTAGCTTCTTATTGATAGAGACGATGTTATCTAACACAGCAAGGTGTCATAATATTCTGCTAAGAATATAGACACTGTCCATGTAGCACAGTATTTTTAGTTGTTTAAATTGAGTCTAATACACATTCAGCGAAGAGTACAAATTACGTGTTTTTTTTTTTTTTTCCAAAATGAGCACACCCATGTAAACAGCCAGATCAAAAAACAATCAAGAGCTTGAAGTAAATGAAATCAGTATTTGCTCTTTTGTGTCTGGCTTCCTTCACTTGGGATTATGTTTATGAGGTTTATGTTTATTGTTGTATATAGTTGTATATACTCTTTCTGAATAGTATCAATGGGGAGTAGAACTACATAGTATTCTATTATCTGAATGTACCACAATTTATGTTTCATTCTTGATGGACATTTGGGTATATTCCAGTTTTTGGCTACTATAAAAAGTGCTCCTATGAACATTCATTTTGTATCTTTTGGTGAACATATGTATACACATCTTTTGTGTATAGAGGGTCATAAGACAGGCATATGTTCAGCATTAGTAAATACTACCAGATAGTTTTTCCAGTATGTTTGCATCAATTTTCACTCCCACCATCAGTATATGAGAGTTTAGGTTGTTATACATTCTTGCCAACACTGGGTATTTCTTTCTTTGCGTTTTGCTTTTAATTTGCATAGTCATGATGCCTAATCACATTGTGTACCTTAAGTGCTTAAGTCATTTTCTCCATTTTCCAACAAGTTGTCTTTTTCTTATTAGTTTGCAGTTCTTGGTATATTTTGGATGCAAATTCTATATTGGGTAAATATATTGCAAATATATTACATTATGTGGGTCGCCTTTTTATTCTCAATAATGTCTTTTGATGAACAGAGTTTTGTCTTGGTGCAGTCCAATTTATAATCTTTTCTTTATTAGAGCTCTGTTTGGAACTCTTTGTCTGCTATGAAAACATCCTCCAACATTTTCTTCAAAAACTTTTATTGCTTTAATGGTTACAATTATATTTGCAGTCTACTTAGACTGTGTTTTAATGGTTTGAGAATGATATACGTTTTGTTTTCCATATGGATATCCAATGAATTAAACCTGGTAGCACAATTAAAAAATATGTAATATGTTTTAATTTGAATAATGGTACTATTGTTACAAGGAATGGATTGTATCCCAAATTATTCTGTAAGTATTTAAGTAGTTAAATTTATGGAGTCTTTGTATCACATACTATGAATATTTCTTATTAATATGCTTTCACATGATCAGATCCTATCAAATAAATGAAACCTTGGGTGATAAATAGCTTTGGAAATACTTTCTCAAATCCATTATATATATAATGAGTAGATTAGAGATAGTGAATCCAGAAACCTTCAATATTTAAGCATATTGACTCAAATAAATTAACATTCATTATTTGCTATAACACTTTATAGAAATGTGCAGAAAACATTTGAAGCAACTTGAAGAAAGTAGTTTATATATATCATATAAAAAAACCCAGACAATGAAAGTTGGGCAGAGATAGTACTTTTTCTGAGGGATTTAATTAGAAAAGGAAGAGAGGAGACAGTGACAAACAGTGCTAAATAGAAAACATTTGCATGAACCTGTGATTTTGAAAAATTCTTATTCAGTAACAAAAACAACTTTTTCTACTCTGCTGACACTCTATCTACTTCAATATGAAGAGAGTAAAAAGGCAACCTGCAGGATGGAAGAGCATCTGTTGCCAGTACTTGGCTGGAATGAGATCACCTGCAGGTAGCCCCCAGATCACGATTCTTTGCATGGGCTTTTACTAAAAGCAGAGTGGGCTCTCTAGAACAAAGCCATTATTAGCTCTAGAGTCAGGAAAAGCAAGACAGTCCCAGACTATCTCATGGCAGAGAGGCAAAGATGGCTTGGCAGATATCTGGAGTAAAACTGAAATGGTTAAAGGTGCCAACCCCCAGAAGAAGGCTTTGCTCAAATTGTAAGAATTCTCTACTACAGTTTTTAATCAACACCAGAGTTAATTCACTCCTTGGACTCAGAAGGCATTTTGTTCTTTAGAAGGCTTTCTTTCTTTCTCCACTGGCTTTATTGAGGTGTAGTTGAGAAATTAAAAAAAGTATACTCAGAGTGTACAATGTGATGCTTTGATATACCTATACATTGTATAATGATTTCCACAAACTAATCAACACATTCATCACCATGCATACTCCTTTTTTGGGGGTGTATTTGTGGTTAGGACACTTAAGATCTACTCCTTCAGCAAATTTCAAGTAAATAACACAATATTAATCAGTCACCATGGCTAACCATTAGATTTGCAGAACTTATCTATTATACCTGAAAGTTCGTGCCTTTTGACCAACATTTCCCCACATTCCCCCTACAACAACATGGATGAACCTGGAGGACGTTCTGCTAAGTGAAATAAGCCAGACACAGAAAGACTAATACTGTACAATTTCATTTATATGTGGACCCTAAAAAGTCAAGCTCGTAGAGAGTAAAACGGTTGCTGGTGGGGCTTCTGAAGAGGGGGATTCTTCTCTGGTGTGGCAGATCTTGCCTGTTAGCAGAATGGGAATTTAATGTGTAATTCTAGTTTACCATCACATAGGGCATATTGCAAGCTTTATTTTGTTTAATTTTACTTATGTATTTTATTTTATTTCTATACATTCTGTGCCCAGGCTGGAGTGCAGTGGCACAATCACAGCTCACTGCAGCCTCCACACACTGGGCTCAAGTGATCCTCCTGCCTTAGCTTCTCAAGTAACTGGGACGGCAGGCGTGAGCCACTGTGTCCAGCCCTGTTTAATTTTCTAGCAGGAATTAAGCACCACATAGAGATGATTTTTTTGATTATTTAGGAACAAGGCAGAGTCTTTGGTGAATGAAGGGGAAGCACTCTGCAAGATATTAACAGGCCAGTATAGTGTACTTTCCTAAGAACGGAAATTACAAGTGTTTCATTAAGAAATATAAATTGTTGACATAATTTTAATCCACAGCATTATTTAAATTGCCTAGTTCAAGATTATTTTGAGAAAACAATTAACTGTGGCAATTCTAATTAAATTCCCTTGATGTGTATATTGGAAAAATATATAAAGCACAGATTGTAAAATAAAGAACAGCATTGGAAAGTTTCAAAATATATATTTTTAAGAAAAGCTAAAATAAGAGTCAAAATGAATTTGTTTGGATTCAGATTTTGAGTATATTTTGGTTCAGAATTTTCTGCTTGAAGTAAATAGAGACAGTTTAAAACTGATTAACATAATCGAGCCACCAAAATACTTTAAATTCTGTCACTAAACTGGAATTTAATCTGTGTTTCCTGAAGTAAGATAAAGCAATCCAACTTTTGATAATTAGACTGGTACTTCTTGGAGGAGTAAATAAGCCAAGGATAAGTAATTCCCACCTCTGCTCTAAGAGTCTTAGCATGTGGAATACTGAGGGGAGAAGACCAGGCCCTGGTGGACAAGAGAGAGTGGGAGATGGGAACTCTACTGAGTCTTGGTCACCAGGAACAATGCTGCCTTTAATCTACTACCTGAGTTGGCTGTATAATTTCTGGTACCCAATGCAAAATGAAAATTTTGGGCCCCTTAATGAAAAACAGGAAAAAAAGTGCTTTTAAGGTTCTAAAGTATAAAGCTTTGTTTCTGTATTCCATGGGCCCTCTCTCTCATCTTCTCATGGTGGTTTTTGTTATTTAATGTCCTAAATGAAATAAATTATTAGCATAAATTTTTACCATTCATCTTTATAATGTACAATGCCCGTTTTAAATGCAAATACAAAAGTATTTAACTTGGATGCAGAATCACTGAACTCACATAATTTGAATTTTATACATGCATATGTATTTTGTTCTTCCCAGCATAGTGGAAAACCTGCTGAAAATAACCCAAATGTTTTTATTTTACTTCTTGATATGTGTACAATATGGGTTACCCTGTCTTTCTCTTTCTTTTCCTTTCCTTCTGTATCATCACTTTCGGTGTAAGTCCTTGAATAATACAGGAAAGTGATACAAGTAAGAAAGAATATGATAGTTTCTTAGTCATGAATGTTCTAGAACATCATTGCCTCCTTTCTGAGATCTGGGTTGAAGGGAAAATGTGGCTATCAATGTCCCATTTACTCAGTCGTGGATATAACACATTCATCCTGCACTTTGAGTGTTGCTGGACTCCCATGCATTGCTGGTCCACTGGAACTTTACACTCATGGGACTCTTGAATGCTATATGCAAATAGGGCAGCAAGGCATGCCCTAAATGCAGACTGTGTGCAGCTCCTCTGCTCGTGCTTCATTGTGTTTTCAGACTTCACTTACAAAAAAGTTCAAAGATAGTATCATTAAGAATCCAAAGACGGTGACAGCTAGAGCATGAAACCAAGTGCAGGGCTCTTCTGCACATGGCTTCCTGTACAATTGCACTGGTTATAAAGCCATGGAACCAGCCTTGCCTGCAACAGTCAATTTGTTCAGATAGCACCTCGAGATTTACACTATTTGTCTTTAGAGTAGCAGGCCTTCCAGGGCATGAGGCTCAGTCAAAAGGAGGCCCACGAGGAAACATTCACAATGCATTTAGCACTAGCTCCTTCACCTCAGTGGTGAATTCCTACACTACACGATGATCTGCCCTTGTGCCCAGGCCACAGTCCAAACTGTGAGATCAGTTGTCAAAATGTCTGGAAGTGGGTGGGACATGTTAAAGATTCCCAGGGGATTCCAAAGTGTAGATTATGTTAAGAACCACTACTTCACTGCTACTTCTTCTTGTTACTGAAAGTATGACCCCTAGACCAGTAACATCAGCATCAATCACCTGGCAGCTTGCCAGGAACACAGAACCTCAGGCCCCACACCTACCATGTCAGGTCAGAATCTGCATTTTCATCTGCAATTACACTTTGAGAAGCATGGCTGCAGCTGGATGGGCCCTTTGTAACACCTAGAAGTTGACTCCTTAGGCTCTTCTATAAACACTGGTTATTAGCCCTGGTTGTACATTTAAATGATCTGTTTTATTCTAGCACCTAAGTATATACATTCATTACATTTATTTTTATGTTTAATAATTGTTTATCAGAATTGTGCAATTGGATTATTTTAACCAATTGAGTTTTATTAACAACAAATGTCATTAAGATTTATTTTAATGCTTGGAAACATATAATCATAAAATTAAAATATGTTTTAATGTTTTAACCTACATATGAAATTTGGCTACAGAGAAATATAATGTGTGACCAAAAAAACCTATAAATATATTAAAGCATAAATTAGATTTCAGTAGTAAAAAGTATGTGAAGAAGTAGATTGGAAATATGAAATAAAGGAGAAAATGCGCATAAAAATTTTGACTGTTCAAGATGGACATGTTCATGTATTTTTTAAGTGGCTGATGATAGATGTAAAATCCTGATGGTTTTTTCATTCCATTGGATACACTTAAAAGAGTAATATAACAGTTTTATTTTAAGATATTAAAAGGTCAATACTTGAAATAGGCCAACAACTAAATTACTTCTAACTGTTTACATTTATGATGATGAAAACACTAGACAACAATGTCTTTATTTTGGTTTCAATATTTATAATATACCAGGGATTATGTTATTTGCAACAATTTAAATTTCTGATGAAACATATTAAATGCCAGTATGTGAGAGGTACATAATTTTTCAAAATTCTACAGATGTAAAATAATTTGAAGACCACTGAGATACATGGGAGGACCTAAGAATCTCATGGGCATCTTTGAATTTCTCAGCCTGCAGCCTCCCTGTGGTCCACTTACCAGCACACATTCATTTTCTAGTATCCTACGCATCACTTTGAGAGGAACATGAAGGACAATTCTTTTGCTGAGTCTTCTGTGTTGCCTAAACTTTTCCTTCTCACTGGTGAGGCTACTTAAACCTGGGCATGGCCTGAGTTGTTGAACAATCACAGACTTACTTGTTATTGTATTCCCCCGATGGCAATGCAGCTTAATAGCCTAATGAGTCCCTTGTCACCTTGATTTTGGGAGATTCAGTTATCTAAAAATCATGTTCAGCCAAGCCTTTGAATCTTTATTCTGAACTTAGAGTTTCCCTTTCTTAATACTAAGCTTGTGGGCTGTGCCATTCACAGAACAGGGAAAGAAAACCACAGGCTGTGGTGGGGAGAATAGAATACCTTAGATTGTTGTCACTCAGAGTCCTAGTTGAATGCAACTCACAAAATTTAATTTTTGTTTTTATCGAGTTGTTTCTTCATCAAAGTAATGTCAGCACACAGTTTTCAAATCAAAGAATTACCAAAAAGCTCATATTAAGAAGACTTTTCCCTTCCTATCTCTCTCCAACTTTAATTCCACTTCTAGAGGTAACTACTTTCAACTCTTAGCCTTTTCTTTTGGGATTTACATTTGTCTATTTACAAAAGTTACTTGTTGGGCTCCTTCTTGATTTATTTAGCTGATTTAGACTTTATTTGTAACTTTTTTATCGCAGCTGAGGCATTGACTCTTACAAGACATCCTTTTATCTTCTTCTGCCAACCAATACAGTCATAACTCAAATTTTGGTTAATATTTTTGTTGCATTATTATGAATATACAAACTTTTTCACTGATGAGTCAGAATGCTGGGTTAAAAGTAATTTTCACTCAGAAGTTGAACGGTACTCCTGCTCTGTGCTCTAGCATTCAGTGTTGCTCATGAAAAGTGGTGTTATTATCTTCCTGATACCAAAGCCTGGCAGAGATACAACAAAAAAAGAAAACTTCAGGCCAGTATCCCTGATGAACATCAATGTGAAAATCCTCAATAAAATACTGGCAAACCGAATCCAGCAGCACATCAAAAAGTTTATCCACCATGTTCAAGTTGACTTCATCCCTGGGATGCAAGGCTGGTTCAACATACACAAATCAATAAACGTAATTCATCACATAAACAGAACCAAAGACAAAAACTAGATATTATCTCAATAGACAAAGAAAAGGCCTTTGATAAAATTCAACACCCATTCATGTTAAAAACTCTCAATAAACTAGGTACTGAAGGAACATACATTAAAATAATAAGAGCCATTTATGACAAACCCACAGCTCGTATCATACTGAATGGGCAAGTGCTGGAGGCATTCCCCTTGAAAACTGGCACAAGACAAGGATTCCCTCTCTCACCAGTCTTATTCAATACAGTGTTGGAAGTTCTGGCCAGGGCAATCAGGCAAGAGAAAGAAATATAGGGTATTCAAATAGGAAGAGAGGACATCAAATTGGCTTTGTTTGCAGATCACATAATTCTATATCTAGAAAACCCCATTGTCTCAGTCCAAAAGCTTCTTAAGCTGATAAACAACTTTAGCAAAGCCTCAGGATACAAAATCAATGTGCAAAAATCATAAGCATTCCTATACACCAAAAATAGACAAGTAGAGAGCTAAATCATGAATGAACTCCCATTCATGATTGCTACAAATAGAATAAAATACCTAGGAATACAGCTAACAAGAGAAGGGAAGGACCTTTTGAGGGAGAATTACAAACCATGGCTCAAGGAAATCAGAGAGGACACAAGCAGATGGAAAAGCATTCCATGCTTATGGATAGGAAGAATGAATATCATGAAAATGGCCATATTGTCCAAAGCAATTTATAGATTCAATGCTATTCCCTTTAAGCTACCATGGACATTCTTCACAGAATTAGAAAAAAACTATTTTAAAATTCATATGGAACCAAAAAAGAGCCTGCATAGCTAAGACTATCCAAAGCAAAAAGAATAAAGCTGGAGGCATCACACTACCTGACTTCAAACTATACTACAAGGACACAGTAACCAAAACAGCATGGTACTGCTACAAAAACAGGCATGTAGACCAAAGGACCAGAATAGAGAACTCAGAAATAATCCAGAAATGTACTGTTATCTGATCTTTGACAAACCTGACAAAAACAACCAATGGGGAAAGATTCCCTGTTTAATAAATAGTGCTGGGAGAATTGGCTAGCCATATGCAGAAAATTGAAACTGGATCCCTTCCTTACACCTCACACAAAAATTAACTCAAGATGGATTAAAGATGTAAATGTAAAATCCAAAGCTATAAAAACCTTAGAAGAAAATCTAGGCAATACCATTCAGGACATAGACATGGGCAAAAACTTTATGATGAAATTGCCAAAAGCAATTGCAACAAAAGCAAAAATTGACAAATGGGATCTAATTAAGCTAAAGAGCTTCTGCACAGCAAATGAAACTATCATCAGAGCAAACAGGCAACCTACAGAATGGGAGAAGATTTTTGCAATCTATTCATCTGACAAAAGTCTAATATCCAGAATCTACAAGGAACCTAAGCAAATTTACAATAATAAAAAAACCCCATTAAAAAGTGGGCAAAGGATATGAGCAGCAGACACTTCTCTAAAAAAGACATACATGCGGCCAACAAACATATGAAAAATAGCTCAACATCACTGATCACAGGAGAAATGCAAATCAAAATCACAATGAGATACCATCTCACACCAGTTAGAATGGCGATTATTAAAAAGTCAAGAAACAACAGATGCTGGTGAGGTTGTGGAGAAATAGGAATGCTTTTACACTGTTGGTGGGAATGTAAATTGTGGAAGACAGTGTGGTGATTCCTCAAAGATTTAGAACTGGAAATACTATTTGACCCAGCAATCCCATTACTAGGTATATACACAAAAGAATATAAATCATTCTATGATAAAGATACATGCACATGGATGTTCATTGTAGCACTATTCATAATAGCAAAGAGATGGAATCAACCCAAATGCCCATCAATGATAGGCTGGATAAAGAAAATGTGGTACATATACACCATGGAATACTATGCAGCCATAAAAAGGAATGAGATCATGTCCTTTGCAGGGACATGAATGAAGCTGGAAGCCATTATCTTCAGCAAACTAACGCAGGAACAGAAAATCAAACACCACATGTTCTCACTTATAAGTGGGAGCTGAACAAAGAACACATGAACACAGGGAGAGGAACAACACTTACTGGGGCCTGTTCGGGAAGGGCAGTGTGAGGAGAGCATTAGGGAAAAGAGTTGATGCATGCTTGGCTTAATACCTAGGTGATGGGTTGACAGGTGCAGCAAACCACCATGGCACACATTTACCTATGTAACAAACCTGCACTTCCTGCACATGTACCCCGAAACTTAAAAAATAATTAAAAAAAAGAAAAGTGGTGCTATTTAAATTTCCATTCCTTTATACATGGGCTTCTGTTTGCTTTCTGCAGGTTTTTAGGATATTCTGTGCTTCATATACTGAGTCTTTAATTTTATTATCTTTTAAAATTTTCTGTTTGTATTTTTATTCAGCTTCCTGGGAGATTTGTTGGAATTATCTTTTGATTCTTCTACTATATTTTAAAGAATGATTACCTTTTTTCTATCTATAAGAGCTCTATCTTATTCTGATTGGTGAAACTTGTTTTATTGACACGCAGTAGTTTCTTATGTTATTGCATTGTAGTGTGTGGTTAAGAGGTAGACCTGCAGTCAGACCACCTACGTTCAAATCCCAGCTCTGTCATTTAATGGCTGTGCAAACTCAGACAAATTACTAAATTTTCTCATCTGTAAAATAGGATAAGGCCTTCATCATAGGACTGTTGTGATTATTCAATGAATGAATACACTTAAAGCACTTAGAACACTGCTTGACCTGTAACAAGAGCTCCATAAGCATTTGCTGCATTCTTTAACTCTCTGAGGTTATTAGTTACAGGATAAAAAAAAGATTTTCTGGTTTGTCTCCTTCCTTTGCATCCCTTTTGTTTAATTTGGTGCCCATCTTGACACTGGAAGATTTTCTCAAATGTCTGGTGATCTCTGGCTGTTCATAATTAAGAGTCACTAAAAAGTTGATTGTAAATTGTAAATGTGTGTATCAAGCACCAGAATGTTTTTCTGATGGAGTTCACTGTATGATGTGAACATGATAAACCTTCTCTTTTTTTTTTTGGCAGGATGCTGAAAATCAGTACATAGATATCTTTCATCTAGAGCTGTTCAGTTTCTCCAGAGAAGAATTCTGGGAGCAATGAAAGTTCTTGGCATCCAATAGTTCAATATGTGCATTTTCATTAATCCCCATTTTTGTCTCATACTTTGCCAACACTAAAGGATGTTGTGCATCCTTTAGTCTGGACCCTCTCTGGTTAGGTTTCTTCAGAGAAAAAATATTTTATTTTCTTTTGGAAAATTGTTGAAGGGGTGGTTATTTATTCTCTTTGAGAAGGAGAGATAGGACTTCTAGCTACTCTTTATTTAAATAAATTGTCAATAAATCCATCAATTGAAATGTGTTTAACTACATTTAACACTTATCTGGTATCTTCAACCCTGAGCCTTTCATGGGTGGGATATGTTAGCTCATTTCCTGTTAGTATCTTACCTCTATAAGCACTTAAGTTAAATATTTCTCAACTCTGTTTAGTCAGTTAGTTACTACTGCTCTTTCCTCTTTCTACCTTTGAAAATTTTATTAATATATTTTCTTTGCAGTTGTCTTCTATCTCATTCTTTTTGGCTTTAGGTTTATATATTTTTATTTCTCTTAGTAATCACTTGGGTGGTGCTCAAAGAAGTAGGCACCTAGGATTAATTTGTCATGTTTAACAAGAACCCAAATACATTGTTTTAATGGGAAGCTTTATCACCTTTTTCTGGGAAAGGTGAGGAATCAGTGACTACTAATAACTCTAGATCCTCTGGAATACACCTATTCCAATTTCTAGGAGCTAATATTCTGCCTGTCAGCTAAACACTTCAGGGTGAGAAAGAGTTTGCTGCAATTCATCAAATTGTATTATTATCTGATCTCCAGAAATTTCATGTTATGGAGTCAATATTGTCTTATAACAAAGCTATCCCACATGCTTTTTTGTTCTCTGTCAGTTTTCAGTGAGTCAGCTTGTCTCTCCCATACTTTATTTTTGTGAATGCTGAAGGAAGTGGCCAACACCCTATGATAGTCATGGCAGCATTTTCCTATCAATCTCCCTAAGGCTCAAGTCTCCGTGATTACTTGATCTGAACCCAAGAGCTGACAGGCAGTAGTTTAACCAACTGCTTTACCACCTTCAAAAAGTGTACATAGTAATAAAAGTGTTCATATGGAATTCTTGGATTCCAAACCTCAACCTTCAAAAATATACTTATTTACATTTTATTTGGATTCAGCCACATCAAAATTTTAGGTTCTATCCTTGTGAAAACCTTTTTCTGGATAATAACTTAAAAATATCAGCCTGGATTCTTTGGGTTCTAACTAACCATAGTCAAACTAAAAATTATCTGTCAGAATCCATAGAAGAATTCAACAGTAAAGCTGAGAAGCATCTGGTTCTCATAAGCAGTCGTGACCAGGAACCTCAATGACAGCAGGACATAACCTGTCTCATCTTTGCTATTCTGTATATCGCCATCATCATTTCTAGTTTGCACGACAGAGGGCTGAATATAAGCCACAAGAAGTTCATGAGTTTTCGATACTATATCTTCCACCAAAACAAAAGACGTTCTACTTTTTCAGTTTCAGTCCAAAGATATCCCTGGGAAGGGCTTTACTTGGCACAGCTTGAATGAAGTGTCTATTCCTGAGCCAATCAACTGAGGCCATAGCATGGGGTCAGGTAAGACTGGGTTATCTCCCAAGGGAATCATTTAGATAGGGAAGCTGTGGTGACAGTGGCATGTCCTCAAAAAAGTTGTGGAGCATTTTTTTTTCTCTAAGTTCAAAATACAGGTAATGCTATGTTCCTTATACACATCAACTTAAAGTGTAGCTATGAGAGGCAAAGGAAACCTTTTTGTCATTTCAAACCCTTCACTCTTTTACTCTGAAAACACCAGCTTATAGCAACAAAACTGATAGTTCACTTTAAAAAAAGGAAGTCTGAGAGCACTTACTGACTTCAATTCATTCAACAGGAAAACTTTCTTGTGGTATTGACAACCAGAACTATGAGCAACAGAGTTAAGGATGCTGGATTGAAAAATACTTTTAACATAATAGACCTCAGTAAATATTTTGGATATTGATGGTAGTGAAATGTCCAACCTAGAATTAGAATCACTTTAAAACATGATAGATAGCCATTAAGTCAGTCACTAAAGTGATTTCTGACAATATGATTGGTGTATGCATATGAATGATTTAATAAAATTACATAAATTGAAATAGAAGATTTGCATCTTGCCTCAGCGCATACAGTTTGTCAGAGCTAGTTATTGATACCTTGCAAAGGAATTGACACAAACTTGAATTTGAATTTCTTCAGTTGGTTTGCTGTCACACAGTGATTTTTACATTCTGATTGTTTAAAAATACGTGTAAGAATTACAATTTGCATTTGAGCTTGTTCAAGCAAGTGCAAACAATTCAAGTCTTATAATTTAATACTGAGTTATCCTTCCCTGCAATTTGAAGATGAGGAAATTGAATTATTTACTTTGTGTATCAGTGCAGATATCATAGACCTGATTTATTGCTGATAATGATAGTAAGTAGATTAGCCTCTGAATATTCAAAATTTAAAACACATCTTTTTTAATTGTTAAAAGTCTCCTAAGAATTAATGCTTGACTTTGAAAAGCAAGAAAACATATTTTGGTAAGTGCAAGTTTTCAAAAACATTAATGGAGACTAGTCAGAAGTATTCCCTACTGTTATAATTTTCTCTGCTTCAAAATTTCAGAAACTCTCTGACCCCAAATATACATGCACGGTGATTTCAGATAATTTCACCTATGTGTAAAGTGTGATAGATAGCTGTGAATTTAGGTACATTATTTTAAAATTCCTCTTTTGTGATATTCTCTTTAGGGTAATGCATTAAGAATGCATGCGTATTCATGTAGATTACATTGTATATTTGTCTAACATAAATGTGGATGATAGAGTCATTAGAGCCTTATTCATTTCAACTCACATTAAAATCTTTGAAATTTGAAACATTCAGGGATGAGACAGAAGGTGAGTGTGAGGACAGAAATGTATGAGGATGTATCTCCTGTTTCCGTTGCAGCTTTAACTTTAGCAGCGTCACAGTGCCCAGGGAACAGAAAGGAAGATTAAAAGAGATGCTATGAGCTAGGAGTCATATATTTTGCCTTCATCAGTGGGATATGAGCTCTGTTAAAGCTGGTAGACTTCAAATAAAGTCATACTACACCAGACTGTAGAGGGAGCATTCCAGAGAAAGTGGCTGGTAAAAAGATAATTTGACAGTCTATATTTAAGAATTATTTATAACTGTTTCTCAGAGTCCTTATGAATACCAGGGTTGTAAAGGTGTGGAAGAAACTAGGCCAAATGAAGCTGCGTGTAGATTAATTAACCTAGATTCAGGAAATACATGAAGATGTATCATTGCCCGGTGTTGTGTGTGGGATGTTCTTGATCATTTAATAGAGAGATGGTGGTTTTCAGAATCAAGGTTTAGGAGTCAGTATTATCAGATATGTGCCCCAAATTAGGTGTAGATGATAGGATGCTTTAAGGCACTGCCTATGTCCCCACTTTGTGTCTGATAGAAAGGGTGACTGGGATTATGGAAGATATGGAAAGGATAGTGAACTTTGATATACCTTGGTACTTTTCATGGCTTTGAAGGAGCCCAAGCAAAACCTTTTTAAAGGGTTAGTTGTCCAATATCAGTGAAGTATGTGGAGTGAAGATCAGGAGGAGTAAGCTTTCCCTGAAAGATTTTTGCTCTCACTACAGACATTGTTCTACTAAATTCAGGGACTACAACATTTTTAGACTTTAATAGATAATATGAGTGACTTATAAACAACTATGTCCAAATTTCCAAGCTTTTCTTGATTTAACTCAAAGTTATCAAATGCAGGAATGTGGGTTAGGGTTCTTACTGGAGGGATGGAAGCCCTGGACAGACCCACACACTGAAGGAGGTGAAGGTCACTAGTCCACAGACTCGAGGTCCACATAACAACATGCTGCGGTGAGTCAGTTGCTCCTCTAGGAGAAAAAAGCTTTACCTCGATGGTATTTTTCTGGCTGTCACACACCTCCAGTTGAAAGGCAAGTTGTCATGAATGTTCATCTGCAGAGCACTACTGCTTGCCTCAGAACCTCCAGCAGAGGAATGACCTGGGTCTATTGTTTCATCTCTACTCCATCATGGACTCTGGGATACTTGGCAGCATCTCAGTATCTTGCTTCCCTTCTGTGTCTCTTCACTTCCTTTTGACTGTGATGAATGTGTTTCAGGTACTGCCTGTAATAAGAATGAAGAGATCTACAGCTCATCTTCTGCCAAGTGACGGGATTATTATAAACACTAAATATTAAGACTCATTTGACTGTCTGCTGCCTTCACTACCTGCAACCCACCCTACTCTACCCAATCCAAGGAAAGAAAGAAAGAGAAGAAGGAAGAAAAAATAAGGAACAAAGAAGCAGAGAAAGAGACTTGCATAGTTCACATGTGAATCTATACAAAAACATTTTAATAAAATATTTAATTTCACCACACAGAAAACTAGAACTGTCAAGCAATTTACTGCTAGACTCTGTGAAGAGTAAATCTGTGAAGACTTTTACTCATAATGCCAATGGAAATAGATTGAGAAAACGATCACTGATTTATGTAAGCTGGGATTCCAAGCAAATCTGCTGGTCTGAAAGATATCAGGATGATTGTTGCTGTCTCATTGGTTGTCAGAACTCTAGTTTGGGAACACGGGATCCGCTTAAAACCTGGACTACTCTCTCGCTGTTTGGGGCAACTTGCACCAACATCTAGGCATTAATTGGCTGTGAAAATAAAGACCATGAGACCCCTGCAACCCCAAACCCTGGAGCCTCATCAGTCAGGCTCCTTACCATTATTTCCCTCCTCTTATAAACCTTTCCTTCATTTCTGTGCTTCCAAACCCCACAAAATAGAAAATTATCCTACAATTGCAGTTGCAGTTGCAATTAATTATCCTATTAATTGCAGTTGCTGATTAATTGTTGATGGCAAAGTGAAAGCCATTGAAAAATAGAGTGAGTGAATATTCAGGATATTTGGCTGTAAGACCATGATGGTATCTCAAATAATGGGGATTTATTATTAAGTTACTGATGTGGCAGTAATGGAGATGGGGTTTTACAAAGTCTGTGAAGAGCTAGGTCATTCCAAAGGAACAGGGGCCATGCTTACAGACACAATTTAGAGGCTACACTAGAAGGAAGAGTCATTCAAGATTCAAGGCTTCTCTGTGGAACCAGGCTTTATGGGGCCTGCTCAGGCCTTCAATTCTCTGCTGGGTTCCCTCTGATTTTGTGACTTCTGCTTAACTATCATCCTCTACTCACAGATTTACTCTATGGTATACTTTTTGTTGACTCAAAGTTTCTGCTTACTTGTAATTTGGCTCCTCTGTGGTTCTTCAGCTTCATGTCTGCTTTTGCTGTTTTTCTTAAATTTCCTGCTCCTGCTTTTCAGAGTCCTCTGTCTTTCACACTAATATTTCTGCCATATTAAAGGAAGATACTTTGCGCAAGACAATTACCATGATTCCTGTTGAGCAGAACGTTTCTTTTGGTTTGTTTTTGTTTTGACGACAAATGGTTTTTTAAAAATTGTGGTAACATTTATATAAGGTAAAACTCATCTTTTTAGCCTTTTTAAAGTGTATAATTCATTGACATTTAATGCATTCACAATTGTTGTACAAACATTACCACTATCTAGTTTTAGAGCATTTTCATCACCACAAATGGAAACCCCATACCCATTAATCAATGACTCCTCATTTTTCCCTTCCCCAAGTCACTGGCAATCACTAATCTTTTCCTTCTCTGTGTATTTGCCTATTCTGGACATTTTATATAAATGGAATCATACGACATGAACTTCTGTGTCTGGTTTCTTTCACTTCACATAATGTTTACAGGTTCATCTATGGAGCATGTGTCAGTACTTCATTTCTTTTTTATAACTAAATAATATTCCATTGTATGGATATTTTGTTTGGCCATTTATTGTTTTGTGGATGTTTGGATTATTTCCACCTTTTGGTTCCTGTGAATAATGCTGCTATAAACATTCATGTACAAGTTCCTGTTTGAACACCTGTTTTAAGTTCTTTCAGGTATATACCTAGGTGTAGAGTTGCAAGGTCATATGGTAGTTTTGTTTTTAACTTATTGAGGAACTGCTGAACTGCTTTTCAAAGTAACAGTACCATTCTACATTCCCATTAGCAATGTATGAGAGTTCTAATTTCTCCATATACTTACTAGCACTTGTTACTTCCCACTGCTTTTTAGAAAAGAGCCTTCTTAGTGTGAAGTGGTATCACCAAGTACTTTTTCTAAAGCTTAATTTAATTTTTAAAAATTGACATTCAATAATTGTACATATTTATGTAGTACATAGTGCTGTTTTGATACATACAATGTATAGTGATCAGATGGGGGTAATTAGCATATTAATTCTTTTTGTTGAGAACATTCAATAACTATAGTCATCCTACAGTGGTATAGAACAGTAGCAATTATTTCTCCTATTTAGTTGTAATTTTGTATCCTTTAACAAATCTCTCCCTATTCCCCCATTTTCTCTACTCTTTTCAGTATCTGCTATCCTCTGTTCTACTTTTAACAGCTGTTTTCAGCATCTACATATGAGTGAGAATATGCAGTGTTTAACTTTCCTTTTGTGGTTAATTTCACTTAGCATAATGTCACCTAGCTCCATCCATATTGCTGTGAATGACAGTATTTATTAATTTTTTATGGCTGAATGGTATTCCATTGTGCATATACACAGCATTTTCTTTATCCATTCATCTCTTGTTGGACACCTAAGTTGATTCCATAGCTTGGCTATTGTGAATAGGGCTGCGATAAACATGGAGGTACAGATATCTCTTTGATATACTAATTTCCTTTTCTTTAGATATATATACCCTGCAGTAGGATTGCTGGATCATATGCTAGTTCTATTGGTAGTTTTTTTGAAGAACCTCTATACCGTTCTTGATATTGGTTGTACTAGCTTACATTCCCACCAACAGTGTATGAGTTCCCTTTTATCCACATCCTTACCAGCATTTGTTATTGTTTGTCTTTTTGATAATAACCATCCTAACTAGGGTGAAATGATATCTGTTGGCCATTTGTATGTCTTCTTTTGAGAAACGTCTGTTCAGACCATTTGTCCATGTTTTAATTGGATTTTTTGTTTTTTTTGCTGTTGAGATGTTTGAGTTCCTTGTATATTCTGGATGTTAATCCCCTGTTGAATGAATAGTTTGCAAATATTTGCTTCCATTCCGTAGGTTGTCTTTTCACTTTGTTGGTTGTTTTCTTTGATGTGCAGATGTTTTGTAGTTTTATATAATCTCATTTCTTTCTGTTTGTTTTGCTTTTGTAGCCTGTGCTTTTGAGGTCTTATTCATAAAAATCTCTTCCCAGACCAATGTCCTAAAACACTTTCCCTATGTTTTCTTTTTAATTATTTCATAGTTCCTGGTCTTACATTTAGGTCTTTGATCCATTTTGAGTTGATTTTTGTATGGAGTGACAAATGGGGTCTAATTTCTGCTTAGATTAAAAGAAAACCCCGGAGTTGTCTTCGATTTTCTTTTGATTCCATATAGCTGCATCACCACAAATGGCCCTACTTTGAATATATACCTGGAATTTGACCAGCTCTCCTCACCTCCACTGCTTCCACTTTGGTCTGAGTCACCATCATCTCTTGCTCCTCTACAGTTGTTTCTCTATCCTGTCACTCCACTGCTGGCAGCTGCCTATTAGCTTTCAGTCTCACTAAAAATAAACATTCCAGATTCCAAATCATAAAAGTCCCTGATTGGATGCCAACCCTTTCTATGATGTAATCTCCTCTCTTTCTCTAACTTCTTTCCACCCAGGCAGAGTAATCTGGATTTTACTTAGGCATAAACTTTTCCTCCATCTATGGTTTACTTTTGCTTTTCTCTTTTCCTGGAACACTTGTCTTCTCCCATCAGCTTCTTTTTTTTGTTATTCAGGTCCCTGTTCAAATATTATTCCTCAAGGTGGCCTTCTTCAACTACCTTAGATAAACTTTTCCTTTCCCAACCTCATTCTCCTTTCTTATTTTAATTCATAACACTTATTACTATTTATTTATTTGCTTAAATAGCTATTGTCTATTTCTCCTACTAGAATATAAGCGAGATGAGGTCAAGTTCTTTGTTGTATTTATCTCAGCTTTCCTAGTGATTATCGTAGCATCTGACATATAGTAGCTATTCAATAAGTATTTATTGCATGAATGAATGAATAAAAAAAAATCCCATCCTTCTGTGGTGCTCTCAGTAGAGTCTACAGCATGAAGAGGGGCTGGGCAGGCAAAATTAATAACAATTTATAAGTTCAAAATATTTTGCCTCATTCGTCTTCAAGAAAGGACTTTATTGTCTCATTTATTTTCTACTGCTTATTGAAAAAAAATGGATTATTTGTTTTTCTATTCATTTTGCTGTCCTTATGTAATTTTTTTTGGTACAGCTAAACAGACCACAGTTTCAGTTTTAGCCACTTTTGGATGAAGGCAACCTTGTTTTCAAGGACTTTTTGCTCAGTCCTTAACTTTTTCAGAAGAATGGTATAACACACACGTAATTCATATGAGGCTATATATTTCCCTGATGGGTTTACTAGTTTTAATAAATTGTAAGTACTATGAATCCAGCTCTCACCTTTTAATTTCATTTTTGATACTATGAATTTTATCATCAGAAAGCATATTCATCTTTCCATAACCTTTTCTTCTTCATGTTAAGTGAGTTCTGTTTGTGTAGTACTGCTTCATGGTGGGTGATCCTCAAAAGAGAAAACTCTCTGATCTGTCATAATTGAATAAACATTTTCAAATTTGACAAAATATGTTCTGGCATAGTTATGACCAAATCACAATTGGCCATTTGTTTTTTCTTGGCCAAAGCTCTGATGCCAATGAATTAGGTAAAAGAAATTTTAAGAGCATAGGCTTTGGAGTTGGTCAACATGGGGTCAAATCTCAGTTTTGCCCCTTGTATCTATAATGAACAAGTTACTTAACTTCTTTGAATTTCAGTTTCTTTCTTTGTAAAATGGCTAATACAGTGCAAGGCTTCAGTGTCATGAACATGAACAATGATGCATGCAAAACACCTGGCAGACTCTAGCTGGTAAAGATGGCTGGATAACTGATGTTATTGTTTAGCCATATTTCTTGAAGGTTTTACTTCATAACCATAGGTTTCATATAAAAATGGAAAATCCCTAGTCATTATAATTTTCTTTTTAAAACTAGCATTTGTTCTATTTTTTAAACCAAGGAAGTATAATCTGGTTGACTATTTCTCCCTGTCCCACTCTTAGAAATTGCCTACTGTCTTTTTGGATAGTATTTCTACTGTTTGAAAATGTAACTTAGCAGAGTAAAAGTTGAGGGCTTTTGTTTGAGACAGATGGAAGATAAAGAGTGCCTGTATGGAGGTAAGACAGATTATGTAACCTAGTGTGACTAGATCTCAGGTTCCCTTGGGTATGTGGTAGGATATGTGGCTGGTTGCAAGATTTGCAAGGCCAGATCTCATTGGGACTACTGGTGCCCGCCAACACGTCCAGCTAGTTTTTTTGTATTTTTAGTAGAGATGGGGCTTCACCCTGTTAGCCAGGATGGTCTCGATCTCCTGACCTCGTGATCTACCCGCCTCAGCCTCCCAAAGTGCTGGGATTACAGGCATGAGCCACTGCACCTGGCCTTACTAACAATATTTTTTCTTGGAAAAAATATTTTTGTGGATATGTTAGATAATACAATGAAAAAGAATTATCTGAGAAGAAGAAAATACATTAAATGTCAGCAATTGTTGTCTTTGAATAGAAGGATTATGAGGGTGATTTTAATTTTCTCTCTACTTTTCAGAAGTTTCCAAATATTCCAAAATGAGCATATATTACTTTTACAATCAGAAGAAGTCAAAATGCGCAATGAAAAGAAGATATCACATTTCATTTTATTGTGGGAAAGTTGAAGAAGCAGGACATCTTCTAATTTTCTTGGCAAAACACCACATACTCATGAAAAATTGCTTTTGGTGAGAATAACCAGGGGACATACAAACTCTGTCTCAGAATATGGTCCTTTCTGAAATACGCCAGGGGACAGGGGCAACCAGGGTCATACTCGTCCCTGGCCTTTAGCTCGTGGGTTCATTTCTATCACCGCTGCTTGTGAGTCCCTCTGCTGTTGCAACTGTGCTTTGCAATCCCCAAGGCGGGAAAAGCACAGGGAACTGAGGCTCCTTGAGATGGTTAATTATAGGTGTCAACTTGGTAGGCTATGGTGCTCGGTTGTTTCTTCAAACACTAATTTAGGGGTTGCCATGAAGGTGTTTTGTCTGATATGATTAACATTTACAATCAGTTTACTTTCAATAAAGGAGATTATTCTCCATAATGCGGTAGGCCTCATTCAATCAATTCAAAGCCTCAAGAAGTTTTCCATAGAAATTCCACCTTAGTTTCCAGCCAGCTGTCCTGCCCTACACACTTGCCAGCTCCCATTGTCAAGTGAGCCAGTTCCTTAAAATCTCTCTCTCTCTTTACACATATGTTACCTACTTATATATATATAACATATATATTAACATGCATATAAAAATAAAAAGACTTTTACTGAAACACACCTCTAAGCTCATTTTTTTCCTGGAGCCCACACAATGACCAGAGAGATGTTACTGATGCAGGAGTTTTCTTGGCCACTTTGCCAACCAGGGACCTCCATAGCCAGTAACACCCCTCTGCCAGGGCCTTGCTCAGCCCCCAGCCTGCCACTGGAGGTGCCCCACCCACTCATCCCACTTGTGCTATAGCTTGTATCTGCATTCTGTGGTTCCTGAGCTCTTGTCTCGAGTCCAAGAAGAATGAGGATACTCTGATAATTGAAAGGTGAGGATGGGCAAAGGAGGATAATTTTATTGAGTGATGGAACAGCTCTCAGTGGAGAGGGCATCTGGGAGGGTCCCCCACACCCAGTCAGGTGATTTCTCTCCCAGTGTGGTTGGGTCCAGGGCTTTTTATGGACTCAGAATGGGGAGTGCAGGCTGATTGGTTTGTGAGTAGGCAAAAGAGGTTAAAGTGAAGACACCACTCTAAGGTGAGCACGACAGTGTAGAGAACCAATTAGGAATGGGTAGGTATATGTAAAATAGGTGAAGGGTAGGATCAATCAGAGGAAAGCACTGCCAAATGGGAAGACAGGTTCTCAATCCAATCTGTGGATTTACCCGAGACTTAGGTTTTAAATTGTCTTCAGCTTGAAGGTTAGGTTTCAGCTGGGACCCATCCATATCTGCCTAGGCATTTGTCTGCTTCCTGTCTCTATCATTACTGTTCTTTATCCAAGTCCCTCCTGTGTTCTGAGGAGCTAGTCTTCCAGAAACCAAACAGTCATATCTAACTGGAGCTCTCTCACACTCTTTTACAGACAGTCAGAGACTTCAGTTATACCTAGAGGATATGGGTTGAAACTTGACAAAGTGACTGAGTCTGTTGGAGGGAAATATTGGACTTTGGGCCCGTGAAAGTCCTCCCACCTTTCTATCCTCTCCCCTTCCTCATTCTCTAATTCCACATGTCTTCACAGGAGGTGTTTGATCTGTCCTTTTGGTCTAGTCTTGTGAATTGAAGACTAGAGAGATTCAGGCTTTGATCAGATAATAAATGATGCCTCTCTGCATTTCATGTTTGCTGATTCTGAAGGCAAAGGGGTGACTAACTGTAGTGGTTTGGACTCCTCAATGTACAGGAGCAGGGGTTGTAGGTGTCTCCCTCCTTTTTTTTCTTTAGATAAAAGAAGAAAACACATGTAACCACAGAGAACAATGTTGTTGGTTTTGCTTTTGTTTTTGCTCCAAAGGACTGCCTGGTCTTATATGAGGAAAGGATATTTCTTCTATTAGCGTAACTTAGACTTTCCCTTTGTGAAATAATAACCCTAGACCTGTAGTATTCAGGGGCATGTGAAACTTTTCTGAGCTTGACTTTTTAATTTTTGTTGGTTTGTTTGGGTTTTTATAATTGTGACAAAATATACATAACATCACATCTACTGTCTTAACAGTTTTTAAATGTAAAGTTCAGTAGTGTTAAGTACATCACATTGTTGAGCAACCAATCTCCAGAGCTGGCTCATTTTATCAATCTCTGTACTTATCGTAAGCAGCTATGTTTAGTGATTTGGTCTCAGCAGCCCCTGCTGTAATTGAATTCTCCTTGATGCCTTGGAGGGTGGGCTTTTTCTATTCATTTAGCACTGTAGTAGTTTTCCATGGCTTCAGCAACAAATTATCACAAGTTCAGTTACTTAAAACAACAGTTTATTAGTTCTTGAGGTCAGAAGTCCAGCACATGTCTCACTGGGCTAAAATCAAGGCCCTGGCAGGGCTGTGTTTCTTTCTGGAGACCCTAGGAGAGAACCATTTTCTTTCCTTTTCCAGCTTTGAGAGACCACCTGTGTTCCTGGACTTGTGATCTTTTCCTCCTCTAAAACCAGCCATTTAGCATTTCTCTGACTTTTTATTTTTAATCACATCTTTCTCTGACTCTCCTCCTTGGCCTCCCTTTTTCACTTTTAAGGCCTCTCATGGTTACGTCATCCTCAGATAATCCAGGATACTCTCTCTATTTTAAGATCAGCTGATTAGCAACCTTAATTCCATCTGCAATCTTTTTTTTTTTTTTTTCAGTTTTTATTTTAAGTTCAGGGCTACATGTGCAGGATGTGCAGGTTTGTTACATAGGTAAACATATATCATGGGGGTTTGTTTTACCAATTATTTTGTCATGAAGATATTAAGCCTAGTATCCATTAGTTATTTTTCCTGATCCTCTCCCTCATCCTATTCTCTACCCTCTGATAGGCTCAAGTGTGTGTTGTTCCCCTCTATGTGTCCATGTGTTCTTATCATTTAGCTTCCACTTATAAGTGAGAACATGTGGTACCTGGTTTTCTGTTCCTGTGTTAGTTTGCTAAGGATAATGGCCTGCAGCTACATCCATGTCCCTGCAAAGGACATGATCTCATTCATTTTTATGGTTGCATATTATTCCATGGTGTATGGAATACATGTACCATGTTTTGTTTATCCAGTCTACTACTGATGGGCATTTGGGTTGATTCCATGTCTTTGCTATTGTGAATAGTGCTGCAATGAACATATGTGTACATGTGTTTTTATAATAGAATGATTTATATTCCTTTGGGTACATATCCAGTAATAGAATTGCTGGGTCAAATGGTATTTATGACTTTAGGTCTCTGAAGAATCGCCACACTATCCCACAATGGTTTAACTAATTTACACTCCCACCAATAGTGTGTAAGTGTTCTTTTTTCTCCACAACCTATTTTTGACTTTTTAATAGTAGCCATTCTGAATGATGTGAGATGGTATCTTGTGGTTTTGATTTGCGTTTCTCTAATGATCAGCAATGTTGAGCTTTTTTTTTTCTAAATATGTTTGTTGGCCACATGTATGTCTTCATTTGAAAAGTGTCTGTTCATGTCCTTTGCTCACTTTTTAATGAGGTCGTTTGTTTTTTTCTTGTAATTTTTTTAAGTTCCTTATAAGTACTGGGTATTAGACCTTTGTCAGATGCATAGTTTGCAAACATTTTCTCCTGTTCTGTAGGTTGTTTACTCTGTTGATAGTTTCCTTTGCTGTGCAGAAGCTCTTTAGTTTAATTAGATCCCATTTGTCAACTTTTTCCTTTTGTTGCGATTGCTTTTGGTGTCTTTAGTCATGAAATCTTTTCCCATGCCCATGACCTGAATGGTATTGCTTTGGTTGTCTTCCAAGGTTTTTGTAGTTTTGGATTTTACATTTAAGTCTTTAATCCACCTCGCATTAATTTTTGTATATGGTGTAAGGAAGGAGTCCAATTTTAATCTTCTGCATACAGCTAGCCAGTTATCCAGTTATCCCAGCACCATTTATTGAATAGGGAATCCTTTCCCCATTGCTTGTTTTCGTCAGGTTTGTTGAAGATCAGATAGTTGTAGATGTGCGATCTTATTTTTGGGTTCTCTAATCTGTTTCATTGATCTACGTGTCTGTTTGTGTGTCTGTTTAGTAACCAAAACCATGCTGTTTTGGTTACTGTAGCCTGTAGTATAGTTTGAAGTCAGGTATTATGATGCCTCCAGCTTTGTTCTTTTTGCTTAGGATTGTTTTGGCTATTTGAGCTCTTTTTGGTTCCATAGGAATTTTAAAATAGTTTTGTCTAGTTCTGTGAAGAGTGTCAATGGTAGTTTAATGGAAATAGTGTTGAATTTACAAATTTCTTTGGGCAGTATGACTATTTTAACAATATTGAGTCTTCCTATCCATAAGCATGGAATGTTTTTCCATTTGGTTGTGTCATCTCTGATTTTTTGAGCTGTGGTTTGTAGTTCTCCTTGTAGAAATCTTTCACTTCCCTTTTTAGTTGTATTCCTAGGTATTTTATTCTTTTTGTGGCAATTGTGAATGGGACTTTGTTTGTGATTTGGGTCTTGGCTTGACTGTTGTTGGTGAATAGAAATGCTAGAGATTTTGGCACATTGATTATGTATTCTGAGACTGCTGAAGTTGCTTCTGAAGAAGGTTTTGGGCTGAGACAATGGGGTTTTCTATGTATAGGGTCATGTCATCTTCAAACAGTGACAGTTTGACTCCTTCTCATCCTGTTTGAATTCCCTGTATTTATTTCTCTTGCCTGATTGCTCTGGGCAGAAATTTCAGTAATATACATTGAATAGGAATGGTAAGAAAGGGCATCCTTGTCTTGTGCCGGTTTTCAAGGGGAATGCTTCCAGCTTTTGCTCATTCAGTATGATATTGACTGTGGGTTTGTTACAGATGGCTCTTATTATTTTGAGGTTTGTTCCTTCAATACCTAGTTTATTGAGTTTTTAACATGAAGGGATGTTAAATTTTATTGAAAGCCCTTTCTGGATCTATTGAGTTAATCATGTGGTTTCCATCTTTAGTTTTGTATCTGATGAATCAGATTTATTTATTTGCTTATGTTGAACCAACCTTGCATTCAGGGTTGAAGCTTACTTGATCGTGGGTTTTAAGCTGTTTTGTTTGCATGAGTATAAATCTAACTTTATAAAAACTATAAATGGAATTTACAATCATGGTAAAGTGTGACATTGCTACTTAGAAAACATCTTAGATTGTATCCAGTTGAAGTACGGAAAATTCCAGTTTCTTATTTTGGGGGGAAATGAAATGCCTCATAAATAATACTCTAGGAAGGACAAGAAACTCACCTACAGATTTTTTTCTTCTGTACATTTTTCTAACACTTGAAAAAATGCTGACATTTTGTGACTATGAAATTGATGGAAAGTGAATAAAGAACTGTAAAAAAGAATAGCATATCATTATACATTCAAAATTGTTCTTCATTTTAAGAGTAGAAAACTGGGTAGGGATCTAAATCACAGCTATTTGAAATGAGATACGTGATATGTATTGTCTAAGAATACTTATGTCAGAGAGCCACAATTTTGCAAATTTCTTAAAAGGAAAGAATTATGTTTTACTATATCCAAGAGGGCAGAAAAGAAACATCAAGATACCACATGAATTCTAAGCTACAGAATAATGAACTATCCTTTGTATTTAAAGATGATACAGTCAAGTCACCGTTGGCAGAAAAGATATTCTAAGCTAATAAAATCTGAACCTCCATCTCTCCCACAAGCTGTTTTACCAGAACTAAAGTTCAATAAGTCAATCAGACAATATTGCCGAGGGCCTTCAATGCGCAAGTTACTTTCATTTGTTCGGAGAAGCAAAGAAAAAGTTGTCTTTTTGAAAGACACTTGCTAAAATAATTCTGTGCCATATACTGAAAGAATGGTATAAGTGGAAAGAGTATCTCCTGGTTTAATTTAGTAGTTATTCTGTGGTATGCCACAAAAATTAGCATACTCATAAAACTCTTACCTTAGGCACTGGGGTCATCAAATAGAGACCTGGAGCTTATACTGCAGAGGAAATGATCACCTATAGCCCAAGTATCTCTGGAAAAAGTGAAATGAGTTAGATTTCTACATCTAACCAACATCAAATTTAACATCTCTTGGATCTGACATGTGTCACAGGCCTTCAAAGTGCAGGTTGACTTGCCTAACTAATTTACACATTATGAAAAGAAGCCAAACACTTAGAAATACTCTATTAGACACTGCTACTTAAAAACCCCAATGTGCCTCATTTAAAAAAGTGCTTGCTGAGATTCTTTTGAAGTGTGATTATTATTATTCATTCAAAACCCCTCTTAAGTTTTTATGAATGCATAAAATGATTTATCAGCCTTGTCCATGGGCTGCTCCAGATGTTGCTTTCCAGGCTGTAATTTTTATGAGTCTACTTTATAGGTCAAAGAGCTGGGAGTCAGGGTGACTGCTTATAGCTTACAGTCTGGAGAGGTGATAATCATTTAGGAGACAGGAAAGCAATGAAATGACCATTTAAAATTTTTGCATTTTAAAGACTATGTGAGATGTAAATATAGGCAACAACAAACCTAAGTCACCAGTCAATTGGAGATATATTGACTTAAGTCTTTTAGCTCTTGTGTTTTTTTTTTAAACAAAACAAAACAAAACAAAATCTAAATCCAATGGAGGTGGTAGTAGTGTCTCATAAACTTCAGTGTGAGTTTCCACTGCATCTTCTTATTACCAGCTCTATCTTTAATCCTGAGGCTTTGATGCCCAGGGAATGTGACATGCTGAGCAGTCTAAACAAAGGAATAAAGCTGACCTGGATTCTTTTTGAATCCATTAATTAACTGATTTATTTATGCAGGAACATTAATAGAGCAGTTATGGGGCACTGTTGGTATATAAAGATGCCTGGGACACAGCCCTGCCTTCCAGTGGCAAATAATTCCTTTGTAAGGAATAAGAGATAAGGAGGGGCCAAAATGAAGGTAAAGAAAAGCGGCAGGAGAGTACCGAAGAAAGATGAGTGGAGATTTGGAAAGACCGTCAGGATAACTGGATTCACTGAAAAGAAAGCAGGATAGGGTAGAGGTGAAGCCTGGAATTTGGAGTCAGATAGACCTGGGTTTGAATTTGGCTTCTATAAACTTCCAATATCTGTGACCTTGCTCAGGTTATTAGCCCCCAAGCCTTTGTTCCTGGACGTACCGGTAATGGCCTTATGAAGCCTCTATGGAGCCTTATGAAGCCTCTATGAAGTTCTTCATACAGGATCAATAATGTTATTCTAAAGAACTGCAAATCTTGGCACATAAAGAGTGATTAGCAAGAGGCAGCTCTTATTTTTATGGTTGTTTTCATATAAGACTGCTCAGAGGTTTGGAATATTTCTTGCGTGGGGCAGAGAATTGGATTCACAAAATTTCTCTAGCCAGTAATATGATAGATATCCCCACACAAGCTCATGAAAACATGCTGTGATGTTTTCAGGAATTTTGCAAGCTGTTTGTTAAACATAGCTGTCCTTGAAATCGCCATGGTGGGAATATTTACACTATGAAAACCAGCAAATGCTACAAATCTGAGCTCCCTGGTGCCCACTTGATTTACCAGCACATCATTGCAAGCAAATTTCAATCCTAGCAGACCTATGGGGCTCCAGGAGTGGAGGGGTGTAGGTGTAGATTTGGAGTGGGGAGAGAGCCTCCCCATAATTCAGGGTTTTAAGTCCTGTCTTGAGGGAACATAACCAGGGTCAAAGGTGATGCCAGAATGAGAAGAAAAATGCGGCGGCGAATAAACTCTCTCTTTTTAAAAAAAATTCCTTAGAACTTGTAAACACGTTAAAACTCTCTTGTAATTTAAACATTTTATTTAAGCCTTTGAAAGCACTGTTTAAATGTCATATTTATAGGTGCATTCTGGAATTGAAAATTACAGCCCCAGAACGGCCCAAATGTTTGTTCCTTGATAGCAGCTGTTTTCAATATAATTAGAAGAAATGGAGCACACGTGTAGTAATAATATTTATAAACACTTCTTTTTGTGCTATCCAGATCTCCACAGTGAATAACAGTGCTCTGGGTTCCCAAGTGTACCCAAGTCAATCATTTCCCTCTTTTCTGAACTGTAACAGGAGGATCTTCAATGGTTATGAGGTATTTAAAATCCAGCCTGGTCCTTATTATGGAGAAAGTGTTCCTTGTACCTAACCTAATCAGTATTGCTTGAATTGAATCTCATTCCGTCTTTGCCTCCATTAGGGATGGAGAACGGCTGGTCAGTATTTTCATTTATTCCATCATCAAAGCTGGTGATGCTGAATTTAAACTCCTGTAAGCCCAGTTTACATTTAGTCTTTTAAAATTTCTCTCTGTAGTACTGTTTTATAAAATTTTCACTGTCTAGATTTTTTTTTCTATCTCTGTTTCTTCCATGCCTGTTATGTCTCCAACTGCAAAAGCATTCTTTGTTCCATTAAGTCCCGTATTTAGGGCCACTGCCGCCTGTCTATTCAAGTAGTAGATCTCTATCTGATAAATCCCCCACCCACTGATCCTTTTCTACCTCTAGATTATACCTGTTTTGGAAGGAGCTCCATGCACCTCTGAGGTTAGGCACTCGGCAGTTTATTTTTAGCTCCTTCATTTAATTGGCCTGCTAGGTTTTGCAGCTTGCTATTATTGCGTTCCAAACCGCAGTGACCAATGAAGTGTAAAGTCATCAAAAGTCTCTTAATTTTCTCCCTGGGTGAAGCTGGCATTAGAAAGTTTAGAGTTATTAATGGTTGTTTTGTCAACGACTAAACCGCATTTGCTTGGCCTAGGAAACCTTTTTGGGACACGGTAGACATACTATTAACGTTTCAGAGCCTGAGTTTTCAACCAGCTGACAGCTGAGAGGCAGTAAAATTGGAATTGAGGTGGAAAATCTCCAAAGAAAGTTTTTCCAACCCTGCAGAACCTAGGATGACCAAAACTGCTATGCATAATGGAGGAGAAAGAACAGGGGCTTTAATGCCAGGGACAGTGAATGAACTCTGCCCCTGGATTGACTCTGTGACTGTGGCCAAGTGCTTAATTCCTCCTGATGCTCAGTGTCTTTATTTACAAACTTAGACAATATTATTTATTTCATAGGGATATATGAGGAACAATGTAATACTATTTAGAGACTATAATTAGGTGACTATCATTTATTATCCAAACCAAGACAGTTTTTAAAATGAAAGGGGGAGCTTTTAATTATGCCATGAAAAGAGACATACGTTGGGGCTTTCCGAGGCAAATGTGGATGTCCAGTTATGTTCGCTATGATTTCCTCAGGTGGAGAGGCTGTGATACATTTAAGTGAATTCTGGTTTAGTGTAGGAACTAAATAAATGTTTTGCAGAATTAACAGAGGGCTTTTTGCCCTGTTTCCTTTTATCTCATATTCTTCTCCTTTGGTGCATAGCATGACTCCGGGAAAGAAAGTGCATAACAAAAAATGAGGCCAGAGGATTTTTGGGAAAGGGCCTCATTCCTTCTAAAATGTAAGCTTTGTCTGGGAGTGGTTGACAATAGTGATACAGAAACTCCACATGGGTTTGGAGGATGCAAGAGCAGAGGCCAGCAGATCAGGTATTATCCAGGAAGGAACTAAGACTCCAGTGAAATCCTGATTCCAACACTGGGTGAAAACAGAAACAACATTTGCATTTTTTTTAACCCAAAACTTAAGTGTGGGGTTTGGGTATTTAAAATGTGGCTAGTCCAAATTGTGCTGTCAAGTGTGAGATACCCAGGTTTTCAAGACTTAGCACAAAAAGAATGGAAACTATCTTATTAATAATTTTTTATATTGATTACATGTTGAAATGATATCTGGATGTATCACATTAAATAAAGCACATTATTAAAATTAATTTCAGCTGTTTCATTTTATCTTTTAAATGTGCATATTAGAAAATTTTAAATAATGTTTGTGGCTTGCACAGGTGGCTTGCCTTATATTTCTACTGGACAGTGCTGATGTAGACCAATGGGGTGAGACAGGCCCCTTGAGCTCTGCACATACCTCCCTTGTGTAGGAGCAGCAGGATGCCTTCCATGTTCCCAAGAGCAGTTCAGGGAAGCCCCAGAGAGCTTGCATACTAGCTGGGAATAAGAGAGGAGGCTTACGCCTGTAATCCTAACACTTTGGAAGGCCGAGGCGGGTGGATCACGAGGTCAGGAGATGGAGACCATCCTGGCTAACACGGCGAAACCCCGCCTCTACTAAAATGCAAAAAATTAGCCGGGCGTGGTGGCAGGCGCCTGTAATCCCAGCTACTCAGAAGGCTGAGGCAGGAGAATCGCTTGAACCTGGGAGGCGGGGGTTGCAGTGAGCCAAGATCACGCCACGGCACTGCAGCCTGGGTGACAGAGCGAGACTCCGTCTCAAAAGGAAAACAAAAACAAAAAAAACCCAAAAAACAAAAAACAAGGGGAGGCAGTAGGGAACTTCCGAGATCAATAACCAGTAACCATTGACCCCAACAATGTGAGGGTGTCTTGGTGGCTGCTATATAGACAGAAAACAATACTAAGGGCAAGATTCTGCCACACTCATCTTCAGATGAGCACTGGCCATATCCAGTGCTTTTGTCCTATTTAAGCTTTCTGGAACCTAGGTAAACCCCCCTGGGAAAGCAGATGGGGACCTTGGCGTAACTGACACTGTTTCTGCCACTCAGTGGAATGGGAACTAAAAATTGAAATTAAATTTAAATAAAGGCAAGGGTAATATTAAATATTTAGTAACTGTGTAACACCCCTACCAACGAATCAGATCAGAGGTTGGCTGAAAAATCTTGGCAGCTGCCTGCTGTGCCTGACATCATCTCTCAAATTTCTGGGACATTCAGAGAGCTGGGGCTTTGTGGAGTAGGGCTTAGGGTGGCAGTGACAGTGGAGAGGAATGCTCTTGACTGATAATGGAACATTTTAATATTTAACATCTGTTATGCTTGTGCTGGTGCACACCAGCTCATATCAGATCTGGTTAAAAAATGAAGTTACATTTCTTGATCTTCTAAGTTTGTGAGTTGATTAATATATGTTGCATGTAAATTGAATGAAAGTTCCTTGCACACAATTCTTTGCCCTCCAACTTTTTTCTCTATTGCAAAGATTTGTTTTAATCCCCATTATTGTTGCCATTTATTTTATTCTTTAAGCCAACACACGCACACACACACACACACACACACACACACACACACAGAAACTACCTCATTGATTATAGTGAGCTCTTCAGATTTTTCTTTTCCATCTTGATCTGGTTAAATATCTAAGTCAATGAGGACATTATTTTCATTTTAAGGAAGCAAAATTACTTGTTAGAAGAAATAGTAATTGAAGTTTCACACCATACCTTATAAATGCACACAATTATTATATGTCAATTAAAAACAAAATAAAACTTAAACATCTTTTAAAAAGAGTAATACTGAAAGACTTACTATATCAGTTAAGTTATTTGGCTGTTTTAAAGGAGGTATAACATAGTATAAAATGATCTTAATAAGAATGGGAAAAGCCCTAAATTGGAATACAGATGTAAACAAATAAACTTAACTAGACATTAAATAGATAACATGGCCACAGAGAATAAAATAAAAAGGAATTCAATTAACTTTTGAAAGGAATTCCTTGTACACTTTCAGTGGGAATGATGAACAAGAGGAAGAATCCTGTAGTATTGGATTGGAATTAGAAGTATCAGTGATTAAAAACAAACAAACAAAAAACAAAACTAACAACAAAAAAACTCTATTAAAGGGATCTAAAAGCAAAAACAATCTTTGTTGGTAAGCTCATCAGATGGCCAGATTTTGGTTTCTAATACCATATCTCAGTGAAAAGAACATGGAGAAATGATCAATTCTAGGGCAAAGAGGAAGAAAGTGTAAGGTGAGTACAAAAAAAAAATTGCTCAAAAAAAATAGGTCTTAGTCTACTGGTATAAAAAAAATGATAGGGACATGTCGAAAGAACACAAGAATTAGCTTAACAGGTTCCCATTGGACAATTTTGGAAAATGTGAACATCAAAATAAATAATAACAGGAATAAATTTGATGAGTCTATGATGGAACTAAACCAAAGTGAAACAAATCTTAAAGCCCATCTATGCAGAAGAATACCAAATATAAATGTGGAAGAAATGAATAGTATAAATATAATAGAAAAATTACTCTTTTGCCACCACTGTACTAATAATTTGATTCAGGCAAGAATCATCCCATATGCTAAAATCATGAATGAAAGTATTTTCATATAGCCTCAAAATATTAACCCTCAGATTACTGATTACAAAAGCAAAAAGCTACTTTTATGGATATTGTAGACATCTGGCAGATATTGCCTTAGCCAAGTGATCAAAATATCATCAATGAGGGCACAAACATCTCTGATGTAATGTACTAAAAAGAATAGAGCTATTTTCCCCAAAATATTTGATCTGTATCTAATTTGAAGACAAATGAGACAAATCTACATTGAGTATAATTTGGCAAAACTACTGCCTAGACTCTTCAAAAATCTCAGTGCCATGAAAGGCAATGAAGGTAGAGAAACTGCTCTCAATTAAAGAAGACTAAAGAGACAGGAAAACAAAATGCAGTGTGATCTTTGATGGAGTCCTGGATCATTACTGGGACAACTGGGATAATTGAATATAGATCATCTAATAGATATTATATTAATATTATATTTCCTGGTGATAATTGTATTTGGTTATGCAAGATAATGCCCTTGTTCTTAGCAGATACAATCTGAAGTATTTGGCATGATGGGTAATGTTGATTGTTTGCTAATAACTTTTAGATGGTGTCAGATAAAATATGTACATTCATGTAAAACAAACGTGTGTATGTTTATGTGTCTATGTATGTCTGTGTATATACATGTATAGGTATAAATATAAAGAGACAAAATCAGATGTGATAAAATGTTAATAATTGATAAATCTGAGGGGAGGGTATAAAAATGTTTCCTTTTCCTTTTACAACTTTTCTGTAGGTTTGAAAATGTTTAAAATAAACCCGAGGAAAGGTTTGAAGCTTACATTTTGGCATGACGGTAATAGAAAAACATATTTTGGGGCCATGTGTGGTGTCTCAAGCCTGTAATCCCAGCACTTTGGGAGGCCAAGGTGGGTGGATCACCTGAGGTCAGGAGTTCGAGACCAGCCTGGCCAACATGGTGAAATCCCATCTCTACTAAAAATACAAAAAACTAGCCAGGCATAGTGGAGGGTGCCTGCAATCCCAGCTACTTGGGAGGCTGAGGCAGGAGAATTGCTTCAACCTGGAGGTGGAGGCTGTAGTGAGCTGAGATTGCACCACTGCACTCCAGCCTAGGTGACAGAGCAAGATTCTGTCAAAAAAAAAAAAAAAAAAAAAAGGAAAAAGAGAAAAATACATTTTAATAAACAAAGTAAAAAGTCTAAGTTTTATAGCATGGCCAAGGTGGATTCTAGTCTTAGTAGTACCACTTGCTCTGCTTACTAGTGATACATCCAAAAGCAAATTTCTTAGATTTTTCATCTATAAAATGGAGATAAACAATGGAACTGACCCTATGATAGAGGCAGCAGGCTGCCTAACCAATATCTATTCCTCCATTCTTTCTTATTAAAAGAATCATAAATTTGATGACATTGGCCATGTGCCCAGCTATATAACTACATTTCCCAGAATCCTTTGCAGAATGGTCAAGACATGGGAGTGGAAGTTGATGAATTAGAGCTTTGACAGCTTTGACACTTAGCCGGCTGGTGCCTTTTTGCCTTTACTTCTTTCCCTTCCTCTTGTTCCTGCCTAGAAGATGAATGCAATGGTTGAAACTTCATGCCATTTTTAAAATATGAGATTGTGGATCACAACTGCATCTGGAAGGAGATGGAGTCACTGTGAACACAGCGGAACTTCTGCACCAGCCTGAGATCATGTTTTGGATCTCCTGTTAACATGCAAAAACCACATCATTATTTAATTGCCAGTATTATTTAGTTTTTTTTTTTTTACTAAATGCAATCAAATGCAATTCCTCATTTACACCCTATCTTAGAGAGTTATGAAGATTGAATTTGGTAATACATGTAAAGTGTTTAGTATCATTCACAGTGCACAAAAAAGGCTTATGAATATTCAGCTATTATTATATCAATGTAGTACAAAGAAATGTACTTTCCCATTGACCTAGAAGCAGAATAGATATTTTCTTTTCTTTTGTAATTCTATTTTAAAATATTCTTTTTTCAGCTAAGGAAATACATAACAATTCAGAGTTCCTCAAATATCTTGTCTATTTAAACATAATTTCTTACAGTGATTATCATAATCAGCCCATATTCAAAATGAAAATAGTAAATAGGTTTCTTGAACTAATGTAACCAAGTCATGTTTGGTGAATAATTGCTGTTCTACAAGTTGAATAATTTGTTAAAGTTATGAAAATGATTATCTACCAAATATGCTAGATGGATTCTAAACATATGAAAAGTATTTTGTAATATGTGGGCTCAATAAATAAAAAAGCATAAATGGGTAGCAGTGTTTACAAATCCTGGGAAAAATGTTTAAGCAAATTACATTCTATATTTAGGAGAAATTCTATATTTATTTTGTTTTAAAATAATAAATCAATATATTTAACATATTTTAACTTGGTTTGAAATAAAATATGACTATGGTTGTTGGATTCAAAAGCCAGAATTTATCTTAACAAACTGGTATTTCTTGATGATAAAGAACAATGGAAATTTTTTTAACTTATGATCTGTAGTAACATGTAACCAATATCTAGATTCAATATATCTCATAGCATAATTTTCGTCTCTTTCATGTGGTTATTCATACTGCCTGTGTGAATAAGAATCTCTCCTTCTATATATAACAAGGTATTGTGTGACTAGAAAACAAAATGCCTGATTTCTGGTAAAGTAGGATTCCTCCTGAGTCTCTAACACTTGATTTTTCAAGTCTTTGTAACACAGAGATATCACATTGATTTTTAAACCTAGGATTCTGACAATCCATCCTTTAGCATATCATAAATTCATTTTTGCATATAATGAACATTTCTAATTGAGCTAAAGAATTATAAGGACCACAAGCATAATAAATGCAAAGGAAGTGCCCAGCCCTGCTCACATTTATCTTTTCCCTCTTTACAATAATCCAGTGAGGTGGGTGAGCTTGTCCTCATTTGTACAGGCTAGGGAACTATACCGGTCAGGGTTTCAGCAGGAGACAGATGGCACTGCTGAATTAGATAAATGAAGGATGGCTAAAGAAAGGAATTCTTCAAAGATGTCCTCAAGGTGCAAACTCCTGCAGGGGATAATGCAATCTCCCAGGGTGAGTCATAGCAGAGCTGTTACCACACCCTGGCTCAAAGGACAAGGGGAGAAAGTGGTGGTAGTCCCTGGACCCTAGAAAGAGAAGGATATCTTGAGAGAGGTTGTGACTTTTAATCAAGAGACAGAGCTGCCCAGAGGTGACTTCACTTCTTTCCTTTCAATCTCCTGTCAGGCTTCTCATAGCTGAACTTGAAGGGAAGCCAGTGGGCAAGGATGTCTGACAATATAGTCCCTGCTGGTCTTCCATGAGAGCAGGGTGGAGATGAGGACAGTACATCTGGGAGGACACAAAGAAGGTATCCAGCACAGGAATTGAAGCTCGGAGAGGCTAGACACATTATTAGAAGTCACACAGCTAGGAAGTTTCAAAGGCTAGATGGGAACTCAGATATGACTCTCAAACCATCTATTCTTTCCATGATATCAGGTGATGGCTCCTATGAGGAGTGAAATCACATTTGCAATGTCTTCTCTAATCTAGTCTATGTGAATTTATCCATGTGTTCAATAAAAGTATCAAAAGAAGAAAATTATGTAAAAGTTTATGGTTTACATGGTGAAGAATATACTTTATATAGACGAGGAGCAGATGAATTGTCTGTGGACATAGTTTGTTCAAATAATTTACAAAGAGAACAGTAGTTTCATTCTTTCAGTTTGATTCCCCTTTACTGCATACGTCATCATCAAAACCCGAATTAGGGTTACAAACCAGTGTCTCCAGAAGAAGGTCATTAGTTTGTTAAGGTCTCCATCAATGATAGGATATCTATTTTTGCTTAAGTTTCAAATTGCCTAATAGAAAAATCAGTTTTCTTGAAAAAGAATTAAATTGCAAGTCAGAGGATTTTCTTTCCCTTTTTATGAGCATCAGCCATTTTCACTAACAACCATATAGTAAAACTGAAATGAAATGCTTGCTATTTGCAGGAATAACTGAAAATTAATCTCATTTTTACAGGCTTCCATCAGATTTAAAATAATTTTACTTAAACACCACAAAAGCCATAGTCTGGAAATATGAGAATACAATAATGGTTCTGTTCTTCTAGGTTATTTCTTATTTTAATTAATTGAGTGATTGAGGACAGTTTTGTTGAGTAATTTCCTAAATGAATCATTTAACTTCTCAATGGAACAACCTATTTTCTTAAAAAATTGGATAAATTCCAGAAGTTTATAATTCATAATTTATTATTCTTAATGAGCTGGTTAATACGAAAGTGATAGGCTATAGAAATAATATGGTTACAAGTGTAAAAACCAATTATTTAGCTTGTGACTAAAATTTCAATCAAGCTAACATTGAATTCTGCATGTTATTTAACAGAGTGACTTAGAATAGTTTTGATAAAGGATGAGAATAGTTTTCTAAAAGATTTTTGAAATGCTAACACCATGGAATGGCTGACGTCTCCATAATCTCTTGGACTGTATTCAAGGAATCCAGTTAAAGTGTGTTTAAGAATTTTAGCTAAAGTTGACTTCAGCTGTGGTTCAAGATCACAGTATTAGTTTAGGCCGGGCACATGGCTCACACCTGTAATTCCAGCACTTAGGCAGACCAAATCAGAGGGATTGCTTGAGGCTAGGAGTTTGAGACCAGACTGGGCAATGTAGCAAGAAAGACTCCAGTCTCTACAAAAAAATTTTAAAACTTAGCTGGGTGTGGTGGTGCATGCCTGGAATCCCAGCTATGTGGGAGGCTGAAGCAGGAAGATTGCTTGAACCCAGGAGTTTGAGGCTGCAGTGAGCTATGATTATGCCACTGCACTCCAGCCTGGGTGACACAGTGAGACTCTGTCTTTGAGGAAACAGTATTAGTTTATGTATTCATTTTACATGCTTCTGAGAGGTAAATTATAGGTAGGATTTTAGTAGGTAGAGATTTAGGAAGAATCCCATACATTATATTTTATCATTTTATGTTAGTGTCCTCTTTTGGTTGGATGGAAAGTTAAGAAAATGTATTTGTTTCTCTGCCCAAAGGATATTTTTGCCTATTTTAATTTACTAAATACTAACAACTTGTATAAAACAGGGCATTTAGTATACAAACTTGGGCATTGGATTACTTGAATTCAAATTCCAGATCTGCTACTTACTAGCAGTGTAATGTAAAATAGTAGTAATAATACTACTGACCTTACAGGATTGTATGAAGAGTGTATGAGCTCGTGTAAACCCTTCGAACAGTGCCTGTCACATAATAGGCTTTCAATAACTTTCACAACAATAAGATCTGGGTTTAAGGCACTCCATTGCCTTTCCCTTGGTGTGGGTCATATTTACTGCATGCTAATCTTTTATATAATGGTGCGTATACTATATATTGTAAGACCTGTTGATAAAAGCCTATACAAAAAATTATCACAAAGAAATCAGGGTGATTTTAAATCTACAAGTTTCATATTGCTATTGTTTTCAGAATTATAGAATAGAGAAATTGGAAGGGTTTTTAACAGCGATGGATGGGGCAAGAAAATGAAATAATTATACTCTTGCAGCTAGGAAACCTGTGTTTTATTCTGAACTTGGCCATGAATTAACTGTATTATCTTTGGGGGCATCACTTAATCTCTTGGGTCTCAGTTCCCTCAGCTAAATACAATGGGCCTAATAATACCATTTGAGATAATGTACATTCTCAGATTGTAAATTGTGTTCTTATTATTAAAGATCATTTAAATCTGAACTTTGTATTTCAAAAGTGCCTGAAAACATTTTATCCCTCTCTGAACTTTGGGATGTCTACAGAATAGTCAACTTCCTATTGCATTCCCATCCTTTAGGTCATGTGAGTTGAGAATTAGGAAGGGGGCTGAGAGAAGGAGGCCTGGAGAATCACTTTCATAGGAACTAGAAAACAGTTAGGTTATTTAGATGTGCAACACACAGGGGCTCAGCAGTTTTGGAGGCAGAAACCACTCATTTCACCTTTCTGGAAGCAATTGTTTCTCACTTCATTAGCCCAAAGTTCATTTTGATCTGGGAATCCCACGCCAGGAACACAGTTCATTCCACTTCTAATTAAAAACGCCTGGAGTCCTTTGGCTAGAGGCCACATACTGGGGCTGGCTCATCTTTCTCTGGCAACCTGGGTCTTGCCTCAGCCTTCGCTACAACAGCAAACACATCATGAGGAAAGATTAATTTTAGTGGAAGAGGGTCAAGAAAAACAAACTGACAATTTAAAATATTAAAAACCTATTAGCTGAGACAATGGGAAGCCAACATTAGCCCTGACGTAAGAAACGTGCCTACTTAAGGGAGCAAGAGCTGTTATAATCAGCCTACCAATTACTGAGAATTAGAGCAAGATACCTTGGAAGGGTAAAGTGATTGTAATAAAAGTGTTGTCAGAGCTTAATTAGATAAAGAAAACACACAGTTTGCATGCTCATAGCTTTGATATTTACTCTGTCCCTGTGACCACAATGATGAAGAAAGCAACCCCATCCTGAGTCTCAGGGTCACCTGTAGACCTGTGGAATGTGTACCTTGATTCAACTTTTTGAAGACAATAAACAACGAAAAATAGGAGGTGTGAATGCCAGCTCATTGATAATAGTAGGTTTTTTAATTATTATTATACTTTAAGTTCTAGGGTACATGTGCACAATGTGCAGGTTTGTTACATAGGTATACATGCACCATGTTGGTGTGCTGCACCCATTAACTCATCATTTACATTAGCTATCCCTCCCCACTCCCCCAACCCTTGTTATTCATTCATACCATTCAAACCAAAGACCTTGTTCATACCTTGGCACTGGCCACCCTGCTAGTCATTGTTCTTCACTCACACAGTGTCAGTGTGCTTCTTTCTTAGCTGGAGGCTGAAAGTCTAAAACACTTGCACTGTTATCCGCCCCCTCACCACTAGTCTTAATATAAGGCCCTAAGGTAATTATTGGTTGTAGAAATAGAAGAAGAGAATAGGTCAAATATGATTTTTTATTATGGACAATCGACTTGGTTTTTTATACAAATTGACAATTGTTTCAGCTACTCAGGAAGCTGAGGTTTGGAGGATGCTTGAGCCCAAGAGTTCAAAGCTGCAGTGAGCTATGATCATGCCACTGCATTCCAGCTTGGGTGACACAATGAGATTCTAACTCTAAAAAACAAAACAAAACAAAAACAAGATAACTTGTAGTGATATTTCCATTAAAAATATATTAAATTTCAAAATTTTTAAATCCATGAAGTTGCTATTTTTTGTATGTTAGATGTATGATAAACCAAAATTAAAAAAAAATTTGTGGATACATACTAGGTGTATATATTTATGGGGTATATGGGATATTTTGATACAGGCATACAATACATAATAATCACATCAGGGTAAATGCAGTATCCATCACCTCAAGCATTTATCCTTTGTGTTAGAAACAATCCATTTATACTCTTTATTTTTAAATATACAATTACATTATTTAATTGCAGAAGCTTTTCAACTTGCTGTAATCCCTTTTGTCCATTTTTGATTTGGTTGCCTGTGCTTGTACAGTATTACTCAAGACGTCTTTGTCCATTACAATGTCCTGTAGAATTTCCCCAATGTTTACTTTTAGTAGTTTCACAGTTTAAGTCTTTAATCCATTTCATCTTGATTTTTGTATATGGTAAGAGATAGAAATCTAGTTTCATTCTTCTGTCTACTGATATCCAGTTTACCCAGTACAATTTATTGAAGAGATTATTCTTTACCCGATGTATGTTTTTGACACCTTTGTCAAAAATGAGTTCACTGTAAATGTATAGATTTGTTTCTGTGTTCTCTATTGTGTTCCATTGGTTCATGTGTCTGTTTTTATGCTAGTGCCATGCTGTTTTTGTTACTATATCTCTTTAGTATAATTTGAAGTCAGGTGATGGGATTCCTCCAGTTTTGTTCTTTTTGATCCGTAGAACTTTGGCTACTCTGGGTCTTTTTTGGTTCCATATAAATTTTAGAATTGTTTTTTCTATTTCTGTGAAGAAAGTCATTGGTATTTTGATAGGGATTGCATTGAAACTGTAGATAGCTTTGAATAATATGGGCCTTTTAAAAGTATTGGTTCTTCCAATCCATGAACATAAAATATTTTTTCATGTTTATGTGTCCTCTTCAATTTCTTTCATCAATATTTTATAGTTTTCATTGTAGAGCTCTTTCACTTTTTGCCTAAGTATATTCCCAGGTATTTTATTTTCTTTTGTAGCTATTGTAAATGGAATTACTTTATTTCTTTTTCAGATTGTTTATTGTTGGCATATAGAAAAGCTACTGATTTTTGTATGTTAATTTTGTATTCTTCAGCCTTAATGAATTTGTTTGGCAGTTCTTAGTTTTTTGGTGGAGTTTTTAGGTTTTTCCAAATATGAGATCATATTTTCTCCAAACAAGGATAATTTGATTTCTTCCTTTCCAATTTGGATGCCCTTTATTTATTTGTCTTTTCTGATTGCTCTGCCTAGGACTTCTAGTACTGTGTTGAATAACAGTGATGAAAGTGGATATCCTTGTAGTGCTCCAGATCTTAGAGAAAGGCTTTCAGTTTTTTCCCATTTAGTATAATACTAGCTGTGGGTCTGTCATACATGGCTTTTGTTATGTTGAGGTATGTCCCTTCTAGACCCAGTTTTTTGAGGGTTTTTATTATGAATGAATGTTGAACTTTATCAAATGCTTTCTCAGCATCAATTGAAATGATCATATGGCTTTTGTCCTTCATTCTGTTGACATGATGTATCACACTGATTGATACGCATACGTTGAACCATCCCTTCATCCTTGGGATAAATCCCACTTGGTCATAATGAATGATCTTTTTAATATGTTGCTGAATTCTGTTTGCTAGTTTTTTTTTTGTTGAGGATTTTTGCATCAATATTCATCAGAGGTATTGGCCTGTAGTTTTCTTTCTTTATGTGTCTTTCTCTGGTTTTGGTATCAGGGTAATACTGACTTTGTAGAATGAGTTTGAAAGAACTCCCTCCACCTCTATGTTTGGAATAATTTGAGTAGGATAAGAATTACTTCTTCTTTAAGTGTTTGGTAAAATTTGGCAGTGAAATTATTAGGTCCTAGGGTTTTCTTTGCTAGAAAACTTTTTACTATGGCCTCCATCATATTACTTGTTATTGGTCTGTTCAGGTTTTGGTTTTCTTCATGGTTCATTCTTGATAGGTTGTATGTGTCTAGGAATTTATCCATTTCTTCTAGACCTTCGAATTTATTGGCATATAGTTGCTCATAGTACATACTAATGATCCTTTAAATTTCTGTGGTATCAGTTGTAATATCTCCTTTTTTATATCTTATTTATTTGGGTCTTCTCTCTTTTTTCTTAGTCTGGATATAAGTTTGTCATTTTGTTTATTTTTTTCAAAACCCAACTTTTTGTTTTCTTGAACTTTTATATTGCTTTCTTTATTTCAATTTTATTTATTTCTGCTCTGAACTTTAATATTTCTTTTCTTTGATTAACTTTGGTTTTGATTTGCTCTTTTTTAGTTCTTTGAGATGTATCATTAGGTTGTTTATTTGAAGTTTACTTTATTTGATGTAGGCACTTATAGCTATAAAGTTCTCTCTTAGCACTGCTTTTGCTGTATCCCATAGGTTTTGGAATGTTGTGTTTCCATTATCATTTGTTTCAAGAAGTGTTTCAGTTTCCCTCTTAATCCCTTCAATGCCCCACTGGGGCTTCAGGAACATATTGTTTAATTTCCACGTGTTTGTATAGTTTCTAAAATCTCTCTTTTTATTGATTTCTTGTTTTATTCCATTGTGGTCAGAGAGAAGAGATGGTTCATTGGCCATGTTGGTCTCAAACTCCTGGCCTCAACTGATCCACCTGCCTCAGCCTTTCGAAGTACAGAGATTACAGGCACGCACCTCCACCCCTGGCCTCAGGCCAATAACTCTTAATTTGTCCCTTTGAGGCTATTTTCTACATCTTGCAGGCGTTCTTCGTCACTTTGAATTCTTTCTTCTTTTGTCTCCTCTGACAGGTATTTTCAAATAGCCTGTCTCCAAGCTCACCAATTCTTGCTTCTGCTTGATCAAATCTGCTATTAAGAGACTCTGTTTTTTTCTCGGGCAAGATGGTCGAATAGGAAATGCTCTGGTCTGCAGGTACCAGCGAGACCAACACAGAAGGCGAGTGATTTCCGCATTTCCAACTGAGGTGCCTGGTTCATCTCATTGGGACTGGTTAGACAGTGGGTGCAGCCCACTGAAGGCAAGCAGAAGCAGGGTGGGGTGTCGCCTCACCTGGGAAGTGCAAGGGGTCAGGGAACTCCCTCCCCTAGAGGGACTGTGCCGTGAGGGATGGTGCATTCTGGCCCAGACACTATGCTTTTCTCATGGTCTTCACAACCCACAGGCCAGGAGATTCCCTCGGGTGCTTATAACACAAAGGCCCTGGGTTTCAAGCACAAAACCGGGCAGCTATTTGGGCAGACACCGAGCTAGCTGCAGGAGTTTCTTTTCATACTCCAGTGGCACCTGGAATGCCAGTGAGACAGAACCACTTACTCCCCTGGAAAGAGGGCTGAAGTAAGGGAGCCAAGTGGTCTTGCTCAGCAGATCCCACCCCAATGGAGCCCAGCAAGCTAAGAACCACTGGCTTGAAATTCTCCCTGCCAGCACAGCAGTCTTAAGTCGACCTGGGAGGCTCAAGCTCGGAGCAGGGAGGGGCCACCATTACTGAGTTTGAGTAGGTGATTTTCCCCTCACAATGTAAAGAAAGCCACCAGGAAGTTTGGACTGAGTGGAGCCCACCAAAGCTTGGAGAAGCCACTGTGGCTAGACTGCCTCCCTAGATTCCTCTTCTCTGGGCAGGGCATCTCTGAAAGAAAGGCAGCAGCTCCGGTCAGGGGCTAATAGATAAAACTCCCGTCTCCCTGGGACAGAGCACCTAGGGGAAGGGGCAGCTGTGGACACAGCTTCAGCAGACTTAAACATTCCTGCCTGCCAGCTCTGAAGAGAGCAGCCATCTCCCAGCACAGCAGTTGAGCTCTGCTAAGGGACAGACTGCCTTCTCAAGTGGGTCCCTGATCTCCTTGCCTCCTGACGAGGAGACACTTCCCAGCATGGGTCGACAGATGCCTCATACAGGAGAGCTCTGGCTGCCATCTGGCAGGTGCCCTTCTGGGAAAGAACAGGCAGCAATCTTTGCTGTTCTGCAGCTTCAACTGGTGATAACCAGGCAAACAGGGTCCAGAGTGGATCTCCAGCAAACTCCAGCAGACCTGCAGAACAGGAGCCTGACTGTTAGAAAGAAAACTAAAAAACAGAAAGCAATAGCAAAAACATCAACAAAAAGAAAGACCACACAAAAAATCCATCTAAAGGTCACCAACAGCAGAGACCAAAGGTAGACAAACTCACAAAGATGAGGAAAAACCAGTGCAAAAAGTCTGAAAATTCAAAAAACCAGAACGCCTCTTCTCCTTCAAAGGATCACAACTCCTTGCCAGCAAGGGAACAAAACTGGACGGAGAATGAGTTTGATAAATTGATAGAAGTAGGCTTCAGAAGGTGGGTAATAACAAACTCCTCTGAGCTAAAGAGCGTGTTCTAACTCAATGCAAGGAAGCTAAGAACCTTGATAAAAGGTTAGAAGAATTGCAAACTAGAATGACAGTTTAGAGAAGAACGTAAATGACATGATGGAGCTGAAAAACACAGCATGAGAACTTCATGAAGCATACACAAGTATCAACAGCTGAAGTGATCAAGTGGAAGAAATGATATTAGAGCTTGAAGATCAACTTAATGAAATAAAGTGTGAAGACAAGATTAGAGAAAAAAAGAATAAAAAGTAACAAACAAAGCCTCCAAGAAATATAAGACTATGTGAAAAGACCAAACATACGTTTGATTGGTGTACCTGAAAGTGATGAGGAGAATGGCATCAAGTTGGAAAACACTCCTCAGGATATTATGCAGGAGAACTTCCCCAACCTAGCAAGGCAGGCCAACATTCAAATTCAGAAAATACAGAGAACACCAAAAAGATGCTCCTCAAGAAGAGCAACCCCAAGACACATAATCATCAGACTCACCAAGGTTGAAACGAAGGAAAAAGTGTTAAGGGCAGCCAGAGAGAAAGGTCAGGTTACCCACAAAGGGAAACCCATCAGACTGACAGTGAATGTCTCTGCAGAAACCCTACAAGCCAGAAGACAGTGGGGGCCAATATACAACATTTTTAAAGATAAGAATTTTCAATCCAGAATTTCATATCCAGCCAAATTAAGCTTCAGAAGTGAAGGAGAAATAAAATCCTTTACAGACGAGCAAATGCTGAGGGATTTTGTCACCACCAGGCCTGCCTTACAAGAGCTCCTGAAGAAAGCACTAAATATGGAAAGGAAAAACTGGTACCAGCCACTGCAAAAACAAATCAGTGTAAAGACCATTGACACTATGAAGAAATTGCATCAACTAATGGGCAAAATAACCAGCTAGCATCATAACGACAGGATCAAATTCACACACAAAAATAATAACCTTAAATGTAAATGGGCTAAATGCCCTAATTAAAAGGCACAAACTGGTAAATTGGGTAGAGTCAAGACCCATCAGTGTGCTGTATTCAGGAGATCCATCTCACATGCAAAGACACACATAGGCTCAAAATAAAGAGATAGAGGAAGATGTACCAAGCAAATGGAAAGAAAAAAAAAAGCAGGGGTTGCAATCCTAGTCTCTGATAAAACAGACTTTAAACCAACAAAGTTCAAAAAAATCAAAGAAGGGCATTGCATAATGGTACAGAGATCAATGCAACAAGAAGAGCTAATTATCCTAAATATATATTCATCCAATACAGGAGAACCCAGATTCATAAACCAAGTTCTTAGAGACCTACGAAGAGACTTAGATTCCCACACAATAATAGTAGGAGACTTTAACACCCCACTGTCAATATTAGACAATATTAGACAGAAAATTAATAAGGACATTCAGGACTTGAACTCAGCTCTGAACCAAGTGGACCTAATAGACATCTACAGAACTCTCCACCCCAAATCAACAGAATATACATTCTTCTAAGCACCACATAGCACTTATTCTAAAATCAACCACATAATTGGAAGTAAAACACTCCTCAGCAAATGCAAAAGAATGGAAATCATAACAGTCTCTCAGAACAGAGTGCAATAAAATTAGAACTCAAGATTAAGAAACTCACTCAAAACCACACAGCTACATGGAAACTGAATAATCTGCTTCTGAATGACTACTGGGTAAATAATGAAATTAAGGCAGTAATAAATACGTTTTTTGAAACCAGTGAGAACAACGACACAATGTACCAAAATCTCTGGGAAACAGCTAAAGCAGTGTTTAAAGGGAAATTTATAGCACTAAATGCCCACAGGAGAGAGCAGGAAAGATCTAAAATCAACACCCTAACACCACAAGTAAAAGAACTAGAGAAGCAAGAGCAAACAATTTCAAAAGCTAGCAGAAGACAAGAAATAACCAAGATCAGAGCAGAACTGAAGGAGATAGAGACATGAAAAACCCTTCCAAAAATCAATTAATCCAAGAGCTGGTTTTTTGAAAAGATTAACAAAATAGATAGACTGCTAGCCAGACTAATAGAGAAGAGAGAAGAATCAAATAGACAGAATACAAAATGATAAAGGAGAAATCACCACTGATCCCACAGAAATACAAACTTCCATCAGAGAATACTATAAACACCTCTAAACAAATAAACTAGAAAATCTAGAAGAAATGGATAAATTCATGGACACATACACACACACAAGACTAAACCAGGAAGAATTCGAGTCCTTGAATAGACCGATAAGCCCTGAAATTGAGGTAGTAATTAATAGCCTAACAATAAAAAAAAGCCCAGGACCAGATGGATTCACAGCCAAATTCCACAGGAGGTACAAAGAGGAAATGGTACCATTCCTTCTGAAACTATTCCAAACAATAGAAAAAGAGGGACTCCTCCCTAACTCATTTTATGAGGCCAGCATCATCCTGATACCAAAACCTGGCAGAGACACAGCAAAAAAAGAAAATTTCAGGACAATATCCCTGATGAACATCAGTGTGAAAATCCTCAACAAAATACTGGCAAACAGAATCCAGCAGCACATCAAAAAGCTTATCCACCGTGATCAAGTCAGCTTCATCCCTGGGATGCAAGGCTGGTTCAACATACGGAAATCAATTAGTGTAATCCATCACATAAAGAGAACCAATAACAAAAACCAGATAATTATCTCAATAGTTGCAGAAAAGGCCTTCAATAAAATTCAACACCCCTTCATGCTAAAAACACTCAATAAACTAGGTGCCGATAGAACATATCTCAAGATGATAAGAGCTGTTTATGACATATCCACAGCCAATACCATAATGAATGGGCAAAAGCTTAAAGCATTCCCTTTGAAAACCAGCACAAGAGAAGGATGCTCTCTCTCACCACTCCTATTCAACATAGTATTGGAAGTTCTCACCAGGACAGTCAGGCAAGAGAAAGAAATAAAGCATATTCAAATAGAAAGAGAGGAAGTCAAATTATCTCTGCAGATGACATGATTGTATATTTAGAAAACCCCATCGTCTCAGCCCAAAAACTCTTTAAGCTGATGAGCAACTTCAGCAAAGTCTCAGGATACAAAATAAATGTGCAAAAATCACAAGCATTGCTATACACCAATAAGAGACAACCAGAGAGCCAAATCATGAACAAACTCCAATTCACAATTGCTACAAAGAGAAAAAAGTACCCAGGAATACAGCTTACAAGGGATGTGAAGAACCTCTTCAAGGAGAACAAACCACTGCTCAAGTAAATAAGAGAGGACACAAACAAATGGAAAAACATTCCATACTCATAGGTAGGAAGAATCAATATCATGAAAATGACCATACTGCCCAAGGTAATTTATAGATTCAATGCTATTCCCATCAAGCTACCATTGACTTTCTTCACAGAATTAGAAAAACTAATTTAAATTTCATATGGGACCAAAAAAGAACTTGCATAGCCAAGACAATCCTAAGCAAAGAGAACAAAGCTGAAAGCATCATGCTACCTGACTTCAAACTATACTACAAGCCTACAGTAACCAAAACAGCATGGTATTGGTACCAAAACAGATATATAGACCAATGGAACAGAAGAGAGGCCTCAGAAATAACACTACACAACTACAACCATCTAATCTTTGACAAACCTGAGAAAAAAATAAATGGTGTTGGGAAAACTGGCTAGCCATATGCAGAAACTGAAATTGGACCCCTTCCTTACACCTATACAAAAATTAACTCAAGATGGATTCAAGATTAAAGCATAAGACCTAAAACCATAAAAACCCTACAAGAAAACCTGGGTAATACCATTCAGGATGTAGGCACGGGCAAAGACTTCATGACTGAAACACCAAAAGCAATTGCAACAAAAGCCAAAATTGGCAAATGGGATCTAATTAAACTGAAGGGCTTGTGCATAGCAAAAGAAACTATCATCAGAGTTGTAAAAAGTAAAGTAGAGGCTCCTCTTCAAAGACTTTCCTCTCCATCTAATTAGGAATAAATAGTAACTTCTCTTAGAAGCAAAATTTATTCAAAGACCTGTGCTAACATTCTTAAATATCTGCTAGCTGTAATAAAGAAATCAATGTACTTTATGTTTTTAGCTCTCACAATTTAGCCTAAATATTTGCCCTGGCATGCTTATACTAGTCCAAGCAAGCATTAGGTCATAGCCTGTTCCTCTTCTTTATTTGAAGGTGTTTTTACATTTCTCAGCAATCCATAAGTTACTTCCTCCTTCCTTTGTTCTCCTCTGCCTTTGCCTCTTTTAAAAAGTTCTAAGTTGCTAGCCAATCAGGACAAATACAAAATATGAGGTCCCTTTCCAGCCAATGGAGAGAATGTGGAGAAATAGGAACGCTTTTACACTGTTGGTGGGAGTGTAAATTAGTTCAACCATTGTGGAAGACAGTGTGGCAATTCCTCAAGAATCTAGAACCAGAAATACCATTTGACCCAGCAATCCCATTACTGGGTATATACCCAAAGGAATATAAATCATTCTACTATAAAGACACATGCACATGTATGTTTATTGCAACACTATTCACAATAGCAAAGACTTGGAGCCAACCCAAATACCCTTTAATGTTAGACTGGATAAAGAAAATGTGGCACATATACAGCGTGGAATACTATGCAGCCATAAAAAAGAATGAGTTCATGTTGTTTTCAGAGACTTGGATGAAGCTGGAAACCATCATTCTCAGCAAACTAACACGAGAGCAGAAAATCAACACCGCGTGTTCTCACTCATAAGTGGGAGTTGAACAATGAGAACATATGGGCACAGGGAGGGGAACAGTACACATTAGGGCCTTTCAGGGGGTTGGGGACAAGGGGAGGGATAGCATTAGGAAAAATACCTAACGTAGATGATGGGTTGATGGGTGCAGCAAACCACCACGGCATTTGTATACTTATCTAACAAAGCTGCACATTCTGCACATGTATCCCATAACTTAAAGTATAAAAAAAGATTTCAATTTTGATAAAATCCAATTTATCTAAAAAAATGCACCAGTTGATGGTTTGCTTAAATGGAGCACAATTTAAGCACTTTTTATCTGTACTTTCACTGAAGGAAATCTCACTGTCTATGTGACCTGAATGCATATTACCTAGTGGAAAAATTCCATAAATGCAGAATAGCCTAGAGCACTCAACTTCTGCCTTGCTTTTTTTTTTTTTTTTTAATCAAACACAAGGGATTGCCAGGGAATAGCTCCCAAAACCATGGAACCTCTTTACAATTCTCTCTCATTTTTGTCTATCTATATTAATTATGAAACTGCATCCATTCAAATTGCTATGCTTCAACCCTGAGGAATGTAAATACAGAGGCAATTATAAAGCTGTGTTTTCTGGTGGTGCACATTTAAATGATTAGCTGAAAGTCAAATGTTAATATCACAAAATAGAAAAGTAAAATATAGTCAATGTATTTTCCCCATAGTTAATAGGCTAAATTAGAGCAAGCAATCTAACATTGCAAGAAAATTTGAATGTGGAGACTCAAAGTGTTTTTTTAACAATCTAAATGTACAACAGTAGATATATTTCATTCGCTTTAGCCTCCAGGCAGAACTGGAGGGACTGGAGGGGCAAAGATGGAAGAAGAAAATGTATGGAGATGGATTGTAGGACAAAATGTGAGTGTACAATTAGGGAGTGTAGTGAGATGAGAAGACAACTCAGGGTACAGTCCTCAACCTAAAGCTGCCAAGAACTCACAGACAGCAAGGAAATTTTTTATTTTGTAGAAATTAGCTATGAGCTCTCTTGGCCCCCTTCCTTCTCTGGGTTCCATTTCTACAAGTTGCCTCTCCTCCTCCTCCTTTTTACACCCACCCCTTCCTTTAAGTCAATTTGAACAAGCATTAACTTTAAGTTTGTAACATCTGAAATTACACCCCAGTTTTTATTTCTCATGCATTATGAAGCTATTCTGTTGAGTAATTTCACAGAGTCCAATATGAGTTGAATTGTGTGTCCTCCCAAAAATATGTTGAAACCCTAACCCATAATATCTCAGAATGTTATCTTATTTGGGAAGAAGTTCCCTGCATATGTAATAAGTTAAGATGACGTCATAGTGGAGTGGGATGGACCCCTATTTCCATATGACAGTGTTTCTATGAGAAGACAGCCATGTGAAGACACAGAGATACACAAGCAGAAGCTGGAGGCAGAGACTGGAGTGATGCATCTACAAGCCAAGGAACACCAATCATTGCCTACGCTCATGAGAAGCCAGGACATACACATGAAACAAGTTCTCCCCCAGAGCCCCTGGAAGGCACCAGTCCTGCTGACATCTTCCTTTCACACTCCTAGCCTCCAAAACAGTGAGAATAAATTTCTGTTGCTAAAAAAAAAAAAGAGACTCTGAGGCATTCTTCAATATGTCAATTGCATTTTTCAACTCCAGAATTTCTCCTTGATACTCTTTAATTATTTCAATTTCTTTGTAAAATTTACATGATAGGATTCTGAATTCTTCTCTGTGTTATCTTGAATTTCTTTGAGTTTCCTCAAAATAGCTGTTTTGAATTATCTGTCTGAAAAGTCACATCTCTCTCTCTTAGATTGGTCCCTGGTGTCTTATTTACTTCATTTAGTGAGGTCATGTTTTCCTGGATGCTCTTGATACCTGTGAATGTTTGTTGGTGTTTAAGCATTGAAAAGTTTGATATTTATTGTAGTCTTCGCAGTCTGGGCTTGTTTTTACTCATTCTTCTTAACAAGGCTTTCCAGGTATTCCAAGGGACTTGAGTATTGTGATCCAAGTTTTCGGTCACTGCAACTGTGTATGCTTTAGGGGGCACCCCAAGCCCAGTAAGGCTGTATTTTCTGCAGACTCATGCAAGTAATGCCTTGTTGGTCTTGGATAAGATCTGGAAGAATTCTCTGGATTACCAGGCAGAGACTCTTCTTCTCTTCCCTTACTGTCTCCCAAACAAATGGACTCTCTCTCTCTCCCTCTGTGCTGAGCTTCCTGGAGATGGGGGAAGGGTGACATGATCGCTCCTGTGGCCATCACCACTGGGACTGTGGTGGATCAAGCCTGAAGCCAGCACAGCACTGAGTCTTGCCCAAGGCCCACTGTCACCACTACCTACATACCACCTATGTAATAAACCACAATTTTGTGTCTAGGAGACAGAATAACTAATGAAACAAGCATAAAATAAATAGATTTTATTATATATAGGGAAATAAGTAAATGCTTATTAAGCTTCTAAATCTCAGGTATAATCCTTCACACAGATATTCTTCTGCAGGTGAATATGGACAGACTGGAGTGGCGGTTGAAGTATTTGTCTGTACTAGTTGGCCCTGAGCCTTCTAAATATGTTTTCCCATGCAGTCTCCTAAGAACTTGTTAGGACTATCCCCCCAAACTTTCCCAAATCTGGCAACAGAAAGGCAAATTCCTGGCTCAGTGGGTATTTCCAATACTTGTCCCAGCACTAAGGGTAACATCTCCTGTGATTGTTGTGTACCTGAGGAAAAAAATGTATGTGTTTTATATGAGTATTCCCCCAGTTACTCCATTTCACAATGTGGAAGGCATAGTCAAGTAATTTGCTGGTAGGGATAAATATAATTAGAGGTGGAGCTGAATTTTAAGTCAGGTATGACTCGAAGGCTATCCCACCAAGCCATACTGCCTCTCCAGGAAGTAGAGCCAGGGCTGTAAAAATTCAGGGGATGTTGGAGGTCACTCACTTCTCTTTGCCTGGCTGACTTTTCTCTTCATAAAAAGGCATGTTAGCTGTCAATTTAAGGATTTAACTGGTATTTCTTTATGTGTGGGGAACATGCATAGGAGAGACTGGAAAAGGACCAAAACCACATGTGCAGTGATTTCCTAATGGGAATTTACATGTATGTGAAAAGGCATGAACCAGATTTGTATAATAACAAAAATATGAAAACTTTTGAAATGCCCATCAATAGGGAGTGGTTACATTAATTAAAGGGCCTGTATAGAGTAAAATATTATGCAGCTCTTGAAAAAGGTAAGGTTGATCTATACGTGCTGATATGGAAATACGTTCAAGATAAATTAAAGAGCAGGACAATAAGTCTAGCATTTTCCTTTGGGAGTTAGAAAAAATGGTGGAGTAAGAGGAGTAGCAGCTGAGGTAGGGGTTAGCATAGTGTGAGAAGTGAGAAGCTTGCAGGAGGGCTGGCAGCACAGGGACCAAGTCCCCTGAAGACACTAGGTATTTTCAGGAGCTACATTCCTGTGCAAAGTCATTGTGTGTCTGATCTTTCTCAACTCAATGATGACACAAATATAGGTGGTAGACTATGATATTCACACTTTGCCATAATGAGACACTAGAACACACTTATTGGAATGGATACAATTAAATATATTGATCATACCAAGTGTTAGTGAGAATATGAAGCAACTTGAACTCTCTTACACTACTGGTGGAAATATAAAATGGTACAATCACTTTGGTATACAGATTGGCAGTGTCTTAGAAATCTAATCATATGCTTATTATATGACTCAGCTATTTCACTTCCAGATATTTACCCAAAGAAATAAAAGTATATGTTCATAAAAAGATTTGTACACAAATATTGGCAGCAGTTTTATTTCAAATAGTCAAAAACTAGGAAGATCCCTATTGTCTAGAAATTGATGAATGGACAAACATATTGTTGTGTATCCATATAATAGAATACTACTCAGCAATAAAAAGAAATGAACCATTCAACATGAATGAATCTCAAAATAATTATGCTGTGTGAAAGTCAGGCAAAAATATATACAGTATGATTCCACTTATATCAGATTCTAGAAATTGCAAACTCATTTGTAGTGATAGAAAACAGATCCATTATTGCTTGGAGCTAGAGGAGGGTAGGGAAAGGAGGAAGGGAAACATTGAAAAGAAGTATGATGTGACTTTTGGGGGGTGATGAAAATTTTTATTATCTTGACTTTGGTGATGGTTTTAGTGAATACATATTTGAAAACTTATCAAATAGTATATACTTTGGTGCAATTGCTTGTACATTAACTATATCTCAATAAAACTGTTTTAACAAGTAAAAAAATAAGCAGAATTTAAGAGGAGTTTTGATTCTCCTTTGGCAGGTAAGTGGGTAATTATACTTTTTTGTAAATTTATAAACGTAAAGTGGTTTAATACATAGGTGGTATGTAGGTAGTGGTGACAGTGGGCCTTGGGCAAGATGGATGAAAGGTAGGGTGGGGAGCTAGAGAATATTTACGGTCTTCTAGAAATCCAAGTCTATATATGTCAATGAATCAAAGAAAGGCCTAAGTGGATGTTAAACATTTCCATTATTTGATTAAAATTATGACTTTGCTCCATACTGATAAACCTTTGTGTAAACACTTGAGCATGTTCTGCTTGTGATTGGATAATGAAAAGCACACTCTGAGTTTGTGGTGGAGGAAGGGTGTGTTTGGTGGCTAGTGGTGAGGTTGGCAGCTGGGTCTCTGAGGAACTCTTTAAAGATCATTTATGATTTGTTTCCTTTAATTTTCATAAACAGAAAAAAGGAGCTTATAAGTTTTTAACAGCCCGCTTTTCTCTCCATAGGATTGCATTTTCTCACACACAGATTTTTGTAAGATTCTTTAACATCTTACCACCAACTGAGCCAGATTGTGTCTTAATGCTTTGGTCGGAATAATAGGTTCATTTTTTTTCTCAAACACAATATTTGGAGATTTTCTGAAAGAAGAGCCCCTCAAAATATTAGCCTGCTTCAAAGCACCATGAGCAGAAAGCAGAGCTCTACTTTATTTTTTTTCCAACGAATATTAGAAAGAAAAAGATGTTTCATTTCTATGTTATTTATCTTATTCCTGTGGATTGTTTCTCAGAAGTTTACAGTAGTGGTACCCATGAGACCTGAAATGGATCCTCATGGCAAAGGTGGTGATTTCATCCCATGTGGAATATAGTCTTGGAAAAGACCAAAAGCTAATGGTGGCTTCATTAGCCATGATTTTGTATCCTTCATTTTTTCATGTAAGAATTTTCCTAATGGGATTCAAAAAAAAAATAAAGCAGAATTCAGGGTCACAGTGTAAAACTGGGAGCAAGGTACATTATTTAGGCACGTTGCAGGGTTGATAAATATGACAGTCAAGCATCGTTGGTTGCATTGCACATTCATCTCAGAAGATTTTACCACCTGCTAATCTTGTAAAACACAAATTAACTTTTGTCTAAGTAGGGAGTGAGAATGTAGTCATTGGCTATCAGTCTAAGTCAGTTCACAGATTTTAACCTGTGGCATAACAGAGGAAATTTTTAGAGGCATAAAATCAGCCTTATAAACAGAGGAAATTTTTAGAGGCATAAAATCAGCCTTATAAAGATTACTAATATTTCAAGAATTTCTTTGTCATTGTTTCACTTTCTCAAAAATAATTGTGCTCTTGCTGCCCTGGAAGACTTATAAAACACATAATCCAGGCAAGAGGCTTAGCACTAGAGGCTTCTACAGATTCCAGCCCAGAGAGTTGTTACTGAGGTCATCTTCTGAGTCTCTATCAAGATGAAGGGGAAAGCAGGCATATAGGGGTGATGGGCCAGGAGATTTGGGTACAATTTCAGGTCAGAGTCCTAATGAATAATGAGAGTACTTTGTGAAAGAAGCAAAGGGGAGAGAGAAGAAGCATGAGCAAGGGACCAAGGTCTTGCCTCTGGGGAAAACTATAACAAGGTGAGGCTTCCCCACTCTAAAAATGGGCATGGCACCTTGTCACTTTGCAGCGTGGTGCCACTGTCATGGTAAAAGAAAGCATTTTCTTCCTAGAAAGTTTCCTCCCATATGTCAGGTACTGGAAGATAACTTAGATTTGTGCTTTACAATTTACAGAGTACTGTTTCCCTATGTACTTGCCTTACTCCCTCAAAACCAGGTTGAGGTTGGTGCCATTGTCATCCTTAGTTCACATAAAAGGAATCAGATACAATTTTAAACTGTTTGCTCAGGAGCACATGGCTGGAGAAGGGAAGAGCATAAACTTGAGTCTGTGTTCTCTGATGCCAACCCCAGGTAATGTTTGGTTTACCATTTTATCACCCTAGAGAAATAGGTTTACTTTTAGAATTTATTGCAGTAACCTGATACTAAGTAACAAGTGCTTATCCTAAGAAGTTTAGCATGATAGTAAAGTGAGTAGACTTTGGAGTCAAAATTGCTGGAGTTCAAATCCGAACTCTATCACTCACCACAATGTGACCTTGGGCAATATTTTTAAACTGTTTGTTAATAATATTATTTATTGCACAGAGTAGGTGTCTAAGAGTAAATGAGTTAACAAGCACAAAGCACTTAGAATGCTGCCCGGCACCTTTTACCGTCTGCCAATTAGTTCTAACCACAACAGCAAACACCGTTGTTACCATAATTGATGCTTATTGTAATAATAATGAAAAGCATTTATTACATTTCTTCCAGCTCTGTGGGAATAAAATTTAGGTCTGAATGGCATGTTTTCAATGTTCATTTGAATCCTGCCAGGAATATATTAGGCACTGGAGAGCTGCGGTACTTTAGTAAATTATTGTTTCTATTCCCAGCCAATACCTTAAGGAACAGGAAATGTATATTCATTTTCTAAGGTGTTTTATTTATACCTCCCAAGCCATATCTAGGGATTCCTGGATTTATTGAGTTCTCTTTACAATATTGAGTTCTATACTATTTGAGAGGGCTTGGAGTAAGAATGAATATTAATTCTAGAGATACACACATGTACCTTCCTCAATATGTTTCCCCCGCCTTATTTTATCTTCTGTGCTTCTCAGGGCTCAACCCTTGGATTTCTTCTCTTCTCTACCTGCATCTACTTCCTTAGAGTTATATTCCAGTCATATGACTTTAAATGGCAACACTATGCTAATAACTCTCAAATTTATGTCCTGGCTGGATTTTTCTTCTGAACTCCAAACTTGTATGTCTAACTCCACCTCATCCCTTGAAAGTCTGATGTGTCTCAAACTCAGCATAAGAAAACAACCCCTCCTGACGGTCCCCTCCAAACCTGCTGCACCTTTAGCTTCCCCCATTTCAGATGGTGTCATCTCCATTCTTCCAATGGTTCAGGCCCCAAATCTGGGAGTCATCTGTGACTCTTCTCTTTCATACCTACATCCAATTTGTTAAAAAGTCCTGTTGACTCTATCTTCAAAAGCAGTCCGGATTCTGGCTACTTTTCACCATTTCCATTACCACCACACTGGTCTGAGCCACCATATAAATTGGGAGCCAGTGTCCTCCTAATAGGTCTCCATGATTCTACTCTCATTTTCCTGTAGTTCATTTTCAACACATCAGCTGGAATGATGCTTTTAGAATGTAAGTCAGATCAAGTTACTATGTTAGTGAGAATCTAGCGGCCTAGAGATCTGTCTTTTTTGAGCACCACCTCTTACCTCTCTGACCTACTTTCCTTCTCTTCTCCTTATTTATGTCTCTGCTGCTTCCAGCACCTTTGACCTTTTGTTTTTGCTGCCTGGAACACTCTTGCTCTGGCTGTCTGCCTGGCTAGCTCCCTAACATCTGTAAGTGAAGGTGCTGAAATCCCACCTTCCCAAAGAGGCCTACGCTGATCACCCTATGTAATGCTGCACCCATGTCCCTGCTTGCTTTCCTGTCTTCCAGATTTCCCTGACCCTGATCCTCTTTCTTTTTTCCCTGGCACTGCTCCTAACAACAATTTGTGTCCACAATCCCCATCAAAACCCCCTGGGAACAGATGTGCTTCAGAATTTAGTCTTTTTCATATTTTAGCAGAGAATGCAGTGCATATACCATGTATTATATCTTAGTGAGTTGTGTTCTCAAATACATTGGTATTTCTGAAGCAAAACACAGAAATACGTACATTAACTACAATAAGGACTGTACATAACTGCTTGTTACTTCAGGTCAGGTCAGTTTCACTGACAATTAATTTAAGAAAAACTACCAATTTTTAGATCTCTTTGGACTTTGATTTGGCAGATAAAGGATTGTGGGCCTGTATATAATTATTTGTTGTGTTTGTCCCTCCACCGGAGTGGTAAACTCCTTGAGGGTGGTGTTCATGTTCTTTAAATCACTGACATACCCCAGATGCTGAGAACACCTTCTGGCACATAGTAAATGCTCCATGTATGTTGCTGGAATGAAAGAATTTGTCATACAACTCTTCCTTTCTTTCTTCCGGGTTTAATGAGCTGGTCATTGTTTATTTAACATGTATTTATGCCTTACATATATGCTTTTCCATCTGGACTTTTCTTTCCTTTGATCCTTTAATTCTTCCCTTTGATCCTTTAATTATTCCCTTTTTCTACTTTTATGAAAGCAGTTCAGTCTTTCACAGTTTAGGCCAATCTTACCCTCTAAGTGTTTCCTTGGAATGCAGTTTTTGATCTCCTTTTCCTATGAAATACTATGGTAATTGTTTTTCTATTAACACAGCATTTATATTCTATACTCATATACTTCATTTCTTTTATTAATATCTTTGGGGGTAAATAATCTTCACTCTACCTAAATTGCAAGCATCTTGAAAATAAGGGCTATAATCACCACCACCACCAGCAGGGTGTTAAGTAAAGCTCTTATTTCACAGTTGTAGGCTCACCATTTAACAAGCTATTATGTTTTGTGGTTTTTGTACTAGATGCTGGGACTGTAGTGACCTATTTGATTCACTCCTTACCCTGACAAAATATACTTACTGACTAGTGAGGGGAAAAAAATAGGCTATTACAACAGAATTGCTAGGAGCTATGGTAAGGGAAGAATTGGGGACTATGTTCAGTTAGCCCTGCCTTGGAGGAACAGGTATCCTCCTTAAAGCACTGGCAGCTAAGATGCAACATAAAAAATAGAAGTCACCCAAAGGAGGAGGAGAGGGGAAGTGGAAAGAATGTTGCAAGCAGAGGGGACTCCATCTACAAAGACCTGGAAGTGAGAGAGCGAGGGTATGTCATTAGATAAGGCGCTCAGTAGATGAACTAAAGGCATTTTGGGTAGTTGGTATACAAGTCGCGAGGGAGGTGAGGGGTGGATTGAAAGATAATCCTGGTCTTGAGGGAGGCAGAAGCCAGACTGTAAAGGGTGTTGAACATCATCCTAAAGAATTAAGGCTTATTATAAGAAAAGTGGTGAATTATTCAAGGGCCTTGATGTGCTCAGACTTGCATTTTTGAAAGATGACTCTAGCTGCACTCTGAAGAATGAATTGGAGAGATGAAGGCTGGAAATAGAGCAGTTTTTGTTTTTTTCTAGTATTTGTGGAAATGCCTTCCTGAATAAATATGCTTGATGTTCATCAAGCCCATGTAGGATGGAAAATAAATCTTAATGATTATGCTGAGGAGAGTATAGGAATATGGTTATGCATTTATTGATTAAAAGATATTGGCTTTTATTTTATGATCTTTGGAAAATAGATTTCCCCAAACTAAAAGTAAAATGCATCCATGAAACATCTGAGTGGCAGGCATGTGTTCTACAAAACAGGATGCAATACAGGTTGAGCCAACCCCCTGACAGCAGAGATAGAGACTCCAGAGGGTAGGGAAAGGACAGGTCAGATATGCAACAGAAAGATTGACAGTGACAAATGGGGTGTGAACTCTGGGAGAATGAAAAGCCCAGTGCACTTCACACTCTATCCTGATGAAAGCAACCCTCAGAGACCCTTAAAGAAATGAATCTGTTAAACAGATGCCTTCAATGTGTCACTTGCAGACAAAGCTTCCTTTGCTAAAACCCCTCTTAGACGATGAATAAGTCTGGTGAGAGGAATAATTTGTCAAACTAATTTATTATAGTCCAAGGAGGTCTCTGAATAATAGGAGACACTAGGGAATAGAAGGTAGTCATCTAGTGGATTGTTAGTAACTCTCTTCCCTCGAGACTGAGGCCTCTGTTTATTTATTTGTTTTTGGTTTTGTTGCCTGCATGAGGCTAACATTGTTCTCAGCAATTTGGTTTTGTTAATAATAGTCTTTTGTTTGTTCATTTTGAAAATGAGAAAATGTGAACACTGTGTGGGAATGCTGTATTTCAAATAGGATTCACAAGGGAAAATTGGGTCTGCAACTTAAAGCTATGGAGAAAACAGGAAATGGTACAGCCTGCTGCTGCTTCGTTGCTTGGGTATGAATCTATAGGATTCTCAGGGAAAGGACAACTAAAATTGGGCTTGTAAGGCAGTATCTTCTGCTAGTGAGCTCCCTCAGAAGAGCTTGCAACCCAAACCCAAACCACTAAGCACTGCAAAGGAACTTTTATTTTTTGCTTTTGTACAATAAGAAAAAAAATCACCCTGCCAAAACAAAACAAAACCAATTTATCAGTAACGAAATGGGAAAATTATCACCATTCTGATAGAAATAATCATGTTTCAAGAGAAATTGTTAACATATCTGTATCGGGCTGCACATTTCTGAAGGAATTATTTTCCTTGGTCATGGTAATGGCTGTATTTGTCAAACTATTATAAAGAAAAAAGAGAAAGAAAATCAGAAAGGGAGAGAGAAAAAGAGAACATAAGTGAGCTTATTCCAGTGAGATGCTCCACGAACATTATTTTCAGGTGTGAGGTTGTCCGTACTGTATCCAACCAGTATTCAGCCCAGTTTTTTTTAGCCTCAGTTTTCTAACATGCATATTTCATGATCTCCATAGCAGCATTTTAGGAGTTAAACAATTAATGTCTCACAAAAGAATTTAACGATTTCAGAAGTTAATAGAAAACCTAAAATAAAATTATTCCCTAACTATCAGGGCAAGAAATACCAAGACAAGGATTATAAAGAAATCTTCACAGCATGGTAGAAAGATGTAAGGGCTCTGAATCTGTGAGTTGTAATATTCTAGAAAAATATTCTATCAAAATTTATTATTCTGCCAAATGAGAAGTTTGGACTAGATGATCTCTCTGGCCCTTTTCAGATCTAAAAATCATTATATGAAGTGGACATATTTAAATCCAGACAGGATTGCCAGGTTTTGGAGGTCCTATAATGAACAGGATATGGGCCCTATCTTTGCAGGTTCACATAATGTGGCATGAAGGTCTCATTTTGTGCAGATGTGCAAATTGAGTAGTATTCTTGCTATTTGTTTCTGAAACATATTAATGTGTTTCATACAAAGGCTTTCCAGTGAAACACAAGTAAATGCTAATCTATATGGCCCGTTGGTGGATTTTTCATGCTTTTGAATTTATAAGGGTCTCTTCAGCCTGTGTTGATGTACAACTGGGGGTAGACTTTTAGAGTAACCTCATAGATACTATAGCTCATGGAGGTTTGTTTGTATGTGTTTGCACAAACATGTACAAATTTACTCTTTAATTTGGCGCTAAGTCTCCCAATGCTGAATTATACTCACAACCACTCACTCTACCCACACACATACTTTCAGCACAAAAATTCTTTGAACTCAACTCTAAATGGTCAAGGGCCTGACCAGATGATTCCGTAAGAGAAATTTTATCTACTTTCCTCCTGGACCTCAAGAGAAGAAGCACTGACACAAGCAGGGAAGAGCATTCTAATCTGAATTCTGAGAGCTTTGCCTGTTAGTTTCCTGCCAGGCACAAGTTTGAGTAGACAGTGCTGTCCAGCACATGCGTTGTCTAGGTCTGCCGGCCGTGGCTGTCAGTGGGTTCTATGGTTCTAAGGTGAGCCTCCTAGAATGGCACATTTCAATGTCCACACGACAATAATTTGTAATACTAATCAAAGTCTTTTATTCTATCTTTATAGTTTTAGAATGTTCTGACTCTCATGAAAGAGTATTTCCTCTGAAAATGCATTTCTGGGAAAATGCCTAATACTCCAATGTTACTTTTTTTTTCCCCCTAAAAGTTCACTCAGATAATACACAAGACCTTTTTGGACTTTGAACATTCCTTAGCCAGATGTTCAACAGCAAATATTTTCTCAGCTGGAAAAAAAGAAGAAAAAAACAGTGAAACTTGTCAGCAATGGTGAGAATTATCAGTATCAGTGAACACTTTTTTTTTTTTTGCTTTTGCATGGGAGACTGGCAAAAATATTTGAAATATGACTCTCAGACCTATCCTTAATATACCTTAATAAATTCCAGCTCTGGAGTAGCAAAAGAAAACTGAAACTGGAGACTGCAGAGCGTACAAAAATATGGAACATATTCAGAAGTTATTACTATTCATTCTACTTCCAATCATACATTCTCTCAACCTCTATGTGATAAATGAAACTTCAGTGTATGTTTGCATTGCCATTTATGAGTTTCAAGAATAAATGACCTGATTTTTTTTGCAGAGGTGTTCCCTAGAGGACTTAAAGGTAACTGAAATATCTTTGGCCCAGAATGTTTCTTCATAGCTTTGATGCCAGAGAATTTAATTGAATATGAAAACCCACTTAGGAATAAAAATCTGAAGGCAATTTGGGCATTGCATTATGGGGCTAAGCCAAATATTTCAAAAATACTGTACCTCAAATGAAATTTTCATACATTTGGCTGGTTAACTAAATATGATTAAAAAATTTCCTGGAGAAGGAACTGACTTTTTGAATCCATGATATTAAAAAGAATGCTAAATAAATTGGAACACAAGAAACCATTGGTTTGGTTTGAAACCAATGAAAAAGCTTGAAAAGTAACAGCTTTTTATCAGCAGAGGAAATATATTAATTCCCTTGGTCTGGTCTTTCCCTTCTTTGCCTTGAAGCTATTAGGGTCCACTTTATGGTCTCTCCCAGCCTGTATGATCACTCGTTCCCCAGCTAAAGTGATTTGAAAAAGAACTAGAATCCACTCTGCTGCTTTCTCCCACAATGCTCAGATTCTAAAGGGTTCTCAAATAAGAATAGGCAAAGCAGTGTCCTTTTAACTCAGAATACCTACGGATTCAGACTTGGGTTCTTTCAATTATTGACTTGGGATCTTTCCAAATCTGAATCATCCTATAGATAAGGCTCCTTCATTGTGACATGGTAAATTATCTTATAATTAAAAACTAAGTCGTAGGCCAGGTGTGATGGCTTATGCCTCTAATCTCAACACTTTCAGACACCAAGGTGGAGGATGGCTTGAGCCCAGGAGTGCAAGACCACCCTGGGCAACACAGTGAGACCCCATCTCTAAAAAAAAAAAATTAAAAATTAGTCAGGTGTAGTGGTGGGTGCCTGTGGTACTAGCTAATCTAGAGGCTGAAGTGGGAGGATTGCTTGAGCCCAGAAGTTCAAGGCTGCAGTGAGCTGTGATTGCACCACTGCACTCCAGCCTAGGCAAGAGAACAAGATCCTGTTTCATAAGAAAAAACAAAAAAACTAAGCTTTTATCTTAGAAACATTTTAAAGAAACTACAGTCAAAACTGGCATACCAGTACACTATAAACCACCATTTAAAATTTTGGCATTTTAACTTTGAGAATGTGACATTGGTTACTTGAAATTTGAATGTTAGGACATAAATCTTGGAAATATTTGGGCTTAGTTAAAGAGCAATCTCAACTTATAAAATGTTATCACCATGAGCTTTTTGGTAGATGTTAAAAATCCTTTAAGAAATCGCTTGAGTTTAATGAAGATACATTTTTTAATTGAAAATTTGAAAAAATGCCCCTTGCTTGAATGAGTAGAGTTGATGATGCTCAGGTTGCAAAGTTAGGGAAATGTGGTCAAGGGAGTCACCTACCTGCTCAAATCCTTCTTATGGTAAAAACTGAGTGTAGGGAATTACCATTATTTATTCTCATCCCATCTCTTTCCCTCAGTAGAAAGAAAAATTGTTGATTAAATTTTATATTTATTACCCAAGCCATATTTAAATTATTATATTATATTAAGTTACAATACATAACTTAAGTGGAAATATCAGAAGGCTTATTTGTTTTGAAAGGGATTAGCAAAATATTTGGAAATTTCTATTGTATTATTCACTCTTTGAATAATGCTGGTATCTGTGATTTGATTGAAAGGAATGTTTTCAATTATGATTGAAACACCTAAAGTCAGCAAAGCTGGATGAAATTGTGCCTTTATTACACCTTGATGTTATATTTCTACTGGAAGGGTAGACAAGCAATTGACATACAAATAATTGAATATTCATTTGCTGTTCACACCAACCTGAAGCCTGATTACTTGCTAGAGAGCTGCCTTTCACTTCCTCAAACCATTTTCCAGCACCTTTTGATTTCAGAATTGGCCCAAATGCAAGGAACCAAAAGTACAGAATGTACTGCCAGAAAATTTCTTTGCGTTTCTGCTACTGGAAGCCAATAGGCTTAAAACAAATATTCTAAGGGAAATTGTAAAGGACATACCACATATGTTTATACATGATATAAAATAAAGCCACATACTATTATTAAATCTTAGAGTGACACTTTCTCCTAATATTACCTGGTTTCAAACTGGCCAATTAACAATTAGCTATTCACAAAACTGCCCAATTACTAACATCACTTAGGTGGTATTAAAAAATACACAGGTCAGGTCTTTGAGTAAGTCCTCCTTACTTCCTTCTTAAGAGTTTCTAATTCAGTAGCATTGGACAGTGTCCCAGGAAGTTTTTAAAAAGATCTCTGGGTGGTTCTGAAGATAGACCACATTTCAGATCTTCTCACTTTAACCACCTATTAGCCAGGTACCTCAGCTCCTTTGGAGATGGAGTGAATAAAGTGAATCTTCCACTTGCATACCAAATACTAGAGTGCACTGCTTTAAGACTAATCTCTGGTATTTGCAATTATATATGCAAATACCAACATAGATGAAAGAAGAACCTAAACAATTATAGTAACGGGAAATCCATTCCTGAAGCTGTTGACTTCAATCTTAGAAATGGCTGGAAATTTCTTCCTAGAGGGATCAAATTTAGGTATAAAAATTGAAAGTTGTCCCTCAGTGGAATGAAAGTGTCCTGGGAGACCAAATGCTAGAATTTTAACACAGTATCTTTTATTTCCTTATGAAATTCTATTTTCTTATTACAAAAGTAAAACTTAGAAAATAGAAAAAATATTTTTAGAATTAGAAAATAAATGAAGGTACAGTGTTTGAGTGACTTTGCAACTACCACAAGGAAGCAGAATTCTAGCCCTGCTGCAGAGCTGTTGCTCTCAACAGCCATGGAGGGCCTACTGGGAGGATGAGTAGACAGGTTGTGGATGTGAACTTGCAATTTCCTAAACCTCCCCTCTGCTCCTGCATTTCTGTTTTAACATAAATATTTAGGTGGTAGAAAATTAATTAGGAAATCTTTAGGTTAGTTGGAGACATGCTGTGGTACTACAAAAATAGCTTAGGAACCATAGATCTCAATTTACCTATCAGGCTGAGTTTTTGCCTCAGCTTTTTATTCTTTAAACATTACCAAAGGGAAAAGAGAGAATTTTACAAATAACTAGAAACTTTTACCTGTGATGCATTTTATTTTCCTTTCCTTGGTAAAATAATTCTGATTTTTTTCTTTAGATCTGAAAACTCCCCTAAATGACCACTGTAAATTTCTGCAAATTTCCAGATATAAGCAAACATCCCAAGAAAATATCTTATTTTTTTCAGACTAATTTAACAATTGGATACCGGTTTCTTATAAACAGTCACTTTTAACTCAGGCTGTGAATTCAGAAAAGAAAAATATGAGCCCTCTCAACAGGGTTTGCTATTTTAGGAGTCTTCTAAGCTTCTGTGCTCTGTCATGCTTAGCTAACACAAAGCTCTCTCCCCGGGAAATCAGCCATCTTAATTGCTCAAGCTTTCATTGAAGAATATTGAAAGTGACCAGAGCCCAGAGGGTCAGAGTCGTAATGATGAATATTTATTACTATTCTTATGTCCTCATTGATTAGTGACACACAGAATCATCTCTATGTTTTTAGTATCATGTAATCTGCATCGAATCACTTTCTCTGGAAACCTTGACCCCGTTTCTGTTAAATCACATGTACACTATTAAATGATTTACAAGCTGCCCAGTTTAGCTTCATCTTTTACATCTCTCTAGTGATTGCATTTCTATTTTTTTAACAACAAACTTCTCATAGGTCAAAGAAAGCCTCACCTCAAAGAGGTGAAACTCCCTTTTCCTTCTCATTCAGTTTGATGAAACAGGATTGGAACTCACTGTTTCTGAACTATCATTCTCAGTGCTAGGTAATATGGCAGCCCAGTGCTGCTGAGTGATGGAAACCTCCAGGCTGACATCTGGTGTTGGATCATTTTAGACACAAAGGAAATCCACTTATTCTGAGGCTGCTGTGGAGGCAGCCGGCCAGCAGTTAAGCAACAGCATAAAGATCATGCTTGCCCAACTTTGAAATTCTAAAAAAATGAAAAGAAAAAAAAAAAAAGGAAAGGAAAGAAAAGCATCTGTCCAGCATCTGTTGTTAGAAACTTTCTCCCTGTTATGAACCTCAGGATGTCTGTTTCTAGAAATGTCAGTTCACCAGGTAACATTGCTAAGACCAATATAATGTAGGATACTGATAATGTGGGGAAATGAAGTAATAAAAACAGGAATCCTGTCTCTGTTAAGGTAAAATCCTATCTAAGATACAGAGATCCAGTTGTGTTTTAGGGTACATATCAAGACATCTAGACTAATAAGCCCTCTGTTTAGTTTCAGATTTCTTCCAAATAGTCTTTTTATATCCTCAATAACTAGTTTTTCCCATTCCCAGTACCCCTTGCATAGTTTTTCATATATAGGGGATATTCAGTCAATCATTTTTGAAAGACACTCAATCTGTTAAAGTTTGTCAGATAATTTAAAAAAGCTTTAGGGTGGGTGCAGTGGCTCACTCCTGTAATCCCAGCATTTTGGGAGCCTGAGGTGGGAGGATTGCTTGAGCCCAGGAGTTTGAGAGCAACCTGGGATTGCCTTTATGAAAAAAAAAATTAGCCGGCTGTGTTGGCACATGCCTGTAGTCCCAGCTACTTAGGAGGCTGAGGTGGGAGGATCAGGGAGGTCGAGGCTGCAGTGAGCCATGATTATGCCACTGCAATCCAGCCTGGGTGACAGAGTGAGAGTGAGACCGTATCCCCCCACTCCCCCAAAAAAGAGCTTTGATCTGTTAGATTTCTTTTGTTTTTTTCTTATGAAAAATTTCCAACAATCTGCAGTTTCTATTGAATTTGGAAAAAACTTTGGTTTGCTTTATTTATTTATTTAGAGATAGAGTCTCTCTCTGTCACTCAGGCTGGAGTACAGTGGCGCAATCTGGGCTCACTACAACCTCTGCCTCCCGGGTTTAAGTGATTCTTCTGCCTCAGCTTCCCAAGTAGCTGGGACTACAGGCACATGCCACCACACCTAGCTAATTTGTGTATTTTGAGTAGAGACAGAGTTTTAAACATATTGGCCAGGCTGGTCTCGAACTCCTGACTTCAAGTGATCCACCCGCCTAGGCTTCCCAAAGTGGTGGGATTACAGGCATGAGCCACATGCCCGGCCTGGTTTGCTTTCATGTATTTTATGATGAAATATTTCAAACATAAAAGAAGATAGACAATAATATAATAAACACCCACATACCCATGAACAATCATTAAAAAGAAATAAACTTTGTCCCATGTTGTTTGTTTCAGATATCTTTTTAAAAAGAAGCAGAATATCGCAGATAGAGTTGAAGCTCCTAACACTCCAGGAATCTGTTCTCTTTTCTTTCCTCCCTTTCTCAGAGGGTGCTGCTACTTAGAGTTCGATGCATGTCACGCTCATGCATGGCTCATCAGTACATACTTACACCTTTTACTGTATAAGTTGCATATATTTTATTATTTCATTTACTATATAAGCAATACATATTTTACTATGTATATATTTACTTACAAGATAGTTGGCAACACACTGTATTTACAATTTTCAAATTTTCTCTTTTTACTTAATATTATATTTTTGAGATTTACTGTCTATTCATCTAGCTTCTCCAACTTTGGAAAAGAAAGTTTTTTTGTTTTTAATAATTTTCAATTTATTATGAACCAATGTCTTATTAAAATGTAATAAAATAAATTATTAGAAACGTAATAAAACACATCAAACTTTTTTATTATTTCATTTAACAGATAAAAATTATTCCAAGTTGCTATAAAAGTTTCTAAATATTTCCTCTCAATTTTAGTTCTCATCTTGACATAGATTGATAACAAATGACTTATGAACTGACACTGATCCACAGAACATGCTTTGAGTATAATAGGTGTATATAATCTACTTTCACCACTGTACATTAGTTTATGGTCTGTAATTGTACCATTTATTTATTAACTACTCTTTTAGTAAGTGCTTATTTCTAGTTTTTTGCTATCCCTAACAGTGCTCCAATGAATATTGTGACCTAGTATATGGCTCCTTGTGCCTAAGTCCCAGAATGCAATTGTTTAGTCAAAAGATATTATTGCCTTCTTCCTCAGTGGTCTTAATACATTTTGCTTGCATTGTCCTAAAATAATTTTGAAAACCTAAATAAACTCTCACACATCTAAATATATATATATACACACATATTAATAAATGTTACATGATACCATTATATATAAATATATGTGTGTAATTTTAGAAATGTGTGTATTCACACGCTAGTATACACACATGCATTTTCTAGCTGTGATCCCTGAGAGAGTCTAATAGCAATGACATACCAGAAAAAACAAATGCACCAAGCATGTGGATCTTGATTTCTATTACCATTTTCCAATAAAAGGAAGCAGGGCTTTTTGGAAAAATGGCTGATTCTAGAACTGAGTCACGGAAAATACAAGAATGGCCTAGAGAACTTGAAGGGTCAGAAAGTAAGAAAGTGCTTTGAAGACAAAATGATGAGGGTCAAAGTGACACAGGAGTCAACTTGAAAAGCTCCCAATGGGCAAGGCTGGGACAATTTGAGCAACAAAATAAATAATGTAGTATTGGATTATAACCCAACATATAAAATGAATACCCATGAATTCATAGGAATAGAAATACATAATCAAACAAATAAATAAATAAATGAGGAAGAGACAAATGTCCCATATCGAAGAATTTCAAATAATTATATATAAATATAACTCCTTCTGGGAGCAGAATGCAGCTCCTGGACCCCTTAAGTGAGGGCTGTGCATCGTGACTTCCTTCCAAAGAGTACAATATGGATTGGGGTGGGGAAGTCAGGAAGAGCAACTTTACCCTAGAGAGATCTGACGAACACGACCGCAATTGGGCTATCAAGGTGAATATCCTCTGTGATGTCATGTTGATAGAATGTATCTTTGATATGATGTTATGATAAGGACAGTTTATCTTTGTGATCTTCCTTCACAAAATGCACGACCACAGTGTAACCATGAGAAAAACATGTAGAAAAACCCCATGTGAGGGACATTGTACAAAATGTCTGGCCCGTAAGCCTCAAAACTGTCAAGGTAAAAACAAACAACAATAACAACAACAACAACAACCAAAGAACAAGGAAAGATTGACAAACTGTCACAGTCTAGAGGAGCCTAAGAAGACATGGTGACTAAATGTAATGTGGTAACCTGGATGGGATCTGGGAATAGGAAAATATATGAGGTACAAACTGAGGAAATCCAAATAAAGTATGGAATTTAGTAATAATCATTTATTAATATTAGTTTATTCATTCTGACTATAGTAATGTAAGATGTTAACGATAGGAGAAACAAGGTGCAGGGAATATGAAACTCTCCATGCTGTCTGTAAATCTAAAATTATTCTGAAACAAAATGTTTATTTTTATAAAAAGGCAATTGAGAAAATGAAATAGAACAAGGAACATAAACATTTACATAAATACTTGTACCCACAAAATAAAATAAATGACCATACATGTAAAAGGTTATTTTGGGATTTTCAATTCTGATCCACGATTTAGATGTCTCCTTACACAATACCTCTCTAACTTAATTTCTGTAGTTTTGTAGTACATCTTGAAATCAGGTAGTGCAAATCTTTCAACTCTTATTTTTCAAAGCTTTTTTGGTATTCTGGGTCCATTGCTTTATCATTTATTGTTGAAATACCTTGTCAATTTCTATTAAGAAAGACTGCAGAAATTTTAATAGACATTAGATTAAATAAATACATACATTAACCTAGGGAGAACTGACCTCTTAAGATATTGTCTTAGAGTCTATGAATAGATAATAGCTTTTCATTTTGTTAGAGGTATTTAATTTCTCTCAGCAATCCTTTGTAGGTTTTTGTGTACCAGTATTTCATTTCTTCTGTTAAATTTTTTCATAAGTATAGTATTTCTTTTCGATGCTATTTTGAATAAAATTGTTTTCTTAATTTCAAGTTTTGATTATTGCTAGTATTAAAAATACCATTGATTTCTCAATTTTGGTTTGTATCCTGCAACCTTTCAAAGATGTTTACTAATTGTAGGTTTCTTTCCTTTTTATGTTTTCTTAAGATTTTCTACACACAAGATCATGTTGTCTGCAAATAAAAACAGCTTTATTTCTTTTTATCCAATCCATATCCCTTTAGTTTATGTTTATGGCCTGATAGCATTGTCTGAAACCCCTGGCACAGAATTGAATAGAAGCAATGAGAGCAAACATCTTGGCTTTGTTTCTGGTCTAATTGTGAAAGCATTCAGTCTTTCACTATTAAATAGGTTGTTAGTCCTAGAGTTTTTAAAGAGTTCCTTTATAAAGTTGAAGTTGTCTTCTATTCACTGTTTGTTTAAAGTATTTTTTAAAATCATAAGTGGATGCTGGAATTTCCTCAAATGCTTTTCTGAGTCTATTGAGGTGGCCATGTGGTTTTTGCCATCTATTCTATTGATATTATGTATTATACTGTTTGATTTTTGGATGTTAAACAAACTTTGTATCTTCACATCCAAGTGGGTAAATCCTACTTGCCATGATGTATAATCCTTCTGACCTGTTAACAAGATTTGGTATTGCTAATATTTTGTTAAGGATTTTTGTATTTGTATTCATTAATCCTAAATGAATTGGTCTACAGTTGTTTCTCATTTGATGTCTTTGTCTGGCTTTGGTATCAGAGTAATGCTAACTTCATAGAATAAATCAGAAAGTGTTTCTTCCTCCTTTACTTTCTGAGTTTGTGCAGGATTGGTATCCTTTCCTTTTTCTTCTTTAAATATTAGGTAGAATGCACTAGTGAATTCAGGCTTTTCTTCATGGGAATGATTTTTATTACTAATTAAATTTCCTTCCCTCCTTCCCTCCCTCTCCCCCTCCCTCCCTCCCTCCCTCCCTCCCTCCCTCCCTCCCTCCCTCCCTCCCTCCCTTCCTTCCTTCCTTCCTTCCTTCCTTCCTTCCTTCCTTCCTTCCTTCCTTCCTTTCTTTTTTTTGGCACAGTCTTGCTCGGTCACTCAGGCTGGAGTAAAACAACACAATCGCAATCACTGCAACCACCACCTTCTGGGCTCAAGCAGTTAACCCACCTCAGCCTCCCAAGTAGCAGGGACTGTAGGTGTGTGCCACTATGCTGGGCTAATTTTTGTATTTTTTGTAGAGAGGGGGTTCGTCATGTCACCTAGGCTGGTCTCAAACTCTTGGAATCAAGTGATTTGTTTGCTTCAGCCTCCCAAAGTGCTGGGATTACAGGTGTGAGCCACTGTGTCTGGCCTAACTTAATTTCTTTACTTGTTGTAGTTCTCTACAAATGTTCTATTTTTTCTTGACTCTCTTTTGCTATTAATAATAAGTATCTTTGTCTCAATTTTTCCATTTTATTCAAGTTGTTAATTCATTGGCATAAAGCAGATTGTAATATTTTCTCATAATCATTTAAATTTATGTGGAAGTTACTGATGCTCCCATTTTCATTCATAATTTTATTAATTAGTCTAATTCTTTATCAGTTTTGCTGACTTTTCAAAGAACAAACTTTTGGTTCCATTGATTTTCTCTGTTAGTTTTCTATTTTCTTACTAATTGATTACAGCACTGATCTTTATGATGTCCTTCTACTTAATTTGGGTCTGGTTTGCTTTTCTTTTCTTTAGGTGGAGAAAACTTAAAGTTTTTTTCATTTCTAATATGTGTTTAAAGCAATTAATTTTTCTCTAAGTATTACTTTAGCTGCATTCCCAAATTTTTATATATTTTCCTCTTCATGCAATTCAAGACATTTTCTTAGTTTCAAAGTAGTTTGTTAATTGACCCTTGGGTTATTTATAAATGTGCTGTACAATTTCCAAATATTTGGGATCTCCCAAATTTCTTCATTAACAACAGAAAATGAACAATTTCTAATTTAACTAAAATTAAATTAGGGTTAACAATTATAATTAACAACTTCTAATTTAATTTTATTGGTCTCAGAAAGCATATTTTAAGTGATTTCAATTCTTTTAAATTTATTGAGACTTATTTTATGGCCTAGAATATGGTCCATTCTGGGGAATATTCTTTTTGTCATTGAAAAGAGTGTATTTTCTGCTGTTTAGTGGGGGAGTGTTCTGTAAATGTCAGGTAGGTCAAGTTGATTGGAAATGTTGTTTGTTTCAGTTTTCAATATCTGTAATGATTTTCTGCCTTGTTGTTCTATCAATGACTTAAAGTGAGGTATTAAAATTTGCACCTGTAATTGTTGAACTGATTTATTCTTTCAATTCTGTTTGTGTTTGGTTCATGTACTTTGGGGCTCTGATGTTATGTATGGTAAATTTAAAACTTCCATATATATTGACCCTTGTATCATAAAATGTCCTTCCTTGTCACTAGTAATTTTTTTATATTTCTTTTTTTGAATTTTATTTTTAATTGACATGTAATAATTGCACATAGGTAGGGAGTACAGAGTGATATTTTGATATCTGCATGCAATGTGTGTATGATAAAATCAGGGTAGTTTGCATATCTATCACCTCAAATATATATCATTTCTTCATGTTGGGAGTATTCAAAATCCTCTCTTCCAGTTATTTGAAAATATACAATGAATTATTGTGAACTATAGTTATCCCACAGTGCTACAGAGCACTAGAACTTATTCCTGCTATCTAGCTGTACTTTTGTATCTGGTAATCGACCTCTCTTTATATTCCCTTCCCCATTCCTCTTTCCAGGTTCTAATAACCACAGTTCTACTCTCTACTTCAATGAGTTCAACATTAATAATATTTCTTATTTTAGTCTCTATTTTGTCTCATATTAATAGCCACTCCATATAGTCTACTATATGCAAGGTATATCTTTCCTCATCCTTTTACTTTCAGCCTAGTTGTCTCTTTAAATTCAAATAGTGTCTCTTGTAGACAACACACCATTGGATCTTGCTTTTTTATTCAGTCTGAAAGTCTCTGCCCTCTCACTGGAGTGTTTATTTAGTTCATACACTTTAAAAGACACTATTAATATAGTTGGATTTACATCTGTCATTTTGCTGTCTATTTTTGATGTATATCATGTCTTTTTTGTTCCTCTATTCTTCCTTTATTACATTTTTATATTGAGCAAATATTGTAATGTGCCATTTTACTTTCTCTGTGTTTTAAAATAACAGCTTTATTCAGATAATTCATATACTATAAATTCACATATTTAAAGTGTGAGATTCAGTTGTTGTAGTATATTCACAGAGTTGAGTAGCCATCACCACAATGAATTTTAGAACATTTTCATCACCCCCAAAAAAATCCCTGTACTAATGGGACAGATTTCTCCATTTCTCCCTAAACCTCCCCCTGCCCAGACCTCAAAAATTATTATCTACTTTCTGTGTCTACAGATTTTCCTATTCTGGTAAGAGTAAACATTCTTATATTGTTTCTGATCTTAGGAGGAAAGTACTCTTTCACTGTTAAATATGATGTTAGCTGTGGATCTTCATAGATGCCCTTAATTAGATTGAGGAGGTTCCCTTCTGTTCCTAATTTGTTGAATGTTGTTGTCAGAAAGTGTATGAAGTTTTATCGAATGCCTGTTCTGCATCTATTGAGATGATAATGTAATTTTTGTTTTTAAGCCTATTACTGTGATGTGTTATACTAATTGATTTTGGGTCTGGGGCAGTAGGAGGTTTAGAGGGGAATGGGAGAGGCTGTCCATGAGTACAGGGATTTTTTTAGGGAGTGATGAAAATATTCTAAAATTGATTGTGGTGACCACTACTCAACTCTGTGAATATTTTCATAAACTTTATATTTCTGAAATAAATTCCACTTGTTAATGGTATATAGTCCTTTTATATATGTTGCCAGACTCTGTTTGGCAGTATTTTATTGAGGATGTTTACGTCTATATTCATAACAGATATTGGCCCATAGTTTTCTTTCTTTGTGATATGCCTTTCTGATTTGAATATTAGGATAATACTGGCCTCATAGAATGAGGTGCGAACTATTTCCTCTCTTTCTGATATTTGGATGACTTCGTGAATAATTGGCGTTAATTCTTTTAGTGTTTGATAGAATTTACCAGATAAGCCAATTTGTCCTGTGCTTTTCTTTGGGGGTAGTGTTTAATTATCTATTCAGTTTTTTACTGTTCTAGGCCTATTCAGATTTTCTATTTTCTTTTTGAATCAATTTTAATAGTTTGTGTTCTTCCTGGATTTTATTCATTTTGTCTAATTTATGTAATTTGTTGGCATATAGTTGTTCATAGTATTCCTTTACAAACCTCTTTATTTCTGTAGGATTTGTAGTAATGTCTCGTCTTTCATTTTCATTTTTCTAAGTCTATATTTGAGTTATTTTCTTAGTGGTTATTGTAGACTATTTTAGGGATACACTATACATTTTAACTATCACAGTCTGGACCAGGTAATACTGATTTAATTCCAGTGAAATATAACAACTTTGTATATGTTATAAACACAATACAGTGCTGCAGTTTTGCTTTTATAGTTTTATATTTCTCTCATTCTAGTGTTTTTCCTCAACTGGGATTGCAAACTCAGGCTAGTTTAGCCTAATGCTTTCTCAATTTATTTCAATAATTTTACTAACAATGCTGCCATCCACAATTGTTGCCCTCTGCTCCAAATCAGGTTCACTCCTGCTAGCAGCAAAGCTGCTGGTTTTCCAAACCTGTCCTATCCTTGTAAAATGACCATGCCAACTGACTAGGTATGTGTGTGTTTATGTGCACGTGTGTGTGAGTGTGTGTATGGGAGAAAGCAAGCTAGGTAAACAAGGCTGCAGGTAGAATCCCACTGTTTTTACACAAAACATTGGTAATCTTTTGTGAGTAAACACTTCTTACTTTCTTGTTCACCACTGGCTAACTATAGCTCTGAAATGTTTGTTTTTAACAATTTTTCCAGTTTTAGACTTGTTTTTTTTGGGGGGGAGAAGATTCTCCAACATCTTCATGCCACCACCTTCAGAAAGTCAAACTTTCTGATTTATAAAGAGAACATTTCTTCTTGTAAAATAGTTAAATAATAGAGGCATAAAGAATAAAAATCAATTCCCCTGTATCTCAGCATCCAGTTACAACCCCTGTTAACTTCAATGTGAATATCCTTTCAGACTTTCTCGATGTATTACCATAGAATTTTATATTAAGAAGATTACACATTACAGAATGTTTTACAACCTGCTTTTTCCATTCAATAATACAGTAAATAAACATTTCAATGTCAGTATTAATAGACTTACATCATTCATATTGATGCCTGCAAAGGATGTTATTTTATGACATAGTTATTCAAAAATTCATTACCCATTCCTTCTTGAGGAGTTTTAAGATGATTTTCTCTCTTTTACTTTTTCTCATTTCGAAAACAACATGATAAAAGTACATCTGTACTTATGTGTGTAGGTATCTCTTTAGGAAAAATGTCTATAGAAAATATTACCTGGCTTCAGGATGTGATCATTTAAACTTTGGGTGCATTTTGTCAAATTGTCTATTGATTCATACCCCCTCCATCAGTTCATAGGGATTGCCATTTCCCATATTTTCATAAGCACTTGGCATCACTCATTACTTTCACATTTCCTAGATAAAAAATTGAGAAAGATAATTCCTATTTTTGTTTTCATTTATTTGATTACTTGTATAATTGAACATGTTTTCTGGTATTTATTGAATATTTCTATCTCTTTTTCTGTGTGAAGTTCCCATTTCTATTCTTTGCCAGTTTCTTTAATATTAGGATTTTTCATATTTATTAAGATTCTTCCATTTGTCATGTTAATATTTTGCCTGCTATCTTCATTATAAATATCTTCCCCATTTTTTTCATGTCTTCAACTTTGTAATATGTTTTTTTTTATTCACCTTAAAAAAAAGCTCATTTTATTTTTATGGTAGAGCACAGGCTATGGAATCAGAATGTTGAGGTTCCAATTCTAACCTATTTATAAGCTATGTGACTATAGATAATAAATTACTCTATGCCTCAGTTTCCTCACATGTAAATTGTGAATGATAGCACCTACCTTATAGAAATTGTGTGTGTCAAATGTTACAATATATGTAAAACATTTAGAATATTGCCTGTAAGTTCTTAATGAATCTCACCTATTATTGTTTTTATATAATAAAATCTTAATTAGTTTCTGGCTTTCTGGTATTCACAGCCGCCCTCACTATAAGATTGTGTAATATGCTAAATGTGCTTGGTTGGTTTAAGATTTTAAATATATTTATTCATACTTTATTCCCATACTTCTATAGTATTAATATTTATATACTTACATATTCAACCTATTTGGATTTCATTTTGGTGAATGAGATGTGTATCAAGTTTTTTGTTTATAATCTATTTTATTGAATAATTGCCAGATAAGTTAATAATTTGTTGCATATTACATTTTTGTTTTATATTAGATTGAATTACAATATATAATTAGAAGTAACTCTGCCCTCTCTATTTTGTTCTAATTAAGTCTGTCTACTTCTGCATCAGGATTATACCACAACTATTTAATTATTGAAACAGTTTTAACAGATTTATGTCTGTGTGATCCTGTTCTCTCATTTATAAAAGTATGAAAATAGTGGTACCTATCTCAGAGAGCTATTTGAAAATTAATATATGTTAAGTATTTAGAACAGTTGCTTTGCTACATGTAAATGTTTCAATACATATTAGCTGTTGTAATTATTTTTTTCTGCAAGAATAGTTTTATTTCTAGAATGTTGGATTGTTAGCCCAAGTCAAGGGTAGAATCTATTTTCCTACCTCTTGGATCAAGTAGGCTTGTGCTGTGTCTTGATCAGTAGAATGGTAGAAGTGACCTTGTGTGATTTGTAAGCCTGGGCCTCAACAGACCTTAAGGCATCTACTTTCACTGTGTAGGAAACTTGGGCTCTCTTGCTGTATAGAATATAACTGAGGTGCCCTGGGTGGCTGTTCTGGAAAACCACCAGAAACATGAACCATTTTGGGCCATTCATTCTTAGTAGAAATCTCAATGCCAGCAAGCTGTAAGAGAGGCCCCCAGGTGAGCTTAGCAGAAAGACTATCCAGCTTAATGCAGCTAAAATTGCAGAACTGTGAAGAAATAAGTGTTTTAAGCTTCGGTTTTATAGCTTTCAAATGCCACAGTAGATAACTGATACACACACATTAGTTTTCCATTTTATTTTAAAATCAAATAATTACCTAAATATCTCAATAATTGAAGTTTTGCATTCTACAAGAATGCTTACTCTTTTGTAATCTGTCTTTGAATCTAAACTTTAGTCATTATTCTAGCAACACAAATATCTATGAAGATATAAGAAAATATGAAAACTCACAATAATAACTAAAAGAAAAATTGATGAATTATTCTCATAGTCTGTGAACATTTTTTCTGTTAAATACATAGAGGACAGAGCTATAGTTAGAACAAATAATGGCTTATCTTTGCTTGAACCCAGAAGTCCTGGTCATCTGAAATGGCAAGATGTTCAGTCCTTCTCCCAGCCTACTATCAGCCCCTAACCTCCCAGCCCCACTATCTAGAAACCTGGGATCAGTACCAAATACCGAACACTATTTTGCACAAAAATGTGTAATTTTTTACTTGTAAGATACATTCACGTTGATTGTGAAAAAAATTGTAACCCTCTGCTGCTTTAGAATACACACCAGAATAAAATATGATAATTAGTACTTCCAAATCAGTAGCTATTATTTTCCTGTGGCCAAATCTATTTAACTGTGTTTCTTTATTATGCATAAAAGATGTTTTGAAGTCCAAATCCTAAGTATATTCGCATACAGTTTTTCCTCTGGTACTGTGCCAGTTACTTGGTGTGTGACATATTTTATTTCAATAATTAGGTAAAAGGATAAATAGCAGACTTAAGGAAGTCAGGAAGAAAATTAAGACCAACACACACAGAAATTTGTGGATTGCAATTTTTCTTTAATGTAGCTTCTGAAATAATCAGAATGGCTGATCTCTGGCATATCTAAAGAGAAGAAAACCTAGTAAATGAGCAAAATTAGTAATGATAAAGTTGTTTGGCAACAGCTACTGAAAAGATGGTCCAATAATTCAACCATAAGGATATGACATTTTAAGCTTTTGTGTTTGTTAAAAAAAGAAGGTAAATTGGCTGAAATTAAATCCCCTAAGTCAAAACTTTTACATTTCTCTAGTTTTCAGCAGTATAATTCTCTTGTATAGAGAAATATTTAAAATAATAGTAAATGCGGTTCTGCTCTTTATGCTAGTTTTTGACATTTCTCATTTTTCTAGGTGTAAATCATGGGAAAAGTTATTTTTGTAATTTATCTGAGAAAGTACTAACCTAGATTCTTCTAAGTCAGGATGAGATGGTAATGTTTTTTCCGAATCTCACCAAGAAAAACCGTTAGGGAAACACAGTATAATTTGATGAAATAATTTTATTTTCTGCCACAAATGCCATTTCTAGCAGTGCATGGTACAACGTTCTACCCTTCTTGTTCGATTTGTTCAACATATTAAGAGAGATTACTGGTAAGATACAGGCCAGGAAATTGCTGCAGTCTATCAGACCAATGGATCTTCCTTCCCCACCCCTCCAGTACCTCTGATGATCCATACACATGCATAGTGTGCATCACATACATGGCATGGTTTCCAGGCCTCTGTGTGTGTGTGTGCATGCACGCAGACTTGTGTGTCTGAAAGCATTTACAGTATATGTGTGTATATATCTAGACCAGCATATAATGACTGAGAAGAATATTTATGATAACTTAAATGTGTGTAGCATTTTGTAGTTTGCAAAGTTTTTTAACAACCATATCATTTACACTCACATGTATTTAAGGTCAGAAATGCAGGAAGTAAGTGCCTCACACTACAGAGAAACAACCATGAACAAAGAGGCTAAGTAACATGTCTGAGGTTATGGAGGAAAGGAGAGGACAGACGGGAAGCCACAGTCCCTCACTAGTGCCCTCTACCCAGCTTCGTGCTGGCCCCAGCTTGAAGAAAATACATTTTCTTTATGTCCAGTGAATGCAACTGAAGAATGATACCCCAGTTTTTACTATTTTTTTTTAGGTACATTTCCTTGAGAAAAATGTCCAGTGTAATCTGGGTAGCATTATATAGGAAAACATAAGGATTAAGTTTCAGTATATGGCATGTATTTTGTTATTCTGCATACTGATGCCTGTTTTAAAAAAAATAGGCTCTGGAATACCATTGGCTTATGCAATTTTGAGAGTTCTAGAATAGCCTGCTATATCACTCCCTCCTAAACATACACACATACATACATACATTCTATATAATGTATCAGATGCTAATCATTAATTAATTAAGCCCTTTAGGGTTAAATATTTAACCAAATACCTATCTAATTTAGTCTAAAGTAAAAATAGCAGAATTCATGTTTCCCCTCCCCATCACATTAGAAATCTATAAATGGCTATCTTCTTAGCTATCTTATATAAGAACAGAGAAGTTACAGGTGATTAAAGAGATGATTAAAAATGCAAATATAGCCTTTAAAAAATCATTGATCATATAAGCAGAAATGACTTCACCTTCTGTGAGTGGCTTGGATGTAAAACACCTATTTAATTTTAACCATCATTATTGTGAGCCAGCCTTGTGGAAATGGGAGAGAGCCATCTGCTACAAAAAGGTGACTATAAATAACACACAATGATAATAATTCAGTCATTATTGATTGGGGTAGAATTGCATGGGGATCAATGACAGAGCTTGGAGATCAGAAATATGGGGTTTGAATGGCGACTCTCCCACTTTTTGCCACTGTGACTTCACACAATTTAACCTCTTTTAGTCATTGTCCTTTTATCTGCAAAATGGAGATAATTCTATCTACTTCATATAGTTCTTGTGAGGATTAAATTTAAAAACACATTAATAGCACTGAGAATGGCACATTGTTAAGTGTTCAATAATTGGTTTTTATTACAAGAAATTTGGCAATGATTTCATAAGCAAAATTTCCCACTGATCCAAGAACTCAGATATTTTTAAAACATTCCTGAGATTTTTTTTTGCTATAAAACCTACATTAAACACTAATAATGTGGATACTTCTGTCTGTTATTATGTTGCTGTTAGAAACATCACAGAACTTTCCAAGCTGACATGTCTTACATCTTTCCTAGTCCAAGCTTCTGGATGTCCTGCCAAGTGCCTCAAATCATGACTCCCTCACTTTGAGAAAAGATCTATTTCCTATTCTTCTGCTTAGTGTCTTGGGGCCCTGACATTTGCAAACTTTATTTTCTATCATCCGTCTACCAATTGCTTTCTGCTTAGATATGGATAATGGGAAGCAAAACCGGGAAGTTGGAGGACTAGAAGAGGAAGCCAGGTTATTTCTGTGCCTTCTCTCTCATCTTTGGGCTGCATTTCTAACATAGGCTGATTCTCCTCCATAATTCCATCTCTCTCTGGCTGACCTTCTCTCTGTACTCACAACTTCTGTTGGGCAAATGCCTGCCATCATCCCAGTTCCCAGTTGGGACCCTCCCTCCATGCGTGGCTGCTCCTCTATGGTTCCACTACTGTCTGTGTCTGAGTGTTCTGGCTTCTGGACTCATCACTTCCTTTGTCTCTTCAGTTCTTGAGTAACTTTTGGCTGACACTGATCTCTGGGTGTTGATGCTTAACTCTGGGTGTCCTTACCATTCCCTAATTGTCTTTCAGCTCTTTCTCTTCCTTTGTGACTCATTGCCTGTATTAATGTCCTGTATTAAACTTCTTGATTTAGCATGTCCTCCTGATTAGATCTTGACTTATCAAATCATGGTGATTCCACAGCTATTTTCCAAGCAGCTGAACTAGCATAGAGATTTGATTTTTAGTGAGTTCTGGATACCAGAGAACTTTATAAACAAGCAAATATTAAACTACGACTAATTTCCTTTTTTTATTTAAAAAACTTAAAAAACACTTGCTCCAGACTTTGATAACTATTTTTATTAGTAAGCAGCTATATAGTAGAAATTCTGTGTCCAAAATCTGTAGGTGAAAAAAATACATGAAATCCAAGACATGATATTTTTCTTTGTTTCTATGCTAGTATTATAGCTCCTGACATTTAGGATTTTGAAGCAGGAATCATTAAATTACTTTCAAGTTTATGCTAAATAAATGAGCTTGGAATTCCAAACAAAATCCCAAACTTGATGCATTAAGATGTTTCCCTCTGTTTCTCATTGATATAATTACCAAAAATTAAATTGAAACAAAAGAAACAATACAAATTGTTACGGCCTGAATGCTTGTGTTCGCCTAAAATTTATATGTTGAAATCTAATCACCAACTTGATGATATTGTCACCAATATAGGCCTTGGGTGGTGATTAGACCATGATGGTTGAACCCTCATGGGTGGTATTAATGATCTTATAAAACAGGCCCCAGAGAGCTGCCTTGTCCCTTCTACCATATGAGGACACAGTGAGAAAGTGCTATGTACTATGAAATTGGCTCTCACCATACACCAAATCTCCTGATGTCCTGATCTTGGACTTCTCAGCTTCCAAAACTATGAGAAATTATATTGTCTGTAAGCCACCTTTTTGTTATAGCAGCCTGAATAAACATAGACATCAACCAAATATTAAAAAAAAATAGCTAATGGTAACAAATGTATGTTCTACTTAATCACAGGGAATCTCATAAAATAAGTCAGATATTTTTAAGTTACTGCATAAGTCATGAAAATAATCAAACTTATGACTTCTTTCAGTGTTGTAGTTCATCTTTAATTCAAGGGAGAAATAACTGACCAAAGAAAAAAAGGTGAATTGAATTCTGAAGTTTAGGAAAATCTATTAACATTTCAAATAAAACATAACCAGCTTCTCTTAGGCAATCAGATGGGTACATGTATGTTTTCATTTTTATGCAGGTGGGTTGCATTCAAAAAGAAAGACAGCATGGGATAGTCAGCATGCCCTGAGACATGTCTTTGTTTAATTGCTTTTCTGTTTCCCATGATCGTTGGGAAAATATCATCAATCAGTTAGGGTTATGGAACTTATCTAAAGTTGTAGAATATCTGCTCTGATGGATTTATGTGACTACTATGTTCATGTAAATAAAGAAATTTATTAAATTGACCATTTCAGGGAAATGTGAATTGAGGCAAGACAAGAATTATCTCTCTGAGGTGGTGCAGCTGGTGCTTAGAAAATGTTACTGACCTTGACAATGCTGCAATTCACCAACAATAATGAATCTCTGACTTTAAAAAATGATTTTCAGGAAGGCAAACCTACATTAATGAAAGCATTTCTCAAAACGGCCTATCAAAGTAATATTAGTAATAAAAATAAGTCAATTAGGAAGAAAACTTGTTTTAATAATACATACAGAAATTATAAAATAAGAAACTAGGTCCAGGACTTAGACAGTTTTGTATTCCATCATTATAAATACGTAATGTAGTAGTGGAAAAAAGTGTTTAAAGGTAATTCAATAATAATAGAAACCAAAACCATCATATGAGAAGGGGTAAATTAACACAATGGATGTTTATTTATTTAACTTAATAGACTGTTTTTAGTGCAATTTTAGGTTAACAGAAAATTGAGTGAAAAGTATGTGGAATTACCATATGACCCCCTCTCCTCTGCAGATAGTTTCTTCTGTTATTAACATCTTGCATTAGTGTGGTACATTTGTCACAATTGATGAACTAATATTGATACATTGTTGTTAACTAAAGTTTATAATTTACATTATGGTTAACTCATTATGTTGCACATTCTATGGACTTTAAAAACTCTAAGGTGACATGCATCTAACATTACAGTATCATACAGAGTAGTTTCACTGCCCTAAAAATGCCCTGTCCTCTATCCCTTTTCCAAAACACTTGAAATAGTTGATCTGTTTACTGTCTCCAGAGTTCACCTCTTTCAGAATGTCATATGGTTGGAGACATATAGCCTTTTCATTTTGGATTATTGCACTTAACAATCGGCATTTAAGTGTTCTTTGTCTTTAATATAATGGTTTCTATTTTATTATTCAAGTAACCTCAGAGGTTGACATTTTATTTCTAAAATGTAAAAATAAAAATATGTTGGAAGAACAGGAAATAAAAATGGCAAATGAGATGTTTTTGTGCAACATCAAGAATTGTTTTTCTAAGGAATAAAACATAAAATACGACTCACTTGGTTTAAAGACTTCCTTTACTCCTAAAAAAGTAGTAAAGTTCAAGCCATTTCTTAAAGTGTAATGCTTTTTCTTTGTAAAGTATTGCGTTTTGTACCAAAAATTTTAGGTAATTATTTTTATATGTTCAGTTTAATAATGTAAAAGTTGCATACCTAAGAAATTGTGTTTTATCCAAACAATTGTTAGTTGGGGAAAGGGAGGGTAAGGACTAGATAACTTTAATCTTGCAATATCAAATGAATTTTACTATAGAAAGTTCAACAGTAATAGTGTTTTAAGGGCTGTTATGGATTCAATGTGCCCACCCCATTCATATGTTAAAGCCCTAATCCTCAATGTGATTTTATTTGGAGATAGGGCCTGTGAAGAGTGATAAATGTTAAATAACCTTGGAAGGGCCCTAATCCAACAGGGCTGGTGTTTTTATAAGAAGAGGAAAAGATACAAGAGCTCTCTCATTCTACCACATTAAGACACAATGAGAAAGCAGCTGTCTGACCCCATTTGGTCATCCTCTTCATTTTGAGAAATAGAACAAAACTATAGATATTGATGTCACTCTATTATCATCATAAATGTACTTATTTGGTTTCAAATTCCACTGGTAAATAGCAGAATAGTGGGTTTTATAAGGTGGGGACAAGAATTTCAGGCATTTTTTTTTTTTTTTTGTGAGGGTTAGAGCAGACCTCCTTGTATTAGAATATACCGTTTACAGGAGAAATCCAAAACTTGGTCTATTTTAGTTTCTATTTCTGACCTATCTGTTTCCTTAAAGTTTTAGTTTGATTATGTTACATTTGGCGTGAGTGACTCCATTTTGGTTTCATCTGGTTTGTTCTGTTGGAGCCTAGTGCATGACTTCCATCAAAAACAATAATCTTCCATAATTTTATTTAAAAAATCCACCCCCGTCCCCTCCCCCCCACTTTTTGGCAGATTATCACTTAGGTAAAGTTGTGACCAAAAGCTTAAGGCCTTAGTATGACCTTCAGTTACCATCATTTTGGGTTTCTGGTTTCAGTTTGTTATTTTTAATTTATAGTGTCCTTGTGTTCACACATTTCTTTGAGTTTTTGTTGCTCCAGTTGAAGAGAGATCATTTGACATTCTAGACATGGCTGTATGCAAACATTTAAAAATTTTGAGAGAAGATAATGCAAGAGGGAGACTACTATTATAGCTATCATTAGGATAATACCAAAAGTTTGGAATATGCTATTTAGTTAGGGTACCCGTGAACCAAACCAACTATAATCAAATAGATCAAATGATGAGCCAGATAGAGTTTACCCCTTTTAAACAAGCTGCCTATACATTAATTCCTTACAACTGAATCTCTGTAATACCCAATATATTTTTCCATATGCAACTAGAAGTATCAGCAACTACACAGACACTTCTCTGTTCAGCCAGTAAGTCATCTAATGGGAAAGCTATTATACTACCAGAAAACATGCATTAAAAATGGCAACTGAATGAAATTCCTCTATAGATCTTTAAATGGCCCACTGGCCCATCTGGTAGCAGAAATGTAGCTGAAGTTTTTATTATTAATATTATTCCAGGACTATGAGTTTGAGAAACCAAACATTGGTCATGAACTATTTTAGCAATTTTGAACAGTCACCACACACAGACACATATACACAAGTGTGTGTTTGTGTACAAACATATATATTTATTTGATTTGGATTATTTTATCTCTTTCGTGATAAGTCATGGACTGCAGAGCTTTTAGTGATGAAAGCTTTAAGGACTCAGGAAGGATCAGGTGGCCTTTTGGGTTCTCCATGAGCCTGTACTTAATATTGGATTTATTTTCTCTTAAATACCAGGTTTGTTTCTGCAATTCATGTGTATAACACTGATAACTGATGGGTTATCATAGGTAATTTGACTTGGACCATGGAGTTCATTCAAATTGCATATCTTAACAATTTCAGTACTGGCTGATTTAGCATGAAAATCCGGCAAAGTATTTCCTTGGTATTCAATTATTTTTTGTCCTGCTTGGGTTAACAGTTTTATAAACCATTCACTGTCTTCACTGGAATTCTGGGAATTTTTATGCAGTCCAGATGATATGATCCTAAAGTTATCAGATACGTTTTTTAACAAACACACATTTGTATGCCTTTATAACTGCTCATCAAAAACATATTTTCCTTTTGTTTATAACTCTGTATATGCAATTGTTTATTCATATTTAGTAGTTTTAATTATATATAAAAATAATAATTTTAACTCTTAGTAACCTTAATTTATAGTGAAAACACTAGAAAGAAATTTTGAACTGTTTTGTATCAGTATTTGTAGATGAAAACTATTTTATAATTATTTAGAAAGATGTTTCCTTACATTATTATTTATTAACAGATCTAAATATATTTAGCTTTTCTATATCATATAAAAATAAGATGTCAAAATATATAAACATAAACTTATGTTTAATAATTAATGTTTCAGTATTTTAACTTACAAATGACTCTGAACTTTTATGATTATCTATTATTTAACATACCGTGACTTTAAGATTTTAAATTACTGAAAATAATTTTGAAACTGTGACACAGTGATATGGTTTGACTGTGTCCCCACCCAAATCTCACCTTGAATTGTAGCTCCCATAATTCCCGTGTGTCATGAGAGGGACCCAGTGGAAGGTAATTGAATCATGGGGGTAGGTTTTTCCAGTGCCATTATTATGATAGTGAATAAGTGTCATGAGATCTGATGGTTTTATAAAGGAAAGTTCTCCTGAACACACTTTCTTGCCTGTTGCCATGTAAAACGTGACTTTGCACCTTGTTTGTCTTCAGCCATGATTGTGAGGCCTCCCCAACCATGTGGAACTGTGAGTCCATTAAACCTCTTTCCTTTATAAATTACCCAGTCTCAGGTATGTCTTTACCAGCAATGTGAGAACAATCTAATACACACAGCTACATTCCCTAATGTCTTTTCTGGTCATCTTCGGTCTCAAGTAGCCATGTGGTTTCCAAGATGGCTATGAAGGGCAGAGCCTTTCTGAGACCTGGATTTACATACCAGGTGTAGAGCTCAGGACAGAAGATAGATCTGGGAAGACTGTGCCTCGAGGATCTGATCCCTCCCAGAATAGCCAGGAGGCAAAGCTAGGGCAGGGAAGAAGGGGCCACATTGGACTTGACTCTGACTTGCAGCAGCTGGTCTAGACACTGAGAAAATGTCTCCAGGCCTCATGTCCACCTATCCAGACCCCCTAATCCAGGGGCTCAAAACCAAAAAGATAGGCTCACAGTCAAACCAATCAAGTGTCCAATATATTTAACCAATAATTTTGAAGCCACTCCTATTTTATCAACAATTCAAAAACTAGCTGTATTTACCAAATATTATCACCTATATATAACACATACATAGACATAACAGACACACAGACAGAAGCAGATCTTATAGATTTATAAGATTCTTCATTTGCCAGTTTTCAAAGTTTCCCTCTCCACCCCCATCAACCTCTTGATTACCTGTAAGTTTCCTGAGGCCCCCCCAGCCATGCTTCCTGTACAACCTGCAGAACTGTGAGCCAATTAAACCTCTTTTCTTTATAAATTACCCAGTATCAGGTAGTTCTTTATAGCAATGCAAGAATGCATTAATACACCTTGAATCTTGTCTTTGGCTCTTGGATTCCCTTGAACAACTTAGCCAGTGATTCTTCTCTATCTAGGCAGGCAAGAAAAAAAATAAACAAAGTGGGTAGAAAATAAAAATCTCTGTGAATTTCCAAAAGCCAAAGTTTACATCCCCTTCAATATTGCTGTTTACTACCAGTTTCTATCTGACCCAAGGAGACATAGGATGCCTCTAACTGAGTCCAAGCCAGTTAATTTTAAATCCATTCAGTCCTGAACCCAGTCCAGTTTCTGTTGCAACTTCGAAACCCAGTTTGGCTCGGAAATTTACTCAAACAAACTTGGAGAGCTCAAAACGCAAATCTGCGGAGCTTTGGAATCAGAGAGAACTTGTAACAATCCCCAGTTGCTTCAGGAGAACAGTAGACACAACGGGCTCAGTAAGTACCTCACTTAGTCACTTGATGCTTCTGGGGGTCACTAGAAGCTCTACATCAGATCCCACTTTTGACACTATTTATTAAAAAGAAGAACCTTAGACAAATTAAGTTTAACAGACTTTAATTGAGCAAAGAACAATTCATGAATTGGGAAGCCTCCCAAGCCAGGATAGACTCAGAGAGACTCCAGTACAGTCACATGGCAGAAGAAGATTTATGGACAGGAAAAGGTATGTGATGTCAGTCAGATTGATTACAGCTCGGGATTTGCCTTATTTGAACGTGCTTCAGATAAGGCAAATAAGCTGGCCGCCTATGATTGGGTAAAACTCAGTGATTGGCACAAGAGTAGGTTGCAGTATACAGTTAAGTTTCAGTTTACTATGTATGGGGAAACTCTTAGGCTGAACTCAAAATATGTAAGAGCCAGTTTTAGACTAAACTTAATGTAACAATTGTCAATTCAAATTTTTAAAACCTTCCAGAAACAAAATCTTAGCTGCTGAAGGATGACAGTTTGTTCTATTCTTTCATGAATTGCCCTTATCCACACCTGAAACTCAGAGGCAATGAACTTTCTTTCCTTTTCTTTTCTTTCTTTCTGTCTTTTCTTTCTTTCCTTCTTTCTTTTCTTTTCTTTTCCTTTCTTTATTTCTCTCTTTCTGTCTTTCTTTCTTTCTTTCTCTCTCTCCTTCCTTCCTTCCTTCTGTCCATCTGTCCTTCCTTCCTTCCTTCCTTCTGGCTATACTACCATTTATTTTCTTGTTACAAGAAGAAATGTAATCTTAAATTAGCTGTCTTAGGCTGTTGAGAATTTTTAGAAACCTTCTCTAATTAGCATAATTTTCAAAAAGCATATTTTGAGGCTGAAATAATGAAGCAATAAAATTTTCCCCCAACCCCTAAAACAGTTTTAGTTCAACAACTAGTATGTTCAGTCTCAAGCAGTAACAAAAGTCCAAACTTTTTTCTGGGTTAAATCTTCTCTCCTTGTATTAATCAGGTTAGACCAGGTTATGCTTTGGTAACATACAAACCCCAAACAAGTTTGCTTTTTGTTTGTTTGTTTTGTTTATCCTAAGTCCTCTCAAGACCACAGGACCCTCTAAGGCAGTAACTCCTCCCAGTAGAAACTGAGCAATTAAAGTTACTTTGCTCTTGGGACATTACCTTCTTGACATGGGGGTTCCTTGTTGCTATGAAAGAGTGAAGAATGAAGAGTTATCCAGGGACTTCTTATGGCTGTAGTCTGGAAGTGATGCATATAATTGCCATTCACAGTTCATTAGCTGTAAGTAGCCATATGCCCCAGATAGCTGAAAGGAGCTGGAGAGTGCAAATCTTTCATAATTCAGGAATGGAAAGACAGTGATTGGTGAGTATTAGTACCATGTACCACACCTCCCTCCCAGTTTGTGCCTGCTAAGGCTAGGAGGTGTGGGCAAGTTTTTATTTTATTGCCTCATGTTTCTGTCCCTGTCCCTTCCCCAGTGCCCCCACACAGTGGTCTTAAAACCATGGTAAGCTGTCATTGCTTCTCCCAGATAGAACGGGGACCAGAAAGGAAAAGTCAGGGATGACAAAGTTCTTACTTTACTAGGATTACTGTGAGCTCACATAACACTTTCTGGTGTGGCTTGTTAAATTAAATTTAGTCCAAAGCTGCCTCCTTACATATTTTGAGTTTGACTCATAGGTTTCTTCATACATAGTGAACTGTACCTAACAGGATATATAAATAGACTGTAACCTACTCTCATACCAATCACTGAGTTTGGCCAATCAAAAGTGGTCAACTGTCAAACTCCATTCAAAATAATGCAAATGCTGAGCTGTAACCAGTACAGCTGTTTCTGTACCTCATTTCTGTTTTCTATACATTACTTCCCTTTTTCTGTGCATAAATCTTCCACCAAATGGCTGTGCTGGAGCCTCTCTGAACTTATTCTGGTTTGGGGGCTGTCTGACTTGCAAATCATCACATCATTCTTTGCTCAGTTAAATTCTTTTTTTTTTTCTTTTCTTTTCTTTTCTTATATTATTATTTTACTTTAAGTTTTAGGGTACATGTGCAGAATGTGCAGGTTAGTTACATATGTATACATGTGCCATGCTGGTGTGCTGCACCCATTAACTCGTCATTTAGCATTAGGTATATCTCTTAAAGCTATCCCTCCCCCCTACCCCCACCCCACAACAGTCCCCAGAGTGTGATGTTCCCCTTCCTGTGTCCATGTGTTCTCATTGTTCAATTCCCACCTATGAGTAAGAATATGCGGTGTTTGGTTTTTTGTTCTTGTGATAGTTTACTGAGAATGATGATTTCCAATTTCATCCATGTCCCTACAAAGGACATGAACTCATCATTTTTTATGGCTGCATAGTATTCCATGGTGTATATGTGCCACATTTTCTTAATCCAGTCTATCATTGTTGGACATTTGGGTTGGTTCCTAGTCTTTGCTATTGTGAATAGTGCCACAATAAACATACGCGTGCATGTATCTTTATAGCAGCATGATTTATAATCCTTTGGGTATATACCCAGTAATGGGATGGCTGGGTCAAATGGTATTTCTAGTTCTAGATCCCTGAGGAATCGCCACACTGACTTCCACAATGGTTGAACTAGTTTTCAGTCCCACCAACAGTGTAAAAGTGTTCCTATTTCTCCACATCCTCTCCAGCACCTGTTGTTTCCTGACTTTTTAATGATTGCCATTCTAACTGGTGTGAGATGGTATCTCATTGTGGTTTTGATTTGCATTTCTCTGATAGCCAGTGATGGTGAGCGTTTTTTCATGTGTTTTTTTGGCTGCATAAATGTCTTCTTTTGAGAAGTGTCTGTTCATATCCTTCTCCCACTTTGTGATGGGGTTGTTTGTTTTTTTCTTGTAAATTTGTTTGAGTTCATTGTAGATTCTGGATATTAGCCCTTCGTCAGATGAGTAGGTTGCGAAAATTTTCTCCCATTTTGTAGGTTGCCTGTTCACTCTGATGGTAGTTTCCTTTGCTGTGCAGAAGCTCTTTAGTTTAATTAGATCCCATTTGTCAATTTTGGCTTTTGTTGCCAAAATTGTTCATTAAAATAACATAAGCTATTGATTGAATATATATTTTTCTTTATATCACAAATTCCAGAAACATGAAGATAATGAGTGAGGGTCACATTGTGCACTTTATGGTAATGTGTTAGGTCATTTATGAGTTAGTCTGAAAAAGGAAAGGAAAAAGAAAAAAACATTTTAAAGCTATGCCTTTAAAAATTTCCCCTGGGCATGGCTGCAGGGGACGTGACTGAAGTCTCATGCTCCTGTCTCTTTGGGAGTGATAAATTTTGCATACCTTACATTCCTCAGACTGCTCTGAGCCACTTTTTCTGCGTGCTTTTAAAAATCCTTATGACCAGGTTGTACACTACGTCACTTACATCAGAATGTCTGAGGGTAGCAGTCAGGCATCATTATTTAAAAAATATATGCTATGATTCCAATGTGCAGCAGAGTTTAGCAATCACTGTTTTACACCATTTTTCCTTTCAACAATTTCTCAGTGAAAATTCGGATCCTTCAAAATGCTGGATTAAGTATTACATTATTACAATGCCCTTTCTTCTCATAATATTCTTTTACTTCATAGATTTTTATTGTACCTTATAAGTATATGTGCATTTGTATATCAATCTCCTTCCCCAGGCTGTTGAGTTCTATGAGATTAGAAATCACATTTATTTTCTGTTTACTATTATATTTTCTGTTTACTATTATCCAGGAGTTGGCAAAGGGCCTGAGGTTTAGGCACTCAGGGTTTTTTTGGTAGGCTTTTAAGCAAATCTTCAGTTGTTAAATGAATAAATCTTTCTTATTACTCAGAAACCACCTCTAGATTTAGAATTATGTACTGAAAATAGCATGGGTTTTGTTGCTGTACAAAGCTTGGTTCAAATTCTAGCTGTGTTCCTTCACTAGCCTGTGAAAACTTAGATAACTTTGGTCAACTTTTCTGAGCCTAAATTTTCTCCTCTGTAAATTAGAGGTAACAATTCTTATCTCATAGGATTATTAGGAGAACTGAGGGAAATAACAAGATAAAGCATCTTATAATGTACTTTCAAAAAATTTAGTTTTCATTTTCCTTTGTGACCTCCCAAGGATTAAAATTTCCACACTCTTTTCGTCCCTATTCTGCAGATACATATTTGTTTGATTTTCATTCCCTCAATTCCAGACTTTTTCCCTCAAGGCTATTTTTTTTTATCTTCCAAAGGAGGAACAAGCTAATCAGACATCTGGATTCCTCACATAGTGGGGTGTTCCCTCAGAGGCCCATCTAATAACTCATGTCTACCTTCACAGTGTCTCCTGAAGAAGATGACTCCACCTCTGTCATTTTACATTGCATTTTATTGAAGCAAAAATATTTTGCGACATAAAAAATTGCTTTTAGTCACTTTTATTGTTATGTAAAATGTACAAATAAATATCAACTCCTTGTCATAGAATTCTTAAGTAATTATACAACTAAAATCATATGTTAAATATAATTAAATCTATAAAACCAAATTCAAATTTACAACATGAATTTAATGTGAAGATAATGTGTGTTCTGAAACACAACAGCCTCTATTGATTTTAAGGATAGACAATTGAACACTGAGGGTCTTCAAAGCATTCATAGGAAATGCATATTATAAAAATTAAAAAAACTTTAAAGGGTACTTAGTTTTCTTCAGTTAATAATGTAAAAAAGGTGGCATTGATGTAGTCAAACTCTTAGGACCCTCAGTTCTTTCGAGATGGACTAAATGGCTGTTATAATCACATACAAAAGTGTCTTGAACTTCCTAGAACTTATGTTGAGAACAGAAGTTTATATTTGTATTTATATTTTTAATTCCATTTTCCACAAGCTTTTTGAAGTCCTTCGTATATCCTGTGTTTAACTTCATATTGACTTGAATCTTTTGGTTTTGCTCATGATAAATTATAGAGTCATTTTTTTCTAGTTTTTTTAATAGTAAACTTATTTTTAAACACCATTTAATTATTTTTCTGGGCAAATCAATATAAACATGTACTCTTCCATATAATGCTAAAAAAGAAAAAAGAACAGTGGTAAACAAAAAAGTCCTCTTCATTGAATTTGTATATTTACTACTGACAATCTATTGCAAGTTGCCATATGGAGTGACAGTATCTCCACAAAGCAATATGAATGTGTTGCTGCCCTCCCAGTATACAGAAATTTTCTGGTTTGGCGTGTATACAAGGCCACGTTCCATATAATGAAATCCCTACCCCACCATCTTACTCTTCTCACACCACAGTAAGGTTTTACTCGCACACTGTGTCCTCATACTCTCTGGCCTTCTTTTGGCTCTATTCCTCTCCTAAACATACTTTAGATGTGACTGCTGAAGTCACTTGGCAGAATTCTCTTGTAAGGTGCTCATTTAGATCAGTGGTCATTGAACTACAGCCTGCAAACCCAATCTGATTCCCCACATATTTTTGTAAATAAAATTTTACTGTACCATACTCACACCTAATTGGTTTTGTTATCGCCTATGGCTTTTTCCTGCTACAATGGAAAACTAAGAAGTTATGATAGACATTGTGTAACCCACAAAGGTAAAAATATTTTCATCTAGCCCTTAACAAAAAATGTTTATTGAGTCTTGGTTTACATAACCAGGATTAATCACTGAAATAAAAGCACACACACATATACAGATGCCAGAGAATATGTCTGTGGATTCAAGGTGTAGAAATATTCACCTATTTCCTTGAAAGAAGTGGGTTTGAAATGCTGAGAGGGGACCAAGTTATGAATCACTCATTAGAGGTTAGATGCTTCAGGTATCTGTCTTCCTTGCTTCGCTGAGGCCTGCTTAGACTGTTGCAGAACACTTCACCACTCTTCTATTTATGGTCTATAGATCAAACACAGTGCTAGGCAAATTGCAGGGACTTAGCAAACATTTGTTGAACAGATGGTATTGAGATAGTGACACTGAACTAGGAGTTACCAAGAAATATTGGAGTTCTTTAGGAGAACTACCAGGTAGATGCAGACCAGAGTCACCCTTTAGGGCAGTTGTGGGGACATCTGTGGAGCAAACAATAGGAATTATGTAGAGGGCCTTTGCAAGGAGTGGACCCTGCAAGAGCAGTCACCCTGGAGCTGCTGCCAGCAGAGCCCAGAGCTGCCCTGATGGAAGATCTTGCTGTGGGAATTGCCTTAACAAAGGCAGAAAAATATCTTTGAAGGTCTCCAGTTCATGCTGTGTTGTGGAATATTTGCTGTCCTCCCCGCTAGGAGGAAGAGTCACAATTTACTCCTTATAGCTACATACATGAGTTGCTCACACAATCTATTCTTTGTTACTAGATATAGTTACCTTGCAGCTAGGAGAAACGAAATAAAAACAGTAACAAAGAAAAGAAATTGTTAGAAAGGACTCTCGGGACAGTAGGGAGAAACTATCTGTGTGAAGACACTTGTGAAACTCAATAGTTTATTTTCTAACTTCTTTTGAAGGAGATTTTTAGGGCAGATACTTGAGACATGTTTACAGAAAAATCCTCAGCATTCCCCCTTTACATCTAGCTTAACACATATTTGTAAGGGAGTTTATGCTGAACTTATGGTAGTAATAGGATGAAAGTTTGGCCTTTATTTTCTAAAATTTTTCTAAAATGAAATATATATGAATTCCTGAGAAACTTGCTTTAAACCTACATTTTTTTTTAAGATCAAAGGAATATTGGCATTATTTGTTGGCAAAAAGTGAAGTGACTTTCCAAGCATCAAAGCTGTTTAAAGTGTTTTGAAAATACAATTGCACTCTTCATCTGTTTCCCTTTAGAACCAGCGTATAATGCATGCCAGTTATTGTACTGTGCCTTAGATGGGATGTTAAAATGTAATCTTAGTTGAAATAAATTGAAGTTCCTCATTAGATATTGAACAGCAACATGAGGGAAATTGGTTTCCTCTAATCTTCCACATAAGGAGGCAATCTCTTTATATGCAAGTAAAGGATTTTGCATATTGATTGCATTTTCTGATGATGAACTTACACATTTATAGGCTAAATGGCATTCTCTAAAGAGAAGATGCAGAGTAAATATCTATTTTCATAATTTCCTCTAACGAGTTACCACTCCAGCATGCCAAACACTGTAATAGCACGATTCATATCTCTCTTATCCAAATAGTATTATTCTCTTACATTGACTTTATGCTTCCATAAATGCATAAAAAGTTTACTATTCAAACAAAACAGCAAGAAAACCCCTGTCTTCAATGCCCAATATGAAATTTCACTCTGTACTTTCGGGATGAAGGGGGAGGCAGAGTGACCAACTTGCTCTGGTTTGTCTGGGACTTTTCTGGTAATAGTGATGACAGCTTTAGCCCAAGGAAGGCTAAACAGATGATTGGAGCCCCTTAGTCCTGAGCAAAATGGATGGTTGCTAATTTGAGATGACCAGATTAGTAATTGTTTAATTTTTTTCTCATTTGTTTAAATTTTCTCTCTTTATTTATGTATGTTTACTGAACCATTGGAGAATAAGCTGGAGACATTATGCCACTTTACCTCTAAAAACTCAGTGATTATTTCCTAAGTACGGTCTCTTTCATGACCACAATATATTCAGTATATTTATTAAAATCAGGAAATTTGGTGTTTATAAAATACTCTAGTCCACAATGCATATTCAAATTTCATTGAGTATCTCACGAATATCCTTGATAGCTTTTTTTTTTCTCCTGGTCTAGAATGTATCCCAAGATCACATATGTCACATCATTGCTTTTTGTCTTCTTTAATCTAGAATAATTTCTATACTTTCTCTGTGTTTCTTGTCCTTAATATTTTTGAAAAGTATAGGCCTGCTACTGTGTAGAATATCCCTCAGTTTGGGTTGGTCTGATTTCCTCATGATTATATTCCGTTTATACAGTATTTAGGCAGGAATACCAACAAGATGATGATGTGTCTTTCTCAGAAGACACATGATATTAGTCTGATATAATATTGGTGATGTGGCAAAATACTTAGATTTTCACTCTGTAGTTTTAGTATCTATAGAAAATGTTCTAATGTCATCACTATTTTTATATTCATTGCCATTCTATTGTCATTTTTTAAATAAGAAAGAACTTGCCACACATTTTTTAATTTACAGGGAGACCCTCAATTCAGTGTAAAATTTATTGTTATACTTGTCCTATGACCTAGCTTTATTATTTTCGCCCACCAGTAGTTCCACCAGGTAAATTCCCTGAGAAATGCAGTGATCTCTGGACCCTGAGTCTCCTGAAAACAGGCAAAATCCATCTAGTTATTGCCCTTTTGTAAAAAAAGAGGACGTTTTGTGCTATCAGAAAACATCTTTGAAGACTTTGCAGAATAGAGTTTATGTATATTCCGTAGGAGGACCCTTTCACAGCTTAATAGCCAACCACATTTATTGACCATCTTCTGCCTGCAGCATATTTTACCAAATGCTGCTTTATAGAGCATTATCTCTAATCTATACCAGCACAGACTATTGGCTCTCTTTGGAGAATAGAGTTTGCCCCATTATCTGCCTCTCAATGATTTTTATTAGTTTCCAAATGCTACCTGCATAGTTTCTAAGACTCAAAGAGCCAAATACATCTAGTAACGCATACACATTATATATATGGGATTTTCTTTGTTGTGCCATAGATCATCAGAAGACATGCTTACATAGGTCAGGCTGAAGGCAATCAATGCTCATTTTGTGAACAAAAGAGTGGCTTTTTGGACTTAAGAAATTTATATGCATTTATGTCTTGTTTTGCCTCCCAAAGTCTTTTTAGTTGATTGTTTTGACATCTATAGGCATACTTAATTCAGGAAGCAGCATCAAAACTGTACTATTTGCCAATTGACTTAGGTCGAAAAGCCCTTAACTCAGTCTGTGTCATGGATTCCTCATCTCTAGGGTTACATTAAAGAGAACGAACTCTTAACTTTTGAGTCTTAGAACTCAGATCATTTCTTTGGGTATGAGCATTATAGATAGTTATGATGTGAAAAGTAATAAATTTCAGTAATGGTACTGAGAATAGATACAGCTGTCCCTTGGTATCCATAGAAAATTGATCCCAGGACACCACATCCCTCGAGTAACAAAATTCACAGATGCTCAATTCCCCAATATAGAATGACATAGTATTTGCATGTAACCTATGCACATCTTTCCATATACTTTAAATCATCTCTAGAATACTTATCATTAACAAATACAATGTATATGCCATATAAACAGTTGTTTTATTTATTTGTTTTTTTTAGTGTTATCTTGTTTCTTTTTTTTTAACTTATCTTTTTCCAAATATTTTTAATCCTTGGTTGGTTAAATCTAGGAATGTGGAACCCATGGATTCGGAGGGCTGACGGTAATTACTAATTACACTTAGCTATACTCTCTGGAAATTTCAAAAGTTTTCTTGATTTCCTTATGCCTTTGTTTCAGGGACTAATACCCATCCTGGTGCTGTAGGAAACTTACATAACAGGTATTAGAGTTTTATCATGAACACAGTAAAAAGAAACCACTATATTCATAAATAGGCTGAAAAGAAACCCATGACTTAGTTTTTAAAGAAACTTGAGACATTTAAACAATCCTAATCCATTTTCTATACTAAGATGGAAAATAGAATCCATTTCTTCATCAGTAAATAAAAACCAATGAGTACATTATTGAATTAGATGAGCTCTTTGCTTTCAGTTAAAAAAATACTAGATCAATAATTGTCAAATAATTAGATGTTTCTATACCTTGCACATTAGAGTTAGACTAAATTAAAGATAACCCTTTGTTTTTGTCTGTAGGCTTATTTCATAATAGAGGTTCATAATAGAATAATCAGTTTATACAATTAAAATCTACTTCTTAGGATTTATAACTTAGCTTTCTTTTCTAGTAGTTTATAGTCATATCTTCACTTTAAAGACATATTGTTGGTCATGTCTATGATTCATTTGAGGCTGTCTTTGGTTAGGAATGAAAACCCCAAACTGCAAACATTTTCCCATGGGAAAATGCCATCTGCTTTAGAGTGATTTGCTTTATGATGTGGATTCCAAACTGCATTGTATTCATCTGCTTATAGCCAAACACACTGAAGTTCAGCCACAAGCAGAATTCTCATGAAAGATTGCATGGGAAATAATAGAGAAAACAATTTAGCAGTAGTCTCCCATAGTGAGAGAAAAACAGAAGAAAAAAATAGTAGAGAAAGAAAAAAAGCATTTGAGAGCAAAGGAGAGTATAGTTAGAGAAAGAACTCCGGGGAAGACAGGTGAGGTGATGGGTAAAAGAAGGAAAATACTTTCAGGGAAACAACTTATCTTTCATCAGAAACTCAGTTTAGGCTACTTTTTGAAAACTACCTACCCAAGAACTTTTCCACTTTTAAAATAATCTGTATTTATTCTTCATAATCATCTCTTCTTACTCACTCCACTTTGTTTTATGGCACCCTATACATATCAGTGTAGGCATATACCACAGACAAAAGGAAGAAATGAGGGAAAAGGAAAAGGAGCAAAAACTGTGTGGTACTCTGCAAAATGTCATAATAATAAGTGTATTAGCTGCATTTTATTATATCACAGATGAGGAAAAAGAATTTAAACCAAAGATTGAAAAAATCCTAACTAGTTTGATTGATAAGGAATGAATTATAAAACCCATGGAGATTTATAGGGCATTATTGTTTTTTAAATTTTTGTGGTAACTTCAACATTTTACAGGTATTGGCATGTTTGACAATAATGCCATGTAGCTAGAACCAAGCTGATTTGTATGTGGAGGGTTACTATTAATATGCACACAGTTCCTGTTTAAAGAGAAAGTCTGCCAAAAGCAAAATACCCTATTAAATAGCTGTCTCAAATATGCCCAGATGGAATGAGCACCATACATTGTTCTTTATTCTGCTTAGTCTGTTTTATCTGCTTAACTAAGGACCATCGTATTTTCACCTCATTTTTCTCTTTCTTTTTCCTGAGGATAATCCCCATCACCTCCCTCTTTGGTTTAATCACATTTCTTCTCTTTACACCGTCACTGAAATACTATAGCATGAGACCGTCATGAAAAGATTATTACATGAAATATGGTACGCTGATGTATTGTATTCACACAATGCCTATTTTGAGGTTTTGTACAGAAGGTTTGGTCAATGCCATATGCTCAGAATGTTCCTATTCTTGGACTATGAATGTTATCTCTGAGGGTGTAATCAGAGTCTAAACTGGGTGAGCAGGTTCCTCATTACCTCTTGATCACTGTCATTATGGTGCTGTGCTTTATTTCCAGATCTGGGCATCTTTCCTTAGGCTACCACAGAACACAGAAATTGTACATAATGTACACCCATCTCTTCCATTATGCCTAGCAAAGGGTTCTGACCTATTATGGGGATTTAAAATAACAGAAAACCTCACAGCTTTACAAAATGCAGTTGTTGATCCTTTTGCAACTTATGTGTGATGATTGGGTATTTATACTCATGTGCGAGATATGCTGCCCTCCAACCTTGTTACCACATTTGCACATTACCCATCTGATGTAAAAAAACCAACCAACCAATAAAAAAAAGGAAAAACCTCAGTCGTTAAATCATCTTCTCTTCTTCCCTAAAGTTATTGTGCTGGAACCCTGTAGAGGAAACACGGATTAGCTTCAGTTTGGTGTTGTATTTTGAACATGGAGGTATTCTGTGGTTCACATTCTTCTGGGAAAAGTCCCAGTCACCAATGGGGAAGGATGTCACAAGTCTCTAAGGTCCACTACATACTGTCCACTCAGGGAGGGGCAAATGGATGGGTTGGAGGTTGCTGAGGCCAAAGGAGGAGGATAACAACAGGCTAAGTTTTTTCCTTTCCCATCCCCAGCCATAGGCCAACATTTTTTCATAGAGAAGTCACTTCATAGCATGATGTACCAACTTCAAAGATTTTGTGACACATTTTTAAACTCCTCCGAGAATGATATACAATATACTTCTGGTGCCTTAGAGTTTACTATATACACTTTCACATATGTTGCCTTATTTGATCTTCACAAGAACCTTATGAGTGATCTCTTATTCCCCTTTGTGGGGGAGGAACAAAGGCTGAGAAACTGTGACGTTCTCAAGGCTGTACGGTAAATCAACAACATTTTCATTGGCACCCATTACGTGTCAGGGATGATGGTAGACCGTAAGGACCAAGCCAAGATGAGGACTAAGGTTTCAGAATTCTCAGTCTCCTGTCTGGCCTGTCCCATGGTGTCTTCCTTCCTGATGAGGACAGTTGATAGAACCCGGCATTAGCTTCCAGCTGCATCTCTTTTCTTCCAGGTAAAATGTCCTCTTCTTCCCCACTGAAACACACTCGTAGTCAAAGCTACTTTTATTTCTGTCTGCATCATTTCACCTATTAGAATGTTAACTCCCTGAGGACAAGAATCATTTTTGCTCTTTGTTGTTGTTTTGTTCTGTCATCTTATAGCCTACATGGTGCAATTTTGTTCAGATAAATTGTGTAACATAAAATCCCCGTGATATATAAAGTTCTACAAATATAATTAGTCTGTGGGTGACTATAAAGTAAATCATGATATTTTTGAGGGGAGGTGATGAAAATTAGCTTGAACTTCTCCTTTTCCATGCACTTAGTTATTTTAAAGTGATTGACATTAAGTTATGAAGTACAAACTAGGTAGAAGTAATAGATGTGTCACAATATGTAGGGGAAATAAAAGCTTACTCATAAAATATAGTTAAATTATTTTGAATACTCAGGCTTGTAGTTTGACATTGTGTGTGTGTGTGTGTGTAAAGGAAAAGAATATAAAGCTAATTACATCCAGAAATGGAAGAAATGGGAACTAGAGACCGGGAGGCTGCAGCATTTTTTCATCCAAAACAATCTCAATTCCAACAACAAACCTTTATGAAAGAGTTTAGTTTCCTGAGTGAACTGATGAGCTCACTTTTCCTTTTCATTTTTCTTTCCAAACTGCACAGCTGAAAAGCATTGTCAGTGGAAACACCCTGTTAAGTCAGTGATTTATACACCCTATCTGTTGGTTTTTTTCTTAAGATTCTATTTTAACTATTATCTCTTCGAGAAGAGAAACATGACATTCTAAATATAGTCCTCAAATTTTTATATATTCACACTCAGTGCAAAACATTTCTGAGTTATATGTAATTAATGTACCCAAAGAGAGATTGAAAAAAGTTCAGGGGTTTCTTGTCCACACTTATCCTAGCCTTTATATACCATAAGAGGGTTAGCTGGATCCCAGAACATCCACCAACAGCATTTGATGTTTAAGAGGTCTAAAATTAAAGCTATGTGTGTGTGTGTGTGTGCGTGTGTGTGTGTGTGTAAGATGAAAGTCTAGAAAGGGGTGGAGATGAGAAAGCAGAAAAAAAAGTCATTATATAAAAGTTCATTTGTGATAATGACATTATTTAAGAAATACATTGAAAATGAAATTCGAATATTCCACTGCAATTAAAATGAATAAACAGTCTGTATATTAAGATGGAGAGATAAGGTAAAAAATAACATTGAATAAAAAAAATCAGTCTGGGCAACATAGCGAGACTTTGTCTCCACAAAATAATAAAAAAAGTTAGTTGGGTGCCTGGAGTCCCAGCTACTCAGGAAGCTGAGGCTTGAGCCTAGGAGGCTGAGGCTGCTGTGAGCCATGATTGCACCACTGTACTCCAGCCTGGGCAACAGAGTGAGACCATATTTCAAAAAAAAAACCCAAGTTGTACAAAAATATTTAACAATGACAACTTTTATGTAAAATAAAAAATAATACAAAATATAATATATGAATTCATATATGTATGGTATGATTATTTTTTAAAACACATATATTGCATTTTGGTTAATAAATTTCTATGGAGAGGTAGGATAGAGAAGGTAACTGGGGAAAGATGAATTTAGTTTTAATATTTTATTTCCTTTAATGAAGAAAATATAAGAACCAAATATGGCAGATTATTAATAGTTCAAAGGGTGGTGTTTGCTCTATTATTTCCTATTTCAGTATATACATAATTTTCAAATTAACAAGAACAAGTAAATTTTAGCCTTTAAAACCATTTGTATATTGAGAAAATCTAGAGTAATACAAATTTGGAGGTTTAAGATGTACATCATAAAATAAGTGATTGAGCTCATTTTTAAGTGTTCTGATTACACTTGCATCATTTATGGAGATACAATGTTTTCTTTAAAAATGTTCACCACATTACTATTTGAGGTCCACTAATATTTTAATATTGTGTTAGCAAAGATTTTTGGTATTCCCTTTAGTGCTCAACGTTGGTACACTAACTCAGAGGTGTTTTGATTTTTTCATTTTCAAAATGAATATATTTTCATTTTCATGAATTCAAATGAATTCATTTCAAAATGAAATATTTTCATTTTCATTTTCATGAATTCAAATGAATTCATTTCAAAATGAAATATTTTCATTTTCATTTTCATTTTTTCATTTCAAAAAAATTCTTATTTCATTTCACTCACTGATATGGTTTGGCTCTGTGTTCCCACCCAAATCTCATCTTGAATTGTAATCCCCATAATCCCCATGTGTCGAGGGAGAGACCAAGTGGGAGGTGGTTGAATCATGGGGCGGGTTTCCTCCATGCTGTCCTCATGAAAGTTAGTGAGTTCTCACAAGATCTGATGGTTTATAAGGCAGTTTTCCCCGCTTTTGCTCCCCGTTTCTCGCCTACACCATGTAAGATGTGCCTGCTTCCCCTTCTGCCACAATTGTAAGTTTCCTGAGGCCTCCTCAGCCATGTGGAACTTTGAGTCAATTAAACCTCTTTCCTTTATAAATTACCCAGTCTTGGATATTTCTTTATGGCTGTGTGAAAACAGACTAATATACTCACTATCTGTGCAGTTGTGAAATTTGAAATAAATGTCCTTCCTTCCTCCCTCCCTCCCTCCTTTCCTCCTTCCCTCCTTCCCTCCCTCCTTTCTTCCTTCCCTCCCTCCCTCCCTCCTTTCCTCCTTCCCTCCTTCCCTCCCTCCTTTCTTCCTCCTCCTTCGCGCCTTCCCTCCTTCCTTCCTTCCTCCCTCCCTCCCTCCCTCCTTCCTTCCTTCCTTCTTTACTTCCTTGTTTCTCTACTTCCTTTTTAATTTTTTCTTTCATTAGGGAGATAATTGTTTTACTTGTTTGTTGGCCATCTCTCAATTGAAATATTTAGCATACTGTGATGTACTTTTTTCCACAAACCTTTTCCATTTCTACGTTACTACATCCTTTGCATATTTGAAGCTAATTTTCCCATTAGTTTTTTTAAGTGACCTGTTGTAATTGTACATATTTATGGGGTACCAGAGACTGGGGAAGGGAGGAAGGAGAAAAAGATGGGGAGATGTTGGTCAGTGAGTACAATGTTTCCATTGTTTTTTTCTCCTGAAAATTACTCTGGAACTTGTGTAATAGTTATAATTGTGACTAACTGCACTGTGACTCACCTGACCATAGCAGCATGCATTTAAAAGGAGGAGACGGTAATGTAAATGAATCTGGAGAGTGCTACAACTGTGTAGAAGACATTGCTAGTGGTCTATCCAATATCCATACCCCATTGTTAATGAACTAACAGAACATTGATTTCTTGAAGGTCAGCAGTGTGTCCAGTCAAAAAGCTTACTTCCTCAGCCTCTTTTGCAGCTATTGTTGAATATGTGACTTGGTTTGAGAGAATAAAAATAATTAGGAGTCATTGAATAAGTATTCTAGAAAATGTTTTGAAAGGTACGACCTTAATGGGCAAAATTCCTTTGCTTTTCCCCCTTTCTCTTCTCTCTTCCTTTCTGAAGTGCAAACTTTATGCCCATAGGTATGGTAGCCATCTTGCAAACAGGAAGATGAAGATCACATGTGAAGGAGAGCAGAGCTGAAGAGCAGCAGGACCCCAAGGCCCGGATGCCATAATCTAGAAGCTGGCTTAGATTGGGCTTGTCCACTAGTAGACTCATTGTTACATGAAAAATGCTCAACAATAGAAGATCCATGTGTTTAAGCTACTGTTATTCAGGTGTATCCGAGCCAGCTGGAGGAGAGCCTAGGGATCCTTTATTTTAGAGATGATGAAACTCAGATACCAAACAGGTTAAGCAGTACACTTTATCTATGGTCTAACTGCACAGCATCTGCACAACATCTGCATTCTATAATAATTATTGTTTTGGAAAGACAACATGTTGAAATGTTTTAATGGTTATTTAGCCATACCTTTGGCAATCAACAGTGGATTTGCATAGTTCTTTTTTTGCAGGATTCAAAGGACTTCCAACATGGCATTCTTAACCTTTCTTCTTTGTCGTCACTGAATGGCCTTTATACCTCAATCTGAAGCTTGAATGTGTTCTTCACAATCCCCATATTAGGTATTTTGTTAATTCATCCTTACAGTTTAAAGAAAGGATAAATTCACAATCATTTGAGGTATGAGATAAAATATTTTCTCTTTGATTTTATAGTATATCCCAACAAAATAATACCAGAGAAATAAAATTTTTCAGAACATTCTCTATTTCCTTCTAGATATATTTAATCAATATACCAAAGATCTTTGCTTATAAAACTTAATTTTGAGTAGGGAAATCAAATTGCACTAAAAGTAGATCTAATAGTCTCATCTTATTTAATAAGAACTTCCATTTTTAAAAAACAGACATTTATTATCAGTTATGTGCTGTCAGGCACCGTTTTTTGCTTTCAATGAAAAAGTGAATGTGAACGTGTCTCTACATAGGGAAGGATCAAACATAATGAAACAGATAAATAAATGAACCAATGATGACGGCTTAGTGAGAAGAAGGCAGTGAGAGAGGTGTTTATAGAGTCCGATGGGAAGGGAGAAGAAAAACATTGAAATCAAACTGTCAGTTAGGTGAGACATCCTAGGAGAGATGATACCTCAGATATGTCACTATGGAAAAGTAAAAGTTGGCCAGGCATAAAAGGAAGGAACATTCTAGCTGAATACAATATGTTTAATGATGATATAAAACAAGGCAAGCAGGACTAAATTGAGGAAAGCTTACATAATTTAGGATAGCTGGAATAAAAGTTTATGTGGGAGAGAGACACTAGATAAAGCTAGGAAGCTAAAATAAGGCAGACCAGGAAGAATATTACTCAGTTAAATTAATATCAATTCAACAAGCATTTTGAGTATCTCACTGTGTACCAGGCACTGCCCTGAGATGTGGATTACAAAGGCCATAAGGATTTACAGCTTTGTGCTAAATTGAGTGGGTGTGATTTTTTTTCTCGGAAGGTTCCTCTGGATATTTCTGAGGCCAACCTGTGTCATGAGTCATAGAGGAAGAAGAAACTGGAGGTGGGATGGAGAGTGAGCTAAGCAGTGTCTGCGGTCCTGGGGAGCATTACTGCACCTGCTAGCCCACAGAAAGCTTGCTGGCTATTGATGATTCCTGGCTTTTCCCTGAGAGCAACTGGATGCCACTTTCTACGTGAAACCGTGTTACTTAGGGATGGAAATGAAGCTAGGAATGGGAATGGGAATGGGTTGGCTCCTACTTGTGTGAGGTGAGATAATGAGAATGTTGATATAATGGAAGCTCTGCTTGTTTGAAGCTCTTTATGCTGCTCCCTGTGTTACCTTATTTGGATGATTATATTTTGTTTTTATTATAGGATCGAGTCAATTATCAACTATCACTGTCTTCCATTTTGTGTTCCAATTTAGCATTTTCAGAAACTTAAGTAAAATGCATTTTCATTACTGTTCATGGTATTGCATCCTTTTCCTTTCCATGTAAACCATCTTGACTTCCCAAGACTCTGTTTCGCATCATCTGCCTCTCTAGTGTCTTCTGCAATCTTATTTGCCATTAATTGTTCCGTAGCTGAAAAAATTCCTGCATGCTCAGAGATGGCATTTTCTAAGGAGGTGAAGTTTTCAGTACTTCTCAATTCTGCATCATCTTCCCTTTCTGTCCTCTCCTCTCTCATCAGTTTAAGTAAAGAATCTTGTTCTTAGTTGGTTTCTGTCATTTGACATTACTTCTACCATCAAGTACTTACATTTCTGATAGGACATGCTTCAAGAAAGAATCTTCTTCAGGACCCAAAGGAATGATGCTATTTATAATAGTAAAGGGATAGACAATGGGGTCAAATTTAGTGTCACTCACTGGCATTGCTCAAAAGTCACTCAGATCTCACCTTAAGTCTGGATAAAACCCTCTCCTTTTGGCGAAACCTATTTTTAAAGGTTTATAAAATCTAAGAAATTTAGAATATTTGTTGAAGCTGAGACCTCACCATAGAAGAAAAGGCATTTTACCTTGCAGTACTTGCACTATTATTATAAAAGAAAGAAAGCATGCTAGTAGTGCTAGCATTGAAGAAATTAACAGTCTAAAGAAAGTAGCAATCTTTAATAATTTGTTTCTTGACTTCTTTCATATTCTGACCAGCAGATGAGCAGTTGTTCATGTTTTTAATTTTAAAAAAGGAGGCCACCATTTTTTTGCTGTGTTACAGATACTACTAAATACCATACTTTAATAACTCAAATACTTTTAATAGAAAGAAAAATCTTTTATATACTATGTATGTCAGTATTAGCATATAATAGTAAAATAGAAGTAGTTAAATTTTGTTTAAACAAAGGTCTTGATGATTTCATATATTTATACTGAAATAGACATCTAAACACAGGAGAAAAATTAATAACATCAACTACCTTATATTGACGTTATATTGATAATAAATAGTGTGTGTGCCTTGTCACCCTACCTTCATCTCTCTCCAGCAACATCTCTTTCTGTGCTGTCTTCAGTGTCCTTCCAATTAGAATAAATCCTTATGTAATAATGATACTCCAAATATTTACTAGCAGACCTTTTACAATTAGAAATCATTGTAGTTTATAATTATAGTTTATGAAACATATTACTTGCCTCTGAATTTCCCAGTGTGTGTGTGTGTCGCGGGGGCGGCGCTGGGGGGTTATTTATTTTTTTTCTGAGACAGAGTCTCATTCTGTTGCCAAGGCTGGAGTGCAGTGGCACGTGATCTTGGCTCACTGCAACTTCTGCCTTTTGGGTTCAAGTGATTCTCCTGCCTCACCCTCCTGAGTAGCTGGGATTACAGGTGCGGGTCTCCACTCCCGGCTAATTTTGGCTAATTTTTTTTGTATTTTTAGTAGAGACGGGCTTTCACCATGTTGGCCTGGCTGGTCTCGAACTCTTGACTTCAGGCACTCTGCCCACCTTGGCGTCCCAAAGTCCCATTGTGTATTTCACAGAACATTAGAACTGAGAACAGTTCATGAATATCAGGGTCCTAGAGCCAAAGGAATGTGGGAAATAGTTCCTATCACGTTTTTCTCTTGAAAATTTATAATGATCTTTGGTATACATTAAGAACTGATATCTGGAGTATAGAAACTTGTTTCGTTTGTTTAATTACTGCTTTCCCAAATAATAGACTCATTTGGGTTAATGTTTTGGGATCAGTGTTCCAAGAGCCATCATTCAGGAAGCAGTGGATTAACCAGACTTTCAAATATAAATGGTTTTAGAAGTCAATTTTTCAGGCTTGCTCTCTTAACTTGCACTCTTTTTTCTCTTGTTATATTTGCAAATTGTCTCCAATGTGGGGAAATTATTTTTAGCAAAATGTAATTTAAAGCAGATACTTCAATTTCAGTATTTACTAAGCTACCACTTGCAGCTTCATCTAAATGAAGAATCAATACCATCAAAAGCAAGTATTTCCATTTAAAAAAACTATTGCTATTAATGCATTTAAAAAATTTAGGACAATAGCACTCGAAATTTTAAAACTTTTCTGTTGGCAAATATACAACACTTTAAAAATGCAAACAATAATGGAAATAAATGTATTACAAATTACAGCCCAGGGAAGGTTTCTAGGAAGAAGTAAATGCCTATTTCTTGGATTTTCAAACATAATATGTTACTGTGATTCAAAGGAATACTGGCAAAGAAATGAAACTGAAAACATTAGCTTGGCCTTATTCAAAGTAAAAGATTTTTGTAATTCTGATTTGCCATGTGTTAAGGGATAAGGAATGTAAAATCACAGAGAATAATTTGAAGAATAATAACAGTGTGATAAAGCACTCAAAGGGTTCCATGCTAATATAAATGGAAAGAAAACAGGGCTTAATTTTAAAAATTGAAAGGAAATACAAGAACAAATGGAGACCTACAGACATTTTAAATTCATGAAAGATGTGAACAGCATTCTCATTCATCAAATACAGAACACGTGCAATAAAGGGGCTCTATCTGAATCTTGAAAGTTGAAATATGAGTACTACCAAAAGGGACACTTTACATAACACGTCCTGACAGGCAAAGGATGTAAAATAGTTCAAGGAAGGTTTTAAGATATTCATAAATAAACCGTGATTTTAAAAAAATGTTGTTGCTACTTCAAATAGCTAAGGGAAATGGATTGCTTGTAAACAAATATGAATGTTGACTTTCTAAGTCAATATAATAAAGTATTTAAGAGTGTGGTATCTGGAATTTAACTGTATCATTCGTCATCACAACTTCTGCACTTATGTTTTAAAGTTACTTAATGTATCTAAATCTCACTTCCATCTATAACATTTGGCAAATGACAGGACCTATTTCACTGGATTGTTGTAAAGTTTCAGCACAGCTCTAGGTACAGAGGAAGTAGATAAAAACTGGTAGCTATTGTAATACTGTGATAAAATGCATATTTGATGACACATCATTGAACTTTTGGGCACAGAGAAATCCCCAGACACTTCTCAGAGCTATTTTAAAAGAACAGATATTAAGCTTGGAGGAAACTGGCAACATCTCCCATATTTTTAACCTCTTAGTCAATATTCCCTATGGTACAATTTTGAAATTATATAATGATTTTAAAGTTTATTATATGTCTAAATCTGCCATCAAATGTGTTTGGTGATTTTCTGTGCCCATAGTTTTGTCAACTCAAATATTTATTATAAAAAGCATTCCTGAATATTTTATTTAACTTTTATGACTTATTTGCAAATGTTTACTTATCTCGGAACTAGAAGAGAATCCTTCATCTTGCCCTAATGGTCAAATTCTTGTATTTTTAATTTTGTCTGATGTGATGGTAAGAGAAGAAAGTTGTTTTTCCTTAGCTATTGAAGTTTTCTGAGTGTACTTACTGTAAGTAATGAACTTTAATTACTTTTGCAATTATAGCTTATTTGATTGAATTTTCCACTGACTGCACAAAACATCTGTCCTGCTGGGACCATACATCGTCTCTGGTCTGGGTACAATATGTTGTCAAAATATAGTAACATTTGCAGTCCATTAATTTCTGAAGCAATAGGCAAGTTAGGCTTCCAAAAGGGCTGAGTTTATACTTGGGAATTCTGTTCCTGTGCTTTCCATCTAAGTGGACCGAGACCATTCATGCTTTCCGATTTGTTTTAGTCTCTACTTAGTGTTTAATAAACAAATATAAACAATTAGCACAGTATTTGGCTTGAAACTCTGTTTTATTCTGACTATACCAGCTGTCCTCAGATATTATAGAAATAACAATGGTTAGAAGGCACTTCATTATGATTTTGCAGACATTAGGATGCGGTTATTGGAATTAAGTGATAAGATATTTTTTGATAACAGCACTTTTATGTGAACTTCTTTGAAGACTAAGACTAAAGATACTTAAAAGGTGGAAAAGAAGCTCCTAGGAATACAAAAACTTTTGATTTTGCCTGAAAGTACAGTGAAAGACTGTTATTATTGTTACCATCATTTCTTGTTTTTTACAGAAATGTATTTCAGAATATGTGCTCAGAATATTCCTCTAGTAAGGTCTAGAGACCATTTTCTTATGTTTCAGATAAAACAGGTAAGGCATAAATAAATCACAGAGAAAGAATAATGTTGAATATGTATAAAGGCTTAGGGCAGTCACCAGTAAAGGTCATTAATTTCTATAAAGATTTTGGAGCTACCGTATCAATTTACTCAAGTTTGGTTTGTGTTTCTCAATCAACAACAATTGTTACTCCAATTTTCAAAATAGAAAATATTGTCCATCCAAGTCTCAGTCAGAATTTTATGGTTGTAGAAACCATTCATGTTCACCCACATTTTCCATACGTCCTTGCAGTCTTTTGCTTATGATTGGTTTCTGGTCAGAGAATGGGTCAGAAGTAATGAATACCATTTCCAAGGCTGGCTCTTCACCCTTCTCTTTTTCTCTCCCAGGTCAACCTTAGAGGTCAAGTGTTTCAGATGGCAGAGCTACAAGATAATGGGGCTGCTTTGTCCAAATTAGGCAGAGCCACCAGTAAAAGACAAACATTTTTAATCTTAAATTTCTGAGATTTAGGCCTGTTGCAGCACCCATATTAAATCATTACTATACCATTACTAAGTGACTTATGCAAACCATATCTAATCCCAGTGAGGTAGTTGCCATTGTACCTATGAGAGTGAACATTACTTCAGGAGGGCTATCTATGACTCTTTGGCACTATCTAAACTATATATTATGTCCATTCCTCAGCTCAGCAAGATACAGCATTTATAGTCATACATACTTACATTCATATGTATAGCTTATTCAACTGCTAACTAAGCAGACCAATGACAAAAATAGTACAACATGAACTGTTTTTATGAGGGAGGAGAGAGAGCCTAGGAGTAGGCTCAGGAAGCCCCACTGGAGGATGACCAGGTAAACAGGCAGGGCTAAGAACTAGGGAATCATCAAGGGTTGAAGAAGGAGTGAAACGACCTTTCAAAGAGCATCCCTGAGAAACAGGCTTTCAACATCCAGAGCAACCATGGGGCTGAGAGGAAAAATTGTGACCATGCCATCATCACAGTGGGACCTGCTGAGTACAAACTGCTAGATTCCTACTGAAGGCTCCTTCCTCCCTTTCCTATCACAGACATAGATGAAAACACACTGGTGGGGAAGGGTTGAGCCCTGCGAGGTTATCTGATGCACCCTCTCTACCACTTTTGTGCATCTTAAATGGGGTTTAAACATCCTAAAATGTCTGCAATGTGTTCATTTCCTGTGGTAGATCTACAGTGTGTGACAGGAAATCTATTTCTTTTCCTGTAGATGCTAAATTCATTACCTTGACACAGAATTTAGACACACTCTTTGCACTAGCTTCCATAGCAACCAGTATCAGGCATTTTTTTTTTCTCCTTTTTCTTTCGCTGGAAGCTGGGTAGTTAAATGTAGTGGCAAGAACAGTACTTAATTAAAAATTTTGTAAAAGGCACCTAATACTACTGTACCAAGGGTCTCTTCATACTGTCACCTCTGTCATGACATACTTCATAAACCCATAATCACGTTATAGACCACAAGCAGAATTTAGGCTAGTAGAATATGGGATTCTTTAAGATCATTTTATGAAGGAGTTTCCTTTTCTCTTTTTCAAATTCACAGCATTGAGAGCTATTTGAGATAATGGATGTAATTGATTATTATTGAAGGCAAGTCTTGGACAGGTACTAGACGTAAGTGGCCCAAATGTTGTTACGGCTCTGAATAACCCTACATTAAAATTCCACATGGGTTGGAGTGGCATCTGTTTCTGTCTTCAGTAAAGAGAAGAACACCACAAATTCATCATGGCAACAAATTGTCCTCGTTTCCTAAAGAGCAAAGTGAATGCTTATAAATAACAAAACAATGTTAATGTTTTTCCTACCTTAAATAATAGCAGGGTTGGTTTGAATTGGTGGCTGAAAAGGAAGAGACAGAACACCTGTTTTTAAGGGTCCAACATTTATATGCTAACACATATCAAAAAAGTGAGGCTGTGAGCATACAGAAACTGATGCCCAGAGAAAATTCTTAAAACACTTGGACATTTTGAGGCTGTGTCAGTGCCAGGCTAGGTACTAAATAGCAACAATCATCTAGCATTGTACATGCTCAGGGCTCAAACCACCCAGCCCATCTGGTTTAGCTTGCTTGGACTGTTTAACTTTTATTTTAAACGTAGTGTTCAGAAACTACTTTGAGGTGGGAGAATGCTCTAAGGAAAAACCACTACGTTTTACAGCTCAAAGCAAATACATCACAGTGACTGAAGAAGGGGTGATTGTTTATAATGTTTCTTATCTTTTTTCCTCTCTCTTCCTCATGTTCATTCTTATCTCCCTTCACCACAGAGATACTTTGCACTTAGTGATTATCTCATTTCTCTCCTTATTCTTAAGTCTGAAATAAATCCAGGTCTATACAGTAAGATTCTACCATCATGTATTCCTTTTTCTTTCTTCCTCAAATTATTTCCCTTATTAAACATTATTTTGCTTACTTGGTAAATTAGGGTTGAAGTCTTAGTAATGTATTTTGGTAACACATAGCCAGATAATGCAAATCCTGTGTAAAAGTAGAGCACTTTGGCCGGGCGCAGTGGCTCACGCCTGTAATCCCAGCACTTTGGGAGGCCGAGGCGGGCGGATCATGAGGTCAGGAGATCGAGACCATCCTGGCTAACACAGTGAAACCCCGTCTCTACTAAAAAATACAAAAAATTAGCCGGGCGTGGTGGTGGGCGCCTGTAGTCCCAGCTACGCGGGAGGCTGAGGCAGGAGAATGGCGTGAACCCGGGAGGCAGAGCTTGCAGTGAGCCGAGATCGCGCCACTGCACTCCAGCCTGGGCGACAGAGCGAGACTCCGTCTCAAAAAAAAAAAAAAAAAAAAAAAAAAGTAGAGCACTTTAAGCCCTGCATTAGAATTTTGTTCAGCCACCCAAATTATACTAAGGCATTGCATTGATTGGCGAATATTTCATTAAGTAGCATAATAGGACACTTGAACAATATAACTGACATAGACAGAAAATATAAGAAAAGTAGAATGAAAGTAAACTCAGCGTCAACAAGTGCTTGAAGAATGATAGACTAGGCAGATATTAGACTAGGCAGATATTAGACTAGGCAGATATAGACTAGGCAGGGGATACAGAAATGTATGAATGGAGGCACCTTTCCTCAGGCAACTGGTCTAATGCTCAATAATTGCAATAACAAGATTTAGATAATGTGCCACCGATTATATGTGCTAGCAGGGGAGAGGTAAACTACTAGTAACTGACTAAATAGGAAATGCTTCACAGGTGAGTAGAACTTGGTAGATGTAACTAAAGGAAGGGTTCAGGGCTTAACAGCAGTGGTATGTGAAGGAGAGGCATTCTAAGATAGACATGAGAAATGCAGGAATTTTTGCCCTGGGAAAGAAGTATTCCTGGATCCAGGTTTGACTAGGGCAGGGTATAGTGAGAGTGACACTTTAGGGAGATGAAGGAAGACAATTTGATGTTTTGGCTCTCTCAGGGAGTGGAAATGGGTCAAATAACAAGGGACTGTATTAGGATAGTGGTCATAAAATGAGTTAAGAAAGTACATTCTTTTGGCTGGGCGCAATGGTTCACACCTGTAATCCCAGCACTTTGGGAGGCCGAGGCGGGTGGATCATGAGGTCAGGAGTTCAAGACCAGCCTGACCAATATGGTGAAACCCCCGTCTCTACTAAAAATACAAAAATTAGCCAGGCGCGGTGGCAGGTGCCTGTAATCTCAGCTACTCGGGAGGCTGAGGCAGGAGAATCGTCTGAACCTGGGTGGCAGAGGCTGCAGTGAGCCAAGATCATGCTACTGCAACTCCAGCCTGGGCTACAGAATGAGACTGTGTCTCAAAAGAAAAAAAAATAAGAAAGTACATTATTTTAATAAAAAAGTTGAGGGAACTAAATGACTAATTAAATATGATGATTAATTTCCAAATCAGTATTTTATAATAGGAAAAACTCATCTATGGTTGATATTTTTTATTTTGTTTGGAAAGCACCAAATCTCCCATTTTTTTTTTTCTGGAAAAATGAGACCATTTCAAGGGTTCTGTGATTTTAAAACAATTTTTATAACAACACAAAAGTTTTCTGAGTTTATTATTATTATTTTTAAATGAACTGATAACAATTTTTAAATATTATCAGTCTCAATTTCAAATATGGCAAATAATGACAGATATCTATCTATTTACTATCTATCTATCTACCTATCATTCCACTTAAAAGCTCTTTGGAGTTCTCAGTAATTTTTAAGAGTATAAAGGGATACTGAGACCATTAGTACGAGAACTCCTGATGTTTTACAAAGTATTAGTGTAGTCTTACCCATTAATATGGAAAAGTAGAGATAAGCACTTTGATCAATGCATATCTCTCATGATCAATGAAGTCCAACAAAGGACAGTACAAACTATGAGAGATCCTAGTGATAAAATGGAATCATTTTTTAATTGAACTGCATGAGGAAGCTCTCACACTCCAGCATCCACCAATTTTAAGCATGCTTATTTTACATTGCATTAGTTACAAGCCATTTAGTAGAGGGTCTTCCTTTTCCCCTTCTCCATGTTGTTACATTCAGATTTCAGGATGTCCACTGAAAAAAATTCTAGTTTGATAATTATAGCTGACACAGGAATTAGTCCAGGCCACATAACTTGCTGTACATTTTGCCTTAATCCTCTAGTGAGCAAAAGTAGAATGCATGTATCAAAATATCACATGTATCTCATAACTACGTATAATTATTATATATCAATAAAACTAAGAGACTGTAAAAAAATTTTCACCTTCCACAAAGTAGGTAATAATATGATATTGACAAATAATATATTTAAATAGGAATTGTGTATAATACCCATATCACAATAGAAATACGATATTTAATATAAATATGTATGGCTATGGTATTTAATTTATATGGTATTTAATATAATATGTGGTATTTAATTTATATGGTATGTAATTTATTTGGTATTTAATATAATATATGGTATATAATTTATATGGTATTTAATTTAATTTAATTTATATGGTATTTAATATAATATGTATGGCTCTTATCCATGCAGGAAATTCATCTGCAGCCAATTAGCTGGGAATATTCAGGAGGAACATGCATAGGAATGGAAACTAAATTTCTTCATATGCCTTACAACATAGTTGTTTCAGGGCAGAATGCTTTAGAAATCAGATTCATGTAGATTACCCAGCAGAATGAAATATTTCTCTAATTCATTGTAAACCAACAGTGCTCTGAAAAAGGAGTGCTGGTAGGGGTAGGGCAGGCGGTGGAGAAGGCAGTAACCAGTATCAGTCTCCACAAAGCTGCTAGGTTCTGGGATCCTCCCCGAGAAGCTAGGTTCTGTCTCCCATCAAATATAGGTTTAGTTGTACGTCGTCCTGTGTCTCTATGTGATTTTGAAAGAACTTCCCACTGATTAGTGTCCAGCTTCCTCCACCTTAAGATTATTTTGGGCACTCAAATGAACAGTCAACAAAGTAACAGGGTCAAAGTTTAAAGGTCATGAAAGACAAAGGCTGAAGAATTCCAGATTAAGGGGACTGAAGAGACATGAGAAGTAAATGTAATGTTTGGTCTGGGATTGAATACTGGATCAGAGGAAGGACATTAGCGTAATGCCAATTGGCAAAAGTGTAAATAAGGTCTGTAGATTTGGTGATAGTACAGTACCAATGTTAATTTTCTGATTTTGAATTTTGTACTGTGGAGAATCTGGGAGAAGGGAATGTGAAAATTATTTGTACTATTTCATAACATTTTTTATGTCTGAAATCATTTAGAAATTAAAATTAATGATAAAAATTATAGATAAAAATGTTACAATTGTGAAGGTGCTTACTATTAAAATTATATTTCACTATGGGTAGTGATTGAGAATATAGGTTGGGGCATCAGAATTCAGGGGTTTGAATCCCAGCTCCATTACGTAGTAGTAGTATAAATTTCAAATTAATTAATCTCTAGGTACTTCAGTTTTCTCATCTGTAAAATGGAGAAAACAGTGCTTTCTACCTTTCAGTGTGGTTGTGAATATTGAATGAATGAATGTACGTAACGTGCTTGGAAAAGTGCCAGGTTCCATAAATGTTTGTGAGAATTATGAAAATTATTTGGATGGTTACAGCTGTTATGTATGGAATAATATTAGAATGAAATACAATACTGTAAATTCTATCTCTAGGTGAGATACTAAATGTAAAGCCAACTATTTGTCAGCTATGCAGAAGCTTAGACAAATTATTGGTCAAGAAAGAAGCAAGTAGATGCAATGTTTGAATGTTTGACATTGCCCCAGGAGGGCACGTGAGTAGACACAATTAGAAGGTCAGGGAAACCTGTTAATGAGACATTTTTAGGAGATTTGAACTCCTGGCAAGCTAAGTCCCTATTAGCTAAAGATAGAGTGTATCTGAGAAATAATGTGATGTAGAAGAAATGACTTTCTATTCAGCATATAGGCCCAAGAAAAGTTTAAATTTTATTTCTTGAAAATGTTAGTTTTCACATGTGAATCCATTATAAACCATTGCAGTGCAGCATGAAGAGGGGAGAATGTAGTTAAGATTAGCATTAGAAACCTAGTATTCCAACAGAGCAAGGCCTGCAGGAATGGGAGAAGAGTTTCAAACAATGTAAGTTATTACCTATAGAATGATATGTTGTGGAAAAATTGGACTTTGTATCATAAAATCTAGTTGGTCTGATGCAGTGTAGCTCAATGTACACAACTTCTACCCTGTAAATTTGCGATTAAGCCCAGCTGTGGTATCTTGGACTCACCAAATTTTATATTTTCCAATTTTGTTCATTCTATGAACTCAGAACTTCTCTAAGAAACTCTGAAATGAAGCATTAGGCTATGAAATTAATATAATGAAGACTTGATTTTGACAAAGTATAAGATTATATCATTGCAACTGAATAGATTTCTGACTTTATTTCTTAATTTCAGACTATCATCCTCATCTATTTTTCAAAGATAGTTGAGACTAATCATGACTGTCTTCATCAGGGTCCAACCAGGAAACAGGAATTGCTAAATATTACAAACAGAGGAAAGAATCTCAAGACATCACTCTACTTCTAGGGGCAGAGGGACACAGAGAGAAGGTGGTATTAGCAGAACCCAGGACTAAGGATTTTCTCTTGTAATAAACGACACAGGACCATCAAGGTAGGTGGTATCTGGCAGGGAGCTAGAATCATGTAAAATGGTGCTTGATGAATGGAAAAAAGATGGAGAAACACTCTATTTCTCTTCCCCTTCTACCCTTAGTCTTCCACCATTGTCTCTGGTGGCCAAACATGGCAGAAAGCCAGTTAGTGAGGGAACCTGGAAAACTTAGTTTGCAGGTAAAGGGCAGGAACAGATCTGTGTGCAAACAGGCAATGACCACCATAATGCCTCTGTCCATGCCTAAAACAGAGATGGAAACCGAGTCTCTGCTCTGGAACAGGCAGTGTTCAGGAGAAGCTTTTCCATCTAGATGCTATTTCTTTAATTTTTCAGAGCAAGTCTGTGAAGTTGTTATTATTATTTCAATTTTGTAGATGAGGAGACAGAATCTTGAAGGAGTTCTGGTCTCTGTTTAAAGTTTCAGAGCCAGAAAGGAACAGAGGCCACCTGGTTCTACACATACTCATTTTTCTTTTTTCTGTGTCTGTTCAACACTTGAAAGCTTGCTTGATATTATGCTGAGACTGTAGAGTTTAAAACTCTGGAGCTAAAAGAGACAACAGAATTCATCCAATCTGACTTTAAAGATGCAGAAACTGAGGACTGGAAAGCTTTGCTTAACACATATCTTGACCAGAATAGGAACTATAACTTAAAGTTTCCGTAAGACACTGAGTAATTACATCAATATTTAACATGAATGGCATCTGTCTTCTTGTTCTCTACTCAGTCATTGAGGATCTCAGTGGGGAATGGGATGAAGAGCTCAGGTGGAAGGGATTTGCCTTGAAGAGGAGGATGCCTGTCGTGCATGTTCTACTCTATTTTTTTATGAAGTACGGATCTATGCTATCCACAGGGTTGAGAGGGAAGGAAGACATTAGGAGCATGCTATAAGTTTGGACTGTCTGCTGAGAGAATGGAAAGTGAATGTGCCTAGGAATGAATACAATGAAGTGAATACATAGTGGAGCATTGAAGACTCACCTGGGCGTGAATGGAAGCAATGTGAGATGGTACTAATCAGCAAGACTATTTTTTTTTCAGTAGTGCTCATGGTTCTGGAGAAGAAATAGAAAAGTGAGTCCTTAAACTGATCCCACATTGTAGAAGGGTCTGGCAAGCGAGGCCTACTGGTTAGAGAGCAAGCAAACCGAGAGCTTTCATAACACAGGCAAGAGGGAATCGATGGATCCTGGGAAGGATAGTATCACAGGATAAAGGAAGGACTCCATGAAGTTTAAATTTAGAGTTAATGAGAGAAAAATATTGGAAGGAATGAATGGACAGAAAGTTCTGATCAGAAAATGTGATTTCTAAGCTTGAGCTTTCAGGACCATGTGGTTCAATACAATAGCCACTGGTCACATATGGCTACTCCAAACTGGGATGAGCTGTAAGTGTAAAATATAGCCCAGATTTTGAAAACTTAGAATGAAAAAAAGAATGCAAAATGTGTTACTATTTTAAATATTTATTCCATATTGAAATGATAATATATGGGATATATTGGGCTAAATAAAATGTTATTAAAATTAATTTCACCTGCTGCTTTTTAAAATGTGGCTACTGGAAAAGTTAAAATTATACATGAGGCTTGCATTACACTTATATTGGATAGCACTGTTTTAGCAGTTGTATAGTTACAAATCAAAACAGAGCTTTTCAAAATGTGATCTTCAATCATTTAATTGATATTTAGGGCATAAACGACCAATATTTTAAAATAGCTAGAAAAATTATCATGGTATAAAAATTAAAGAGTAAACAACATTTTAATATGTGTTAATGAAAGTGATCATGGCTTAATTTAAGAGGAAGAAATTTTCCTAGTTTTTCACTGAATTCATGATACAAAACTCATTTGCAGATAGATTAATACATTGATTAGGAAACACATTCAATAGTTTTCTATTCTTAGTCTTTATATATTTGTATTAAATTAGTCATGAGTTGGCAATATGGAAATAATTAGTTGGTGACTGTCAAATAGTGCTGAATAATCAGCTTGTCCCGAAACTCAGGGAGATTTCTGTTTAAAACCACTTCCAGTGTTGTTGACAAACATTTCCCACTCAAAGTAGAAGTCAAAAGATAAATGCAAATGGATTTCTAATCCATTTTTTAGTCGCAATTATCTCTAGAAATTTTATTGCCTTTTTATAGAATTTGAATGTGGTTTTAAAATAAAACTCTTACATAGAGTGTCAAAAGATCTTTGGCAAGGGTGCCAATAGGGAGAGGTTAGTCTCTTCAATAAAAGTGCTGGAAAACCTGGATAATACATGTGTAAAAGAATAAAGCTGAACCATTATTTTATACCATATACAACAATTAAAATGGATTAAAGATCTAAACACAAGACCTGAAACTATGCAACTCCTGGAAGAAAACATAGTGGAAAAACTTCATGACATGAGATTTGACAATGATTTCTTGGACATGAAACCAAAAGCACAGACAACAAAAGCAAAAATAGAGAGATGGGACCACACGCAACTTAAAAAACTTCTGTAGATTAAAAGAAACAGTCAACAGAGTAAGATGGCAACCTACAGGATGGGAGAAAATATTTAGAAAACACACATGTGATATGGGCTTGGGTTAGTATCTAGAATATATAAAGAACTACAACTCAACAAAAAAATCTAACATCCAGTTGAAAAAATGGGCAAAGGACTTGAATAGACATTTTATCCAATAAAATGTACAAACTGCTTGCAAACATATGAAAAGATACTCAACATCAAAAAACACTAGGAAAATGCACATTGAGATGTCACTTCGCACTCATCAGGATGGCTAATTAAAAAAAAAACAAAATAAGTGTTGGCTAGGATGTGGCAAATTGGAACTTGTACACTGTTGGTGGGAAGGCAAAATTGTGCAGTCCCTATAAAAACAGCATAAAAGCTGCTCAAAAAATTAAAAATCGAATTATCATATTTTCCAAAAGAAATGAAAACAGGTTTTCAAGGAAATATTTGCACACCCATTTTTATTGCAGATTAACAATAGCTAACAAGTGAAAGCAACACAAATGTTCATTGACAGGTGAACAGATAAAGAAAATGTGGTCTATACATAAAATGGAATATTATTCTGCCTTAAAAAGGAGAAAATCCTGTTACATGCTACAACATAGATGAACCTTAAGGACATTGTATAAGTAAAATAAGACAGTAAAAAAAGACAAGTATTGTATAATTTCACTTATATGACATTTGTAAAATATTCAAACTCACAGAAACATAAAGGTCATTGCCGGGGGCTGAAAGGAGGACAAACTAGGGAGGTGTTTCATGGGTATAGAGTTTCAGTTTTGCAAAAGAAAACGTTCTGGTGATCTGTTTCACCATAATGTAAATAAAGTTAACAATACTGCACTGTACACTTTAATCTGGATAAGTTGGTAAATTTATTTTTTGTGAATGGTGAATTTTTATGTTTCTTATCACAACTGAAAAAAAAACCTTGAAAATATAGTATCAGTTGCTTCAACAAGTGAAACAAATTGTGAAGGGTTGGAGAAGCATGAAACTTTCAGCAATTGACCTATTAATAAAACAATTCCATCTTTGCAAGAAATTCTCACAATTTTTTCAAAATATTCCCAAGATTAAAGCATGGAATGTTTTATATTCAAGTGATAAATGCAGGTTAGTCAAGATAAAGTATTTAAGAAAGCTACTTGAGATAGCTATACACAGAATTAGGTCATTAAGAAGTGTTTATATCTTTGTTGATATTTTTGAAATCAACACCCAGTGAACTTTTAATAGTTACTGGCCTTCGGATATCTCCTTAAAGTATTGAAAAAGCATATGCCCAGTGGTCCTATTAATTATGTTCATATAGTTTTATGTTTCTTTCAATACTGAGTATACATCAGGCAATATTTTGCTCATTATCAACAGTTCTCTGTGAATGAAGATGTGTATTGATTGACATGAAAGTGCAATTAGTTTTATTTGTGTAGTAACATATTCTGTTGCTCTATACATAGTTGAAAATTTGTCAGTATTGATCTAAATGAACTTTGCTAGTCAATACCTTGCTTACAAAGTAATCATTAGGTACCAAATTACAGCTCCCTTGGTGCAAATTTTCAGAGGTAAACAGAACAAATAATCACCTAGTACTCATTCCTCATGTAAATCTCACACATACTGGGACCTAATTCATGCTCTACATGTTAGACGCTTGTAGAACTATAAAGCAAAATATCTGTTAGCACACAAATATAACAGCAGTTGCTCTTCTAAATTACACAACATTGATATTATGCAAAATACACTGGTGTATTTTGTGTGCAACTCGTTTTGCTTTCTTTCCAACACATATGCGTATTTTAAATTAACTTTGCTGGTTGTTATATAAACTTCTCAGCAATGGTATGCCTTATACCTTTTTGCGCCCTGAGGCTTATAACTGAATGCTGCCTCTTTTGTTTCAGTTTCTTCTCTGCTTTTGGCAAGCAAACTCATTAATTCTATACTGGAAAACATTATTTCGTCTTCATTTTGGAAAAACTCAATTGGTTTACCAGAGAAGTCCCTGTGATTTTTTGTAAATGATGTAAAAGGTTTTATGACTTGATACCAGTATTTGATATACTTTCAATAGAAACTGCAGATATAAATCCATCACTAGTTCAATAAAATTCAGTATTCTGATTCTCATTATTATGCAGCCTATTTTCATTTTATCCTCCTCTGTTTATGCAAGTGATTGCACTTGCAGAGTCACTTGTCCTGGAGTTTGGTTCACTATTTATGACTTTCCTGATTTTAGTAATTTATTGATTATTTTGCCACCTTTATGCTTCAATAAACAATATTGGAGCCATTGATCTATTTTTTCCTGAATTTGCAATATGCTATAGAGTAATAACTGCAAATGAAAACAGATAAATGCTGAAACAATATATTGTTATGCTGAGATAATTCTAAAACTGAATGTTAGATAAAATGTATATTGACTGTTTAAGTTGTTGTTGTGTTATGGGTAAACTTCAAGCATGTGATTAAGAACTTAATACAATTTCCGGCACTTCTCATTCTTCAGCTCTGACGTTTCACATTTCTGAAGGGTTTTGCCCCTAGCACCATATTTACTCTCTTTTTCCCAGCCCTCAAACATTTACTTATAGACTTACTTATTCATTACTTGCTTACAGATGAGTTTCACCACAGGAAAAGATTATTGGGGCACAGGTTAGTATTATACTAATATGTCTGCGCAAGGTGGGGGCATTGACATGCCCCAAAATGTTGGCAATAGAGTCTTACAAGTCAAGGGCAAGAGTCTTCAGTGAATGTGGGGAGTTATATGGAGATTGGAAGATGGCAGAAATGAGGGTGGAAAGAGGTTAGTATAGCCAAATAGAACATGGTGCTATGAAGAGAACCTCATTTGGGGGTTCAAATTCCCACTCCACCTCAAAAACTAGGTTAATTATTTAACCTGTTTGAAACTTGCTTGGGGTGTTGTGTGTATAAAACCACTGCTTTTTGGAGTGGACTTAAGAATTATGGAAAATAAAACAATGTCTTGAGACAATGCCTGTCGTGTTATTATCTGCTTATAATGAGTGAGCACATAAATAAAGATGAATCCTACAGTCTCAAACATGAGTGAAAGAACAATTGTTGAAAATGTTGGTGGGAACTTGGGAGTGTTATGACCCTTGAAATGCAAGGAGAAGGAAGACAAACAACCTCTATTTCAGAGGAAAAGGATCATTAGGATATACTGGAGAGATTATTCTATGAAGACACTAAGTTTGTAGTAAAATCTACTGACAGTTGAATGGAGGTTCCTTTGGATTCACTGGAACTAATTTTTAAGGAGGCAGACAAAGGGAGGATGAGGAAGGGAAGGGGTTGAAATGAATTTGGATAAGGCTTTGCTGGTCCGAAGGGGCTTAGTGTTGGCTGAAGTGGCTTGGCTTGATTATGAAGTGTGGGAAGCAGCATTTAGGTAGTAGAAATGTGGGCTCCTTTAGGACTTCAATAGAATTTGGGAACACTATATATATATATAACTTCTACAGTGTTTTAATCCCAGCTATACATGAAGGGCTTAGAGTTATACTTGGTTAATTCAACTTTGGATTTCAGTTTCTGGCCTCTACTGGCTTTCAAGGAGCAGTACTGATGGGACACCAAAAGGATGGCACTCTGGGTTTTTAGAGGGTTCCCAAGAAGAGTGATGAGTATGGCAAGTGAGTCCTTTGCACTTCAGTTCTTCCTATTTGGACAAAGTGGGCTCTACTCAATGCTGTCTGGTATAAAGTAGTCAGTAGAGGAAGTTGAAAGATCATGAATTGCATATTTAGACAGGACTAGGCTTGAATACAAGCTTTTTCAGTGGTGTAAATTTGAGGAAATTACCTAGATGTCCAGAGATTCTCTTTTCTCATTTGTAAAATGGGGATAATAATGAAAGCATTTGCAGGTATTTGTGAGTGTTAAGTCAGATAATATGAGCATGCTGCTTGTTATATCGGAGATGATGAATGAAGATTCATTTCTTTCCTGTGCATTTACAAATTGTCTCTCCCAATTTTGAAAACGGTTTGTTTTATTCATTCAGTAGTCAACAAATATGTATTGAGCATCTGCTATATGTAGGTTTTGTGGTGGTTGCTGAGAAACTTCACACTATTATGTGGAAAAGGTAAACATAGCCACTACCTTCATAGAATTTATAGACTAGTATATATTATGAACCAGATTTTTAATTGTTAAAACCATCAGGCAATGGTGTAAGTTTAATTCTTGTGCAATCAAGCCCACATTTTGGGCATTTCTACTCAATGCTAATTTGCACTATAATCTGACCTCCAATGAAAGGGTTTTTCCTTAGTAGTAATATGTTGATTTCTAGAGCATTGAGGAGAGTTAGCTCTCCATCTGTCACCTCTTCTTGGTGTCACTTTGTTTTAATCTTCACATTGTCATTTATAATGGGATAAAATATTAATAATGATTTAATTTAAATGAGATAAGTAATGTTATCAGTTAGCTTTTATACAGTCTTATTCCTTACGTGTAATATTCTGCCTTGTGACACATGAAACACTGTTGTCGTGATTGTGAATAAAGTTTCACATTTAACACTATAAGAAACCACATCTATCTGCCTTTTAAGCTAAGAGAAGGACATAAAAGGTTTTTTTTCTCCCATATAAACTTGACTCTCAGGTATAAAGATATGGAAAATCCATGCAAAATTCTATTCTAGTCACCTCATGCTATTCTATTGTGAAGGCAGAGGACAATGTATGCAACAGGATGAATTCAATATTTTTATACATCCAAAATGGATATTGTAAGATAAATATATATTCCCAGGCAAAATGATCTTTAATCATTGCTTCAGTACATCACAAGAGGATCTCAGGTCTCTCACAATATATACTCTGATATAGATCATGTCACAGTTTTACACAAAACACTTATTCAGCATAAACTGGCCTTGCAGAAGCTACACTGCCCTTCCCCCTCCATTTCCACTTTCCGTGCTCCCTTCCTCCCTTGGGAAGATGCACGCTTGTTCCATTTGCACGCAGCACCAGCGTTGCCATGGAAACTCGCCTCCTTTTCTTCCCCCTCCCCAGTTACCAAGCTCAGCTTCTGGACTCAGTGCCAAGACCTCCTCTGTACAACCTCAATATTCTTTCAATGTTTAGACAAATCTGTTGGAAAATGTTGTTTACATTTTTTTCACAGTGCTATAGCTGCGTGTTTTGTGCAATACATTTCCCATGGATCCACCTATGTTCTAAGAGAGATTCCTTTTCCCCCTTCTTTTCAATAACTTTAAAAAATATTTTATTATTTGGTTTGATTTCTAATGGAGCATGAAAGGTAACTCAAGATCACAAAAATTCCATCCTGTGGTCAATTCCATCAAGTCCTGAATTTAATACTTTATGTGTCTGAGTTTTGTACTTTTACAGAGGATTTCTGTTTTGCAAAATTTGTAGCATGATGCCTGTTTTTTTAAAAACCCTAAACACTTATTAAATTAGTTTTCATACCTTAGAAGTTCATTAAAGTGCATATGTGGACCTTACGTTATTCCAGCAGTTATTATTCTGATGTTTAAATGATATGTTTGCGTCCTCCATTATTTGAAGTTACAGTGAGATGCCTTACATAGCAAATTTTATGCAGACTTGTAAAGTATTGTATGGAGTTGAATTAGTCATTCTAACACTCATGTGTGCTGGCACAAAAAGTTCTGTTGGTGAAATGACTGTCCCTTCCCCCACCTGTAAAATGTCAAATTTTCTTATAAATTTCTTAAACATTATAAAGTAGGCTTAGCAAAGTATTTATTTATTTAACTTTTTTATTATAAATAAATCATATAAGCCAGCCTGGCGTCTCACTATGCTGATGGCGTGTTTCTTCACTGTAAACATTTATATTTAAAAATGTAAAAAGACGACTTCTATTTGGAAAAAAACTACCTGTGATAAACAGAAGAGGGAGCAATATTTCTTCCTTTTCTTGGACACAGAATGTGGTGGTGGTGTTTTTCTAATTACCATTTCACCTTTTTTTTCTAAATGGAAACCTCCTCTGTTATAATCTCTGCTGTTGATTTTCTTTTCCTTTCTTTCAATTTTTTACGGGAGGAGGGGTGTCTAGTGATGGTAGTAGTAGGACCACCCATTTCGATCAAAGAAACAAAGGTTAAATTCTTTCTGGCTTGCTACTTTCTCTTAGGATATAGTTAAATATTAGAAACCTTTGTCTCCTACTGTATATTTTTACTTCCAACAATACTTAAAAAAAAAATTCTACCGCGACACTTTACAAAGAAGCTCTGGCATTGTGTAGTCAAATGGAGTGAATGAGTGCATTCTCCAGGGCCTGCCCTGTGAGAGACTCTGTCTCCCTGTTGTTCTCACTTTGAGCTAAGTAGGAGCCGTGCACATCTGAATAACAGTCTTTTCTGCCTAGTGCAATCCTGGATTGTTACAGTCTAGAGGCCAGCCATGCTGTCACCGGCACAAATTGATTTAACCATCAATTGCTGTGGTCATTAAAGCTGTTAAAAGTCCCCGCCAAACTGATGAATTGCAACTGAATGTGAAATGAGTCTCTGAGTCTGTTTCCCACCATCTCATATCAAAGGCTATTGTATCCCTGCAAAGTAAAGGGTCGGGGATTCAGGCTGGGGTTCAACAATGGGCTCTGTCAAAGGATAGAGCTCCATTCACTCTGGCACTCCCAATTACAGTTTGCTTTCCATACCTTATTGTATAAAATTTGCATCCAACTAATACATTGAATTATTGACATACTTTGGGTGTCAAAGGAGTCGTTGAATGGTTTGTTTTTAAAATACATGGAATTCTAAGCATCTGGTGGCTACTGGGTCGTGACAATGAAATAATTCCCTGGTTTTCCATTGTTTGCAAAAGAACTAATTTTCTCTCAGCTCAGATTTAACACTTTTAAACACTATGCACAACTCCTTCCATATTCACAGCCATTGCCCATTTCTGAATTTTTTAAAGGGAAGGGATAGAGGAATAATGGTACTATTCCTGCCTAACAAAAACGTAATAAAAATGATTAATATATAATATAATTTAAATTATTCACTATCATCTCTTTGGGGCCAAAATAACTGGGTAAAATGGAAACTACAATTTGATTTGATTATTTTTTACCTGAAGAAAAATGAAAAGTAAAAAAATGTGATATGAAACTAAAATCACATTTAGGCATAGGATTTTAATGCCCAGAAAAACTTTCATTAGTTTTTTTAGAGAAAATAATAGACTAGATTTTATGTTTTCATGGTTAAGCCAGTGAAAGGGCTATGAACCAATTTGACAATGAACACATATATGTTGCTAATAATGATTATTTAGTTAATAAGTAAGTATGGGGAGATGAATGATCATCAAAATTCTTCGAGCTCTGACACTGCAATATTAGCAGGGAACTTCAGAATATTTTGAGTTTTGTAGCAACATTAATATCCTCCTGTTGGTGATAAAATTTTTCTTTTTCCTATTAGACACTCATCTGAAGAGTACTTTAAGTCTTGAGTTAAATATATCAAACAATTCCATTTCTACACGCACTTGCATATGCAATTTGCACGAGTTCACCTGAGGATTTTAAAAGATGTTTATTTTAATATTTAAGGACTGCACAAGGAGTCTTCATTTCGAATTCCAGAGCTTTTAGTTGTCTTTTCTTTCTCTTTTTCTCTTCTTAAACTTCACGGTGGTGTGACTTCAGCCCCTAATGCTTTCCATGATGCATAGAGGAAACTCTCTGTAGGAGAAACACGACTTTGGAGATCAAAGGAAGAGAGCTCCATGTCTATTCCCAGCAACTCCACATGCCCTGCTTATTTTCTTTCCCTAGCTCATCTTACCATGAAGTGCTATCAACAGGGCTGAGAAGAACAGATGTGGAAACAAAATAAATCTGAGTTAATATTGTAATGGAGGTTACATGAATACAAATTATAGAGGAAAGTAAGCACAGCCAGCAACCACCAAAGTGTCATACTGAGGAGAGAGGAAGGAGGGAAGTTGTGCTTACAGATTCACTGTGTAGGTCAGGGGTCCGGGCCATTCACATGTATTAATAATGAGTTGGCAGACAGATCCAGGTTTGTATTTCCCTAGACCCTATTTACCATAGACGTCTCTGGTAACTGTGTATGAAAGTCCATCAGTAAGAACTGTTACATGTTACCCAAGGTTCCAAATGACCCTTGAAGAAGGTCAGTGGATTCTTGTCTTTAAAAGATCTATTGTTCAGAAAAAGGGGTGGAGGGAGCACAAGCTCTCTAGGTGGAGAAAAACCAAAAACCAAAAAAACTAACCTCAAACTGATATAAGCATTGCAAACCAGATGGAGCATCTATGTTTCATGACCCAAGAAACTATAGTACATTTTAGATGGAATTTAATATGAAAATCAATTCTTTTGATAATCCTCACTCAGAGGACAGCATTGGAAATATTATACTTGTTGTGAGATGAAATGTAAAAGTGATACAATTTCCCAAATTCTTTAAAGATTATTTGCCCCAGCTATGCATTCTGGGTTAACAGAATTGTTTTCAACATTGGGTGATAGCAACATTTCTACATTTATTATTAGTAATTTATGTCCTTATTTATTTAAAAGTTCTTAAGCTGTTGATAGGAGAAAGTCTTGCTTTAGTGTTATGTAATTAACTTTAGGTTGTCTACTACCTATAAAAGTACACACTGAAATATATGTTCTTACTGAAAATAAACTTACTGGATAGCATGGCACAAGAGATGTATGAAGCCTGTAATCAGGTTAAAGTTTTTAACTTAATTTAATAGCATATTTTACTCACATACATATATATATATATATTTAAACCATTTAAGTAAGAGGTCTCTAACGGGTGCTTTATCATTATTTCCTTTCAGTAGACTCAGGAGACCAGCCAGCCTACAGGCTTTGTTTAAGAATACTGAAATGCAGCGCGTGTAATAGGTCCTTGATAAATCTCTGCAGGGTGCGTGAATACAGTCTCACAATACTGCTGTAAGATAGAACAGAGATTTATGCCCCTTTTACAGCTGGGGAAATTGAGTCAGAATTTTGCTTAATTTTCTAACGTCACATGATTGAGAAAACTTAAACACTAGTCTATTGTGTGCAGAAGACTCATTGATTGTACTATAGCATTTCCATAATAACTTAAGGTTGAAGACATGACAGAGATAATCCTTTTGCAAAAAAAAAAAAAAAAGAGCCATTTTCATAGCACGCATAGACTTCAATTCTCAAATTAGAGAGCATTGTGTCTTTCTTTCTGCATGGGCATGTTTTCTCCCAGACCAGAACTCATAGTATTATATTGTATGCTACTTTATTTAAAATACCATATCGCATATTCCTAAATTTTAATGTTTTTTATTTAAATTCAATTTAAATATTATTTCTTTGTTTCTTCTAGCCTAATAATTTCAATTTTAAAAGCTCATCAACTTGTTTCATTTTTATTTAATTCAATTTTTTTTTTCAATTTCTCTTGAGATTTCTTCTTTGACTTAAATGTAATTTAAAAGTGTGTTGTTTAATTTTCAAGTATTTTAGGATTTCCCAGCTAACTTTTTGTTATTGATTCCTATTTTAATTCCACTGTAGTCTGAGAGCAAACATTGTATGAATTGTATTCTTCTGAATGTGTTCAGGTGTGTTTTATGGGCCAGAATGTGGTCTGCCTTGGTAAATGTTCCATGTGAGCTTGAGAAGAGTGTTATTCTGCTGTTGCTGGATAAAGTAGTCTACAGATATCAATTATGTCTAGTTGATTGATGGTGCTGTTTAGTTCAGCCATGTTCTTACTGATTTTCTGCCTTCTGGATCTGTTTATTTCTGACAGGGGGGTGCTAAGTAATTGTACTAATAGATTCATCTATTTCTGCTTGCAGCTCTATCAGTTTTTGTCTCACGTGTTTTAACACTGTTGTTAGGTGCATACACGTTAAGGATAGTTATGTCTTCTTGGAGAATGGACCCTTCATCATTATGCAATGCCTCTGTTTATCCTCAATAACTTTCCTTGGTTGAGGTCTGCTCTGTCTGAAATGAATATTGCTACTTTTGCATTCTTTTGATTCATGTTAGCATGGAATATCTTTCTCCATCCATTTATTTATTTATTTATTTAGAGACCAGGTCTCACTCTGTTGCCCAGGCTGGAGTGCAGTGGCGTGATCTCTGCTCACTGTAACCTCTGGTTCCTGGGTTCCAGTGATTCTCATGCTTCAGCCTCCTGAGTAGCTGGGATTACAGGTGCATGCCACCTTGCCTGGCTAATTTTTGTATTTTTAATAGAGATGGCATTTCACTATGTTGGCCAGATTGATCTTGAACCCCTGACTTCAAGTGATCTGCCCACCTTGGCCTCCCAAAACTCTTGGATTACATGTGTGAGCGAGTCCTTTATTTTTAAACTTTATATATCTTTATATTTAAAATGGGTTTCTGTAGCCAACATATAGTTAGGTCTTGTTTCTTGTTCTACTCTGATAATGTGTTTTTTAAATGATGTACTTAAACGTTGATGTTCAAAGTGATTATTGATACAGTTGGATTGATATCTACCATATTTGCTGCTATTTTCTATTTCTTGCCCTTGGTCTTTGTTCCTCTTTCTGTTATGGTTTTAGTTGAATATTTTATATGATTCTGTTTCCTCTTCTCTCCTAGCATATTAATTACACTTTTTAACTTTTTGTGTGGTTGCCCTAGAGTTTGCAATATACTTTTGCAACTAATCCAAATTGACTTTCATATAACACTATATACCACTTCATGCATAGTATGAACCCCTTATGCAAATTTTCCCTTTCTGTTCCTTGCATCACTGCTGCCATTTATTTCATGTATACATAAGCATACATGCACATAAGCAGATGTAATTGAATATATTGTTGTTATTACTATTTTGAACAAACTTTAGATCAATTAAGAATAAGAAAAATAAAAGTTTTTATTTTACCTTCATTTATTCCTTCTTCAATGCTTTTCTTTAGTTAGATCCAAGTTTCTGAACTACATCATTTTTCTTCTCTCTAAAGAACTTCTTTTTTTTTTATTTTTTATTTTTTATTTTATTTTATTTTTTTTTACGAAGATCTTATAGCTTTTATTTTAAAATTTTAGTCACGAATCAGTAATACAATTGGCTTATCTCCACTTATATTTTTATTCAAATTGTGCTTCTGACAAAAATCGGACAAGTTAAGGCTACTTGCTCACACGGCTAAAGCATATTTTAAAAATAAAATTTGTGGAAAAGACAATATTTTTTGGTTGCCAGTTTCCAAATAGTTTCTCCTCCTTTTTTAAAAAGAAAAACCAAGCTTCTTTTTTTTTTTTTTCATTCTATTTCATTTTATTTTGTCTTTTCTTTTTTTTTTTTTTTTTTTTACATTTTTTTTTTTTAAATTTATTTTTTTATTGATAATTCTTGGGTGTTTCTCACAGAGGGGGATTTGGCAGGGTCATGGGACAATAGTGGAGGGAAGGTCAGCAGATAAACAAGTGAACAAAGGTCTCTGGTTTTCCTAGGCAGAGGACCCTGCGGCCTTCCGCAGTGTTTGTGTCCCTGATTACTTGAGATTAGGGATTGGTGATGACTCTTAACGAGCATGCTGCCTTCAAGCATCTGTTTAACAAAGCACATCTTGCACCGCCCTTAATCCATTTAACCCTGAGTGGACACAGCACGTTTCAGAGAGCACAGGGTTGGGGGTAAGGTCACAGATCAACAGGATCCCAAGGCAGAGGAATTTTTCTTAGTGCAGAACAAAATGAAAAGTCTCCCATGTCTACTTCTTTCTACACAGACACGGCAACCATCCGATTTCTCAATCTTTTCCCCACCTTTCCCGCCTTTCTATTCCACAAAGCCGCCATTGTCATCCTGGCCCGTTCTCAATGAGCTGTTGGGCACACCTCCCAGACGGGGTGGTGGCCGGGCAGAGGGGCTCCTCACTTCCCAGTAGGGGCGGCCGGGCAGAGGCGCCCCTCACCTCCCGGACGGGGCGGCTGGCCGGGCAGGGGGGCTGACCCCCCCCACCTCCCTCCCGGACGGGGCGGCGGCAAAGACTGAGACAGCTCCGCTGCCCGCTGAACTCCATCCTCCCGGCCAAAACCAAGCTTCTTAACAAAGATCCTGAAGTGTTGAGTTTACTAATTTAGTTCAAGAACTTCTTTTAACATATCATACAACTCAGATCTCCTGGCAACAAAGTCCCACAATTTTTGTTTGCCTAAGAAAGTTTTATTTCTTCTTCACTTGTGAAGAATATTTTTGCAGGGCACAAAATTTTTGGCTGGTGTTTTTTTTTCAACATTAAATATTTCACTTCACTTTCTTCTTTTTTTTGAATGGTTTCTGCTGAGAAATTGGATGTAATTCAATTTCTATACCACTTCATGCGTAGTGTGAGTGCCTTGTAATAGTAAGGTAGTACTCTTCTATAGGTAAGGTTATTTTTCCTCTGACTTCTTTCACTAACTTTGATTTTCTGTAGTTTGGATATGATATACTAAGTGTACTTTTTTTGCCATTTATTCTGTTTGGTATTCTCTGAGCTTTCTGGATTAGTGTCTGACATACATTGGTGGGAAATTTTTACTCATTATTGTTTCAAATATTTCTTCTGTTATTTTTTCCCTTTCTTTCCCTTCTGGTATTCCTATTATGTGTATGTTATACCTTTTGCAGTTTTTCCACAGTTCTTGGATATTGCTCTTTTTTTTTCTTTTTTTGATCTGTTTTGCGGTTTCAAAGGTTTCTATTTAAATATCCTCAAGCTTAGAGATTCTTTCCTTAGCTCTGTCCAGTCTGCTAATAAGCTCTAAAGGCAGACTTCATTTCTGTTTCAGTGGCTTTTTGTGTATGTGTGTCTCTAACATTTTTTTTTCATTCTTTCTTAGAACTTCCATCTCTCTGCTTACATTGCCTGTCTGTTTTTGCTTTCAATCTACTTTATTCGTCAGAGTCCTTAGCATCTTAATCATAGTTATTTTAAAATATCTTGTCTGACAATTCCAACATCCCTGCCATATCCAAGTTTGGTTCTGATGTTTGCTTTGTCTCTTCCAACTGTGTGTTTTTTGCTTTTGTTTTGTTTTGTTTTTGCCTTTTAGTATGCCTTATACTTTCTTCTTAATAGCTGGACATAAAGTAAAAGGAACTGCTGGGTAAAAGGAACTGCTGTAAACAGGTCTTTAGTAATAGGCGAGTTGGTGTGAAAGGAGGGGACGTATTCTATCGCTCTATAGTTAGGTCTCAATCTTTTAGTGAACCTGTGCCTCTGGACTTTGAACCTTACAAGTGATTCTCAGCTGTCTGCTTCTCCCTTAGCTGGGAAAGAATGCCTACAGTGGACTAGAGTTTTTCCTTCCCCTGTGTAAGTTAGGCATCCATAAAACCCTGGCAGGTTAGCCTCTGGTTAAACAGTTTCCTCTGAGGGCATACCTTGTTAAGAACAGAATGAAGCATTTATTAAGCTGACCAATTTTGTTCTTCATAGCATTATGTGATTCCGAAACTTCCAGTTAACTTCAGTTTTTAGCCCCACTTCTTACTCCATCTTCTATGCTAGCTAATTCTGAGTTTGGAGACGCCCTAGATTTTTGCTGGAAAGTCCTCCTTTCTCCACTGTGGGCACTCAATATGTTTTAAAAGCTATAGCTTTCTCTACCTTGTTTCATTTATGAATAACTTCATAATCTTTTTTCTCTGGAAATGGCTTTCCTCATAATCTACTCATCTTTAAAGGGTACATCTTTAAACATATACTTTAAAAATTACTTTACTCTCATTTTATTAAGATTTTCTCATTTGCCATCTTGAATCATGCTGTTTTTGATTCTAAAACAGTGTTTATTGATTGATTTATTGGGATTGACTCAATTTTTATTTTATTTTACACAGTCTTTTATTATTACAGAGGTACAAGTACAGTGCAGAAAATTAGAAAACACAGACAAAAGTTTAAAGAAATTAAGATAATTCCAGAAATCACCTCTGTGCATCCTTCCAGATCTAACTGTCTTTCTGGCCACCTATCTACCTACTCCTACAACAAAATTTTTTAAATTAAAAAAGACTATGCAGTACATACCTACATACCTTTTTTGTAACTTATTTTTTCAATAAACTCTACCCTTCTATTTTAGTAAAATTTCATTGCACCTCATACTGAGACCATATTCAAACTTCTCCAGCTGAGTCCCAAATATTCTTAGTATTGCATCTGATCTTTAAGTTGCTTTAAACTCTTTTGATCAAGCACAACTTCTCTTTCATAACACATATTTATTATATGTGTTATTATATGCGTTATGTAAATATGACCAGAGACCTGGTCAATTTCCTTGAAGAATGTTAAAAACTCTGTGTTTATAAACTCTCTGGGTCTATCTGATGGTGTCTTCATTTTCCTCCTGATTCCTTTCTTCCTTTATCCTTCACTTCCTTTAATTATTTTACTTCCTTTATTCCTCTTTAGTTTGCTTTTTCTTTCTTCTTCCTGTTCTTGTTCTCCTTTCCGCTCCTCCTCCTTCTGTAATTGAATTTCTCTATTCCCTCTGTATCCTGAAAACAGGAATCATCCTTGGAAAGCTTGATGAATTCAAGTTAAACATCTTTGTCTAGAATACAATGTAGGTGATTTTGTGGGTTTCTTGTTGAATCATATCAGAGGACACATTCTATCTAGTTGACTCACCAATAGTAATGCATAGGTGGGCCACTGGATCTGGATGATGACAGTCTAATCCTTTTATTGCACAGGAGTGTTTTGCCCTGAGACACTAGAAAGTAACTTGTGTCAAGTGTGGTTCTTGCTTTCACCTAAGTGATTTTAACATGACTTGGTAATACTTGCCTAGGTCAATAAGAGGGTTTGGAAAATTATGTTTTTAAAATCCTATAATTTCTTCTACATTTATTAGCTTAAGTGTTCTGTAAATTAGACAAATCCATCATCAGCTGTGATTAGTTGTTACTTTGAAAGGCTGGATAAATGCTCAGTTTCTTTCTTTTAATTACCAATCATCAAAGTAAAAGTAGTTTGAAGAGTTACTGCTGATAGCAATATGAAATTTTCCCAACTTTTTCCTTTTTGATTATTGTTATTAACTCATGAATTTTCATTGACTCATAGTATTTATATCCACTACAATCTTTATTTCTGGGTATTTTTCTGGTCTCTTAACCACCTCATTATTCTAAAAGACTCTTTCCCACAGCTCTTCTCTGTTCAAATCTCTAGTGCCTCCACCTTCATGCTCATTCTCAGACGATGGCTGTCTTTGTTTCCTATTTCACTGAGGAAAAGGAGGTACCATGAAAGTAATAGGAGTCCTTTCATCCTGGTTCCTGCATCCTTTTCACATGGCCCCATTATTTAGTCCAATAGCTTCTTGATTTTTGACATAAGATGTTCTAGGCTCACCTTGAACCACTCATGCTACTGAATTGAACAATTTTAAAGTGACCCCTGGATGTTTTCAGTGGAGAATGATGTTAGAGACAACAGTTTGTATGCTAGGTCTGAATATTAATATTAGTAAATATTAGTTTAAAATTAAATTATTTGAATTAAATATTAGTTGAAATACTAAACTTCTATCTTTAAAAATACATTAAACTTAAAAGGAATGAAGTACTAATACTTGCTGTAACATGGGTGAACCCTGAAAACATTATGGTAAGTGAAAGAAACCAGTCACAAAAGGCTTCATAGGAAAGGGATAGAGACTTTCATGAGTATGGGATTGTTTTTTGTGGGTGATGGAAATATTCTAAACTTAGTGGTTATGGTGGCATAACTCTGGAATATATTAAAATTCACTGAGCTGTATACTTTATGTGGGTGAATTGTACACTATGTTAATTGTATCTCAATAAAGCAGTTATAGAAAAAGTAAAGATTCAAAGTTGGTCTTGAAAAAATAAAAAAAGAATATGAACTTAGTTTCAGCCTTTCTCAGTAATTCAGAACTAAAACTATAAACATCACTTATCTGTGCTTTGTTTTAGTATTTTTAGATATCCTTTTGGGTTGTTTGTCCCTATGCTTAATTGATTATAAAAGTTTTCCCATTTTCTCGTTTAGTAAGATTTTTGAACACATTTCCTCCTGCTGGTTTGCCTACTTCTATAGCCACACTACTTTTATTCTGTTAAGGGCTAAGTACAATTGTGGTACAATTGTAGGAATTGTATGTAAAATAAGAGTTCATTGGTTCCATGCTGAGTGTAATTAATAAAATATAAAAATATATAATAAATGCATTGCTTTACTTTTTAAAAATATTAAAGGAAGTTGCCAAAACCTATTCTGTTTATGTTAGTCCTTAGTTGGGTTCAAGCAAAGGATGCTGTAGAATGATCCTGAGATGAGATTTATGACTGAACACATTACATGAAGCCTCTTCAAACCTTCCCAGTGATGAATCCCTGTAGGCAGAAGGCAATGAATGTAAAACTATATACAGCCATTCTGTACTCCCCAGGGGTAGGACATTTCTGTGAACCTCATGTTCATATTAAAAGTTAATATGGCTGTTGCATTTTAATCATTCAATCAATAAATATTTATTGCCAGGCACTATTCTAGGTACTGAGAAAAAAATAGTGTATAAAGCTGCCCAAATATCACCCTTTGTCAAGCTTATATCCTAGTGGGGAAAGACATAATGAACAAATAAATAAGTAAAATACAATGTGGTATTGGATAGTGAAAAGGAGAATGGAAAATATGAAGGCATGGAAGGGAGACAGGCAGTTCAATGAGGAAGAGTGTTGCAATTTAAATAAGACCAACAAGGCAAACCTCATTGAGAAGACAGCATTTCAAAATCTGAAGGAGGTGAGGGACTAAGACACATTGATGTCTGGGGAATAGTGTTCCAGCCAATGGAAACTGTGCAAATACATGAGACTCAGGGAACAGCTATGAGGTCAGTGTAGTTGGAGCAGAAAGCAAGAGGGAGAATAATAGTGGTAGAGCTGAGAGAGAGATTGAGGTATGAATGGTGCAGACCTTGTGGGAAACTTGTCTTTTTCCCTGAGTAAACTCCTTGAGGGTTTTGATCAGAAGAGACTGTTGTTTGGCAGGTTTTGAAAGCATCACTTTGGTGATTGTCAAGAAGAAGCAGACAATACAGGGCAAGCAAGGAATCATGTAAAGCAGTTAGGTGGCTATTGCGTTAATTTGAGATGGTGGTGGTTTGGATTAGAATGGGACCTTGGAGCTGATAAGAAGTGCTTGTTGTCTGAATACATGCTGAAATTTGAACTGACAGGATCTGATGATGGAATGAGATGTATGGTAGGGGAGAAACAGAAATTAAGTATTATAGAAGTTTTCAAATTTGAGACACTGCAAAAATGGAGATGCTATTTCCAGCAATGAGGGATAACAGATTTGTTGAGGGGAAATGCGGGGTATAGTTTGGATGGCTTGAGTTTATAGTGCCTAGTAGATGTCCAAGTGGAGATGTTGAGGAGCCATTTGCATTCACCCAGGAAAAGAACCTAGATGTAGAGAAGAAATGATCTAAGGATTGTGCCCAGGGCAGCCAACTTCCTTTATAGCTGGAGGACAGCAGAGAATTTAGGCATAGATGCAGATAATTGGGTAGATGTGGTGCTGGGAGCTTACGAAAGCTTCTCTCTGAGTGCTTCTGTTTTCCCATTGAAATAGAAAGTAGGACCATCATCTGAGAAAAAGGATGGGGGTACAAGTATAGGTTTCAAGGGAGATGAAAAAAAGAGTCCTTTAGAAGATAGAAGAATGAGAAGGTAAAGGGATCTGAGTGGCAGAGCCAGAAAGCTCTCTGGGTGTACCTGAATTCAAAGTTATGAATTCAACATCGGACCATTCAGTGTGATTGTATTGTTTACTCCAGCAATGTTCAGCTGTGGGAATGAAATCACAAAGTGGGTGCAAGAGTAGGATTTAATCAGGATTAGTCTTTTTACAAGGGAGAACATTGAGCAGGAGGGGGCAAAGGAAATGGGGGAATGCAAGGGAGTGATTATAATGAAGAACCAGGGAACTTAAGCTGAGTTAAGAAGAATTAGTTGACAAAGTACTAACATACAATTAAAAGAGAGCATGTAAAGACAATTGCATGAGAATTTGCTGTATGAAAACGTCACTCTATGTCTTTGAGTGTCCCTGGGGTTATAAATACTCTTTCTTTAGAGAGTATGGCTTCATACTCCAATATCACTTAGAGTCACTTTATTGTGACAATTTTGTTTAATGGGTTCCAAAACACCGTAGAGGCAGGAACAAATATTTCAAATTCACAGTACTTTTCCTGCAATACTGAAATTGAAAAACCACTACAACTTGGAAGCTGATTTTCTAATTCATTTGGTAGCAGAATATGACCTCACCTGAACTCAACTGGTGGCAAATTGTTGTTTATTTATGTAATAATGTGAATAATCCTACATTATCTGCTGAAATATTAGCATGCTTTATTAAAGGGAACTGCTGGAGACTCTGGCTGGGATGTCACATAATATACAGAATATTTCTCATTAACATTCTAAAATCTGAAAAAGCCTCAATCTCAGAACCCATTTCACCTTAAGGATTTTGGATAAGAGACTATAACCTATACTAACATTCTACTTGAAAGAAAACCGATGTTTGGATATTTAAGTAACTTGTGTAAGGCCATGAGTTGTAAGTGGGATAGCCAGGTTTGAACCCGATGCTGTGTGAGTCCAGGGTACAACTATAGAATCCATTACTGCATCCCCCTCAGCAACTTTCTTTCAATGGTTGTAGAGTTGTTCATTCAGCCACTTAACACTCATTGTGCAACTGGGGACCACAATGTGGAGGAAAGAGAAACTCTATGAGGATTCATATAATCTCCACTTGGCTATACTCAAAGAATATAGAAACATGTTAATGAGAGAGGTATCAGTCTGCCTGTTTGTCTGTCTTAACCAGGAAGATGGGTCAGAGTTGGAATGGAAACACCTTTTTTAATGTGAGGCAAGAAACTCAAAAGCAGAATCTCTCCTGTTGAGTGAACTGACATGTTCAGCCAGTACCTGCTATCACCGAAATTGCCCAGTTGAGTGGCTGCATGTATAAAACATTTGAGTTCTCAATCAAAATAAACTCATTTTTGAAAATCCACTCTTTCCACGCTACAACTACTGCCGATAATAGCAAACATTGACTTCGTGCTCACAATTTTTCAAACACTGTTGTGAACACTTCATGTATTTCATTTCATTTAATGTTTAAAACAACCTTGTGAAGTAGGTAATATTTATTATCCTTCTTTTATGGATGAAGAAATCAAAGATTAGAGAGGTTTAGCAAATACTCAAGGATATGTAGCTAGTAAAGGGAAATAAAGGCTTCTAATCTATGCTGCTAGGCTTGAAAACAGTGGTTTATAACCATTTAGCACCTTGCGTTTCAAAAGTAAGCAATGATAGCAATAATAATAGCTACTACTTTTTGTAAGCCTACTATGGGTCATATACTTTATAAACATTATCTCATTTTGCTGCCACAATAATCCCAAAAGCTTATTAACTGGGAGAACTAAGATTCAGATAGTTGTACAATTTGACTATGTCTGTACAGCTGCTAATTGCTCCTTTCTGTTACCAAGCCAAGACATTCAAGTCTGAGAAAGAAAAGGCTTCTATATGTGGTTTATCATACTGCTGTACACAAGGAGGGCAATTTTAGTTACTGGGGTGTAGTTTTTACAAAAGTTCAGGGTCAAAAGCAGTGAAAACTACGACAACTTACCCTTTTAGCCTCTAGTTTTGTAATTCTGTAAGGTTTTCTTACATACTTTTTCCCCTTTTTTTCCTTTCTTTCTTCTCCTCTCCTTGGAGAATACTTTATAGTGAAAGAGAAAAAGAGTGACTTTGTTGACCCAGTGACTTGTTATACTGTTGAAATTCTTTTGGTAATGGCAAGAACAGGTATGTTTGTCTCGTAGGTATTTATCCCTGAAGACATTGAAGGACTTAAAGCCACCTCCAATAGAGTGGAAGACTAACTGGATCTGCTTTTTTTCCCCTCCATGGAACATGAAAGTGGGATAGAAATAGAATAATAATGAGAGGGGAAAAGAGTGGGTAGACTAGGAGAAGAAAGTATTCCTGAATGCCTATCTGAAACGGGTCCTCTGCAGGCTGAGAACTGACTCAATAGATGAAATAGGAAAATGTTTGCCACAACCCTTGTGTCCCAAGGGTAGGAGAGAAAGTCTCATGGTAAGACTTCCTTTCTGGCCATGGGATGTTGTTACCTGTCTTTCCTGACATTATGGGTACAACAAAGGGATTACACATAGGGGTGAAAATAAGGACAGTCAGTTGGTCTCTTTCTCTGCATTGATACCATGAGCAGGGATTCAATAAGAACTCAGGTAAATACAGAGGGTAGCATTTTCTTTTGGAAATATTTGAACATAAATGGGGGAAGGGATGGATATAGATGAGTAGGATGCCCAAGACAAATTGTTAGCCTGCAAAGTGCCTTAGTCAATCATTTTAGAGGAGGGCCAAGATAAATGTGTGAATGCTTCAGTGACAGTTGGCGTTGAGAAACCTGACTGACAAAAATAACATCAGATGACGTTTCAAGAATCAAGTTCCTTCGAAATTATTGCTTAGAGAAGTGTTTCAAAGCCACTTAGGAGCAATAGTAACTTTCTCAGTGCAGTGCAGTTCTGGCTATACCTGGAGTTAGGTTCAATATCACAGGTTTAGGGCAAAATTCTTATGTTTGAAAAAGAAGAAAGGAAAACTTCAGCTGAATTAAATTTAAAAGAGTTTACTTGAATAAGAAATGATTCATGAATGGAGCACCCCCCCAAGCAAGAGTAGGATCAGAGACTCCAGTGCAGCTACAGGGTGGAAGAAGATTTAGGGATAGCAAAAGGAAAATGACTTAGAGAAAATGGAAGTGAGGTACAGAAATGGCCAGATTGGTTACAGCTTGGTGTCTGCCTCATTTGAACCTGGTTTGAGGAGTTGGCCACCTTTGGCCAAAATTCAGTAATTGGCACTAGAATTGGCTGTAGTCTGTATACAACTCCATTTAGGTTATAGTTTACAATGTATAGAGAAACCTTTAGGCTGAACTTAGAATATGTAAGGAGGCAGCTTTAGGCTAAACTTGATTGAATAATTTCTGCGTTTTGGTCATCCTCTCATCTTTTAACCACACAAGATTTCCATAAACCTTTCATTTCACATTTTCCCCAACTTGTAATATTCATCTTGTTTTATCTATTTTTCTTTTACCCCTTCAGTTTGAAGCCTTTATGTAAATTTAAACCAGACAAAATTTTTAACAAGCATATTTATGTCTTTATAATTTTTCTCATTAAATGCATATCTTACTTTTGTTTATACACTTTGTATACAGAATTGCTTTTTTCATATCTAGTAGTTTTTAATTTTGGTAACCCTAATTTCTAGTGAAAACCATAGAAAGTAATTTTGAACTCTTTTATATCAGTATTTGTAGATAAAAATCATTTTATAATTTTTTAGAAAGACACTTCTTCAAATTATTGTTTATTAGCAGATGTGAATATATTTACCTTTTCTATACCATATAAAAATAACATGTCAATACATATAGGCTTAAACTCGTGAGGAACAATTGATATTTCAGTATTTTCACCTACAGAAGACTTAGACATTTTATGATGATCAATTACTTAATGTGACATAACGTGACTCCAAGATTTTAAATTACTGAAAAGCATTTTGAAAGTATGACACAGCCTCCCCAATGTCTTCTGCCAGTCATTCTAGGTCCCAAGTAGCCACATGGCACCAAGGAGGACTATGAAGTTCAGGGCCTGTCTGAGCCCATCAGGACAGAAGACAGGGCTATACCTGAAGGACTATACCTGGAGGGTCCAACCCCTCCCTAAATAGCCAGGAGGCAAAACAGGGAAAGCAGAGGAAGAAAGGGCCATAACTGGGCTTGATTCTGGCTTGTAGCTGCTGGTCTAGGCATTAAGAACATGTCACCAGACCTCATGATGGCCACCTGAATCCAGACTCTAAACCAAAGGCATAAGCTCACAGTCAAATCAAGCAAGTACCTAATTATATTTAACTGATAATTTCAAAGCCATTTCTGTTTTCCTAACAATTTAAAAACTAACTTTACCAAATATTATCACAGACACATAATGCAGATTGACATGCAAACACAGGGAAGCAGATGTTGTAGCTTTCATAAAGGATATTCATTTGTCAGCTTTTAGTTTTTCTTTTCCCCATTTGATCTATCAATCTTCCAGTTACCTGTTTCATTGCCCTAAGGACTTGTTAACTAGGCAATAGAGTTTCATTTCTAAAGGGACAAATCTTAGGTAGAACAAAAACAAATTTCTATTTCATTAGCATAGAGCTAAGATTTTATGCCTAAATATTGTATCATCGTTTGCTCAAACCAGGGGGAAACAACTGGTCAAATAAAAGTTTACTTAAGACAAGATGGCCAGAAAAGTACCTTAAACAAAGGTATGACTTATTTTGTAAATCTAGGAGGATAGTAAGTATTTCTAATGTACATAGGCAGACATTCTTAAAAATGGATATTTCCCTCTTAGATTTAAATTTCTTTTACAAAAGAGTTTCAAGATAGCCAATTAAATTCCAGAAAGGTGTATTTTAGTCAATAGGGTGTTCTTTTCAACTTAGCTACCATTTCTTAGCTAAAATTATTGAGTTCAGGGTGAAGCCCCTAAGGAACAGCGCAAAGAAAGCATTCTCTATGCTTGGCCTCTGCATCAATAGACCTAAAAAAGAAACAAGCCTATTATACCTGAATACCTACCTTTTATAAACACTTTATCTAAGATAGCTTTCTTTCCACCTTTGGAATGGAATAGTATCTAAGCCAAAAGTTTAGCAGATTTAATTTTTCTTATCAGTTAGTCACAAGCTTTTTATTTATCTTTTATAAAGTCTTTAAATAAAAAATACTGAAATCTTTTTAGAAGCTTCTGCATGTCAGTAGGCATCCCTAGATGAGACTAATTTGGGAGTCCTTATTTTCAAATGCACTTCTTCAGTGCGGTATTGTTAATTTGGAATGTTCCACTGTAACTTCTCTTTAGAAGATTTTGCCATTTCTGTAAGAATTTGCTGCTTCCAGGGCCTAATACGTATGCGTGTGTAAGCTGGAAGTTATTCAGTTCTTCAGAAACTAAGGATTTCATTTTTGCCTCAAATATATTTGGCACTCAAGTCACCTTGATCAATGTAGCCAATGATTTTTTTCCCTACCTAAGCATGTAAGAAAAATGAAACAAAGGAGGTAGAAAACAAAAATCCCTATGAATTTCCAAAATCCAAATTTTATACCTCCTGCAGTACTGCCATTTACTACCAGTTTCTTTCTGACCCAGTGAGACGTAAGAGGCCTCTAATTGGATTCAACTCAGTTAGTTATCAGATCCAATCTGATGCTGGACCCAGTCCAGATTCTGTCACAACTTCCTAACCCAGTTTGGATTAGAAATTTGCTCAAAGAAACTTGGGGAGCTCAAAACCCAAATCTGTTGAGCGTTAGAATCCAAGAGAAAACTTACCATGATCCTCAGTTGCTCTGAGGGAGCAATGGACACAATGATACCTCACTTGGTCACTCAGCACTCCTGGGGGTTGTTAGAAGCTCTCCTTTGGATTCTACTTCTGACACCACCTGTTAAGACAAAAACTTTAGCCAAATTAAATTTAAAAAAGTTTAATTGATCAAAGAACAATTCATAAACTGAGTTAGTCTCCCAAGCCAGAATAGGCTCAGAGACTCCAGTGCAGTTATATGGTGGAAGATTTATGAACAGAAAAAGGAAAGTGAGGTACAGAAAATGGAGGTGAGGTACAAAAACAGCTGAATTGGTTACAGGGTGGCATCTGCCTTATTTGAACATTGTTTGAAGAGTTGGCCACGTTTGACAGTCCAAAACTCCGTGATTGGCACAAGAGAAGGCTACAGTCTGTTTACAACTCAATTTAGGATAGTTTACAATGTACAGAGAAACCTTTAGGCTGAACTCAAAATATTTAAGTCGGCAGCTTTAAGCTAAACTTGATTTAACACCTATATGACTACATTCACTTCGGACACCAACTGCGAATTTAAGAGTTCTTGGGCCATCTGTACTTCTGTCAACTGGTTACTAATTTGGGGGCTCCCACTACCCTGTCAGGTTGATAATTTGCTGGAATGACTCCTAGAACTCAACAAAGCACTATACATATAATCATAGTTTTATTATAAATAATACAAATCAGGACCAGTCAAAAGAAGAGATGGACAGTGTGAGGTCTGGGAAGGTCCCAGATGCCAAGTTTCCTTGTCCTCAGGATATATCACCTTCTTGGCTCATCAATATATATTACTAACCCAGAAGCTCATTCAATCTTCAGGTGTTCAGAGTTTTTGTTGGAGTCTTTCCACAGAAGCATGATTGACTGAATCATTGGCCATGTGATTGAACTCAATCTCCAGCCCCTTTCTCCTCCTTGGGATTGGGCTGGATCAAAGTTTCGACCCTGTAAATGGGTGATTGGCCTTTCCAGCAAGGCCAGCCCTATTCTTGAAACTATTCATGGGCCCACTATACGTCATCTCATTAGCACAAACTCAGACAAATTTCCAGGGGCCATGATTAATAACAAAGACATTCCCTATAACTTGGGAAATTCCAAGGGTTTAGAGCCTCCCTCCCAGGAACCAGAGACAAAGACCAGCAAAATTCTTTATTATACTCACTCAGGTTACATTACAGAACAGAGTACCAATAAATACACTATTTTCTGGGGTTTCTCAGAAAAGTGCTCTCTCATTTCCTATCCCATCACCCCAGTCACTTCCCACTTAATTTTTTGGTTAAAGAGGGATACTCCAGCAGTTCCTACCTTCCAGGAACACCTGTAGGGAGAGGCATGGGACTTCACCTTCCCTTCCTGTTGCTGATGTGTGCCAATGCTGCCTTTTCCTCTGGGTCCACACGGTTGTCTGAATCAGGCAATCCTTATGCTGATGGCAGGGATGGAACTCGTAGAAGCTCATCTGCCTTCCATTCCACACAGGGTAGCTTTTCTCTCTCACTCTTCTTTCACTTCTTCATTGAGTCCTTGGGGAAAGAAATCCAATAAGCTCCTGTCATCTGCCCATTCGCTATCAGAAACTGATTTGTCTGCTTACTTTAAGAAGGTGCACTTTGAAAGTGACCAATGAGCTTTTTCACCCTATCTTGTGTTCCATTTAGGACTCCTTTCACTTCTCAACCTTCTGTTTATTCTTATGGAAATGGTCAAGAGGAAGTTTTTTTTTTTTTTAATGGAGCTTTGAAGTTATTATATAGTTTGGTTGTGCTACAAGCCCTCTGCTCTTCACTTACACTGAAACCACCTTTGCAAAGAATATGACAGTAAGAGAAATATACCACATTGACTCCATCTTCCTTCTAGCCTCACAGGCTGGCTGTCTTCAGTCTTTCCTGGGCACAGGCTAAGCTAACCTTGGGAGGAATTTAGTTTATAGTTTTACTTGGAAGCAAGGATGATAATAGTCCCTCCCTAAAACTTTTCCCCTCCTTGTTTGGGGGCTGAAACCACCTTTGTAAGACTAATATTATAAAAAACCACAAGATTATGATTATGGGAGGGGTCTGAATTCTGCTAATATGTAGGCGTAGTTTCTATAATCCCTTACTGTTCGGGAGTCATGTGGTCAGAGGTCGCAAGATTTTTGACTTCCCCAATTGTTCCTGTAGATAACATCACCATGGTAGAAACTAAGATTAGTCTTTTGAGATGTTTTTCAGACACATTCTGACTCATAACCCAGTGTGTTCTGTGATTCCCTACCCAGAGGTGGACTCATGAGGACAGTTTTCTATACTCCTATGAGTGCATCCCCAACCAATCAGCTGCATCAAACTATCTTTGAAAAACTCTAACCTCTGAGCCTTCAGGGATGCTGATTTAATAACTTTGTCTACTAAATGGTTAGCCGGGTGTTAATTAAACTCTTTTTTTTACTGTGGTAAAAATACCATGGTCTCAGTGAATTGGTTTCATCTGTGCAGAAGGCAGGATGAACCTGTCAGGGGATTACAATAATGAAATGGTAGATGTGGCTATAAGATTTGAGACTCTGTCTCTTTAAAAAAGCTACTCATGTTGAGTGTATTGTAACCACATTAGTTCTAAAGACAGTGAAGATAATCCTCACTTTATTGGTTTCACCTTGGTTTTTATTGATAGGAAAAAAGAAGAATAACCATATACATGGCTAATCCCTTGGAAATCTAAACCAGTAGAGTGTTGACCATTAGTTAACACTTTTGTTTGCTTTTTCTAAAAGGCAGTTCATTATAAGGGGTATTTTAGTATCTTTCTTAAGTAAGTGGTAAACTCTTTCATCAAAAATTATTGTGAAATATTTCAGAACGCTTACTTTTCTTATCATTAAAACAGTGGAGGTGATTATATTCAGGGTTCCTATTGTGATATATTCTATTTCCTTCTCATTCCATATTATGGGTTAATTGTCTAGTTGCCTATATTTTTCCCTATAGAGGAAGATATGAAATCATAATTTCACTAGCTCTGCCAAGCCATAATGCAATCTAGATTTTTTAGCCTGAAGTCCTCCTGAATTTTCAGTAGCAGTGATTTGGGATCAGGTCATCAAGTTTCTCCATAGGACTGTCTTTATGGTGCTGAGACAATCTCACTCCAGAGTGGGAGACCTATTTGGGTTGCCCTTGCTGAGCTAAGCTGCTCTGTCTCATCAGGTACATTAACAGGAGTGTTAATGCCAATGCTTTTTATCTAGTAATTAAAAAGAGTAACTAAAAGAAAAAAAATTTTAAAAAGAAATACAATATCTAACTTAAAAAAGTAAGAAAATGTTCAGTTTTATTTTTATTAGTATTAGCATTAGAAGTATGATTCAGTATGAGTACTTTAAAACTTAGAAACAGCCACCAGATGCTAAAGGTTCACCTGTGACCACAAACCTAGAACTCTTAGCAAGAAAAAATGTATAGAAAGGATAGAATTGAAAGCTGAGAACCTCTGGAGAACACATGGTTGAAGGGTCACTGGCATTGAAAACTGAGGCTCTTTACTAATACTATTTCCTATTAGGAAAGAGCCTCAATTAAGACAGACGTATTATATCTGAAAGAAAGAAACAAAGTGTATTTAGGAAAAAGAAGAGTTAGCTGATCCATCAGTCAAGCTAGCCTTCTGGAAAATAACAATCCACACATTAGGTAAGGAGAATGTTTTCTCATGTAAAAGGCAACTTGAGACTAACCAAGGCTGACTATAATGCAAATGCAAAAAAGGATTACAAACATATTGCTGGATGATACGGGATTATGGCCTAGAAAAGTGACTACCCTTTGTTACTAGGCAAAAAGACAAAAATATCAATTGTTTATCAAGAGGGTGGGAATTAGGTTAAGAGAGAGATAAACAGCATGTAATTAACTTTATAATTACTCAATTTGTTTAAGCCATTTTATATCTACTTCTGTTTGACAGTTTTTAACTGTGCTTAGAAATGAAAATAGAATTATAACTTTTTTAGAAGGCTAATGGAAATTAATATATAGTCTTTTAGAAAATTTGAAAAAATACAGAAAAGTATAGAAAAACAAAACATTCACCTTCAGTTTACCTTTAAGGGTAAATGCTATTAACAAAATATTTACATATAAATATTAGTTTGGACAAGAATAGGGTTATATTTTACATGCTCCTTTGTAGTTTATTATTTTTTCTTGATATAGCCTGGATTTTCTGGAGACCAACAGATAAAGAAGCTATGCATAATTATTTTAATACCTGTCTTTTATCCCATCATCCATTTATATCAATAATACTTTTTAAAAAATGTTGTTCTTAAAATTATCGGTGTCTGTAATTCTAATCATTCTATTCTTGGTGTCCACTCCTTACCCATAGATGCGAGTGGTTGGGAATCAAGCCTTCTTCTTGCTTAAGGCCAATGTGGGTATTTATCAGAGTCCTCTTTTCTCCTTTTCTTTCTTTATTTTTTTACCAGCTATATGGCTTAAAAGATCATCTCAGGCTGGGTGCGGTGGCTCACGCCTGTAATAGGAGTTTGAGACCAGCCTGGCCAACATGGTGAAACCTCATCTCTCCTAAAAATACAAAAATCAGCCAGGTATGGTGGCAAGTGCCTGTAATCTCAGCTACTCAGGAGGCTGAGGTAGGAGAATCGCTTGAACCCGGGAGGCAGAGGTTGCAGTGAGCCGAGATCGCGCCACTGCACTCCAGCCTGGGCAACAGAGTGAAACAGCATTAAAAAAAAAAAAAAAAAAAAAGGGAAGGTGATCTCTTCCTACTGTGAAAATGTAGGAAGACAATGGCTGATTAGTTGGACATTGTTATGGACAATACTTGCTAAATGAGAAAACCAATGACAAGGCACCAAGGAATTATATTTAAGAAGAATAAAACACTGAAGTTGTATATATTCCTGAAAGGATCCTTGAATAGAAACAGAAATATTCTGAGAAAGTTTATAAAAACACTCAACTATGGGGAAAACAAAGTTTAAAGTATACATGACTTCTTACAATTAAGGATTGGCTAAAAAAAGAGTCAACAGCTACTTGAATTTTCCTAATTTGGCTCTATTTGCATCGTCTGTTGGAGTATACTAATTGGAATTATTAATATTTTTATTTAGTTGTATTAACAAAGAAAGGCATTTTTGATTAGTACAAATTTAAAAAGTAATAAAGGAAAAATATATTTCACTTACTTACCAAGTTAACGCCTTAGAGCTTGATGATTCAGACCAGAAGTCAGTTCTTATAGCAATATTTATCTCAAGAACAGGCTATATAATCCTATACAAAATATCTATAGAAAAATAAACACACTTCAATTGTAGTGTATAATTGTCAATAAATTTTATTGCTGTTTTATCTTAAAATTTTATGGCCTCCATGAACATAGCTGACAGAGAAACTCTCTTAATTTAATTAATGCTTTCTCTGCAATCACTGTGAGTACATTTTAAATTGTTAACAAATGTCACATAGACAATTCACTAGAAGTCCTCTTTCAGAATAAGATTGCCATATATTAATCTGCAGTGAGTTTACCACACTTTGCCTGAATCTTTAAGGTAGTAGAATTCTCATGTGGTGTTACCTATCAGATAATGTTAGTATTTCTATAATCAAGTAAAGGTTTTTATCTTGTAAACAAATAACGATACTCAGGAAAACATGAAATGCTCTTCCAAAACTTTCCATTTTTCATTAATCAAGGAGAAAGGCCTCTAGCAAACAGACCCCATTGCCTCTTGGTTGTAGCATTAACATGATTACATAGGAATGCACAGAAACATGAAATCTATGACGTGTAAACTTGTCAACAAGGCATGTTTATCAAATGCTATAAAGCATCCATGTGGCCAAATATATTGCCAGGATGCTGAATGGCTCCATTCTTTTCTTTAGGTAGAAAGCATTAGGAGGCATTTCTGTGGATGACAAGATTTCCTGTAGTGGATTTTTGCCTGGTGATCATCTGTTACCCCTTCCCCTTTCATTATGGTAGTTAAATGTTCATCCAGGAGTCTAGTTCTTGCCCATGGGGCACCGAAGCTTTAGGGGAATTCTATCCCTTCCTTAGTTTTATGGGTGGACCTGATTTGTTGAAGGGCAACATATTCCTTTTCGAAGTGAGTAATTCAGAAAATCAAGCTTTGGCTCTTCAGAAAACGACACTTCCCTCGGCCAAAGGAATTGATTCATGACTGGGCATGTGACCCAATTCAGGCAAATGGGAATGAGGAGGAGGCTTTCTGGGTTTTCTTAGAATGCAGTTTCCGCATGCTTAAGAGAGAGGCATCAAAAGACGGACTTTCTTTTCCTGTTACTGCCATTGCCTGTAGAGATAAGGCCTGGAACTCTACACCCATTTTCCTCCTCTGAGAGAAGTCAGCAAAAGTCCTCTTTGAGAGAAAACAAAGAAATTAAGCAGATGCTAAGTTAAGCCAACCCTGAAAACCTCCCTCTCTCTGAACTTCCGCTTACATGAATAAACAAATTTCATACTTATAAATCAATCTGAACCAGGTTTAATACTATTTGTAGACAAAAAATTTCTTATATATTACAAAACATTTTTTCCCTAAAATGTGGCATATTATTTAATATAATGCCCTCTTCGGAGACATTGTCAAATTTTCCATGAAGATTCTTCTTAAATGTGAATAGGTAATCATTTAAAACTTTCAGAATGTTTTCCTCTCAGGTGATACTATAGGACTTTGAAGAATTCATACTTGTCTTTGTTGTTTTCAGTAACTGTTATAAACTCATGAAAGGAAGCTAGTCTTCAGTGGGTTTGCATGGAATGTGATGAAAAGATTGATTTATTTTCCTGTTATATAATCCTGATAAATCCGGGTCACCCATGTGTCTCATTCCCTATAGAAAAATCACATAAAAAATCCCTAAACAATGCCTAGGACACAGTAGGAACCCAAGAATTGTTTTTGAGGGTATGAATAAAAGAATAGATGAATGAATATGAACATCATTTATGTACAAATACAATCCCAGCAACCTGAAAGAATAAAAGAATAATAAAAGAATAATTTTTTTATAGTTTATCTCTTTAAAGGGACTGACTCTAGGGTTTTTTTTTTTTTTTTTTTTTTTTTTATTGATCATTCTTGGGTGTTTCTCACAGAGGGGGTTTTGGCAGGGTCATAGGACAATAGTGGAGGGAGGGTCAGCAGATAAACAAGTGAACAAAGGTCTCTGGTTTTCCTATGCAGAGGACCCTGCGGCCTTCCGCAGTGTTTGTGTCCCTGGGTACTTGAGATTAGGGAGTGGTGATGACTCTTAACGAGCATGCTGCCTTCAAGCATCTGTTTAACAAAGCACATCTTGCACCACCCTTAATCCATTTAACCCTGAGTGGACACAGCACAAGTTTCAGAGAGCACAGGGTTGGGGGTAGGGTCACTGATCAACAGGATCACAAGGCAGAAGAATTTTTCTTAGTACAGAACAAAATGAAAAGTCTCCCGTGTCTACTTCTTTCTACACAGACACGGCAACCATCCGATTTCTCAATCCTTTCCCCGCCTTTCCCCCCTTTCTATTCCACAAAACCGCCATTGTCATCATGGCCCGTTCTCAATGCGCTGTTGGGTACACCTCCCAGACGGGGTGGTGGCTGGGCAGGGGGGCTCCTCACTTCCCAGTAGGGGAGGCCGGGCAGAGGCGCCCCTCACCTCCCGGACCGGGCGGCTGGCCGGGTGGGGGCTGACCCCCCCACCTCCCTCCCGGCCGGGGCGGCTGGCCGGGCGGGGGGCTGACCCCCCCACCTCCCTCCCTGACGGGGCGGCTGGCCTGGCGGGGGCTGACCCCCACCTCCCTCCCGGATGGGGTGGCTGCCGGGCAGAGACGCTCCTCACTTCCCAGACGGGGTGGCTGCCGGGCAGAGGGGCTCCTCGCTTCTCATATGGGGCGGTTGCCAGGCGGAGGGTCTCCTCACTTCTCAGATGGGGCGGCTGGGCAGAGACGCTCCTCACCTCCCAGACGGGGTCGCAGCCGGGTAGAGGCGCTCCTCACATCCCAGACGGGGCGGCGGGGCAGAGGCGCTCCCCACATCTCAGACGATGGGTGGCCGGGCAGAGACGCTCCTCACTTTCCAGACTGGGTAGCCAGGCAGAGGGGCTCCTCACGTCCCAGATGATGGGCGGCCAGGCAGAGATGCTCCAAACTTCCCAGACGGGGTGGCGGCCGGGCAGAGGCTGCAATCTCGGCACTTTGGGAGGCCAAGGCAGGCGGCTGGGAGGTGGAGGTTGTAGCGAGCCGAGATCACGCCACTGCACTCCAGCCTGGGCACCACTGAGCACTGAGTGAACCAGACTCCGTCTGCAATCCCGGCACCTCGGGAGGCCGAGGCTGGCGGATCACTCGCAGTTAGGAGCTGGAGACCAGCCCGGCCAACACAGCGAAACCCCGTCTCCACCAAAAAAATACGAAAACCAGTCAGGCGTGGTGGCGCGCGCCTGCAATCGCAGGCACTCGGCAGGCTGAGGCAGGAGGATCAGGCAGGGAGGCTGCAGTGAGCCGAGATGGCAGCAGTACAGTCCAGCTTCGGCTGGGCATCAGTGGGAGACCGTGGAAAGAGAGGGAGAGGGAGACCGTGGGGAGAGGGAGAGGGGAGAGAGGGAGAGGGAAAGGGAGAGGGAGAGGGAGAGGGAGAGCGACTCTAGGGTTTTACACAATGCACCATGAAGAAAACTTCCCAGAAATCATAAACTTTCTACAAACTTTCATACAAGCAACAGCAGCTAAAGATCTCTCTGGTTTTCTCAGGCTTAGTTAACTCATTTCCTTTTCTCCTTCTTACTCTCCATACAGCCTGTTCTAGTACACCACTTTCTAGTCGTAAGTGTCCGCTGGGATTCGTACTCTTGACACCCTGATCTGCAGGGCTTCCTAAGATGGTTGAGGACCAGGTGACTCCATGTTCAATGACACACATATTTTTTTGCTTACGCCGAACACTTTCTCATATAAAATCCTCAAGGTGCATTTCTGATGAATACAATTCCCTACCTCATTTCAATATTTCATTATTTATATCTTTGAGATCTTCCACATCAAGAGGAAGGATATATATTTGGGTAGCCTTGGGACTTCTTTTATTTAGAATCCATTTCCCTCATCCCCTCCTTTACTCCTTCTAGGGTGAGCATAATTCATCTTGGAAACCCTGGAGATAGTGTCAGGATCAGACTATAGCCTTCAGATTTCCATGTGCAAATCTTAGAGATGAGGGATAGGGAAAACCTGGAGATTTAAACTCTTTTCTTCCAAGGTTTATATCTCTGGTTGTGGTAGAAAAAGATGCTTTGGATCAATAAGACACTAAATTTACGTCTTTGTCACTACCAAAGTAATGCTGTGGGAAGTCACAATGGGGTCTGAAAAATGCAAGAAGATGAGAGGACAAACGAGGGCAGTGATCTGGCATATACACCACTATATCATATATATTAGCAGTAATTCTGTGGGAAGTCTTCAGATGTGACTGGGGTACTTATTCCCATGCACTGGGACCTGCTTGTCGGGCTTATGTCTCCAAGGCATAGACTTGTATTACTTCCCTTTTCCTAAGATACCTTGGTGTCTCAGGCCTGGTTCCCATTTGTCAATCTTTCTCCCTGATGTCTGCTTAATTCAACTAGTTTTCTTACTCTCCCTGGTTAACTTTACCATCAGTGAGGATTTGGAGGCCTCTTTAAGGTGACCATGCAATTGTTTATTAGTTTCTGTCTGTAAATCACCTTTATGCGAACTGAACTTCTGAGCCTACACATCTCTTCCACTGCGTTGAGGAAGAGAGCTTGCTAGAATTGTTCTTCTACCCTGAATGTGAAATTAGAATATATTTTCACACTCCCTACACAAGGCTATAAATCCTTGTCCCTGAACATCTGGCTGTGCACTCCTTTTAGGACAGGGAAACAATCCTGCACAGAGACAACCAACTTCAGGATTTTGAATTCATATAAACCCTCAGTGCATGGCCTTTCACATAAGTGGCAGCCATTTTTGACCTTTGAATCTGTCCATACTGCTTCTATGACATGTTACAACACAGTACAAGTTCTCTCTTGTTTATGGCATACTACTATACATGCATTTCTCCAGTTTATGGTTGCAATTAGCCCATAGCACAAGATTTAAGGTCTGCCTAATTCTTGATCCTGATTTGTGATCAAGCCTAAAGGATCTGGTTTAGCTGGTGGAGGTGAATGGAAAGCTGTAACAAACCTGAGCCCCTCAGAAACTGATCTCCTCCCACCATCCAATTTCTACAGAAGCCAGGTAACCATGGAGGATGGCAAAAGAATTAGATAATCAAAACTCCAGTTGACCATTCTATGAGGAAGTTTTTCTAGATTTCTACAGTTAGTAAACTCGTGTACCACTGCCTCTGTTTGGTTCTCTGGGTAGTTCTATAATTCTGACAGCATCCCCCAGAGTCGTAACCCCAGTTTCAGAGCCATCTCTGTATCTTTATGAATTTCTACTCTTATTCCAATAATCATTATAATTGGAACTTACCTGGCCCTCATTCCTTCATTATATTATCCCACCGATTTGATGGTCGTGTTGAAAACATACTCTAGGAAAGTCTGATAATTTTATTTTATTGTTTCTGGAAACCGGCTGCCTGGTCTCTACTACAGACCAATTGAATCAGTATCTTTCAGAATGATAATCTGATACATTTATTTTTTTTGGAATTTTCTTATGTGATTCAAATATAACCAAGTTTAAGGACACTTATTTTAATTCAAAGCACAGTAGAGTGAGGTGATGGAATTTAGGTCTAAAATCCTTGATAATTGCTCCCATCCAAGTATGACACACACACACACACACACACACACACACACACACACACACACTCACACATATAAAATATATATATGTATAATATATTGCTTATATATACATTATATTGTATATATGTATAATATATTTTATATATATATATATGTGCTGAATTCTAATTTGAATAAATCTGGGGCTGATTCTGGCTGAAATCATGTGTAAAGAAGAAAAACACCACAAACAGAAAGTATAATGTTTATCATTCCAGTTGGTTTACTTCTAAGAGGTTGCCTTTGGTTATACATGATGTATCCTACAGAAAGTTCCCTAGAATTTTTTTCTAGATGTTATTTCTTTTTTCCAAAATTTTATATTCACAGAAACCACAAAGAAAAAATTCTTTTATACTCTCTTTCATTTAGGTACTCTTTGTCATTGTTTCTCCTGATTCAATTCCCATCTAATTCTTCCCTCTCCAGGTGTCTAGCTATGCTGGGTGCCTAGAAGAGCTGAAGGGACCATGTTACACCGGGCCTCCTGATGCAGGCAGCCATGGAAAAGTGGAATTTTTAATTTTTTTGTGTGTGATACTTTTGTATCACACAGATGAAAGGCTTCAAAAGCTTTGCTGTTGAGCCCTATGGAAAGACTCAAAATTAAGGTATATGCTAAAGCAATGGAATAAAGCAGCATAATCATTTTGAGATACATATTTTCACAACCAAAGAGTAAATTGTTAATACCGTCACTTAATTTACAACTGCCAGGTTGAGCTGGAAAAAAAGCACATAGGGTAAGTAGTTAAATTTGAATTCCAGATAAACAATGATTATTTCTTAGTATACTTATGTCCCAGGCCATATTTGGGACATACTTATACTAAAAATTGATTTTTTTAAAATTTTTTTATTTTTATTTTATTATTATTATACTTTAAGTTTTAGGGTACATGTGCACAATGTGCAGGTTAGTTACATATGTATACATGTGCCATGCTGGTGTGCTGCACCCATTAACTCGTCATTTAGCATTAGGTATACCTCCTAATGCTATCCCTCCCCCGTCCCCCCACCCACAACAGTCCCCAGAGTGTGATGTTCCCCTTCCTGTGTCCATGTGTTCTCATTGTTCAGTTCCCACCTATGGGTGAGAACATGCGGTGTTTGGTTTTTTGTCCTTGCTATAGTTTACTGAGAATGATGATTTCCAATTTCATCCATGTCCCTACAAAGGACATGAACTCATCATTTTTTATAGCTGCATAGTATTCCATGGTGTATATGTGCCACATTTTCTTAATCCAGTCTATCATTGTTGGACATTTGGGTTGGTTCCAAGTCTTTGCTATTGTGAATAGTGCCCCAATAAACATACGTGTGCATGTGTCTTTATAGCAGCATGATTTATAGTCCTTTGGGTATATACCCAGTAATGGGATGGCTGGGTCAAATGATATTTCTAGTTCTAGATCCCTGAGGAATCGCCACACTGACTTCCACAATGGTTGAACTAGTTTACAGTCCCACCAACAGTGTAAAAGTATTCCTATTTCTCCACATCCTCTCCAGCACCTGTTGTTTCCTGACTTTTTAATGACTGCCATTCTAACTGGTGTGAGATGGTATCTCATTGTGGTTTTGATTTGCATTTCTCTGATGGCCAGTGATGGTGAGCATTTTTTCATGTGTTTTTTGGCTGCATAAATGTCTTCTTTTGAGAAGTGTCTGTTCATGTCTTTCGCCCACTTTTTGATGGGGTTGTTTGTTTTTTTCTTGTAAATTTGTTTGAGTTCATTGTAGATTCTGGATATTAGCCCTTTGTCAGATGAGTAGGTTGTGAAAATTTTCTCCCATTTTGTAGGTTGCCTGTTCACTCTGATGGTAGTTTCCTTTGCTGTGCAGAAGCTCTTTAGTTTAATTAGATACCATTTGTCAATTTTGACTTTTGTTGCCATTGCTTTTGGTGTTTTAGACATGAAGTCCTTGCCCATGCCTATGTCCTGAATGGTAATGCCTAGGTTTTCTTCTAGGGTTTTTATGGTTTTAGGTCTAATGTTTAAGTCTTTAATCCATCTTGAATTAATTTTTGTATAAGGTGTAAGGAAGGGATCCAGTTTCAGCTTTCTACATATGGCTAGCCAGTTTTCCCAGCACCATTTATTAAATAGGGAATCCTTTCCCCATTGCTTGTTTTTGTCAGGTTTGTCAAAGATCAGATAGTTGTAGATATTCGGCGTTATTTCTGAGGGCTCTGTTCTGTTCCATTGATCTATATCACTGTTTTGGTACCAGTACCATGCTGTTTTGGTTACTGTAGCCTTGTAGTATAGTTTGAAGTCAGGTAGCATGATGCCTCCAGCTTTGTTCTTTTGGCTTAGGATTGACTTAGAAATGCGGGCTCTTTTTTGGTTCCATATGAACTTTAAAGTAGTTTTTTCCAATTCTGTGAAGAAAGTCATTGGTAGTTTGATGGGGATGGCATTGAATCTATAAATTACCTTGGGCAGTATGGCCATTTTCACAATATTGATTCTTCCTACCCATGAGCATGGAATGTTCTTCCATTTGTTTGTGTCCACTTTTATTTCATTGAGCAGTGGTTTGTAGTTCTCCTTGAAGAGGTCCTTCACGTCCCTTGTAAGTTGCATTCCTAGGTATTTTATTCCCTTTGAAGCAATTGTGAATGGGAGTTCACTCATGATTTGGCTCTCTGTTTGTTTGTTATTGGTGTATAAGAATGCTTGTGATTTTTGTACATTGATTTTGTATCCTGAGACTTTGCTGAAGTTGATTATCAGCTTAAGGAGATTTTGGGCTGAGACAATGGGGTTTTCTAGATATACAATCATGTCATCTGCAAACGGACAATTTGACTTCCTCTTTTCCTAACTGAATACTCTTTATTTCCTTCTCCTGCCTGATTGCCCTGGCCAGAACTTCCAACACTATGTTGAATAGGAGCGGTGAGAGAGGGCATGCCTGTCTTGTGCCAGTTTTCAAAGGGAATGCTTCCAGCTTTTGCCCATTCAGTATGATATTGGCTGTGGGTTTGTCATAGATAGCTCTTATTATTTTGAGATACGTCCCATCAATACCTAATTTATTGAGAGCTTTTAGCATGAAGGGTTGTTGAATTTTGTCAAAGGCCTTTTCTGCGTCTATTGAGATAATCATGTGGTTTTTGTCTTTGGTTCTGTTTATATGCCGGATTACATTTATTGATTTGCGAATGTTGAACCAGCCTTGCATCCCAGGGATGAAGCCCACTTGATCATGGTGGATAAGCTTTTTGATCTGCTGCTGGATTTGGTTTGCCAGTATTTTATTGAGGATTTTTGCATCAATGTTCATCAAGGATATTGTTCTAAAATTCTCTTTTTTGGTTGTGTCTCTGCCCAGCTTTGGTATCAGGATGATGCTGGCCTCATAAAATGAGTTAGGGAGGATTCCCTCTTTTTCTATTGATTGGAATAGTTTCGGAAGGAACGGTACCAGTTCCTTCTTGTACCTCTGTTAGAATTCGGCTGTGAATCCATCTGGTCCTGGACTCTTTTTGGTTGGTAAGCTATTGATTATTGCCACAATTTCAGAGCCTGTTATTGGTCTATTCAGAGATTCAATTTCTTCCTGGTTTAATCTTGGGAGGGTGTATGTGTCGAGAAATTTATCCATTTCTTCTAGATTTTCTAGTTTATTTGCATACAGGTGTTTGTAATATTCTCTGATGGTAGTTTGTATTTCTGTGGGATGGGTGGTGATATCCCCTTTATCATTTTTTATTGCGTCTATTTGATTCTTCTCTCTTTTCTTCTTTATTAGTCTTGCTAGCGGTCTATCAATTTTGTTGATCCTTTCAAAAAACCAGCTCCTGGATTCATTAATTTTTTGAAGGATTTTTTGTGTCTCTATTTCCTTCATTTCTGCTCTGATTTTAGTTATTTCTTGCCTTCTGCTAGCTTTTGAATGTGTTTGCTCTTGCTTTTCTAGTTCTTTTAATTGTGATGTTAGGGTGTCAATTTTGGATCTTTCCTGCTTTCTCTTGTGGGCATTTAGTGCTATAAATTTCCCTCTACACACTGCTTTGAATGTGTCCCAGAGATTCTGGTATGTTGTGTCTTTGTTCTCGTTGGTTTCAAAGAACATCTTTATTTCTGCCTTCATTTCATTATGTACCCAGTAGTCATTCAGGAGCAGGTTGTTCAGTTTCCATGTAGTTGAGCGGTTTTGAGTGAGTTTCTTAATCCTGAGTTCTAGTTTGATTGTTTATCTGAAATTCAAATTTAACTGTTCTTTTGTTTGTTTGTTTGTTTTGAAAAACGTTTATTTTAAGTTCAGGGCTACGTGTGCAGGTTTGTTTCATAGGTAAATGTGTGTCATGGGGGTTTGTTCTGCAGATTATTTCGGCACCCAGATATTAAGCCTAGTATCCATTAGTTATGTTTCCTGATCCTCTCCCTCCTCCCACTTTCCACCCTCTAATAGGACCTAGTGTGTATTGTTCCCCTCTATGTGACCATGTGTTCTCATCATTTGGCTCCCACTTATAAGTGGGAATATGCAGTATTTCGTTTTCTGTTCCTGTGTTAGTTTGCTAAGGATGATGGCGTCCAGCTCCATCCATGTCCCTGCAAAGGACATGATCTTGTTCTTTTTTATGGCTGTATAGTATTCCATGGCATGTATATGTATGTATGTATGTATGTATGTATGTATACATATCTCACATTTTATTTATCTAGCCCATTATTGATGGACATTTAGGTTGATTATATGCCTTTGCTGTTGTGAATAGTGCCACAATGAACATATGCATGCACATGTCTTTATAATAGAACAGTTCATATTCCTGTGGATATATATATCCAGTAATGGGATTGCTGGGAGGAATGATATATCTGTCTTTAGGTCTTTGAGGATCACCACACTGTCTTCCACGATGGAGGAACTAATTTAAACTCCTACCTTTATAGGTAGGTTACCTAAACTCAGTTCTGAAAAATCAGTTTCTCTCTTTCCCTTTGGTTGCTCTCATAGATATTAATGCTGATATATAACCTCTAGCTCAGTGATTCTCAAAGTGTGGTCCCTGGGAACCTTTTATAAATGCAAATTCTCAGGTTCTAAGAACTGTTAACAAAAACTTTGATTCAGCAATTATTTTGTTTTAACAGACCTTCTAGGTGCTTCTGATACATGCTCAGATTTGAGAACCACTAATCTGTCTCAATCTGGATTGCCTTTCTACCAGTATAATTAATTTCTACAAGTCTACATCCTAAAGGAGCCAGGTTAAAATAAAATAGGATGAGTGTGGAATTCTAACAACTTGAACTATGAAAGAAGTACTCTCAGTTTTTGGCTACATAAATTATATAATGAGAAAACTTCAAATAGTTAAAAATTCCTCTTTTTATAGCAATCACCACAAAATTGGCACTCATAATTGAGTATAGCTGTTTTATTATGAGTGTCATTGTCATTCTATATGAGCATAATTCACACTCTTTGATGAATGGTGTGGAGTCACTCAGTCCATGAGCTTGTCTTCATCATATACTTAACAATTAACTATAGCCAAAAACATTTGAATCTAATATATGCTTTGCTTGAGTTAATGAGGACCTTTAGGTCCTTACTTCTTCTTTTTTTTTTTTTTTGACAGGATTTTGCTCTGTCACCAAAGCTGAAATGCAGTGGTATGATCATAGCTCACCGCAGCCTCAAACTCCTGGGCTCATGTGATCCCCCCACCTCAGCCTCCAGAGTAGCTGGGACTATAGGCATGCACCACCATGGCTGGCTAATTTTTTAAAAACCTTTTTTTTTGTGGAGATGGGGGTCTCAATATTTTGCCCAGCCTGGTCTCAAACTCCTGCTTCAGCATCCCAAAGTGTTGGGCTTGCAGGTGTGAGCCAACTCTCCTAGCTCTTTGCCTCTTAATACCTGAGTTCCAAGGAGAAACACCACAGTCAGTCCCAAATTATGATTTCATTTTCACAAGGAAAAAAGTGAATAATTGAAAACTAAATGATAGTTTAAATAAAATACTGACTTTAATAGAGTTTTTTAAAATAAAACTATATCAAATTATGTCACATGAAACTGATTTTATTTTATTTTATATTTATTTTTCTTTTTTTCTTTTTTTTTTTTGCATCCCTGGGTGGGCACAAATTAATTTTGTTTTGTTCAATTCTTCTTACAAAGCAAGTACTCTGGGCAACTCAAAGACTCACTACATATCATGGAGTCAGAGGAGGGTGTAATTTGACTCGTTGTTTAAATTGCATTTTATATAAACAGATCTCCCTTTGTAGAGACACAAACACAAACCAATATGAAGTGGGGTTTTAACTACAAACCAGGGCCTGAAATAGTGTGTTCCGAATTAGAAGAAATGACTGCTTCCTTCTGGGAAATATCATGATTTTTGAGAAAGAATGCCAGAACTTATTCTACTGTAATTTAGATGACAAGAACAGGCAAGTTTCATAATTTGATCTCTGAGTATTTCCATCTGTAAAAATTAACAGAATAAGATATTTGCTATCTATTTCATAAACAAATTGTTAAGATAAGTCATGTTGTTGCAAAAAGATATTAGTTTCTGTTTCAGTTTTCAGGGTCCTTTTAGAAGCCTGAGACTAGAATAAGATCTGCTCTTGGGTGAAATATGGATGGACACAGACTAGTTGGTCCAGGACATTTTGTGAAATCTGATTTTCCAGTAGGCTCTGCTGTGTAGGGCCTCTACAATATCCAGATTTCTCATACAGGGCTAAGCCCACTGAATGAGGGCCTGAACAAATTGAAGTGGGGACCAGCTTGGGAATATTGCCAGCATTAGGAATTTTCGTTGTGATTGAACTGAGCTTCATGAAATTGTATTAAACTACTCCATCCACTCTCTTTCATGTCTTTTCTTTTCCAGGGTAATTCTATAAACAGGAACCCCCATTTTTTTTGGAGAGGCACTGTCTCGAATGACCAAGCCATTCCTGGGTTGCAGAAAGGTAAAATGGGCCCTTTCTGCAAAAAATCAGGATTGTCTCTAAATTCTTGGTATTGCTTTAAATATATATTTGGAGTCATCAGAATTTACTTTTCTCCTGGCTTGGACTCTTCAACACATAATTACTTTCAAGTTACAAAATAAGTTTCTAACCTAAGTGAATATTGTGCCACATATCTCTGCACCTGGAATCCCAGGCAAGGAAGGGATACTGCTTTCAAGTGCGCAATGGCTTTACTTAACATAAATGTCAGAGATTGAGCTCTTCAATACCAAATGAAATAAATCCTTTCTCCATATATGCAGTCCAAGCTTTTCTCAAAGTCTCATTCTTTTGTTTATTGTCAAATGACAAAGTCTCATTGTTGGAGTTAAAAATAACTTTAAATAGGTAATGTGGCTATGATTCAAAGATAATTAAAATCAGACCTGTGAGTTATCATAATTTCCTCCAACTAGAATTAGAGATTATTACTAAGGACAAGAGATTAGTATCATTGGAAGAAAATACACAAAAATGCATAGTCATATCTTGAAGTTTTAGAATTCAGCCCAGTTATCATAGAGATGAAAATCAGGTAAGTTTAAATATCAGTGTATAATATTAAAACAATCTGATTATTTTAAGAAAGGGATTTATTTGTAAAACCATATTTATAAATTTGACTTTTAATTTATTTATTCTTGCCATGTCTTTCATAGTCATTTAACTATTTTATTTTTGTATTGAGAAACTATAACCTCTAGTCTCTATCCTCTAAAGAGTTTTGCTAATCTTTCATTCAAAGACTATAGGAAAGAAAATAAAGTAACATTTATTTGAATCTCACATGTGTGGGTAATTTGATAATGCTTTTTTAATGTAAAGGTTTCATATAACATCATCATTAGCTCTGAGAATAAAAGCAGACACTGATTTCTGCACTTAAATATTAATATAATTAGACTTTAGGCTAGCTATATTTTCTTTGGTTTCTCTAAAATTAAATGAGTGCATTGCACATTCCATTATTTTAGAATTCTTTTCTTGTATTAGGACATATGCTGCGATAAAAAAAAATGTAGCCAATGGTTAATGATATGCTCCCAAAATAGATATCTAGGCCCGATTTTATTACAAACCACACATATGGTGCCCATCTATTCCTCTCCTTGTACAGTCAGAGGTGCATGGCCTCAGGCAGTTGTAAAGTCTGGCAGGATTTTATTGAATTTATGGTGAAATCTTGTGTTGATTATAAGAATTGATGTCTTTGGCTTTCAGGTTTTCTGTGAGTTTAGGATTTTTATGCAGTAAATCTATATCACTCCTTCAAAATTTTCAGAAGATTCTTGAGATTCCTCTAGGCTACATATATGTATATATGCTGGCCATATTCATTTTGTATGTCATTTTTTGCAACTCTCACTGAGCCTCAAATCAAATCAAACATTGAAAAACATTTTTTATCTTGCCATTAGTTTTATTTTTAAGGGATGGGGTGGGGTGGGTAGGTTGCTACTGCCTATCTCAAAATATTTTATTATTGAGAATAGTGTGATTTCATACCCACAAATCTTAAAAGGCTTCAAATTCTGAGTGTACAAAAACATTTAATTTTGGATTGGGTGTTTACGGCAATTCAGTTAGCTCAACCAAACAATGGTTAGGCACCAATTATTGTAGAAGAGGTTCATTTGATTATAAGTAAGAATAATCTACTTGAGCAGCCTTAAGCAAACATGAGAAATTTACTATTAGTATATTTAACTGACTCTTAGAACTCGAGGGCAGAAAGTGCTCTCAAGTCTTAGGAGAGACGGGACTGGAAACTATAGATTGTCAGCATCTAAGGCATTTACTGTTTCAGTCTTTTCCGCTGAGACCACAGCGTCGCTTGCCTGTGTTTTTCTCTGTAAAATTAGCTCTTTCTCCAGTCTCTTTCTGCAGAATGGCTTTCTGTGCTTTTTTGTATGTCCATAGCCCACCGCATCCAGTTTTACATCTCTGCAGCTCATTAAAACATTATTTCCACATGTTGAAAATTATTATGTGTGGGAAGAATGTATTACACTTATTTTAAAATTAGAATTCCATGGAGGGTTTTTATTATCCATTGTAGAGAGGAAGCTTTTAAGTTTAGAAGAGGTGGAAATTGTGATGAAAATGTTAGAACTAATAGTACCTGTGATGAAATCAGTTACATGCTTTCGGATAGCTGTGAGGACAAAATGAATGAATTGGCCCAAATCTTGTTTATTGTAAAATGACAAGTAAAAATAAAATTTTTGACAGATTTAATGAAAATTATTTGAAATGTGAATGTTTATTAATTGGTAACAAAGTGAGCATGTTTGATTATGTTTAGGGACACTCAAATTCTAGTATAAATCCATCTCAACTCAAGTGTAATTTTGAAACACAAAATAAACACCAGAAAAAAAATAGAAATTTTATTAGCCAAAAAAAAGGACAATCAAGCTTTCTGATGAGTAATGTATAATATAACCAGGATGAAAATATAAAATCCATGGCTGCTTTTTAGTAGTGTCACATAAAATAAAACAAGAGCCCTGGTGGCTGGCAAGATGGCCGAAGAAGAACAGATCCAGTCTGCAGCTCCTAGCAAGATCAATGCAGAAGGCAGGTGATTTCTGCATTTCCAGCTGAGGTACCTGGCTCATCTCATTGGGACTGGTTAGAGAGTGGGTGCAGCCCACGGAGGGTGAGCAGAAGCAGGGTGGGGCATCACCTCACCCAGGAAGTGCAAAGGGTTGGGGAAGTCCTTCCCCTAGCCAAGGGAAGCCATGAGGGATGGTGCCATGAGGGATGGTGCCATGAGGAATGGTGCATTCCATCCTGTGAGGTGCCATGAGGAATGGTGCTTTCTGGCCCAGATACTGTGCTTTTTCCAGGGTCTTTGCAACCCACAGAACAGGAGATTCCCTCGGGTGCTTACACCAGCAGCGCACTGGGTTTTAAGCACAAAACTGAGCGGCTGGTTGGGCAGACACTGAGCTAGCTACAGGAGTTTTGTTTTTTTATTTATTTATTTTTTATTTTATTTTTTTTCATACCCCAGTGGTGCCTGGAAGGCCAAAAAGATTGAACCCTTCACTCCCCTGGAAAGGGGGCTGAAGTCAGAAAGCCAAATGGTCTAGCTCAGAGGGTCCCACCACCATGGAGCCCAGAAAGCCAAGATCCAATGGCTTAAAATTCTTGCTGCCAGCACAGCAGTCTGAAGTTGACCTGGGATGCTTGAGCTTTGTGGGAGGAGGAACCTCTGCCATTACTGAGGCTTGAAGTAGATGGTTTTCCCCTCACAAAGTAAACAAAGCAGCTGGGAATTTCGAAGTGAGTGGAGCCCACTGCAGCTTGGCAAAGCTGCTGTAGCCAGACTGCCTCTCCAGATTCCTCCTCTCTGGGCAGGGCATCTCTGAAAGAAAGGCAGCAGCCCTAGTCAGGGGCTTATAGATAAAACCCCCATCTCCCTGGGACAGAGCACTGGGGGAAGGGGCAACTCTGGGCACAGCTTCAGCAAACTTAAACTTTCCTGCCTGCCAGCTCTGAAGAGAGCAGCAGATCTCCCAGCACAGCACTCAAGTTCTGCTAAGGGACAGACTGCCTCCTCAAGTCGGTCCCTGACTCCCATGCCTCCTGACTGGGAGACACCTTCCAGCAGGGGTCGCCAGACATCTCATACAGTAGAGCTCCAGCTGGCATCTAGCAGGTGCCCCTCTGGGAAGAAGCTTCCAGAGGAAGGAATAGCAATCTTTGTTGTTCTGCAATATTTGCTATTCTGCAGCCTCCACTGGTGATACCCAGGCGAACAGGATCTGGAGTGGACCTCCAGCAAACTCCAGCAGACCTGCAGCAGAGGGGCCTTACTGTTAGAAGGAAAACTAACAAACAGAAAGGAATAGCATCAACATCAACAAAAAGGACATCCACACAAAAACCCCATCCAAAGGTCACCAACATCAAAGACCAAAGGTAGATAAAACCATGAAGATGAGGAAAAAACAGTGCAAAAAGGCTGAAAATTGCAAAAACCAGAACACCTCTTCTCCTTCAAAGGATCACAACTCCTCACCAGCAAGGGAACAAAACTGGACAGAGAATGAGTCTTTGATGAATTGACAGAAGTAGGCTTCAGAAGGTAGGTGGGTAATAACAAACTCTTCCAAGATAAAGGAGCATGTGCTAACTCAATGCAAGGAAGCTAAGAACCTTGATAAAAGGTTAGAGGAATTGTTTACTAGAATAACCAGTTTAGAGAAGAATATAAATGACCTGATGGAGCTGAAAAATACAGCACGAGAATGTCGAGAGGATACACAAGTATCAACAGCCAAATTGATCAAGCAGAAGAAAGGATATCGGAGGTTGAAGATTGACTTAATGAAATGAAGTGTGAAGACCAGATTAGAGAAAAAAGAATTAAAAGGAATGAACAAAGTCTCCAAGAAATATGGGACTATGTGAAAAGACCAAACCTACGTTTGATTGGTGTACCTGAAAATGACGGGGAGAATGGAACCAAGTTGAGAAACACTCTTCAGGATATTATCCAGGAGAACTTCCCCAACCTACCAAGACAGGCCAACATTCAAATTCGGGAAATACAGAAAACACCACAAAGATACACCTCGAGAAAGGCAACCCCAAGACACATAATCATCAGGTTCACCAAGGTTGAAATGAAGGAAAAAATTTTAAGGTCAGTCAGAGAGAAAGGTCAGGTTACCCACAAGGGGAAGCCCATCAGACTAACAGTGGATCTCTCTGCAGAAACCTTACAAGCCAGAAGAGAGTGGGGGCCAATATTCAACATTCTTAAAGAAAAGAATTTTCAACCCAGAATTTCATATCCAGCCAAACAAAGCTTCATAAGTGAAGGAGAAATAAAATTCCTTACAGACAAGCAAATGTTGAGAGATTTTGTCACCACCAGGTCTGCCTTACAAGAACTCCTGAAGGAAGTGCTAAATATGGAAGGGAAAAACTGGTACCAGCCACTGCAAAAACATACCAACTTGTAAAGAACATCAACACTATGAAGAAACTGCATCACCTAATGGGCAAAATAACCAGCTACCACCATGACAGGATCAAATTCATACATAAAAATAATAACCTTAAATGTTAATGGGCTAAATGTCCCAATTAAAAGACACAAACTGGCAAATTGGATAGAGTCAAGACCCAGACCCATTGGTGTGCTGTATTCAGGAGACCCACCTTATGTGCAAAGACACACATAAGATCAAAATAAAGGGATGGAGGAATATTTACCAAGCAAATGGAAAGCAAAAAAAGCAGGGGTTGCAATCCTAGTCTCTGATAAAATGGACTTTAAACCAACAAAGATCAAAAGAGACAAAGAAGGGCATTACATAATGGTAAAGGGATCAATGCAACAAGAAGAGCTAACAATCCTCAATATACATGCACTCAATACAGGAGCATCCAAGTTCATAAAGCAAGTTCTTAGAGACCTACAAAGAGACTTAGACTCCCAAAAAATAATAGTGGGAGACTGTAACATCCCACTGTCAATATTAGACAGATCAATGAGACAGAAAATTAATGAGGATATTCAAGACTTGAACTCAGCTCTGGACCTAGCAGACCTAATAGACATCTACAGAACCCTCCACCCCAAATTAATAGAATATACATTCTTCTCAGCGCCACATCACACTTATTCTAAAATCAACCACGTAATTGGAAATAAAACACTCCTCAGAAAATGCAAAAGAACAGAAATTGTAACAAACAGTCTCTCAGACCACAGTGCAAGCATATTACAACTCAAGATTAAGAAACTCATTCAAAACCGCACAACTACATGGAAACTGAAAAACCTGCTCCTGAATGACTACTAGGTAAATAACAAAATTAAGGCAGAAATAAATAAGTTCTCTGAAACCAATGAAAACAAAGACACAATGTACCAGAATCTCTGTGACAGAGGTAAAGCAATGTTTACGGAGAAATTTATAGCACTAAATGTTCACAGGAGAAAGCGCGAAAGATCTAAAACAACACCCTAACATCACAAGTAAAAGAACTGGAGAAGCAAGAGCAAACACATTCAAAAGCTATCAGAAGGCAAGAAATAACTAAGATCAGAGCAGAACTGAAGGAGATAGAGATACAAAAAACCATTCAAAAAATCAATGCATCCAGGACCTCATTTTTTTGAAAAGATTAACAAAATACATAGGCCACTAGCAAGACTAATAAAGAAGAAAGGAGAGAAGAATCAAGTAGACACAATAAAAAATGATAAAGGGGAGATCACTACTGACTCCACAGAAATACAAACTACCATCACAGAATACTATGAACACCTCTACACAAATAAGCTAGAAAATCTAGAAGAAATGGATGAATTCCTGGACACATACACCCTCCCAAGACTAAACCAAGAAGAACTCGAGTTCCTGAATAGACCAATAACAAGTTCTGAAATTGAAACACTAATTAATAGCCTACCAACCGAAAAGCACGCAGGACCAGATGGATTTACAGCCGAATTCTACCAGAGGTACAAAGAGGAGCTGGTACCATTTCTTCTGAAACTATTGCAAACAATGAAAAAAAAGGGACTCCTCCCTAACTCATTTTATGAGGCCAGCATCATCCTGATACCAAAACCTGGCAGACACACAACAACAACAACAAAATTTTAGGCCAATATGCCTGATGAACATCAATGTGAAAATCTTCAATGAAATACTGGCAAACAGAATGCAGCAGCACATCAAAAAGCTTACCCACCATGATCCAGTTGGCTTCATCCCTGGGACGCAAGTCTGGTTCAACATACGCATATCAAGAAATGTAATCTATCACATAAACAGGACCAATGACAAAAACCACTTGATTATCTCAATAGATGCAGAAAAGGTCTTTGACAAAATTCAACAGCCCTTCATGCTAAAAACTCTCAATAAACTAGGTATTGATGGAACTTATCTCAAAATAATAAGAGCTATTTATGACAAACCCACAGCCAATATCATACTGAATGGGCAAAAGCTGGAAGCATTCCCTTTGAAAACTGGCAGAAGACAAGGATGCCCTCTCTCACCACTCCTATTCAACATAGTATTGGAAGTTCTGGCCAGGGCAATCAGGCAAGATAAAGAAATAAAGCATATTCAAATAGGAAGAGAGGAAATAAAATTGTCTCTGTTTGCAGATGACATGATTGTATATTTAGAAAACACCATCATCTCAGGCCAAAATCTCCTTAAGCTGATAATCAACTTCAGCAAAGTCTCAGGATACAAAATCAATGTGCAAAAATCACAAGCATTTCTATACACCAATAATAGAGAAAGAGCCAAATCGTGAGTGAACTCCCATTCATAATTGCTATGAAGAGAATAAAATACCTAGGAATACAACTTACAAGGGATGCGAAGGACCTCTTCAAGAAGTACAAACCACTGCTCAAGGAAACAAGAGAGAACACAAACAAATGGAAACACATTCCATGCTCATGGATAGGAAGAATCAATATCATGAAAATGGCCATACTGCCCAATGTAATTTATAGATTCAATGCTATCTCCATCAAGCTACCATTGACTTTCTTCATAGAATTAGAAAATCTACGTTAAATTTACTATGGAACCAAAAAAGAGCCTGTATAGCCAAGACAATCCTAAGCAAAAAGAACAGGCTTGGCATGGTGGCTCACGTCTGTAATCCCAGCACTTTGGGAGTCTGAGGCGGGTGGATCATGAGGTCAAGATATCAAGACCATCCTGGCCAACATGGTGAAATCCCATGTCTACTAAAAATACAAAAATTAACTGAGCCTGGTGGCGTGCACCTGTATTCCCAGCTACTCGATAAGCTGAGGCGGGAGAATAGCTTGAACCTGGGAGGCAGAGGTTGCAGTGAGCTGAGATCGTGTCTCTGCCTTCCATCCTGGGTGACAGAGTGAGACCCTGTCTCAAAAAAACAAAAAAACAAAACAAAACAACAACAACAACAAAAAACAAAGCTGGAGGCATCACACTACCTGACTTCAAACTACACTGCAAGGTTACAGTAACCAAAACAACATGGTACTGTTACCAAAACAGATACATCGACCAATGGAACAGAACAGAGGCCTCAGAAATGACACCACACATCTACAACCATCTGATCTTTGACAAACCTGGCAAAAACAAGTGATGAGGAAAGGATTCCCTATTTAATAAATGGTGCTGGGAAAACTGGCTAGCCGTATGTAGAAAGCTGAAACTGGATCCCTTCCTTACACCTTATACAAAAATTAAATCAAGATGGATTAAAGACTCAAACATAAGACCTAAAAACATAAAAACCCTAGAAGAAAACCTAGGTGATATCATTCAGGACATAGGCATGGGCAAAGATTTCATGACTAAAACACCAAAAACAATGGCAACGAAAGCCAACATTGGCAAATGGGACCTAATTAAACTAAAGAGCTTCTGCACAGCAAAAGAAACTATCATCTGAGTAAACAAGCACCATACAGAATGGGAGAAAATTTTTGCAATCTATCCATCTGACAAAGGGCTAATATCTGGAATCTTCAAGGAACTTAAAAAAACTTACAAAAAAACCCATTAAAAAGTGGGCAAAGGATATGAACAGACACATCTCAAAAGAAGACATTTATGAGGCCAACAAACATATGAAAAAATGCTCATCATCACTGGTCATTAGAGAAATGTAAATCAAAACCACAATGAGATACCATCTCACACCATTTAGAATGGTGATCATTAAAAAGTCAGGAAACAGGCTGGGTGCAGTGGCTCATGCCTGTAATCCCAGCACATTGGGAGTCCAAGGCGGGTGGATCACGAGGTCAAAAGATCGAGACCATCCTGGCCAACTTGATGAAACCCTGTCTCTACTAAAAATACAAAAAAATAGCTGGGCGTGGTGGTGGGCACCTGTAGTCCCAACTACTCAGGAGGCTGAGGCAGGAGAATCACTTGAACCTGGGAGGCAGAGGTTGCAGTGAGCTGAGATTGCGCCACTGCACTCCAGCCTTGTGACAGACCGAGACTCCGTCTAAAAAAAAAAAAAAAAAAAAAAAAATCAGGGAACAACAGATACTGAAGAGGATGTGGAGAAATAGGAATCCTTTTACACTGTTGGCGGGACCGTAAATTAGTTCAATCATTGTGGAAGACAGTGTGGTGATTCCTCAAGGACCTAGAACTAGAAATACCATTTGACCTAGTAATCCCATTACTGGGTATATACCCAAAAGATTATAAATCATTCTATAAAAACACATGCACATGTATGTTTATTGCAGCACTGTTGACAATACCAGAGACTTGGAGCCAACCCAAATGCCCATCAATGATAGACTGAATACAGAAAATGTGGCACATATATACCATGGAATACAGTGCAGCCATAGAAAAGGATGAGTTCATGTGGTTTGCAGGAACATGGATGAAGCTGGAAAGCATCATTCTCAGCAAACTAACACAGGAATGGAAAACAAAACACCACATGTTTTCACTCATAATTGGGAGTTGAGCAATAAGAACATATGGACACACGGAGGGGAACATCACACACCAGGGCTTGTTGGGGGTTGGGGGGCTAGGGCAGGGATAGCATCAGGAGAAATAACTAATATAGATGACGGGTTGATGGGTACAACCAACTACCATGGCACGTGTATGCCTATGTAACAAACATGCACATTCTGCACATGTATCCCAGAACTTAAAGTATAATTAAAAATAAAAAATAAAGCAAGAGCTACTGACTCTGGCTAGACCACAAATACAGTAAAAACTGACAAATAATCTTGGTTTTGTGCTAGGCTTTTTTGGGGGCTGGGAGAATAGATGTTGATTATTAAAAACTGGCATAAACTTTAAAAGTCATTAAAACTGCTGCTTGTTTTATATTTACAAAAATATATTAGTCATCAAAATTTCTAGAAAATAAAATGCTGGGAAAAATGATCTAGGCATTTTATAAAATAACAATGAATGGCCCAAAATAAAGCAATAGTTGTTAACTTCTATGCCATAGACTCACTGCAGACCGAGGGACTCATTTATGAGTCCCAAATATGGGAGTTACAATTATGGCCCAACATAAAGCAATAGTTGTTAACTTCTATGCCATAGACTCATTGCGGACTGAGGGACTCATTTATACTTTGAACTCAGCCTTACACATTTTTTTTCTCAAATACAAGCTGAAAATAGAAGCATCCATCAAAACATGTTTAGCCACATTTCACAATTCATGCAACTGAAGAAGAGAGTTTTAAACCCACTGGCAAGTTTATGATGAACGACAATGTAGAACATAGATTGTGAGTGAGTAATTTAAGTTTTCTTAAGAAGACATTTCTCTGGATTCAAGCAGACGTACCTGGAACAAATTCTACTTATTGCATGCACAAGCAAGCTTTCCCTTCTTGAATAACCCAGAGGAGTTTTTAGAGCATTTAGTGAAGCTGTTAAACTCATCAGTCAAATTAAAGGCAGGCCTAGGCATCTTTGTTTTTTTCTCAAAGCAAAGTGACTGTCGTTAATGTTTTCTCAGAAAGACTTCTCTCATTTACACAAATTGTCTGAGGAAATTAAAATTTTCCTGGAGGGAAACTTGTGTGAGATCATGTGATACCAGAGTCTTGCTTTGCAATTTACATCACTTTGAGATTTATTTGCTTATTTAAACAACCGAACATCTATGTTTCAAAAGACAAGATTATCAGCAGAATACTCACCTTGATCAAGATCAGTTGGATTCTTGTATTTTTTTGTCCTGGACAACCTACTCATGACATTACCTAAAGAATGCACTAGGCTGGGCATGGTACCTCATATCTGTAATCCCATCACTTTAGAAGGCTGAGGTGGGCAGACCGCTTCAGGCCAGGAGTTCAGGACCAGCCTGGCCATCATGGCAAAATCCTGTCTCTACTAAAACTACAAAAATTAGCCAGGCATAGTGGCACATTACTGTAAACCTAGCTACTTGGAAGGCTGAAACACCGGAATTGTTTGAACCCAGGAGACAGAGGTTGCAGTGAGCTGAGATGGTGCCACTGCACTCCAGCCTGGGTGACAGAGCCATATCCTGCCTCAAAAAAAAAAAAAAAAAATGAATGCACTAAACATGTTTCACACGCTCAAGAAGCACTAAGGAACACTTGATAGACAAACTTTCTAAGTATTTTCTCTAACAAGACTATATCCATGGGTGGCTAAGTGAAAAAGTTTTCTCACTTTTTTTTTTAACCAAAATTTCACACATTTATTCTAAATGTGTCTATATGGGACAGATTTTTTTCAGTTAGTTGAATTTAAAATTAATTAACTTTAGTATTATATGCCTTTTGTTTATTTTATACTTTAATTATAATTCCTGTTTGATAACATTATCATGTTTTTATCTCACTTATTTTTATAGTTATTTTCTATTTATAATAAATGTCAGTGATTTTTCAGTTACACAGCAATAAAGATTTTTTCAAAAAGAAATGTGTTCAAGGTAATTTCATTTACAGAAAAATGTAAATGAATATTACTTAAGTGATGATATGGCAAAAATTGTGAAGATAGAAATGTAAATAACTAAAGTTTCAAAAACATTGCTAGATTTTCCTAAGGTAGCAGTTGGAGAAAAAGAGGAAGAACCTGGAGTTCAGCAGATCCTACCACAGTCACAAACTAGCAGTGTTTACCTTGGCGCACTACTTAGATTCTATGAACCTCAGTTTCTTCACTTGTAAAATGGATATAGTGATAATGATTTTCGAGACAGTTGTCGTGAGAGTTAGGATTAACATATGTTAAAGTACCTAGTCTAAGAAATGCTAGTTATTTTTCAGGCAGTTAAGAAAACTTTAATTGAAAAGTGTATTAAGATATATATATATTTGCATCTGTGTATTAACTTTTTCATGGAAAAATAGCAAAATAAAAGATTAGCTGCAAAAGTATCTTGAGATTTTAGAAAGACTTTAGAAGGGGACAGATGAATTACATGTCATCTAATTCAAAATGTTAGGATAGTTGAAAGTGAATACTAGTATACCAGCTTTATCCCACAGACCTTGAAGTGTGATGTAATAATTAGGTTAGTTGTGATAATAAATGGCAGATAAATTTGCATCTTAGATTGAATCAAGAAATGGAGGCCAAGAGCTATGACATTCAGTCTTCGCTCTGAAACTGAACCTTGGCTCTTAATTTCTTTTTTTTTTTATTATTATACTTTAAGTTCTAGGGTACGTGTGCACAACGTGCAGGTTTGTTACATAGGTATACATGTGCCATGTTGGCTTGCTGCACCCATCAACTCGTCATTTACATTAGGTATTTCTCCTAATGCTATCCCTCCCCCAGCCTCCCACCCCTTGACAGGCCCTGGTGTATGATGTTCCCCGCCCTGTGTCCAAGTGTTCGCATTGTTCATTTCCCACCTATGAGTGAGAACATGTGGTGTTTGGTTTTCTGTCCTTGTGATAGTTTGCTGAGAATGATGCTTTCCAGCTTCACCCATGTCCCTGAAAAGGACATGAACTCATCCTTTTTTATGGCTGCATAATATTCCATGGTGTATATGTGCCACATTTTCTTAATCCAGTTTATCACTGATGGACATTTGGGTTTGTTCCAAGTCGTTGCTATTGTGAATAGTGCTGCAATAAACATACGAGTGCGTGTGTCTTTATAGTAGCATGATTTATAATCCTTTGGGGATATACCCAGTAATGGGATCGGTGGGTCAAATGATATTTCTAGTTCTAGATCCTTGAGGAATCGCCACACTGTCTTCCAAAATGGATGAACTAATTTACACTCCCATCAACAGTGTAAAAGTGTTTCTATTTCTCTACATCCTCTCCAGCATCTGTTGTTTCCTGACTTTTTAATGATTGCCATTCTAACTGGCATGAGATGGTATCTCATTGTGGTTTTGATTTGCATTTCTCTGATGACCAGTGATGATGAGCATTTTTTCATATGTTTGTTGGCCTCATAAATGTCTTCTTTTGAGAAGTGTCTGTTCATATCCTTTGCCCACTTTTTAATGGGTTTTTTTGTAAGTTTTTTTAAGTTCCTTGAAGATTCCAGATATTAGCCCTTTGTCAGATGGATAGATTGCAAAAATTTTCTCCCATTCTGTATGGTGCTTGTTTACTCAGATGATAGTTTCTTTTGCTGTGCAGAAGCTCTTTAGTTTAATTAGGTCCCATTTGCCAATGTTGGTTTTTGTTGCCATTGTTTTTGGTGTTTTAGTCATGAAATCTTTGCCCACGCCTATGTCCTGAATGATATCGCCTAGGTTTTCTTCTAGGGTTTTTATGGTTTTAGGTCTAACGTTTAAGCCTTTAATCCAACTCGATTTAATTTTTGTATAAGGTGTAAGGAAGGGATCCAGTTTCAGCTTTCTACATGTAGCTGGCCAGTTTCCCCAGCACCATTTATTACACAGGGAATCCTTTCCCCATTTCTTGTTTTCATCAGGTTTGTTAGAGATCAGATGGTTGTAGATGTGTGGTGTTATTTCTGAAGCTTCTGTCCTGTCCCATTGGTCGATATCTTTGTTTTGGTATCAGTACCATGCTGTTTTGGTTACTGTAGCCTTGTAGTGTAGTTTGAAGTCAGGTAGCATGATGCCTCCAGCTTTGTTCTTTTTGCTTAGGATTGTCTTGCCTATGTGGTCTCTTTTTTTGTTCCATATGAACTTTAAAATAGTTTTTTCCAATTCTGTGAAGAAAGTCATTGGTAGCTTGATGCGGATGGCACTGAATCTATAAATTACCTTGGGCAGTATGGCTATTTTCACGATATTGATTCTTCCTATACATGAGCATGGAATGTTCTACCATTTCTTTGTGTCCTCTTTTATTTCATTGAGCAGTGGTTTGCAGTTCTCCTTGAAGAGATCCTTCACATCCCTTGTAAGTTGGATTCCTAGGTATTTTATTCTCTTTGTAGCAATTTTGGATGGGAGTTCACTCATGATTTGGGTCTCTGTTTATCTGTTATTGGTGTATAAGAATGTCTGTGATTTTTTCACATTGATTTTGTATCCTGAGACTTTGCTGAAGTTGCTCATCAGCTTAAGGAGTTTTTGGGCTGAGATGATGAGAATCTCTGGGACACATTTAAAGCAGTGTGTAGAGGGAAATTTATAACACTAAATGCCCACAAGAGAAAGCAGAAGAGACCTAAAATCGACACCCTAACACCACAATTAAAAGAACTAGAGAAGCAAGAGCAAACACATTCAAAAGCTAGCAGAAGGCAAGAAATAACTAAGATCAGAGCAGAACTGAAGGAGATAGAGACACAAAAAACCCTTCAAAAAATTAATGAATCCAGGAGCTGGTTTTTTGAAAGATCAACAAAACTGATAGACCACTAGCAAGATTAATAAAGAAGAAAACAGAGAAGAATCAAATAGACACAATAAAAAATGACAAAAGGGATATCACCACCCATCCCACAGGAATACAAACTACCATCAGAGAATACTATAAACACCTGTATGCAAATAAACTAGAAAATCTAGAAGAAATGGATAAATTCCTCGACACATACACCCTCCCAAGACTCAACCAGGAAGAAGTTGAGTCTCTGAATAGACCAATAACATGCTCTGAAATTGAGGCAATAATTAATAGCCTACAAACCAAAAAACGTCCAGGACCAGATAGATTCACAGCCGAATTCTTCCAGAGGTACAAAGAGGAGCTGGTACCATTTCTTCTGAAACTATTCAAAACAGTAGAGAAAGAGGGACTCCTCCCTAACTCATTTTATGAGGCCAGCATCATCCTGATACCAAAGCCTGGCAGAGACACAACAAAAAAAGAGAATTTTAGACCAATATCCCTGATGAACATCAATGTGAAAGTCTTCAAGAAAATACTTCCAAACCAAATCCAGCAGCACATCAAAAAGCTTATCCACCACAGTCAAGTTGGCTTAATCCCTGGGATGCAAAGCTGGTTCAACATACACAAATCAATAAACGTAATCCATCATATAAACAGAACCAATGACAAAAACCACATGATTATCTCAATAGATGCAGAAAAGGCCTTCGACAAAATTCAACAGCCCTTCGTGCTAAAAACTCTCAATAAACTAGGTATTGATGGAACGTATCTCAAAATAATAAGAGCTATTTATGACAAACCCACAGCCAGTATCATACTGAATGGGAAAAAGCTGGAAGTATTCCCTTTGAAAACCGGCACAAGACAAGGATGCCCTCTCTCACCACTAATATTCAATATAGTGTTGGAAGTTCTGGCCAGGGCAATCAGGCAAGAGAAAGAAATAAAGGGTATTCAATTAGGAAAAGAGGAAGTAAAATTGTCTCTGTTTGCAAATGACATGATTGTGTACTTGGCTCTTAATTTCAAAGAGATTTCAATGAGGCTCTTTGTTTCTGTGTTTGAAGTATGCAGTAACTCACAGGCTCATCATACAATTTCTCTTCTTTTTTAGCATTAATCATGCTCCCTGATCTCTGCTTAGGGTATTGTATCATTGAAAAACATTTGTCAATCATTTTAGAATATAAGTAGAGGTGACAAGGCCTTTCATATTAGCAGCCCAGGCATTGGTTCCACTATGAAATTCAAAGCTATGTATTCTATCTGGATATTTAACATAAAATAGTTACATTTTATAGAGTCGGGCGCAGTGGCTCACACCTGTAATCCCAGCACTTTGGGAGGACGAGGTGGGTGGATCACAAGTTCAAGAGATCAAGACCATCCTGGCCAACATAGTAAAAACCTTGTCTCTACTAAAAATACAAAAATTAGGTGGGCTTGGTGGCAGGTGCCTGTAGTCCCAGCTACTTGGGAGGCTGAGGCAGGAAAACTGCTTGAACCTGGGAGGCGGAGGTTGCAGTGAGCTGAGATTGCACCGCTGCACTCCAGCCTGGTGACAGAGCGTGACTCCGTCTCAAAAAAAAGAAAAAAAAGTTACATTTTATAAACTTTGAACCTGTGAAATGGGCTGCATTGGTGGTTATATTATTCTTTTCGTTCCTTAGGTGAAATTTTTATAATCCTAAATATTATTGAAATTTTTTTTTCATAATATGGTCCTGATATTACTGATAATAGTACCAGGCCAGGTTAGATATTTAATTCATTCATTATTAATTTGTGCTGAAATCTTAGATATTAGGTGTGTATAACTCTGGTCCTGTATTGAAGCTGCTTATGATATGTGTGGTGAGGCATCTAATTAGACCAATGACCACAGGAGATGCCATCCATATGGACAGCCTCTGCTCTGCTCTGTCTGTATCTGGACACCAAACTGGCTCTCTGTCCTGGCATCTGTGAAGCATCAGGGCTGATTGCCAGATCCTCTTATGATCAGCCCTGCTCACTAGAAGCAAAATAGAGGGCATCTTCCACCTCAGGACATCCTTATTCCACCTCTTGGGGCCTTGCTTGTTAGAAATCCTGTCTTGATTACTGTAGCTTTATTATAAGTCTTGTAGTCAGATAGTGTTAGTCCTCCAACTTTGTTCTTCTTCAATATTGTGTTGACCATTCTGGGTCTTTCACCTCTCCATATAAACTTTAGAAACAGCTTGTTCGTATCCTCAAAATAATTTACTGGTATTTTGATTGTAATTTAATTGAATCTATAGATCAAGGTGGGAAAAACTAACATCTTGACAATATTGAGTCTTCATATCCATGAACATGGAATATCTCTCCATTTGTTTAGTTCTTTGATTTCTTTCATCAGAGTTTTGTAGTTTCCTTCAAATAGTTCTTACACATATTTTGTTAGATTTATATCTAAGTATTTCATTGTTGCTGGTGCTAATGCAAACGGTATTTTGTTTTTAATTTTAAATTTCACCTGTTCATTGCTAGTATATAGAAAAACACTTGACTTTTGTATAATCACCTTGTATCTTGCACCCTTGCTATAATCACTTATTCATTTCAGATTATTTTTCTTTTTCTTTTTTTGTGTGCCTATTTTGAGATTTTCTGTGACAGTAATGCCACCTGTGAATAATGGCAGCTTTACTTCTTCCTTCCAAATCTATATACCTTTTAGTTCCTTTTCTTGTGTGATTACATTAAGCAGAACACAAACATTTATTTTTTGCTCATATTACATGTTAGCAGTTATCATCTGTTGCCATGGATCTGGTCTATGTCTTTGCTTCATTCTGGGACCTAGATGGAAAGAACCAACCCTGTCTGGAGTAAAAAATGAGCAAGAGCTCTAGTGGAATCACAATTTCCCTCACAGATTCTCCTCAGAACAAGCACATCACCACTTCTGCTCACATCCTATTGGCCTAAGCAATTATCACATGTCCTGAGGAGGCATTATGAATCACAGATCAATGAAACTCTTACATATAAAGGGGCAAATGTTTGGAGACAAGATTAAGGAATTAACATACCTATAGTGTCTAATATCTATCATATGGTAAATGCTAAGTATTATTATTATTTATTTTATTTTATTTTTGAGACTGAGTCTCGCTCTGTTGCCCAGGCTGGAGTGCAGTGGCACGATCTTGGCTCACTGCAAGCTCCTCCTCCTGGGTTCACACCATTCTCCTGTCTCAGCCTCCCTAGTAGCTGGGACTAGAGGTGCCCACTACCATGCCTGGCTAATTTTTTGTATTTTTTTTTTTTTTTTTTTTTAGTAGAGACGAGGTTTCACCATGTTAGCCAGGATGGTCTCAATCTCCTGACCTCATGATCCACCCACCTTGGCCTCCCAAAGTTCTGGGATTAGAGGTGTGAGCCACCACGCCTGGCCTACTATTATTATTATTATTATTATTATTACTATTAATTTCTCTTTCTCCGTACTTGCCAGAAAAATTCCCAACCCTGGATTAGTGGTACTGTTTACTTTTCTCTACTTTAGCCAATCAGTGAAAATGACTGAAAAAGCTACATCAGCCTAAAATGATGTCCCTATAAAATCATGACCTCAACAGCAGTCGGGTCTCTGGAGCTGGAGATGCTTACCAACATTTTCACTTTTCCTACTTCAATATCCCATTCTATTCCCCTCAATGTCTACTTTAAACTTTCACTGTTTTCCTCCAAGTTAACAAAAAGATCCTCTTCCACTTGCTTCTCTACAGATGACTTGCCCACTTGACAACCACAATTGGGAAAATTGAGCTCATTTGATGGAATCTCATTTCCATTTCCTAGCTTGGCAAACCAAACTACAAATTTAGCAAACCCCATTATCAGACTTAATTCTCTTTGTCTAAGCTCTAATGATTAAATGTCTATTCTGCCGAAGTCCAACTTCATCTGTGTTCTTCATGCTATATATAGATTTCTGCCTTCTCTTATACTTGATCATTTATCCCCCATTTTCTGTTTTCAACTTTTTTCTTATTCTTTTCCTTCCCATTAATTCATTAAACTTGTTCTTGACCTATTATTATACATCTGTTATAATATGTATCCTGATTTAGACATGGTACTTGTACATAACTTTTATACCTCTATTTATTGTATGGTCTAAAGGATGTTTGAACCATGTATTATCTAGCTGCATATCCCCTGTACTGCTTAACATAGTATTGTAGATATTGTTTCAAACATATTTGTTGAGTGAATACACAGTGACCCCTAGAAGCCTCCAGTAGTCAGCAATGCCTTCTCAAGGTCAGGCTACTTACTGCCAGCCCTCCTGCTAACTTTATATTCTATACTTTAGGTTGACATTGTAAATGACCATAGTCTGATTTGATAAAACAGTTAATACTTATTATAGCAGTTACTGTCACAGATTCCATTCTAAAAGCTTTACACCTATTAACTAATTTAAATCTTTACAGTAACCCTAAGAAGTGGGTGTTATTATCTTCATGTCTGAGGAAATGCTGATACAGAGGTGTTGTTGTGTCTTTTTTAACATCAATGTGGAAAGAGATTTAAAAATATAGATAGATGATAGATTAAAAATAGACATAGGTGTAGATTTAATCTTATTGTAGCTAGTAAACAATAAGACTTTGTATCCTGCCTCTTAGATTTATTTTTATAGTAATTGATGAAGTCCACATATAGTTATCCTTAAGGAACCTGAACCTTATCAGAAATATCACTTAACTGTGTGTGTATCAGAATATAAATGAAATGCTCTTCTCCCTCCACTCTTGTGAAATGCCTGATGAAGCTTAAGCATTTAACTTTCCTGTTGCTCTACTTATTCTCCTGTTGCCACAGCAACTAAAAATGTTCATTCCACTGCTCTTGCAGGTACCTTGCAAATACAGTTTTTTTTCTTTTTTTTTAATAAAAGACAATGAATCATATTTTAAAAAAACAATGTGGTCAATATGGAGAGCTACCATTCATGTGTTTCTTCAGCCCCAGTGAAAAAGTCTTAACTTTTCCTAGTAAAATTCTGTCATTTTAAGCATCATGTCCTGCATAATATTGGAACTGGAAAAATCAGGCTTTTATTATTCTAGAATTAAGACATGTATAGAGACTCACAATGTACAAAAGCCTATTTAGTCAGGGTTTTCCAAGAGATAGACCAATTAGATAGATAGATAGATAGATGATAGATAGATAGATAGATAGATAGATAGATAGATAGATAGATAGATAAAAGATAGATATGAGTAGGGATTTATGAGAGGAATTGGCTCACATGATGATGGAGGCTGAGAATTCTCATGATAGGCTGTCTGCAAGCTGGAAAAGCAGGAATGCTGGTAGCATGGCTGAGTCTAAGTTCAAAGGCCCCAGAACCAAGGAAGATGGTGATGTAACCCTCAGTTTTGAGAACCCTGAGGCTGCTTGTACAAATCCAAGAGTCCAAAGGCTGGAGAACCTGAAGTTCTGCTATCCAAGGGCAAGAGAAGGGCTCCCCAGCTCTGGGAGAGACAGTGAATCTTCCTTTCCTTTGCCTTTTTCTTTGAGCCCCCTCCAGATTGGATGGTGCTCACTCACACTGAGGGAGGATCTTCACCCACTCAATCCACCAACTCACGTGCCAATCTCCTACAGGAATATTCTCATAGAAACACTCAGAAATATTTCATCAGCTATGTAGATATCCTCTAATCCAGTCAAGTTGACACCTAATATTAATCATCATATTACCTATAACTTACCTGTAATATTTCTATCATCTTGAAAGGGGCGTTAACTCTCTGAAAGTTTGCCTTTACAATCTTATGTTCCATGATTTAGGAAAAAGACATATATAGTTCCTTTGCCATTTTCAAGCTTTTTATTGTCTTCACTTAGCTTTTTAAAAAAGATTTTCTAGTGTATTAGTAAATTATAAAATTGAAATAAGTTATAGCTGAAATACTGTGGCTTTAATTAGGGCTATTTTGGTTGCAAATGGCACAAATATAACCCATGCTTGTTTAAGAAAAGGGAAATGTATTATAAGCCAGCTTGGGTACCCCTGGAACCCAAAGGTAAAAACATAGAAAAGTGAAAAAGGAAAATTGAGTGATGATCTCAAACAATGCCTGGATGCTCTCTATCACTTATCTCCATTTTCTTTGCTCTTTGGCTCTGTGCTTCTCTCTCACTGCAGAGCAGCTTTAGACAAGTGTTGGAAACATAGGCAATGACAGCATTGGAATTTTACCTCTTATGGCCTAAGTCAGTAGAGAGATATTGGGCTAACTCTTTTTCCTCCAAGCTAAAAGAAAAAAAACCAACAAAATAAAAAGAGGGGAAAAATGTCTCATTGGTCCAATTTGGGTGAGATGCCACCAAAAGAACAATCAGCACTGTCCAGGAGGCAGGGTCACATAACTTACATGATAGCCAACTTGCTTTATCAACAGCAGGATTGATATTTCCACCTCTTCAAAATTCATCTTTCACTTGGCTTCCTAAACACCATTCACTCTCTGCTGTCTCTTTATCCTTCTGTATGTGTGTGCTCAGTCTTCACTGTTTGTTTCTCCATATCTTCCTGACTGATTCACACTGCAGTGCAGTGCCCAGGGCTCAGTGCTCTTCTTGGTTCTACTTACATTCACTTCCATGGTGGTCCTAAACAGGGCCCTATTATTATTAGTATGTCATCTACATGCTGCATTTTCTATTTTTATTTCTACCTCAGATATCTTCCTTTCTTTTATTTCTTTAAGTTTGCTGCCTTCAGTTGATGTTTCCAACTCAATATATCTAAAACAGTATTCTTTAATCACCCCGACCTCTCCTTTGTAACTTTTGAGCTTCTTGTTCTTCCCATAATCTTAGTTAAACATAGGCCACCCATCCTTCCATTTCTTCAGGCCAAAAATATTGGAGTCATCCTTGGTTTTTCATTGCCTTTGTGTTCTATTGTCTTCTGATATAAATAAAAGTCTTAGGCCAATCTGATTGTCATTTCTTCATAACTTAACTGGATTTTCCTCACTAAAATTTCTAAGATATTTTATCTTTCTCCTTGGTGTTCTACAACTTCACACTAATTTGTCCAGGTGTGTGTCTGTTTCTTTTTATCATGGTCAGTGGTACACAGGTCATTTCAACCTTTAAAACATGCTTCTTTTCACTCTGAGCAACTTCTTTGCATAATTTTATAATTTCTTCTCTCAGTTCTCTTCATTCTCCTTGCCTTTACTCCTAATATTCAGATACTATATCCATAATTGAGTGTTTATGTCTTTATATATTTTTTAAATTTTTGTACTATATTCTGGTTGACTTTTCAAATCTTATCTTTTAATGCCTACAATGACGGAAGAAAAAGTGTTTCTGCTCTAGAATCCTAAACATAGCCAGAATACCATTCAAGCATAATAAGATAATATAGCTATAACCAAGCTTAGAAAATTAATATGGCAAATGTCCTTTCTTTGGAAATCTCCTGAGGATTCTCTTCAAGAAAATAATGGTGACAACTAAAAACAAAAATGAAAACAATTTGGGCAACAATTTCTATATCAAAGAGTAATAAAGGTAAATAATTAACAGCACAACTGGTGTGTGGCAGCCTAGAGAGCTGGCACTCAAGCTTGGAGAAGGATGGAAGCTATGGAAAGGAGGTCCCTGAGAGGGGAAAAAAAGGACACCACATAATTAACAGTAGGTAGAGAGCTTAGAAAAAAAGTGAGGATATAATACAAGTACACAATTTTAGAATTAACACCCTCCTCACTACCACCATAAAGTTGGAGTATGGAATAATTAGGGACAGAGACTAAGCAGTTAAAATAAATGATCTCAAAGGGCTGAAATTTAGACTTTGAGTGCTAACTTACTTATATGGTTAAACTCAACCAGTAAAAAACTAGCATAATACTCAACCAATCAATAGAAAACAGCTATCAATTTCATGCCAAGATTGGTTCCAGAAGCACAGTAATAGTTCCTTTTTCTGAGTAAACTACAATCTGGTAGAGAATCAAGACGTGAATGAGATGATACCATTTGCCACAAGAATTTAGAGAAGGGAGACCCCATGTGGCACAGGGCTTGTGCATGTACAAGTGAACCTTTCAGAGCTGGGCAGACTTCCTAGTGCAGGCCAATGCCTGTGAACTAAGCGTCTTTCTCATTGGCCACTCCATCCTTAATTCACAGCAACACAGGCACTAAATAAAGGTTTAATACCATATTGTCTTGTCTTGGAACTAACAGCTTTCCTATTGTAAGTATCAATTTTCTTTAAACTTCCAAAGTTCTTCTGCGTGGGTCTTCATCAGTAATTTCTGGAGAAAAGCAATATTTTAGGATCCGAATACACCACTATGTCTTGTGGGATTCCAATTTGGGTCCTATAAGGAGCTCTTAAAAGTCTGACATTTTAGACTCTGCCTTGCCCTAACCCAGTGCTTTCTATTTCTAGGCTTTCAAAAGATCTTTCTAACTCCACTGTCCCTCTTCTTTTTGTTTGTGATATAGATTGATTTTCTTTAATATCATGTTTCTACTGTCTGTCTTTTCTTGCCCCAGCCTGGTTCTCCTGAGGTTACAAACCTCTAACAATCTTTAATATCTAATAGTTTTTAGTCTTATATTCAGCCTGTGCCATTTGTTTCTCTTTCTTCTTTTGTCCAGTCTTTTCAGCTTTATTTGCCTTGCTCTTCTTTGTCCTGCTTTGTTTTTCATTCATTCATTTATTCATTCATAAATATTAAACACTATACTAGGAGTGGGAATACAAAATCAATAAGAAATAGTCGTTCTAAAATATTTCATAATCCAATAGATCTTTAAGTGGAAGTTAGAGTAGATGTAAGACCTTCAATTGAGCTAAGAAAAATGGTCTGGCAATGCCTAATACTTAACACGAAAATGGGAGAAACAAGTTTTGCCTAGGATGCCTGAGTAAAGCTTTATAGAGCAGGTAAAAACTGAGCTGAATTTTGAGGGATGAGTAAGAGTTTAAGGAAAAAACAAAAACAGGGACTAGAGTAAGAAGGGAAAGGTATTCTAGGTGAAGGGAAGAGAATATACAGAGTTATGGAATGAGTTAGATGTTTGTGAATATCTTACTACCAGTAGTTACTCTAGCTATATTTGATTCTTTTCTTCCTGGGAAAGCAAAGTGAACCCCATCAAGGTCTCTAATGTTGCTGGTGGAGTGGTCAAGGACATTTTTTAAAATAGCTTTCATTTGGATAGTTTATATCCACTCCCATTGAAACTCCTCATTCTTCATCCTCTTCTCCCCAGGATTTCTCAGGGGTACTATATTATTACCAAATATTGGATGTAGTGAAATTTGTTAATAAACTCATCCTTTGCAAATATTAAACAGGTTATTTGTAATGACAGTTATTAAGGGGGATTTTCTAAGCCTGTATTTTGAGATGCTCAAACAATAGTCTTTGAGGGCAACTTACCAAATGCATTAAAGGAAGTCATTTGGAAACTTCTTTACTGCTTTCAGAAATAAGAGAATTGAATTTCTCTTTTGCAGCCAATTCTCTTCAGCCACACACACACACAAATGAAGGTTTACTAACACTCTTTCTCTTGAGAACACTATCTACTGTGAGTGGTGCCAACAGCTGAAAGCATCGAGCCTGCCCTTGCACTGTGAGAACACAGCTCTCTCCCAGGGTCTGCCCAGATGCTCATTAAAATCCAATGAGTACCCAACAAGGATGTGTTGTTTAGTCCAACATCATAGTTTTTATAAATAAAAGTATTTCAACTCGGTGTGGGAGGATGGACAAAGTCGAGCACCATGGTAACTGGGTCAAATGAACTCTTTAAACAGACTACCCACAAATGAATGGATGTTGACTGTGCATGCCATTTAAGGCATCACAGCTTAACATGCTCCTGCCCTGTGTAACTTCTGCTGGTCCCCAACCTTGAAAGCTTTCATGTTTCCTTCTGTACTCACTCCAATTTGTGCCTGTCATAATTGACTCTTTCACTCCTCCGTTCTTTTTCTATTTCTGTAAAGTATGACGTTTTTCTCTTATCAGTTTGGCCTATTTAAAGTATCTCATATTACTATTCAACATGTTTACTTCTTTCACAACTTCTGCATTCATAAGCTGTAACTATCTTTTCCCGTGTTTATTCCACAAATGAGAAAAAGCCACTTGACTAATGTCCTTGTCAAACAACACATATTACCAGCATAATATTCTCTTCCTAAGCACAGTAGAAATCAGGGGGAGATTAGTATACAGGAGGGGACTAAAAATAGTCCCTGCTTTTAAGGAGCTTAAAATCCATTGGGCTGTCACAAAGAATACTTTTATTAAGTCTCACTGTGTGAGGAAAATGTTTATTTCTCCCAAAGAATGGTGTGTTTTCTTTTGGCAGATATTGGAAATTATAGTATTTAGAATCGTTCTCTTGTTTGCTCTTGCTGCTAGAATGCTGAGCACCAAATGTAACGTTTTCAGACTATAATTACTTAAGCTTCAATTGCTTCCTTTTCTTTGTATGGCTTTGACTTTATACGGTTATTATAAATGGATACATATTATTGTAGGGTTAAACTTTTCTTATGCTTTTTAGGAGTGACATTGGTTTTAAATAACTACACAAACCTTTAGCTTTGACTTGGATAAAAATATAAGACATGCTCATCAAATTTGCACATGAGAAGAGGCTAGGAAAGAGCATTGCAGTATTTGGTATAATGCTGGGTCAATAGGGGCTTCATTCTTCAGGATTCCAGAGAAGTGACATCATGAGAAAAGCAGTTAGAGTGGGATGAAGCCAAGGTTACACAGTAGGTGATGGGCGGTGAAGGAATGTCAGTGGGTAAATAACCTCGTAGAGAGGGGCAGGGATTTGCATGAAGTAAATTATAGTTGTATGGGCCAGGAGTGAATTCTTAAGGGACAGAAAGTGAGATTTTAAATACTTTCCAGGTGTGTAACATTCGGGGGAAGGAAGATGCTTTTAGTAATGATTTTAAGAAAGTTTTCCTTTCAGATACTTTTTCTACAAGGCTTTTGTGGTCAACCTGATGTTTATTTGAATTTGGGGATATATTCAGATGAAAAGAAAGCTGCTTGGCTTTGGGACAGTAACAGTACAGAGACTGAGAATGTAGAGAGGTCTCAGGGGCTAGAAGAACAGTTTAGAACTGATGCAGGGAATACTAAAAGGAAAAACAACACATTGGTTGGAGTTCATGTTGAAAATCTAAATAAAAAATTGTGGATTGGGGTAGACATAGAAAAGAATGGGAGGTTTTCATTAATGCATGAGTTAAAAGTATGATGTGCGTTTCAAAAAGTGGACACCTTCAGGCAGTTTGCTGAGAAGGCAGCAAGTAAAACAAACAGGTGTTGGTCTGGGTGTACTGCATTCAGTTCTGAACACACAAAAAATAAGAGAAATATTTTTTGTAAATAAGCACATATAGCATATAGTGGCCAAATGGAAAAAGCAATTATAAATAATGTTATGGTAAATAAGGAATGGTTAAGCCACTGTATACTTTTAACTCAAAGAAGAAAAAAATGGAATGGGAGGTAAGATCATTATTTTTAAGTATTTGAAGAGAAATAGTCTGGCTTCAGGGAGGAAGCATATGATTTGAAGGCAGAGAAAACAGTGACCAGATCTGTGATCCGTCACCTACCTACCACCTACCCAGTATTGCCTCAACAACACCCCTAGGCTCTGTGATAAGTGGAGAGAGAGCATCTTGTTCGGCACATGGCAATTAGCAGGCCCTCCACGAATGTGATTTTATTCCTGTAATTAAGAAAATATGAGAACTCAATATGCATATTCTCTACAGTCCCAAAGAGTTAGGTCTAAAACCAATGTATAGTACCTACAAGGAGAAAAGTTTTGCTGAATTAAAAATATAAAATATACACTTTTGAAAATAAAGTGAGCTTTCTCAGCAGATGATTTTGTTTTCCGGCCCAGAAAGTGTTCAAATCCAAACTTTCTTATGCCAAGGTAACCTAAGAAATCTGTGATCTAAGTGACAGCTCCTATTTTGAGACTTCTATTAGGATTTAGGTAAAGGGACTTTTTTTTGGTCTTCTCTTAGAAATTAGAGATGAAGGAGATGAAGAAGGGATGGAACTGAACAGGTAGAAACAGAAATTGGGTAAAATCAGAAAAAAAGAATGTGTGGCTCTATGAATCTGGTACCAATAAAGAAACAAAGGCCCACTTGAAATACAGTAATTTGAGGAAAAAGTTTACAAAGTTTTCATTTACAAAGTTGAGTTGTTAGTGGCAGAATATATCAGAGTCATGAATGTGCCATAGTATGTTAGCAGTGGAATGTATCCAAGACACGGCACCAAAGTAAGTTACCAGCAGCTAATTCTTACAGGTGTGTAGCTACCTCAATTCTTGCCCCTCAGAAGAAAGAATTCAACTGACGGGCATAAGGCAGAAGGAGAAACTGAGGCAGGTTTTAGAGCAAGAGTGAAAGTTTATTAGAAAGCTTTAGAGCAGGAATGAAAGGAAGTAAAGTACACTTGGAAGAGGGCCATGTGGGTGACTGGAGAGATCAAGTTTGCAGTTTGACCTTTTGACTTGGGGTTTTATATGTTGGCATATTTCCTCGGTCTTGTGTCCCTTCTCTCCGGATTCTTCCCTTGGGCTGGGTGTTAACATGTGTAGTGGTCTGCCAGCACTTGGGAGGTGTGCATGCACAGTGTGTTTACTGAAGTTGTACCCATGCTTACCTGAGGTGTTCTTCCCTTACCAGTCAAGTGTCCCTAGGAGGTCATATACCAGTTAAACTCCACCATTTTGCCTCTTAATGTGCATGTTTGAGCCCACTCACCCAACTCCTGAGATCTTATCAGGAAGCTGCTGATCAATAGTTTCAGGTGTTTTGGTTTATTGGGAGACATTTTGCTGATCAATAGTTTCAGGTGTTTTTGTTTATTGGGAGGTCTTTGCCTGATGTTGGGAAATTATTATTTTAGAGAGACAGCTCACAACCACCTGACCATCACGTGATGGTCACCTAACATTCCTGGTGTGTGTGTGTGTGTGTGGCGCGTGCACGTGCACGTGTGTGTCATGGGGAGCCGTCTCCTGTTCTGCTCATGTCTGACTAGCTACCAACTGTAACAAAGTGAGAAAGAACCACAATCCAACATTAGGGAGAGAAAGGAACAACCTTCATCTGGAAAGGGAGCATCATGTGGAGAAGATCACCTTGAAAAGAAAAGGGACCATTGTTCGAGAGGCTACAGCTCTAGGAGACCTCACAGGGAGGGCATCAAGGAAAGTATACCTTGACCTCACTCTCCTCCTTCCTTGGGGTCCCTGTTAGCCAAAGACAAGTGAAAGCTGGTGGGTAAGGAAGCATGTTGATGTTTTCCAAATGGGTCATCTTCCCAGGGCAGAGAGAAAGGTAGATCTTCTTAGTGAAAAATGTTTAAATAGAGCAATACAATCTTTTTGTGATGCTTTTCAAAATCCTTTTCTAAAGGCATTCAAACTAGAAACAGGTAGTGAAATAACTCTTGACAAAAGAAAAATATTCTTATGTTTATCTCCCTTTTCTCTTTCCAAATTACTTTCTCCTCTTGAGTCAGCCACTACTATCAGTTCCACCACTGTCCTCAGAGCTCTGTGACTGGATCTACAGATGGGACTCCATAGCTGATTCAGGTCTGTAGCTGTTCCTGAGAAATTTCCAAGGAGCCAAGTTGGGTTTCCGTGAGTTCTTTCCCACTGCTCAGATTCCCTTTTCAGTTGGCTAGTCACAGGGTACCATTTTTTTCCTTCTGATACATTAAAACTGCATCCCTGCATCCACCTTGTGATTCTAGGAAGCCATGCAGTTCCTGAGCCTTGTTACTCTCTCTCTCTTTCTTCTTGTTGTCACTGTCATTCATTTATTTATTCATTGATTTGTTCTTTTAAAACAGATTGAGAACCTACAATATGTACACATTGGGGATACAGTGGTAGATATACCAGGCATGTTCTTTAACTTCATGCAACTTATTTTATCATATTCTTTTTATAATATTTAAATATCCTAGAAATTTTCAAAATGTAACCATGTTCAAGACTTCCTTTATAAACTTAAGATATACAAATATTCATTTCAGATCAGGTATTCTAATTTTTGACATGGAAAATATGTCCCCATTGCAATTTGAAGGGCAAATATGTCTGCATTAGTGGTCAAACAATAGTCTGAAATGACTGCTCCCTAATTAATTGTCAGTGTTAGCTTACAGTTTTATTTAGTTTGATGACAATAAGGATAGAATGTAAATTTAATTGAAGTACCATAAAATTGAGGTATTAGAATATTTTATGAATAAGAGCCAGTTCTTAGAGTTTGCCTGTAAAATATACTCAGAGTTATGTGTAAGCTCTAGAGAATTAGGATGTGTATTAAAAATTTATCTGGTCCAACAACCTTTCACAGGTCAAGAAATTTAATTTCCATGGATATAAACAGAGAAAACAAGATATTCAATAGAAGCCCCCTACATTACTCTCTATATCTAAAAATCTTCCTTCAGGATTTTGATTTTCAGCAGCAGGTATATAAGGCTGAGTTGACCTTGACTTTTTTATACCATTATGAACTTGGGTTGTCACTATTGTTTCTTGCCTTTACTGAGTTGTATATCCATAATTTCTGGGATTAATGGAACCCCAGGAGCCCTATCTGTAGACCCCATGAAACTTCTGTTGAGCAGAATCTATAGATTTCCTGAAGGAAACAAAGAATTTTTCTTTCAAAGACCAACATTATGCATAGATATTGTATACCAGTATCTCCCAAATGGGCTAACTGACTTCTAGGAAATTCTTAAATATACTAGCTTTGGGGATTTAATTCAATTTAATTTTTTTCTGGCTTTAACTTTAATGCTCATATAAAAATTAATATAAGCTAATTCATAGTCATTTAAATAATCACCATACAATGGAGCACTGCTATGCAATATTAGATTCCCTATTTGTCTTTGGTCTAAGATTGAACTTGCCAAGTGACATCTGCTATAGGCACTGAGATTGTAGGTACTATAGCTATTTTTTGAAAAAATGCATTAGATAGACCTTATTCGTATACATACCACTTATATAATGCATTATTTCTAAGTATGCCAGTAAATAAGCAATGAGGTTGCTTTTGTGCCTGATTTGAGCCATGATTAAATTGTGCATTAATTCATTCAAGTATTCACTTGGCTAGGAATGGGGCTAGGTGAGGGGATACAGAAATAATGATGAAGTTTGCATTCCATTGTGGGAGTGATTGAAAGGATCAGAAAATATACAACTAAGTAAATAAGAAAATAAAGGCACATAACCAAGAAAATATAAGTTAGTAATACTTGCTGCAGATTTCAATGGAGCCACATGACAACCTCATCTTAACATGAGAACTTTAAAAAGTTATTAAGTGACACTACAATAAAACTTGCTCTTGTGGATAGCTTACTGGCAGAATTTTAGTTAAATGTGGAGTCTGATTATCATGAACCCAGAAACAAAACTTTGAAATTATGTATACCATTCTGTAAAGCATGCTAACATAAACAGGCATTCTTTACATTAGTATAACTGAAATGAAAACAAGGAAACTGATTAAATGTAGAAATAGAACTGTCTACATTTCTCTAATATTAATTCTGACTTCTGCTATTTGTTTTAGCACATCAATATCATCTGTCACATTGAATTAATGTTTTAATTATATTGGATTTTTGCAAATTTATATCTAATTTGTAATTTTGATTCTATGTGATAGTTGTATAAAAGCTCTAGGCATGAGATGCTTATGCCTTGTCCTATAGATGTTTATTAATTAACATAATTTATGTCAAAACTAGAGGTTCCTAATTTTATTTTCTTTAATATGAGTTATTAACAAAAATACTTATAACATTTATTGTTATTAAGCATGGCAAAATACTTTTAGAGACTAAGGAAAGAATGAATTACTACAACTTTTTGAGATAATAATCTGGCAGAATCTATTGAAATTCAAAAGACTCATACCATTCAACTCACTTTTGGGAAACAATTTATCAGAAATAAAAGCATCTTCATATGTAGTTTTATAAAGATTATCATTGCAGCATTTCAGGTACTGCCAAAAACTAAAAAGCAAAACTTTAGCAAATCAAACTTAACAATCTATAAAAAGAAAAATACGTCATGACCAAGCAGACTTTATCCCAGGATTTTAACATTCATTTTGCCTTTTTTCATTTTTATTCTTTTGTGAGGTACAATGGACTTTTCTAGAGGCTTTGTCATGTGTGATAACAACAGTTCTGATGGCTAGTAGAATTTGTGATTGTGTGCTCTTGTGTTTTAAAACTTTCTCAGTTTTAATTTATACTAAGGCAAAAGTACTTGTAGATATAACTCAAATAAAAAAAGCACTTTGGATCCCACAATATTTTTTACTATAAAATGTTTTTTATTTTAGAAGTTTCTAACAATTATTATTGCTAGTGTTTGTGAATCTAAGAGTTGTAATTTCTTTCAATCAACTGACTTTTAATACACTAGCTTCCTTTGGGTACTTTCTGATAAAGATTATTCTTTAAAAATATATTTATTTTGAAATATTTCAAACACATTTATAAATATGGGAATCGTATAACAAAGAGGCTTGTACCAACAACTCAGCTCTAGAAATAATCTTCCATATTTTCTTCTGATCTTTTAAAAATCAACCTCATCTTTTAGAACACTATTTGATTTACAGAAACATCGAGAAGATAGTAAAGAGAGTTTTCATATATCCAAATTTAGTTTCCCTTATTACTAACATCTTACATTTGTCACAATTAATAAACCAGTGTTGATACATTATCATTAACTAAAATTCATCTTTTGCTTCAAATTTGAAATAATGTGATAAAAATGGAACTTTATATCTGTTGTCTTCATCCCAAAATTATGTAACCCCAGTCTAATCATGAGAAAAACTTGAGAAAAATTCCAGTTGATAGGATCTTACAAAATACATCACTAGTATTCCTCATAATAGTCATAGTCATAAAAAAACAGAAATGTCTAAGAAAATGTCAATATTTGTTAGTTTTTTAAAATCTTTTTTTCTATTCCAGGATTCCATCCACAATGCCACATTACATAGAGTACCATGTCTCCTTAAGCTTCTCTTGGCTATGACATTTTCTTAGACTTTTCTGTTTTTTATGACCATGACTATTTTGAGGAATACTTAGTGATGTATTTTGTAGGATCCTACTATCAATATGATTAATATGATTTATCACCTTTGATGTTGACTTTCATCACGTGGCTATGGTGGTATTTGCCAGATTTCTATAATGTAAGGTTACTGTCCCCACACCCTTTTTTTTTAATGGTACTGTATGGAAAAAACTCATTATAAGAGTTCTCCCTCCCTTCACCTCCTTGAAGGTGAAGTGTCCATATAAATTGTTAGGAATTTTTATTTATGCACAGCAGATTTGTCCTTTTGCCTCTGTGTATTGATTTAATCAATTATTTATTCATATGACTCATTGCTGTGGTTTGAACGTGTCCCCAAAATTTCATGTGTTGGAAACTTAAGATCTAAATTCATATGCTGTTTGAGGATGGGGGCTTTGGGAGGTAATTAGGATTCAATAAAGTTTTCAGAGTGGGACACCCCACCCCCCGTGATGGCACCGGTAGCTTTACAAGAAGGGGAAAAGAGAAATGACATGCACGTTCTTGCTTTCTGGCCATTTGATGCCCTCCGTCATGTGATGATGCTGCAAGTAGGGTCTTACCCAATGCTGTCACCTTGATATTAAACTTCCCAGACTCCAGTACTGTTAGAAATAAAGATACGTTTATTATAAATTACCCAGTCTCAGGGATTCCGTTTTACTAACAGAAAATGGACTAAGACTTATGGATATTTATTTTATATGATGTGTTACAAATTTTTACTACTTTGCTTATCTTGTTGCTCTAATTATTCCAAAACTTGGCCATTGTG